>NC_000017.11:58185980-59435980 GCF_000001405.40 Homo sapiens
CTGTTTTCTGTGACACTCACAGACCTGCAGGGACTGGAGCTTAGTCAAATCCAACCCTAGAGATATGTGTTTAATGATGTTACTCTCTAGGAAGGGAGCTACAAAAGTAAGGAATGGGAAGGACCAGACTGTGGAGGTGGGACAGAAAAGCTCTCTGTGGATAAGACCCAGAGGATGAATAAGAGTTGGCCAGGCAAACAGACGGAAGAGGCTTCATGGTTATGACCCAAAACAGGAAGGAAATAGGCCTGTTTTGGGGACTGTAAGCCAGTGGGTTCAGAGGGCAGAGGAATAGAGGGTGAGGGGATGGGACACTGGAGAGGAAACTGGCAGGTGCCAGACTGTGCAAATCCCTGCGGGTTCCCTTTCCTTAGGAGCAACTGCAGCAGAGGCGACTGGATGTTTACAGGACCAGTGGTGCCAGATCTCCCAAGGCCTCATACTCCCATAGCCACCAGGGAGGGAGGGACAGCAGCAACCAGAGGGCCGGCTGGTCAGGGCCCTCTTCCCCAAAAACACCTCTACCTTCTCTGTCCCCTTCATTCCCAGTCTCCAAGCAGCCTTGTTTTCTCCTGTCGCCCCAAGAGCAGTCTTTCTGGTGGGTCTCATTACAAACATTTCCTCCTGTGTAGCTTGGTCTTGGACATTTCTTTTGCCCATTTCCCTTTCTGGAGAAGAGCTCTCCCACACAACTCCCAAGCCTCTGAAGTCCAACCAGGTCCCAGGCCTGTAGGGAGCCTGGCCCAGGCCCAGCAGCGGGTTCTGGACTCCACTTATTGAGGGAAGAGCTCACACAGGCCTTGAAGGGAGCCGGGCTTCCCACATGCCCAGCCCTGGGAGGTGTCCCAAGTGATGTCCCCAGCAGGTGGCCTCCATGTCCAGTGGGTTGTCCATCCTCACCTCCCTTGGACAGCACCCGCTCTAACCACCCACCTGGCCAGCCTTGCAATGGAGATGGCCTCAGGACCCACTTGGTGCCCACCCTAAGGCTCTTCGTTCTCTACATCACCTCGTGGTGGCACCCCCACCCCTGCCCCACCCCACCCACCTGGCTTATCAAGGTCAAAACCCTGGGAGTGGCTGAACTGCCATCTGGAGAAGGAAGGAGATTTGGGATGTGGGGAGGGAAGGGGACCTGTCTTCCTTTCCAGGGTGAAAAAGGGTGTGTGGACTCACAGAGTTAGTCTGTGACGTGGTTCACTCATGTTCCACAAACATTTCTGAGCGCTGGCCCTGGGCCCAACCCTGTGGTGGGTACAAGGTATGCAGCTGTAAATGAGACCAGGACTGGGGATCAGTGGCCAGTCCAGGAGACGGACACGGTGACAGCATGCCTTCAGTACAGCACAGTATGTGTTGAGGGAAGTATCAGCATCAGGTGCCCCACAGACAAAAATGGGGTGTCTAATTCAGATCATATCTGGGGAGTGAAAAGGAAAGGGATGAGAGAAGGCTACCTGGAGAAAGTAATGACGCGGCTCAGTTGGGAAGATGAGTAGAAGTTAATCAGGCAAAGGGAACACGTGCAAGGACCCAGGGGAGAGGGGAACACGGTGCATCAGAAACCTTCGGGGGATGAAGCTGGAGTGTGGAGGAAGGGTGGTGGAAGAGGTGAGGGCAGAGGCTGGAGAAGTCCTCCAGGGCCTAGGAAGCCATGGAAGGATTTGGAGTTCCCTGTACTGCTGCTGAAGGAATATCATGAATAGACCCCACAGACTGTGACCCTGCCCACTAGGACCCTGGACGGGCTGGGCTCATCCCAGGACACCCATGAGCAATTCCTTCTCTACCTCCAGTGCTCTCCTCTTCCCTCTCCCTGGGAAACCAGAGTGTGTTGAAGGCGGGGTGGGGCAAGGGTATGGAAGGACACGAAAGCCTCCCAACTTGTCACTTAGCAAAGGTAATTAGACGGGACAAATGCCAGTACCAAGGACAGGGCAGAGGAAGCCACCCGTTCCAGGGCAGAAAATAAGGGGTTCGTCATCTATAGGAAGTTTACAAGAAATAACAACACAGATAAAAGGTCAGGCTGCTTACGATGATCACCATGCAGGGGCAAGTTTACATAATTTCAGAGCTCAAATCCTGCTCCCCAAAGAAATCTTGTGTTGGTCTAGATTCTAAACCATTGCTGTGATTACCATTGGGCTTAGTAATATGTGGAAGCTTCAAGTTAATGCACTTTTATTGCTTATCCTTTAAGAAGCACTGTCTTCCATGTGGAAGTTGGTTGGGAGAATTCCCAGTCATACAGTGGCTCGCTTGGCTGAGTATGTTCCCTCTGAGGATGGGCTGATGGCTCAGATTCCTCTGAGCGGTCTTTGGTGCAACGTGCGCCTCCTGCCCCTGTTAGCACTGTAGATTCTTGCATTTAAACAGCTCGTTCGATATAAACAATGATAGCACAGTGATTGTAAAGATGAGGAGACAGAACTTGATTTTTAAGTGCAAATTTTACTTCATACATGAAATATTGTACTGAATTTGAATAATTACTTTAAGATCTAATTTATTCTTCTAAGTTTGTAATTGTTCATTTTAAAACTAATGAATGGATCAAGAAGACAGAAAATGTAATGACATATTAAATATTAAAACTACAAATATGTATGTAGATTTCCCCTTTATTTAAAATGCATTCATGTAATTTAAAAGTATTAATTCATTATACTTTTCTTTTGTATATTATTTATTTGTTTATTTTGTTATGTCTCTACTGGCATGATTATACATAAAATTCACTAAAAGAGAACTTTTACATATTTCTTTGTTGGCCATTATTATGACTTGCTTCATTTAACGAGTATTACTAAAAATTATTTTGTTGTGTAGAGGAGGGGGTATCAAAAAATAATCTGTTCCCAGGCCAGGTGCAGTGGTTCACACCTGTTACCCCAGCACTTTGGGAGGCCGAGGCAGGCAGATTGCCTGAGGTCAGGAGTTTGAGACCAGCCTGGCCAACATGGCGAAAACCCATCTCTACTAAAAATACAAAAATTAGCTGGGCATGGTGGGGGGTGCCTGTAGTCCTAGCTACTTGGGAGGCTGAGGCAGGAGAACCACTTCAACCCAGGAGGCAGAGATTGCAGTGAGCCAAGATTGCGCCACTGCACTCAGCCTGTGTGACACAGCAAGACTCTCTCTCTCTCTCTATATATATATATGTGTGTGTGTGTGTGTGTGTACGTGTGTGTGTGTGTGTGTGTGTGTGTGTGTGTATATTTCCAGTGTCAGATACTCCAGGTTGCTACTGCACAACACTTAATGCTAAGGAAAATCTTGCCAATGAAATCCCAGTGGGCACGATGAAAAGCCCACGAGGGGGACACAGAGGGCAGGGGGCCCTTGCCTACACTCCTCTTCTTGTCCCTGCATGTGGTTGGCCCTGACCAGAGGGAGGAAAAAGCAGATGTCGACGTGGACCACTGTGAGACATGGCGAGCACCCTGCATGTCACCTGCCCCATAGTGGGGGCCAGAGCTGGAGAGGGTGGGTGGGGTCCAGGCTGGAAAGCCCCTGGAGAGGGGCTAGAGAGGTCTCTGTCACTTCATCACGTTCACTCCGTCTCCAGTGGCCCCGTATCTGGCACGCCCACTCTGACATGAGGAGGAGTGCTTGGAGAGCCTCGGTCTGAACAGCCCTAAACTTGGAGGCCTCCCTTCCAGGCGCCCAGCCCTGAAGGGTCTGCAAATCCCTTGCACTCACTGCCTCCACCCTTCAGGCCAATGGCAATTGCTGCCTTTGACAGACAGCCTCAAGGGACCTCAATAAAGGAAGCAACAATAGGGCAGAAAAACAAGGTATGTTCAACAACACTGTTGAGCGCCTGCTATGTGTCAGGAATGATGTCTGCGAGGTAGACTAGGAATGACCTCCATCTGACAGTGAGGAGGTGGGCTCAGAGGTTGAGGAGCCTGCCCAAGTGGATGACGGTGCTAGAATGGGGACCAAGTTCAGCTTGTAGCCACCTCCCTGTACTGCTCTCAAGGAGCTCCCGCCTGCTAAGTGCTGTGGCTATGGCACCAAGCCCAGCTTGTGGGGTGACTCAGAAATGGCTTCCCAGAGGGACCTGCTAGGAAGAGGAAGCTTCCGGCAGAATTAGGAGCTGCTTGGAAGGAGAGAAAAGGTGGGGGTTATATGTGGAAGGTTAGGATGATTGGAGCCTAGGGGCAGGGTCCTGTGGGGGAAACGTGGCAGAAAGTAGGCTAAGGAGACATCCAGAGCCAGAGTCCAGGAGAGCCAGGCAGCAGGCTCTCATCACCACCCCGAGCAACCAATAGGTCCAAATCCCCAAGAGATCAGCCACCATGGCAGGGCTGGGCTTAGAGCCTAGGTTTCTGTCTCAGGCTTGTCCCAATAACCCACGGCAGCCCATGGCTGTGGAGAAACCCTTGCACTGCTCACTATTGTTGAAGAACTAGAGTACCCTCTGCAGGGAGAGCAGAGCTCACTCTGAGTGCTGGGGACCCTGGAAGTACAGCAATCCAGGATACATGCACCCCATCCTGGCTCCAACCTGGGTTACATACACCCCACCCCAACTCCAACCTGGAGTATATGCATCCCATCCCAGCTCCAACCTGCGGTACATACATCCCACTCCAATTCTATCCTGGGTTACATACACCATACCCCAGCTCCAACCTGGAGTACATACATCCCACCCCAACTCCAACCAGGGGTACATACGCCCCACCCCGACTCCTACCTGGGGTATATACACCCCACTCCAACTCCAACCTGGGGTACATACATCCCACCCCAATTCTATCCTGGGTTACATACACCCCACCCCAACTCCAACCTGGGGTACATGCACCCCACCCTGCCTCCAACCTAGGGTACATACAGCCCACCCCAACTCCAACCTGGGTTACATACACCCTACTCTGGCTCCAAGCTATGGTACATACACCCCACCCTGGCTCCAACCTAGGGTACATACACCCTACTCCAACTCCAACCTGGGTTATATACACCCCACCCTGGCTCCAAGCTGTGGTACATACACCCCATCCAGCTCCAACCTGGGGTACATGCATTCCACCTGGCTCCACCCGGGGAGCACCTGGCTCCCTGAGGGCCGGGAGGTGACACACAGCTGAGGAGTGCTGTGTGATTTATATAATCTCTCTCCTCCATGAGGCTCCCTGTCCCCATCTCACAGGTTTGGAAACAGGTCCATGGAGGGGTGTGATTTACCCAGTCACTCAGTGGGTCAGCATCAAGGAACCCAGTGTGCTTTCAGCTCCTACACAGTGACTTCTACCCAGGCCCCCCGTCACAGGAGAGGGGCCTCCGCTAAAGATAAGGAGATAAGATTAGGAGGGCTCAGGCCATCAACTGGAGCTTGTGAAAGGGGTTGCCGAAGAGAGGTGGTTGTTTCAAGAGCAACGGTTGGGCTGGTAACATTGCTGTGGGAGGAGGAGGCTGTGGAAGGCACCGGGCAGGGTTTCGGTAGGGTGTGGGGGTGGGGGAGGAGAAAGGACACTTGGAACAGCCTCCCTGGGAGTCTGGAGCAGGCACGGGGTCCACACTGAAGAAGGAATGGACGTGTCCTCCTGAAGAAGGGGCGAGGACACGCAGGCTGCTGGCCACAGTGGTGGTGACTCTGGAACTGTCTCAGGGATGAGCATGTGCTCTCCAGGCAGCCGGGATGAGGTCAGAGGCAAAGGATGAACCTGGCTCATCCAGGGCAGGGAACTACAGGAGGAAGGCTTAGGTGCAGAGAGGGTGGGCCCTGGCAGAAGGCCGACTGGGATGCACTCTGCACTTAAGGTGGAAATGGAGGCGCACTTAAGGTGGAAATGGAGGCTCACCCAAGGTCACGAAGCTAGTGACAGGGCTGGATTCAATCCAGGCCAATCAGACCCTGGTGCAGCACACTGCCTCTAAAGAAGCTACTTCTCACCAAGCCCAATAGGAACTCATAATTGAAATCTACTTCTCAGAGTAAACCTACTACTGATTGGCACCTAAGAAACTCCAAGAGAATAAAGCCCATGGCGGGCGCTTACTTTTAGGCTCTGCAGCAGCTCACTGGGCTGGGTGTTTTACCTGTGACATCTCGCCATGTCCCCAAAATGGCCCCATGAGGGATTTCACTGCCAGGCCCTGCCTCAGTCACAGCCTCACACTCTCCCTGGCACCTTGGAGGGAGTGAGTAGGGCTAGGGGATAAGGAGAGGGGCCAAATCATTCATCACAGATCATTCATTCACTCAACAAACACCTGCTAAGCACATACTAAATGCTGGGCTTTGAGCTGGGTATGGGGGGTGTGTATAACAGTAAGGCAGATTCAGTTTCTGCCCTGTTGCAGGAGGAGAGGCACCCTTCCAATCATCTGGCCCAACTCTCATTCTAGGGATGTGAAAACTGAGGCCTGGAGAGGGAAAGTGGCTTGCCCAAGGCCATGCAGCCAGGCGGTGGCGACTGAGGTGCACCGCTCCTGTCAGCCAACAAATATCCATTGAGCGACACCTGTGTCCCAGGTGCTGCTCTGGGCCCTGGGAGAAGTGCATCAGTGGGCTTGGTAGTAGAGGGTAGGGATGGAGTGAAGGGTAGGCAGGAAGAATGTCCCCAGGCTGGTAGGAGGTGGGGTGGGGGGTTTCAGTCTCAAAACTCCCATGAAAACCAGAGAGAAGTTTCAGAACTCCACCCAAGAGGCTGGGTTTCTAGGGCCCAGAGCTGCCCTCCCCCACCCTAGAATGGGCTATAAAAGTCCCTTCCCAGCTACGTCCAGAGAAGAGCTGGAGGAAGTGAGAGGTCGGCTGGGGGTCCTCAAAGTGAGAGGGGAGCAGAGGATCCTCCCGTGCAGGCTGTGGATGTCACTCACTTCCCAGCTGGTGAAGCCTCGCTGCAGAGATGCATCTGCTCCCAGCCCTGGCAGGGGTCCTGGCCACACTCGTCCTCGCCCAGCCCTGTGAGGGCACTGACCCAGGTAATAGTCCCCTAGACAGGCAAGGAGGAGGGAGGGGAAATGGAAGGGGAAGCACTTGGGTCTTGGAGGGGGTCTTGTGGCTTGCTGAACCCTGAGTCCCCATCTCTTTGAACAGCCTCCCCTGGGGCAGTGGAGACCTCGGTCCTGCGAGACTGCATAGCAGAGGCCAAGTTGCTGGTGGATGCTGCCTACAATTGGACCCAGAAGAGGTGGACTTGGGTCTGGGGGCTGCATGGGCCTGGGAGGATCAGTGAGGGGCATGGGCCCCAGCCAAGTTCATCTCACTCATCAGCCACCTCTGGACCCCATGAACATTTCCTGTTGGTAGAGCCTCCCTTCCATCCATCCTTCTGTCCGCTTGCCCTGTCCTGACTGTGCCCCAGGACTGGGTCTCTGCTGGGTGGGTCTGCACCCTCTCTCCAGCCCTCACTCCTCCTCTCCTGGGCAGCATCAAGCAGCGGCTTCGCAGCGGTTCAGCCAGCCCCATGGACCTCCTGTCCTACTTCAAACAACCGGTAGCAGCCACCAGGACAGTTGTTCGGGCCGCAGATTATATGCATGTGGCTTTGGGGCTGCTTGAAGAGAAGTTACAACCCCAGCGGTCCGGACCCTTCAATGTCACTGGTACTCTGATCCCCACTGAGCCCGCTGGGCCTACCCTGGCCTGGAGTAGAAGGAATCCAGGAGAGGGAGGCAGGGTGCACAGGTTTGGGGTGCTGGGAGGAGAGAGGGTAAAGGGATGGGAGGTACAGAGCAGGCCAGCTCAGGTCTGCCCATTTGCCTTCCCACAGATGTGCTAACAGAACCACAGCTGCGGCTGCTGTCCCAGGCCAGTGGCTGTGCTCTCCGGGACCAGGCCGAGCGCTGCAGCGACAAGTACCGCACCATCACTGGACGGTGCAACAACAAGTGCGTGCGGGGCGGCAGGAGGGGCTGCCCCTGCCTGGGGGACCTCTCCCTTCCTGCACCCACCCTCTCCCTCCATGCTGAGCCATCTCCAGGCCCTGCCCCCTGCTAACCTATCCCACCCATGGCTGCAGGAGGAGACCCTTGCTAGGGGCCTCCAACCAGGCTCTGGCTCGCTGGCTGCCCGCCGAGTATGAGGATGGGCTGTCGCTCCCCTTCGGCTGGACCCCCAGCAGGAGGCGCAATGGCTTCCTTCTCCCTCTTGTGAGTTGGGGCTGAGGGTTTGGGAGGTTGCTTGATCTCTTAAATGCGGGGAGTAAAACACAGCCCAGAGTCACGCAGGCAGGGCTTGAACCCAGGCCCTTCCACTGACCAGTGCAGTGACTTGAGGCAAATAACACAGCTTTCTGAGGCTTAGTTTCCTCATCTGTAAAATGGCCCTAAAACCTACCTCGTAGAGCCTGTGTGGATATTGAAGTCCTTGGTATAAATAGCTATAGAGGACATGATCTATTCATGCTAACCATTACGGTGTTGTACGGTTTTTTCTGAGAAAATTAGTGTCAAAGTCTTGCTAAATATAAACAGCTCTATACCTTAATCTGGCTTTATCTATTGATCTATTTCACATTTATCAACTCATCAGTTTTCTATTGATATATCGATAGAGCAGTCTATCATCTACCCATCTATCAACATCTATTAATTAATTTTCTTCTATCCACCCTTCCATCTGCTGACCCCGTACTCCCTACGTGTATTATCCATCACCTGGCAACCAGCCCATGCACCTGTGAATCCGTGCTATCATCTGGTTAGCTATCAGTGTACAAATTGATCTATCTATTTGATCTCCCTTCCCCTCTGGGAGAGCTGGTGAGGTCTGAGCCAGTCAACCTAGCCCCTCTCCTTCTCTTTACCACCGGAATCCTCAGGAGCCCAGCCAGAAACCATCCTTCTAGGAATGAGAGCAGGAGGTGGCTACGCCTCCAGGGACAAAAGGGGCATGGAGGGCAGAAGAGGAGAGGCTGTCAATTCCAGCAGGGGAGCTGCTGCTCCCTGAGTCCTGGGTTGGCTCTAATACCTTGTGGGGTCAGGGAGCCCATGTCCCGTGCTGATGTTATTTCCCCACCAGGTCCGGGCTGTCTCCAACCAGATTGTGCGCTTCCCCAATGAGAGACTGACCTCCGACCGTGGCCGAGCCCTCATGTTCATGCAGTGGGGCCAGTTCATTGACCATGACCTGGACTTCTCCCCGGAGTCCCCGGCCAGAGTGGCCTTCACTGCAGGCGTTGACTGTGAGAGGACCTGCGCCCAGCTGCCCCCCTGCTTTCCCATCAAGGTACCTACCCTCAGCCAATCTCCCATGCCCTTGTGTGGCCTCCCCCAAAGGCAAGGTGCTGGGGGTGGGGATCTGGAAGACTGGAGCACCATCCTTAAGGAGCTGCCTGTGGAGCTAGGGTATGAGACAGAGACACAAGAAACACAGCTGAGCAGAGACCCCGCGCCGTGTGTGTTTGAGAGGTGGGGGTAGGGCAATCTGCCAGGAGGCTCAGGTCAGGCTTCATGGAGTGGGAAGCCCTTGACACATGCCTTGACCCATGGGTCTGAATCCAACAGGGGAAGCCTCTGGGCCCCTGCTTTTGGCAACCTAAGGGCCTCTTAGCTCTTGCCCTTCTCTCCTTCCCAGAGTAGTCCAAGGGTCCTGCGGCTCTTGCCAGCTTCT
The DNA here is from genome assembly GCF_000001405.40 of Homo sapiens. Lineage (NCBI taxonomy): Eukaryota > Metazoa > Chordata > Mammalia > Primates > Hominidae > Homo > Homo sapiens. The sequence continues at coordinate 58,195,555 of NC_000017.11, forward strand.
TGGGCTTGGGCTGTAAGTAGGGTCCTAACCTTCAGGCTAGAAGCCAAGGACAGTGTGGGGCACTAGGGGAGGAAAGATAGAATCCAGGGAGCAGAGTCTCTGCTAGGAACATAGGGTTGACACACGTGCACACACACACTCTCTCACACACACACACGTGCACACACACGCTCCCTCTCACACACACATGTACACACACAGTCACCCTTAATAGGTGGGGCCACATTCATGAGGGATGACATGTGAGGGCCTCTGGATGGCCTCTCCCTGTTGCAACCTTATCTATTCCTCAATCCCTGGCTTAGGGGCACCTCCTCTGGGGAGCCTTCTCAGATCTTCCTATTACACTTTTAACATATGTCCTCCCCTCCCCTCTCCTCTCTCTCCTTCCTTCCTTCTTCCTTCCTCTTTCTTTCTTTCTTCTTTCTTTCCTTTCCTTCCTTCCTTCCCTTCCTTCCTTCATTTCCTTCCTTCCTTTCTTTCTTTCTTTTTCTTTCTTTTTCTTTCTTCCGTCCTTTCTTTCTTTATCTTTCCTTCTTTCTTTCTTCTTTATTATTATTATTATTGTTTTGAGACAGAATCTCACTCTGTTGTCCAGACTGGAGTACAGAGGGGCAATCTCAGCTCACTGCAACCTCTGCCTCCTGGGTTCAAGCAGTTCTCATGCCTCAGCCTCCCGAGTAGCTGGGATTACAGGCATGTGCCAACAAGCCTGGCTAATTTTTGTATTTTTAGTAGAGATTGGGTTTCACCATGTTGACAAGGCTGATCTCAAACTTCTGGCCTCATGTAATCCACCTGCCTCGGCCTCCCAAAGTGCTAGGATTATAGGCGTGAGCCACCACACCTGGCCCACATATGGCTTTTCTATCAAGCACAGCAGATGCCACTTCAACTTAGTTTCTTAACTCTATGTGTGTGTGTCTTTTTCCACTGAACTGCCAGCTTCCTGCAACCTTTCCTGTGTTTTTTTAACCTTCATAATCTCCAAAGCAGCAAGCAAGAAAGGGGCTTAGAAAAGGTCTGTCGAATTGAACAGAATTAAAGAAGCTCAGGCCTAAGAGTCAAGAGAACTAAGTTCTAATCCCACCTTTCCTGCTAACTGGTTGTCACTTCCCCTCTCTGAGGCTGTTTTCCTTGCTGTAAAATGAGGATCGAGATTGTTTCAAAAGCCTCATTCATTCCTAACCTTTTGAGACTCTATGAAACAAAATGTTAAGGACACTCAGACTGACGGGGTGAGCAGCATGAGCCTGGGTGAGTCAAGGAGGGCTTCCTGGAGGAAGGGAGTTTTAAGCAAGGTTTTGAGGAGGTGGAAGATGACGGAGAGGAGTGAGTCTGCTATTGAGGGGGCCCCATGTCACTGTCTCCTCTTCCATCTCAGATCCCACCCAATGACCCCCGCATCAAGAACCAGCGTGACTGCATCCCTTTCTTCCGCTCGGCACCCTCATGCCCCCAAAACAAGAACAGAGTCCGCAACCAGATCAACGCGCTCACCTCCTTTGTGGACGCCAGCATGGTGTATGGCAGTGAGGTCTCCCTCTCGCTGCGGCTCCGCAACCGGACCAACTACCTGGGGCTGCTGGCCATCAACCAGCGCTTTCAAGACAACGGCCGGGCCCTGCTGCCCTTCGACAACCTGCACGATGACCCCTGTCTCCTCACCAACCGCTCGGCGCGCATCCCCTGCTTCCTGGCAGGTCAGACAGGGAGGAAGGTGGTGTCTTCCCAGGAAACAGCCATCCCTGGGGTCCCAACTGGGAAGCAATGGTGGGATGTGGTGAAGGTACATGGTTTGGGACCTCAGTATTAGGCACACCATAAGCATGGATCTGTGCACAGCCATCATAGAATCAGAACGTTGAGTCCCTTTGCAAGCTCCCTGTGTGTGGCCAGAGATAACTGCTTAACCGTCTCCAGTGACAAGGCTCTCACCGCCTCTATGGCACCCCAGCTCAGCCACAGGCAGCTCCGACTGTTAGAAAGTCTCCTTATTTTGATCACATATTCACCTATTCCCCTTAATCATGCTTCTGGAACCTCAGAAAAGACACTGTCCCTCTTACACGCAGGAATACCTCAAAGTAGCTGTTAACTCCATCTCCATTTTTTTTCTCTTCTCTGGGATAAATTTCCGTAGTTCCTCCCTGTCCCCAGCTGTTGCTAGACAGTTAATACCCTCTTCTGGAAGCATAATTTGAACTTTCCTCAGGGTCTTTTGTCCCATGTACATGGTTACAATAATAATGGTAGTCATTTCTCATTAAGATATTTATCTTATTATTATTATTATTTTAAGATGGAGTCTCACTCTGTCGCCCAGGCTGGAGTGCAGTGGCGTGATCTCAGCTCACTGCCACCTCTGCCTCCTGGGTTCAAGTGATTCCCCTGCCTCAGCCTCCCGAGTAGCTGGAATTACAGGTGCCTGCCACCACGTTTGGCTAATTTTTGTATATTTAGTGGAGATAGAGTTTCACCATGTTGGCCAGGCTGGTCTCGAACTCCTGACCTCAGGTGATTCACCTGCCTTGGCCTCCCAAAGTGTTGGGATTACAGGTGTGAGCCACCACGCCCAACCTTATCAAGATATTTAAATGTGCCATCTCTAAACCTTGCAACAGCCCTGAAAGGAGGGAATTATTATTGTTCTCATTTTACGATAAGAAACTGAGACTCAGGGAAAGTGAATCATGCGCCCAAGAGCACAGAGTTAGTTTCAAATGACAGAGTCCACTTGAGAACACAGTCAGTGTAGTATCAAGGTCTCTGCCCAGTCCACTGTATTCCACTGTTTTCCTCACAGAGAGTCGGCCCCAACCCCTCTTTTGAAGGATTGTACATTTGTGTGTCCTGGAAAGAGCAGCTTGTGCCTTCGGGAGAGGTCAACTGAACTAAGACCTTGTGCAAAAGGGTTTAGTTAAAACCAAGCAAATGATGGAATTAACTTTCTTTCCCTGCCTGTAGTAGGTCTGTTCGTAAGGACAGTCTCTGCCCAACCCTCCCTCTCTTCCTCTTTCCCTCTGGTTCACGGGGGAGAGCAGTATTATACCAAGCCCAAAGATAGGAAGAGGTACACCAGCCCTTGGCAGAGAACACGCAGGCAGATGCAGCTCATGGACAGGTGGGCTCTCAGTCCCAAAGTCAAGGTGCCCTTGCCCATAGCTGGTCCAGGCTATGGATCTGGTTGTCTTGTAGAGTAGAATCCTTAGGCAAAGATGCCCCTGCCTGAGACCAGCAGCTGCCCTGTGCTTTCCCACCTCACCCAAGCCTGCTAGGAACCCCCGGTCCTTCCGCTCCTGGCCTGTGGTGTTAGGGAGGAGGGTGGCGATGAGGAGCCTCAGCACAGCTGAAGAGATGGAGGTCCAGTGAGGGCCAGGAGTTTGGCCCACCCCGTCTCTCCCATCCCCAGCCCTGGGTCTACCCTGGTAGAAAGACATTTCTCTGGGAAAGGCTGCAGTAAATCTGAGCTTGGGGTTTTCAAGGTGACACCCGATCAACGGAAACCCCCAAACTGGCAGCCATGCACACCCTCTTTATGCGAGAGCACAACCGGCTGGCCACCGAGCTGAGACGCCTGAATCCCCGGTGGAATGGAGACAAACTGTACAATGAGGCTCGGAAGATCATGGGGGCCATGGTCCAGGTAAGGAGCTCTGCATCCCAGCATCCCCCAGATGACAAGCTTGGCATGAGAAGCAGTCCTTAACACATCCTTGCGGATGTGCCTAAAACCAGCTGGGTCTGGGCAACTGGCGGAGCACCTGGACCTGTCCTCTGGCCCCGATTCTGCCTCTAACTCCCGTGTGACCCTGTCTGTGTCACTCACCCTCTCTGGGCTTTGTATCTCCACCCACCAATAGTAAATTAATGTTGTCACATTTGACGTGATGACAATAAAGAATATGTCTGAGCCACCCTTTGAAAAGGCAAGGGTATGGGTGAGTAGCCTCTGGGGAATGTTCCTCCTGTCTTCCCTTCCAGATCATCACCTACCGAGACTTTCTGCCCCTGGTTCTGGGCAAGGCCCGGGCCAGGAGAACCCTGGGGCACTACAGGGGGTACTGCTCCAATGTGGACCCACGGGTGGCCAATGTCTTCACCCTGGCCTTCCGCTTTGGCCACACAATGCTCCAGCCCTTCATGTTCCGCTTGGACAGTCAGTACCGGGCCTCCGCACCCAACTCGCATGTCCCACTTAGCTCTGCCTTCTTTGCCAGCTGGCGGATCGTGTATGAAGGTGACCAGGTTTTCCAGGGGGCAAATGGGGGTGAGGGTGGGGAGCATGCCCTCCCCTAGGTGGGCCAAGCTTACTGCCAGGAAGCCAGGCTGCTGCAGAGGCCACTGCTAATATCTCCCCAGGACAGTGGAAACAAGGCAGGTGCCAGCAAGACCCTCAGTCACGGGCCTCCCATCCTGTGTGGAATGAGAGGATTTTTTAAAGGGGTGGAGACTAATGTCAGATTGATGGGGAGCTCACCTTCCATTCCTTAAGAAGTACCTCCCAGCTCCAGCTGCTTCATGTCTCTCCAGAACTCTGTTTCCTGACAAACGTTACTAACATACCCGACTGGCTTGTCCAGCTCTGGGCTAGCTTGGCATCATGTGATAACCCAAGTAGCTTCCCAGAGGCTGGTCCAATCTGTGCTGCTCACATTCCCTGCCACCAGGGGGCATCGACCCCATCCTCCGGGGCCTCATGGCCACCCCTGCCAAGCTGAACCGTCAGGATGCCATGTTAGTGGATGAGCTCCGGGACCGGCTGTTTCGGCAAGTGAGGAGGATTGGGCTGGACCTGGCAGCTCTCAACATGCAACGAAGCCGGGACCACGGCCTTCCAGGTGAGGGGGCTGTCCACCTCTTCTCCCAGCTTTGCTCGGGCCAGGCTGCTCAAGGGGTTCTGGGAAGACCCTGGTACCTCCTTTCTGACTGGGACTGTCTACAGGATGTGCAGGAGTGCAGAGGCATGCAAGGCCAAGGTCGATGTCCCAAAGCACTCCTGGAACACCGCTTGCTGTCCTGCCATGGCTCCCCCATCCACTGTAGGGGCTCCAGCTTTAGGTTCACCACAGGACCAGCACTTAGGCTCAGGAGCTGAAAAAGGGAGGCTCGAACTTTCCAAGTAGAAAAAAAGCAATAGGCTTAAAAGGCAGGGAAGAACTGCTCCATTCCCAACACGCTGGCAAGTTCCAAGGAGGAAGGCTAAAATTCCAGAGCTACAGAAACGCTCCTTGCTCTAAGTGGAGAAAGGCAAAGAGCCTTAGAGGCAGGGAATAGGTGGAATAAAACTAAGGCTGCAGTGGCTGTTTGGTGAGGGCACAAATGACTTTATCCCAGGAAAGAAGAAAATATAGGCACTTTGTTAGTCACTTTCATGTATATTAATTTATTTTGTTCTCCCAATCACCTTGAGAAGCAAATGATTACAGCCATTTTATAGATGAGAAACTATGTTCAGAGACAGCTAGTAATTTGCCCAAGATCACATAAATAAGAAGTAGTAAAATCTGAATTTAAATTTACAATTTCTCCTTTCTTCCCCCTGTTCAACCCCAGTAGGGGAAGGTTTTGGCCACTGCCTTGCTCCTCTCTCCTTCCCACCTCCTACCTCCCTGTCTAGAAAGAACCTGAAGGCCCATCTGCCCATGTATGAAGCAGTGGTGGCACCTCCTACTGCCCACCCCACTTCACACAGCGCCTGGTAGAGCACAGCAGGCACTCCGGAAACCTGAGCTTCTTTCCTTTCTTAAACTTGGGCGCTCCTGGCAGCTAAGGAGCTGTGGGCACCCCCTGCCGGAGAGCTGAGATCGCTAGCCACCCAAGTTTCTATTAGGTTTTGAAGGGAAGGCAAGGGTTAAGGAAAGACACAAAGAGAGAGGGCGGCTGAACAGCCAATGCAGGTATTTATTTCCAGCATAAAACCTACAGAGGTGGGGGACCAGCTTATTGCCAGAACCTGCCGCCGCCTACAGCTGGGGTACTGGGTATGGGTATGGGTATGGGCAGGAGGGGTCTGGGTCGTATGGCTTGCTACCCAGCAGGATATTGATAAGATGTACCTATGATCAGGTCCTTTTTTCAGTGGGATGTGGTAAGATGTTCCTTGGACCTTTGCCCAGCAGGATATGATAGGGATGTTCCTTCAGTTGGGCCTTTGCCCATTAGGGTATGTTATGTTTTTCATGGCCCGACCTCCTGTGGAACGTTTCACTTTGACCAAGGTCTGGGAAATGGTGGGGGGCTTAGAAAATGGTGCAGTTTGGACTAACATTCTTGCCTTCTACTTTGGTATAAAAGGAAGAGCTGGAGAGCTGAGATCGCTAGCCACCCAAGTTTCCACATTGCGAGCTTCTGCTCCCCGCAATACCTGTGCCCTCCAGAAATATTATCCTGACACTAGCTCTTGCAATCTCCTCTAATCCCTTCCCAAGTCCAACATCAAACTGGGAACTGGACAACCTGGTTTGAGCTCCACTTAACAGTAAAGTGACCCTGAAGCCTATGGTTGCTCAACTTTAGTAAACATACCAGATATAGTTAGCATGCCATAAAAGCACCTCAAAAAGGTGCTGTGAGGGTCCTGAGATATTCACCCAATAGTGCTCAGTAATGGTAAAATACTGTGTGGTTTTCATGGGTTCCGCTGGGGGATGGTGTGTGTGAGCTGTAGTTCAATGGATGACGTTGGGCTGGTGTCCCTTCGGGACATGGCAAAGCTATCTCCTACCTTGATTGTCACATCTTATGATGTGGCTTGGCCCTGCGTGGGATCCTGATGGCTGACAAATTGGTATGGCTTGTCTTTGGAAGTTTCTGAAAACTTTTTAAAAACTTCTTTATTGAGATATACCATAAAATTCACCCATATGAAATAGACAATTCAATGATTTTAGTGTATTTAGAGTTATGCACCCATCACCATGATCTAATATCACACCATTTTCACTCCCCAAAGAAACCTTGTAAGAACAGTCAATCCCCATCCCCACCCCAGCCCCAATCACCTCTAATATACTTTGTGTCTCTATATTGACCTATGCAGGACCTCTCATATCAACAGAATCATAGTGTGCCGTCCTTTTCTGAGTAGATGAATTTTATCATTGCTCTCCATTTGTTTGCTTGTTCATTCATTTATTCATTTGCTCACTCATTCATTCTACAAACCTGATGGAGAGTCTTTTATATTCTGGGTACTGTCTTACTTGTGTCTAATGAATGCAGTCGAGCCCAGTAATATCACTAAGTGTCGGATTTGTGGTTATGAGTTTTGGGTTAAAACAGCTTTTTAGGTTAGGACACACTCCTCAGTCTGATGCACACTGAGCACAGTTGTCCACTCACATTTTCAATCAGAGGACAGAAACCTAGTCTTTGGAAGCTCTAGGGACTCTTCTGCCAGCAGGATCTTCTGGTTCTGCCCAATATTGACTGGCCACAGCTTCCCCCCAGAGGACTGGTGGAGAAAAACAGAAGCTAATGGGAGATCAGCAAGACTGAAGCTGCTTCTCCCCGTTCCCCTGCAGGGTACAATGCTTGGAGGCGCTTCTGTGGGCTCTCCCAGCCCCGGAATTTGGCACAGCTTAGCCGGGTGCTGAAAAACCAGGACTTGGCAAGGAAGTTCCTGAATTTGTATGGAACACCTGACAACATTGACATCTGGATTGGGGCCATCGCTGAGCCTCTTTTGCCGGGGGCTCGAGTGGGGCCTCTTCTGGCTTGTCTGTTCGAGAACCAGTTCAGAAGAGCCCGAGACGGAGACAGGTAAGTGACCCTATCATAAAAGACATCAGCACCAGAGGCAGAGCAGAAAAACACTAGCATTTCAAGACTAAACATTGAAGAACACTGCTCTTTTTAGTATCATTTCTTCCAAGTTCACAGGATCTGAAATCAGGAGGCTCCTCTCTGAAAAGCTGGGTCAAAGGAAGAGAGACACTGACCCAGGCAAGGCCCATATTGCCTGAGCTGGAGTCATCTTAAACCCAGAGGTTGCCTGGCAGCCTCACTATTCTGGGTTGGTGGATCCCAGAAAACATGGGCAGAAAGGGCTAAATCTGGTTTCCCTCCAATACATTTGTGATTTAAGACCTGACGGCCGGGCGCGGTGGCTCACGCCTGTAATCCCAGCACTTTGGGAGGCCGAGGCGGGCGGATCACGAGGTCAGGAGATCGAGACCATCCCGGCTAAAACGGTGAAACCCCGTCTCTACTAAAAATACAAAAAATTAGCCGGGCGTAGTGGCGGGCGCCTGTAGTCCCGGCTACTTGGGAGGCTGAGGCAGGAGAATGGCGTGAACCCGGGAGGCGGAGCTTGCAGTGAGCCGAGATCCTGCCACTGCACTCCAGCCTGGGCGACAGAGCGAGACTCCGTCTCAAAAAAAAAAAAAAAAAAAAAAAAAAAAAAAAAAAAAAAGACCTGTCTCCTTATTTGGAGTTGGTATTGCCCGAGTTCAAATCCAGCCCTGGCCACTTAAATTACTGTGCACTTAATACTGGGCAATTTATTTGGCCACTGAATTTGTTTCATTTCTGAGATTCCAATCTTGCAGGAATTTTGTGAGAATTGAATGGAATAATATATGTAAAGTACCTGGCACACAACAGGTGCTCATTATAAGGTAATTCCTCCCCAGCCTTCACCCACATCTCTCGACTGCCTGGTAGGTTCTGGTGGCAGAAACGAGGTGTTTTCACCAAAAGACAGCGCAAGGCCCTGAGCAGAATTTCCTTGTCTCGAATTATATGTGACAATACCGGTATCACCACGGTTTCAAGGGACATCTTCAGAGCCAACATCTACCCTCGGGGCTTTGTGAACTGCAGCCGTATCCCCAGGTTGAACCTATCAGCCTGGCGAGGGACATGAGGCTTCTGCAGGTAAGGGGAGGCCACCTCCAGCACCCTGGGCTGGGTTAAGCCCTCACATCCTTCCCTGGATGGATGGCTGAGTCCTCTTAGGTCTCTAAGCAGAGAAAACAGAACTTGTCACTAGGTACTCTTTCCAAGTGGCTTCCCAATGTGCTAGTTTCTGGGCTGACAGTCAATTCCAGGCCCTAGGACTTTGGGGGGAAATTAGGAGCATCCAACTATCCTCAGCTTGGTCACTAATACCTGAAAACAGCTCCATTTCTAAACATCCAGTAAATTCCTGACTTATCCAGTTCTGTTACTTCCACAGGAGTCTATCCCAAGTCTCCAACTTTTGGAGACAAGGGGAAGGGGAGGACCATGAGGCTGCCTTGTCTCCCTGGAGCAAGTGCAGGCTGCTGACGCTTCTGCTGGCTACAGCTCAGAGCTGGGTTCCCCAGCCAGGAGTGAAGGCTGGGGGCTCCTATCAGCAATGGACCTTCCCGCCTTGGGAGCCTCTTAGGTATTAGGCTATGAATCAGCGCCACGTGCAAAGGCTTGGGAGCCAAGCCATGTGGTCTTGCACCCCAGGCAAGAAAAGTCAGCTGGAGGGTTTACAGCACTTTCTACTGTTTCCCAGCCCTCCCTCCCCTCCCTCACCATGACTAAGAGACCACTCGGTCCTAGCCTCCAGACACCCCACAATACTCCTCTGAGCCTGAGGCCAGGCAGCATGCTCTGCTTCTACCAATAAAGCACTGCTAAGGGCAGGGGCTGCTGTTTCTGTGTTGGGCTAGGGAAGACGTGGCCTCAGTTCCATGCTTTGCTCCAGATGTTTAAGAGAAGTGCTGTTAACACGCAAGCTGGCACAACCATCTAAGCCTCTCCTGGGGGCTGAATTAGGAGAGCCCAAAGAAACACTGTGGAGTAGGGAAAGGCAGAAAAGGGGAAGGGCAGACATGGTAGGGGCCCCGACATTAAGAACACCCTAGCCATACCAGCAACCTGAGCAGACAAACAGCCAACAGAACATCAGTCAAAATAAAAGGGGTTTATGTAACAAAAAACAAAAAAACAAACAAACAAAAAAACACAGTAAAAGATACCACCCAGCTAGCAGAAAGGACTCAGCACTGCCTTCAGCCTTCACTTACTCAGAAATAACTCATATCTCAACCTCAGCAAGCCCCAAGCAGTAGAATGAGGCTTCCCTGGAAAGAGGCTGAGACTCACAGGCTGGGGATTTAAGACCCTCTCACCGTCCACCTTCCTTCCTTCTTTGGTCTTGGAAGATGAAAGGCTCCATTTTTAAAGGGTGGAGAACAGCAGATCCCCTGCTACTGTGAGACAAGCCAGAAAAGTGAGTCAAGGCCAGACTCACTATGGGGTCACCCCAAACAGCTTCAGATCAAAAAGCCTGCCTTGCTGTGATGCCCATTGACAGTGGCTGCAAATATAAAGGGGGGGCCACAGGGTCTCTGGCTTTATTTCCACAGGGTAGGGAGAAGACCCTGCAGAAGGCTAGGCAGAGGGGCCAGCCGGGAATTTCCCAGCTTTTCTGGTTCTCAGCAGACCAACGTGGTCTCTAATCAGAAAGACGAAGAGGCAGGAGAGCACTGGCCTCAGATATCCCCCATCTTGTCCTCTTGCACTGTGGGCCAGGGCTGCTGTGAGCTAGGAGACCAGGGTTCCAGAGGGGCTCACTAGGTCCTGCGGGAGGCTTTCCCGGGCCTCCTGCATGCGGCGCCGGGCTCGACGGAAGGCCTCTGTAAGGAAAGGAGATATGCTATTTGGCTGCCATATGGTATTTCTCTCTGCACTGCAGAGAGAAACAGGCCCATGCTGACCTGGGGTGGCCAGCTGGGGGAGGGGACATACCTAGCACATTGTGAATGGAACTCTGCTGGCTGAACCCTTCCAGACGGTCCAACACACTCCGCATCCTTTTCTGAAGGGAGCTCGATTCCATGAAGGCCCTGCAGGGAGGCCAGCCACATGGTTACGGCTGTCTCCACCCCTCAGGGCTAAGGTGCCCTGAGGCAGAGGGCCAAGTCACTCACCTGGACTGCTGCAGACAGTGCAAGCGGAAGGTGACAGTGCCTGTGGTCTCTGTGCGGAGTCCAAAGCGGCTCAGGCGTTCCCCCTGTGGCATGCCATTGGGACAGCCTCAGGTTTCTGCTCTCTCTAGACACCCCCGCACCATGCTGGCCTCACCCCCATTCTTATTCCCATTCTTGGGAAGCGCAGTTCTGTTGGGGAAACCTTATTCCATCACCCAGACTCTATTACCTCAAGGCTAATACTGGGCTATTGGGCTCCCCCAACTAAACCAGGGAACATTCCAACCTCATTTGAGAAGCGGCGGTCTTATATGCTTACTGTGAATCCTCCCCACATCTGATTACTGAGGCCTTCAGTGATGGGGGAAAGAGCCAGTTATTCTGATGGGAACCAGGGGAAATCTCTAATTATACTATTTTCCAGAGACCTCCTACGATAGCAGTGTAGATATTGGAACCTGATTCAAAATGTGGTCATGACTTCCAGCTTAAGCCACAGGAAGGAAGGGGTTAATACTGAAGCAATGCACAACTAAGGGGTCTTGACCCAGATCCCACCTCCTACAGAAGGACAGGACCATAAGTTCTCAGCGTGAAGTCACTCCAAAGACAAAAGTCACCTTGAAGGATCCTGGTATCCGTACATAGGAGAGGTCCTCCAGTTCCAGAGAACCGCCAATGAAAAACCTCCTCAGCTCAGCCACCGTGCCAAGCTCCACAGGTCTCCACGTGGAGACTGTCAGGGTGTGTGAGCCTGCGCAAGGGAAGAGAAGACTGGGGCCAGGTCCAGAAAGGGCATGTGGCCCCTCACTGACTCCCCAGCAATGACACAGGCCTAGACTCAGCTAAAACACCTGGTCTGGTGATGACCTGGCCTCTGGTGCAGGTTATCATGGTTACCCATAGCACCTGTATGGAAATCAATCAGGGAGAAATTCAAATTTCCGCTCTGCCAGTTATTACCTGCATACCCAGGACAGGTTTCTTAACCTCTCTGAAGCTCATTCTCCTCATCTAGTAAAATGGAAATAATACCACCTGCACCTCACAGAGTGACTGGGAGAATTAAGTGAGAAGTATGGCACAATGCCTGGCACACAGTAAAAGACAGATGCTTTTATTCCAAACTGAATGCTGATTCATTCAATACACATATGCTATGAGCCAATTTTGCCATACAGCTTCTCACCCTGAGTCCAATCAGAGGAGCATGAAGCACATGGAGAGACTGTCAGGAAGTCAGTGCCAAGGCCACGTCATTGTCGCTAATGGAGGGGGGCAGAAAGTCCTCAGAGGAACAGGAACTCTTTCAAGCCAAACATTTCCAATTCCCAATTATCTCCACCCCTCACCAGAAGCATTCGAGTGTTAGTCTTGTTCTTAGGGCCTAGGGCATGTGGGCCACAGAAGGGCAGAGACGAGCGGTTACCTGGAGTGGCAGGCAGCACCACAGCCCCATAGCCTTCCACACGGTACCTCTGCCAGAAGTCCAGCGAGAGGACCTCACAGTAGAGCACAGGCCACTCCGGGAGTGCATCTGGGAGCAAGGAGAGAAGCGGCCAGGTCACAGGCGGCCTTCACCAAGAGACAGCACTGCTTGAGGGGAACCAAGGCCCAGGATCAACTGCTGAGCTACTCACCAGAAGATTCATCCTCATGGAGGAAGAAGGCTTCAAACGTGAATGGGTAGGAGAAGTGAGCCACCTTGTCCTATAAAAAGGAGTGTCATAGGGTGGGCAAGGCCTCCCTTGGAATCTGTTCTCCTTGTGGCCAATGACAAGGTTATCTTCACAAGGGAAAAAGAAAAATTATCACCCAGGTGGGAAATAGGAGTCTGAGATGCAAAAGGACACCCAAATACAAGCTGCTGCCATGCTCAAAAAGACAGACAGGATCTCCGGACCAGGTGGCCCTGTAGAACCCACACACAAGTCACCCAACTCTGGAATCCTCCCCAGGGCGCACAGCACTTGGCCTGATAAAACCTCAAATGCCATCCCAGGAGCAGATCTCATTCCCTTCCAGATACCCGCTCTCATTCTCCATACCATTGCCAGGGACTTGGTGGTGCAGGTCTGTGTTACTCCTGAGAGCTGCTGGAATGCTGGGCTTGACCAGTCTGAAAGCCAAAGACCAAATATAGTAAGCTCGCCTGGGAGGAAAGCAAGTCATTCAGAAAAAGACAGTTTCTTTTTTCTTTTCTTTTTTTTTTTTGTATTTATTGATCATTCTTGGGTGTTTCTCGGAGAGGGGGATGTGGCAGGGTCATAGGATAATAGTGGAGAGAAGGTCAGCAGATAAACACGTGAACAAAGGTCTCTGGTTCTCCTAGGCAGAGGTCCCTGCGGCCTTCCACAGTGTTTGTGTCCCTGGGTACTTGAGATTAGGGAGTGGTGATGACTCTTAAGGAGCATGCTGCCTTCAAGCACCTGTTTAACAAAGCACATCTTGCACCGCCCTTAATCCATTTAACCTTGAGTTGACACAGCACATGTTTCAGAGAGCACGGGGTTGGGGGTAAGGTTATAGATTAACAGCATCCCAAGGCAGAAGAATTTTTCTTAGTACAGAACAAAATGGAGTCTCCTATGTCTACTTCTTTCTACACAGACACAGTAACAATCTGATCTCTCTTTCTTTTCCCCACATTTCCCCCTTTTCTTTTTGACAAAACCGCCATCGTCATCATGGCCCATTCTCAATGGTCGCTGTCTCTTCGGAGCTGTTGGGTACACCTCCCAGATGGGGCGGCCGGGCAGAGGCGCTCCTCACTTCCCAGACGGGGCGGACAGTTTCTTTATTCATTTATTCACACAATCAATCATTCATTTACCATTTACTGAGTGCCTGCTATGTGCTAGTATATCTTAGGGGTATCTTGGTAACTAGATAGAAAAGATCCCCATCTCTCATGGAGCTGACATTCTGGGGGAAGCAGGGAGACAGACAAAAACCAAACCAACAAGAGACTATTGGGTAGTGATGAGTGCTATACTAAAAACAAAACGGGGAAGGGACTGAGTGATTGGGAGGCTCATTTAGACTGGGTGGTAAGAGAAGGCCTCTCAGAGGCGACACAGGCTGAGACCTAAACTCAGAAAGAACCAGCCATGCTAAGATATGGCAGAAAGGGTTTCAGACAAAGGAAACGGCCCTTAAAAGGCTACAAGGTGGGAATGAACCTGGCTGGGAAGAATGACTGGAAGGTTGTATGGAAGAGATAGGCAGGGGCCAGCTCATTCAGGGTATCAAGTTTACATTTTACTCTAAGTGGGAGGGGAAGCTGTTGGGGTTTTCAGCTCAAAAGGGACATAACTTGTTTACATTTTTTAAAGCTCAACTTGGCTTTGGTGTCTGTGGCAAATCAACGGCAAATGGGAGCAAGGCAGGAAGCAGGGGGATACATCAGAAGTTGAATGCACTGGCCTAGACAAGAGATGGTGGTGGCTTGGTGTAGGGTGCTGGAGAGAACAAATAGGTTCACAACAGCTTTTGAAGACAGAACGGACAGGAACTGTTGACAGATTGGCTGGCTATAGGGAGCTAGGGAAAGTGAGGGATCAAGGATGTTCCCTAGGTTTTTGGCATCAACAACTCAGTAGATGACACTGCCATTCTGTTAGGATGGGGAAGACCAGGGAGGAGAGGTTTGAGGGAAGAGGAGGAATCAAGAGTTCTTTTTGGTCATGTTAGACAGAAATGACAAAAGAGGTAACTGGATATGAGTCTGGAGTCCAGGGAAAAGGTTAAGGCTAGAGGCAGAAACCTGGGAGTCTGAGACGTATTGATGGTATTTAAGCCATAGGATGGATGACGTTGCCCAGGAAGACTGCAGACAGAGAGTAACAGAAGGCCTTGGCTTAGCTGTGGGTACTCTCACGGTTTAAGATCAACAGAAGGGAAGGCATCACCCAAGAAGGATGAGGGGCCACCAGCGAGATAGGAGAGAGAAGTGTGGAGCCAGAAGCCAGAGAAGTGTGTCATGCAGCACAGTGGGCTCTGGAAAATGCTTCAGGAAGGTCAAGCGAGGTGAAAGCAGGGAAGTCTCCACTGGGTTTGGTAAAGTGGATGTGATCTATGACCTTGAAAAGAACAGTAACAGTTTCAGCAGAGGAGTGGGAAAGGAAGCCTGACCAAATGCCTCTAGATCTGTCTGAATGGGTATAAAAGGAGAGACTTAAGAATATTACTTACGAGCAGTTGGCAATTCTACAAAGAAGTGGACGTAGAGATTGTCATACTCATAGCCTTGGGCTGAAACTACGAGAGAAAACAGGAAGCTATTTTAGCTTTTTCTCCTACCACCCTTAGCACCCAACCCAATCCTGAGGGGCCTACACACCCTGAGAGCAAGTCTTTTGAGGGCCAGGAACCCTCTGCGTTTCCAGGAAAGACTCACCACTGAGTTTCCCAAGTACAGCAGACAAGGCCTCTACCAGAGTGGAGGAGACTATTCACAGCTCCATCTAGGCACGTGCCTAAGCATCAAGAGATCTATGCTAGCAAGACACTTACCGACCTCTCCATTTACAAAGAGCCGGAGGGCACCTGGGACAGTCTAAGGTGAAGAGAAGTGGGAAAGGATCAGCAGGCCTGGAGGGAATTGGCACTTCTCCTCCAGCCCCATCTACAAATCTGCAGACGACCTGCCACTAGGGGTCAGGCCCTGGGTGTCACTACTGCACTTTCTCCCCACCCTGACACTTCTCCACAGATCTGTTTCCTTCATTCCTAAGATTCACAATGTAGGGGGAAAGTACATAATTTAAATGGCAGTGAGGACAATGCACTATGGGAAATTATTCAAGCAACAGCAACTGTCCTGTGGTGTGCAATGGGAAGCCAGAACGCCCTCTTCCCTTTAGATGGCTGAGGTCAAGAAACCAGGGAGTTTTCTTTTTTAATTATTTGTGCATGTCTTATCTAACTTTTAAATACTGAATATCTGTTGCTTATGCAATATGGAAATAGTGAAGGTTAATTTTTCAGAGAAAGAGAGGGAGACCAGGAAGTAATTCTATCCTTGTTTCCAGGTCTAGAGATAGAACTCTTAGAATGAGAAAAGACAAAGAACAGCACAACAGAATAGCTGAACTAAACCACTTTCTTTTTTTTTCAGACAGGGTCTTGATCTGTTGTCCAGGCTGGAATGCAGTGGTGTGATCATAGCTCAATGCAAACTCAAACTTCTAGGCTCAAGCAATCCTGCTGCCTCAGCATCATGAGTAGCTGGGACTACAGGTATGTATCACCATGCCTTGCTAATTTTTTTTTTTTTTTTTGTAGGGATGTGGTCTCACTATGTTGCCCAGGCTGCTCTCAAACTCCTGGCTTCAAGTGATCCTCCCACCTTGGCCTCACAAAGTGCTGGGATTATAGTCATGCGCCACCGCATCAGGCCTATATTTTTTAAGAGCCAAAATATGTGACAAACAGAAATGGCACCCCTGCCTCTCTATGGGGTATTTTGAAAAAATATCCACATGAAAGGTGAAGAAGACATTTTTCATCCTTATATTTATTTTTTAAATTAATTATAAAGTAATACCTAAATACATTACAACTGATAAAAATTCAAAGCTACCTAAGTTTAGGGAATAAAAAGCAAAAATCCCTAATATATCCCTCTCACCACCCACTACCCTTCTACCACATCTAATCCCACCCTCCCCAGAGAAAGCCACCCACAGCATGTGCATAGCCTTTCAGACCTTTTTCTTAGCATTAACAGTTCTCTATCAACATGCAATGTTGCAAAACACATAACAAGGACTATATGTGCTATTCTTTGACTTCCTTTTCACACTGTAGAGTATACCTTTGGGCCTTTAAGAGAGGTAGTGTAACTCATCCACAGTCAGAATGCTCCGGCTAAACACAGCTCACAGTGCTGCAGGAAGCCAAGCTACTCACCATCTCAAAGTCGGTGCCTACGAGGCTGCTGAGATACTCCTTGTGCCGGCCATAAAGCTGAGGAAACAAACCAAACCAAAACTCAAGATGCAACCCAAGCTAGACCAAAGTTCAGTTCTGAATGGGAAGAAGAAAAGCAATAGTGGGAAGGGTCAGCAAGAGCTGGAGGCGTAAGCACCTGACTCACCGCCATTTTACCGTGAAGCAGAGGCCCTGGAGTCAGCTGGTCTGGGGCAGAATCCTGACTCTCGCCCTTACAAGCTATGCCACCTTGGGCAGACTACTTAGCTCCTCAATCTCGGTTTCCCCACTTATAAGGTGGTAATAAGTGTTCACCTCAAAGGGTTGTTGTAAAGACTAAAGGAAATAAGGTATGTAAAGTACCTAGCACAGAACATGGTAAATGCTCAAATAAATGGTTATTGTTATTATTATAATATGATCAAAAACTTCTGTCTGATATGTCAGCAATGCTGCCTAAGTCAGAAGGGGCCATGAAGGGCAAGGCTTTTCCCGAGCAACTGCTGACATCAAGTTCAGAAATGGTCTCAGCTCCAGGCACTGAGGCTCATCCCTTGGATACTTGGAATGAACTTGCGCTTACATCCTTGAACACTCGCCGTTCCCGCTCCTCCTCCTCCGGCTGTGCGTGGGGGGAAACATTGTCGATCGTATATTTCCACAGCTCCTGCTTCTCCCCCTCCGTCTCAATCCTGTAAGGTCAAAACCACAGAAAGGAGCAACTCTAATAATGAGAGATGGGCCCTGGGATAGCTCCCAGCCCAGGGATGAGCGATCAGGGGCCATACACCTCACTAAAGTATATGATGATAAAAGTGGCTGTATTGACGACCAGGAGAGAGAAACAAAAGGGTAAAGCAGAGAGGGCACCAGACTAGACTCAGAAAGTATAGGTTCTGGGCCCATTTCTGGCTTGAAGTTACAGTCAAACTGTAAGGCACAACATTCCTGCCACCCAGTTCTCTCACCTGAAAAATGGACAGGTTGGGCCAGATAATTTCTAATTTACATTTCTGTCATTTCCAAGATACAGAGATGAGGAACAGTCAGCCCACAGGAAAAGCCTGGCTGAGTTCACCCCACTCTGTTCTGGTCAGGTCCTACATTCAGCAGCACAGAGAATCACTGTCATTTAACTGTACCACTGAAGTGATCCCTTTCAAATTGGTGCAGTTGCACATTTTCTGAGAAAGGAGTCCCTGGTTTTCTAAGGCCCTATGACTTGGAACAGAATACGAACCATTGCCTGGGAATGTAAAAGTTAGAACAGATGAAGGACTTTCTGACAGTCTAGTTGACTAGGGACAAAAAGTGCAACCAAGGGAAGGAATGCCAGTCTCCACTACCCCTTTCTTCCTCTCCTCACCTGTAGGGTCCTTTGAGGCCCGTGAAGTCAGGCTTTACTGTGATCACACCATTGCTATCCACCTTCAGAGTACACAGGACATGTTCATACTTCTTATAGCCAAGCCTAGAAATCAGGAAAACACCAAGGTTGAGGTCAATGGTCCTTCAGGGAAACAAGAAGAGATACTGAGCCCACTGCAGGGGAGAGAACAGAGGCTATAGGGAGAGCTGTCATGGTAAAACTTTCTTCCAAGTACAACTAAGAAAAAAAAGGAAGAAAAAGTCCCTTCCTCTCCTATAACCCAGGATGATAACAGGAAGGGGATAGCTGGTGAGAGGAGAAGAAGATGAGGATCTGAGTTGGCAGTGAGAAGCTTCACTCATAACTAAGAAGAGAAGGAAGAAAAAGTCCCTCCCTCCCCTATAACCTAGGATGATAATAACAGGAAGGGGAGAGCTGGTGAGAGGAGAAAAGGATGAGGCTCTAAGCTGGCAGTGAGAAGCGCCACTCACTTTTTATAGGGCCCCAGGTCTGCCATGATGTGCATTGTCTGAAGAGGGGTGTTAATGACGTGGTTGTTCCTGACAAACTCTTCTGAGGGCTCCCAGGTGACGATGCGTGACTTGAGGATGCCGCCCTCCCTGGGAGACACCACAGAAAGGTCACTTCCCTGGCACACCCCAATGGAGCACCCCAGTGGAGAGCCACTTCAGAATGGGAAGTTTGAGCTAGTGGACATACTGTTTTGTTTTGTTTTTTAAGAGCCAAAATATTTGACAAACAGAAATGACATCCCTTCCCTCTCTCTGAGGCACTTTGGAAAAATGTCCACATGAAGAGTGAGGAAGATATTTTATATTTTTATATTTATTTTTTAAATTAATTACAAAGTAATACTTGAATACTATATATAACCACTGATAAAAATGCAAAACTACCCAACTTTAGGAAATAAAAAGTAAAAGCTTGTCCCCCATCCCATGCCCGCACTCACATCCCTCGCCTGTCCTGCCGGCGACGCCTGACATTTGCCATTCGCTCGACCAAGAATGAAGGCACCTCGCTGGCTGCAGTGGTCATTCTCTGACAGTGCTGGGAAAAGCAAGCAGCCCTGTGTACGCCATCTGGTCAGGGCCACATGGAGCCAAGTACCTGAAGGGAAGTCTTCCTCCTGAAACCTCATCCAGGACCTGAACCCCACAGGTTCCGCCACCTCACAATTATACATGCTAACGGAGGGAGCAGTAGCCAAACAACCCAAAGAAGATTTCTACCACATCATGGTTTGCCTTTGGATTTTAAAAAGGAGTTATTTATGTTAATATTAAAATCAGTCTGCATTCTCTGAGCACAAACCAACAAAAAGTTGGGTTAGTGTGCTTGGTAGATGTTGAAGTTAACAAGGTGGTTAGAAAATGCCAAATGGGATACAAGCATTTTGTGGGAAATCCTCACATGGTAACTGAGCACTAACTGCATTTTCATTTGCTTTTCCAAAACAGACAACCCAAATTTTATTTAATTTATATATTTTTTTAAGAGACAGGGTCTCACCCAGGCTGCAGTGCAGTGGTGCTATCATAGCTCACTGCAACCTTGAACTCCTTGGCTCAAGTGATCCTCCCGCCTCAGCTTCCCACGTAGCCGGGACTACAGGTACATGCCACCATGCCCAGCTAATGTTATCAATCCACAGCTCTAATAATGAAAGCACGTCAATCTTTCAAAAACATTTATTGAATACCTGTTCCTTGCAGAGACCTACAGAGTCATAGACAAAAATAAAAAAAATAGGCTCTACCCTCGAGGAGCTTAAAATCTTACTGAGAAGACAGAAGCAACTGAAATGCAGTGACTGAAGAAAATGTAAAACAAGGTCACAAGGGTATTTTTGTCATAGGCAAATTGAGGACATAAGCCATTTTCCATAGCTATACTGAATTCCTCTTCAAACCCATATACTCAGAGTTTGGGCTGAATCCCCTGATGAATTTTATCTATATTGTTCCAGACTCCACTACCTGTCTTTTTTCATGATGCATGGAGGAAGTCAAGCCCAGTGGTTACTTCTCCCAGTATGCACTCTGCAAGCATATAATCAGAGATACTGGCAGCTCCCCCAGGCCCTCTAGCAGGCAGAGAAGGGAGCAGCAGCCTCACCACCTGTAGACTGTGCCCATTCTATTCCAGGCTGGCTGCCAGCAGCAGCAGCTCACAGCAGTTCCTAGACAGGCTACTTGTCTCCCCTTACTAGGCTCTGACATAACACACAGAACTCAGTGAGGCAAAAAAGCTAGAGGAAGCAAAGATGGAAGCTATGAGACCCTAGAAAGAACAATACCTCCTCCAAATTGGTGTATCTATCAGAGTCAGTGTAGGTAAAGATTCGTCGGTTTTTCTTGCCACCCGAATTCTCCAGCTTCAGGATCTCCTGACGGTACTGATAATCCAAAGGACTCTGACAGGCTGTTTCATTTTGGTACAGATCTACTTCAAACTGAGGTTACCATAAGGAAACAGAGATGTGTACATCATTATAATACATCAAACTTTTGCTTCTGTAACTGTTTAATCAAATCAGTTCTACAGAACTGATGCTATCTGACATGTTTTCATAACCAACACTAAACTAATGAATGGCAGGGGAACCAAGAACATTAGAGCTAAAAGGAACCAGACTGATAGTCTAATCCAAGTCTGCTATTACAGATGGCATATAGCCCAGAGATGAAAAGTTCCTCACCCAGAATCACAAAACTGAGTAGTGGCAATCCCTATGTTACAATGCCCTTTAAACACAACAGGGGAAAGTATAAACTGTTACAACCTGTCTGGAAATCACTTTGGCAATATGTATCACCAGCCATGTGGAGGTAGACCAGATGGAATAGACAGAGAAGACAAGAGACACTGGCTCACCTGGCTAAAGAGCTTCTCCTGCCACCCAATCACAATCTCCTCCTCTTCGTCTTCCTCTGGGCGGTGTCCACCTCCAAAGACAACAGAGTGAATCAAATGCTTGAGCCAAACCAGCACCACTTCTTGTTCTGTGGTTTATTATAACCAAAGTCCCTATTCTTATATTTGCCACAAAAACTAGCTGGAATTCAGCAATTTAGTAAGCACTCAACCTAGAGAAATGCTAGAGAGGCTGTATATGAGAGTTAGTATGAGTAGAAGCCAAGATTAGAACCCAGGAAGTCTTAGTCATGACTCTAATTTGAATAAAAGAAAATACCCCCCAGGAATTTTTTTCTGGGGGGGATGGAGTCTCACTCTGTCACCCAAGCTGGAGTGCAGTGGCACTGTTTCAGCTCACTGCAACCTCCTCTTCCTGGGTTCAAGCGATTCTCCTGCCTCAGCCTCCCAAGTAGCTGGGATTACAGGCACACACCACCAACCCAGCTAATTTTTGTATTATCAGTAGAGATGGAGTTTTGCCATGTTAGCCAGGCTGATCTTGAATTCCCGACCTCAGGTGATCCACCTGCCTTGGTCTCCCAAAGTGCTGGGATTACAGGCGTGGGCCACGGCGCTCAGCCCGCTCCAGGAAATATCTAATCTAACTGGATATAAGAAACTGAAATTTAGATATAAGCTGAATAGCCAGCCCTTCCTCAGTCCCAACTGTCTGCATTTGCTAGAAAATAACCCTGGCATTTTTATCTTTACTATTTCTAAAGCCATATATGTAGAATCACAAACACTGAAATTTAGGAGACCAAGTGTAAGGAGAGGACAGTGAAGGCAAATAAATGATTTTTTAACAGAACCAAATCTGGCTGAATGCAGTGACTCACGCCTGTAATCCCAACATTTTGGGAGGCTAAGGTGGGAGGATCACTTGGGCCCAGGAATTTGAAACCAGCCTGGACAACATAGCAAGACCTTTTCTCTACTAAAACTTTAAAAAAAAATAAACTGAGTGTGAGTCTGTAGTCCCAGCTAGTTGGGAGGCTGAGGCAGGAGGATGGCTTGAGCCTGGGAGACCAAGGTTTACAGTGAGCTATGATCATACCACTGCACTCCAGCCTGAGCAGAAGAATGAGATTCTGTCTCAAAACAAAACGAAAACAAAAACAAAGAAAACAAATCTAATCTAATACACTCTTGGGTATGCCTTTTTCAGAGACACGTTTCACAACCTGTGAGCCCACACTCTTGCCCAGGAACAGCTCTGAACAGAAAGAGAAACAATAAAAGCAAACAGACTAGTGACCTGACAACAACCACTCTGTCCTCTCCTCCTCATTCTTTTGGTTTCCCAGATAAGGAAAACCACAAGAACACAGTTGATCTATACATGCACATCATATGCAGATTTTGCAAGCAGTCTCCAGTTTAAAAATTGTTTTTAAAAGTGTTTATATGTGTATTTAGGGTTTGGGGCACGTTTTCTCTTTTAAAAATGCCACAAATAGGACGGGCGCGGTGGCTCACGCCTGTAATCCCAGCACTTTGGGAGGCCAAGGCGGGCGGATCACGAGGTCAGGAGATCGAGACAATCCTGGCTAACACGGTGAAACCCCGCCTCTACTGAAAATACAAAAAATTAGCCGGGCGTGGTGGCGGGCGCCTGTAGTCCCAGCTACTCGGGAGGCTGAGGCAGGAGAATCGCGTGAACCCGGGAGGCGGAGCTTGCAGTGAGCGGAGATAGCGACACTGCACTTCAGCCTGGGGGAAAGAGCAAGACTCCGTCTCAAAAAAAAAAAAAAAAAAAAAAAAAAAAAAAAAGCCACAAATAGAATGTAGGTTGCCGGGCAACTCTATAACATATCAGAAGTATAGTATTTGTTATCTCACTACATTTGGCCACAATTCTGATTAGTATCATAATTAGTATTAGATGGCACATCACCACCGTAACACCCACTGGCAGTTGGCTGAGGCCTAAAAGTGGCCAAGTCTATGAGGTCCTTCCCGAGCTCGGCAGCAGGCTGATAATGAAGAAAGTTGCTTGATGTGATTCTTTGCAGGTGGACTCTGTCAAGAAAAGCCCAAAATATTCGTTACCAGACACGCAACCAGGAGATGAACACAAAGCAAGGATGGGGGAAACAAAACAGAGGAGGTAGGGTTGCCAAGGTGTGCTGGGTGCAGACAACGGAGAGGAGGTGGGTGGGTGCGCCGTCCTATGGGGAAGAATGAAGGGGAGAGGGTGTACTGGGGGCACAGGGCTTTGAGAAACTGGGAGCAACAAAGACGTGAATGGACTTGGGTAGGTCTGTAAGGGGTTCTTAGAGGCTGTGAGTGGATGGGGGTACGGATAGTGAAAGAAGTGGGGAGCCCGGAGAAGTGGTCGGGATTGTAAGCAGAAAGTGGGGACCTCAGAACACCGAGCTCAGGTTGGAATGATCTAAGGACACAAAAGCATGGGGCCTCGGGGCTGGGGCGGTGCGACTACCGGAGGCGCAAGTTGCGCACGGGGTCCCGGGAGCGATACACTGCCTCCCCGGTGTCAGTGCTCCAGACGGTCTCCGCCATGACAGCTGCGACGCGCCGCGACTGCGCCGGAAAGCGCGCCGCTCTGTTTTCCTGGCAACGGAGACGCTGGATCGGGAGGCGACGGAGGTGCTGCGCGCGCAACCCGCCGTTCCCGTCACGGCGCCACGGTCGCAGTTGGCCACACAGTGCAAGTGCAGCCCAAGCCGAACGCCCAAGAGGGCTCCGGGGTCCTACCGATCACCGCTTACCATGTATGCGATAAAAGCTCACCGAAAGCGGGACCTCGTGCGCTGTGCAAATGAGGAAACTGGCACAGCCATCAGCCCACTTCATATAGACAGATAGATGCAGAAATGATGACGGGGACCAGGTGGCCTGAGTCTTCGCCCTCTACCTTTTCCACCATGCCACACTGCCTTCCACCCAACGCGTGAAAACTTTGGCCTGAAAATCGGGTGATGTGACTGTAAGAAATGCACCCATTATTCCCAAAGGAGTCAGGGAAGGTGATGGCCCTTAGCCAGACAAGAAAATATATTCTTGGAAGACAAAAAAAGTGTCAGAAGATTTATTAGTCTTTGTGTTGATATTCACTGAGCAAAGAAAGAAAAAACAAGGAAGTCAACAGTAAGGAAGGAAACGATGTTATTATTGAACTGATTCTTACCTTGTGTATGTTAGTTTTGGATCATTAAGCCACTTTGTTACTGCACTGGCTTCCTGAAAAGCCAAAAAAGTGACATTCACAAGTCATGCTTCGTTGTACTAGCAAAGGAAGGACATGCTGTAACCTCACGTCTGGCGTCCCGGCACTTTGGGAATGTCAACATTTATCAGCCTTGTTCACATCTAGTCCTCCTCCAACAAAGTAAGCAATTGTCCCCTGAACTCGGGAATCTCATGCCAGTTTGATGATTTGGCATTGGAAGCTCTGGGTGCCATAGCCACTAGTTGTGTAACACCGACTCACCATAAATAGCACCATTTATTTAGGATCTAGTGCAGCTTGAGCACTTTTGTTTGCATTGTCCCAAATCCTTGTAGAAGCCTCTCAAAAAGGTACTTTTATTCACTTTAAAAATGAAGTTCGTGAAGGCCAGGGTTTAAAGGACTTGCTAGCTTGCAAGTGGTAAAAGTACTGGGATTCTAGCCCAAGTTCTTCTGTCTTTTGAAGCCTAACCACCTTCCAGTTTGCCTCACAGCCTCTCACCTACCAATTTATTCCATAAACGCACACATTTCCAACCTGGGAAATAATAATTTTTTTTTTTTTTTTTTTGAGACGGAGTCTCGCTCTGTCGCCCAGGCTGGAGTGCAGTGGCGGGATCTCGGCTCACTGCAAGCTCCGCCTCCCGGGTTCACGCCATTCTCCTGCCTCAGCCTCCCAAGTAGCCGGGACTACAGGCGCCCGCCACTACGCCCGGCTAATTTTTTGTATTTTTAGTAGAGACGGGGTTTCACCGTTTTAGCCGGGATGGTCTCGATCTCCTGACCTCGTGATCCGCCCGCCTCGGCCTCCCAAAGTGCTGGGATTACAGGCGTGAGCCACCGCGCCCGGCCGGAAATAATTTTAACATAAAACAAAAGGCACCTTTCTAGCTCCTAAGAAATTGTCTCTCCAATGTTTCCTTTTAAAATTGTGAGTAGGCAATCTGTGCCACATGCACAACAGCTGATAAAGTGGAGCCTGATTCTAGTTTAATTTTATAACCAAATCTAACTTATAACAAAGTTAATCTGACATAATTATATGCAAAATAGTTTCTATACCACGTTATGGAAATATAAGCTATTTGTGTAAGCAACCATAATTAGTATTATTTTTATATAGGTAAACTAAGTTTTCATGTTTTGTTTACTGATTTCTATGAATCAGGATCCTTTTATGTTTAAATATTCAGCTTATTGGTCTTAAGTACATTTACCTTGTTTTTCAACCATCATCACCATCCATCGCCACTACTTTCTTATTTTTGAAAATTGAAACTCTGTTCCCATTAAATAGTAACTCCTCATTCCCCTCTTCCAGCCCCTGGCAACTACCATTCTACATTTTCTCTCTATGAAATTTGACTGTTTTAGATACCTAATCCATATTGTAGCATGTGTCAGAATGTCCTTTTTTTTTTTTTTACTTTAAATTCCGGAATACATGTACAGAACATGCAGGTTTGTTACATAAGTATACATGTGCCATGGTGGTTTGCTGCACCTATCAACCCATCACCTAGATTTTAAGCCCTGAATGCATTAGTTATTTGTCCTAATGCTCTCCCTCCCCCTGCCCCAGACTTTGCGACAGGCCCCAGTGTGTGGTGTTCCCCTCCCTGCGTCCATGTGTTCTCATTGTTCAACTCCCACTTATGAATGACAACATGCAGTGTTTGGTTTTCTGTTCCTGTGTTAGTTTGCTGAGGATGATGGCTTCCAGCTTCATCCATGTCCCTCCAAAGGACATGATCTCATTCCTTTTTATGGCTGCATAGTATTACATGGTGTATATGTACCACATTTTCTTTATCCAGTCTATCACTGATGGGCATTTGGGTTGGTACCATGTCTTTGACATTGTAACTAGTGCTCCAGTAAACATACGTGTGCATGTGTCTTTATAGTAGACTGGCTTATATTTCTTTGGGTATATACCCAGTAATGAGATTGCTGGGTCAAATGATATTTCTGGTTCTAGATCCTTGAGGAATCCGCACACTGTCTTCCACAATGGTTGAACTAATTTATATTCCCACCAACAGTGTAAAAGTGTTCCTATTTCTCCACAGCCTCGCCAGCATCTATTGCTTCCTGACGTTTTAGTAATTGCCATTCTGACTGGTGTGAGATGGTATCTCATCGTGGTCTTGATTTGCATGAACCAGGATTCTTAAAACTGAGATCCATGAGTGGGATTCAAGAAGTCTATGAATCCTTTCCCTAGAATTCTGAATGGGGGATTTTTCTAGAAAGAGTTCATAGCTTTTATCAGATTCTCAAAGGAGTTTGTACCATGATATCAAGAATGGCTTGGGCCAGACACAGTGGAGTTTAGACCCAGGAGTTTAGACCCACCGGGGCAACATATTTTTTATTTATAAAAAATTTAAAAATTAGCCAGGTTTGGTGGTGCATGCCTGTGGCCCCAGCTACTTGGGAGGCTGAGGTGGGAGGATCATGTGGGCCGAGGAGGTCGACGCTGCAGTGAACATAATTTAAAAGGAAGAAGTAAAATTGTGTATATCTACATACAATATGAACCTAAACAATCCTAAAGAATCTACAAAAATGCCAGCAGAACTAATAGGGTTATAGAATACAAGGTCAATATACAAAAATCAATGGTATTTCTATATACTAGGAACAAACCATTTGAACTTGAATTTTAAAAATCACAGCCATTTAAAATAACATCCAAAAGCACAAAACATAAAATTAACAAAATATGTGCAAGCCTTGTACACTTAAAATGTCAAAACATTGGTAAGATGAAGACCTGGATAAAGTAGAGTACTATAACATGTCCATGGATTGGAAAAATCTATATCATTAAGGTAATTATCCTCAAGATGATCTAAATCTCAGTAAAAATCCCACCAGGTTTCTTTGTAGAATTGACAAGCTGACTCTTAACATCTATATGGAAATGCAAAGGAGTTACATGGTTAAAAGAATTTTGAAAAAGATCACGCCTGTAATCCCAGCACTTTGGGAGGCTGAGGCGGGCAGATCAAGAGATTAGGAGATTGAAACCATCCTTGCCAACATGGTGAAACCCTGTCTCTACTAAAAATACAAAAATTAACTGGGCGTGGCGGCATGCACCTGTAGTCCCAGCTACTCCAGAGGCTGAGGCAGGAGACTCGCTTGAACCCAGGAGGTGGAGGTTGCAGTGAGCTGAGATCACACCACTGCACACCAGCCTGGCGACGCAGCAAGACTCTGTCTCAAAGCAAAAAACAAAAAAAAGAGTCCAAAATAGATCTGTACGTAGATGGCCTATCAATTTTTGACAAAGGTCCCAAGGTAATTCAATGGAGAAAGGACAGCATTTTCAACAAATAATGCTGGAATAATAAATCCATAAGCAAAACAAATACAAAGATGAACAAAATTCAACTCCTTACCCTACACAATTTAATGAATTGAAGCAAAATGGATCATAGACCTAAAAAGTAATAGTTACAACAATAAAACTTCTAGACAGAAACATAGGGACAGATCATTGAGATCCTGAGTTGGGTAAATATTTTCTTAGGACTCAAAATGTACAAACTATAGAAGAAAAAATCAATTGTCATCAAAATGCACAACATCTTTTCTTCGAATGACACTGTCAAGAAAATAAAAAGACAAGACACACTGAAAAATATTTGCAAAACACCTATCTGATAAAGGACTTATATCTGGAATATATAGTCTTACACCTCAGTAATAATAATACAAACAATCTTATTTTTTAAATGGTCAAAAGATTTGAACAACTTACCAGAGAATATATGTGAATGACATTAACCCAGGAAAAGATACTTGATATCATTAATCATCAGAACATTACATATTAAAAACACAAAGATACCACAGCACACCTATTACAATGGCTAAGATTTAAAAGTTAGACCATATTAAATGCTAGTGAGGATGTGGAGCAACTGGAACTCTCATAATTACTTATCAGAATGCAAAATAGTACAGCCACTTTGGGAAACTGGAAATTTCTTATAAAGTGAAACATTTACATACCATATGATCCAGCAATCTCACTCCTAAGTATTTACTCAAGAAAAATGACAATATGTGTCCACAAAAAGGCCTGTATGTAAATGTGTATAACAACTTATGATAGTAAAAATGGGAAACAGTCCAAATGTCCATCAATGTGTAAATGTTTAAATAAATTGTGTAATTTGTATAATATTTATACAATGAAA
Source organism: Homo sapiens (assembly GCF_000001405.40). Classification (NCBI taxonomy): domain Eukaryota; kingdom Metazoa; phylum Chordata; class Mammalia; order Primates; family Hominidae; genus Homo; species Homo sapiens. The sequence continues at coordinate 58,224,114 of NC_000017.11, forward strand.
TACTACTCCATAATAAAAACAAAGTGACTACTGATACATAAAACCACATGGATGAATCTCAAAATCATTATGCTCAGTGAAAGAAACCAGACATAAAAGACTATATACTGTACAATATATTCGATATGGCATTCTTTAAAAAGGAAAAATTATAGAGATGGAAAATAGATCAGTGGTTGCCAAGGATTGGGTGTGGGGATAGGGATTGAGTATAAAGGGCAGTGTGAGGGAATTTTAGGGGTGATGAGACCGTTCTAAATCTGTGGTGATGCTAAACAACTTGTTGCATTTGTTAAAAACCTACAGAAGTGTATCAGTAAGTGAATTTTACTGTATGTAAATTTTAAGCTATTTACCAGGTTGTGAGGGGTACTTAAAATGGAATGCAGACTATGACAAATGACTCTGTTATAGATGACTCATCTAACCACACTGAAGGGGGTGAGGAAGCAAAGAGCCAACCTAAGTAACTTTGGAAAACTATTTTGGCTGAAAGCTGAAGGATGAAGACAGAAAGATCTGTCCACAAACACTGTACTCTAGTTGGTAAATTTGTTCCTCAGAGGAGTTGAGTTAGCAATTCTAAAGCTACTTTATGTATGTACTATCACTAAACAAATAAGTAAATATGTGGTAGATAATGAGTACCACTTCTGTGTCTGAGAAGGAAGTTATAAATAAGGAAAGGGGTGAAGGCAAGAATGGACCCTGTGATGCTGGATCAGAGTTGGAGGTAGCAGTAAAAATTCATGGGTGTTTAAAAATATATGTATAAATACCACTTGGTTGAGTCTTTTTTTAAGAAATAAATAATAGTAATAATAACAATAATAATAATAATAATAATAAATAGGCCAGGCATGGTGGCAATTGCCTGTAATCCCAGCACTTTGGGAGGCCGAGGCAGGTGGATCACCTGAAGTCAGGAGTTCAAGACCAGCCTGGCCAACATGGCGAAACCCCATCTCTACTAAAAATACAAAAATTAGCCAGGTGTGGGGTACATGCCTGTAATCCCAGCTACTCGGGAGGCTGAGGCACAAGAATCACTTGAACCCAGGAGGTGGAGGTTGCAGTGACCTGAGATCACGCCACTGCACTCCAACCTGGGCAAAAGAGCGAGACTCCATCACAAAAAAAAAAAGAAAAAGAAAAAGAAATTTTAAAAATATATGTAAAAGAGTCAGAAATGTGTGTGTGTGTGTTTATATATATATATATATATATATATATATATATATATATATATATATATATATGCATGAGTTAGTATCCACACATGTAACTTCTAGCTCTGTCTACTGAGAGAGCCCAGAAGCAGTCACTCCTCAACAGAAATGAGCATACCTAGTACCCAGACCTTGGTTTCTAAAGACCATTCTCCACTACAAAGGAATCAGGGCTCCTTGGAGAATTCATTGATTCCCAGAGAAGCAGCAAAATGAAACTTCTTAGACACTTCTTAGCTAGGTAACTCCTATCAGCCAAGAACAATCCTGATATGGGTATAGGTATGTGCTGTTAACAGTCAACATAGTTAGCAGCTGGCAAAGAAGATCTTGGTAGGACACCAACAGCATCTGCTACAAGTACATTTTGGGGAGGTGACCCCAGGGAACATTGGATTGGGAGTGGGGCTAAACTCAGGCCAACTTACTCAGGACACCACAATCATGAGTATCCCTGCCTCTTCCCAGGCCCCTTCCAGGCAGTGTGCCAACAGGTAGAACAGGTGAGACTACATGAGTATTACCATGTTGATATTACCAGAGTCAGTAGGAGAATAAAATAGTTCAGCGTTACCCAGGAGCTGAGCATCTGAAGCAGGTCGCTTGTATATCCTAGCCAGATCTTAAATGTCTTTTCCAAAGAAACATACTAAGCTTCTGACAACTAATTGCTTTATCTTGAGCAGCCCTGTTTTCCCTACAGTGTCCAACAGGTTAGCTCAGGTCTCCAGTGATGTGTCAAGACTTGGGGCAATAGGAGTGTTCTAAACAGTAGGACACTGATAATATTGGCTCCTATGGCTCCTCCTCCTCAAGAAGAGGATTCGATTTTTTAGAAATACAGGGACTTTACAATCCACCTTCCATGCTCCTCCCATTCTTGGTATTCTCCTGGAAATCACGAAGAAATTAATCTCTTCAGCAAATTCTAATAAGCCAGTCTTCTCCTTTTCTTTTTCCAGAACTTTCCACCAACTATGAGATTCTTTCAAGTTTGATCTCATTATAGCCCACTGACTTTTTCCAAATCATCAGTGAGCTTTTGAAAGTATACATTCATATTTACCCAATAATTTTAAGTCAAGATTTTGGCTCTTGTCTCAAAAGAATCATTTGGCTTCAGCTATTAGAACTGAAATTAGGTGGTTCCTTGAAATTGCTTTGAGTAAGAATTCTCAGCAATCCTGTCAGAGACTACAAGATATGGTAGTTAAGAGTTCGTGCCATAATTCATTAATTAATTCACTTAATTTATTCAAAAAAAATTGTGTTTTGATGGTCTTGGAGTATGTAGTATACTAAACAGTCTCTGACCTCATGAAATTTACATTATGGTTGGGGTAGGTAGACAGTAAACAAACAAAAAAGCAAAACATAGTACAATATATGGTGGTCAGTTCCACAAAGAAAAATAAAGCAAGAAAGAATAATGCTATGGTCTGAATGTCTCTTCCAAAACTCATGTTGAAACTTAATCCCCAATGTGGATTAATGAATTAATGAGCTGATGGATTAATGGATTATCATGGGAGGGGAACTGGTGAGAGACCTGAGCTGGCACATGCACACTCAGCCCCTCGCCATGTGATACCCTGCACCACTCTAAGGAGAGTCCTCTCCAGGAAGAAGGCCGTCACCAGAGTGACCCCTCAACCTTAGACTTCTCAGCCTCTAGAACTGTGAGAAAGAAACTCTTTTTCTTTATAGGGATACCCAGTTTCATGCATTCTGTTATAAGCAACAGAAAACAAAGGTAATAAGAATTACAGGAGGAAGGCCAGACACAGTAGCTCACGCCTGTAATCCCAGCACTTTGGGAGGCCCAGGCAAGAGGACTGCTTGAGGCCAAGACCAGCCTAGGCAACATGGCAAGACCTTGTCTCTACACAAACTAAATTAAAAAAATTTAGCCAGGCATGGTGGTGCATGCCTATAGTTGTAGCTACTCAGGAGGCTGAGGTGGGAGTATTGCTTAAGCCCAGGAGTTTAAGGCTGCAGTGAGCTGTGGTCGTGCCACTGCACTCCAGCATGCGTAACAGAGCGAGACCCTGTCTCAAAAAAGCAAAAAAAGAATTGTAGAAAAAGAAGAGTTTGACATTTTTTAAAAGGGAAATCTGGAAACACTAACTAAGACTGTGATATTTAAGCAAGTACTCAAAGATGGTGAGGAAATGAGCCATGTGGATATCTGGAGAATGAGCACTTCAGGCAGATGAAACAGCAAATGCAAAGCTGGGTGCTGGGACATGAGTATATTTTGTCTCAACTGTCTTACAACTGATGCAAGATTTTTCTCAGCCCCTTCACTGGACTTACAGCAGGGGTACCCCCTCTACTCAGCCCACCACGCTCAACCCCTTGCAGGAGGGAGCACATGAGCGAGTGAATGTGGGGTCCAGCCAGCCACTCCTAGTGCCAACACAAGAGCAACCTCCATGCAGGGCCTGCAGAGGCACCCAGCTAAGGGTGCCCAAAATCCCAAAGGCCCAGAGGGGTTGTTACAGTGCTCCTTTAGTTCCACTGTCCACGGATAGCGGTGTGTTAACAGTTCAGTTGGCCCCTTACCTCATCACGTGGGGAAGCTGCCCTCCACCAGTGAGGGCAAAGGGCCAGTGTGACAACCTTTCTGGGTAAAGTGTCCCAAGCTCTTGTCCAGGGTCCAAGAAAAATGAAGTCACATGGACAGCTGAAGGATGGCAAAGGTGGAGAATTTTAGTGAATGATAAAAATGGCTCAGTGGATAGGGGAATAGGAGAGGCAATGAGAAGGGCAGGTCATCTTCCCCAAAGTCAGGTTGTCTCTTCACAAAGTCAGGAGTCTCCTCTTCTACTGACTGAGCCTGGGGTCTTTATAGGCACAAGATGGGGAGTGCGTGCTGATTGGTCTGTGAGTATGCAAAAAAAGTTAAAGTGAAAACACCACTCAAAGGTGGGCATGACTGTGTAGAAAACCAATTAGGAAAAGCTAGATATATGTGAAATAGGTGAAGGATGGGGATCAATCAGAGGAAAGCACATCAAACAGGAGGACAAGTTCTCAATCCAGTCCAAGGATTTAACTTGTAGCTTGGCTTTCAGGATTTAAATTGTCTTCGACTTGGAGGTGGGTACCCAACCCTGTCTGTCTAGGCATTTGGCTGCCTCCTGTCACTATCATTATATGTGAATAATTAGAATAATTTATATTGTTAAATTAAACCTGTCTCCAAGCTCCCCCTCAGCAGAGCTGATGCGATGTTCAATGTTGTTATTGTGGCCCCTTCCACTTCCTGGACTCAGTGCAGAGTTCCTACGCCCCAGAAAGGGGCCTCCAATCCATGCTGGTCAGTGCTGGGGTGGTCATGCCCCAAGCTCCCAGCTGAGCAGGCTGCTCTCTGCTTACCGTGTCCATCTTCCTCCTGGTGACTAACTTGGCCTCCAAAGACCACAGCCTATAGAGTCCAGTCCCAGATATCCATGTGCCACCCTGTCAGAGGTCCATGCAGGAATTCTGCCCCGTGCAGGAATGCTGCAAGAGAGCTGAAATTCCCTGTTTCTTGGTCCTGCATCTCCAAGGTAACTAACCAATCCCTCCAACCCTATAGGCTTCAGCAACCTACCAGTTTCCTCTCCATTCTCCCTCCTCCCTCCCCCACCCCCCACCGTACCTCAATTGAGCTCCCTAGCCCTGTGAGCTATGTTTGTTTGTCACTTGTGTTTTTGTTTGTTGTTATTTGTTTGGTTAGTTTGGTCTATTGTTTATTTGCTTGTTTATTTTGTTTTTTCAAAACAAAGGCTTGTTAATCTTCCCAAAGACAAAGAAAATTCTGCCCTCCAGGACACAAAGCTTTAATTGCTCTCTTGAGAGAGGGTGAAGGGAAAGGTATTTTTAGTCTTTGAACGGAAGAAAATTAAGATTTCAATCGCATTAACATCTCTGGAATCCTTTCCCAGCTCTCCACCTCCAGGACCACCAGGCACTACCTCTTTCCAGGATACCATTAGTTCCTACCTTCGTCATTGCAACAGGGTGCCTCCTGACCTTCCTCTCTGCAGTCCTACCCTCCACCTCTTCCCCACCCTAAAGCCAAGTGATCTTTCTACAGCAATAATCTAATGACCCTTAAAATATCTTTGCCAATTAAGGAACAGGCACATGTTCCAATTCAGGCCAGTGAGACGTAAGAAAAAGCTTGCCAGGATTTCTGGGAAAGCTATTCTTTCTCTTCTGTGAGATTCTCTGCCTTCCCCTGCAGGGGGTTGTGTGCCATTTTGCCTGCAAGGGAAGGATGGAGTTGAAGCTGAGAGGAGGTAAAGCCAGGAGAACTGCAGGGTGAAGGAAGCCAGGCCCATTGAAGTAATTCAACCCTGAAGTCAACCCTATCCCTGGATTCTTGTTAGAGGTTTTTTTTTTTTTCAAATGATCAAAAAATATGGAACAATTATTGGTTGCATAGCAATGTGAATACTTGACAAAACTGAACAGTACACTTAAACATGGTTAAGATGGTAAATTTTATATTATGTGTATTTTACCACAACTAAAAAAAATTACACCAACAACAGCAACACAAATATGGAACAAATCGTATAATCACCATCCATGTGCCCAGCATTCAATTTGAAATTTGCCTTGTTAGTTAAGCCAATTTGAGCTAGTTTGTTGGTGACCTGGGCCCAGCAAACGCATGCTAAGTAATACGGAATGTGTGCCTGGAAGTAGGCATGCTGCAATTAACAGGCTTATACTTGATGGAATTGGCTGAAGAGATAGGGCTTGCTCATGAGCTAGAAAGTTAGCAATCCTATTTAAGGGATTGTGAAATAGAACTGGTTTCTCTGCCTGTTGAAGTTTAATGTGCAAAAAAATCACCTGGGGATCTTGTTCAAATGAAGATCCTGATTTGGTGGGAACTGAGAGTCTGCGTTCCTAACAAGCTCCCAGGTGGTGCCACTGCTGCTGAGCCATGGACCACACTTTGGATAGGAAGGAGTTACACTGATGTGTCTGGGAATGGGGACCACATACTATGCAGGCTGTTGCATTAGGAGGATGGTGGGGAAAATTCAGGATATTGGATTGTGTTACCAACTTCTTACAGCCCTCAGTAAGGTTCTACAAGAGACAGGCCCTTAGTTTCACACTGGCCTATGTGAAAACAAGAAAATACATCTCTGTTAAGAGAGGTTCTCTCTTGGCGGGGCACGGTGGCTCATGCCAGCACTTCGGGAGGCCGAGGCAGGTGGATCACAAGGTCAGGAGTTCAAGACCAGCCTGTCCAAGATGGTGAAACCCCGTCTCTACTAAAAATACAAATATTAGCTGGACGCCGTGGCAGTGCCTGTAATCCCAGCTACTCGGGAGGCTGAGGCAGGGGAATTGCTTGAACCCGGGGGCGGAGGTTGCAGTGAGCCAAGGTTGAGCCACTGCACTCCAGCCTGGGTGACAGAGTGAGACTCCATCAAAAAAAAAAAAAAAAAAAAAAAAAAGAGGTTCTCTCTGCCTATGAACTGAAATTTAAAAATGGCTGAAATGTGATCACGTGACTATGTCATCTTGGTCAACTTTTTAGAGTCTGCCCATATTTGTAGAATGAATGCATGAATGAGTGAGTGAGCTTGCTATAAGAAAGAGCTAGATAATTAGAGCCTCCCAGCAATGAAGCAGGTTGCCATGTAAATACTGAGCTCCCCAACCCCGGAAGTGTTCAAGCAGTGACTTGATGACCATCTGTCAGCTTTAATGTAAATAAATATGACCTGGGGATTTTGTGAAAATGCAGATTCTGATTTGGTACATCTGGGTGGGGCCTGAGATTCTGTATTTCTGAGTAGCTCCCAGAAGATTCCAATGCTATAAGACTTTGGATCATACCTTGAGGAGCAAGGATGTAGTGGGGAATCCTACAGAGGGTAGAAAGTTCAGCTAGATTAGTAGTTTCCAAATCTACCCGTATGTCAGACTCACCCAGGAGATTTATTAGAAATAGAGGTTCTCCAACTCCAATGCCAGAGCTGGAATTCTGTAGACCAGGAGCAGAGTCTGGATGCCTGTATTTTTCCCAAGCTTTCCACTGATTCAGATGCAACCTTTGGGAATCACTGAACCAGAGGCTTCTGAAATGTTGTTCAAACTCTAAGCTTACTTTTTAAAAGAATCAGACAAATATAAATCATGATGAGGCAAAGCCAGGCTGACTAAAATCCCCTTGCTATACTTACTTGGCAAATATCACCAGGGTCAAAACACTGCCTTGTTATTTATGAGTCCTAGATCTATGCTTAAATCCATTTCTAGAGAATGTCATATTTCCTATATTTTTGCAGATTGGAATTACATTATGCTCTTAAAGTAGCCCAATTAATGATTTCTTGAACCCCAGCAACTTGTAGTGAAACAACATAATTATGTTAAAAGAGGGAACTTCCACATTAGGTTTCTTGGAGAATGTTTCAAAAGATAAAAATAGCAAGGAAATCTAGGGTTGTGTGACACATCGAAAACATCCCACAAACGGGAATCTTCCCAATTGAGTCTGTTAGGTCATGGTCTCTTGCTCTCATTGCAGCTGTGAGCAGGGAATTGCAGATCCCTAATCTGAGGCTGTAAAGTTTTATTGCTACAGATTTGATAAGTTCTAGGAGGGCAGAATCTCAGGCAGATTTGATCAATTTCTGTTTTTCTTACCCATTCATCATTTTCTCTTTTGACATGGCCACAAATGGGAGGGTTCATGAAGGTGGGCCAGCACCACGTTTTAGAACTTGGGGCTGGAGGGAGAGGCTGGACTTTTACCCCACTGCAGGGGTTAGAAGGGCCAGTTGAATTTGTAGGATGTGAAATCCAGTAAGGACCATGATTAAATTGCCAGCAGTGGCAGTGCCTCGGGCACTGGATCGAAATTCAGGGCAAAATTTCAGAGTTTAGACATGGAAAGCTAACAGTGGGGCCATCACCTCATGGGGGGCCAGGTACTGAAGTCAAAATGGGCCTCCTGAAATCTGTAGCAAGAAGGGAAAAGAGAAAACATGAGTTACTATAAGCAATGCAGGCCGGTTTTCAGCTGTCAGGCTAGGAAATTCTGCTAGGCTTTATTTCAGCAGACGGACATCATCAGCTATGCAGTATCCAGGTCCACAGGGACTTCAGAGAGGTGGGAGCAACTAGCCTAGGTTGCCGAGTTCAAGAGCAGAAACCCTGCCTGGGCCAGCTGTTGTCCTCAGGCTGAAGATGGACTCTTTCACATCCATGTGACCAAAAGAGGGCAAAACTAGAGTTGGCTCCTTGGGGACAGGGTGGTGCCATGGCCCCCATCATCTCCTTTTTTCTTCCCATCAGATAGCAAGCAGCTCATTGGAGAGCCACACAGTCACCAGGACAGAGAGAATGCCCAGCAGCAGAAGCCAAAAAAAGAAACTTTCCCTTTCTGTCTCCTCTGTCTGTGGCGTGCAACCCAGCTATGAGGACGTGGGGTTGAAGCCATTTCCTTTTTCAGTTTCAGCTTCTGACCCTCCTCAGGATTAGAAGTGGCGATTCAGAGGCTGGGAGGGTGAAAGCATGACTTCTCAAGAACCAGCTCGTGCTGAAGTCACTGCTCACCTTCCTGTCTCAGGGATGCTCCTGATGCTAATGACGTCGTGTGAATCATGCTCTACGTGTCTGCATGCCTGAGCCGAGCTTATCCTCATGGCACCCTGTGAGGCAGGCTGCTGCTCCTACTCCCACTCACCAGAAGAGGAAGCCGAGGCTCAGAGACTGAGTAACTCTTGAGGTTACACAGCCACCGAGCAGGGTCATTAGGGCCCTATGAGATTTCCTTCCGACTCCGCTCTGAACTCACTCTCGTAGGCCCAAGCTGGGCGCCTCCCCCAGGGAACACCGTAGTGGCCCGGAAAACAGAGAGCACAGGTTACATTTGGCTCACATTCTTGGTGTGTCCACTGTAGGTTGCTGTGAAGTAAATTTTAAATTTTTATATAAAAACAAACAGATAATTTCTTGAGTGGGACATAAAAGCATGAATTTGAAAGTTAAAATGTAAGATATTGACCTTTTACTTAATAATAATGTAACAATATTGCTTTATTAACTGTGACAAATGTACCATTGTAAAATAAGATAATCATAATGAAAACTGGGTGTGGAGTGTGCAGGAACTCTGTATTATCTTTGTAATAATATGGTAAATCTAAAATTGTTCTAAAATAAAAATTTTTCTCTTTAAAAAAGTAAGATATCAAATAAATTTTAGAATCTCAGTTTCCTTCAGGGGTACCTGGTCATGATTATCTTTTGTTAGAGGCATATCAGAGGCCATGTTGCTCGCTGAGTAGAAGGACATTCTACAGTGTACGCTTACAGCCTCTTGAAAAGCCTGTATTCATTAAGAGAAGAAAAAGAGGGTGGGACAGTGAAGATTCTTTCACTTCCTCTCCCCAGCCTCTGTCCCCTTCTTAGCACTGTGCGAAGAGTGAGAGGTAATAACCACTTCACCCTCCCCAGGTTTCCACCAGAGTGGAAGGGGTTCCATCACAGACAGACTATTTGAGCATTTCACCCCATTCCAGCCTCCACCACAATCCTACAAATTCAACTGGCCCTTCTAACCCCTGCAGTGGGGTAAAAGTCCAGCCTCTTCCAGAGACAGGAGAATCACTTGAACTCAGGAGGCAGAGGCTGCAGTGAACCAAGATAATTCCACTGCACTCCAGCCTGGGCGACAGAGCGAAACTCCGTCTCAAAAAAAAAATAAATAAATAAAAAATAATAAATAAATAAATAAATAAATAAATAAAGTGGGGGGTAATTCAGGGCAGGGCAGAACCAGAATGTGGGGAAGTCAAGGAAGCCACAGAGGCAAGAGATTTATGAAGGACAAATGGACAGGATTCAGTGACCAAGAAGATGGGAGGAAGGGGAGGAAGAGAAAAGAGGGAAAGAAAAAAGAAAAATGCCCAGGGTGTCTCCCTGGTTTCCAACTTGAGTGACAGAGAATGATCACATTCCCAGCAGAATTTTTCTTCTTTCTCAACAAGATTCTTCCTGTTCTTTTGTTTCTGGTTGTCCCTCAGAACTAAGGAGAAACAGCCTTTGGGATAGTTGTCCCCCTACCCCATCCCAGCTGGTCCTAAGAGTAAGAACATAGGATTCTCATCCCCCTTTTATATAAAGAGAACCTGAGGGTATGTAATGTGTACAAGACTGTACAATGAGGCAGAAGCTCACTGGCACTGGGACCTACAAGATCTACTGATTCACAATTGAATTCTAAACATCACAGCCCAAGGGAACCAACACAATTACTTAGTGGACCCATTTCTCTTTCCAGAGAAGGAAACTGAGACCTCTGAATAAAGAGTAATTTTCCCAATGTCACATGCTGCTGACTAGCAAGCTAGGACTAGAGCCTGGCTTGCTGAGTTTTAATAATCCAGTGCTCCTTGCATTTTCGCTAGTTGCTTTGTCACATCTGTATGCACGTGTGTGTGCAAACACATACACACACACATACACATGCTTGCTTGCTTGAGAAACAGGGCATTTTATTCGCATGATATTTTCTTTATGGACTTATCACAAAGCATATCCTCAGACTGCTCACAGAATAACAATAGCAATTCAAGATTGTTTTTTGTTTAAAATCCTGTGTTTCTTTATTTGTGGCTTAAGTGGGAATTGGTTTATTGCCCCATCTCTACCCTGAGCAACTCAGGATTTATTCAGACTGTCTTGCTCCATTGAGGTCTATCCCCTTCCCCAGCCCTATGCCTACATTACCCTGCCAAGGCAGGGAACAGATCTGACAGCTTTTTTGCTTAAGCAAACTTATTAAAATTCATAATTTGTCAACTAATTAGGAAGAGAGAGGATTAGGAGTAAGAAAAAACCAGAAGCACATACTATTAGGTGCTCAGTGAATATTTAAGAGGAACAGGGAAAGAGGGAGGAAAGGAAAGACAACACTGAGGGGAAATGGTTGAATGGCATTAACTGAAAAAAAAAAAAAAAAAGATTTGCCATTAATGAAGAGAAGGAAGAGACAGTATTCTGCCCACCCACCAGGTCGGTTCCCAGGGAAGCCCTTCAGTCTCAGCATGCTGTGGCTAAGTGGAAAAATTCATTGATCATAGGTTTGCCAGTTGGAACCCTTGTGTTATGCCAATCTCAGAAGCTACCAAGCATCAGATCAATTCTCCCACTAAAAAATACTAGGAGGCCGGGCTCAGTGGCTCATGCCTGTAATCCTAGCACTTTGGGAAGCCAAGGCAGGAGGATCACTTGAGCCCAGGAGTTCGAGACTAGTCTGGGTAACATAGGGAAACCCTGTCTCTACAAAAAATTAAAAACTAGTAGGGAATGGTGGTGCATACCTGTAGTCCCAGCTACTTGGGAGGCTGAGGTGGGAGGATGGCGTGAGCCCTTGCACTGACTGGTGGTTGCACCACTGCACTCTAGCCTGGGAGGCAGAGTGAGACCTTGTCTCAGAAAAAAAAAAAAGTTGCTAGGAGAAGATAACAGAGCCTCCTCCTGTCTGCTAGAGAGACATACAACCCATCCCAAATATTTCTTTTTCTCATCTATAAATCCCTCCTCTCTCTCCAAAGGGGGCTGCCTGGCAATGTCCCCATCCCTTCCAACAGCTCATGCCGCCCTGGGACACCATTCAGAGAAGCTCTGCCATCTGCACACCCCTCCAGAGGCCAGGGACAGCTTAAGCCAGAGTGCCTGGGTTCCTCCCTTCTCTGGGGTAGAACTAGTGGATGAATCCCAAAAGGGGTAAACATGGGCATATAGAGCCACCCTTGGGACAAGAAGTCTGTTTGTTTGGTGTTCTAGGAAACCAACAAAAGGAAATGCATTTTAGCCAGGAAAGAAAAGAAAAAAAACAACCCTGCCCAGCTATGAATGACAGCCAAGCCAGCAGACAAAGGTGAAAACAGACAGCTAAGGAAGGGACTAGCTATGCGCCCATGGGAGAGAGCACCTGACATGGGCCCAGTGTGAGAGCTACAATCACCTTACACAAATAGAATGGTCACTGTGTTACCAACCATGAGTATCCTTTGGATCAACCAAAGGTTGTGTATGCAGCATGCAGCATTCTAATTCTAGAAGGCGACAGAGGTGAGCCAGCTATGTCCAAAATCAGTCTCATTTATAAACTGTGTGTTCCTGGGAAGTATGTGTGCATGTTTGTGTGTGTGTGTGGGTGTGTGTACTGTCATGTGCCAGCGATAGACCTTATCTTCATTGGGTACTCCCTGCTGCTGCTGCTTTTGCTAAAATATCTTGGACTCTGCACTGACATATGAGAAGCTATTGGCCTTTTTAGCTTTCTCCTGAACTTTCTGCCTTCCACTCTCCATTTCTCAGGCCAATTTGCCATTCCCACATGGGAAGACATCTACCTGTGCTACAGATTTGACTAGACTGAGATAAACCCATGAAAACATGTCATCACATGTCAGCAAAGCTCTCAAATAAAAATTAGCTATAGAACAATAGGCATGTCACTGTCAGATTGACTGCCTCCAGGTGTGCTTCACGGCCAATATCAAGGAAGGTCCTTACTGGGCTGGAGCTGACACTGCCCCATCCTATTTGACCCATTACAGAAAGACCAAAGCTAGGACATATCATATCATGTCATAACATGATAAAACCCGGGAATAATCAGACCTGTATTTTGCTGTTACCCTGACCAATAAGTCACTATATTTTGTACATAGGAAGCAATGTTATCCCATAGGGTCTTCTAAAAGGAAGTTCCATCTTCAGATTATTCAGAACCAACTAGGTCAAGATCTGCCTAACAACACAGCTTCCTGAACATATTAAGCATAAAACTCAGAGGCAAGAACCTTGAGAAACATGTGCCAAAGTTCAGGGAATGGTCAGACACAGAAAAACAATGCTTGGCTAAGGAGCTGAAGTGTGTTTCAAAGAAAACAAGAAGAGCCTGATGTCTCATTCACCTCTCCTGGACAGCTGCCTTCTTCCGAGATGCCCAGCTTATTTGCCTGGATTCATCACGAGAGAAGTAGTTTTTAGATATATTCCACCATCTAGAGAAAGGAAATATCACTTTTTTGAAGGCGAACCAAGAAGTCTGTTTTGGGGTTGATAAATTTCTGACAGTTGCTCCCAGAGTATTTTCAACTCAAAGTATAATTTCATAAAGAGGCTTATTATGTTTTAAATTGTCTGTCTGTAAAATATACTTTCATGAAATTTTGTTTTCTCGGAATCTTCCTTTTTCCTTCTTGTATGAATCTAATGAACTTGAATTTCCAAAGTCATTGAGGTAGGAAAGGTATGTAACATTATGCTTGAGCTTTAGGTCAATAATTTATACGATAGTGGTGGTTTTGTTTTGTTTCGTTTTGTTGAGACAGAGTCTCGTCCTGTCACCCAGGCTGGAGTGCAATGGCATGATCTTGGCTCACTGCAACCCCTGCCTCCCAGGTTCAAGTGATTCTCCCACCTCAGCCTCCCAGGTAGCTGGGATTACAGGTATGCACCTCCATGCCTGGTTAATTTTTGTGTTTTTAGTAGAGACAGGGTTTCACCATGTTGGCTGGGCTGGTCTCCAACTCCTGACCTCAAGTGATCCACCCACCTTGGCCTCCCAGATTCTGGAGTTTTTTAAATGGGTCACCCTATAGAAGGCATGAAGTCATAGAATCATAATAATCACCAAAACCAACCATTGATTTCAATACTAGAAAATTTGAGACACCAGAAGGTGAAGTGACTTGCCTAGAGCCATACAATGGCAGAGGCAGGGACTGCAACCCACTATGAAAGCTTAGGGCTCTTCTCACCCTTTGGTGGCCAAAAGTATTTTGAAATTTTGACCAAAAAAATTAATGTTTATTGATCACTTTAAATCCAAAAGATGAATCCACTGGATTCCACAGTAAATTGGGTGGAATGTAAGGGAGGGATCAAAGGGCAGTGAATATATGAATGGGGAGGAGAACCATTTAGCTAGGTGCAAAAGTAATTGCGGTTTTTGCAATACTTTTGCACCAACCTAATAATTGTTCATAATTCTAAGAGCTATTCGGATCCCATTAGGAGCTTAAAAGGGACAAATGTGCTCAGGGCATGCAGTTTTTGCCTTCCGGAACTAGATCAGGATCATGCATTTAAGCTAGAAAATGGAAAGAGGAGTTGCTTCACCCACAGTCAGTGCTATTGCATCAACCAATCCCTGCCATTCTGCAGTTTCCTGGTGTATCTGCCCGGAGTCACACAGTCTTTCCTGCTAAGCCTCAGCGTCTCCTCCAAGCCACATCAAAATCTTTCCTTCTGGGCCTTTCCCAGAAGTGAATTCTTGCTGGAAGGTATAAAAGACCAGCTCCTCCAAGCAGAGCAACTCCCTGGCTGCCGTGAAAAGACAAGGCACTGGGCAGGTAAGACTCGTCAACTTTCATCTTTCCTGGTTTCTGCAAAGTTGATGATGAAATTTCCTAACGTCTTCTCAGAAAGCTTAACACTGGATTTAGACTTGTCTCTATCAGGCACTTTCTGGTGCCAGCTTTAGCCACCCCATGGCACACTCCTCTTGTTTGGTATAAGAGAGAATGTAATTAAGCCTCCCCCCACCACTGTGGGGGAAAAAGGCTTTTCTGTGTCTGAAAACTATGTCAGAGAATCATAAACTCTTAGGGCTGGAAGGTACCATAGACCTCTCTTATCCACCTTGTTTAGGAACTGAGACTTAAGCAATTTAATGTGTCCAGAGTCACACAGGAATTTGGGGGAAAACAGTGACAGAATGGTGCTCCCTGTGCTGTTCTTGAGACAGTGTGATGAAATCTGGCCTCTCCACTATAGTGGAGATTTTGCAGTGTTTTAAGGGGTTCCCTAAGCCGGAGCTGTCAGGTCTTCATCTCATTTCCAGCATCTCATGCCTGCCATCTGCAGCAGATCCGACCATCTAGTTTGCCCTCAATGTCTAGTCCTAGCTGTCTTAAGTGCCCTGTGGACACCTGGCTCTCAAGCAGGTGTGTGACCTGTATGCAGCGGTAGTAGGCAGGCTTCATTTTGGGGGAATGGGGTGGTTAAATTATATTTGTTTTTTATGCAATTGTGTGCCTCAAATCTTTCAGTTGAAGTAGATTATTTCCGCTCTAGAGGGCTTGATAAGAGCTATCTCTTCATTCTCATCCTGATCTTGGAGTCACTCAAAAGATCAAGAGAGTGTTCCTGCAGGTGATGGGGCAAGAATTATGGCTTTCCTATTGGCTCACTCCACCACCCTCCACAGGGCTCTTTACAATCATGGAAGAGAATCTCACTGACTTCATCCCTTCTCAGGCCTTCCCCCTATCTCCTTGGTGACTGCTCAGCGACATTGAGAACCAAAGTCTGGAAGGCCTTGGTACTCAGAGTGTGGTCTGCAGACCAGCAACATCATCATCACCTGGAGCTTACTGGAAATGCAGACTTTCAGGCCCCTTCTATGACCTTCTGAGTCAGAATCTGCATTTACCAAAATCCCTAGGTGATAGTAGGCACATTACAGTGTGAGAGGCTTGCCGAGGGACTATCTCTGCCCTCTCCCTCTGCAACCTCCAGATGCTGAATTTCTCTGCTCTAGGAGTTTTATTCATTCAGCATGCACCCAACACCTATTATGTATTGACATGCTTAGGTCCTGGGAAAACAAATAAATAAGATGGAGCCCTTGAGGAGTTCATGGTCTGATAGGGGAAACAGATGTGAAGACAGTAATATGAGATATGGATGAAATACTGTGGGAGGACAGAAAAAGGAACGATCTAACTTTTCCTGGAGAAAACTGGTAAACTTCACAGAGGAGGTGAAATTTGGTCTGGGTTTTGAAGAATGAATAGGAGTTTATTAGCCAGAGAGGGTATTGTATAGGGAAGAGCATGAGTAGAGGCATGGGATTGTGGACCAGCCTGGCATTTGAGGGGCAAAGGCTGTGGCTCTGTCTCCAGATAGTGCTTCATGTCCCAGGGAAGGCTCCAGGCTTTGCTGCAAATCAAAGGGCTTGGGAAATGGTTTCTGCACTCAGCATGTTGATAAGAATATGGATAAATATCTACACATCACAGGAGCCTCTTGTTGGCCTCTTACACTCTAAAGCCCCAGGCCCTCTTGCCCTGTGTGGTTCTGGCTGAAGACAGTGTCCCTCTAGAATCTTTCTGCACACCCCCTTTTCAGTGACATGACCTTGTATTCACCTGGCTCTGATTTTTGTTCATACCCGTCCCTCACACCCACCAGGAACATTGCCCAAGACATGGGAAAATAATTTCTCTCTGGCCTTGAAGTCCCCCTCCTCCACTTTCCAGTGAGGAGAGCATGAAGGGGGTCCTAAAGAAGAGGAGAGGAGAATTGAATATTTAAGTATTGTTTCCTGTTCAAATTTCTCAACTTTCATGTCTTCTTCTATGATTTTGTCTTCCTCAGGCTGTCTCAGATGATGTCTTTTTAAAAAATGGACTAATTTTTTACTTTGTGTTTGTCATTTATTAGGAAACGCATTAGTCATTCAAAGAACAATATAATGAATGTTTGTGCCCACAGCCCTCTTTAAAAAAATCAGTGATATGGTGGTTGCCAGGAGCTAGGGGGAAGGGGAAATAGGGAGTTGGTGTTCAATGGGTATAGGGTTTCAGTTTTTACAGGATGAAAATGTTCTAGAGATCCATTGTGCAACATGTGAATATACCTAACATTACAGTACTGTAGAGTTTAAATGACTAGGATGCTAAATTTTATGCTATGTGGATTTTTGTTGTTGTTGTTCTTTTCTTTTCTTTTTTCTTTTTTTTTTTTTTTTTTTTTTTGAGCCAGGCTGGAGTGCAGTGGCGCAATCTTGGCTCACTGCAGCCTCCACCTCCCAGGTTCAAGGGATTCTCCTGCCTCAGTCTCCCGAGTAGCTGGAATTGCCGGTGTCTGCCACCACGCCTGGCTAATTCTTGTATTTCTAGTAGAGACAGGGTTTTACCACATTGACCAGGCTGGTCTCCAACCCCTGACCTCAAGTGATCCGCCTGCCTCAGCCTCCCAAAATTCTGGGATTACAGGCATGAGCCACCACACCTGGCCATGTTTTTTACCATAGTTTGTTTTTTAAAGTCAATGATACCTTTTCCTCCAAAACCATCATCTCTGTTTGTCTGAAGGGCAGATTTCTGCTAACTCAATGAACCCTGCAATGGGTCCCCTGAAGTTGCAAAATATGGTGACAGAGGGATAGGAGGTCACAGAATCTCTTCCTCCTTGGGGCCATACAACTATAAGGACAAGAGCCCACTGAGAGGTCAAGCTGTTTGAGAACTCATCTTGGGGTGGGGGGAAGTAACAGAGAGAATCTTGGCCAGAGAGGTATTTATTCATGCCTTGCCCCTTCTCTAGAGTTAGCTGGCAAAAAGTACAACAAGATACAAATTATTAGGGGGACCACGAAAGGGCAGAGGGAAAAATTGGAGGCAGGCAGGGGTGAAGGAGGCTGAAATGACCTGATCCATATACAGAGGTCTCCTGGTCTGGCCTATTCCAAAGGGAGATGATTTGGAGAGGGTCTGCAAGACATACGGGGAAGTCTGTCAGGCAAAGCTCCAGAACTATGATTTCTCTCTGGGAGCTGAGCCCTGGGGAGACATGGCTGGGGGGCAACCTGAGGCTGCTCTCCTTAGTGTGCTTCTGGATTCCACCAGTGAACGCCGTGCTGCAGGGAGAGCACAGGCGCCCTTGTGAAAGCTGAGGAGCCTCTCAGGACCATGGTCTAAACACACAATCATTCCATCTGCACGCTGTGGCTGCCACCCCGGGCTGGAGCCAGAATCTCCTCAGAAGATGTATGGGGTCTGCTCCACTAAGCCCAGTGAAGACCCTCATCAGAAAACAAAGCTTCACAAATTTCAGTCTAAAGATTTGCATTCAGAGTTAAAGCTCATGGCAAAGAGGTTAATCCATGAGCTGGAATCTTTCCAGGCAGCCTGGGGCACAGCTGTGGGCTCAGGGGAGCTCTGAGCTTTGTCATAACTTTCTTTCAGTATTGCCATCAAGTTGGCACTTTGAGGGAAGGGGAAGCCCCTGCCAGGTTTCCGAAGGGAGGCGCTGAGTGTCTGCCTCTCAGGCATTCTCTCCTGGGGCTGGGCCAGAGGAAACTGGCTTGCAGGGAGCAATGCATCCTGCAGGGAAGGAGGGAGGGGAACTCAAAGGCAGGCTCCAGCCTTGGTAACAGCGTTTCTCACACCTGTGACAAGACAGGTACAGCATCTCCCGACCACAGGCTGTCAGGGCAGAATTGAACATTCTGGATCACTTGGTCCCACCTCCTCCCATAGCAAGCCAGGACCCCAGAGATGTTAAGTAACCTGCCCAAGGTCACAGAGCTATTGGAGCAAATGCAGAATGATAACTCAGGGCCTTAGATCCTGAAGCCTGAGTTCTTTCCCTTCCACCATGTCTTCTCCTCTTTCCATCTCTCCCAGTACCTAGCACAGGCCTGTGTGTATGGTAGATGCTTCATTCGTTAATGTGGTTTCTCCTTTCCTGTTCCAATATTAGGGTGTCTGGTGCTCCTTTGGCTTTCTCTGCTTTCTGTGGTTCAAACCCTCCCACTTGGTCTCTAGAGAGGCTCACAGTGTGATCCTGCATCTCGTTTCAGTGATGAGGGTCCTTCTCCATCTCCCAGCCCTCCTGGCTTCCCTCATCTTGCTTCAGGCTGCAGCATCTACCACAAGAGGTGAGTGTCTCCCTTTACGGGTTTTCTGGGGCTGCTGTCACAAAGCACACCAACTGGATGGCCTAAGACAACAGAAATGTATTCTCTCACAGTACGGGAGGATAGAAGTCCAAAATCAAGGTGTTGGCAGGGCTGTGCTCCCTCTGAAGGCTCTAGGGAAGAATGCTTCCTTTCTTCTTCCAGCTTCTGGTGGCCCTGGTATCCTTGGTGTTCCCTGGCTTGTAGCTGCAACACTCCAATCTCTGCCTCAGTCTTTGCGTGGCCTTTTTCACTGGGTGTCCTCTCCTCTTCTCATAAAACCACCATTTATTGGATTTAGGGCCGATGCTAAGGCAGTATGACCTCATTTTAATTCATAACATCTACAAAGACCCTACTTCCAAATAAGGTCACATTCTGAGGTTCCATGCAGATGTGAATTTTGGGAGGGCCATTATTTAACCCACTACACTCTCCTTGTTGAGAAAACAGATCCTGTCCTCCATGCTCCAGACCCCAATACAAGAGGGAACAGGGAATCCCACCATTACTCTCATGCCATCCCCTTCTGTACGTCAGGGTCCTGGTGATCAGTGGGTCCTCTTTGATGAACTTGAGATAGTCCACAAGACCATCTCACCAGGAACCAGAGAAATCCCCACAGTCCAGTAGCCCAAGCCACCCTGAGTGGCCACACTCCCTCTTCATCCCATCTCTGGGCATTCTAGTGAGATCTCAAAGAGCAATTTTGACATCTTGTTGAAGATCCAAGAGTATTCTTCCCATTCTGTGCTTTTTCCCCTTAAGGACTCTTATGAAACTTTCCTAATCTTGATCTCCTGCCTACCCAGATTTGAGGGGTGGGGGTAATGGCCGAGAAAGAGGGAGACAAAAGCAGAAGACATCGCAAAGGAGTGGTGTCTGACACCCTACTTCCTGCTCCCCACTCCAACCCCAAGCGCAGACTACCAGAACCTCTGCCATCTCCGATACTGTGAGTCAGGCCAAGGTCCAAGTCAACAAGGCCTTCCTGGACTCCCGAACCAGGTACGTGAGACACACACACACACACACACACACACACACACACACACACACTTCCCTTCACAGGCTTCCTGTTCATGACAAGCACATCTAGGCCAGCCCGGATGAGCCAATGAGGTGAACAATGATAAAACTTACCCTTCCATCCTCCTAGCCCTCCAAGTACATGACAAGTAGGAGCAATAGCCCACAATTCCTAAAGTCCTCAGCCTGTACATCACCTGAAAGAGGACATCTAATCTAACCCTAGAAGGACTTTCTTCCACGTGGCCCAATGTTTCCTTGGGCCATGCATTCCAGAGTCCCAGAAAGCCTCTCAGTAAAAGTTCTTCATTCATCCAGCTGATATTGACTGATTCAGCCAGGTCCACCAGAAGCCGAATCCGAGCCCTGCATTCAGGTGCAGGTGACATATTAGGGGAATGCTCACAAGGAAGCTGTGATGGGGTGAAGAAGCAGAAGTGAAGGGGGAGGTTAGACAAATAAAGTGGCTTCAAGTCTATCCTCAGCCTGACCCCACAGGGAGACCTGGAGCAGAAGTTGCTCCTCAGAGCCTGTCCCATCTTGGAGCGAGGGAGCAGAGCCCTCATCTGCCCACATCAGTCAGACATGGCTGCAGGCTTGCAGGTGGCTGAGAGGTGTTGTGGCACACCTGTGGAATTCCCGGGCACCCCCAGCCAGGCCACTCCAGTGGCTCAGAAGCAGGCGCCCAACAAGGTTACTGGAGTGAGCCTGTAGCAGATGCACCCATGGCAGCAAGGGGAAGAGCCCAGGGCCCACAGGGCACCAGTAGAGTCAACTGCCCTCCGATCCTGTACAGGGGCAACGTGGGCGCCTTCCCTCAGGAAACGCACACTCTAGGGAGAGGGCAGACATTGAGAAAAAAAGTAACCTTATTCTTTCCTCTCGCTGTCCCTTTACACTGGACCTGGGCTTCCACTCACTCCTCCTCAGCCCTTGAATGAACTTTCAAGCCGTCAGATAACTTTTTTGGTGACTTAGATGATAAAACACGCTCTGGACGCTTCTAGTCCCCAGACCAGGATTATCTCAGGAATTAAAGTGTCAGCATAAGAAGATAAAGCCAGACCTGCTCTATTCCTTCAGCTCAGAACTGCTTGAGGCCTCTGGCGGGAGAAGAGAGTGCAGTCTCCTTCTCCCTCTTTCTGGGGCTCCTCCTTCCCAGCTTGGGTTTCTGCTCCTTGGGGGTTAAGCTGAAGGAGGAGGGAAAAAGGGGTGGTGAGTCTACATCCCCTGAACAGTTCAGTCCTCAAGGGGCCGGAAGCTCTCTCTCTCTCTCTCCCCTTGGGTGCTTTCCTGGTTTCAGAGAGAGATTCTGCTGCCAACTCTGTGATCTGGAAAATTCTCTGGCCAGTGGCTCCCAGCTCTAACCCTCTCTGCCTGGGAGCATCGGGCCCACTCCTTCACCCCTCCCCACCCTGTCTTGGGGCAGGTCCCTTTTAAGCAGCCTCCAGAAGACTAGCAGCTTCGCCCTACTGTTGAGGCGGTGCAGATTCCAGATTCCGCCCCTCTCTCCGTGCTCTCAGGACACTGCTCTTCAGGCAGGTGTCAAACCCCAGCCATGACTCCAGGACACACAGTTAAGCCCTCCTCCTAAGACCTTTCTCCCTAGAATTAAACTAGCAAAGGAGGAGCCCCATGGTGTTGGGAGGGACGTGCCCAGTATTTCTGCAAATGTCTCCAAAGGAAAATTCTCTCTCGCTCCTCAAATTCAATCCCTTTATAGCCTCAAGATGGGGGACAGCATAAAAGCCACAAAACCGGTGTTCATACACCTCCTTTGCAAGTCCTGCACAGGCCAACCAGCGCCCTGCTTTGAAATGTGGAGGAGCCCTTCCCTGCTGGTTAGTCCTTGGACTCAGGGGCCTCACAGAGACAGAACGAGTCACATTTAAACATTCTGTTACCCAAGTACATACACAGTGCAGTGACTCACAATTTATGATAAGGAAAATGAAGGAAATAAACAGGGCAAGGGATGCCACTCTAGGCACAGGGATCAGGGAAGCCTGTTGGAGAATAGGAAGGAGCCACCCAGGCAGAGGGCATGGGGGTGGCATTCCAGGCACTGCAACAGCATAGGGTCTGAGGCAGGAAAGACCGTGGGTGCTCAGGAAAAGGAAGGCCAGTGGAGGCAGGAGGCAAGGAGGATCACGCATAAGGTGAGAGCAGAGAGGTGTGTCGCCCCAGGGTAAGCCATTAGAACATTTGAATCAGCGGTGGCATGGTCTGATTTTTATGCTAAAAAGATCACTCCAGCAGCCCTGTGGAGAACGAATGGGAAGAGGACAGCAGTGGAAGTAAGAGCTGTCTAGATGGGAGAGGATGATGGCTAGGACCGCGGTGGAGACTGTGGAGATGGCAAAGAGGTCCTTCCAAGACCCTGCCTACCCCCAACAGAGCCCAGCCCCAGGGCAGAGCAGGAGGTGAGTCCCTGGTGAATCTGTGTTCAGGCAGAGGAAGCATGCAGAGCCCAGGGCCGGGCGGGAAAGGAAGGAACATCTGGAACCTTGGATGGGACCTTACAGGCTAAGCCCAGGGAGGCCCAGCGCGGCCTGCCTGCCTTTGTTCACGGTGTGAGGTGGGGACTCTAAAATACCTTGCAGCAGCCCCTCTGGGACCCGGCTGATGGAGACAGTGATGCTCACACACGTGAGTGTGTGCTCTGTGCAGATGCAGCTCTGGGGGCCCTACATTCATTCCTCCCCAAAATCCTAGGAAGTACTGAATCGAACTGTAGAAAACAGCTGTTTTCAAGGTCAAAAATGATGAAACAACATGGTTCAACCTAAGATTACCATCATTATTTTCATTATACCAATAAGGAAACTGAGTACAAAGAGCTTAAGTAATTTGCCTCAAGGGCACACAACTAGAAAGTGGCAGTCAGGAGCCAATCCCAGTCAGTCTATCCCAAAGTCCATACAGAAGTCTCTGATGGGAGGAAATTGTGATTTCCAGTTCATAAATGAGGGGAAGTCACTCAGAGGTCATATAATTAAACCAATCCTGGTGGAACCCAGATCCACCCCTGTGTCTGTCCAGCTCTAAGCCCACTTTAGGCTAGCAGTGTCCAAGATAACTTTCTAGGATGATGAAATGTTCTATATCTGCACTGTCCAACACAGTCATCACTAACCACACCTGGCTATTGAGCACTTGAGGTGTGCCTAGTGCTGCTGAGGAACTGAATTTTTAATTTTAATTTTAATGAGTTTCAATTTAAATAGCCACATGTGGTTAGTGGCTACTGTATTGGACAGTGCAGCAGCTGGGTTATGAGGCCATGTTGTACACACACCCCTCCCACCCCTCCAGCGGCCCCCAGCCCCCTTCCTACAGGGTCCAGGCCATGATCCCCATCTCCCTCCACTGTAGGCTGAAGACCGCCATGAGCTCTGAGACTCCCACCAGCCGACAGCTCTCAGAATACCTCAAGCATGCCAAAGGCCGGACGCGCACAGCCATCCGCAATGGACAGGTGTGGGAGGAGTCTTTAAAGAGACTGAGGCAGAAGGCATCCTTGACCAATGTCACAGGTACAGAAAACCCACCAGCCCTCTGTGGCAGGAAGGGGTCATCTCCCCACAGGAGAAAGCAGAGGCCACCCAAAGCTGCACTTCCTGTTGAGAGCTATCTACTCAGAGGAACACTCCTGTCTCTCCCTTCTTAGACCCGTAGACGAGACTGGCAGAGCAAGGAAGGTCTTAGAGGACAGCTAGGGCAATGCTGTTTTTGCAGAGGAAGAAACTGAGACCTAGCAAGCTCACATGGCCGACTCCAAGTGAGGGGACATTGGTGCTCTTTGTATAACACCGTCTGTAAGGCCTCTGCCCAAAGGAAGTGCTAAAGTCAATAAACATGGGTTCCTTGTCCTAAGCCACAGTGTCACCACTTCCTCTAGTAGAAGAGACATTTAAGCCACATGTGTCAGGGGGATTTACTTGGGATAATGTCACAGGAGCTAAGATTTCCATCGTGTTCTGGGTAAGATGGAGCTATCAGTAAGTGAACTTAACTGATGGCTTGGTCATGGCCTCCTCCATCCCCTCCACTCTCACCCCCAACCAAATGCCACAGCCCACAGAGGGTCATGAGGAAGGGGTTTGGTCCTGACAGGAGGAAAAGGCTGCAGGTTCTCCCTGGGAAAACATCAAGTGAGGGGGGATACCTGGCCCAGGAGTTGGGCAAATTCCAAAGCTCCAAAAGAAGGAAACTGGGACAAGGTAAGAAGTAGGAAGCACTTTGACCTCTGAAATACAAAAGGTTCGGAGAGCTGAAATCCTGCCACCTTTCAGAGATGGCCCCCCGGAAGAAGCCCCCATGAGCCAGATTCCCTCACCTCCCTGCCCTTGCAGACGCCAGGGTGGATGAGGGTATGCGTTCAGAAGTGGGCATCTCTCTCCACTCTGTGCCCACACTGAACACTCTGATGCCTAAAGCCCCCCTACTCTGTCACTCCTCCCACAACCCTTGCCCCTCACTGAAAAATTACCTGTCCCTTCCCAACCTCTATCCTAGCTATGTCCCTGCTTGCTTGGTACTTCAGATGTGAACGAAGCTTTAGAAGAAAGCAGTCTTATCACACTAACTCATACTAACATATGCTTAACCTCCCGGGGTATTTCCATTCTAAAAGAAAGATCTGTCAATTCAAATGAATCTGGACCTGGTATACCAGGAATTACTAGCAATTCTGGGGACATTCCCAGTTACTCTGTGTGGCCTTGGGCAAGTCTCTTGAACATTGTGTTCTCATTTTCTTCCCTGTAAAATGGGAATAAAATGTATTACCTTAATGTGCTGTCAGATTAATTGAGAAACCACTTGAGAAACGCTTACTTAGAATGGAATGCATTCCAAAACATGCAGGTTCACCTCTGGTCTCCATTTCCTGCCTCCCACGGGTGCCTGTGAATGGAGAAAGAACTCAGTCCCTTTGGGGTCCCTTCTGTTTCAGATCCCAGCCTGGACTTGACTTCACTGTCTCTGGAGGTGGGCTGTGGTGCTCCTGCTCCCGTGGTGAGATGCGACCCGTGCAGCCCTTACCGCACCATTACGGGAGACTGCAATAACAGGTGGCGGGGCTTGGGGTGTGGGGGCCGACCATTCCAGCCACTCCGCCCCGCCCTGCCAAGGCCTTTGTCCCTTGGGCACTCTAGGCAGATCTGCCACTGCCTTGCCCACCTGGGCTGGCGTTCCCACCTTCCCCACCTTCTCAAGATCGCGCGTCTCCAGCCCTCTCCCTCCAGCCCACTGTGTGTCTCTGGAAGCGGCACCTTTCCCCGGGGCGGGGGAGCCCCGCGCCTTCAGGGGGTGGGCGCAGTTCAGAGACCCCAAATTTGAGAGGCCCCCTTCTCTGCGTCCCCTCCGCCTCGAGCAGAGGCTCCTTCCCCCATGGGGTCCTGGGCTTTGGAGCCCCGGAGCCGGCCTGCCGAAGCTCAGCGAGGATCGTGCTGGTTTCAGGAGGAAGCCTGCGCTGGGCGCCGCCAACAGGGCTCTGGCGCGCTGGCTGCCCGCGGAGTACGAGGACGGGCTCTCCCTGCCCTTCGGCTGGACGCCGGGGAAGACGCGCAACGGCTTCCCTCTCCCGCTGGTGAGGGCAGGCCGGGCCGGGGTGAAGGATGGGAGCCAGAGGGGACGGGATGCACTACCCAAACACGCAGTGAAAGGAGGAGGAGGGATCGGTGGGGGCAGCAGGGGTGCGCGATGGAGATCTGCACAGACCCCCACCTTCCGCTAGAGGGCAGCAGAGCTCGGAGCCCGGAGCCCGGCCACGTGGCGGTCACGTTCTGGCCGCCGCAGGCCAGATACCCTGGGGTCTCCCGGGCAGATGGCCTCCCTGCCCCATCCCGCTCGCACTTACCCCAGCCCCCGCCCCTGGAGTGCATCAGCTGTTGTTTGCCTGGAGGTCCTATTTGTTGGCCTTATCGAGCTGGCAGCCCCTACCCAGAGCCCCTCTCCTATTCCTGGACACCTGGCACCTCCGTAGCTCGCATTTCAGAGGCAGCCTGTCTTTGTTTTCCCTCTCTTAGTGGAAAGGGCACCGGCTTGGCAAATCATCAAGTCATACGGATCTGGGTTCAATCCCATCCCTGTCCCTTTGTAGCGGCAGGACCTTGGAGAACTGACTTCACCTGTCCAGGATTCAATCTCCCCCTCTACAGAATAGGCTAATGCCACCCACCTCACAAACTCCTTGTAGGGATTAAGTGCACTTGTAACATGGTAGGTAGTTAATAAGCTGTAGTTGCATCTGAATCCTCAAAGCACTTTTTCCTCTAATCTGCCCTCCCCTTCTCTCTCCATCTGTAGGCCCGGGAGGTATCTAACAAGATTGTTGGCTATCTGAATGAGGAGGGTGTTCTGGACCAAAACAGGTCCCTGCTCTTCATGCAGTGGGGTCAGATTGTGGATCATGACCTGGACTTTGCCCCTGACACCGAGCTGGGGAGTAGCGAGTACTCCAAAGCCCAGTGTGATGAGTACTGTATCCAGGGAGACAACTGCTTCCCCATCATGGTACGGCCCTGCAGCTAGGCATCTCTGACTAGCCCCTTGCCCACCCTGATGTAGCAGACATTCCCAGCTCATCAGCTAGGATCTCTGGATAGATCTGGGATACTGATTTGGTAGTTTCCCATGCCTCACGTGTCCATTCGTTCACTCATCCGTTTATTCAGTAAATAGACATTGACCACCCCATACCAGGCAGTGCACTAAGCGCTGAGGATTCCAAAGTGAACAGGACACCGCTCCTGCTCTCAAGAACAAAGGGCCAGTGTGGGAATTGGACAAGTAAACTACTGATAGCAGAATGGGAACACTGGAGAAGGTTGTCTACATTCCCGACCCAGCAGCATTGGTAAAACCTGCTTATTAGAAATGTAAAATCTCAGTTGGGCGAGGCGGCTCATGCCTATAATCCCAGCACTTGGGGAGGCTGAGGTGGACAGATCACCTGAGGTCAAGAGTTTGAGACCAGCCTGGCCAACATGGTGAAACCCCGTCTCTACTAAAAATACAAAAATTAGCCTGGCGAGGTGGCACATGCATGTGGTCCCAGCTACTCAGGAGGTTGAGGCAGGAGAACCGCTTGAACCTGGGAGGCGGAGGTTGCAGTGAGCCGAGATCACGCCACTGCACTCCAGCCTGGGCAACAGAGCAAGATTCCAACTCAAAAAAGAAAAAAGAAAAAGAAAAAAAAAATGCAAAATCTCAAGTCTCACCCAAGATGTTAGGAAATAGATTCTACATTTTTACCAAGATCAACAGAGATTCATTTTATACATGATAAAGTTTATACTGCTGTACATCATCGTGGAGGATGACTTCAACTCCACTCAGAAGGACTTGAAACCTGGATGAATCCGAGTGAGCAGCAGGGATTTGTAGGGATTTCCATCCGGAAGGGAGAGGAGCTTGCAGCAATGCATCTTTTCTTATTATTCATGGGTATTACAGTTGGAGAGTCATTTCTTCACTCAAAGAATAAATCGAGGCTATGTGCTGTGGTATAAAGAGCATAAACTGTGGAATGAAGCCAATGATCTGAATCCTACATCTTTCCCTTCCAGTGTATAAGTTCTTAGGCAACTTACTTAACTTTTCTGAGCCCCAGTTTTCTCATCTATAAAATGGAACTGAATTGTCCACCTTACAGGGTTTTTTTGAGGACTGAGATGAGTTAAAGTATGCATAATTCCTGGCACATGGTAAGTCCAAAATAAATACATGGCAGCTGTTGTTAGTAGTAATTATTAACAAACCTGTTCCCACCTCGTGTCCTGCTTTCCTGTCCAGGGAGCTCAATACTCCCTCCTCACCAGAAATTTGGAGCCCTCACTGTGAGGACTGAATGATTACCCTCAGTTCTTTCACACAACAGGATGTAATGAACTTCAGGATATTATGAGCCCAGGGTGTGTAATGTCAGCAAGAAGTGTCTGGGGTCAGTGTCTGGTACCAGGGTCCTAGGAGGGTGCCATCAGCATCTTTGCATCCAGACTTGCCCTGGGGAGAGGTTGCCAGGACCCAGCTGTTCCACCCCTGCCCAGTCACTTATGCCCACTCTCTCTGCAGTTCCCACCCAATGACCCCAAGGCGGGGACTCAAGGGAAATGCATGCCTTTCTTCCGAGCTGGGTTCGTCTGCCCCACTCCACCCTACAAGTCCCTGGCCCGAGAGCAGATCAACGCTCTGACCTCCTTCCTGGATGCCAGCTTTGTGTACAGCTCCGAGCCAAGCCTGGCCAGCCGCCTCCGCAACCTCAGCAGCCCCCTGGGCCTCATGGCTGTCAACCAGGAGGTCTCAGACCATGGACTACCCTACCTGCCCTATGACAGCAAGAAGCCAAGCCCCTGTGAGTTCATCAACACCACTGCCCGTGTGCCCTGCTTCCTGGCAGGTGAGTCTAGCCTGGGAACAGAAGGGCCCAAGGACAAGGGGATTATCCAGGGAAGCTTTACCACTGCCCCCTTCTTGTCATCTTTCTGGAAAAATGCACACTGAGCCATTGCTGTCCCTAGCAGTGGTCCAGGACTAGCAGAAGGGCCCAGATGAATAAAGAATTCCAGAACATATGTTCACTGTAAAACAAAATCAGGAAGTCCAGAAAAGTAACAAAGAAAATAAAAAGAAAGTGCCAGGCTTGGTGGCTCACGCCTGTAATCCCAGCACTTTGGGAGGCCGAGGCAGGCAGATCATGAGGTCACGAGATCGAGACCATCCTGGCTAACATGGTGAAACCCCGTCTCTTCTAAAAACACAAAAAATTAGCCGGGCGTGGTGGCACACCCCTGTAGTCCCAGCTACTCTGGAGGCTGAGGTAGAAGAATCACCTGAACCCAGGAGGCGGAGGTTGCAGTGAGCCGAGATCACGCCACTGCACTCCAGCCTGGGCAACAAAGCAAGACTCCATCTCAAAAAAAAAAAAAAAAAAAAAAAAAAGAAAGAAAGAAAGAAAAGAAAAGAAAAAGAAAATTCACACAATCCCACTACCCACCAATAATCATCGTTAACATTTTCATGCTTATTTTCCAGTATTTTTTCTATCACAGATACAGTTCTACATTGTTTTACATAATCGGGTCTTACTATAAATAATGCTCCAAAACCTGATGTCTTCACTTAATTTACTCCATGCCATTAACTGTTCTTCTATGACGTGATTTTTAATGGCTGCCTGGTATTTCATGACACATATTACCATCATTTATTTTCTCAATCCTACTTGGGGGAATTTAGTTATTTCAAGTTTTCCTGTGTTTTGTTGCTGTTGTTTAGGTAATGAACATCTTCATTGATAAATCTTTGTTCTCATTTTTAATACATTTATTAAGCTAATTTCCCAGAAGAGGAAGTTCTAGATGAAGAGGAATGTATATTTTTAAAGCTTTTTATAACCTGGGGACAAAATCCCCATTCCATTCAGCCTGTGCACGACCAAAGCCCTGCTAATTCTGTTCATTCCAGGTGCCCTCCTGGTCCTCTCTGTCTCCGGCTTCTAGAGGCCATCCCACCCTCAAACATCCTCTCTCTTTGGACAAACCCCCTGGCCACCCTGACATTGCAGAAGGCCAGCTCTTAGGCCAAGATACCTTTATAGATCTTTTGGATTTTGTGTTCACATATATCCCACAGCAATCCAGACACAAAACCGAGTTCTTTCTTGTTTTTCATAAAAATATGCACTCACACCAAGAATTTACAATTTTAAATAGATTTCCTGGCCTGGTGCAGTGGCTCATGCCTGTAATCCCAACACTTTGGGAGGCTTAGGTGGGAGGATTGCTTGAGGCCACAAGTTCGAGAACAGCCTGGGCAACATAGCAAGACCCCTGTCTCTACAAAAAATTTAAAAACTAGCAACACATGGTGGCACATGCCTGTAGTCCCAGCTACTCTGGAGGCTGAAACAGGAGGATCACTTGAGCCCACGAGGTTGAGGCTTCAGTTAGCCAAGATAATGCCATTGCACTCCAGCCTGGGCAACAGAGCAAGACTGTCCAGATAGATAGATAGATGATGATAGATATATAGATATATAGATATATAGATAGATAGATAGATAGATAGATAGATAGATAGATAGACTCTCCTAAAGATTAGAGGGCACAGGGAGAAGTCCTTTATCCCCTTATGAGACACCTGGTCTTTGGCCATTTAACTGTTCCCCCATCGTTACTCCTCTCTCCCTCCCACTACAGACCCCCATCTCCAGATTATTCTCCCTTTATTACCCAGAGGAACTCAGCCTTACCCAAGCTCCTCACCTCAAACCCGCATTCCTAAAACCTTCAAATTTGCTCTGTGAAGTAAAAAGCTCCTCATTCATTCGAAGCTCCCCTTCCTAGAAGGCGGTTGGGTTATAATTAGCAAAATGTTACTGTGTAGTTTGTCACCACTAGCCTTTGTCACAGTGCTGTGATAGGCTTTATTCTCATTTTCATAGGTAAGGAGACCGAGGCTCAGAAGTGTTAAGTAACTTGTCCAAGGTCACACAGCTAAAAAGTGTGTATATAGAACTGAGAGTCAAACCTATGATTCAGTACCCCCTCCCCATCCCTATTCACCTGACGGGAAGTAGGGCTTGTTGACGGGGCGGGGGGGGCGGGGCGCGGTCCTGTGGGGCACCATCATTTCTTTGTGCAGGTTACTGGGTCCTGGGGCTGTTAGGGAGAATCTACCTTCCTGCCTTCTGGGCTTTCAGGAGATTCTCGAGCCTCAGAGCATATTCTGCTGGCCACATCCCACACCCTCTTTCTCCGCGAGCATAACCGGCTGGCCAGAGAACTAAAGAGACTCAACCCTCAGTGGGATGGAGAGAAGCTCTACCAGGAAGCCCGGAAAATCCTGGGAGCCTTCGTGCAGGTAGGGAGTCCCAGGAGCACTGTCACCTGGTCCCACCTGGCTCCCACTCCTGGCTCTGCCCTCTGCTGGCTGCTGTGCCTCAGGCTCTCTCCTCTGTTCCCACACCTCCGTTTCCCCCGGCCCCTCTGCTGCTTCTCTCTTGTTGTCTCATTCTTTGAAATCCCCTTCCTTTCATTTCTTCAGCTTCTCTGTCTCAAAATGAATCTCTGGATTTGGAGTGTTGGAAAGTCACTTGTGCGTTGGTCCCTTCAGTGTGCCTGCCTGGGTGCCATTACTGGGACTGTAGGCTCCTTCACTCCCGGGACTGCTACATCGCAGTGATTTGGGTTATTTTGATTTGATTCTCTTCCTTTTTAATTGTCTACATCTACGCCCATCTCATGGGCATACTCAGCGGATACTGTTGATTGGCTGATCAACTAACTAGAAGAGATTTACAAAGGTTGATGTGTTGATATTAACCATGCACATATTTTTTAAACATTTTATTTTGAAATAATTATAGATTCTAATATATTGCAATAGGAGGGGGGTTTCAAAGGATGAGACAACAGGAGAGAAGCAGCAGAGAGGCCGGGGGAAGCAGAGGTTTGGGAACAGAGAAGGTAGCTGGAGGCGCAGCACCGAGCAGAGGGCAGAGCCAGGAGTGGGAGCCAGGCGGGCCCCAGTGGCAGGGCTCTTGGGCCTCCCTCCCTGCAGATTATTAGATTCTAAGAATTGTACAGGAAATTTTTAAAAATGTACAAGGAGGTCCCATGCACCCCTCACCCAGTCTCCTCCTTACATTAGCATGTAAGTGCTAATGTCTTACATAACCAAGATACACTGGCAAAACCAGGAAGTTAACAATGATATAAACCATAGAGCTTACTCAGATCTCACCAGTTATAAATGCAATCAACTGTGTGTGTGTATGTGTCTGCATAGCTCTATGCAGTTTTATCACAGATGTAGCTTCAAGTACTACCACAATAAAGACTCTTAACCGTACTGTCCCCTAAAACTCCCTCATGCTATCTCTTCATAGCCACATCCACCCTCACCCCTATATCCCTAACCCCTGACAAGCCCTGATCAGTTCTCCATCTCTATGTTATTTCACAGATGTTATATACATGGAATTATGCAACATGTATCCGAGATGGGCTTTTTTCATTAAGCATAATATCTTTGAGGCTCATCCATGCTGTTGTGTATATAAATATTTCATTCCTTTTTGTTGCTGAGTAGTATTCCATGGTATGAATGAACTACAATTTGTTTAACCATTCAACTTTTGAAGGGCATTTGGATAGTTTCCAGTTTTAGATTATTATGAATAAAGCTACTACAATCATTCAAACATAAGTTTCTGCATGAAAAGAAATGTTTATTTGTTTGAGATACATGCCTAAGAGTGCAATTGCTAGGTCACATGGTAAGTCCATTTTTAGGTGTTTTTTTTTTTTTTAATTTTTTAATTTTGTGGGTACATAGTAGGCGCCTATATGTATGGGGTACATTAGATGGCTTGATAAGGGCATACAATGTGAAATAAGCACATCGTGAAGAATGAGGTATCCTGCTGGGCACAGTGGCTCATGCCTGTAATCCCAGCACTTTGGGAGGCTGAGGTGAGCAGATCATAAGGTCAAGAGATCGAGACCATCCCGGCCAACATGGTGAAACCTTGTCTCTACTAAAAATACAAAAATTAGCTGGGTGTGGTGGCATGCGCCTGTAGTCCCAGCTACTCGGGAGGATGAGGCAGGAGAATCGCTTGAACCCAGGAGGTGGAGGTAGGAGGCGGAGGTTGCAGTGAGCCAGGATCACACCACTGCACTCCAGCCTGGGCAACAGAGTGAGACTCCCTTTCAAAAAAAAAAAAAAAAAGAATGAGGTATCCATCCTCTCAAGCATTTATACATTGAGTTGCAAACAATCCAGTTACACTCTTAAGTTATTTGAAAATGCACAATTAAGTTAAATTATTATTAACTATAGTCACCCTGTTGTGCTATCAAATAGTAGGTCTTACTCTTTTTTTTTTTTTTTTTTTTTTTTTGAGATAGAGTCTTGCTCTGTTGCCCAGGCTTCCTCAGCCTCCTGAGTAGCTGGGGTTTCAGGCACCTGCCACCACGTCCTGCTGATTTTTGTATTTTTAGTAGAGATAGGGTTTCACCGTGTTGGCCAGGCTGGTCTCAAACTCCTGACCTTAAGCGGTCCACCCACCTTGGCCTCCCAAAATGCTGAGATTACAGACATGAGCCACCGCGCCTGGCCATCATTCTATTTTTTGGTACCCACCAACCATCTCCACCTCCGCCCCCCACAGCCCCTCATTACCCTTCCAGGGATCTGGTAACCATCTTTCTACTTTCTATGTCCATGAGTTCAATTGTTTTGATATTTAAATCCCACAAATAAGTGAGAACATGCCATGTTTGTCTTTCTCTGCCTGGCATATTTCACGTAACATAATGATTTCCACTTCCATCCATGTTGTTACAATTGACTAGATTTCATTCTTTTTTATGGCTGAATAGTACACCATTGTGTATATGTATCACATTTTCTTTATCCATTCATCTGTTGATGGACACAAGTTGCTTTCAAATCTTAGCTATTGTAAACAGTGCTGTAACAAATGTAAGAGTGCGGATATCTCTTTGATATACTGATTTTATTTCTTTTGGGTATACACCCAGTAGTGAGATTGCTGGATCATATGGCAGCTCAATTTTTAGTTTTCTGAGGAATCTCCAAACTGTTCTCCATAGTGGTTGTACTAATTTACATTCCTGCCAACAGTGCCAAATGTGTTCTCCACATTCTTGCCAGCATTTGTTATTGCCTGTCTTTTTTATATAAGTTATTTTAACTGGGGTGACATAATATCTCATTGTAGTTTTGATCTGCATTTCTCTGATGATCAATGATGTTGAGCACCTTTTCATATGCCTGTTTGCCATTTGTATGTCTTCTTTTGAGAAATGTCTATTCAAATCTTTTGCCTATCTTTTGATTGGATTATTAGATTTTTTTCCTATAGAGTTGTTTAAGCTTCATATATATTCTGGTTGTTAATCCCTTGTCAGAAGGGTAGTTTGCAAAATTAATATTTTCTCCCATTCCGTGGGTTATCTCTTCACTTTGTTGATTGTATCCTTTGTTGTGCAGAAGCTTTTTAATTTGATGTGATCCCATTTGTCCATTTTTGCTTTGGTGGCCTATGCTTGTGGGATAGTGCTCAAGACATTTTTGCCCAGACCAATGTCCTGGAGATTTTCCCCAATGTTTTCTTGCAGTAGTTTCACAGTTTGAGGTCTTAGATTTGTCTTTAATCCATTTTGATTTGATTTTTATATATGGGTAAAAGATAGGGGTCTAGTTTTATTCTCCGGCATATGGATATCCAGTTTTCCCAGCACCATTTATTGAAGAGACTGTCTTTTCCCCAGTATATGTTCTTGGCATCTTTGTTGAAAACGAGTTAACTGTAGATGTGTGGATTTGTTTCTGGGTTCTCTATTCTGTTACATTGGTCTTTGTGTCTGTTTCTATGCCAGTACCATGCTGTTTGGTTGCTATAGCTCTGTACTATAACTTGAAGTCAGGTAATGTGATTCTTCTGGTTTTGTTCTTTTTGCTTAGGATAACTTTGGCTACTCTGAGTCTTCTACTTTTAGTTTTAAAAGGAACTGCCAAACTATTTTTTAGAATGGCTGTACCATTTACATTCCTATCAGCAATGTATGCATGATCCAATTTCTTAGCATCCTGACGGTGTCACCACCATTTTTTGTTTTATCCTTTCTGATAGGTGTGTAGTAATAGCTCATTGTTTTAATTTGCATTTCTCTAATGGCTGGTAATGTTGAACATCTTTTCCTGTGCTCATTTGCCACTTGTGCATCCTCTTCAATAAAATACTTGTTCATATATTTTGCCTATTTTCAAATTGGACTATTTGACTTGTAATGTTGAGTTTTGAGAGTTCTTTACGTATTCTAGACACAAGTCCTTTGTCAGATATGTGATTTGCAGTGATTTTCTCCCAGTCTATAATTTGGTGGGGGTTTTTTTTTTCATCCTCTTAAGAAGGTCTTTTGTAGAGCAAAAGCTTTTAATTTTAATGAAGTTCTTTTAATCAAATTTTCCTTTCCTGGATTGTGCATGTGATGTCAAGTCTCAGAACTTTTTTCCTAGTCCTAGGTCCCAAAGACTTTCTCCTGCTTTTTCCTTCTAGAAGTTTTATAGTTTTATGTTTTACATTTAAGTCTATGATCCATTTTGGGTAAATTTTTGCATAAAGTGTGAGGTTTAGGTCAAGATGCTTTTTTAAATTTTTTCTGGCTATGGATGTCAAATTGCTCCAGCACCACTTATTGAAAGGCTATTGTTTCTCCATTGAATTGCTTTTGTTTCTTTGGTAAAAAATATTTGGGCATATTTACATGGATCTATTTCTGGGTTGTCTATTCTCTTCCATTGGTTTGTATGTATGTCTATTCCTCTCATACCACAGTGCTCAATTACTATAGCTATACAGTAAGCCTTAAAACACTTTATTCTTCTTTTTCAAAATTGTTTTGGATATTCTAGGATCTTTCCCTTTCCATACATATTATTAAATAAGTTTGTGTATGTCTATCAAAAAACCTTATGGAAATTTTGATAGAAATTGCATTAAAATTATATATACATTTAGGGAGAGTTGACATCTTTACAATGTTGAGTTTTCCAATCCATAAACTAAGTATGTCTCCCCAATCTTTAGATTTTTTATTTCTTTAATCAACATTTTGTAGTTTTATCACACAGATTCTGTACATGTTTTGTTAGATTTATACCTCAGTATTTAATTTTCATTTTGTTTTGTTTTGTTTTGAGACGGAGTCTTGCTCTGTCACCAGGCTGGAGTGCAGTGGCACGATCTCGGCTCACTGCAACCTCCCGGGTTCAAGTGATTCTCCTGCCTCAGTCTCCTGAGTAGCTGGGATTACAGGCGCCCGCCACCATGCCCGGCTAATTTCTGTATTTTAGTAGAGACAGAGTTTCACCATGTTGGCCAGAATGGTCTCAATCTCTTGACCTCGTGATCCGCCCACCTCAGCCTCCTGAAGTGCTGGGATTACAGGCGTGAGCCACCATGCCCAGCCCAGTATTTCATTTTCTTTGGAGGAATTATAAATGGTATTACAGCTTTATTGCAGTTTCTACTTATTTTATCAGTGTATGAAAATATAATTGATTTTTTTATGTGTTGATTTTGTATCCTGTGACCTTGCTAAATTCAATTAGTTCTAGGCATTCTGCTGTAGATTACTTGGATTTTCTAAACAGGTAATCATGTAATATGCCAATAAAGACAGTTGTGTTTCTTCTTTTCTAATCCATATGATTTTTCTTTCTTTTTCTTGCCTTATTACGTGGCAATTCCTGGAACTTCCTAGTGGCTCAAACTTCCAATACTATATTAAATGCGCATGGTAAGAAAGCAGGCATCCTTGTCTTCCCAATCGAGAAAGTATTCAATCTTTCACCATTAAGTATAAGATTAGTTATAAATGTTTTGTAGTTGCCCTTTATGAGGTTGAGGAAGTTCTGCTTCATTCCTAGTGTAATGAGAGTTTTTATCATGAACAGGTGTAGAACTTTGTCAAACGGTTTTTCTGCATCAATTGATAGGATCATATGATTTTTATCCTTTAAACTATACTGCTTGCTTTGGATTTATTTTGCTCTTATTTTTCAAGTTTCTTGAAGTAGAAACTTAGATGACTGATTTGCAATCTTTTCTATTTTCTAATGTATTTAGTACTATAAATTTCCCTCTTAGCACTGAGTTGACTGCCTCCCACAAATTTTGATATATTGTGTTTTTATTTTCATTCAGTAGGTATTTTTTAAGTTTCCTTTCGGACTTCATCTTTAACCTATGTATAATTTAGAAGAGTGTTATTTAATTTCCAAGCGTTTGTAGATTTTCCTGTTGCCTTCCTGATTTCTAGTTTGATTCCATCATGATCAGAAACTATACTCTGTATGATTTCAATTTTAAATTTGTTAAGATTTGTTTTATAACCCTGCTGTGGACTATCTTGTTGAATATTCTGTGAGTTCCTAAAAAGAATGTGTATTCTGCTGTTGTTGAATGCAATGTTCTGTAAATGTCAGTTGGATCTGTTGGTTGATGGTGCTATTCAGTCTGTACTCCAGCTAATTTTCTGTCTAGTAATTCTCCCACTTACTGAGAGTCAGGTGTTGAAATCCCTAGCTATAAATGAGAATTTGCCTATTTCTTCTTCCAGTCCTGTCAGGTTTTGCTTCATGTATTTTAAAGCTTTAAAGTTCTGTTGTTTGATCCATATCATTTAGGATTGCTTCATCTTCTTGATGGATAGATCCTTTTATCATTATGTAATTTCCACTTTTGTCCTCTGAAGTCAACTTTATCTGATATTAATATAGTCACCCCTGCTTTTAAAAATTTATGTCTGCATGATCTTTCTTATTCCATCAATTTCAACCTACCTATGTCATTATGTTTGAAGCGAGTTTCTTTTAGACATCATATAGTTGGGTCACTTAAAAAAAAAAAGGAAAAGAAATATACTCTGCCAATCTCTGACCTTTAGTAATTAGTACTTTTAAATTATCTTTAAAATAATTATTAACATGTTAGGGATTAAATCTCCCATATCTCTCATTTTATTACTTGTTTTCTGTTTGTTCCTTCTGTTTCTTCTTCCTCTAATATTGTTTTTCTTGCCTTCCTGTGGGTTAATTGAACATTTTTTAGAGGTCCATTTGATCACATATTGCTTTGTATAATTTTCTTAGTGGTTGTTCTCCGGATAGATAGGTAGATAGATATAGAAATAAAGATAGAGAGAGAGATAGAGATATGGATTTACAACGTATCACAACCTATTGGTGTCAGTGCTTTATCATTTCAAGTGACATGTAGAAAACTCATTTCCATTTGGTCCCTTCACCTTCCCCACTTTTGAAATATAATTGTCTGAAGCATTTCTTCTATATATGTTTTATAGCACATCAGATGGTGCTTCAACCATAAAATATAATGAAAAAATTCATGAGGTGGAAAAGAATTGATGTTTACTTCTATTTTTACCCATTACATTGTTCTTCTTTCCTTTCTGAAGGTCCTGTCCTTCTTCTATTACCATTCTTCATGTTTAGAGAGTTTCCTTTAGCCATTGTTTAAGGATAGGTCTGTGTGCAGCAAATTCTCTGAGTCTTCCTTTGTGTGAGAATGTCTTTATTTCTCCTTTATTCCTGAAGAATCGTTCCACCAGCTATTGGATTCAGGGTTGGTAGTTCTTGTCTTTCGGCACATGAAAAATGTGGCGACACTTCCCCTGGCTTCTGTGGTTTCAGATGAGAGCTTCACCGATATTTTGTTTGTTTGTTTATTTCTTTGTTTCTTTGAGACAGAGTCTTGCTCTGTTGCCCAGGCTGGAGTGCAGTGGCAACATCTCGACTCACGGCAACCTCCGCCTCCCGGGCTCAAGCGATTCTCTTGCCTCAGCCTCCCGAGTAGCTGGGATTACCGATGCTCACCACCACACCTGGATAATTCTTTTTGTATTTTTAGTAGAGACAGGATTTCACCATGTTGGCCAGGCTAGTCTCAAACTCCTGACCTCAGATGATCCACCCGCCTCAGCCTCCCAAAGTGCTGGGATTGCAGGCGTGAGCCACCACACCCAGCCCTTTACCATTACTTGAATTGGTGTTTCTTTATAGGTAATGTGTCATTTCTCTTTGACTATTTTAATACTTTATGTTTAGTTTTCAGAAATTTAATTATGATATGCCTTGGAGTGAATTTCGCTGTTTATCCTGTTTGGGATTCATTCATCTTCTTGAATCTGTAAATGTGTGCCTCTCACCAATTTTGAGAAATTTTCAGGCATTATTTATTCAAATCCTTTTTCAGTTTCACCCCCTTTCTCCTCTGTTTCTGGAACTCCATTGATATGAATGCCAGATCTTTTGTTATGGTCTCACAGAACCCAGAGGCTCTGGTTTGTTTGAGCAATTTTTAAAGTCTATTTTCTTTCTGTTGTTCAGATTGAGTAAATTCTATTGATCTGTCTCCAATTCTATCCTCTGTCACTCCCACTCTGTTATTGAGTCTATTCAAGCTTTTTTAAAATTTCAGCTAGTGTATTTTCAGTTCTGTAATTTTGATTTGTTTCTTTTTTATAATTTCTACTTCTTTGCTATGATACTGTATTTGTTTCAGGAGAATCTGTAATTGATTATTGAAGCATTTTTATAATGGCTGCTTTTAAAATTTTTATCAGATAATTATAGCATCTGATTCATGTCATCCTTGGCATCAGTTGATTGTCTGTTTACTCAAAACGTGGCATTTCTGGCTCTTGGTATTATGAGTGATTTTCAGTTGTATCTTAGACATTTTGGTTGCTATATTAGGAGACCCTTGATCCTATTTAAATTTTCTATTTTAGGCCAGGCACAGTGGCTCACGCCTGTAATTCCAGCAATTTGGGAGGCCGAGGCGGGTGGATCACCTGAGGTCGGGAGTTCAAGACCAGCTTGGCTAACATGGTGAAACCCCATCTCTACTAAAAATAGAAAAACTAGCCGGGCTTGGTGGCATGCACCTGTGGTCTCAGCTACTTGGGGGTGCTGAGGCAAGAGGATCACTTAAATCAGGGAGGTCAAGGCTACAGTGAG
Organism: Homo sapiens; assembly: GCF_000001405.40. Lineage (NCBI taxonomy): Eukaryota > Metazoa > Chordata > Mammalia > Primates > Hominidae > Homo > Homo sapiens. The sequence goes on from NC_000017.11 coordinate 58,263,687, forward strand.
CCAAGATGGCATCACTGCATTCCAGCCTGGGTGACAAAGTGAGACCCTGTCAAAAAAAAAAAGCACTTCATTTTAGCACATAGTTACCTTGTTTAGGTTTAGCATGTAGGTTCTGGACTACTTTTGTGGGCTTTAGGTCCACCAAAGCTTAGTTTCCTGAGCCTTGCAATGCTATTCTGGTCTACTTCACTCTTCTGGTGTTTGGGGGCTTCCCACTCAATCCCTGCTGGTGCTGTCTGCAAGGCAGGAAAGTACTTCCCTGGCTGCCTGCTGTTGCTGAGCAACCTTCTAGGGGAACAGGAACCACTGCACCTGAGCTCCTTATGGCACTGGGTTAAGAGCAAAGAGACACAGAGCCTCACTGTGAAAGCTAGATAGAAATGTGGAAAATGTGAAGCAAAAAAGCAGAATGCACAGGTATGCATTCTGTAGGATTATAACTATGTAAAAGTCGGTAACATATAGACAAAGACTACAAGAATAAAAATTAATATAATTATTAGGTTATGTGGAGGCATTTTTCTTTTCTGAAAATTTTTTATTTGTGTTAGTTCATTGTGTTTTTATGTAAAAGAAAACCAGAAACCAGTCTTTCCATTCTTCTGTATTTCTTTCAGAACTGGAGATTGGATGAACTTTCCTCAGTTGCCCCTGAATCATTCCTGTGGTTTATCATTCCTCTTGCCCTGACATTGTTACATTAAAGTGACACACAAAGACTGTCACTTTAGCATCAAGGTCATAAACTTAGCACAAAGATGACAAAGATAGTACGTTTCATATGCCAAATTCAAATGACTGATTAGTAGAGCCTATGTTGAGACAAATCGTAAGAGATCAGCAGAAAAAAATGTCATGATTGATTAGCAATGTCTGCTATGCTCATAGGAATGGGAACTGGGCACATATGCTATCCATTTGCCATCCTTGGTTTTCAACAGCTCATCACTCTTGGCTGCAGCTCTTTCACAGCCTCCCTCTGCAGAGGTTTAAACCTTCTTACACCCTTTCCTCTTGATTTTATTCTCCCTCCAGATTATCACCTTTAGGGACTACCTACCCATTTTGCTAGGTGACCACATGCAGAAGTGGATACCCCCATATCAAGGCTACAGTGAATCTGTGGATCCCAGAATTTCCAATGTCTTCACCTTCGCCTTCCGCTTTGGCCACTTGGAGGTCCCCTCTAGTATGTTCCGCCTGGATGAGAATTATCAGCCATGGGGGCCAGAACCAGAACTCCCCCTCCACACCCTCTTCTTCAACACTTGGAGGATGGTCAAAGATGGTATGCCCTTTCAGGGAAGTGCTGTCACCTGGGTCTCCCACTCCGCAGCCTATTGTAGGGAAACTTGGGTTGGAAGTCAGATTCCAAGCACTTTTACATGACCTTGGGCAAATGAATTCACCTCACTGAGCCTCAGTTTCCTCATTTATAAAATGGGGACAATAATAGTACCCATCTCACGAGGCTATCCAAAACATTAAATGAGATATACATGTGGAGCACCCTACAATGGTTCCTGACACACAGGAGGTGATCAATAAATATAAGCTATTCTTTCTTTCCTCTTGGCTTCTAAGATGACTGGGATTTCCCTACCTCCTTTCCCCGCCCTAGGCTTCTCTGACTTCTACAGGGTTTGGTAAATAAATTGCTCTTTTCTGATCTCTTCTAGAGTTTTTCACTTCATAGAGGTGCCAGAGGTTGGACCCAACTTTCCTTTATCCCTAGGCTATGTTGTGTTGAAATTAACTTTACTTAAAGCCTAGCAAGTCAAGGACATTTCCTTGAGATTTATGCAACCTCTTCCCATTATGCAACGTTCCTCAGCAGAACATATGGAAGAAAAAGCTGACTCCATGAACTAGAGCTTTAAAAATACCTTTTTTTTTTTTTTTTTTTTTTTTTTGAGACAGGGTCTTACTCTGTCACCCAGGCTGGAGTGCAAGGGCGCAATCTCAGCTCACTGCGGCCTTGACCTCCTGGGCTCACATGATCCTCCTACCTCAGCCTCCCTTGTAGCTGGGATTACAAGGCACACACCCCCATACCTGGCTAATTTTTTTGCCTTTTTTTCAGAGGCGGGGTTTTGCCATGTTGTCCAGGCTGGTCCCAAACTCCTGGGCTCAAGCAGTCTTCCCACCTTGGCCTCCCAAAGTGTTAGGATTACAGGCATGAGCCACCATGCATGGCCAAAAAATATCTCAATGTTTATATTCATGCCATCATCCCATGACTGCCCCTTTCTGCCCACCCCCAGAGCAGACAATCTGGATGCCCCTGTCTCCCTGAGCACACCCTTCAGGCTGCACTGTGCTCTTCTCTCCCTCCTTCCAGCCTGGGATGTCCAGGTGACCCACATTCAACTAAGAGAAAATGTCTGGTGGAGGCAGAGGCAAGCCATGAATGATGTTCCCACTCTTCCCCCAACCTAAGCATGGCTTCTGGGTCTCCCTTGGCAGGTGGAATTGATCCTCTGGTGCGGGGCCTGCTGGCCAAGAAATCCAAGCTGATGAAACAGAATAAAATGATGACTGGAGAGCTGCGCAACAAGCTTTTCCAGCCAACTCACAGGATCCATGGCTTTGACCTGGCTGCCATCAACACACAGCGTTGCCGGGACCATGGGCAACCTGGTGAGTGTCTGAAGTCTGGCCTGCACTGGGGAAATTTTAGCTAACTTTCTAGGGCTCCTGGAGACTCTCTTCTATAACCCTGAGGATCTGATCATCTGATCAATTCTGAAACAAAAGTCAGGCCAGTTTTTTTTGTTTGAGGTTTTTTTTTTGAGACAGGGTCTTGCTCTGTTGCCCAGGCTAGAGTACAGCGGTGCGATCACAGCTCACAGCAGCCTCAAACTCCTAGCTTCAAGTAATCCTCCTGCTTAAGCCTACCAAGTAGGTGGGACTACAGGTGTGCCACATGCCCAGCTTATTTTTTTTTTTAAATATAGACATAGTCTTGCTATGTTGCCCAGGCTGGTCTCGAACTCCTGGGCTCAAGCAATCTCCCACCTTGGCCTCCCAAAGCACTGGCATTACAGGTGCAAGCCACCATGTCCAGCCCCAGGCCATTCTTAAAACCCACTTTGTTCATCTATGAAACAGAATGTCCCATTTCCCCTAATGCAGAGAAAAGAGCATATATCTGGTACTATCTTGGCATTCCTTAAATGAAAAAGAGGTCACCAACTAACTTTAAAAACAGTTTAAAAGCCCTGAAAACATTAAGAAAACAATAGAGAGAAACCAATGACTGTTGGACCTTTCTTTTGTCCCCATGAAAGGCAATTTAATTAAGAACCAGACTGCCTGAGTTCAAATCCCGCCTATGCCATTTACTAGTTATAAGACTTTGGGCAAATTACTTAACATTTCTATTCTTCATTTACTTATTTGCACAGTGCTTAGAATAGTGCCTGGACTCATAGTACATACCACATAACTTTCATGATTGCTTAGTGGTTACATAGGACTTAACCAACTAGCCCCCTTAAGATTGAAGTGCAGATAAAAAACAATGGATTCCCTCCTTCCCCATCCCAAAGGCTGTAAGCCCAGACTTTCTAGGGCTGATAGAGCTGGAGTGGACATGGCCCCAAAGGAGGCTGTGAACAGGAAGTCCCCGGGATGAGACAGCCTCAGTCTCTCCACCCTAGGGTACAATTCCTGGAGAGCCTTCTGTGACCTCTCACAGCCGCAGACACTAGAGGAGTTGAACACAGTGCTGAAGAGCAAGATGCTGGCCAAGAAGTTACTGGGTCTCTACGGGACCCCTGACAACATCGACATCTGGATAGGGGCCATTGCTGAGCCGCTGGTGGAAAGGGGTCGGGTGGGGCCTCTCCTGGCCTGCCTCTTGGGCAAGCAGTTCCAGCAGATCCGTGATGGAGACAGGCAAGTGCGTCCTCAGCCAGGGAGGGAAGGGCAGGGCCCTTCTCCAAGAGGGGTGTCCCAAGGTCCTGCGTGAGCGCTGACTCCGGATCTCAGTGTGAGTAGGGCTTTTCATGGTCCCTGTGACCCTTTCCTTCCCCTGTGACAGAGTGGGGAGGGGCCAGCGGCCAGACTGTGGAGTGACTCTACTTCTGTCTCTGCAGGTTCTGGTGGGAAAACCCTGGGGTCTTCACGAACGAGCAGAAGGACTCTCTACAGAAAATGTCCTTCTCACGCCTTGTCTGTGACAACACCCGCATCACCAAGGTCCCACGGGACCCATTCTGGGCCAACAGCTACCCCTATGACTTCGTGGATTGCTCAGCCATCGACAAGCTGGACCTGTCACCCTGGGCCTCAGTGAAGAATTAGGGGCCCGCGCTGCACAGGAAAGTTCCCTTTGGTCCACAGGGCCATTTCAAGCAAGTTCAATGACCTGGTCCCTTAGAGCTCCATATCCCAGTCCCAGCCCTTCTTTGCAGCTGGGCCTCTCTATACCCCTGGATGAACAGCTTGCTCAGGCCCCAGGGTGGCTGCCTCGGCCCTCCCAGCTCTTACACTCAGCTCCAGTGGCTTCTCCTTTCTGTCAAGACTTAGCCCCGCTGAGATGCCCTTCTGCTCCAGCTTGCTGGATGTTACCTGTCCTCTTCCCTCCACAAGTCTTGGCCCTTAACCTTTATCTTTCTTCCTGTCCTCTCACCTAGATTGTAAGCTCCCTGGGCCAGGACTTCAGCCTGCCTCCGAGGGTCCCCTGTGGCACCTAGCATGGTGCACAGCACATTAGAAGTGCTCAAAAACATCTGATGACTGACTAAAGATGCTAGGCGTGACACCGTTCCCTCCAAAAGCAGACCTCGGAATCACTGCCAAATAAGTAACTAGACGTTTACAGGCCATACATGTCTTACCACTGAGATGGCGCGTGCGTGGGTCTTGAGGTGGAAGGGGATGGTTTGGTGGGATTTCTAAGAGTTCTCAGAGAAAGGGGAGGGGCAGGGGGCTCCTGGGGAAAACAAGCACTGGCCGTGGAGTAGCAAGAGAGAGGACACGGGGGGGACGGTAGGCGGTGGTGCCAAGGGATAAAACAGGAAGGGAAACCAAGCCTGGGTCTCCCGCAGCTGAAGCTAATACCCCTTCCAGTGGCCCTTCTGAGAAATACCCTCTTCTAGAGTGGTCCTTAGATCCTGTGATGCCTCTGAAGGGGCACTTCCAGAACATTCCTTGAGTTTCTGCCCAATACATATTCATATGTTCTTCTTTTAAAATGACCCCCTGGGAAAGATTAGCCCAACCAGGGCCTCCAGATCCCCCAACTGGTGGGGTGGGAGTGGGAGACACCCAGTCATCCTGTGGGAAGAGCCCAGGAGCCAGATGACCTCGGCTGCAGCCTGGCACTGCCACCCACTTCTTTAAGGCCTCAGACGAGTCGCTTCACCCCTCTGAGCAGCCCTCTCCTCATCACAGAAATGAGGACAAGCAGTATTTTTGCTGCTTCTTACCATGGTGAGGTCCTAACGTTACCAGGGGCCCCATGAGTACATTAGACCCCACCGTCCTACACCACTTCCAGCCCCCTCCCCATATTTGAGAAGGAAGAGGAGAGGGAGGGAGTCCACCAGTCAGACGCAGGGTTCAAGCTCCAGGCAAGACTACTAGGGAAATACACTCCTTCCCCTCCCTCAGTGCTGGCCCTGTCCTCTGGGCCCAGCCATCTGCTCTCCCTTCTCCAGGAGCCATGTGCAACATGAATGAGAAGGAGTCCACTGTCTTGAGGGCCTCTGAACCCCTGTGCCAGGCTGCTGGGATGCAGGATGCAGAGGCCCCTCTTGTTGGGGAAGGGCCTGCCTCCTCACCAGGTCTCTGTACTTTCTCTCCTACCACACAGCATTTTGTCCCCTCCACTTCCTAGCCCCTGGCACAGGCCTGACACAGAGTGAACACATAGCAAACGTTTGCTAGAGCAATGAACAAACATGAGGGCTTGGTGACCACAGTTCCCTGCAGGGTGGCAGGGGTGGAAGGTGAGGGAGGAGGGTCTGCACCGCATGCCCCGGCCCCCAGGCTTCCAAGAGATGGCTGCCCTCCACGTACGGATCTCAAAGGAAAACTCCCCAACATCCTCACCCTCGGTTCAGAAACACAGGGCCCTGAGCACAGACCACACTGGTTCAAGCTCAGAGCCCAGAGTAAGCCTCTGCAAAAGCGCCAGTTCCTCCTCAGACACAGACAGAGTGGAGGTCCCCATCAGCGGTGCCTTTATTATCATAAACATTGGGAGCAAATAAATGGTACAGAAAGGGCAACAGGCCCAGTTCCTCTTCAGGAGAACTTCAGTGAATAAGCAAGAAATCAGGGTGAGGAAGAAAAAGGGGAGCCATGGCCTGAGCCTGGCTGGCTGGGCCCATAAGTCAACCACACAGCCCAGCTGCAGCTGGCTTATCCCTCCAAGGCACCACTGGTCCAGCTCTGCTAACCAGGACACAGATGGCATCTTGGTATCTCTTTCTTGCCTCTATATGCTTCTCACGCCTAGTACAGTGCCTTGCATGTAGTAGGTGCTCAATAAATGAAGAACCAGAGGATACAAGTGGGCCCTCCAAGAAACCATGACAGATGTAATTTACAAGGAAGAAAACTCTTGTTTAAGGAGGGTAATTTGCTCAAGGTCACATAGCTAGCAAGCCACAGAGCCAGGATTGGAACCCAGGCAGTCTAGTTCCTGAGCTGTGCTCCTCACCAGTCCGCTCTGCTGCCTTCCACATACTCAGTATTCTCATCAGCACAAACACACACTCACATAAATGGCACATACACATAACCCATGAAACACTCCCCATGTTCAGACAACACACACGCATGAAAAGCCAATTTATATACTTCGCACATACATGAGCACACAAATGAACGTCTAGTCACTCATTTTCTCAGCTGCACCCAGAACAGGGCTGGGCTCATCTAGGGCAAGGAGATCTCCGTGGTTCCAACTGGCCAGCCCAGATATACCCCTCACTGCTGCACCCCCTTACCTGGCCTCTAGGAGGCTTCCCTCCAGGAAGCCAGGTTCAATGCAGGAAGTGTACTGCAGTTGACAAAGTCCCGGGGATATGAGTTGGACATGAAGATGTTGTTCTTAGACACGGTGGTGATGCCTGTGTTGTCGCAGATGATCCGGGGCAATGAGATCTGGGCCAGGGCCTGTCGCTGCTGCATGCTGAACACACCCTCGTTCTCCCACCAAAACCTGCATGGGGAACACCCATGGACACTGTGCCCAAGGATATTCTGGGCTGGCAGGGCATCGATGGGCTTGTGCTGCTCCCAGGATATAACAAAGCCACAACAAATGCCACCTGGAAGCACAGGAGGGCCCCAGGCCCTTGGGCAGCCCAGGGGCTTTCACACAAGTGATGCTCCACTCATCGTGCAGAGTAAAGCACAGCTGCCCAGTGGCCTTTCCCTTACCCCTAGCCCGGCGGCCTCCAGGGCACCATGCTGGAGGGGGACCCGGGCCCACACACACTCCTGAAGCCCTGTGCCCTGGCCAGGAGCTGCATCCACAGGAGTGGAAGAGAATCTTGGGGGTGGTTTATAATTCGCCCACCCAGAGAGGGGCACCTTTTTCTAATTTTCCCAAAGGTGCAGTACAGGCTAAGCAAGAACTAGACATGAAGACATCAGGACCACGAGGAAATGACACTAAGGGGAGCTGTGGGAAAGCTGGGAGGGGACTGCCCACTGGTGACTGACACCCACATGGTGGCACAGTGAAACCCATGGGAAGAAGTAGCTAAGGGTGGCACTTTTCTATCTTCCACCCTTTACAACCAGGGGTCCAGGTCTTTCCTTGCTGCACCCCCAACAGGTTCAGGGCACATTAGGGGCACTCCAGGGCATCTGGAGGATTCCTGGAACACACTGGAAAATTACTGACTCCCTCCAGTCCTTCAACTGACAGGAGGAAATTTGGGCTCCAAGAGAGTCAAGGATGGGCCCACAGCCACCCAGCGGCCCACGACGCCTGCCCCTCCTCACCGATCACCATCCCGGAGCTTCCTGAACTGGGTACCGATGATGCAGGCGAGGAGTGGGCCCACGCGGCCTTTGCGCTTCAGAGGCTCGGACACGCCGCCCATCCAGATGTCGATGTTGTTGGGCGTGCCATACTGCTCCATCAGTTTCCTCGCCAATTTCAGGTTCCTCAGCACCGTGCCCAGCTGGCCCACAGTTTCAGGCTGCGGGAGCCCACAGAAGCGCCTCCAGGCATTGTATCCTGCATGGGGGAGGGGACAGGTGGCTATGGGCAGGTCTCTCTGCTTCAAGGTGGGGAGGTCACTGGAGACAGCAGGGAAGATTCACATATCGCCAGCAGCCCAGAAAACCCACCTTCCCAACACAACCAAGGTCATAGAGGGAGGGAAGGACCTCACCTCAAGGAACCCTGTACCTTTGGCTTAGACCAAGGGGCACAACTGGGCCTCTCTGGGACCCTCTCTGTCTTTCTCTTGCCCTCCTACCATAAGGCAAACCCTAAACTGCCACAGTTCCTGCTGGGTCCAAGAATAGGGACATCTCCTTGTCCCCCTCCAGAGCAGCCCGATGTGTCTGTCTCTGACCCATGAGAGGTGAAATGTGTCTAGAAGCCTCAGCCACATGGGCTACCCCATAACATAGGCACAGGCTTTGAGGTTAGGCTAATCTGGCTTCAAATTTCAGCTTTGCCACTGACTTGGCTAGAGAACCTGGCCAGGTTCTGAATCTCATCAAGCCTCAGTTTCCTCATCAGTAAAATGAAGGCAATAATAATCTCTTCCCCCAGAGTTAACGTACAATGAAGCAAAATGGAATGATGACAGAGACAGATTTTCAGACTGTGGGTTATCATTATGATGACGATGCCCCTAATATGAGAATTACAGCATGCAAAGGAGGTTGAGAGGAGCTGGAAATTTATCAGGTGGGTCCGGGAAAAGGCAGGGGCCTGGCCTCAGGCTACTTCCTGAGAGCAAAGTGCCTCTAATATGCTTTGGAGAGGGCAGGGACCCTAGAGTGGGAAGGGGGGTGATGGGCTACCTAGGAGGCAGCTCAGGGGAGGTGAGCATCAGGGGAGACTCCTGCAGCCCCTCACCTGGGAGGCCGTGGTCCCTGCTGCGCTGCATGTTCAGAGCAGGCAGGTCCAGCCCAATCCTCATGACCTGCTCAAACAATCGCTCCCGGATCTCATCCACTGCAATTTGGTTCTGACGATTCAGCTTGGCAGGGGTGGCCATGAGGCCCCGGAGGATGGGGTCAATGCCACCTGGGGACCAGAGGAGCCAGGTCAGGGGAAGTATCTGGCTCAGTATCAGAGCTCAGATTGGAGTCAGGGACAAGTCCAGGTAGGGTCAGGAGGATTCGAGAAGAGGGCTGGGCACAAGCAGTGCCTGGTGCCAAGGTGGTGGCCCCAGTGAGCAGGTCCTCACCGGTCACTACATGACCCCAGGGACATATAGGTCTCAGGAGATTATGCCATTCAGACTTGCAAGATTGGGATGCTCCCAGGCCCTGGCTTCCTGGGTCACAGCGAGCCACAACACATAGGAAGTAGCCAGTTCCCTCTGAGGGCCATCCCCACCCCACTGTTTATTATCAGATATGGAAGCAGAGTCAGAGGAACTGAGGCTAGAGAGTCAGACCAGATCTCCAAGATGGGAGGAAAGCAGACTGCTCCCCACCCTAGCTCCCTAGAGCCAAGGTGATCCCTACCCCACCTTTAGCTGTCAGCCCACTCGCTCCTGGCCTAGGTCCTGCTTACCTTCCAGCACGACCCTCCAGGAGGCAAAAAAGACCCTGCTGAGGGGGACACGGGGGTTGGGTTCCATGGGCTGGTACCGATTGTCCAGGCGGAACATGAAGGGTTGGATGAGGGTGTGGCCGTAGCGGAAGGCATTGGTGAAGACGTTGGCGATGCGTGGGTCCACTGAGTCATTGTAGGAACGGTACGTGGGCAGGTACTTCCTCATGGCCGTTGGCCCCAGCACCAGGGGCAGGTAGTCCCGGTAAGTGATGATCTAAAGACAAGTCATTTGGAATGGCCTCTCCACCCACTCCTCCACAGCAAATGCCGCCTGGCAGCACAGGAGGGCCAGAGTCTCTGCCTGCTCTTGGCTTCGGGGACCCCTTCCATCCCTCTATGGTCAGGGAATAGCCTCCCACAATACCGGACCTGGGCCTAACAGAGTGGCACTGAGAGGCATAAATAGAGTTCTACTGCTTGCTGGCTGGGTGACCTTGGACCAATTATTAACCTCTCTGAGCCTGAGTTCCTCAAATGTACATTAAGGATAATTATATTGCCCTCTGCCTTAGAGGACTAAATAGCAAATCACTTTTTTAGTCATTGTGATAACTTCCTTGTCCTCAAGTTATTAATGTCTCATTTCTGCAACTATCTTATAAAGTCCTTGAGAGCAAGGGAAATTGAAGTTGTTGAAATTCTTCACAGTGCCCACCAAGTGCCTGCCCACAGTAAGGCTCAGTTTAGGTTTGTGGAAAGCAGGGAGGCAGGAAGGAACGAAGGGCCATTCTGGCATGATTTTCCCTGTGAAAAGTGAAGACATGGAATAGTCTCACTCTACATTCTAGAGTCTAGAAGTTATTTTGGAGTGTAAATGAATTTCACTTGAGTTCTTAGTGCAAATCAAAAACTCACCCTTAGCACCGAAAACTCTCTCCTCCAGAATCTAGGAGTGTGTGTGTGTGTGTGTGTGTGTGTGTGTGTGTGTGAGTGTGTGTATGTCTGCCTCTGCCTCTGAGGGAGAGGGTGGGGGCAATGAAGCACCAGATGTTGAGAGACAGAACCAGGAACATTGCCCCAGGGGTAAATGAGGCTAAGGACATTGGGTGGATTATGACAGAGCCAAAAAGAAGAGGTGAGTGGGCTGAACACAGTGACTCGTGCCTGTAATCCCAGGGATTTGGGAGGTCGAGGAGGGCGGATTACTTGAGCCCAGGAGTTTGAGACCACACTGGGTAACGTGGCGAAACCCCGTCTCTACAAAAAATACAAAAATTAGCCGGGCGTGGTGGCCCGTGCTTGAAATCCCAGCTACTCAGAAGGCTGAGATGGGAGAATGGCTTGAGCCTGAAAGGTGGAGGTTGCAGTGAGCCAAGATCGCACCACTGCACTCCAGCCTGGGCAACAGGGTAAGACCCTGTATCAAAAAATAAAAATAAAATAATAATAATAATTTTTAAATTTTATTTTATTTATTTATTTATTTTGAGATGGAGTCTCGCTCTGTCACCCAGGCTGGAGTGCAGCAGCGCCATCTCAGCTCACTGCAAGCTCTGCCTCCCAGGTTCACGCCATTCTCCTGCCTCAGCCTCCCAAGTAGCTGGGACTACAGGTGCCCGCCACCACGCCCGGCTAATTTTTGTATTTTTAGTAGAGATGGGGTTTCACCGTGTTAGCCAGCATGGTCTTGATCTCCTGACCTCGTGATCCACCCGCCTCCGCCTCCCAAAGTGCTGGGATTACAGGCATGAGCCACCGCGCCCAGCCCTATAATTTTTTTAATTTTAAAAAGAAGAGGTGAGTGGGTAAAGGAGCTAAGAGTGACAGTGAGATGGAGGGAAGAAGAATTTACTGAACAGCTACTTGGGCGCTAAACCAAACATTCAACCCTCCCAACACCAATAACAGACCCACAGGAAAGAAGACTGCAGGGAGCAAACCTGCGAAGAAGGAGAGGGAAGGGAAGGAGGCTTTGTCAAGCACTTACTATCTGAAAGGTGTTTTCATATATGTATTATAATCCTTACAGCCTCATGGATGAAGAAGGCAAGGCTCAGGAGCGTTAGGAACTTGCCCAAGGTCACACAGCTAGGATGTTGCAGGGACACATCTGGATCCCGTGTGCCCGGTGTTCAAGACGGCCTACCTGGACCATGGCCCCCACGATCTTCCGGGCTTCCTGGTAGAGCCTCTCCCCATCCCACCTAGGGTTCAGGCTCTTGAGCTCTGTGGCCAGCCGGTTGTGCTCCCGAAGTAAGAGGGTGTGCATGGAGGTGAGCTCGGGCATCTCACTGGAACGGGTGTCCCCTTGGGGAGGCAAAAGCCACTGTCATTCTTAAGGCCTCCATCCCAGAAAAGATTTGCTCCACTGAAACCCCCTCCCCAGCCAAGGCCTGAAATGCCTCCTACTCACCCCTCCTCCCCATCCATCTTTTCAAACTATCCCCAATTTACACTCCTCTAGGAGGCCTTCCCTGATGCCCCAGTCCACAATGATAGCTTCTGCCTCAGCTCAGGGCCGCTGCTGGTTGGGGATGCTCATTCAATAGGTATCACTTCCAACACATGACATGCCACTTTCCTGTACCTGAAACTGGGAGCTCCTTGAGCACAGGACCAAGGCTTGTGCCTTTTTATATTTTACCCTCCCTCCTAGCACACATATGGATACATGGGGCTTAACAGAGTGCCTGGTACAAAGTATGAGACTTATGAACACTGCTTGGTTCATTGATTCTCTTGATTCCAAGGAGTGTCTGGGAAGAAGCATGCGTGTTGGCACAGCCTACATCCATGCCCATGTCTGATGCAGCTAACGATCACAGCACTCTTTCCTGCTAAAATTGGATGCAACCTCAGAATCCTTCTCAACACAGGACTCCAGAAAGCCACTACCATTTGAACAGAGTTGTCAGCCCTGCCCTTTACTACATGCCAATGGTGCAGCCTGCCCCAGGGGAGAGGGCTAGGACATGAGATATGTGGAGTCCACACCTGAGACTGTTCAAGAAAACTAAGCAGATCCCCCCTGGTTCCCCTAGTCCTCCCAGAACCCTTCTCTGCAGGGGCCAGAGGGCTAGGGTCAGGACACTAGGGTCAGTCCTTGCCAGCTCTAGAAGCTGGTGGAAAGGAAATTCTCTGAGAGCAGCATCTCCATCCATGAACAGCTAGAGGTCATAATGACCCAGGCTTGGGACATGGGGCTCATCAAAGCCAGGCTGTGGGCAGCTGAGTCTGGCTAAGGAGGGCTGCCCTTGCCTAACTAGCCCAGAAGAGGTCGGGCATCTCTTGCAGAAAGTCCGACCTGGATCCTCCTCCCAGGGTCCCAGCCAGGGAGAGACCAGCAGGAACCATCAGGAGGAGGCAGAGGGAGGCCAGAGGAAAGGGCCTGAGGTCCACTATTGGGTTTACATTTAAAAACACTGGAAAATGGCTGCGTGCGGTGGCTCACACCTGTAATCCCAGCACTTTGGGAGGTTAAGGTGGGCAGATCATGAGGTCAGGAGTTTGAGACCAGCCTGGCCAACATGGTAAAACACCATCTCTACTAAAAATACAAAAAATTAGCCAAGTGTGGTGGCAGGCGCCTGTAGTCCCAGCTACTCAGGAGGCTGAGGCAGAAGAATCACTTAAACCCAGTTGGCAGAGGTTGCAGTGAGCCGAGACTGTGCCACTGTACTCAAGCCTGGGTGACAGAGTGAGATTCCGTCTTAGAAAAAAAAAAAACACTGGAAAATGTCTGGTCATGGCTGCCATCACTGCCCCAATTGTGTCTCCAAAACTGCCAATTGTTTACATTTAAAATCCCATCATCTCTTATTATGGGTAATTAAGATGCGCAGGAGGGGATATTTTGGAGCAGTGTGGTCCAACTCAACCTTCCGAGATGATGAAAATATTTTACATCTGTGCCACCCAATAGGGGGAGCCACTAGACTGTAAGGCAATTGAGCATTTGAAATGTGGTTAGCACCGCTGAGAAACTGGGTTTATTTAATTTAAAATAACTAAAATTAAAATAGCCACATGCAGCTAGTGGCTACCACATTGGATAGTGTCGCTCTAGAGGGTGAGGGCACCACAGCGTTCTCTGTCCTTTAGTTCCCTGCCCCTGAGGGATTTGACTCTCTTGTCTTCCAGAGTCCAGAAGGGAAAAAAGGGACAGAGAAAGCAATGGACTGATGGACAGAGGCTCCTCAGCCATGCCTGGGTCTCCATCTTAGGGTTGGAGAGGTTGTTTGCTTTTCTGCTTTTCTGGCTCCATCTGACTTGTTACCAAGGCAACTGGATTAATATCATGAAGTTGATAGTAATGGCTGGTGAGGACAGTCTCTCTAAGTACAAACCCACAAGCTGCTCACAAACAGACTCACTGTGGCTCCAACAGGGAACATCTCCTATGCCACCTCTGGTCCCCACCCCAAAGCTGACCTGCCAGGAAGCAGGGGATGCGCGCTGAGCGGTTGGTGAGGAGACAGGGGTCATCGTGCAGGTTGTCAAAGGGCAGCAGGGCCCGGCCGTTGTCTTGGAAGCGCTGGTTGACGGCCAGCAGCCCCAGCTGGTTGGACATGTTGCGCAGGTTCCTGGCCAGGGGCTCCTCGCTGCCGTACACCATGCTGGCGTCCACGAAGGAAGTGAGCGCGTTGATCTGGTTGCGGATGGTGATGTTGCTCCCGGGGCAAGCCGGGCAGGAGCGGAAGAACGGGATGCAGTCGGCTTGGTTCTTGATGCGGGGGTCATTGGGCGGGATCTGAGGCACAGAGAGAGGCTAGACTGGCTCACCGAGGGCAAGGAAGGTGCCCAGGCAGAACTGGATCTCCCCCTGCCCTCAGGACCTCTGGTACCCTCAACCTGCAGAGAGGCCTCCGGAGGCCCGAAAGGGATCGCTGCCTAGGGCGCCATCAGCAACAGCCTCTGAGGTGCAGGGTTAATGAGCAGAACACTGAACTGGGAACCTGGGCAACCCCTGGGTCTGGGCACCGCCAGGCCTCGGATCCCTCCTCACTAAAGCGTCGCCCGTCTCTCTCCCCTTCTCTCTGCTGTGCCTGCTCTCCCTCTGGCCCTGACATTCTCCTGTCTGTCTCTCCCTCTCTCAGGCGCTCTCTCCTTTCTCTCCTCCTCCTTCCCTACTCAGCAGTGCCTCGACCACCCTGCCCACTCCCAGCCCTGTCCCACGGCACCCACCAGACCCCCAGGCTCTCTCTTTCTGTGTGATGGGGGTTGGGGCTGCCCTCTCAGTGGGGCGGAAACAGGACTGAGCATGGAGGCTTGGGGGGCACTGAGAAGGTCTCCTCCCAGAACCCTCTCCCAACCTAACAAAGAGCCAGTGATTCCACCAACAGGACTCCTGTCAGCCAAGGAGGAACAACCCTCTCTCCCTTGGCCTGCCAGAGGCAGTGAGCAAATGGACGGCCCTGGCTGCCAGCTGGCTGAGCCCAGGCGCAGGAAGGAGACAGGTCATAGCTGAGCAGCCAGTGCTGTGGACACAAGGGAGGCAGGGCCAGCCTTCCTCAGCGTCTGGGAAAGGAAACCTGGGCACAGAAGGGAGATGGCCCCTTCCAGAAACAATCTCCCCTCTCCCAACCCAGGCAGTGGGCGGGAAGCAGGGCCACCTTGAGCGGGAAGCAGGGCGGCTGCTGAACGCAGCTGGTCTCGCAGTTGACGCCAGTGACGAAGGAGGCCCGGGCGGCCGGCTCAGGGGTGAAGTCGAGGTCGTGGTCCAACAGCTGGCCCCATTGCATGAACATGAGTGAGCGCTCCTGGTCCGGAGTCAGCTGATCAGTGGGGAAGCGCACGATCTCGTTGGAGACCGCGCGAGCCTGCGGGACACGGAGATCAGCTGGCGCCTGGGTCCGCGCACCGCGTGGCCGGGCCTCGCCCCCTCTGCCCGCCGGCGCTCACCAGAGCCACCGGGAAGCCGTTGCGCTTGACCCCGGGCGTCCAGCCGTAGGGAAGAGAGAAGCCGTCCTCATACTCCGCCGGCAGCCAGCGCACAAAGGCACGGTTGGAGGCCCCCAGCGTGGGGCTGCGTCTGCAGGGGAGGACAGGGCGCTGACACCGGGAGGCTTGTGGCGTCCGGGACGCCTCTCTGAGCCCGGTTCCTGCAGCCACCCCCAGCCAGCCGCACCTGTTGTTGCACATCCCGGTGATGGTGCGGTATTTGTCCTGCTCCGGGCAAGTCACCCCCACGTCCTGGTAGGCGCAGCCGCTTGACTTGGACAACACATTCAGCTGGGCGGGCGTCAGCACATCTGCCGGGGGAAAGAACAATGGGGGAGCTGAGCCGCCTCACTTCCTATCCCAGGCAACCTGAGGCTGAGGAGCCCTGGAGACTCCTGAGACTCCCTGGAGGAAGAAGTTGAGGGGATCACTGAGAGACGGCTGGGGTCCCTAGGAGGAGTCACTAGTGGAGCAGGGACCTGGGGTGTGATGGGCAACAGTACCAGTGACATTGAATGGCCTTCGCCACAGGGACCGCAGCTTCCTCTCCAGCAGGTCTAGAGCCACGTGCAGGTAGTCAGCGGCCCTCACCGCCGTCCTGGTGGCTGCCACCGGCTGCTTGAAGTAGGATAGGAGTTCCATGGGGCTGGCTGAGCCGCTGCGAAGCCGCTGCTTGATGCTGCTTGGAGAAAGGAGGAGTGAGGGCCAGAGAAGGGATACAGACCCACCCAGCAGAGCCCCAGCCCAGGGGCAGACATGCAGGACCATGCAGGCAGGCCCACGGGTGGGAGGAAGGCTTCCTTTTATAAAAAGGATATGGACCTGGGTGTCCAGACAGAGGCAAGGCTTTGGGAAGGATGGCTTTTAAGCTGTTCTCCCATCCAGAAACACAGGGACAGACAGACAGAAAGGGAGTCCACATGGGTCCCCATAGTCCCCCTCTCCCACCTTCAAGCTCCCTGCTGCCTGCTGCTTCTCTGAAAGGCCTGGGACATCCTTGCCCAGAGCTGGGCAGTGCCTCGTGCCCCACCTTTCCCGCCGCTCCTTGTAGGCCTTGTCCACCAGCTGCTTGGCCTCCTCCATGGAGCTCAGCACCAACGAGGTGTCCACCTCCCCCAGGACAGCTGCCCAGAGCAGGGATCACAAAGTCAGGAATGGGCCCCAACCCCCTATCAGGCCCCAGAGCTAGGAAGGCCTGCTCTGAGAAAAGGGGTCTCTGGAACACAACCACCCCAACACACCATCTTCTCCCACCTTGGGAACTGTTACCTGGAGCAGCACCTTCAGAGGGCTGGGGCGTGGCCAGAATGGCCAGGAGCCCTGCTAGGGCCAGAAGCAGCTTCATCTCTGCAGTGAGACCCCCAGCCCAGCAAGGTCCTAAGTCCACCATGCATCTGAGAGAAGAGAAGAAGGGAACCCCCATCTCTCTTCTCCTGGGCTGCTCAATCCCCCTTTGTACCTCAGCCCCACCTCAGAGGGCCCTGTCTATGGATAAAGCCAGACCTCCTTGAGGGAGGGGCTCACTGCTCTCTTATCCCCTTGCCAGCTGCTGTCATCCAGCTTCCAAGGACCCCACCTCCACAGCTCACCTGATATTGTCAGCTCCTCTTAGCTCAATCTGCGCTTTTATGTCCTCTAAGCTGGGGGTGGGGTGAGGTAGAGGAAGGTCTGATCCTGGAGACTGAACTCTTTCTCCTCCCCCACTGGGGTTGGAAGGTACACACAGAGGGGCCCCTGAAATGGGGGGAAGGGGCAGGAAAGGAGGGGCCAGCATTGTCCCCAGCCTTTTTTTTTTTTTTTTTTGAGACGTTATCTTGCTCTGTTGCCCAGGCTGATGTGCAATGGTTCAAGCGATTCTTCTGCCTCAGCCTCCCGAGTAGCTGGGATTACAGGTGCCCGCCACCACGCCCTAGCCTCTAGCCACATCATCAATTATTTCCTTAGGCAAGAAGTAATTTTTGTATTTTTCCTTAGGCAAGAAGCTAATTTTTGTATTTTTAGTAGATACAGGGTTTCACCATGTTGGCCAGGCTGGTCTTGAACTCCTGACCTCAAGTGATCCACCCGCCTCAGCCTCCCAAAGTGCTGGGATTACAGGCATGAGCCACTGGCCCCAGCCTGTCCCCAGCCTTTGAATTTAGCACTACCAGCCCAAGATTTCTCAGCTCACCATTGTGTGCCTATACCAGTGCTTGTCCCCAGGGGATACACACAACTAACCCCTCTGAAATTCTGGTTACACTGGTTATCCAGGGTTCCTTTGAAAGGAACAAAAGTCAGGAACTGGTAGCCCAAGGAATTGCAGGGAATAGAGTGCCCCCAGGGAAGACAGGAGGATGAAAGGGAGACCTGGAGTAAAGATGACCCAATTGGCCTCAGGTGGCCATCCCCCACTCCAACAGTAACCTGCATCCAACAGCCACCCAATGGGCAGCCTCTGGTTCTTGGTGGGGCTAAGGGGACAGGAAATCTGGCTGGAGACCGTTGGGCTTCACAGGAAGGAGGACCCTGGGGACTGTGGGCGCAGGACCAAGATAACTTCCTCTATCCCTCCTCACTCCCCTTTCTTCTTGGCTTCTGGTAGAGGGCTGTCTCCAAACTCCTCCTCCCCACCACCATCTGCTCCTGGATTTCAGGAACCAGGAGAGAGCAGAACTGGTTGTGGTTAGTGATCAGTTAGGTGATGCAGCCCAGGGCCTCTCTGGGACAGGATCAGTGCAGTTGGGAGGACTTGGGTTAATGATTCAGAATAATTCTGAAACAGAAGAGGATATTTCTTGCTTGAGAAAGCCCAGCAAAAGGGCCACCAATCTCAGCAGGAAAAGTACTACGACTTTTGACTGAATCAGTCTACCTCTCTGGGCCCTGGTCAGGCTGAGCTCGTGCCAACCATGCCTCCCATGTCCCATTTAGGTTCCCCCTCCTACCTTCAGCCACCTTCCCGCCACCCACTCTTTTTTTTTTTTTTTTTTTTTGAGACAGGGTCTCTCACTGTTGGCGGAGCTGGAGTACAGTGGTGCAATCTCGGCTCACTGCAACCTCTGCCTCCTGGGTTCAAGCAATTCTCCTGCCTCAGCCTCCCAAGTAGCTGGGATTACAGGCGCCCGCCACCATGCCCGGCTAATATTTTGTATTTTTAGTAGAGATGGGGTTTCAACATGTTGGCCAGGCTGGTCTCAAACTCCTGACCTCCTCCTGATCCACCCACTGTTGGGATTACAGGCGTGAGCCACCGCGCCCGGCCCACTCTTGTCTTCTATGCCCAGACCACCTCTTGGCCAAGGGACAAGGGACAGCAACACCCAGAATATCTTCCCAGTGTGTCCAGGGATTCTGTCCCCTGCTGAGAAGGGGAACCAAGCTTTTGCCCTGCCAGTGACTTGCTGTGTGTGAAGTTGGTCGAGTGGCTCTTTGTGAATCAAGCTCTAGAATTTTAGAGGCTTTTGGAAATGATTTTTCAATCCTTTAAGTAATATAATTTTCACTGATGAAAAGTTTGAGAACACGAGTATGCAAAAATAAAAATAAATCAAAATTACTCATCATCAAGTGAGATTGTGGGTACTTTTTTCTTTCAAGGTTTATCATTGTCTTCACATAAATAAACAATAGGAAGGAAAATAATTGCCCATAATCCCACCACTCACCAATACCTCATTTAAGAATTTGATATCCTATATGTAAACATAATATATATTTTTAAATATTGATAAGAAGAACTTTAAATATTGTTTTACCATCTACTTTCGGTACTTAACAATTTTAGTCTGAGCATCTCCCTGTGTCAATAAATACAGGTTTACTTCATTTTTATGTCTGTATAATATTTCATATAACTATTTTATATGATTTATTAACTAATTCTATCTCATTAGATACTTAGAGTTGTTTCTGATTTTCATTATTATAAGTAGTACTAGGATAAGCATCCATGGAGTTAAATCTCTCGCCACATCGTCAATTATTTCCTTAGGCAAGAAGTAAAATTCCTGCGTATTTGGGTATGCGTGTTTTAGGGCTTTTTAATATTGATAGTCAAATGGCCTGCTGAAGATTTTACCTCATCCTCCCATCAGCCATGCATGAGAGCACCTGTCCCCTGTCACCCTTGTCAACCTTGAGTATGCTTGAGTGTCCTTTCGCTCTTTTAAGGGAATTGTCAAGGCTCAACAGGGGAGAGATATTTAATGCAAGCCCCTTATTGTAGAGCTGAGAAAGAAGGAGCCCAGGGAAGGAAACGACTTGACCAAGGTCAGCAGTGTGACACAGTTCAGAATAATCTCCATGCCCAGTCTCCTGACTTCCAAACCAGTGCTCTTTACCCAGTAGCCTCTGGACACCTGTTCCTGACCTTTCATTCAATGATTTCTTCAACAAGTATTTACTGAGCCCTTGTCATTCAATGATTCCTTCAACAAGTATTTACTGAGCCCTTGTCAGGTGCTGCGCTGGGCATTGAGCATTCTCCACTGAGCAAAGCATGAGCCTTATCCTCAAGGAGCTCACAGAGGGGAGCAGAAAGGCAAACAAATGGCACCCCCAGAACCAATGCAGGGACCTTAGGGAGCAGCGAAGAGCAGCACTTGGATCAACTGGGGGAGGTCAGTGAAGGCTTTCTTGAGGAATTGATTCTGGAGACTGTCTTGAAGAATGTCTCAAAGCTGACCAAGTAGACACAGAGGAAGAGCATTCTGGGCCCAGAGAATGACACTGTCGGCTTCACTCAGTTCCAACACAGGGAGAGGGTGGACAGGGTGAGGCTGGTGGGCCAAGCAGAGGCCCAGGATGCAACATTCTCGCAGACCTACTGAGAAATTATTGTCCCGAAGCCCCAGGGAGTCATGAGGTCTGTGAAGCGGAAGTGCATGGTCCAAGTTACTTTGGAGAGCTCACCTGCTCTGGTTGCAGTGTGGACAGTGCGCTGGAAAGGCAGGCCCAGACACAGAGACCTGGCAGGCAGCATGTCAGCGATTCACCTGTTAAGAGGCTTGCTCTGCTTCCTCACAGGCAGCAATCAGGCCAGGAGTGTTTGAAAATACTTCTCCAAGAACGACGTTTAAACTCCCTGAGTGCTCCACCCACATAGAGGTGAGAGCACTCCCAAGATGTGGATTCCCCAAAGCCCCTGTCTTTGGCCCGGGGGTGGGTCTGGGGATGCACATGTGTGTGCCAGGGCTAGAGATGTTCTATGACTTGACATGTTTTCAACCAATTAATAATGACCCACCTGAGGTTATCCCAAGGTGGTCAGCCTCTCCTGTCTGCACCTCTGTCGTTCCCTCATCTAGGCCCTATTTGTCGGGCCAGGTGTGTTTGAGGCTCAAAGCTCTTCTCAGCATGCAGAGTAACCAGGGGAATGCAGCTCAAGGGAGTGGGAGGGATTTCAAATAAGCTTTGTCCCATGTGAGTTACCCGCCAGTCCCCTTCCTGGGGGTAGGCTCTGGAGGGCACTGCTGGGACTGCTACATCTCAAGACTATAGTCATTTGAGAGAGCTCCCCGCCTCCAACACACTCACACCCCACTGCCGTCTCTTCTGCCCACTTAGAGTTCCCAAATATCCCCACCCCCAGGGTGAAGCCCAGCTGCTGGTGGGATAACGGGCCCTCTCTGCTACTGCTTGCAAAACAGCATGTTGTTTCTTAATGCTGTTTAAGAAATAATTCAGTTGGGATTTCAGCCTGATTTCCTGTGTGTGGTTGGAGAGAAAGAGGCACCCCCAGAAGGCTATGGAAGCTGGGGAGATGGCAGAGGCAGCGGCTGCTTAGACAAACCAGTTTTACTCAGCCCATAGATCTTGTTTTATCTCTCTTTACAACTGTTTTAATTAATTTTGAATTCTATAGGTAATACCTGGATATATTTGGAAAAAAATTTAAAATTACAGACCAAGCTAAAGCTCCTTTTAGATTAGGTTATTGCATCATCCTCAGTTCCAGTCCCCTTCCTCCACTCTTCAGATGCAAACACTGTTGACATTTTTGTATTTGACCTTCCAAATCTTTTAGTAATACTTTACATTCATTCATATTTATGGATCTGTGAGAAATATTCTGTTCCCTGGTTTTTCTCCATAAATGATATTCCATTATACATATTGTTCTGCAATGTGTTTCTTTTACTCAGTGCATCTTTAGATCTATCATGTATCACTTAGAGCGTGATCTCACCTTTTTTTTTTTTTTTTTAAGTTTTTTGGTTTTTGGTATTTTTTAGAGACAGGGCCTCACTCTGCTGCCCAGGCTGGAGTGCAGTGGCACACTGCAGCCTGGAACTCTTGGACTCAAGCCATCCTCCTGACTCAGCCTCCTGAGTAGTATCACACTTTTTTAACTTACATGATATTCCTTAGTTGGCCTGTCTCTCCATTTTGTGACCATTCCTCTATTAATGGAAGCTGACATTTTAACATTGTTTTTCACTATTAAAAACAATCCCTCAGCCAGGCACGGTGGCTCATGCCTGTAATCCCAACGCTTTGGGAGGCCAAGACGGGCAAATCGCCTGAGGTCAGGAGTTGGAGACCAGCCTGGCCAACATGGTGAAACCCAGTCTCTACTAAAAATAAAAAAATTAGCCAGGCATGGTGGTGGGCACCTGTAATCCCAGCTACTTGGGAGGCTGAGACAGGAGAATCGCTTGAACCCAGGAGGCGGAGGTTGCAGTGAGCTGAGATCACACCACTGCCACTGCACTCCAGCCTGGGCAACAAAGAGCGAAACTCCATCTCAAAAAAAAAAAACAAACCAAACAAACAAACAAACAAAAAAAAAAACAATGCCTTGAGAGGCCTTGTTGTACATACACACAAGTGTTCCCCATGGTAAAAATGAAGAAGTGGACCACAGGTTTTGTTCATTTACAATTTTTAAGGCCAGATGCAGTGGCTCATGCCTGTAACCCCAGCACTTTGGGAGGCCAAGGCGGGCAGATCACCTGAGGTCAGGAGTTCAAGACCAGCCTGGCCAACATGGTGAAACCCCGTCTCTACAAAAAATACAAAAATTAGCCGGGCATGATGGTGCATGCCTGTAGTTCCAGCTACTCATGGGGCTGAGGTGGGAAAATCATTTGAATCTGGGAGGTAGAGGCTGCAGTGAGCTGAGATTGCATGATTGCACTCCAGCCTGGGTGACAGAGCGAGACTCTGTCTCAAAAAAAAATAAAAATAAAAACACTGGGCGCTGTGGCTCACTTCTATAATCCCAGCACTTTGGGAGGCTTAGGTGGGCAGATCACCTGAGGTCAGGAGTTCGAGACCAGCCTGGCCAACATGATGAAACCCCATCTCTACTAAAAATACAAAAATTAGCCAGGTGTGGTGGTGCACACCTGTACTCCCAGCTTCCTTGGGAGGTTGAGGCACGAGAATCGCTTGAACTCGGGAGGCAGAGGTTGCAGTGAGCTAAGATGGCACCACTGCACTCCAGCTTGGGTGATAGTGTGAGACTCCATCTCAAAAAAAAAAAAAAAAAAAAAATTTAAGTCCTGGCACAGTAGCTCACACCTATAATCCCAACATTTTGGGAAGCCGAGGTGGGAGGATCACTTGAGCCGAGGAGTTTGGGATCAACCTGAGCAACATAATGAGACTCTGTCTCTACAAAAAAAAAAAAAAAAAAAAAAAAATTAGCTGGGCGCGGTGATACTCCTGTAGTCCCAACGACTTGGGAGGTTGAGGCAGGAGGATCACTTCAGCCCAGGAATTCAGGGTTACAGTGAGCTATGATCACACCAGAACACTCCAGCCTGGGCGACAGAGCAAGACCCCGTATCTAATAAAATCTTAACAGATACGTATTGCTAAACTAGCCTCCAAACTTTGTAAAAATCTCATGAGCAAAGAATGGAATCATATTATTGGTTCAACTTTTATGTATTTGGTTAATAGTGAGGTTGAGCATATTTTTATTTGAATTATATCTTCTGCAACTTTCCTGTGTTTTGTTTTGTTAATTTTTCTATGGTGTTGTCACTCTTTTTATTGATTTGTAACAAGTATTCTATATTCTGGGTAAGCACTAAAGTCCTTCAGTTGTTATGTAGGTTCCAAATTTCTTTTTAGTACATCGCTTTTCATTTATGTTTTTTATAGTGTCTTAATTTCAAGGTGGTCAAATTTATCAATTTTTTTATATGGATTTTGCTTTTTGTTTTATGTATTTATTTTGGATTTCGCTCTTTCAGCTTTTTTTTTTAAGGGGCTCTTCCTTTCTTCAAGATTATAAACATATTTTCCTGTATATCCTTATAATACTTTAACACTTTGTTTTTACACTTAGGTCTCAAATCCATCTGGAATTTTGTTTGTGTGAATGGTATGAGGTGGGGAGCCATCTTTTTCTTTTTTTTTTTCCCAAACAGATAATCAGTTGTCCCAATGCCTTTAACTGAATAATCTGTCATGTCTCCACTGAATTCAGATACTAGTTTTGTCACTTACCATAAATGTGTGTGTATTTCTGATTGTTCTACGCTACCTTCCTAGTAGTCTATCTATTCCTATGTCAATACCTAATCATTACAGTCACTATAACTTTCTAATATGTTTTCATTACTGGCGAGATAAATTATCCTTCCTCATTCTTTTTAAAAATAGTCTTCAGCATTTTAGCATATTTACTCTTGCTTAAGAATTTCCGAACGTTTGTCTAGTTCCATAAAAAATCCTGTTGAGATTTTTAATGATATTGCATTCAATTTATACATAAATTTGGTAACGATTGATATCTGTATGATATTGTCTTCCTATCCCAGTACATTCATTCATTCACTCAACATATATGTACTGAGCACCTACCATGCGCCAGCACTGTTCTGGGTCCTGGGGATACAGCAGTTAACCAATTACTTGCTCTCATGGAGTTTACATTCTTGAGTAATTCAATGTATCATTCCATTTGTTTTCTTTTGTATCTTTCCTTTAAATGTTATTGTTTTACCCATATAGGGCTTGCTTGTTTCTTGTTAGGTTTGTTCCTAAGCACTTCCTTTTTGAAAAATGTAAATTTGGTCATTAAGTTTCTCTACGGAACTTGCAACATCTTACAAATTTTTTTTTAACCTCAAAAACATTCAAAGTAAGCTTTTTTCTTTGCTTTCTTTTTTCTTTTTCTTTTTCTTTTTTTTTTATGAGACGGAGTCTCGCTTTGTCACCCAGGCTGGAGTGCAGTGGCGCTATGTCGGCTCACTGCAAGCTCCGCCTCCCGGGCTCATGCCATTCTCCTGCCTCAGCCTCCTGAGTAGCTGGGACTTCAGGCACCCGCCACCACGCCCAGCAATTTTTTGTATTTTTAGTAGAGACGGGGTTTCACCATGTTAGCTAAGATGGTCTCAATCTCCTGACTTCGTGATCCACCCACCTCGGCCTCCCAAAGTGCTGGGATTACAGGCCTGAGTCACTGCGCCAGTCCCTTATTTTTTTTTATAGAGACAGGATCTCACTTTGTTGCCCAGGCTGGAGGTACAGTGGCTATTCACAGGCACAGCCATTGCACACTACAACCTTAAACTCCTCAGCTCAAGCAATCTTCCTGCTTCAGCCTCCTGAGTAGCTGAGACTACAGGTGTGTGCACTGTTCCCAGCTAAGGTAAGTATTCTTAAAGAAAACGAAATGTAATGGGATTCTATTCTTTCAGTTTTCTATAGAAGGTAGATTCATTTATCTGAAAAGCACTATACCTTTCTAACCGACCTTTCTAGAAAGGTTAGAGTCTCTATCTGATGAAGATACAATGGTTTGTTTGTTTGTTTTTAGACGGAGTTTCCCTCTGTCACCTAGGCTGGAGTACAATGGCATGATCTCAGCTCACTGCAACCTCCACCTCCCGGGTTCAAGCAATTCTCCTGCCTCAGCCTCCCAAGTAGCTGGGATTACAAGCATGTGCCACCATGCCATGCTAATTTTTGTATTTTTAGTAGAGGCAGGGTTTCACCCTGTTGGTCAGGCTGGTCTCAAACTCCTGAGCTTATAATCCACCCGCCTCAGCCTCCCAAACTGCTGGGATTACAGGCGTAAGCCACTGCGCCTGGCCAAGATATAATTTTTTTAAAGAGTGAATTTTCGGCCAGGCATGGTGGCTCACACCTGTAATCCCAGCACTTTGGGAGGCTGAGACAGGCTGATCACAAGATCAGGAGTTTGAGACCAGCCTGGCCAACATGGCGAAACCCCTTCTCTACTAAAAAATACAAAAATTAGCCTGGCATGGTGGTGCGCACCTGTAATCCCAGCTACTCGGGAGGCTGAGGCAGGAGAATTGCTTGAACCCAGGAGGCAGAGGTTGCATTGGGCTGAGATTGCGCCACTGCACTTCAGCCTGGGCGACAGAGCAAGACTGTGTCTCAAAAAAAAAGAGTGAATTTTCAAAATTTTTTGGTTTTAAATTTGGTTTTCAAATATGTTTAGGTCAGTACTGTAAAAGTTAAGACAAGTTAAATTCTGTGATTTTACAAATGCTTAATGGTTTTGCAGTTACTCCACCCTTTATACTTGTGGTTATTTGGGGAGGGGGTAAGCTTCCACGAGTCAAAGTTCTACAAAAGACACTAAAAATAAGAAACATTAAACTCAAAGAACAAGAATTAAACAGCATCTTCACCAATAAGATTAGTTAAAATAGAAAAGACTGATAAACCCAGTGCCAGTCAGGATGTGAAAAAAAATAAGCGTAGCTTGGCCCCATGCCATGGGATGGCAATCTGACAATGTCAGTCAAACTCCAAAGTGCTCTGACTCAGCAATTCTACCTTCAGGTAGGAATTTATCTTTCAGACACATTCTTAGGAAAGCATAAAGATACCTACACAAGTGTGTTCATTTCCGCCTCATTTGCAACAACCAAAAGACTGGAAGCAAGCCAAATGTCCATCAGAAAAGTTTTGCCAGGTTGTGGTATACCCTGGTAAATGTGTTTTATGCAGCCTTTAAAACAGAGGGAGATCTATTTGTAGCAAAATGGCAAGATTCAACCTGAGAAAACTGATTGGGAAAAAAAAAACAAAGAAAAAGAACAAAATGGCAAGAAATGTTACCAAAAGAAAATAACTAGTTACAAAACATTATATATAGCATGTTGCAATTCATACAAAACACACAGACATACATACACGCATAGGCACCACACACATGCACACAGAAGTGTTTACATACACATAAAGATTCTGAGAGCAGGCACAAAAGCCTATTTACAGTGGTTACATCTGGGGAATGAGCTGAAGGGGCTGAGGAACAAGACCCTTTTGCTTCATCCTCAGTGCTCTTCTCAAAGTTTTACAAGGAAAATATAATAATTTTATCATGAAAGAACTAAAAATCTCTCCCTCACCACAATTATGCAAAGTAGCAAACTTTGGTTTTACTTAATCAGTAGGTTTGGATTACTTTTACACTGGCTTGCTAATATGAAGCCAGACACTAACAAAGATTGAAATGGTAGCATTGGGCCAGCGCGGTGGCTCACTCCTGTAATCCCAGCACTTTGGGAGGCCAAGGCAGGTGGATCACTTGAGGTCAGGAGTTCGAGACCAGCCTGGCCAATATGACAAACCTCCGTCTTTTTTTTTTTTTGAGACACAGTTTCGCTCTTGTTGCCCGTACTGGAGTGCAATCGTGCGATCTCGGCTCACCACAACCTCCTCCTCCCAGATTCAAGTGGTTCTCCTGCCTCAGCCTCCCGAGTAGCTGGGATTACAGGTACACAGCACCATGCCCGGCTAATTTTTCTGTATTTTTAGTAGAGATGGGGTTTCTCCATGTTGGTCAGGCTGGTCTCGAACTCCCAACCTCAGGTGATCCGCCCATCTCGGCCTCCCAAAGTGCTGGGATTACAGGCATGAGTCACCGCACCTAGACCTCTGTCTTTACTAAAAATATAAAAATTAGCCAGGCATGCTGGCACACACTTGTAATCCCAGCTACTCAGGAGGTTGAGGCATGAGAATTGCTTGAATCTGGAAGGCAGAGGTTGCGGTGAGCCGATATTGAACCACTGCACTCCAGCCTGGGTGAAAGAGTAAGACTCTGTCTCAAAAAACCGAAACCAAAAACAAACAAACAAACAAAAACATTCTTTGCAAACTAAGAAGAAAAGGAACTTCCTCAAGTCTGACAAAGGATATTTACAAACAAAGATATCACTAGCGTGATACTTAATGGTGAAAGACTGAATGCATTCTCCCTAAGACTGGGAATGAGGCAAGGATGTCTGCTTCTGCCGTTTCTATTCAGCATTGTATTGGAGAGTCTGTGCTGTACAATGAGACAAGAAAAGGAAATTAAAGGGATCAGAATTTGAATTGTCTTTACTTATATACAATATGATCACATATATACACACACACACACAGATACACACACATATATATATATGATTCTAAGGAATCTACGTAAAATCTAGTAGAATCGGTAAGTGAGTTTAGGAAGGTTGCAATATAGAGGGCCAAAATACAAAAATTAGCTGTGTTTCTATATACTAGCAACAAACAATCAGAAATTGAAATAAAAATAACAATACCACTTTCAATTAAGCATCGAAAATATGAAACACTTACGGATAAATCTGACAAAAGATATACAAGATTGATACTGAAAACAACAAAACATTGCTAAGAGAAATTAAAGGAGACCTAAATAAATGGAAGGATATAGTTTTTGATAGGTAAACAGACTCTATACTGTGAAAATGTCAATTCTTCCCAAATTGATCTATAATTCAATGCAATCACAATCAAGATATTAATAAGAAGCTCCAGTTCTAGGTAAGATGGAATAAACACATTCCACACTGTCTGTCTCTCTCACAATGAATGCAGCTATAAATTTTGTACAGAATGCATGGAGCAACTATATGAAGACTCTGAAAGTAAATCAATGCAGGCAGACTGAAGAAGAATAATATATTTGAATATACCACCCAAGTAGCAGTGAGTTTACTGTATTTTTTCCTCTGGTATCCCCCAACCTGAACTCAATGCAGCCCAAAACCCAATATGGGCATCTATGGGGCAGAGGGGGCTCCAGGAGAAAACTCTCTGGATCCGACTTAAGGTGCAGGAAAGAGATCTCCTAATGTTCAGAGAGTACAGAGACCTCCCACTTTTCTCTTTTCCTTTTCTCCATTATCTTGCACCCCAGTTCCAAGCAATCCTTGGAAATAGTGGCAGCAGCAGGAGAAGGGGCCAGAAAGACCCCAGAACTCTGAGGGAGGGCAAACTTCCTCTCCAGTCAGAGGAGCTGTGCTCCCAGGAAGGTGGAATGAATCCTTGATACTCTTTCTTCTCTCTCTCTGTCTTCCCATTGCCCTGCCCCGGTGCAGGCATGGTCACAGGAAGTACATCACAGAACAAGGTAAATAAGCTTTTTGGCCAAAGGATCAAGAATCTCAAGGAATCATAATGCATCAGGGAGATGACAGAAAAGGAGGAGCTCAGGAAAGCAACCCTTTAAAGAACCTGTGGGACAATACCAAAAGGTCTAACATTTGCATCATCCAAGTCCCAGTAGGAGAGGGAGAAAAATGTGGTATAGAAAAATATTTGAAGAAAACTTCAAATTTGGCAAACTCCCCAAATTTGGCAAAGACATAGACCTATAGAATCAAGAAGCTCAGCAAACCCCAAATAGAATAAACATAAATAAACATAAAAGAACCCATATTGAACACGCAGTCAAACTGCTGAAAACAAAGGACAAAGACAAGAATCTTGCAAGAAACCAAAGAAAGATACATTACTACAGAGAATCAACAATTTGCAGGACTGTGGCTTTCTTATCAGAGATTATGAGACAGCAGGAAGGGAAACAATATTTTTAAAGTGTTTAAATAAAGAACTTTCAACCCATAATTCTCTATCCAATGAAAATATCCTTCAAGAATGAAGGTGAAATAAAGACATTCTCAGTTAAAGAAAAACTAAGATAATTCACTGTCACCATTTCTCTGAAATGACACCAGAAAGAAACTTGGGACATCAGAAATAAAGAAAGAGCAACAAAAATGTTGAATATCTGGGTTAAATATAATAGACTATTTCTCTCCTTTGAGTTTCTTAAAACCTATTTTCTGGTTGAAAGCAAAAGTTATAATGCTGCCTAATGAAATTTTTCATGTATGTAGAGACACAAGGCAACTGGGGAGAAAGATTAAGGAAAATATATCGTGGTAAAATCTCTAAATC
Source organism: Homo sapiens (assembly GCF_000001405.40). Classification (NCBI taxonomy): domain Eukaryota; kingdom Metazoa; phylum Chordata; class Mammalia; order Primates; family Hominidae; genus Homo; species Homo sapiens. Next base: position 58,293,514 of record NC_000017.11, read on the forward strand.
CCACTTAAAGTGCTAAAATATTGATTTAAGTAATGAAAAGTCAAATGTATATGCTATCATACCTAAAGCAACCACTAAAAAAGTTATATATATAAGTATATATACACATAATGTGTGTAAATGTATATATAAATGCAATAACATTTAAAAGAATACCAAAAATTGTTCAAACAACCCAGAAGAAAGCAAGAAAGAGAAAACAGAGGGAATAAGCAGAAAACAAATAATATAATTGTAAACCAAAATATAAATAATCACACTGAATCTAAGTGAACGGTCTTAACACATCAGTTAAAACACAGATTGCCAGAATGATTTTTTTTTTTTTAGATAGGGTCTCACTCTGTCACCCACGCTGGAGTGCAGTGGTGCAATCTCAGCTCACTGCAACCTCCGCCTCCCAGGCTCAAGCAATTCTCCTGCCTCAGCCTCCCGAGTAGCTGGGATTACAGGCACACGCCACTGCCACCCGGCTAATTTTTGTATTTTCAGTAGAGGCGGTGTTTCACCACGCTGACCAGGCTGGTCTTGAACTCCCGACCTCAAATAGTCTGTCCACCTCAGCTTCCCAAAGTGCTGGGATTACAGGCATGAGCCACCATGCTCAGCCCAGAATTTTTTAAATGACTCAACTGTATATTGTCTAAAAGAAGCCCACTTCAAATATAATGATATAAGTAGGTTAAAGGCAAAAGGATAGAAAAAGATATACCATGCTAACATAAATCAAAAGAGAGCTAGAGTGGCTATGTTAGTATCAAACAAAAATACTTCAAAGTAAAGAAAATAACTAATGATAAAGCAGGAAAGAGTTAATTCTCTAAGAAGACATAACAATTCTAGATTTATAAGTGTTTAACAACAGGGCTTTGAAAAACAAAGCAAAACTGATAAAATTAAAAGGAAAAATGAATAAATTCACAATTGTAGTTGGAGGCTTTTACACTCCTCTCTCAGTAATTAGTAGAACCAAGGGTGATTCCATTTGCTTTCCTCTGATGCTGCAAACATGGACTCACGCAATCCTCCCACCTCAGCTTCCTGAGTAGCTGGAACTATAGATGAACACCACTAAGCCCAGCTAATTTATTTATTTATTTATGTTTGTAGAGATAGGGGTCTCACCATGTTGCCCAGGCTGGTCTCAAACTCCTGGCGTCAAGCAATCCTCCCACCTTGGCCTCCCAAAGTACTGGGATTCCAGGCATGAGCCACCATGCCTGGCCCAATTTCTTTTACAGGCTATGAAAGAGGAAGCAACACCAATCGGATGAATTATAAGAAGAATCAGAATCTCGGTCATGCAAAGACAGACCCAGTTTCCCCAGTGATTCCTGTCAGCTACAACATTTTGAAGTATATTAACATTAAGCCCTGAATATGCTTCTTATTTTAAATACTGTGGCATAGTGCAATTCATTAGCCTTTTTGAAAGGCATAGAAAGGATTTGAAGTCAAGCATGTCTTAAAGAAGCAAAGAGACTGATAGTCAATACCAATCACCCAGACCCAGAAGTGGGGCAACAAGCACGGAGCACAGGCTTAGTATCAACCTGATTGTGTCTAATGCATTCTGCTGACACCTCTGCAACTGAGCGTTAGCATCCATACTGTTCCAATTCTCCATACGGCATCTTCTACAGAAACAGATCTCTAAGAGAAGAAATGAAAAAGTTTCATCCAATCTTCAAAAATAGTTAATGTCAAGTAAGGACATTACTGTTACATTATAATATCGCATCCCAAAGTCAGCCTAGTGAAACGAATGCTTAATTTCTTCTCCTCCTTCTTATTTGTAGTGTCAACAGATCAAAAGGCAAATGTACTCTAAATCTAAATATTTAAAATTATTCACCTCTTTTTACTGCTTATTATCCCTCATAAATAATAACTCACTAACTAGGACGTGGAACTTTCACTCAGAAAGAAAAGCTTAGTTATAGCAATAAAAATATTCTTATAATACAAACTAAAATAAAAAAACCTAATATTCCTTTGTCTGCTCTATTGGTAAGCAATAGAATCAAATTAAAATTAGAATCAAATATTTTAGGAATGTCAGTGACCTTAGAGATGGTTTAGCTAAACAATCTCACTTCAAGACTGGAAAGATGAGGTTCGAGCATTGTAAGAAACTTGTCAAGGTAACACAGAATACTACCGGCAAAAAGTGGCTGCAGAACTCTGGCTGCCTATTCACCAGTTTTGTGTCCCTTTGTTTATTAAATGCTGTCTTTTCACAGTGTTATGAAGGTAAAAGGCTAGCACACCAGCCTCTCTGGCTTGTAAGTAAGTAATGAATGGGGGATATAAAGTAGTCTAACCCATTGTGCATTGAAAGTAGATAGAAACCTCTTGTGAACACCTGGGCAGTAGAATAACTGAAATAAACAATTTTTCTAGTTGCTACAGCAGAAGCAAGAAAGAATGAAATTGACTTTATTTATCTACTTAAAGAGTGAAGACAGAAACTGCAATAAGAATTCTGGCATCACTGTTCAACCAAGAGCTAACTTTTATATTGTTTTAGAAAATGTAGTCATTGGCCGTGCGCGGTGGCTCAAGTCTGTAATCCCAGCACTTTGGGAGGCTGAGGCGGGCAGATCAGAAGGTCAGGAGTTCGAGACCAGCCTGGCCAATATAGTGAAACCCTGTCTCTACTAAAAATACAAAAATTAGCCAGGAGTGGTGGCACATGCCTGTAGTCCCAGCTACTCAGGAGGCTGAGGCAGGAGAATTGCTTGAACCCAGGAGGCGGAGGTTGCAATGAGCCGAGGTTGCGCCACTGCACTCCAGCCTGGGCAACAGAGTGAGACTCTGTCTCAAAAAAAAAAAAAGAAAGTGTAGTGACTATTTTATTGTCGATGATTTTACCTCATATGACATTCCTGACATTGTGATTAATAAATAAAAGTTGTGCTGCCAGAAAAGAAAAAAGAACTAATGGAGAGAAAATCAGCAAAGATATAGAACTGAATAACACCATCAACCAAATGGAAACAATTTGTATGTATACAAAATGCTACCTAATAATAGCGGAATAAACATTATTTCCAAGCGCACATGGAACACTCATAAAAATAGGCCACATTCTGGGCCATAAAGCAAGCCTCAACAAATTTAAGAGAATTAAAATCATACAAAGTGCGTTCTTTAAGCATAATGGGATCAAACTAGAAAACGATAAGAGAAAGATAACAGGAAAACATCCAAACACTTGGAAACTAAGAAAACACACTTCTAAACCCATGAGTCAAGAAATGTTTTTTTAAAAAATGAGAACTGAGGCCGGGCTGGTGGCTCACACCTGTAATCCCAGCACTTTGGGAGGCCGAGGTGGGCAGATCACCTGAGGTCAGGAGTTCAAAACCAGCCTGGCCAACGTGGTAAAACCCTGTCTCTACTAAAAATACAAAAATTGGCCAGGTGTGGTGGTGCATGCTTGTAATCCCAGCCACTTGGGAGGCTGAGGCAGGAGAATCACTTGAACTCAGGAAGCGGAGGTTGCGGTGAGCAGAGATTGCATCACTGCACTGCAGCCTGGGTGACAGAGTGAGAATCTGTCTCAAAAAATAAATAAATAAATAAATAGAACAGAATGAGAATTGAAACACAGTATATCAAAATTTGTGGAATGCAGCTAAAACAATGCATAGAGGGAAATTTATAGCATTAAATGCTTATATTAGAAAAGAAAGAAATGTCTCAAATCAATGATCTAAGCTTATGCTTTGTTAAACAAGAAAAAGAAGACTACAGTAAACAAAGCAAGCAGAAGGATAAAATAATAAAGGCTAGAAATTAATTAAATAATAAAATAAACGTCAGAAATTAATGAAATTTAACACAGAAAAATAATAGAGAAAAAAATGAATCCAAGAAGGTGATTCTTTGAAAGATCAATTTTATTGATAAACCTCTAGTTAAACTGACCAAGAAAAAAAGAAGACAACTTACAAACATCAGTAATAAAAGAGGGAACATTACCACAGACCCCACATACATTATGAATATAAATGTGACAACTAGGATAAAAAATTCCTTGAAACAAATTACAAAAGCTCACTCAAGAAGAAATAGTTATATTTAAGTCCTGTATCTGTTAGTGACATTAAATTCATGGTTTAAAAGCCTCACACAAAGAAAACTCTAGCCCTAGATGCTTTCACTGGCAAATTTTATCAAACATTTAAGGAAGATATAATGTGGGCTGGGTGCGGTGGTTCACGCCTATAATCCCAGCACTTTGGGAGGCCGAGGTGGGCAGATCACCTGAGGTTGGGAGTTCCGAGACCAGCCTGGTCAACATGGTGAAACCCTGTCTCTACTAAAAATACAAAAATTAGCCGGGTGTGGTGGCACATGCCTATAATCAAAGCTACTCAAGAGACTGTGGCAGGAGAATCGCTTAAACCTGGGAGGTGGAGGTTGCAGTGAGCCAAGACCGCACCATTGCACTCCAGCCTGGGCGACAGAGCAAAACTCCGTCTCAAAAAAAAAAAAAAAAAAAAAAGGGAGATATAATGCTAGTTCTACACAATCTCTTCCATGATATAGAATGTCATAGAAACTTTCCACCTCATTTTATGAGGCTAACTGTATTCTGATATTAAAACCTGACATGGACATTACAATAAAAGAATACTACAGAACAAGATAACTCATGAAAACACATGCAAAATTCCTCAACAAAAGAGTAGCAAATTGAATTCAGCAATATAAAAAAATCATAACAAATGGGGTTTATCCTGGGAGTACAAATCTATTTCAACTTTTGAAAAATCAATTTAATTCAGCTTATCAACAGCGTAAAGAAAAAAAAGACATTTGATCATCTTAATAGATGCAGAACAAACATTTGACAAAATTTAACATCCAGTTTTGATAAAACCTCTCTGCAATCTAGGAAAAAACAAAAGGAACTTTCTCTGCCTGACAAAGGGCATCTATAAAAACAAAACAGAAAAACTCAATGAAAATCATTCTTAATGGTGAACAATTGAATGCCTTCCCCCTAAGATTAGGAACAAAGCAAGGATATCTGTTTTCACCACTTCTAGTCAACATTGTACAGGAGGTCCTGGCCAGTGCAATAGGCAAGGAAAAAAATTAATGTCATACAAATTGTAAAGGAAGAAATAAAACTGTCTCCATTCCCAGATAACAAATTGCTTTAAAAATTCCAAAGAATAACCGAGAAAAAAGCTACTAGAACTAATAAGTGAGTTTAGCAAGGTTGCAGGATACAAAATCAGTATACAAAACTCAATCGTATTTCTTCATCCTAGATTTTTTCTTTGCAGGACAGTTCTCCAGGTAGCCTTAGACCAACCCAGTTCTTCCCCTTTGTTGTTTGTAGTTATCAAGAATGACTGTAAAATTTGCTGGGAATACAACATCCTGAGATAGGGAGGAACTGACCAGAACAGCCTGGGCTCTCTTCCAGTCCCCCAACAGAAGACAGATGTCCTTCAAGGCTTTATCCCAGAGAGTCCTGATGCTCCTGAGGTATAAAACCCAGAGTAGGCTGTCTTCCAGGGTCCCACAGCTGCAGTGCAAATGGGGTACATGCAGATAAGATTCCACCCAATTTCCTTATTTTTCTTATCTGCTATATATTTAGAAACTATGAAAGGATGCTTTCACTTATCAAATGATTTTTCAACATCTTGAAGTGAGCATGTGATTTTTCTCCTTTGATCTGTTAAAGTAGTGAATTCTATTAACATAGAATAATAGAATTAATCAATTTAATAATAAAATGGTGAAACACTTTTGCCTTATTAAGATAAATGCTACAGGCCAGGTACAGTGGCTCATGTCTGTAATCCCAACAGTTTAGAAGGCCAAGGCAAGAGAATCACTTGAGGCCAGGAGTTCAAGACCAGCCTGGGTAACATAGCAAGACTCCATCTCTTAAAAATTGTTTTTAAATTAGTTGGGCATGGTGGCATGTGCCTATACTCCCAGCTACTCAGGAGGCTGAGGTGAGAAGATCATTTGTGCCCAGGAAGTCAAGGCTGCAGTGAGCTGTGATCATGCCACTGTACTCCTGCCTAGGTGACAGAGCGAGACCCTGTCTCAAAAAAAAAAAAAAAACAAAATTAAAAATGCTACAGCCATGATGTATATTTAATTTCCTAAAGCTATATTTAGGATATTCTGTGTTCATAAACCAGATAGATCTGTCATAATGTTTTCTTGTCCTGTTCTAGATTGGGTGACAAGATTATTCAAGTCTCAAACATTGAATTGGATTGCTTCTCTTTTTTTTTCTGTACTTGTAATCTATTTATCAGCTTCACATGCAGTGAGTCCTTTGAATCTAAGTATCTGTGTCTTTCTTCAGTCCTAGAAAATTTATAGCCATTATTTGTTCTATCACTCATGGTCTCTATTTCTCCCCACATCTTCCCAACCCCAGGGTATTCTTATGAATAGGTATTGAAACATTTGACCCCATCCTCCATGTATAACTTTTCTTTCATTTTGCTCATCTCTTTTATCCCTTTGTACAGCACTCTGAGGGAATTACTTACCTCAAAATTCAAGCTTACTAATTGTATCCAACTATGAATTATATGCTCTTCACGCATATATTGAGTCCTTTTTTAACAAGAATATATGTATTTTTTGCAAGATCTCTATTAGGATCACTTTCATAACTACTTGATCTTGTTTCCCATATGTAATTCCTTCCTTTATTTCTCCAACAATAACTGTAGACTTTTTAAAGTTTTCTCCTAATGCTTTACTGACTTATGTATATTTTTCCATTTCCATTTGTTATCTCTCTTAGTGAAGTTGGCTTTCCTCAAATATTTTTTGAGTCTTTACTCTGTTCTTGCCATTGTGGTTGGGAGTCTTTGCTGGACGGCTGGGTGGGAACTGCTGCCATGATTCTGAGGGTTTTGGTTGAGAGGGAAGGGTCACAGTATGCTGCGGTTTGGTGGCTTCTCACCTGGGCGGTGATACATCTTGTTTCTGCCAGGTGCGGCCAGCCACCTAAAGTACCACCTGGTCTCTGATCCAAGCTGCAACCCTTACTGTTCTCTAAGTCTGTCATCTAAAGGCAGACATCTTCACCTTTGCCCTTGGCCCATGGCAGAAGGAGAATGTGCAACAATCATTCAAAGAAAAACCCCAACTAACCACACCATCGGTAGCCCCTAGGGTCTCTTCTGCCCTGTTTGCACTGCCTCTAGTCCAGAGGCAACGTGCAGAGCTCTCCCACATATACCCTACTCTCAAGTTTCTCAGTATGATCTGCCATCTGTTCTTGTCTTTTCCAGAATCCTGTTGTTTTTAGTCTACTGAGAGTCCCCTTTCTTGCTTTCAAATGGAACTGTGTATAGTGTTTATTTGTTCTATTTCTCTCATGTCTATTATTTCTGTGCATTTGGTATAGAGGAGAAAGACTGCAGTGTGTGTTCAGTCCACCATCTTGAAACTGGTGCTTTCCCTCTGTGTGTTTCCCGTCTGTCCCATCTTCCTCCACAACCCCAGCCCCAGTAGCAAATATCTGACCCTGTGACCACGGGCTCAGGAAGCTACCAAACCACCTTCTTAGGAAAAGGATTCAAAAGCTCGTGGTGTTGATTGGTTTTTGCCCCTGTTAGCCTTAGGATGTAACTTCTGGGGTCTGAAGTCCAGAGTCCAAAGCCCAGCTGCCCCACCCCTCCAAGGAGTCCTTTGCCCATGGAGAGTCCAGCATAGATTTTGTGAAAATAGACTTTATTATAATAAAATGTCTTTTTAAACAAATTCCCCCACCATTCCACACCCCTGGAGACCAAGGTCAAGGTGGGGGTTCAGTCAAACTATCTCCCACCACAGCAAAGGAAACATGCAAAGACACACTCACCCCTCAGAGGGTGGGGGATGGAGTGGATCGGGTAACGGCGGAGAACCCCTACCCCACTCTGAACAGGGAATGTATGAAAATAGCTGCATAAATCTGTCCTTTTCTCCAGCCCCTGGACTCCAACAGGGGTTAGAAGAAAACTATGCAAAAGAACTTGAATCCAATGAGCAAAATAAGGCAAACCCAACTCCGCTTTCGGCCCCGCTGGCCCCAGGGTCTTTGGGGGCGGGACCTTACAGGGGCCAGCAGGCCCCGGCAGGGAAGGATGGAGCACGACGGGGGCAGGGTGGGGCCCACTTTGGCTTGGCCTTTCTCCTTCCTGGGCCTGTGCAGTGGAAGCGAGGTGGAGGAAGCTGAACTGAGGCACTGAGTATATACATATATACAGGCTCCGCCCGCCTGCCCGCTGGGGAGATGGGGCTCCAATAAAATCCAGTGCAAACTTTCCTTCAGGGGAGGGAAGACAGGATCAGGACAGCCAGAGCCATCAGGGGGCACAGGCTCCTTTCTCCCTCCAGGGCCCGTCCTGGGACTGGGAAGGGTGGCAGAAGGGACTAGCGCAGCACTGTGGGACACTAGTAGACGAGGTGGGTGGACCAGGACGCGAGGGTCCTGGGTCCAGTCCTGGCTCAGTGACCTTGGTCAAGTTACATACTCACTGTGGGCTCAGTTTCCCCTCCTGTAGGAGGAAGGTGCTTCTCTAGAGAGTTCATCCTTAAGGAGCCATTTAGCTCTGACCTTCACCAAGGCTCTTTGATTCCCTCTGAATGCCACAGTGTTAACGCAGAAGAACGGGGGCTCTGGGCCCAGTCTGAGCCTTCCCTGCTCAGCAGAGACAGTGATCTGGGGGCCTCTCAGGGCCTCTTCTGCCTGCAGGATGGGCCACAGCTTCACTCCTTCTTCCCAGAGCCCAGCCTCCTGAGGAGCTGCTTCCCCTTGGAGAAGAAACCCCACACCTTCTCGCTTCTGCCCTGGGGCTCCCCACGTTCAATCCTGGGGGCGCTGCCAGAGCTGGGGGTACAAGGCCCACCTGGGGGCCCTGGGGACCCTTGTGTGGTGCAGCCCCAGTCCTGAAATGTGAGACAGAAGGAGCAAGGTCAGGGCCTGATTCCCTCCTGACCCCCTGACCCATTTTTTCCACAGCCTAAGGGGCCTGCAGCCTCCCATGTCACAGAACCATGGCTGACGCTGAGAACCAGGGCCTCACCTCCCACCACTGTCAGAAACACACAGCACAGGTGGTGAATGGGGAGGGTGATGCCGAGGGAGCACTAAGCTGGGAGTCCCAGGGGATGCAGTCTCGGTTCTGGATCGCTCACCTGTGACCCTGGGCAGGCCCCTTCCCTTCTCCCTCCAGGGTGCAGGGCTGACAGGGCCCAAGAGTTCTTGGAACCTGCCCCTCAGGATGGGTGCCCCCAACTTCTCACATGTCACCTCCCTCCAAAAACATGGAGCGCAAGGACAAGGACTGCTTAGAAGCAGCTGTCACTGCCCAGGAAGGTAGCTTCTACAGCCCCTCATAGACAGAAAGAGCGTCTCCCCAAACCCAGCAGATGTGGCCCCCCCAGGCCTTCAGGGTGTGGAGCCAGTACCCACTCCATGGGGAGGAAGATTGGGACTCTCCCTTAAGGGCCCCTAAGAGGACTGCCGGGAGGCCAAGGACCCAGAGGGACTCACAGCTGGGGGCATCACTCAGCCCCCACCACAGGCTCTGGAGGCTCTAGCATCTTTTTCCTTACTGAATCTCCTCCTGACTCCACTCCCTTTGCCTCAAGCCCGCCCAGACGGCGCTCCTTAGTGATCTAAGGCCAGGGAGCTGGGAGAACAGAGAAGCCACCAGAAAGCCCCCTACACCTATGTTCCCACCTTCACCTCTGGTACCTGCACAGCTCTGTCAGCTCTTGCCAGCCTGCATGTCTTCCCTTCCTCAAACTCCCACTTGCTGCCCGGAGCCTGGCAGGCTCCCAGCCAGAACCAACTATAGAGCCCAGGCCAGAGGCAAGGAAAGTGGGTGCACAACCGAGGCCCCACCCCCGCCCCAGGCCTGCAGTGATGTGGCAGGGCTGCCCACAGAGGCCAAAGCATCTACCCCCAACCAGCCAGAGCCAATAGCCGGCTGGCGAGCCCCAGGCCCTTCCCACTCCCTCTTAGGGCTCCTTCCACAACATCCAGGAGGGAGAGGTTGTTAGGGAAACAAAAGGAGGGTGTTTCTGAGCCCCAGAGAATAATGGTTTGGGGTTATTTATGGATTTGAACTACTCAAACTTCCCTTTTATTTTTTTATTTTTGAGACAGAGTCTTGCTCTGTCACCCAGGCTGGAGTGCAGTGGCGTGATCACCGCTCACTGCAGCCTCGACCTCCTGGGCTCAAGTGACTCCCACCTCAGCCTCCCAAGTAGCTAGTATTAAAGGCATGAGCCACCACACCTGGCCAAACCTCCCCTTTTATCCCCCAAGTAGAGAAAACTGAGAGTTGGAGGTAAATCATGCATCTGATCACCCTAACAGGTCACAATGCAGAGGACAAGGGTGGGAAGCCTATTATTACTGGTGGCATTACAGTGTCACCCTGGCACCAGTAATAATTATGATATTATAATACCATAGCCACACAGTATCATAATACCACTGATGAGTCCTAATATGGATGTCACGTCATGTTCTATAAACCACATGTGTTATAGAATAGGAAGCATCAGCTAATATGGGACATCACACACTAAGATGACATGTAATCCTATGACAGCTGGCACTGCCCTGGGTAAAGGCAAGGCAAGGGGAGCAGGGAGGGGGAGGGATGACTCTTCATGCAAATCTGGCTCATGGCAAGCTCTCCTTCGCCATTCCCTGGACTACAGTGGGAAAGCTGGGTCAGCTCCAGTATTTGAGACAAAGGAGCACTGTCTGATTATGGTCAAGTGGGGGTGGACGGTCACACAGGGGGGCAGTCCCCCACTTACATGTTGCTCTCTCTACATATATCTATCTCCATCTAGCACTGGACTCTTCTCCTCCTCGTTCTCTGAGGACAGGGAACAAAGAGAGGAGATGGGTTACCGACAGACCCGCACCTTCTCCGCCCGGCCACCAGGTGGCCCTGCGCAGGGGTGGGCCCTACTCTCCAAGGCCTTTGTGTTCACACATGGAAGCCCTGAGTTTTCTGGCTGGGGCTTGGCCTCTTCACCCTCTCTCCCTGCCCTCTGAGAGTGGAGGCTTAGTTGTATTCCACTCACCCCAAGGAGAGGCAAGCTCAAGGAACGAGAACCCAGGAAGCTGGGCCTGGCTGGGCAACTGGCTTCCAAAGGCACCTGGGAGGTATGGAGACCACCCCCAGGGTGGGAGTGTCCTGAAACAGGGACTTTGATTGGCCACAGGTGTGAGGCAGAGGGGTCCTTTTCCACAGGGCCCCCTCACCTGCGTCAGCCACCAGGTGTTGGCAGCTGGCGAGATGGCCTGAGGGTCAGGGTCACAGCTATCATCCCTCTGCAGAGAGGGGCACATACTGGGGGGCAGCTGCTTGGTGGGGCTCCCCTCTGGTGGTCAATTAGCGGCTGCACGCTGGACACAGTGCTTACCTGCATGACCACCCCAGCTGCACCCCTGCCGCAACACTGCCCTGGCCCTACCACCCCACCAGTAGGGTAGACTGCCCTGCCAAGCTGGGAGCCCAGCTCCTCACTGACCTGACTCTCAGCCTGGGGTGTCCTGGGTTCCCTGTCCAGGCCGCCTGCCTCAGGCCCAGGGCCCTCCAGGAAGTTGGATGGAACCAGGCCCCTTTGTCCATTTAATTCCCCCTGGAGAGAAGAGGCCGGTGAGACTGAGATCAGGAAAGAGGCTCTGGCCCTGCCCCTCGACTCTGATGCCCCTGGGGAACAGCTGGGGCCAAAACCACTGTCCAGGGAGGTGACCCGTTCCATTCCTCCGGACTTCCTGAGGGTTCCTTGCCTATCCCCCTGTCCGAAGTCTGGGGGGCTGGGATATGGTACACCCTCCCCAACAATGTTCTCACATAGTAGAAACCGTCATCGTCCATGCCCCCAAACACAGTAATGACATCCCCTGCCCGGAAGGGCAGCTCTGCCTGTGGAAAACAAGAGGAGGGCATCAGGCCCAGGAAGGCTCTGCCACCGCCCTTTGCTGGGCTCTATCTGAGGGTCCTCACCTCCACGTCCATATTGGGGGAACTCTCCTGGGGGTTGTAGTCAAATGCAGCCACCATGGAGTGGGGAGCTTTCAGGTCAGCAGAGGGGACCAGCTTAGGGGGGCCTGCAGGGGGAGTAGGAGAAGACTCTGGACTCTCTGGAGAGCCCTACACCCCATCCTGTCTTCTGCCCCGGACCCCTGCTGACCCCCTGTCACCACCTCCCCACTAGCTGTAGCCAATGGGGCGAGGCCAGAGGGGCCACCCACCCTATCTCCTTCCCCAGCCTCCCGGGCCCAGGGATATTCCTTCACCTGGACAGGGCTGGGCAGGGCCTTCCGACTCAGCTGTGGAAAGAATGTGCCTGTGAGCCCCCTCCCACCCTGCCCACCCAGGCTGCAGGTGCTGCAGCGCAGGCCAGACACTCGCCCACACACAAGGAGGCAGGCAAGGAAGGCTGCCGAGGGCGCATCTCCCCAACCCTTTTGTGTGGCAGTGAACTAACACCCAGAAAGGGTAAATGGCACGCTCTGGGATTCACGGATTTTATAGTCAGGTGCCTGTGGGAACAGAGAGCTCCACAAACCATCCCTCATCCCCACCGGAACAAAGCCCCCCATGGGGGGAGGCAGGGGATGTGGGTGGTCTGCCGATTCCCTTTACCTGCTCAAAAACCCAGAGGTGCCTCCCCAGACAGCCAAGCAGCGCCACCCACCAGCACACACATCCTCCCAGCACCTGAGAGAAAACAGACAGCCAAGCAGCGCCACCCCACCGCACACACATCCTCCCAGCACCTGAGAGAGAATGGGGTCTTACCCACCTTTCTTGGAGCGGCGGGGCTTGGGAGGAGGCCCAGTTGTGTGGGCTGTGGAGTACACAAACGGACCATTCCCTGATCCAGAAAAGCAGAGAGAAAGCGAGGCAGGGGAGGTGGGAGAGACAGGACTGGGACTCTGGAGTTTCCTCTCAGGGCCGTGCTAGGTTACTGAGCTTGTTTCGTAAGGGCATTCATCTCCCATCCCTGACAAGAGCCCCACCCAACCTCCAGGACCCAAAATTCCTGGCTGCATGGCTGTATTCCCCTCTGCAACAGACGCCCACTCCACGCGGCCAGCCCACGTACAGTCTGACCACTACGCAGCAGGGTTCAAGGCAGGCTCCAAGGCTCTGCTAGAGTCTGGGTAAGTGGGAGCACCCCAGACACAACAATTGCTCAGGGTCAGGTGGAGTTGGAAGGGGGCTGGTGGGAGGTGGGTGAGGGACAGCAGCAGGTCATACCTGAGCCCTCAAGGAGAATATCTGGGGACAAATAACCCCGCTGGAGCAGTTGCTGTCTCCCAGCAGGGCTGTCCACAGCCACCTCAGCCACCATGTTGCAGGGAATGTAGCCTGTCCGGCCCCCACCTTCGCCCTGGTAGAAGCCATCGGCATCCTTGTCCCCAAACACCTGGAGGCAAAACCAGTGGTCTCAGCCAGTTCTGCTCACTCCCTATGCCCCTAGGCCCCGAACCCCAGCAACACCCCACTTGGAAATGCAGAAGAATGTTCTCCCTTTTGTATGCCATGAAATGGGAAAAGGGGGAAAACAGCAAAGAACAGGATCAGAGGGATAGGAGAAGACAGCCCTTTCTGTATTATCCCCATTCACTGTCTACATGGCCATGCCCTTTGCCCACCCCAGAATGGATCTCCTTAGTCTCAGAGCAATAGCAAAATGCCTTTAATCAATACTTGGAGGAGTAATAAAAATAGTAATGTCAGCAGCAGATAGTTAGATTGTGCTGCCTATGTCTCAGGCAGTTTAAGCACTTTATGTACATTGGATCATTTAATCCACAAAACACCCTGTGAGGTAGACACTAATATTATCCCCATTTTACCAAAAAGAAAACTGAGGCCCAGGGGGCCTAGGTAATCTACTCAAGGTTACACAGCTAGAAGCAGCAGAGTCAGGTCCAAACCCATGTCATCTGCTCTAGAAGCCATGTTCTCCACCATGATTCTGTGCTACCTCCAGTGGAGGAAAGGAGGGAGGAGGGAAGACCCAGCTGGTGTTTGGAATTCTGAGCCCTGATGGCGAATCAGTCACCTTCAGGATCTGACCCTCTCGGAAGGGAAGCTCTTCTTCTCCAGCATCAGGATTGGGCGACATTGACACGGGGTCATAGTCAAACAGAGCCACAAAGATCCTGACGGGTAGGTGCTGGTAAGCCAGTGTTTCTGAGGGGCTCCTCGCAGGGACTGTGGAGACAGTGGAGAGGGCGGTGACGCAGCGAGCTCTGGCCGAGCAGCTCTAGCTCCAGCCCCATCAGGTGCTCACCTAGCTCTGCAGTGCTTGGCCTGAGGACTCGGACACCTCTCTTCTGGGGGCCCCTCCGCCCAGAGCCGTCCTGCCCTCTGGCCTCTCCGGTCTCTGTTGCCTGCAAAAAGAGGGCAACAGATGGCAAAAGTAACACACCATCCCTCTGGTGGGCTCGTGCTCCCCCAGCTCTGCCCCATCAGCGTAAGCAGCACAGCAGCGCAGGAGCACAGCATTCCTCTCCCGGAGCCTCGGCCCAGCCTGCTGGAGACCTCAGACACCCCCACAGTGGGAGGGAGGGCAGGAGGGGAGGCCCCAGCCCCAGCCTGCGAGTAGATGAATGGAGTAGAGGGGACTGGAGTTGGCTGAGGAGCCCGCGAGAGGAGGGCCTCCCGTCAGCATCAGGGCAGGTAACCCTGGACATGGCATCACAGTCAGCGTCCTGAAGCCATTACTAGCTATGCAGAGGAAAGGGCGACCCTGCCCACAGGCCGCAACAGGCGACTAGTGATAGAATATTGTGCATCCCAGTCCTGATCAGCAGAAGCAGCAAAGCAGTGGAATGTGGGTGGGAGGAGGCAGGTGAGGGAGCCCGGAGGCCCGGCCCCACCTCTGCTGATGGAGGCAGGCAGCGTGGAATGGGAGCTGCTGGTGGGCAGCAAGCAGGGCCACCAGGTGGCAGCAGGCAGGGGCTGCCCAGGGCGGGGAGTGAGCACGGACCCGGGAGAGTGGCTCCTTGGCTCTGCCCGTCGCACTGCGGCCTCTCCGCTCTGGTTCCCCTTTCTCCCAGGCTGGGAGGCGTGGGTAGGGCTTGGGGCCTGAATTGGCCTTCGGAGGCCCCCTGGGCCTTCCTACAGTTGCTGTGCCCCAGGCCTCCCCATCTCCAGGGTAGCAGGAGCTGGTGATGCTGATGCCCCCGCTGCCCGCCTCCTGCTCATCCTCCGAATCATATTCAATGCTGATTTCCAAGCACTTGGGGGAAAGGCAGCTGGCCAGGCCAGGCTCCAGCGCCCGGCCACGGGAGCACCTCCGGGAAGGGCCCAGCCGGCCTCTCCCGCTAGCCTCTAGTCCAGTCCTGGGGCCCTCAATTACGGGGAGGCCACCCCTCTCCCGTGTGGGGCCCAGTCGTCCAGAGGCCTGGGGCCCATTGTTGCTGAGAAGTCGGCTGCAGTGTTCTCGGGGATCTGGAGGCCGCCTGCGGCTTGGGGGCTTCTCAGGGGAGCCCCCTCCTCTCCTCCGGCTGCTTCCACCAACTAATCCAGGCATGTCTTCCAGGCAGTCTCCAGCCCTGGAGGACTCAGGAGACAAGGGACACTGGCCAGGTCTTCGGGGCTGACCACTGTCACAGCCCAGCCCCAGCAATGCAGGTTCAGGCGGGCCAGGGTCTCGGGAAGAACAGCCTGCCCCTGACTTCTCCTCCTCCTCGTCCTCCTCTTCCTCTTCCTCCTCCTCCGGGATGCTAAAGAGCTTCTTGCTACAGAACTGCTGGAGGGGCAGCTCCAGGATCTGCTCCAAGATCTCCTCATCGCTGTCAGTCTCACAAAAGGGGTCGGGCTGGGACTGGTGGAGGTGGGGAGGTGGGAGTAGAACACAGCAGGGAAGAGAGATGCGTGGGGAAGAGGAGAGCGAGCTGCGATCTTTGCCCTCAAACGAAGGCAGGGGTTACGGACAACCCCACAGCCCTCCCACGGCTTCCTCCGAGAGGAGAGAACCAGAGGGACGGTGGCTGGCCCAAATTCACACACATATCCAGTGAGAGCCAAAGGAAGAATTAGGGAACACACTCTAGGAACCATCACCAGCCCCTGTGGGACAGGAGCATTGAGGAGCAGGCCTCCCCATCCCCTCCCCAGAAGCTACCAGCACAAGGATCTTAGGTGGCACCGGCCTCCCCTGGCCAGGGCGCTGTATCTGGTGGGCTGGAGGGAGAGAAGGTACAGAAATGAACTCCTCCCCTTCCCCTTTCTTTCCAGGAGGGCAGGGGCCAATCCTGGGGCACTTCCTATCTTCTGCTTAGGACAGGGCCCAGGCCACAGACCTAGAATGTTTCTGGCACTCAGTGGTGGTCAGAGCACCTGCTGACACACAGTGGGGAGGCCCCGGAGTTTGAGGCCTGGGGCCCAACAGCCCATCCCTACCCCGTTACCTTGGCCCCATTCTCCCTGATGCTGTTGCCAGCAACCTGCTTCT
This sequence comes from Homo sapiens, assembly GCF_000001405.40. Classification (NCBI taxonomy): domain Eukaryota; kingdom Metazoa; phylum Chordata; class Mammalia; order Primates; family Hominidae; genus Homo; species Homo sapiens. The sequence continues at coordinate 58,310,011 of NC_000017.11, forward strand.
GGAAGGAGCAAGTCCTGGAACCCAGCTCCTCTTCCTCCTCCTCCTCCTCCTCTTCCTCTTCCTCCTGGATGTCTGACAGGTCTGAGTTGCGGCCGTGGTCCACGAGGGAGTTCACCAGATGAACCCCAAGCTCTGCTGTGTCCTCCTTCTGCAAGAAGTGAGGCAAGGCAGGAGAGATAAGGACAGTGAGGGGGCACAGGGGGTTCCAGGCAGGGTCAGCCCCAGCCACAGTAACAAGGGTCCTTTGGCAGAGGGAGAAAGAGCCATGTCCTAAATGGGGGAGGCACACCATGGCTCAGGGGCAGGGTGGGAGAAGGGAGATGGGAGCCACATGGGACAGAGAAATCCTAGAAGAAAAACAGACACATAGCACAGCCAAAGGTGTGAGAGCAGGACCAGAGCAGAGGACAGGCAGAGAGGGCAACTGGATTTGCGCTGGCAAAAGGTAGGGAGACAGGCCTCAATTCTCTGAAGTGACACAGTGTGTCCCCAAACCCCTACCTCAGCCCTGGGCCTCAGCCCAGACCCTGGGTCTCCTCCTTGGCACATCTCGGTATTTGGCGCCTGCTGGGCCCGTGCTCCCTGGGTGGAGCTGGAGGCCGGACAGGCCTCTCCTGCAGTCCACTCGGCCTCCTGCTTGGCCAGTGAGGGAGCTGCGGGGCCAGGGTCCTTCTCACCCAGGGTAGATGTGCTGGCTGTCCTCTCCTCTGAGGTGCCCAGCACTGCTGCCCCAGCCTCCTCCTGGAACAGAGAGCACTGAGGAAGGACCCAAGCCCAGGTCCCTCTGCCAGCCTGCACCTGCTCCCCTCTCCCCAGACAGGGTACCTGGGAGCAAGGTGCTGGAGGGTCCTCGTGGGACCCTTTTGCCATCTCTCTGGAAGGGCTTGCAGGGGGTGCTCCTGGAGGCTCTTGAGTTCCAAGGGGAGCAGGGTGCTGGAGAGGAGAGCTGGGGTCTCCAGGCCCTGGGGAGGCTGAAGCAAGGGGCGCTCTGGCCTCTGGGCTTGGGTGCGGTGAGGGGCAGGAGACTCGGGCTGGCAGGCTGGCCGGAGCCAGGGCGGGAGTGATAGGAGCCGGGATGGAGTCCGCCGACTCCCCGTGGGGCGACATGGTGCGCACGACCACCTCACGACACACCTGCAGCAGCTGCAGCTGGGACAACTCCACCAGTACACTGCCTGCCGTGGGTGAGGCCACCTCCATGATCTGCAGGGTGGAGGGGGCACAGGATGGGAAGCAGAGGCTGAGACAGCCAAGCGTGAGGATGCACTGACAGCAGTGGCAGCTAACTGACAGCAGTGGCAGCTAGCATTACGCCAGGTACTGTGCTAAGCCCTCTGCATGGCCTATCTCATTTCATCCTCCTGGCCATATGGCTTCAGTGATGGAACAGTTCTAAAATCTGTCATGTGCTGCCAAAGCCCATGCTCTTAACCCATCTGCCTCATGGTACCCAAATGCCAGGGGCTGGGCATCTCCGTGCCAAGCCAGAGAGCCTAGACCTCTGAGCATAGCAAGAAGGGACCCACCCCCACTCCCAGGGTACAGTGGGCAGGGCTATACCTTCTGCCCATCAGCGTAGATGGCATAGCCTGTGACCCGGACACCGTTGGATGTGCCAGCAGCATCGATGGTGACTGGGAGCCAACTGATGATCAAGATCCCAGGGGAGGGCCCAGGCTCGATCTGCACATCCAGAGGGGCATCAGGTGGGCCTGGGGGCAGGGGGGCACAAGACCCAGTGATGCAGGACGCTCCCCATCAGAGATACCTGCCCAATTTGCTATTTCCCTGATAACGCAAATAAGATCAGGGTCCCCTTCTTCCGTCACCCATGGCCTGGCCTCCTGGGTGTTCTGGACAACAGGGCCCAAGCCCACATACCTGCTGGGAGTGTGGTGAACTGCAGGGTGGCAGCCCGCTGCTCCAGCCTCTCCCAGCCTGGTTCCCAGGGCCCTTGGGGTGGGAGCTGAGCCTCCACTTGGGCCTGATAGGGTGTGCCAGGCCGTAAGTGGCAGAAGGTGGCCCAGTAGGTACTGGGGCTGGCAGGTGGGCACTCTTCCCCATTGAGGTAGATGGCATGGGCCAAGTTGCTATTGCCGGGCACCCAGGTGATCTCAGCAGATGTGGCTGTCAACCGATGGACCCGCAGCTGGCTGGGCACCACTCCGGCCCGGGCACCCACCGCCAAGCAACAGCGCAGTGGGTCAGAGCTGCCCCGGCTAGTCAGGGCCTGGACAGAAATGTGAAGGGGCCCGGCCCACAGGTCCAGGTTCTCCAGCACGGCCTTGGGTGGCGCCCCAGGCCCCAGGGCCTGTCGCAGCTCCCCATTCACACAGATATGGAAGCCGTGTAGCTCCACTTGCTCAGGAGGCGGCTCCCAGGCCAGCACCACGCTGTGGGCCAGCTGCTTGAGGACCACCAGACGGCGGGGGTAAGGCACGGCAGGAGGCTCGCCCAGGCCCTCCGGTGATGGGCTCAGACTGAGCTCGTCCCCTGCATCCTCCTCCTCAGGTCTGGGCTGGCTCCTTCCCACACTGCTTTGGCCCCCGCTACTGCTGCCACCCCCACCTACACTCAGGAAACTGAGTTCAGGGCCTGAGCTGTGGGACAAATCGGCCAGCTCTGGAGGGAGGGAGGTCAGGAGGTCATCATCCGACACACGCTCTACAAAATTGGAAGGGACCAGGCCCCTTCGGCCATCCATGAGCTCTCCTGGCAGGAGGAGGACAGGAAGGGGCAGGGCAGGGGAAGACAGAGAGGAGATAAAGAAAAAACGGTATAATAAATGCATTTTAGCAACTGCTAGTGGGTGATCTTCAGCATTTGATTCAAATCAACATTTAACTGTCAATTCTTTTAAAAGACAAGAGCAGTAAAGATCTGGATTAGAGATAGGTCTGATAATAGTATTTTGGTTCTATAGGACAGTGCTTCTTCAATTTTAACTTGCATATGAATCACCTACAGATTTGTTAAAATGCAGATTCTAACTCGGTTGGGTCTGGATGGGGCTGAGATTCTGTGATTCTAATAAGCCACCAGGTGACACTCAAGCTGCAAGGATGGAGGAGAATATCATGTTCTAAGTAAGCATGTTGAGTATTTCAAGGTAAAATATCATAATGCTTTTAAAATCATGTTTAACCTACATATAAAGCAAATATGCCAAAGTTTTAACAATTGTTGAATCTAGGTGCTGGCTATATAAATATTCAAATATATTCTGTACATTTGAAAACTTTTGTGTTAAAAATTGCAATAATAATTTCATAATTTCATATTAAAGTTTTAAAAAATAAGCAGGTCAGGATAAGAAAACTGGCCAGGCATGGTGGCTTATGCCTGTAATCCCAGCACTTCAGGAGGATGAGGCAGGCAGATCGCTTGAGCCCAGGAGTTTGTGACCAATCTGGGCAACATGGCAAAACCCAATCTCTACAAAAAATGCAAAAATTAGCTGGGAGTGGTTGCACGCCTGCAGTTGCAGCTACTCAGGAGCCTGAGGTGGAAGGATTGCTTGAGCCCGGGAGGCAGAAGCTAGAAGTCATAATCGCGCCACTGCACTCCAGCCTGGGCGACAGAGCAAGATGCTGTATCAAAAAAAAAAAAAAAAAAATTCTGCTGGTTGGGTTTTACCTGGGCCTGAGGAATAGGGGCCAGGGTGCCCCTCAACTTCTCTTTGTGAACAGCAGACATCCACAGAGGGAGAGAGAGACAACCAACTCAGCAGGGTAAAGGAGGAATCTTTAGAGACAAATGAAGTAAGTGCTAGTGAAATAGTCACTTGTAAGTTCTAGAAGGATCAGGAGCCCCAGCAGGCCTGTGTCTAGCAGCATGATTGACAGCAGTCAATCCAGGCAACCACCAATGGTTATGTTTTGTTACCTGCATCAGTTCTCCTGAAGACTTGACAAGAGAGTATTTTAAAACATTTGCTGTTGTTTGATTGAGGGATGTCAAGGAAGCTGGGCACCCAGCATGTAATGTCACGGTCAATTTAAAGAAGAAAAAAAGGTCTCAGGAAACAGACAGCTGGTAGCTGGTGTGCTTTATTGAGAGGAAGGGGGAGCACGAGCCAGGGCTTAGGGGAGAGGGGTGAGTGTAGGCAGGTCTGAGCTGCAGGGGGGCCTGGAGTTTCCCCCAACAGTCATCTGTGCCCCTCACCTCCACCCTCTCTCTCTCTGCCTATGCTAGGCAAAAAAAAAGTAAGGAACTTGAAGAAACAAGAGGGACTGTCAATAAATTCACTGATATAATAAGCACTGTAGAGGGTTGAATGGTGGCCGCCCAAAAACATGTCCATGTTCTAATCCCCAGAACTTGTGAACATGACCTTATTTGGAAAAAGCGTCTTTGCAGATGTAATTAAGTTAAGGATCTTGAGATGAGATCATCCTAGATTATCCGGGTGGGTCCTAAATCTAATGACAAGTGTTTTTATAAGAGACATGCAGAGGAGAAACACTAAGAGGAGGAGGCAATGGTGACCACAGATAGAGACTGGAGTGAGGTGGCCATAAGCCAAGGAACAACTGGAGCCACCGTAAGCTAAAAGAGACAAGGAACGGAACCTCCCCTAGAGCCCCCAAGGGGATGCAGTTCTGCCAATACTTTGATTTCAGACTTCTGGCCTCCAGAAGAGGCCAGTGAGAGAATAAATGTCTATTGTTTCAAGCCACTCTATGGTAATTGCTCCTGCAGCCCTAGGAAACGATCATAAGCACCAGCACTGTGGAGTGGGAGACAAAGGCAGGAGTCTTCACACTAAGAGGATCTCCAGCCTGCAGGGCTGAAGCTGGAGCCTGGGCCGGAGTCAGGCACATGCTCCAGAAGCCCATGCAGCTGAGAACAGCCTAGGTGGCCCAGACATAGACGAAGCAGTCCTTTAGCTAAGGTTGGACAGGGAATACGGCATCTTGCCCCCGGTGGCATTTACATCTATCCCAATTTATCCCAGATCGCAGAGTTCAAATTCTAGTCATTTGTGGTTAGTTAATACTTATGCCTTTGCTGCCCCCTCCAAAAATAAAGTGTTTGGGTTTTGGTTTTTGATTTGGGTGGGGTTTTTTTTTCTTCATTTATAAAGTATTATTTTCCTGAAAGCTTTTTAATTCTGATCTTCATAATCTACCCCTGTAGGGAGTTTAACTGTTTAGGCCACAAAGCCAGGTACCATGGGTCTCAGCAGCTCCTCAAGTAACAGGCAGAGGACCCAGGGAAAAGAAACTGAGCAGGCTCCCAAGCTTCCAGGGTTACAGATTCAGAGCTAAGCCTGTTCCTAAATCTCTACACACAGCTGCGGCTCTCGCCCTGCCCTGTCCATGCCCCATCCAATTCTCTACACAGTGCCATCCTCTCTGCTGCTGATGGACTCAGCCTGGTGGTACCCAGGCCAGAGCCACCCTGAGAGAGTCTCCCAAGGCCATGTCTTCCGCAGGCCCATAGTGCCCAGTCTCAATGAGGCATCTGCCTTGAGTTGCCTGATCAGCCCTCTGACTCCCCACAGGAGCTGCAGAACCTCCCTGAAGCAGACACCCTGCCTGGGCCCTGACAGCTGCTAACCGCTTGAGAACACCTTCCCCTGGGATCTTTACCCTGATTCCTCCTTCGCATACCTGACTGGAGTCCAGCATCAAATCTGTGCTGCATACCTGACCTCAGGTGTCACTACTGTGAAACACTGCCACGCCCTGACTATCCACACAAAAATGAATCTAGCCAAAATCTCCTGTGACACTCTCTCCACCATCTGGACTATGCTGTCCTGTCCTGCTTGGAGCCAGACTCCCTTCTTTCTCTTTCCCCAGTGGCTACTAGGTCTCTGTATGCCTTTTAGCTGAGACCAAAAAGTTAAGGTGGGCTGAGCACGCTGGGCAGAGGGGATGGATGGATGGATGGATGGATGGATGGATGGATGGATGAATGGATGGATGGATGGATGGATATCCGTCTTTGGGAACATGGGCTCAAAGGCAGGGGAATGGACAGAATGACCCCCCACTACATTCCTACCTTCAAAAAAGCCATCCTCATCCATGTTGCCATAGATGTAGATGTACTCGCCAGCTGTCAGCGGAAGCTCTGCTTCTGGATTCTCATTGGGACCCTCAAAGGGGTTGTAGCTGTTAGGGGAGGCACAGAGGAGGAGGAGGAGAGTGACCTACACTCCACTTCCATGTCCTGTCTTCTCTCTCCCACTGCACTGAGCCTTTACGGAGACTTGGTTGTGGTTGTCCACCACCAGCAAAGCTGAGCCCTCACTGCACCCACCTTGGCCCAACTAGGTTATTAGAATAGGTCCATTGTGTCCTGTACTGCCCCCACCACTTCCAGAGGTCTCCAGCTCCACCCGGCCCCCTCCTATACCCCAAATGCTGGGGCTGGGCTAGGGGGCAGTGAGGGTGAGGGACCCACCTATAACGTGCTAGGAAGACCTGGATCCTGGCTCCTCCCCGGCTGCCCTCTGGCGCAGCTGGGAGCAGGGAGACACTGTCTGCCTCCAGCTCCTCTACCTCACTGGCTGTGTCCACCTGGGGGCAAACAGAAAGGGCTGGTTTCTCTTCAGGGCCTGGGGCCAAGCGCCAAGCAGGCAGGTTTCCAGGCTGAGCCAGAGGACCTATTGCTTTAAGGAGGGAAAATGAGCACATACATGCTGCACAGGAGCAGTGGCAAGGACCCCCTGATGCTCTCTAAATTAGTGCCTGAGAGAGCAGGTCCTGGCAGAGCCCAGCTGCCCTGGGCAGGGGCAGTGGGGATAACCCAGACCCCTCCCTGAGCCTCTACTGCACCCGCCAGGAAATAAAGCCACTTCCCTCATCTCAGAGGGGCCCAGGCCATGCTGGTGTGGGGAGTGGGTGTCAACAGAAGTTTGGTTTGGTTCCTTAAGGTAAAAACTCAGCAAAGTTGCCAGGTGCAGTGGCTCGCGCCTATAATTCCAGCACTTTGAGAGGCTGAGGAGGGCAGATTGCTTGAGCCAGGAGTTTGAGACCAGCGTGAGAAGCATAACAAAACCCCATCTCTACTAAAAATACAAAAATTAGCTGGGTGTGGTGGTGCATGCCTGTGGTCCCAGCTACTTGGGAGGCGGAGGTAGGAGGATTGCTTGAGCCCAGGAGGCAGAGGTTGCAGTGAGCTGAGATTGCGCCACTGCACTGCAGCCTGGGGGATAGAGCGAGGCCCTGTCTAAAAACAAACAAACAAACAAACAAAAACAAAGAAAAAAGAAACCCCTCAGCAAAGCACCCCAACTGTAAATCGCTGGAAGCAAGGAGGCAGAAAGGAGGCAGAAGGAGCTTGAGGGGTCCCTGCTTCTAGCCGAGTGACAGTGTGTCTGCTGTTCAGCTCTGGAACTCAGAACTTCCCGTCTACTTGCCCGGCCCACAGCCCAGGGCACCGCAACCTCAGGGCACCCCAATTCTCTGACCCTTGTTGAGGTTGCTGGGGTAGCCTGGGGAACAGGCTGTCTTCTCTTCTCTGCCAATGCCTGGGAGAAGGGGACCAAGTGGGCAACCTCTCCACAACCACATCCAAAGCTGGCACCATCCTTCTATCCCACGAGGGGGCAATAGAGGCCCAGGGCTTCGTTCTACCACTTTCTGAATGTTTGGCTCTCAGAGCTGCTTCTGACCTGCCTCCTCCACCTTCTGGGGTTTGTGGGTAGAAAGAAGGATGAGTTGACGACCAGAGCTATGAGTGATGCCCAGGAGCTTAGTAATAATAACAGCTGCCCCGTGTTGAGCACACATCCTGTGTGCCCCACACTGAGACAGGCAGGTTCCGTATTCATTTAACTCTCACAACAACCTTAGAAGGCAGGTTTTATTAGCTCCAAGATTCAGATAAGGAAACAGAAGCCCAGAAAGGCTCAGTGACTTGCCTAAGGCAAAGCTGGGATTTGAATCCTGGAACATGTGCTTTCTCATACAACCACCTGCTTTCACTACAGATGCTCTTAGGAACAGTCTCATTATGCAGATCCTGGTGCCCAAGTGTCTCCTCCATCCAGCCCAGCACTCCAGAGCCTCCCTGGGCCTCCCAGGGGTGGGCTGGGGTGGCCCCAGGTGGGGCTTGCAGGCAGGCAGTGGAGGGCAGGAAGGGCTCCACCTGAGCGCCTCGCCCACAGGAGGAATCCACAGGCCTCCCACCTCCCAACTTGGGACCCCAGAAGTTGCCACCCAACTCCTGGGGACCCCAGAAGAGGTCAGGGCCACCTGCCCTGCACCCTTCCCCAAGCCAAAGCCAGAACTTCAGGCCCCACCCCAGCAATTACCTCAGGTGTAGGGCATGACTTGGGGCTGTTGTGGATGGACTCGGAGTGGGAGGAGTTGGAGAGAGACTCTGCCTTCTTGGCTGTCCTTCGAGGGACCCCAGTGAGAGTGGCAGGGGCAGGCTCGGAAGACTTTGGGGTGCAGCGCCCAGGGGAGCCCGGCGGGAGGTCAAGGTCTAAAGAGAAGATGGCACGTGGGCTTGGGGTCTGTGGCCTGAGGAGGGACCAGGAGATAGGGTGGTGCTTCTTGGATATGGGGACCAGGCCCTCCATAGCCGGGCTTCCTTACAAAAAGGGAAATATTTAGAGAGAAACTTACTAAATAGAGGTATAGCTGATTTACAAATACTATTTCACATGATCGTCAAAACAGCTTGATGAGATGCATTTAATTATTCCTGTCTTACAGCTTACGAAACTATGGCCCAGAGAGGTTAAGCAGCATTCTCAAATCACAGTGACTGTCAAGTGAGTGGAGCTGGGACCACCGGATCCGACTGACCCCCAAGCCCCCACTCTGCACAAGGCCACACTGCCTGCTACTGACTCCTAGTGCCCAACCCCTAGGTCTGACCATTCAGGTCCTTTTGGAAGGAGAGGAGCAGTGGCCCACGATGCCTGGGCCAGACTCTGGGACAGTCACTCCCCTGGGCTTTATTTTTCCCCAACAGAACGTGGTTCTAGCCAGGCACAGCTCTAACCTGCTGTGTGACTTTGGATGAGTTGCTGGCCTTCTCTGATCCTGAACTCCCTGCTCTATCCAAAAGCCCAGGCCTGGGGATTCCAGGCCAATGCCACTGGGGTCCACCTTACCTTTGGGGCCAGACCCCCGGCAAGGCTGGGGAATGGAGCAGCAGCAGGGGGGTGGTGGGCAGTCTCCAAGGCTCCCACAGTCCAGGGCAGATGTGAGCAGATCCAAGGGGCCCGGGTGCAGGCGGAAAGCCTGGAGTTCCTGTGCCAGGAGGCTGAACTGCTCGGTTTGGCTGCGGCACTGTTCTTCGAGCTCTCGAACCCGGGCCTGGGCCAAGACCCACCATGAGCCGCCAGGCCCCTCAAAGCTACCCAGTGCCAGCCCGTGCCATCTGTACACAGCCCTACACTGGGTTTCAGGTCATATCCATCCACCCAGCCCCAGGCCTGGGCACCAGCCTTGCCTTGGCCACCCCACTGTCCTTAATGCATCAGAGCGGAGGGTGAAGTCCTGGGCTGTGTCCTGGGACATCTTCACCCCAGCCCCCTCCAGAGCCAAGGCCGGGGCCTGCCACACACTCACCAACCCTCAGGCCCTAGGCGATGGCACCTCTGCCTCTGGCTGCTTTCTAGGCCAACAGGGATCATTCCCACCCCATCATCACCACCATCACCGCAGGAGTTTTCTCAGCTCCACTGCTCATCACCCTCCCACAATCAGCAACTCAAACCCGTTCCCTGAGAGAGGCGGGCAGGAAATTCCACAGGGGAGCCAGGGATGTCTTCGTGATGGGAATGGGCCAATGCCCGGGAAGTTTTCTCAGGTCTGAGGAGAGTCCCAATAGCAGGGGCTCTCTCCGGCCACTATGGCGAGGCTCCTAAGTTAGACTGGTGATGAACTTCCTCATGATCAGGGTGGCTAGAGAGGGGAGGCCCAGTGTCTGACAGACACGGCGGCAGGCCTGGGACAAGGGGACAGCCGCACGTGTCCTGTGGGAACTCCACCCCCTATGGATTCTCATGCCTGCTCCCAGTGACACCCCCTCTGCTGGATGAGAGAGGGGGACTGCCTGGGCCCTGAGGGAGGAGATGCAACTCAGCCAGCCTGGAGAGGTGTGGGGAAGTGGAGAACGAGGCGCTACCTGCATGGAATCCAAGGTAGACTGTTGCAGGAAAGGAAGCAGAGAACAGGTTAGAACCCTGAGCGCTGTGGGTTGCTAACCCAGAGAGGGAGGCGGAGAAGGGGGCCTAAGTGGATATCATCCAGTCAGCTCCCTGGACTGACTAGCAGTTCCTAAATGGAAGGATATCTCAGGGTGAAGGCAGCCTCTGGGGGTGGCAGCAATGGGAGACTGCTGCCACCAGACTTGGGAGCCCCCTGCCCAGCCGTGCCCACCCTGAGAAATAGGCCAGTGGTGGAGGGGACTCCCCCAGGTCCTGGAGCATTTAAGGGCCCCTCCTGCAACCCCTCTCCCCACCGCCATAGTCCATTTCAGCTCTATCTGGAGGACCCCCGCCTTCCTCCCAAGATGGTGGAACTGGGGGCCACTTCCAGGCGCCCTACCTCCAGCAGCTGCACGGCTCCTTCATGTTCCCTCTGGGCTTCAGCCTGGGCCTACAGGTGGGGGGAACCAAAATACTGGAGGGAAGGAGAAGGAATGGGGTGGAGTAGAGAGGGCTGCGAGGGAGGAAGGGTAGAAAGGACAGAGGCAGGGGAGGAAGAAGCCGGGAGAAAGAAAAGGGTAGGGAGAGAGGGAAGAGGGATAGGGAAGGGGGAGGCCGAAGGGTTTCTCCCTCCTGAACACCCACCCTGAACCATACCTTAGACCAGAAGGCAAAGGGGACCAGGAGAAGCGTGGCTGAGTCAGCTCCCCTCTTTCCTGAGCAACCATCCTCCCAGTTTCCCCCCTACCTCTCTGGATGCTCCTTCTCAGCCTCTTTTGCCTGCTCCCTGTCCCCCATTTTGAATGTTAGGGTTACCCTGGACCCAGTGCTGGGCCCAGTTTATATTGTCTACTCTCTTCCTAGGGCTCCCATCTACTCATACAACTAAACACACTGGTGGCTCCAAATATCTCCAAGACCAACTTACCCATAACCCCAGGCTCATGTATCCAAGTGCCTGTGGACAGCTCCCCTTGAATGTTTAACGCGCAGCTCAGACATGGCCCAAATGGAACTCAGCACTCGGGATGACCTACCTCTCAGATCTGCTGCCCCTTCATCCTTCACCTCACGGAGTATGAAGAGCCCCACCCTCCACCAAGGTTTATACAGCAAATGGCTGTCAGAGAAGGGATTCAACTGGAATCCCACGGGGATCCTTGTCAATTCTTTTTTTTTTTTTTTGAGATGGAGTCTCGCTCTGTCGCCCAGGCTGGAGTGCAATGGTACGATCTCAGCTCACTGCAAGCTCTGCCTCCCGGGTTCAAACAATTCTCCTGCCTCAGCCTCCTGAGTAGCTGGGACTACAGGGGCCCGCCACCATGTCAGGTTAATTTTTGTATTTTTGGTAGAGACGGGGATTCACCATATTGGCCAGGCTGGCCTCGAACTCCTGACCTCAACTGATCCACCCACCTTGGCCTCCCAAAGTGCTGGGATGACAGGCATGAGCCACCATGCCCGGCCAGAACCTTGTCAGTTCTATCTCTAAAACATAACTCAAACCCAGGCACTTGTCTCCCGTTCCACTGCATGCATCTCTGTCCAGACAGCCACCATCTCCCTCCCAGGCCACCGCCCAGGCCCTGCTCCACGCCTGCTCCCACAGTCCACCCTCCATAATACCAGCCATGTGATCCTGTAAAATTATGACTCAGATCATGTCACTCCCCCACTTAGGATCTTTCAGGAGCTTCTATCTACTCACAGAGCAAAATACCCAAACTCTTCCCATGGCCGTTAAGGCCCGACAGGATCGGGTTCTTGTCTACTCCCACCACGCTGCCCATCCCTTGCTGTATTCTAGCCACATTGGTCTCAGGCTTCTTCAGCTCTTCCCTGCCACAGAGCATGTGCATGTCTACACCTCCTGGCTGGCAAGGTCAATTGTCACCTCCTCAGGGAGGCCTTCCCTGATGACCTCTAAAGTGGCTCCTCACCCCATCCCAGTCACTTTGTCACATCACCCTGTTCTTCTCCACCACTGTGCTCATCAGTGTCTGAAATCAGCTCACTCCTGGATGCTAATTTGCTGACTGCTCAGGGACCTGGTCTTTGTTCCCCACAGTCTCCCCGACGCCTAGCACAGTGCCGGGCACACAGTAAATGCTTGTGGAATGAGTGAGTGGCAAAGCTGGTGTCCAGCAGCCTGCCAGCTTCCCTCACTGCCGCCCCACCTGCTGCAGTCTCCGGACCTCCTCCTGCTTCTCCCGTAGGCTGAGCCGAGCCTGTTCATGCTCCACCTCCAGCTGCTGCCGCCGCTGGGCCACCTCCCGCATGTGCTGAAACACAAGATCTGAGTCAAGGCCAGAGCCCCTACTTGGCCATTTCTAGAGAAGATCTAAGATGAGGAAGCCTCAAACACCATTTGCTCCAGATTCCTCTATTACAAAGGAAACTGAGCCTGGAGCAGCTCCAGGCCCAGGCCTCAGAGCTAGTGCCCCTCACTAAGAATATTCTGCTGTCCCACTTGCTCCCCATGCCAGGGCCCAGCACCCTCTCCCACCTGCACCATCTCCTCACCTTCAGCACTTGCTCCAGGCTCTCCAGCTTGCTCTGCAGGCCCTGGCTCTTGCGAAGGGCTGAGTCCCTCTCCTGTGTCACCCCCAGGAGCTGGCCCCTCAGCTCCGCATTCTCCCACTCCACCTGGCGAGGGGGCAGTGACAGGGAGTTGGGTGGGTGAGCCTTGACCCACCAGCACCCTCACAGGGGGAACAGTACCCTACCCCTGCTCAGGGGTGGAGGAGAAAGCCCCTTGGCTGGGGACCGGGGCAGTGGTGGGAGCACAGGTCTCCACAGCACCTGGGCGGAAGTGGTACCTGCTCCTTCTCTGTGGCTCTCCCACTGAGCCGGGAGTTCTCCTCCACCAGGCGGGCATTCTCATTCTGCGCTTGTCTCAGCTGCAGTTCCTGAGCGGGCAGAGGAGCTCTCAGGAGGGAGCCCAGCACCCACATTCCCCCTCTCCCCACACAGAGGACCCTGCCCTCCTCCCAGGCAAGGCCTTCCTCCCCTGCTGGAACCTGCACCAGCCAGGAAAGGAAAGGAGCAGGAGGGAAAATGTGTTCTTGAGGGCAGCAGGGGTGGGAGCAGAGCTGAGAGGGAGCCCACCACCTGGCTGGCCGGGGTGAAGGGAGGAGCTGGCCTCTGGGTTGCCCTCAAGAGCTCACCAGCTCCTCACATCGCCTCTGCTTTTTCCGGGCTTCCTGCTCCAGGCTCTCGCATTTCTTCCGCTTCTTGCTGAGCTCCGATTCCTGAGGGGTCAGAACCAAGTGCTCCTCATGAGGGAAGGTACATCTGCCCACAGCAGGCTGCCTCCAGCCCTTGACCTAGGACTTACCAGCTGCTGCACCCTCTGCTCTTTCTCTGGCTCCCCTAGAATCACGGGTAGGTTGTCCGCATCCTCCTGGGGCGTGGCCTGGAAATGCCCAGGGGCAAGGGGCTGGCACCTGAGAACAGGGCCCCAGGGCAGCCTGCCCCAGCCCAGCCTGCCCAGAGCAGGTTCCCACCCCATCATTCAGCCAGCAAGAGATCCCTGCCTAGCAAGAGCAAAGAGGGGTACTGTCTGCCCACCCACCTCCCATTGTCTCCAGCTGATGTGTAAGTACAAAGGCTGCACCCCTGTGTCCTGGAGCCATAAGTGCTTTGAGATCCTGGGACCCACGTGTGCCCTGGGAGATGGGTCCTTTATCCAGGCCAAAGCTTTCCCTTTTTAGCTTCCAGCAGCAGCCCTGCTCTGCACTCAATAACTGTCCTGGGTGTCCTTCAGCGACTGGCAGAGAACTAGGAGGCTGCCTGGGCCCCCGGGGATGTGGTGTTCCCCAAGATAGGGGTTCTGTATCATCCAAATCTGGGCTTGGCCTAGAGCAGCGCAAGTCCAGCCAGACCCTTCTCCTGGCTTCCCCCAAGCCCACCCTACCACACCTTCCGATTATCCGTGCAAACTTTGGGGGAGGACAGGTCTTGATGGGAGGGTGCATCTCCCTTCCAGGGCCAGCCAGGGAGACAAAATCTGAGCAAGAAGCCTCCCCCCACCCGGAGGTCTTGGTCACTATCAGATCACTGCCTGGTCTCTCCTCCCAGCCCTCTTCCCAGAAGGAGGAGGACCTACTTGCTGCCTACCTAGGATGATGGCGAGAAGCCAGACCCTTAAGTTCTGGGGGTCCTAAGCGGGTCCCTGGCCCTCGAGACAGGGGCTGCCTAAGCCCCCCGCTCAGTGAGGGTTGCCTGTACCTGGAGCCGGGGCGGACGCACCGCCGCCCCCGGGTAGCTGGGGCCAGGCCTGGCCAGCCAGGCGGGCGCTGACGGGGGCGTCCCCGCTCTACGGCGGCGGCGGGAGGAGGCGGCGCGGGCTGGGCCCCGGGCGGCTGCCAGGACAACCAGGGATTTGCGGCCGGGCCGTACCACTGGCAGCGCGGCAGGGGCGGCCGGCCAGGCCCCGCTGGGCGCAGGCCTATGGAGGGCGGAACCCTGGAGCCCCCAGGGGAGGGCACGGCGCAGGTACGAGCACGGGAGGCTTGGAGGTGGACCCTGCCCAGGACGGGAAAGCTCCCCAGCCCCTGGGAGTGCGCACACCACCACTGAGTCCTTGGGGTTCTGAGCACGGTGCAGGGGAGATCCCGGTGGTCGTTCCCCCCACCCATCTGCACGCACCCACACACCTGCCCTTGCGCCGGCGCTCACCTCTCCCGGGGCCCCGGGAGCAGGCGCCCCTGCTCTGGCCTGGAGAGCAGGGCCCGGGGGCCAGGACGGCGGGAGCGGGAGCGTCTCCCGCTGGTTGCGCAGCGCGATCTGCCTCTGCAGCCGCAGCACCTCCCGCTGGGACTCGCGCAGCAGCCGATCGAAGTCCCGCACGTGGAGCCACTGGGGACCCTCCTGAGGTTGGGGGACAGGGACAGGGAGGGGACTCAGGCCTAATCCTTGCCCGCCCCATGCCATCCCCTGCAGAGCCCTTCGCCTTGCTGGAGGGGCTCCGATGCGCGAGACTGTGCACACCCTCCCATGGGTACATGCCTGGTTACATGTGCATGCGTATGTGGCCACATGCTCCCGCGAGCCCCTATGCGGTCATTCTCAGTAACTTATTTCTTGGGTGCTCTCAATGTGCCCAGCACTGTGCTAAATACCTTGTGAACATCCCTTCACACAGGGGATGTGTGGATGCATACAGCCAGACCCACCGGCAAACAGCCTCAAGCCTGGAGCACAGAAATGCCCAGGTCTGGGACTCATGGCTCCACCCCCTTCTCCCCTCTCCCACCTGGGCCGTTGCCAGGGGAACCTACTCCCAGCAACCTCCACCCTCCCTTTCATTTGCGTCTCATTAACATCTTGTCTGCATCCCACAACAGGCAGATGGCCCTGTGCAGGGCTGAGCTGGAAGAGGTGACCAGGGCCTCCTCGCACCTTGCCCACCAGAGTGAGCCTGGCCTGCAGCTCCCTGCACTCCCGCTGCAAGGCAGCAATCTGCTTGTCCTTGGCCAGCAGTGCACTGGCTGTCTCACTGAGGTCCCGGGCTCGCTGGCGGGCTAGGGCCTTCCGACACAACTCCAAGCTGGTCCCCGGCCGGGGCAAGGGGGCACTCACCTAGCCAGAGGAGGGGTAAGGCCAATGGTCACCTGAGGGCTGGGGCACTTCTCCCACTCCTCATCTCCTCCCAAAGGAGGAGTTAGCATGAAAACCTAGGGGGGTAGCCACCTGCTTCCACCTTGACTGGGGTCTCAGAAAACCAGCAGCCTCACTCTACCCCATCCCAGCAGTTGGAAAGGATTAACTCTACATCTGAGTTTAGGATCAAAGGATGCTGCTAATTTGGGGCTGCCACTGTGATGGGTCTCATCCCTGCCCCCACTCCAGCTCTATACCCTGAGATGAGCTCAGCAGAAGGCTGCCGCCAGCACCAGCACGTGGTAATCCAGAATCCTGCTCCCTGCCTGCTCAGGAACCTCCCCATCCAGCTCTTCTCTGCCCCCTGCAGCTCCAGAAACCTTTGGCCTCCTTGCCTGGCCAGCCTCTGCCCTTCCTGCACCTTAGCCCCTAGATTCTTGCTTTCCTAGGTGCTGAGCTGAGACCGTGACTCCCAAGCTTCAGACAGCCCTCAGGCCCAGCCCTGGCTCCCCTCTTCCTTGGTCACCCAGCCTCCGCCCAGCAGCCTCCTTTCCTCACCACCCTCAGGTTCGTTTCCTGCAGCTTTCGGGCCCTCTCCTCCAGGCGCTTGGCAATGACCGCCAGCTCGGCGTTCTTCCTCTTCAGCCTCCGCACCTTCTCTTCTGTCTCAGGGAAGCTGCTCTTCCTCTGACAAGGGGTCAGGCAGAATTGGGGCATGTAGGGAGCACCCCACAGACCCAGTCCTAACAGCCCAAGTCTTGGGCTAGAGCCCTAGGCTCACAGTGGGGTCCTTGGCAACTCTAGGCAGGGGTTCACCCTCTCTGGGTCTCAGGATTTTGTCACCTCCATTGAGCCCCCACTTGGAAAGATGTTCATGGGGTGAGGAGGGCACTGAGGCAGAGGGCCTGGCTCCAGCCAGAACGCAGCACCCCAGTCTCCAAGCCTCACCAGCATCTGGTTTTCCTCCTTAAGGATGGCACAGCGCTGCCGCAGCTCCCCCAGGGCCCTCAGCAGCTCCAGATTGGGCCTGTCCCCAAAGCTCATATTCAGCTTGGCCTGGCATGGGAAAGGACCGAGGACAGCACCTCAGAAACCCACGTCACCCAGCCAGAGCCTTCCCTGTGGAAGCATCCACCATCCATGGTCCAAGGAGACATGGAGATGAAACGGTTTCCCCTATGTCCCAGGCCTTCAGAGAGGAGCAGAGGAGGCCTAGGAGAAGGAACTGTCCAGTCCTCCCTGTCCACATAGACACCCCCAAACCTGGCACCCTCCTGCTCCTCCCTGATCCTTCCCATTCCTACCCATCTTCTCCTCCAGGGACATGCGAGCTCGAGCTCCCACTCCCATCCCTCCAGACTCCCCTGCCCTCCCCCAAAGTCCTGTTCCTTCCCTCTTCTACAGGAGCCTGCTCACACCCACCCCAACCCTGCCTCAGCCCAGCACCAAGCCCCCTCCCCTCAATCTACTTCCTCTGCACTGATTCTCTGTGCACCTCCACACTCCCCCTGTATCCCCCAGCCCCTAAGGACAGACAGACTCATGGAAGAAGAGACACAGACAGACACACTGTCAGGAGGAGGCACAGAGAGGGACGGGGCAGCAGCAGGGCCAGATCTAGACAGACAGGCAAAGAGGGTCAGAAGGACAGACAAATGACGAAAGAAATGGAGCCCCTCAGATTTCTGCTCGATGAAGAGAGGACAGATAGCCACAGAGATGGACCCACAGACAGGCCAAGAGAGGACAGGTGGGCATTGGGGATGCATACCTCGCCTCACCTCCTGGCCAGGCTGGAGGACATGGTGAGAGACCCCCACCTTGCAGACCCCAGCCCTCCACAGATCCCTTACCTTCAGGAAAGCCTCCACTTCCTCATCCTCTGGCCTCTGGCAGGCGGGTCCAGAGCTGGATGCTTGCTGGCCCAGGCTGGGCAGACAAGCCTCTGCTCCTTCAGGGTCAGTTCCCCCCACGGGCCTGGAGCTCCCGTCTCCTTTGGGCTTGGAACTCTCCTCAGACCTCAGTTCTTGAAGCTGCAGAGCTGCCGGAGGAGTATCAGCGATGCTTGGGGCTGCACTGCTAGGTTCACCCCCTCGACCTGGAGTCCAGCTATGCCAGGTGGGCAGTGCCCATGGCTCCATGGCTCCAGGGTCCCCAGGCCGTGGGAGGGTTGTCAGTTGCTCCATGGTACTGCCAAGGGGCCCCAGAACCCGGGCCGGGGGACATCACCCAGCCAGGTGGGGGGACTGGCGAGGGTCATGCCAGGCCAGCCCCTCTCCCCTCTGAGCTCTTGCTTCACCGACGCTCCATCCAAGGTTGGCTGAGCTCTTCCCCACCCACAAAGGAGGCTGCAGAAGGCGCCAGGGCTGCTGGAGCTGGAGCCAGGGGTATGTGAGCTATGTTTGCTGGTAGCTGTGTGTGTGCGCGAGTATGTGGAGGAGCGAGGGTGTCCCTGTGGGGGTAGGGAGGATGTGCAGAGGCCACCGACAGCTGCGCCTGGGTGAGGGTGCGTGTGTGTGTCTCCAGGTCTGTCCGTGCAGGTCAATGCTGTCTCATGTGTTGGGAAGATGGGTGCCCCCACTTCTGTGTGTTGAGGGGGGTGGTGCTGTGTGTCACTGTCTGCCCATTTCAGAGTTGCCAGTTGTTTGTGTGTGTGTGTGTGGGTGTCTGTATTGCAGGGCTGTGGCAGTATGTGATGCTGTCCCTGGTTGTATCTGAGTGTGTCAGTGTCGTGCAGCTGTGTGCATCGGTGTCGTTGTGTGTCTGTCAGTGTCTGTGGGTCTGGCCGTCTGTCGCAACCCCTCAGCCCGGCCAGAGGCTTCAGGAGCTGCTGGGGGTGATCCCCAGTGGTCCGCTGTGGTCCTTTATCTCCGGCTCTGCTCTCTGCTGCTGCTCTTTCGCTTGCTGGGTGGCTGGGCTGGTCCTAAGGAGGCCTGGGTCGATGGGCTGCTTGCCTCATAGTCTCAGCCCCTGCTGGCCTCTGCTCTGGGGACTGCAGGGGTCCCTTACAGTCCAGGAGCCTCGAGATGGTGGGCTCCGAGGAGGGCTGAGCCTCAGAATTGGGTGGGGGGGTGAGCCGGGAAGAGCCAGCCCTCCCCTCCTCCTCCTCCTCCTCCCCTCCCACCCACCAATAGGAAGTCGGCTGCTGGTTTCCATGGTGATGGCGCTGGACTGGTGGGCTGAACCGGCTGACAGGGTCGGGGACAGAAGGAAGAGCAGGTTTCTCACGGCATGTCAGCCCAGGGCTCCCACATGTGGCCTCCCACCCTCATCTTCACACATTCTCACACCTTCCGGAGTACAGAGGCGAGTGGGGTGCAGATGGTCCTCCCTACATCGGGTGAGACTGATAGAGACAGAACGGGGGAGGGTATGACAGAGATCCAGCCACAGAGAAGGGCAGAACTAGAAAAGATGGGACTTGAGATGAAACAAAGAGAGAGACAGAAACCAAGAGAAAGAAACCGGGAAGACAAGCAAAGAGACAGGTAGAAATAGACGGAGAATTCCTTCTGCTTCCTCCTGGCAGATTGCACTTGGGGGGCAACCTGGCTGTCCCAGGCCACCAGGGAAGCCCACATGGCCTGTTGGGTTGGCTTTGTCCCGAATTGCCTGGAAGTTCATCTTCTGTCTAGCCTTAGATCTTGTTGCTAAATAATTTGGGGGACAAGGACGTGAGAATCCCCTCAGCCAGGAGTCAGTCTATATGCAGTGGCAGGGGTCTAGACAGAGTCCCCAGAGCCAGGGGTGTTGGGAGAAGCCCCGAGAGGCAGCCCCTCTCCACTCTGAACCCGGGACTCATTAGGCAAGCCAGTTTCAGCCAAGGTCGGGGGCCCTCGTGTGGCACCCCCACAGAATAGCAGCGGTGATACTGAACCCTAGAGCCCCTGACTGTGGGCTCCACCCAGGCAAGAGCCAATGGAACTGGAGGTAGGGGGTGCATGGGGAGGAGTGGACATCTTCACTTCCCTAAAGCAGTGTGTAGGTCAACACGCACGCCACTGCATGATGTGTTGCTGTTTAGGTCAGAGTATATATGCATGCCATTATGCGCATGCGTGTGTATAGTATGCATCTATAGAATAGACATTATCTATTTCTGTATATGTGAAGGGGCCATTGTGTGTATATATGTGTGTGCTATTATGTGTCTATGAGTCACATAATAAAACGTAACAAAAACACATTGGGTGTATCTGTATGTATGTTTCTGTGTCATTGCATCTATGTTTGTTTGCCACTGTGTCTATGTGTGTGCTGTTATGTGCATGGGAGGCTATCATTGCATGAGTTTATAAATTACAACACATCATGATATATATAGATATGGATGCTACTATATGGCACAATGTAGTAATTGATTACACAATATATGACATGCTCATATCGTCATGTAAATATGCATAATGACATGGTTTGATTTATATATATATATCACCATGTATCTATGTATTCTATATTTATCATGATATATGAACATGTCTCTATCTATGTATGTGTATGGAGCCACCGTGTTTATTATGCAAATGTCACTGTATGTGTGTGCTCTTCTATGTGTAAGACACGCCCTATGTTTCTATCATTGCATGTGTGTACTACTGAATATGTATGTGCCCTGGGTGTGTGTAATCCCTGTGTGTGTCATGCCAGTCATGTCACATGTGTCTGTGTGTGTGTTACTGGCACACTGAATGGGGCCTCTGTGTGTAAATGCATTTGCATCTCAGTGTGTGCTTTGTATATGAGTGTCTGTGCCCTTGTCTAAGATGCTGTGTATGTGCCACAGTGGATTTTGCCCAATTTTTATATGACCTAGGACCCCCTAGACTTTCTTAGATTAAAACTGGATGTAGGCAGCTTTCAGTTTGGGTATGTAGGGGGGCAGGATAGGGCCAGAGCTAGGGTAGAAGGTGAGAGGATGCCTTACATCCCTGCCCCTTTCTGCAGATGGCCCAGGCCCTTCTCTCCTCCGGCTGTGGCCTGGCCAGGCCCAGAGCCCTCTTCTGATCTCATAGGCAGGGCCAAACCCGTATCTTCTGGAGGAGCGACAGAGGTTCTCCCTCCCAGCCCTTCTGTGCGCCCATACTGTCCATGTGCCTGCCGCCCGCATTCAGCTCCCCACCCCAGCAACAGAGTCTCAGACAAAAGAGAAGCACAGTCCAGTCTTTATTAGCATTGGGTCCCTGGTCCCACCACCCATTCCCCTCCACGTACCATCCCTTCCCACCCCTTCCTCGTCCTTGACGCTGCGGCTGCATCAGGGTTCCACATGTCCAGCCCTCCCCGCCCCCAAAGACTGCAGGGCAGCAGAGGAGCTGCTGTGGCCTTTCCCCAGCTGTCCGGAACCAGGAAGGGCAGGAAAGCCATGGAGGCCTTTCAGGCATCTGGGCAGGGTAGGGAGGGGCCGTAAGGTGCTCACCTGTCACACGAGGTCCCCGAGCGCCGAGGAAGATGGTGGCGGGCAGCGGGCGGCAGCAGTGGCGTGATCTCCGAAGCCCACAGTACACTCATCCATAAAGTAGGAAACACTACACCCTCCAGTGCTGTTAGTAGTGCTTTCTACTTTATGGGTGACTGCACTGTCTGTCTGTCCGTCGGCGTGTACTCTTCAGGCTGCCCAGGCCTCCTGACTCCTGCTCCAAGAGCCCCCCAGCCCTCCTTGTGGCTTCCTAAGATCCCCCCAACCCTGCCAGGGCCCCCCGAGGGCCCGCCCTGGGCCTTGTGGGCGGTGACTCAGCATGGCGCCAGACTTGCCTCCTCTACCTCCCTCCCCCACTTCCTCTTCAGTTCCCTCTTCCCTTCCCCCTAAAGGCTCCACCCCATCCCCCCAGTTTCAGAGACACTCAGGTAGAGACTAGGGCCTCTGGAGGCCTCACCTTCAGTTCTGTGAACCCCTGGCTGGCCGCTTCCAGCCACGCTAGCCACCCTCCAGCGTCCAAATGAGGCAGCCACAGCTCCCCTGCCAAGGTCTTGGTCTCCAGTCCACCCCAACCGTGAGGTCCTGACTGCCCAGAGCCTCAGTCCCCACCCTTCAGCCTCCCCACCAGCCCAAGATCCTGACCCCCCAGGGCCTAAGTCCCCAGCCTCCCCAACAGCCCAGGGTCCTGACCCCCCAGGGCCTCAGGCCCTGGCCTCCCCACCAGCCCAAGGTCTTGAACACACCAGGGCCTCAATTCCCAGCCTCCCCACCAGCTCAAGGTCCTGACTCCCCCAGAGCCTCAGTCCCAGCCTCCATAGCAGCCCAAGGTCCTGACCCCCCAGGGCCTCAGTCCCCAGCCACTCCACCAGCCCCAAAGTCCTGACTCCCCAGAGCCTTGATTCTCGGCCTCCCCACCAGCCCAAAGTCCTGACTCCCTCACTGCCCTGCTGTTCCCCTGGCAGGAGCCCAAGGCTATCCCAACAAAAATGGTGGCCATGTTGGGCGGAGGAAGAGGCTGGCGCCCCTTGAGACACTGGTCCCACTTCTCAGCCTCTGCGTACCCTCTGCCATCCCCGCCTTACTCTCCAGCCCTCCTCCTTGGACACCTCTTTCCCCGCCTGGGGTCCCGGAGCCATTTTACCTTCCTTCACTAGAGAGGGTTTCAAGGCGCTTTGCCCTGAGCTTCCCGCATGGGGCTTGCACCCAAGCTCCTCGACACCCCCAACGCGCCTCCACCCAGACCAGCAGCCCAAGCCCCTAGAGGCCCCGAGCTGAGGAGCCCCAGTTGGGGCAGCAGTGAAGGTCCGGATCCTTACCTGAGGCTGCAGGGCGGAGGAGAGCTCGCCCTGTGCTCCAGGCTCCGAAGTGGGGTTCCCTTCAGGGAGGGCAGGGCTTATAACCCCGAGGCCACGTGGGCCAGATCTCAGGGCGCCCAACGGTCTCAGAGCGCGCCCCGCCCCCGCCCGCAGGGGATGAGCGCCCTCCCTCCCTCCCTCCCTGGGGAGGACAGACTGACAGGAAACAGAAGGGGGTGGGCCCGCGGGAGGGCTGGGGACCCTCTCTCATGCCCTGGGCAGGTGGCTTCCGGCCCCAGCTGCCCTTCCCCCCGTGGCACCAGCTCCAAGGGATGGCTCAAGAGCCTGGGACTGACTCAGGGCATTGAGGGTGACCCCAGAAGACCAGGGCTCCTCGACAGGGCCCTCGGTGAGTGCCCAAAACGGGGAGTCCAGAATTCCAGCACAAGAAAAGGACCTTCTCTCTGAGCCCCACCGCTGCTGACCTCAGCCCAGAAAACTCCCTTCCCTTCCCAACACTCAGGCCAGGCCCTGGCTCCTCTGCGTGTGCTCCCGAGGGCCATGGAGGTGCTGATGCATGAAGGGCGTCCATGGAGACTGTTGTCCTCAGCACCCCACAAAGCCACCCCTCCTGCAGCCTCAGCCTGCAGGGCACAGTGCGGGGGACACTCTCAGGCCCGGTGGACTGATGGCACTAGGCTAGGTGTTCACGCTCTCTTTGGGACCTGTGGGGACAAGAGGGCAGGGCAGAGCTGGGTGAGGATCAGGTCCTAAGGTGGGGCACAGGTGCTATGCGGAGAGAAGGGGGCTTGGAGGAGTGGCGGGAAAGAGGCTCGAGGGAAGGTTCTGGCGGCCACCGGATGTGGGCATGGGGCCCACCCACCTGCATGCCACCCCCGATTTCCCCATGGGGAAGGCAGGAAGCTGCCCAGCCCAGGGCCCCTGGCTGGGGGAGGGGAGTAGGGTGTGGGGGTGGGCAGGGGACAGCGTCGGCTGAGCCCAGCCCATACCATCTTCCCCCAGCGTTCTCCAAGCCTCTCCATGGGCTTGGCTCTGGAAGCAAGAGGAATGGGTTTGGGGAGGTAGGAGCGGTAGAGAGAAAACCACCCAGTGACTCCTTCCCAGAAGGCCATGGACCTCTTCTCTGGGTCCTCCGTTTAGGCCCACACAGACCTTAGGGAGCTGTCAGATTCAGGGCCTAGAAGAGGACTGGCATGGGGGCAGTGGGGAGGGAGATGGCCCCACATCCTTCCCTCCAGGAAGGGGGTCCTTCAACCTGGAAAGTTGCCCCATTCCCAGGTCCCTAAAATGGGACAGAGAAAGGGGGAATGGGGCCTTTCACCCCCTTGAGTCTAAAGAGAAAGTGGTGAGGAGGGTTGCCTTGCAGGGCCAGCTGGCCAGAAATGGGGCGATACTCCTTTAAGAGACCACCGCTGCCTCTGACCTGGGTGGAGGGGAAGTGGCTGCCCCAGGCGATAAGAGGATAAGAATATCAAAGTTGTGCAGTAACCTGGGTTCCTGGACCCCCATTCTTCAGGGCTCCTCCCCTGAGAGCATCTTACCTCCTACTCCTGCTTATGATGCCTCCATAGCCCTCACTTCAGAGGCGTCCTGTCCCCACAAAAGAGAGTCACAGAATGGGACCCAGGAGCCCGGCTTCTGGGCCCAGCTATGCCATAGACCCCTCAGCATGTGACCTGTGGCGAGTCAGAGCTGAGGTTCCAAGGGACACACATGGCTCCAACAGTCTCCAATCTAGCCCTTCTCCTGTCCTGAGCAGGGTGAGGTGTCCCTGCTGCCTGTTGTCTTGTGACAACAGAGGCTGATTTTCTCTGTACAACCTCAATGCCTAAAGACCACCAATAGTTTTTATTTTTATTTATCTATTTTCTTTTTTTGAGAAGAGAGCTTAGGGCCCAGCTTCTCTGTCAACGGAGCTTCTGGGGTCAGGGGGTTTCTGGATAGTCTAGGCCCTCTGCTGGTTCCCATCCCGAGGCTGGGGCTAAAGAAGGATGGAATGAGGACCTGGACTTTCCCCAGCCCAGCGATGACTCCCGACTCTGCTGGGCCTCAAACCAGAAGAAATGGTACAGGGCCAGAGACAAAATCAAGGACAGGGGAAGGGGCAGAGTCTAAAATAAGAATACAGAGACAATAAGAAACTTTGTGAGAATGGCTAGGATACATGGAATGGGCCGTCCACCTGTGACTGGAACAAGGCTGCTGGACTCGAAGCCTGACGTAGGCTGCCACCACCCAGATGCGTGGCCTGTGTGACTGACCAGCAGGTGCCTGAGGGAAGAGCAGCCAGTGCCTGCATGGAAACACACATGCAGACACAGCGGCCCAGAGAGCCCAAAACATTCAGACACAGACACGCTGTCGCCGACACACCCCGCAGTCCTGTACACACACCTAGAGGAGGCCTATCTACACTCCTGGACACACCTGCGTCCTCCCCAAGAGACACAGGGAGGGTCACCTGGGAATCTGGGGCCAGTGCTTGACAGGGTGACTGGAAGGAGCTGGGGGTGGATTCAGAACATAAGTACCTCTGTGAGAGTGGCCTGGCTCCCACTCCTGCCTCCAAAGCCACCTGTTGCCTGAGTTCCCCAGGATGAGAAAAACCAAACCCTTGATGTCTTTGTGGAGAGAGGAGTTCAAGTTGATACTTCAAACTCCGCCTCCTTGGCGGCCGATCCAGGTTCAAGCAGGCTGTCACTGGGCAACCTTGGCTCACTTGGACTTGCTGTCAAAAGTCCCCCACGGCCCTCCCTGGTTCTGACATTCAGATTCTTGCTCAGAGGAAGTAGGGGGCGGGGGCGGCAGGAACAAGGTGGGAACAGCCCTTCATCAGGATAGAGGGATCTGGGCTTGGAATCCTGGAGGGCTCCAGGCTCATGGTCCCTCACTGCCACCCCCACCTTACCGACCTGGGGGACAACCATCTCTGTGTGCCAAGCTGAGGCTGTGGGTAGGCAAAGGTGAGCCGGCAGAGAAAAGGACACAGGACCTGTCCTTGGGCACTCCCAGCCTGATAGGCAGTGTGTACGAGTGTGTGTGTCAGTGCAAGTGAGTGTCTTGTACCCAAAGCAGGGGCAGAGCTTCAGGTCTGATGGGGACACTTGGTTCCTACTTCTAGTGAGCACTGAATCTGAGGGTGAAGTAGACACACACATCTACATTTAACATAGTAACGGCAACAGGCACAAGGCCATCCCAGGTGGCAGTTGCCAGGGCCCAAGGGGCTGGGATGTTGGATGCTGTAGTAGCAACCTTAGAGTCACAGGAGTCCCATCAGAGAAGGCTTCCTGGAGAATGTGAGTACAGGTGGAAGAGGGTTTAGAAGGAGAGATTGGGCAAGGAGGAGAAACAGGGAGAAAATTGTCTTTTGAAGGCCTAATGCCTGTAAGGAGAGCAGGCCCAGAGGGTGGAAGAAATGACACAAGCTCATTGTCCGCACATGAAGGCAGAAAAGAAAACCAA
This sequence comes from Homo sapiens, assembly GCF_000001405.40. NCBI lineage: Eukaryota > Metazoa > Chordata > Mammalia > Primates > Hominidae > Homo > Homo sapiens. The sequence goes on from NC_000017.11 coordinate 58,335,935, forward strand.
CCCTTCCCTGCCATCTGCATGGGCCTGGGGCCCTCACTCACAGGCAGGCAAGCAGCCAGTGGGAGATGGCAGCCCAGATAACCTGCCTTACAAAGAGCCAACAAGAGAGAAGCCACAGACTTAACCACTCACAAACAGGAAGTCCAGAAGGCAGAGCAGACCCGCCCTCCAGTAAGCTACAGTTGGGGACAGGCCTGGCCACAAAGGAGGGAAACTGAGCCCCTAGCATTGCAAAATGGGGCTAAAGCAAATTGGAGTCAATAGTCCCAAATGTTGAGACCCTTCCCCATCTCCCTGGAGGGGCAGCCAAGGGAAGCAGGTGCCAAGAGAGGCAAGTGCCTTAAGAACCTAAGACAGCCCATGTCCCCTACAGAGATCATCTCAGCACCTCAGAAGATCTGTCTCATCTCAGAGCCTTGGGAGCACAAGGAGTGCTAAAGGGCCTCCAGGCAAGGAGGGCGGGCAAACTGGCTGCCCCTCAGCCCCTGCCTGCTCGTACCAGACTCCCCTAGGTTTAATTTCATACTCTCCTGCTCTACTCTGTCTGGCAAGGGGCAGCTCCAATGCACAGTGGCCCACACTAGGAGGTCACTTCGCACTGGGGCAGGGTTCTGGCTCAGATCTCCTGGGATCATAAGACCCAAGGACTTTTAAGCAGCAAGGTTAGGCAGCAACTGGTCCCGAGTCAGGAAACAGAGCTGCAAGCCCAGAGAGAGGCAGAAGGCAGCCTGAGGTCACAAAACAAGTTAGGGCCAAGTTGGGTTCTTTCCACAACATCTGGGAAAAGGCAGGACGGGCTGGGTGGAAAGGGGGTGTGGGTGTGAGGAAGGCTACCCTGACCACTGCTGTGGGAGTGGCCGTGAAACCAGAAGCTTTCTCCTCTGGGATCTTCTGGGGACACAAGTGGAGAGATGAAAGCTCCCTCTGGACTCTCTCCACACACAGGTGCTGGGTTTAACTTGCATAGCTGCACCTGCTCCAGTTCCAACTGCTGCAAATAAATTGTGTGTGTATGTGTGGCGGGGACAGGGAGGGGGTCCAAGAGCTGGTTTTCTGCCTGGAACCCACTACAATCCCTCATCAGCCCCACTCCCTATCCCAACATCAGGATCACCAAGCAGAGGATAAAATTAAGTGTCAAGAAACTAGGGGTCTAATCCTCACCCTGTGATTATTTATGGTACAATTCTGGGCCAGTCACTGAATCTGCCCCTAAACCCCAGCCTGTTTCTTCACCTATAAAAATGGGGAGGGAGTTGACCAAAAGACTTGTTTGTGCTCTAGGAAGTCCCCAAGAGCACAGGAGCCCAGAGACCTCGCAGGAGGAAGCAGCAGTATCTGTGTTCCAAATCCTGCCCAGCCCCCAGGCAGCCATGGTATCTTCTCAGCTGGCTCGAGGGCACACCTCCCAAAATGCAGAGAAGGCAGGGTGGCTAGGAATGGCTCTAGTAGAATTCTCCCCTTATCTTGTCTGGAAACAAGGGGCAAAGAGCTATCTATTTCCTCCTGCCAGCCTCCTGCCCCCAACAGGATTCCTCACATCCCAGGACCAGCTGGAAAAGGTGGTGAGAGTTGGAAAGAGACTGCTCAGTGAGGACTGCCCTGCGAACCAGCTTGGATTCATCCCGTTCACCTCCACGTTCTGCACTCGGGGCCGAGGGAAGGGAGGCAGCCCAGGCAGCTAGAGAACTTGATGAAACACACTCAATCTGAATCTCGCTTGATCGTCATGCTGACCCAGTGAGGTAAGTGATGGTATCCCCATCTCAGAGATGAGGAACCGGAAACTCAGCGAGGTTAAGTTTCACCTTCCTGAAAATCGGGCACCCCGTTTCTGTTCCCCAGAGGGAGCTCAATTCAAAGTCCCCAAAGAACAGGTCTTCTGTGAAGACCTGTTCTCCCCTCACAACCCCGTTGGAAAAAGCAGTGGGAGCGACCCAGGGCGGACCCTCTGGCCCAGGCTTGTGGGTTGGGGGGCAGAGGGGCCTAACTGGGTGGCCAGGTGGCCCGCAGAGTCTCTCCAGCAGCAGATGGCCTCCCCAGCCCTTTCCTTCAGAGCCTATTAAGCAGTCAAATGGGGGAGGGTTGGCCCCCAAGGCCAGGGACCCAGCAGCAGCAGCAGCTCACAGCACTGGAGCCGTTAAAAAGTGACTCAACCAGAAAGTGCGTTTGAAGTGACGCCCGCCAGGGCCCCAGAGCCCCAGAGCCCCAGAGCCAAACCTCAAAAAGACGAAGTGAGAGAGACAGGCCTGCGGGGGCTGGGCCGGGGGTGGAGACCCAGCCTGGAGCTGGCCTGGCCAAATAAGGGCAAATGCACTAGGGCGGGCCAATGGGGCAACAGCGGCTGGCTGCGTCATGGGGCTGCGGCTCTGGGGAGGGGGAGGTGAGAAGCCTGGGACAAAATGGGGGTGGGTGTCAGGGGTCCCGGCACCTCTTCGAGGGGTCCCAGGGTGGGTGAACACAGGAGGCATGGAAGCCCTCACCCCCAAGGAGCCTTTGTTACTAAGGTCAGTGGACCTGCAACCCCAGAGCCCCACCTGCAGGCTGGATGGGGTTCAAGGAAGAAAAAGGGAAACCTGGAGGACCCCCATGCCCCTGCCCCAGTTATGGGCCCTGGATCCCCATCTGCCATGGAGAACTGAAGGGAGGCCATAGGGACAGCAGCGTTGTGCAAGGGGAAAGGCTGAAGCACCAGTGCAGCTTCACCAGGCCACTGACTGTGGGCGAGAGATGTAATGGAAACTCAGTTTTCTCATCTGTGAAAGGGGAATAATATTGCCTCGTGGGATGGCACTGAGGGTCAAATGCAATAATAGAGGTGGCCCATTTTGAACCTGGAAATTGCCATAGGGATGTAATAGATGATTAGTGTAGAGGCACAAGGCCAAAGGCTGCTTCTTAGATTCTTGTTTCCAGGTGCTATAAACGATCCCTTTGCAAGGATATCATGTGGTTCTCAATTTTGGCCCCTGGTGTCTAGAACAAGGTAGGGGGAGGTGCCAAGGCCAGAGGGATTCCTGAATCTTAGTCCCTAAGCAAAAGCAGAAGAGACTGATGCCTGCCTGCCTCCAGCTGATTCCCCAGGGACATACCCCCCTTCATTTCTCCTGCATCTCCTCACCTTCCATGAATCCAGACCATGCCCCACCCCTCCTCCTGAGACCCCGCCCTCCATCTCCCGGCCTCTCTGGGGTGCAGGGCAGAGGAAGTGAGTCTACTCAGCTGACCAGAGAAAGTGCTGCAGCTGCCTGCACAGGGTGGGCCGACTGCTGTCTTGTTCAGTGCCTGTGATAACTCCCTTGCCTCAGGCCTCTCCAGCCCCTGCTGGGACCACTGGCCCAGGAGGAAGTCTGGGCTCTGGCTGCCACCTGCTTCCTCTCAGGAGTTCTTCTCCCTCCCAAGCATGGATTTGCATTTCCCCCTCTGCCTTCTGCTACTCAAGCCCCCAGGGATGAGGTGACAGTTAACCCCCCACTTCCTGCTAGTGGCCCCAGAGCGCTCACTTCCTTCCAGGTATTTTCCGGGATGGGGGAAGGGGTTGAAAGGGTGGTAGTTGCTGGGTTTGGAAAGGGGATGAGGGATCCATTTTGGAGAGAAACTGAGGTCCCCCTACCCTGCTGTCTGAAGCTGCTCCTTCCCTTCCCTCACGCTCACTCTGTAACACAAGAGCTCAGTTTGCAGGAAGAAGAGTGCATAGGCCGGAAGCAGCACACAGGGGCTTTCAAAATGGGCTAGGCCAGCTCTCTCTTAGAGGCCCAGGCCTCTATCCGCCATAGATAGACCCCCAAGGAAAGTTCCTTGGACTTCAAGTTCCCTATCGGGACAACATAATGTCTGCCCTCTACCCGGAAGGCAGAGGGTTGAGAATGGGGGAGTGCCAAGGCATAGAGGGGAAATGTTTTCCATCCTATTTCTCAGAGGATCTGGCATGCTGGTACCAGCAGCACAAGGCAGAGTGTTCTCTGCACTCAGTTCCCGCTTCCTGGGATCTTATGGCAGAGAAACACAGCATCTTTAGACAAGAGGTACTGAGCTAGGCAGTGTAGGACATACAAAGTAGCAGCGACCCGCTCCTGAAGTCAAGCTGACCAGTCTCTGGGGCTCAGTCCTCTCCTCTAAAAAGTGAGGGGCTGGCCTAAGTCATGACTCCCCCAGTCCTAATGTTCTGTGGTCTGCCTTCACTCCTCTGTAGACTCTGCATTTCACCTTCCCACTGGTGAAGGCCTCGAAACCCCAAGACTGAGGCAGGCAGCCATGTGCTCTTCTCCCCAGTCTAAACCTTATTGGTGCAACCTATAGCAATTTTTACCAAGTGTGGCTGTCTGTTCTCCTAGGTCAGACAAGACTGGAAGGGGGACAGCCACACATGAGCAACAGAAGTGACAGCTGACAGGTTGCTATGAATCCAAGAGGTAGAAAAAGAGTCAGTCCCGGAACCATTTCACCACATGATACAAAAATGGAGGTTTACAACAATGACTTTGAACCAAATCAGGTTAAATCACATTCAGAATCTTGTATCCAAATAGCAAGGAAGTATATAACACATTTTTAAAAATTTAAGCTAGGTGTAGTGGCACATGCCTGTAGTCCCAGCTACTTGTGAGGCTGAAGCGGGAGAATCTCTTGAGCCCAGGAATTCAAGGCCAGTCTAGGCAACATAGTGAGACCCTGTCTAAAAAAAAAGAACCACAGAAAAACAAACAAAAAAACAAAAAAAAAACCCAAACCAAACTTTATCTTATAAAAAACGAGAACATAAAGATTAAAATTTTAAAAAAACCTTGGCCAGGCACAGTGGCTCACGCATATAATCCTAGCCTTTTAGGAGGCTGAGGCCGAAGGAACACTTGAGGCCAGGAATTTGAAACCCTGTCTCTACAAAAAATACCAAAAATACCCCCAAAATGAGCTGGGTGGAGTGGTGCGCACCTGTATTGTTAGATACTCTAGGAGCTGAAGTGAGAGGATTGATTGAGCCCAGGAGCTGGAGGCTTCAGTGAGCTACAATCGTGCCACTGCGCTCCTGCCTGGGAAACAGAACAAGACCCTGTCTTTGGAAAAAAAAAAAAAAAAAAAAAGCCCTGGTGCTTGAAGGAAAATGTTTCTGTTTTGATTCAGTTTTGATGTATTTATGTATGATATATGTGGTGGAACACCTATTACCATTACCCAACAATGCTGGAAGGATGAAATTCTTGTCACACCTATCTAGAACTTACCTAGAGATAGGCAACCTTGGATAATGACAATTCCTTACATAGTTTACAACTCTCAAATTGCTTTTGCCTAAATTATTGTATTTGATTTTTTTTTTTTTTTTTTTGAGACAGGGTCTTGCTCTGTTGCCCAGGCTAGAGTGCAGTGGCACAACTGGGACTCACTGCACCCGTGACCTCCTGGGCTCAAGTGATCCTCCTGCCTCAGCCTCCCAAGTAGTTGGGACTACAGGCGTGTGCCACCACGCCCAGCTAATTTTAAAAAAATTTTTAGTAGAGACAGGGCATCGCCCTTTGCACAGGCTGATCTCAAACTTCTGAGCTCAAGCAATCCACCTGCCTCAGCCTCCCAAAATGCTGGGATTACAGGCGTGAGCCACCACACCCAGCCAAAGCAAACTTTTTATTTGAAGTATAACAGTGAACAAATCCTAAGTATATAACAATATATTTCCAGAAAGTGAACTGACCTACATAACTAGCATCAAGATCAAGATAAAAGGCCGGACGCAGTGGCTCATGCCTGTAGTCCCAGCAGTTTGGGAGGCCGAGGTGGGTGGATGGCTTGAGCCCAGGAGTTCGAGACCAGCCTGGGCAGCATGACAAAACCCCGTCTCTACCAAAATATAAAAATTAGCTGGATGTGGTGGTGGATGCCTGTAGACCCCGCTACTTGAGGCACTGAGGTGGGAGGATCAACTGAGCCCAGGAGGTTGAGGCTGCAGTGAGCCATGATCATGCCACTGCACTGCAGTCTGGGTGACAAAGTGAGACCCTGTCTCAAAAAAAAAAAAAAAAAGTGAAAGAAAATAAAAGAAAGAAAGAAAGGGAAGGAAGGGAGAAAGAAAAGAAAGAAAAAGGAAGGAAGGAAGGAAGGAAAGAAAGAAACAAAATATAACCAGCACCTTAGGTGCTTCTCATGCCCTCCTCCACCACCACCTATCACAGCTAACCACGATCCTGCCCTTAACATCATAGTTTTGTCAACTGCACTTCCTAGACAAGAAACTTCATTTTAGAGGTGACTTGGGAAAGTCACAGGGTTGGTGGCTGGTGGAGGCAGCAGGGCCAGGACTCTGCCCTTAGTTAGATACATGTATTTTCATCGCACAAGTCTCAGTGTTCCAGTGGGGTGTGACGGTGCCATCATCAGTCTGCAGATTGAGGGAGGTGAGGAGGAAAAAGAGAGGTTGGGAGGTGTGGGGCACACAGGTCAGCAGGTGCGTAAGAGCTGCTGGAGTGGAATAGAAGATGCAGCCAGGGGTAACTCATGAAGGGCTAGACTGGTTTCCCAATGCTCTGCACAGGAATCCTTGAGTAAATCCCAAGGATCCCCTCCCTGGGCCATTGCCCCACTGCCTCCATCTCTTTGGCTAATTTTAGACTTAGGGACTAGAGTGGTGGGATTAGAGTGGTTGGTGGGCTCAACGTGTAGGGACAATGTGTTGTAATAACTTCACTCAGAAGAAAGCTAATGCCTCACACTGGTTCTGTTGAACACTTATGGAGGGAAAAAAACTTGCTGTGTTTGTGGACAACTATGTCACAAACAGTTAGTAGCCCTAAACTTAGTGTGGACATTATATTTCTTGAGCTGAGGCTCCACTACTTGATTATGGCTAAAACACTTTTAACTCTTTTCTTCCCCACCCCGAGACAGAGTCTTGCTCTGTCACCCTAGCTGGAGTGCAGTGGCACGATCTTGGCTCACTGCAACCTCCGCCTCCCGAGTTCAAGCACTTCTCCTGCCTCAGCCTCCCATGTAGCTGGGATTACAGGCGCCCGCCACCACACCTGGCTAACTTTTTATATTTTTAGTAGAGACGGGGTTTCACCATCTTGGCCAGGCTGGTCTTGAACTCCTGATCTCATGATCCACCCACCTTGGCCTCCCAAAGTGCTGGGATTACAGGCATAAGCCACCGTGCCCAGTCAAGACACTTTAACTCTTTGAGTCTCAGTCTCCTCATCACCAAATAAGGATGTTAACTAGTTCCAGGGTTTCTGTGAGAATCAAATGAGATACTGGATATGAAAGCCCTTTGTCAACTGTATTTGGGTTTGTTTTGTTGTTTTCTGAGACACGGTCTCACTCTGTCCCCCAGGCTGGAGTGCAGTGGCGCCATCACGGCTCACTGCAGCCTCAAACTCCCAGACTCAAGGGATCCTCCCACCTCAGCCTCCCAAGTAGCTGGGACTACAGGTGTACACCACCATGCCTAGCTAATTTTTTGTAGAGATGGGCTTTTGCCATGTTGCCCAGGTTGGTCTTACACTCCTGGGTTCAAAGTGATCTGCCCGCTTTGACCTCCCCAAGGTGCTGGGATTAGAGGCATGAGCCACAGCACCCAGCACCTTTGTCAACTGTAAAAATATTTACATGAAAGGCTTTACTGATACTAAACATGAACCAGACTTCCAGACAAAGTTATTATTAGTCTGTTCTTAAACATGACCTACCTGCCTCTTTCATAGAGACCAGATGTCAGGGAGGGGACCTGAGGATCAAGTAGCAGGCTGCAGACAGACTAGGAGTAACAAGGCAGAAGCCACACCAAGAGCAAAGCCTCAGTTCCCAACCCTGGTGAAACTGCTCCCCTCCAAGACCAGACCATCCTGACCCTTGCTCTATCAGCTACCAGTCCTTTCTTGAGCTGGAGGCTGCATTATCAATGCACTGCCACTGAGCTCCTCAGTGTTCTGGGAGACCCTAATTCCACAGTATGTGGCAGGGAGGAAGCAGGGAATGAGGCAAGGGCAGGCAAGGGGAAGGCAGCCTGGCTACTATTCCTAGTCTCTGTCTGACTTGCATCTGTCCTTGTTGAGCTAGGGAGGAGGCTTGCTCTTCAGGAGAGAAGCCAAACTACTGAGCAAGACAAGGAGAGATCTTAAGATGCTATGCACTCAGAACTTCGGCAGCCAGGACGGGACTGAAACTCTGACAGACACAATGGGCCAATGGGGCAGGACATAGCTCTCATGGCTGCCCTCATAGCCATGGAAAGCAGGGCAGCAGTACCAGGACCGCCCACTCCCAGGGAGCTGTGAACCAAGTCCTTGTCTTAGTTTCTTTGGGTTCCCAGTAGAGGATGGGACTCCAGCACCTTTCTGCCTGTCTGGGTTGCTGAGTGGCACCACCTGCATGTTCAAGTACCAGAGAAAGCAAGAAAGCTAATTCAGCAGCAGCTCCCGGGGAGAGCCCACTTGGCACAGTCTGTAGAGTCCAGGAAGGAAAACAGGCCACCCTTCCCCCACAAGCATCAATGCCTATGCTATGTCTTTTGCTTCCTGTGAGACTGTCAGTTAGGGCCCAGTTCAGTGTAGGGCTGAGGCAGCCTGAATGTGGTTATTTGTGCAAGCTCCTCTTGCCTCCCCTCCCCACAACTGTTTCCATTCTCACCAAGCAGCCACGTCCGGGTCAGACACCCAGGACAGCAGCTGGGGCTTTCCAAGGGACTTTTTGAGAAGCTAGTGAAAGTTGGGTGTTGGCTGCACAGCCTGGGCACTTGCTGAAACGCACTTCTTCCATCCAGGACGTAAGCTCTAGCCTGGCAGGGTTGCTTTCAGGTTGAAATTGAACAGAAATCACCACCCACGGAGCTTTCTGTTTGCTGGGCTGGGGAAATCCTTGAGAAACTCAGTTTGGAGTTGGGGTTATCTGACCATTCCCTCAGAGCTTGAAGGCACCAGAGAAAATGGTTTTGGTTTGAAGACCATAGTGGACATGAGCAGCCCGGCCAGTCCCAGTTTCCCTCCCATAGGCCTATGTGAGGACAAGGAAGGGGAGTAGACAAACTAATCAGAGTCAGGTCGCATCTCTCCTCCTTCCCACACTCTCCAGGCCACAGGTAACAAGCAAAATCAACTCAAGAGCAACACCAGGTGGCTGAGACACAAAGCCCTAGCACAGGCAGCTCTGCCCTAGCACAGCACAGCTCACCCTGCAGTTGTGGTTCTCAGCATTTCCCCTACTATTTTGGCTGATTGTGCACATATTCTATGTATTGAAAAATGGCCCAAAAAGGAGAGCAAAAGTATTTCACCTTTATAATACTTATATAATTTTCACATAGCTTCGTTTCTACAATCACAACAATCCTGAGGTAAACAGGCAGGGTGCAATCATTCTCTTTTTAGAGGGAGAACAAGGAACTTAGGGAAATCAAAATGGGGATACGAACAGGATTTCTGTGGAAATTTAAATGAGAATTTGTGGTAAATTTTTTTATCCTAAAACAACTCACCTTGGCCGAAAAATGGGATGTTACCCAAGGTCCCCTACTAGGCCGGAGGAGAAAAGGACCTACCTCCTACAGGGGCACAAACAAGGGAGACTAGGACTCAATGGTCGCCCAAGGCCCAAGGGTCTCCAGTGAGTGCTTGAGACTGGCCTAAGGTATAGGAAGAGCCGTGAAGAGAAGAAAATAGACAAGCAGGGGAGGGAAGAATTATTAAACATGGTCAAGGAGCACTCTACAAAGCCTCAGGATTTCTTCAAGGGATACTGCTGTGCCAGGTCTCGAGGGCAGAAGGATACAAGTGTGAGACACCAGGGCCACCAAGTTGATGGGGTTACTGAGCCTCTGGATCAGCACCCTCCGATAGGAAGCAAGGAAGCACACTACAAAGGCTGCAATCCCAGAGGCTGAGACAGTCAAGAGGGAGTAGAAGGGCCTCTGCTGCTCTGGGAAGGTTCTTATAGGGCAAATAAGCTATTACTGTGCCTAAGAGAATGGAAGAGGGAGGCAAGGCAGGTGTCATGGCCTTCAGAACTTTCTCGAGGTTCATATTTATTGACATTTGACCTAGAGTCCTTGGCATGGGGAAGGCACAGACCTGGGCCACGGGTAGGAAAATCAGCATCCTACTCTCTCCTCAATTCCATCTGTTAATCCACCAACCCAAATCCCTCCCACCCCACCTGTAGTCCAAAGAAGATAAAATGATAAAATGATGTGCTGCTCTCTCAACAGTCAGCTGAGTCTGAATTGGAGGGTAGGAAGTATTTGAAGTTCTGTTCATTTAGTTCCAGAACAAGAAATAAGCAGAGGCAGGAGGTGGAGAGCAAAGATGCTGGCAGCCTTGCATCTTGCTAGGTCTTTATAGCTGTGTCTCTGGATTTGTAGGCCACTCCTCGACTTTTCAGCTCCCGCACGATTCCTGAAGCAGGAAAAGAAACAGTTCTGTGAGGTAAGATTCAGAAGGGTAAGATAGGCCACTCAGCTGCCACCTTGAGGGGGGTACTATAAGCAAACTGGAGTTCCTAGACTACTTATCAATCGTCTGCTTGGCCAGGCACGGTGGCTCATGCCTGCAATCTCAGCACTTTGGGAGGTCAAGGTGGATCACTTGAGGTCAGGAGTTCAAGACTAGCCTGGGCTACAGAGCAAGGCCCCATCTCTACAAAAAAATTTTAAAAATTAGCCAGGTGTAGTGGCTTGCACCTGTAGTGCCAGCTATTTGGGAGGCTGAGGCGGGAGGATCCCTTGAATCCATGAGTTCAAGGCTGCAGTGAGCTCTGATAATGCCACTATACTTCAGCCTGGGTGACAGAGACTCTGTCTCAAAAAAAAAAAAAAAAAAAAAGGTCCTGCTTAGTTGACTCATTACTAGTGAAGACCCAGGCAGGTATTCGGTAAGAATGAGAAGAAAAAGAGGGATACATGTAGTCATCAAAAGCAAAGGTTCTAAGCCAAGCACCTGTAGTCCCAGCTACTCAGGAGGCAGAGGTGGGAGGAGCACATGAGCCCAGGAGTTAGAGTCCAGCCTGGGCAACATAGTGAGACCTTGTCTCTAAAAAAAATAAAAAACAGAAACAGCAAAAATTCTGGAGCCAGAATGCCTGGATTCCAATCCTGGCTCCTCATTTACTACCTGGTGACCTCCAGCAAGTGATTTAACCTCTCTGTGCCTGGTTCCCCCCATCTGTAAAATGCTGAACCTCATAGAATGTGAGAATTGGCATTAATTCAGATAAAAAAACTTCCACAGAGCTTTACAGTAAATGAACATTGGCTGTTATGATTATTATTACCTTGGGGCAGGCGACCAGTGACTGACACCGCATATACACCTGGCTTAAAGTTACCTGAGAGAGAAGAAAAAAGATACAAGATTACAGTGAAGTTAGTTAAGACTCAAGATCAAATGGAAGCTTAAGCTAAAGAAGTGATGCAACTCCAAGAGAAGAGCTATTCCCTCTTTTGGCTACAAGTGTTAAATGACAAGGCACAGGACACTGCTTCCCTGTGTTTCCTACAACCCGATCTTTCCCACCCTGAGGTCACTCATCTTGCTGATTTGAGACTCCCTAATGGACCTGAGGAACAGTAACAACACTACAACTAAGCCAAAAGGAGACAGGCCAACACTTACTGACTCGCTGCCACTTGGAGACCCAGCTGTCCTCTGGACTCATCATCGCAATGATTCTAGGGAGGGAAAAGAAATGGAGAGTCAGCCTGAGCCTCCCTGGGCCTGAGCTCAATTCTGAGAGAGGAATCTAGGAAAAAGCCAAGTACCGAGTCTCCACTGGAAAGCTGGCAAAACTGCCTTCTGATGTTGGGATGAGGCTGACTCAAAGCTAGGACTGACAAAAGTTCTTCATTCTTATGTCCTTGGCCGGCCAGCCACAGGTCAGTTTCCATCCCCAAAAGATTATCTCACTCAGCTCACAAACATCCTTAGCCTAACATTCCCTAGAAAATGAGACGGCTTTAGGACAAGGGGTCCAATAGTTACAACTAACACAACTACAAGGGGTCTAGGGCCTAGTGCAAAGAGGAGGGTGAGTGAAAACAACGGATCCTCCTACTAGAAAGGAGTTCAACTTGGCTAAACTTTTCCTCTTAATGACCTATACATATGGGGACCCCTCTAATGACCTATACATGTGGGGTTCCCTTCTCAGAACCTCATCAGTAAGCTGAGACTCAAAGGTTGAGATAATACATGAAAAACACCTAGCACAAAGACTAGCACAGAGTAGGTGCTAAATAAGCATTAGCTCTCCTCATTATCCTAATAGTCCTTCCCAGGTAGCTGTGATTCCAGAGGAATGGTAAGGCTATTCAAGGGCTAGAAGATGCTGCTTGAGCAAGATGGGTAAGCATTTTTGTCATTCAACGCATTCAATCAAATGCTTACTGACTGCCTATTGTGTGGGTGTAAGCACTGACATTTGTTGACTGCCTCAATATGCCTCCCCTCTTCTCTCAGTAACAATCTTGGATTCTTATTTGAGAAGATTCCCTTCCCATCCAAATCCTACATTCTCAGCCATGCGCTGTTAAGTGGAACCGACCCTACCTCCAGGGGTGACAAGCAGAACACTAGCCCCCAGCCCTGCAGCCTGATGGGAGATAGGCATGTATGCAGGCCATCCTCCTGACCACAAGTATATTCTTCTCTGTCCTTTGCAATCTATCTTTTTAGCCTTAGGGTCCCTACAGCCCAACCTTATGATTTAACCTAAACAGAATTCCCACTGTTCTCCAAAAACATCCTGGTTTTTCCCATCCTAAGCCTTTGCTCTAGTCACTCCCTTTATTTGGAATGTTCTCTCTCTCTCTCACCTCAACTTCCTCAAAAATCCCAAACTTCTTGCCTTAAGAGGAAAGTACTACCTCTTCCAATTCTGGTTGAGGTCATCTAGCCCTCTTCCGATCTTTAATTTGCCCACTCTTTAAGACCTAATATGCACTAGAATTATACAAATAATTCCTACAACCTAACAACAAAAAAACCAAACTGAAGTCAAAAATGAGCAAAGGCCTTGAATAGGCATTTCTCCAAAGATATACAAATGGCTATAAGCACCTAAGAGGCTCAACATCACCATTCATTGGGGGAAATGGGACACCAAAGTCACACCCATCAGGATGGCTATTATTAATAAATAATTAAGTGTTGGTGAGGATGGGGAGAAATTAGAACCTTTGGGCACTGTTGGTGGGAATGGAAAATGGTGCAGTTGCTAAACAGTATGACAGTTCCTCAAAAAATTAAACACTGAACTATCATATGATCTAGCAATTTCACTTGTGGATATACAGATGATCCCTGACTTACCTTAGTTCAACTTATGATTTTTCAAATTTATGATTTTGCAAAAGTGACATGCATTCAATAGAAATCGTTTTCAAATTTTAAATTTTGTTCTTTTCCAGGCTAGCAATTCAGTACAATATTCTGTCATGATGCTGCGCAGCAGCCATGAGCCACAGCTTCTGGTCAGCCACAGTAACATAAGCGTTCTGAGCACATTTGAAGTAGGCTAACTTATTATATTCAGTAGGTTGGGTGTGTTAAATGCACTTTTGGCTTATATTTTCAACTTATGATGGGCTTATTAGGTTGTAACTCCTCGGAAGTTGAGGTGCATCTGTACTGAAAATAATGAAAAGCAGGGACTTGAACACATATTTGTATACCAATGTTCACAGCAGTATTATTCACAAATAGCCAAAAGGGAGAAACAACCCAAGATATCATTGATGAATGAATGGGCAGCAGAACATGCTATACACATACAAGGGAATATTATTCAGCTCAAAAGAGGAGGGAAATTCTGTTGCATACTACAATATGAATGAACCTTGAAGACATTATGTTGGTGAAAGAAGCTAAAAAATGCTACTGAATGAGCCCATAGGTACCTAAGGGTGCCTAAGGTGGCCAAATTCATAGAGACAAAGCATGGTGGTTGTCAGGGACAGGAGGGAGGAGAGAACGAGGAGCTAGTGTTTAATGGGTACAGATGAAAAAAGTTCTGGAGATGGATGGTGGTGACGGTTGCACAACAGTGAGTATGCACTAATGCCACTGAATTGTGTATTTAGAAATGGCGACCGGGCACAGTGGCTCATGCCTGTAATCCCAGCACTTTGTGAGGCTGAGACGGGAGGATCACCTGAGGTCAGGAGTTCGAGACCAGCCTGGCCAGCATGGCAAAACCCTGTCTCTACTAAAAAAAGTACAAAAATTAGCTGGGCGTGGTGGTGGGCGCCTGTAATCCCAGCTACTCAGGAGGCTGAGGTAGGAGGCGGAGGTTGCAGTGAGCTGAGATCGTGCCATTGCAGCCGGGCGCTGTGGCTCACTCCTGTAATCCCAGCACTTTGGGAGGCCGAGGCGGGTGGATCACGAGGTCAGCAGTTCAAGACCAGTCTGACCAACATGGTGAAACCCCGTCTCTACTAAAAATACAAAAATTAGCTGGGTATGGTGGCAGGTGCCTGTAATCCCAGCTACTCAGGAGGCTGAGGCAGAGAACTGCTTGAACCTGGGAGGCGGAGGTTGCAGTGAGCCGAGATTGCGCCACTGCACTCCAGCCTGGGCGACAGAGCGAGACTCCATCTCAAATAAATAAATAAATAAATAAATAAGTAAAATGGCTAAAATGGGCCGGGCATGGTGACTCATACTTGTAATCCCAGCACTATGAGAGGCCGAGGTGGGCAGATCACCTGAGGTCAGGAGTTTGAGACCAGCCTGGCCAACATGGTGAAACCCCGTCTCTACTAAAGATATAAAAATTAGCTGGGAGTGGTGGTGGGTGCCTGTAATCCCAGCTACTCAAGAGGCTGAGGCAGGAGAATTGCTTGAACCCAGGAGGCAGAGGTTGCAGTGAGCCGAGACTGCACCATTGCACTCCAGCATGAGTGGCAAGGGCGAAAAGTCTGTCCAAAAAAAAAAAAAAAAAAAAAGCAACAGCTTTTGGGCAATGATCTACCATTACTACACCTCCCTTCCCTTCATTTTCAAAAAAAATTTTCATGCATTTAACAAACATTATTAAGATTACATTCTTTCTTCTCATGTTAAGTCTTTGAAATCTGGGGTATATTTTATACTTAAAAGCATGTCTTAATTTGGACTAGACACATTTCAAGTGCTCAGTAGCTACACGTGGATAGTGGTCACTGTATTAGATGCATAGCACTAGTATGTCCCAAAATAACTGTTGAGGCTGGACACAGTGGCTTACACCTATAATCCCAGCACTCTGGGAGGTTGAAGTCAGAGGATCATTCCACGCTGCAGTGAGCTATGATCATGCCACTGCACTCCAGCCTGAGCCACAGAGCAAAACCCTGATTCAAAAAAAAAAAAAAAAAAAAAAACCCACACAAAATAACCCCCAAAAACGAATGGCTGGGCCCAACTAGGATTAACACTTGCCCTGCATTTACTTCTCTGGGTGCAGGTTGGGTAATGCAGAAGTGAATGATGGAAACTGAAGCGGCTTACCCATCAAAGGAAGAGCTAGTGCAGTCATATACCATCTCTCGGTTACCCTTCATTTGTAGATATGCATCACAATTGTCACAACCATCATATTCAAACTGGTCTATAGTCTGGGAGTGAAAGAAAAATAAAGGAAAAGGAGAGATAAGCATGAACAAGACCAAGAGAAAAAGTAGCTTTCTCAATACTTCGACCTGCTCAATTTCTTGTTTCCCTATGTTGACTGTGTATCCTAAGGTTCCCCACCTACTACTCTCAAAGCTTCATTCCTAAGTCCCACCCTCCCACTCCTTCCTCTCTCGTTCCCAATTCCGTTTTATCTATTCCTTTCTCTAGTCTACTCAGGGTCAGGCATCCTTTCCGACTACTCACTCAGCAGCGGATCCCCACCCGCCTCTGACTCCCAGTGTCTTTCGGCTCCAACGTAAGTTCACCGAACGTCTAAGAGCTGAGGATTCAAAGGCATGTAAGACCGCCCCTGCCCTCAGCTGCAAGACCTGTCCGCGATCCTACGAGGTAAACGATGGCCTCCTTCGGCTTCTCACTCCCCCTGCCACCTCTGAGTTCTGAGACTTAACTTTTCTCTTTACTGTCCCACAGCCCCATTCCGCCCTCTTTCCCCGACCTTGGTCCCCCATGGGCCCTACAACCAGGTCCCCGACTGACACCTTGACCAGCGAACACAGCAAACAGGCCCGCAGATGCCGCAGGTCCTTCGGCACCGTCTCCAGGGCCATCTTCGCCGATGGGAAGAACAACAGGGAGATAGACGACCACAGCCTGTGCACCCGCAGGAAGTAAATAGCTCGTTACCCAGAATGCCCACCACTTCCGGCGCTTAGACTTCCTCTTCCGGTGTGGGCGGACGCCAGCTCCGCCCCTACCCCCGCCAGAGGAGATGGTTTCTCCCGCCAGCAGGCGGGGAGGCTGGGCGGCCGGCCGCCACCTGGGCCGGAGCGCGTCGCAGCCACCTGAGCCCGCCGAGGGCGCGGCGGAGGCTGTGTGGGGTAGTCAGCGGGCCCCCGGGGCGGGGGGGCGGCTGCGCTTGCGCGGGAGTGTGTCGGGCTGAGCCGCAGCGCCGAGACGCGGGCTGTTTGATCTGGGCTGGTGGCCCTGGGCGTCGGTCCTGTTCCCCGATGGTAACCCGAAGTTTGTTTTTTTTTGTTTTGTCTCCCCGTTTTAGAAGCATTGGGGGCAGTGAATCCACTGTCTCCCTCTGGATTGTCTCTGCAGAGACCGAGAAGAAATCCAGGGACAGCCCCACCCCTCCTTCCTAACTGCGAGAGCGCTATAGGGTTTCCACTTGCTTCCCACAGGAATGCTGGCCTGGGAGCTACGGCGGAAAAAAATGCGTATTTATCTTTTAAAACTCCGTCTGTTTGCTCGTTCCGGCTGATAATTTATACTTTGCGCAGTTCTTAGCGCTTAGACACGGTTCCTTTACTAAAGACCATTTGTAGGAGATTAGGTGTCCTTTTTTTCCCTTTCATTTCACCGTCTAGGAAGCGAAATGCCTTGTTCTATAGGCACTAAACCACCACCCCTACCAAACCTTTCTCGGGGAAGCAGAAGGGGAACTTGTGCCTTGTGAGGAAGCGACAAAGGCCCCTTCTGGCCCTGGAGACTTCACGCCAATGGAGCACCAGCTCTCTGTCCTCGCAATAGCCCGAGTGCAGGCAGAACGCAGTCATTTGTGTTTATCTGAGAGGAGCTTTGGGATATAAATAGTTTCAGGCCCCGCTGCGCTGTCATTCCAGCCCAGCCTCCTGATTGAGCTGCTTCCGGGCGGGCTTTCTTCTTGTTGGCGGTCCCATGCTGTGTTCAGATGGGCTCTGTGACAGGTTTGGATGTTTTCTATCACTGAATAAAACTTTCCACTTTGGAACATATTTTCTACACTCTATTATCTCATGTAAGTCCTGCAACAACTATTAAGTAGGCCCATTTTATGGACTGAAAAAGCGAGGCACAGAGTATTTGCCCAAGGTCTGAGTCACTGAAGTATGATAATGTGTGAAGTGAACAGTATAATAATAATGACTGAAGCACAGTAAGAATCCAGTCATGCTTTCTCCTTCCCTGATCTCACTAAGCCACACTTTTAGGGGCTTACAAACCAGTTCTTATTGCCAAGCCCTCTACTCTACCCTATCCTTTCATGAATCGGAGCCTAGCCTCTGATAACATAAATAATTTACTTCTCTTGATGTAGAAAGAGATGACGTTGTTACCCTGAGTGACAGTCACGACAGAACAAAACCACAAGACCAGACCACATTTGTGGATAAATATATTAGCAAATAAATATATTTCTTAACATAGTGCCTGATTCAAGCGTCTGTCTGGTTCAGATATAAATACCCATGTGGGTACCTAGGTGCTAGTCTCCCCACTAACTGAGGGAAAAAGGTTCCCAGGTGGGGTCCTCTGCCCACTTTGCCACCACATTCACATTCCAAATGGGATAATGCCTGAGGGGCCAAGAGTGGTCAGGCTGCCCTGGGGTGAATGTCACCCTGATGAGGCCCATCAGCTCTTGTCCACTCAGTGAGGCCAGACTTGTGCTCTAATCCACTCTCCTGTGGGTCCCTGGCCTGTATGGCTTATACTGGGGAGCTGGGCCTCTGGGCTGTCCAAACCCAAGGGTCACACTTTGCTTTTCCTTTGTTGTCCCCATTTTCCATCCTTGCTCTAAGACAAAACTTTTCCCAGAGAAGAACTCTTTGTTGTCCCCGCTCAGCTGTAATTCTGCCTTTTCTACCTTCATTCCATCCTTCCTCTGCCCAGATAAAGTCCAGCAGAAATTCCTCCTTTCTACCTCTCTGGGACTCTGAGACAGGAAATCTTCAAGGAGGAGTTTTTCCCTCCCCACTATTCTTATTCTCAACCCCCAGAGGAACCAAGGCTGCTGTACCCACCTCAGGGACAGAACTCCACACTATAGTGGGAAAGCTTCAGGGACCCCTCCTTTTAGTGCTCAGGGCTCACCTATGCTACTGGTCCTTTTGGCAAAAAAGGAAAATGATAGAGCCAGGGTTGCCCCTGATGTAGCAGCCTTACTGTGGAGGGGCCAAAGCTGGTGTTCAGAGCTCACCCAAGGAGGGAGGTGATAAGGTGTCATGCGTTCTGCTGAACCCACTGGCTGGTATGAACATGAGGCTTGGGGTGAGGGAAACCAAGTAGGGGTTGGAGAAGGAGCAGCACCTTTGTAACACCTGGCTACCCATAGCTAGCTTTCTGCCCTCAAAAACTCAGCCTTCAAGGGATCCAGCCCACACACGCCACAGGCAGCAGCTGGTTGCCTGGCTGGACATGGATTTGCTGCACTGCAGATGTTTTCTGCAGACAAGGTCTGGAGCTGGAGCAGGAAACGGCACCCTCTCACCCTCCACCATCACCAGTCCTCTTCCAGTGCTTCTAGGAAGTACGGCAAAAAGAATGGTGTTTGCTGTGGTCCTTTCCTTTCCCAGGAGCAGGACTCTGTGCCAGGTAGGGCCCAAACACATCTGGAGCACACTCTTGGTTGGAGCTAGGCCTGAACATCTCACACAGCCTGTTCACACAGCTCCTCGAGTTCCTCCTCTGAGCCTGTATTTAGAGAGCGGGGAGGAAAGAGGTCATTGAGGGTCAGGCCAGGGACCTGCTTCTCTCGCCTGCAGCAGAGTGTGGCTGAGAGGGGACCACAGGGAGGGAGAAGCAGAGACTGTCTGGAAAGGGTGGTTAGATTGAAAGCTAAGGGGGCCCCAGTTGGGACACAGGGGAGAGAAAAACAAATCTAAAGAAATATATATAGCAACCAGTGTGTTACCAATACTTACTATTCATTTATTCACCCAATAAATATTAAGGATTCGTTGTGAATTTGGTCTGCTACCACGTGCCAAATAGAAGACCAAAAAGAATAAGCAGGGACCTGGTAACCTTTTTGGAGAGAAAGTATGAAAACAAATGGCCATTACGCCAGTGGGACAGGACAGGAGTCACGAGAGATGCATTAAGGAAGGAGAGAGACCAGGTCCAAGTGCAGCAATCAGGAAAAGCTTCCTGGAAGTGGGGATAAATGAGCTGATTCTGTAGGAATAGGTAAGAATTAGATTTATGGGAATAGAGAAGGCAGGAGAATATTCTGGGCTACAGGAACTACAAGAATTGTTTACCCAGTTTGGCTAAAGCATGGGCCTGGGGAAGGGAGGGAAGAGAATAGAAAATAAGGTTGAGAAGGAAGATGGGGGCTGGCTGGTGCAGGAACCTTTGAGGCCAAAGCAGGTTGGATTTTTCCTCTCTGTGGACAAACAGAACATTTGAAGATTTCTGGACAGTTTAGTGTAAGGCAGATGACGCTGGCAGCAATAGGGAGGGTAGGTGAGCAGTGGAGCTGTGGTGCACAACTTTATGGGACATACTGGATGGGCAGCACTCAGCCTTCGAGGCCCTGTAAGAGGGAAGGGAAGAGCTAGGAGGCTCCTGCATGGATCTTTAGGGTATACCTAAGACACTGGCAGGGCCATCAGTACTGGACTTGAAAAGAACATGATAAAGCTAGCCAAGATACAGTTAACAGAATCTGGCACTGATTAGATGTGAAAGGCAAGAAAAAGAGAGGCACTGAAACTAGTTCTGAGTTTGAGAGAAAAGGGAGATAGTGGTGTGGTACTGGCAGCACTCAAAGTACACACACAATAGGGTCCGAATGGAATCACAAACACATAGCCAAAGCTTGCAGTACATGGCTCTCTCCCCATGGACCTGGATGTCCTGATTGGCAAGTTCCATGTCTTCAGAGCCTAGCCTGGAACCTAGCACAAAGCAGGCATATAGTCAGAAGGAAAAAAAGGAAGGAAGGAGAAAGGAAATGAATAAATGAATGAATTGGATGAGGGCAGCTCCTAGGTCCTGCAGGAAGAATTCCTACACTGAAGAATATTTCAGGACCTTTGTGTCACCTCCTGGGTTGGAAGGGTTCTAGTGATGGCTGTAGACAAAGAACTGTGTCATCCATACAATGGGGGAAGATGGGGAAGAGTAGAAGGTGGAAGGTCCTGAATGGAAAAGAGAGATATGTGGGCAAGTAAACACCATGTTAAAGTTGAGAATTTACGTGATCACTGCTTATGATATAGGGATGCACTGAATCCCCAAGAAATTAAGGTCAGTCTTATTAATAATGATGTGTTGAAGGGAAGTCCTCCTTGTTCTTTTACCACAGGGGAAGAGAAGAAAACCTAAGGCTCCACAGGGCTGCTGGGAACCACCTGTGGTTTCTCTCTCTCTCTTTTTTCTCGTTGTTCACATAGCTCTTCTTATATAGCCTCGTATTATGGTTATGTGTAATTATTTCTACTATAGCTCCCCCCGAGGAACACTTCTTAGCCTTCTTTGTATTTAGAACTAATACTGAGCTGTGAGCATTGGTAGAACTAAACCAGTTATTAAAATTTAGAAACACTTATGTTTGAGCTACTACCCCGGGGACCATTCCAAATGCCTCTTTTTTTTTTTTTTTTTTTTTTTTTGAGATGGAGTCTCACCCTGTTACCCAGGCTGGAGTGCAGTGGCGCCATCTTGGCTCACTGCAACTTCCGCCTCTTAGGTTCACGCGATTCTCCTGCCTCAGCCTCCTGAGTAGCTGGGATTATAAGTGCCCGCCACCATACCCGGCTAATTTTTGTATTTTTAGTAGAGATAGGGTTTCACCATGTTGGCCAGGTTGGTCTTGAACTCCTGGCCTCAAGGGATCCACCCACCTAGGCCTCCCAAAGTTCTGGGATTACAGGCATGAGCCATCACACCCGGCCTTCCAAGTGCCTTTCTGATGCCTCAGCCACACCAGCACCTCCCTGGGACCTCCCTGTGATCTGCCAACTAAAGGGGTAGCACCTGGCAGAGGTGGGGTGTTCCTGCACTCTAGCCAGCATGATACGCTGTCCCGATGGTTAAGTATTTTGGTTGTCATCTCTGCTGTATCCTTCTCAGCTTCCATCAACCCTTTGTTGGCTGACTTCACCTGTCCTGAAATATTCAGCTGTAGTCTCCTCTCCCTACCACACCCACTTCCCTCTGAAAACTCACCAGGCTGGGCCGACAGCACCTGGCAGTGCGGATAAGGGCATGGCCTGCCCTCTGCGGTGTCAGAACTCCATTCAGAAGGCCCCTCCCCAGGTGGATGTGGTTCCAGGGGCTGGCGAGGAGTCAGGCACAACCACACTGGCTGTGAATTTGAGTAACAGGGGCCTGGGGTTTCTGGTAGCAGCCTCTTGTCCAGGCCTGGAGGTCCACAGATCAAGGGGTGTGCCTCTGGGGACCAAGGATATGCCACACTGGGGGTGTAATGGGGAAAAATCTGGCAAGCTGGGTGCACAGTTGCATCCTGGGGCCGAGAGCCAGGGGTGGGCTCGGAGGGACCCCCCCGCCTTTTCCTCTGTGGGTGTCGGGCAGAGAGGCTGGATTTTTGCAAGTTGAACAGACTGCTGGTACTGGGGCAGATGCTGGAGGCGTCAACTGGGCCAGGGGCTGGCTCAGGGAGGGCCCTGGGGCACTGTGGGTTAGAGAGCCGCCCCGAAGGGGCTGCTGAGTTGGATCTGGTGACTTGCTGATCAGGAGAAGGTGGCTCTGGCTGGGGCTGTGTCCGAGGAATAGGAGGCCTGGACTGGGGGACTCCGGTTTCTGGGCCAGGCTTCCTGCCATGCCACTGGAACCGCTTTTTGTAGTGGTGGTGCCGGTGGCGGTGGTAGTGGACATGGCTGGAAACCTGGGTTTCCCCTGTGGGCACCACCGAGTCCAAGGAACGAGGCCGAGAGGTCACACTAGGCTGCATGTCCACTCGCTGGGGATCCCCTTTAGGGCTGCAGTACACTAGGGGGTCAAAGTCACTGCTTAGGGAGCTGCAGAAAGTAGAACTGCTGCCATGGACCCCCTGTAGGCTGATGTCCGTGCAGTTGACCACAGAGTCACTGGAAGAGCCATGACAGGGCCCTGAGCTGGAGTCACTGGCTGGCCCATCTGCCAGGTACCCACTGCGTTCTGTGCAATAGCTTTCTCCAGATCCACTGCTGTCAGGGGGCCTGGCCCGGCGTAGGGGCACTGGGCAAGCAGCAGGGTGCTGTGAGGTGGATTGGAGGTGGCTCAGTCCCCAGCCTTGTGCATAGGGGTGCTGGGCTCCTGCCAGGCGCTGCTGCTCTCCTGGAGCCCGGGGATGTGCAGCTCTGGGGAAGCGGTGATGCCGAGGGCCCATGCCTGGCTCCTGGGATGGCAGGAAGGGACCAGGTCGTGGGGGCCGAGCCACTGCACTCCGGGAAGGGCCCAACAGGTAGGCAGCAGGGAGGTGGTAGTGGGCATGGCCGGGATGCTGGCGAATGAGGTGGAGTCTTCGACCTGGTTCTTGGTAAGATCGAGAGGGTCCCAGGGACTGGGAAAATGAATCTCCCTCTGGAAAAAAGAACCAAGAGCACAGATGTTTAACTCTACAAACCTACAGAGAATGCATTCAGAAAGACATGGCTGTAGCTAATCTATTTGACCCTGAGTAGCCTGTGAGCTCAGAGTTTGGGGGATCAAGGACGTGCCTAAGCTGCCTGTGCTCTGGGACTCCTTTGTTCCCTCCAGTCAGGTTGCCTGCCCTGGGAGGGCCACTATGCGTGTCAATCCCTAAACCTCCCCTCAGCCATTTGGAGCTCTTTCACCCAGGGCCACTGTTAGCCCATAGGGCACCTGTGGGTACCTTAGAAAAAGGTTCTCTTTCCTCAAGATATTTATTTCACTTTCATCTTTTAGAAAATTATGTTAACATACTGATTTTGTTAGAATAGAATATTTTATTGCCAGAAAATTGGAATAATAAACATATAAATCACCCAGATTTAGAATCAACAAACTTGCCATGAAATACAAATAATTTTTACAATAATAAAGATTATCTACGGCCGGGCGCGGTGGCTCATGCCTGTAATCCCAGCACTTGGGAGGACAAGGCGGGCGGGTCACAAGGTCAGGAGATCGAGACCATCCTGGCTAACATGGTGAAACCCTGTCTCTACTAAAAGTCCAAAAAAAAAAAAAATTAGCTGGGCATGGTGGCGGGCGCCTATAGTCCCAGCTACTCCGGAGGCTGAGGCAGGAGAATGGCGTGAACCTGGGAGGCGGAGCTTGCAGTGAGCCAAGATCGCGCCACTGCACTCCAGCCTGGGCGACAGAGCGAGACTCCAACTCAAAAAATAATAATAATAATAATAATAATAAAGATATCTACATGCCAGGCACGGTGGCTCACGCCTGTAATCCCAGCACTTTGGGAGGCCAAGGTAGGCAGATCACCTGAGGTCAGCAGTTTGAGACCAGCCTGACCAACATGGAGAAACCCCGTCTCTACTAAAAATACAAAATTAGCCAGGCATGGTGGCGCATGCCTGTAATCTCAGCTACTCGGGAGGCTGAGGCAGGAGAATCGCTTGAACCCAGGAGGAGGAGGTTGCGGTGAACCGAGATCACGCCATTGCACTCCAGCCTGGGCAATGAGAGTGAAACTCCGTCTCAAAAAATAAAAATTAAAATTAAAAAATAAATAAATAAAGATATTTACATTTTGAATGACGCTTCCCCTCGAGTGAGGCACTCTGGAGCAGTGTACAGCCCATACAACTATGGTGGCAGTTCTGCTTTCTCCCCAGCTTCAAGGCTGCAACCCTTTCCCAAAGGGAAGCCACATTCTAGACCTGTCTGCCTACACAGAGGGGAGTCCTTGGCCCACCTCCTACCTGTGATGTTGAACATGCAGAGGGGGCAAGTCCGATGCTGATGTAACCAGGGGTCCACACAGTTACGATGGAACTCATGGAGGCAGGAAATGACCCGTAGCTCCTGGAGAAAAAGAGGGGGTCCAAACCAAAGGCTTCTGTAGCCATAGGAATTGCCAGGAATCAGGACATCCCCCAACTCCCTTAGGCCTCTCCTTGCTATTATCTACTTGTAAAAGACCTCACAGTAGAATAGGAATGGTATGAGCTTTGGCATCACATAGACCTGGATTTTGCACTTAGCTGCATGACGTTGGGCAACTTTCTTAACAGACAGTTTTCTGCTGTAAAATGAAGATAAAAAAATGAATCTAACCCCACCCTTCATTGCCATGGGTCTAAAATGAGATAATGCATCCAAAGCACCACTGCAGCCTGGCACGTGGTACACTCTCAACAAACAATAGTGCTCTTTCACTGGAAGGTCAGAAAAGTGACCAAACTTCAGGCTGGTCCCTGATCTCTGCCTCATGCAGGACACATGGGAAACAGATGTAGCCAGGGTACCCATACCAGCCCCTAGGCCTGCCCACCCCTCCCCCAGCTTCAATCTCCCCAGTCTGGTCATGGAGGTGAACCACAAGACCTGCCTTACCTGCCCCTCAGAGAACTCCTCCAGACAGATGGCACACACAGGGGCTGAGCTGCAGCTGCTCCCTGAGTCTGGCCACTCACCCCGGGCCTGCCTGCAGCTGGCCTGGTACCTCCTGGTGGCCAGCTGGCTGATGGCCCAGGCTGTTCTCTGCTGAAGCGGATCCTGGGAAGAGGAATGGGGCTCAGATTGGGGCATGGGCTCCCCTTCCCTCCCTCTCTGGACCCAAGCTTGGACTCCGTTCCCAGTCACTCAGGTAGATCACATGGCCAGTTGAACATCCTTAGGAGTTCGTCTCCTCGGAGCTCATATGTGGCTCTGCCAAGCATGCCAAGCTCTCCCAGTCCACCCACCTGCTTATACCATTAGCTTTTCTTCCTTTGATGACCCATGAGAGAAACTTTTTATCCAACCGCTGCTTGACATTTCAACTTGGATATCTAATAAGCATTTCAAACTTATAGGCCTCATCTTATTAACCATGGGTTCATCTCCAACCACATACCTGTCTTCCCCGTCTTCCCCATTATAGCAAATGGCAATTCCATTCTCTTAATTGCTCAGGCCAAAAATCTTGGTGCCGTCCTTGAGTCCTCTCATATCCCACAATCA
This sequence comes from Homo sapiens, assembly GCF_000001405.40. Classification (NCBI taxonomy): domain Eukaryota; kingdom Metazoa; phylum Chordata; class Mammalia; order Primates; family Hominidae; genus Homo; species Homo sapiens. The sequence continues at coordinate 58,361,392 of NC_000017.11, forward strand.
ATCCATTACTAAATCTGTTGGCTTTGCCTTCAAAATATACCCAGAGCCTAACTATTGCTCACCATTTTAACTGCCGCCTTCCTAATCCAAGCTACCATTACTGTCACCTGGATTCCTGCAATAGCCTCTTAGATGGTTTCTCTGTTTCCAGCTTTGCCTCCCTGTAGTCTATTCTCATTACAACAGCAGGAATGATCATATTAAAACTTCAGTCAGATCGTGATGCCCTTTCTCTCACAACACTCCAGTGGCTCCTGTTTCACCCACAGTAAAAAACAAATGGCCTCAACAGTCCAATACAACGGGGCCCCCACCAGCTACTCTGCCGTCTCACTCTGTTCCAGCCACAGCCTTCATGCTGTTCCTCAGATACACTAGACACATTTCTGCCTTAAGGCCTTTGCATTTACTGTTCTCTCTGCCTAGATCCCTTTCTCCTCAGATACCTGCACAGATCACTCCCTCTCCCATTTAGGGTCTTTGCTGCAATGCCATCTTCTCAATGTGGCCTTCTCTGGACTTGCTTTTAAAAATTAACCCTGTTAATTTTTACTAAAAATACAAAAATTAGTAGCTCCCAGCTACTCGCGAGACTGAGGCAGGAGAATTGCTTGAACCCAGGAGGCAGAGATTGCAGTGAGCCGAGATCACGCCACTGCATTCCACCCTGGGCGACAGAGCAAGACTCTGTCTCAAAACAAACAAACAAACAAACAAACAAAAAAAAACCTTGTTCCCTTGCATTCCCTCCCTCCCCACTTTGCTATCAGCATTATCATTTTTTCTCCGTAGTACATATCACCATCTAAAACATTATAGATTTTACTTATTTAGTCTGTTTATTGTCTGTTTTTTCCCTCTAGAATAAAAAAGCTCTTTGAGGGTAGGAGTTTTTTGTCATCTTGTTCACTGTACTACCCTCAGCACCTGGAACAGTGCCTGACACATAATAGAGCTTGGTGTATTTGTTGAATGGATGAGTAATATGAGGAGAGGCTGCTGGAAATCAACAAAGACAGACGCTGGGGTATTTTGATGTAAATGGTTCCATAGGTATAAAGGTGCCTTCTTCACGTACTCCTTCCTTCTCCCTAACCACCCACCCACACACACGCACACGTTCACCGCCGCCAAAGACCCCACACTGCTCACCGGCCTGCTGTGGCGGGGGCGGCACCGGATGCGCAGCACCGAAGCCAGGATGATCACAAAGATGGTGCCCACCACTGTCATTAGGATCCACACATCATAATCTGGCTGGGGAGTGAGCAGAGAGGGAAAGGGTCATACTTCCGGGATGAGCTGGGTCAATTCGGGAGGAAACACAGGAGCCCGGGAGGCACATAGCTAACTGGAGGTTCCCTTGAGTCCTCCATCTGAGGGGATGGAGAGGAACCTGCAAGTGGGATTAGGTGGGCCCTCCCTGCCCAAGGGCACTCAGAGAGGATCTTCCAGATGTCACTGGGAGAAGTACTATCTCAAAACCCATGTGCTTGGGGAAAAAAGAGAAAGGGACCCCTCTGCAAGGTGGGAGTTTCTTGCCAGTGAGCCGCTGGATGAGGTTCTTGGCCAGTAGAGAAGCCCCAATCAGGGGTCATGGATCAGGGGACCAGGGTTTCATTCTAGCTCTGCTATTCCATGCCATGAAGCCACAGAGCTGTAAAGAACTTTAGAACTCATCTGTCCTGATCTGTTCATTCTGTAGGTGAGGCCCAAAGACGGGGGAAAACTTGCCCAGAGGCACACAGCTGATGGATGAAGTTGGACTAGAGGGTTTCCAGGATCTCTCGCAGCTCCAGGAGTCTAAGGGCTTTTGGTGGGAGTTGCCACAGGACAAAGTAGGGCTAAGTGCAGGGCAAGGTCTGGAGGTCTAGTGTGCTTACCCAGGCCGGGGGCTCCTTCAGCTCAATCCTCACATGGGCCTTTTGGTTCTTGTACACAAACTCCATCAGCTTCTCAGCGTCATTACCCCAGATCAACACCACTGGCCAGGTCAGCCCCAGCGGCTGCTGCAGCTACAGGGGGAAAGTGCCCACAGGGCTGCTGTGACTTCTCCCTGCCCTTCCCTCTCCCCTGAGAGCTTTATCTTCCTCCATCCAGCCCCCACCTTGAACACGCAAATGTCCCTGGGTACCTGCTCAGCAGCAGCTCGATCCTCAGTGATGTCAAAGAGGACAGCACTGGCTCCTCGCTCACCCGCCATCCGAGCCTGCAGAGGCACACAGTAGAGGTTGGGCTGAGGTCAGGGAAGGACAGAGCCCACCCACAGGCTAGCCTCACCCCTCACACATCTATCCCTTCCTAGGATTATGCCCACAGCACATCTTTGCACACTCACATCTACCTATGCAAGGGGTCACTGGGTCTAAGATCTCCTCTTCTGCCTCCTGAGCTCACTCAGGTCCCCACTGCCTTCAAGGGATAATATCTAGCTTTTCCTTTTGTAATGGAACAAACCCTTAAGGGGGGTTTACAGGGTGCCAGGTGGTGGACCTGGCTCTAGGATGAAAGACAAATAAGACACAGCTCCTGCCCTCAGGGTACAATCAGCCTGCCTTCACTAAGAGGTATGAGCACGAAGAGTAGGAGGGACCTGCACCCCTTAGAAGGAGAAGAGAGAGGAAGAAGGGGACAGCAGAGAAGTAGAGCTCTCCTTCAGAGGGAGCTGGGCTTTCCAGGGCCCAGTCCTGCCTGCAGGGCATCTCCCCAGCTCAGGCAAAGGTCTAAGAGCCTGGGACGCCACTCTCACGCAAGGCCACCATCACAAAGCCCCTGTCTCAGCTCATCTCATGGGCTCCCTCTCCTTGCCACACTCTACTTTGCCAAGTCTTTCTCTGGCTCCAATTCAAGGACTTAGAGGAGTCCTTGTCCAGTGGTTTATCCTTTCGTCCCCTCCCTTAGGGTGGCATTAGAGACAAAAGTGGGGAGGGATTCAAGGGGCTAGTCCCATATGGTGAGTATGCACACGTGCATGTTCACCAAGGGCTCCAAGAGTCAGCTTGAGGAAGCAGAATCTAGCCAACCAGGCAGAACAGATAGCAGTGCCAGAAAGAGAACAAAAAGCAGGAATCCAGGGGGTGTGTGTAGGGAGGGGAGTAAGGAAAGGGAGATAAGAGCTAAAGGTCGGGGGAGGCGGGAGGCACAACAGCAAACAACTAACAGGCACTGTGAGGAGCTGCTCCTGGGCTTGGCCTGGGGCCTCCCGGCCTAGCACAGCCACCCTCCAGCCTTCCTCCCTAGGGCAAAGGTTCATCTTCTAATGGCATCAGGCTGTGATTTTACATCCCTGGGCACCGCCCCCCCTCACCCCCAAAGTCTCTGGGGTCTTCCCACAGGCATTGAAGGAGTTAACCCTCCTGCAAGTAGTGGTGGCAGCAAGAAGAGCCAGCGCTGGGACTTACTCACAGGCTCAGCACTTTGATCTCTGCCTGTCTTCCCAGGGAGAGCCTGTCAGGGCAGGTCTCCTGCCAGGCAGGCTGGGAGCAGCTCCTTTCCTTGCTCCAGCTCTCTGTTCTCCACTCCCCAGACAGCAGCAAGGCCCAGGGGGCCACTCAGAACCCACTGCCTGCAGGCAGAGGAGACACTCAAGCGGGGCCCTGTTTTGGTCAGGAAGGTAACTTTCCTTCCTCCCCCAGGAGCTAGGCCCAGCCTAGGGCCCAGGCTTACCAGGCTAATTGACTAGAAATTCACAGGACCAGTCAATTCCAGAATGGAAGTGCTGAAGGAGTTGAGAGGTTCATGGCTTCCATCTTCCCTACTCACTTCCTCCCATCTAAGCTACTCCAGGCAGGTAGAGACTTTCCAATCTTCAGAACCCTCCTAACAAGGGTAAGGGAGAAGTACCAGGGGAAAAGGAATCCCTGGTAGGGAACCCTACTGGTGATCTCCTATTCCAGGGATTTGGCCAAGGACAGGAGAGGTCACCCCAGTAGTCACAGAATTGGGACTCCCAGGCCTCAGTTTTCACACCCCTAGAACAAGACCCTGGACCCACCCTGGCCTGGAAGAGCATGAGGAAGGGCAAAGACTTTCTTCTTTGGAGATTTTGTTATTTCCCCTCCCCTCTCTCTTTGAAGAATTGGGGTAGGAACAGTGGAAGGCAATTACTGTGACATTCAAACACTCCAGCCCATTACAGCCCATAATTACAAAGTTGTAAAAGTGATCAAAGAGCCCAGAGCACTGGCCAACAGGGGAAAACAAACAGGACTTTCAGACAGTGAGTCCCTGTGTCCAGAATTCTAGGAATAAAAAGCAAGATTTGGGGACAGATAGCAGTCCAATCTAGGGCTATCTATGCCTCTTGTCCACCTGCCCCCAAGAAAGTAAGTGGAGGCAAAAAGGAAAAAAGTACTTATTTGGGTACTGGAATTTGGAAAGCAGAGAGAGGATAGGCAGGCCCTCAGGACAGGAAGGCAGTTTTAGAAAGAATCCAAAGAGCTCTTTGGAAGCTTCAGAGTTGGCCAGCCCTAGGGGCAGCAGGCAAGGCTGCCACAGCCTCTAGCAACAGGAGCCATTACAGAGAGAGCAATGAGAGTGAGTTGCAATTCTGCCTCTTACTTGCAGGACTCACTGGTCAGCTGCTGCATTTCTCTGGGCCTTAGATTTTCTTCTCCAGACAAGAGTCCCTGTATATCTTCTGCTCATCAAAAATGAAGCACCTACCGTGCCCAGGGCACCAAGCCATAGAAGGCCAGGCCCTCCAAAACAGCTCATAATATAGTTGTGGAGACAAGGCACATACATGAAGCTATAACGCTGATAATATTCTAAAGCACAAAGGAATAGAAACGGAAGCTTCCAGACCTTTTTTCACTCCAGAAGGCTCTCCCCTCTACTATCCCCTCCACCAACACACATACACACAATCTGGCACAAATGTTCAATATAGAAAGCAGATAAAAGTGAGGCTGCTTACTTTGAGGTAGGGGTGGGGACAGGAAGGACCTTCAGCCTCTCCCCTCCACGCACCAGGTGCGTCCCTGAAACCTGGACTTAGCAGAAGATGGTGTTGAAAGCATGCACAGACACCCTACCCTCTGGAGGCATGCCCCCAGGGAGGGATTTCTGCTCCTACTGGGCTGGCTGGGCCTGGGCTGGTCAGGAAAGATTCAGTAGCAAAGGTGGGATTCCTCTGGGCTTGAAAGTTAAGGGTGAAAGGAAGGAGAAGGAATATAACCTTTATTGAGATCCAGTGCCCAGATTGCCTAGGGGTGAATCCTGGCTCTGATACCAACTATTAGCTGTGAGACTTGGGTCAAGTCACTTCACTACTCTGTGTCTGTTGTTTTTTTCTGTAAACTGGGATAATAACAGGACCTAGTCCATAGGGTTGTTATGAGGACTACATAAACGAATCCACACAAAGCATTTATAATAGTGCCTGGCACGGGGTGTTGCTTAAGCATTAGTTATTATTATATCAACTATTATAATTATAATTATTATTTTTGAGACAGAGTCTCACTCTGTTGCCCAGGCTGGAGTGCAGGGGCGCAATCTCAGCTCACTGCAGTTTCCGCCTCCCGGGTTCAAGAGATTCTCCTGCCTCAGCCTCCTGAGTAGCTGGGATTACAGGCATACACCACAAGGCCCGGCTAATTTTTTTTTTTTTTTTTTTTGAGACGGAGTCTCGCTCTGTCACCAGGCTAGAGTGCAGTGGTGTGTGGTGTGATCTCGGCTCACTGCAACTGCCGCCTCCTGGGTTCAAGCGATTCTCCTGTCTCAGCCTCCTCAGTAGCTGGGACTACAGGTGCGTGCCACCACGCCTGGCTAATTTTTGTATTTTTAGTAGAGATGAGGTTTCACCATGTTGGCCAGGCTGGTCTTAAACTCCTGACCTCGTGATCCACCTGCCTCAGCCTCTGAAAGTGCTGGGATTACCACACCTGGTATGAGCCACCACACCTGGTCCTTATATCAACTATTATTAATACTATGTGTTTCCGACATGTGATTTCATTTACTCCTCAAAACTCTATAAGATAGTCATCAGCCCCACTTTTGAGGTGGGAAACTGAGGCTCAGAGGAACTGAATAATTTGCCCAGGGTCACCAACTGAGAAGCAGTGGAGGCAGAATTTGCACCCAGGACCTCAGCCTTCAGATTGCCTGTTCTTTACTACCAGGTAGTGGCCTCCATGGTAAGAGAGGCAGGGCTTGCACCCATCTGCTTTTCTCCAGATCTAGCTCCTTCTAGCAGGCAAAAGGCCACTGCACTAGTTCAGGCATGAGGTGATAAGGCTCTGGCTTATCACCAGGATGGCTGTGGAGCTGCTAATAAAGAAACAGAAACCAATCTGGGTGACTGGACAGAGGGTGGAGGGGATAGTGGGGTGGTGACAAGAATGGAAGCCTCCAGAAGAATTATGGTGAGGGTTTCAGAAAAGAATAAGCGAGATAACAAATGGAAGGAAAAATACCGCAACCTTGTTAACTACAAAAGCACGGAATGATGATGCCAGTGATGATGATAGTAATGATAATTGCAATCATTTATTGAGTGGTTACCATGTACGTGGCATGGGGCTAAAAACTTCCATCTGTACTGTCTCATTAAATCCTCCTAACTACTTACAAGTCCCATTATTATTCCCCTTTTACAGATGAGGAAATAGAGGCTGGCTTAGAGAGGTGAGCTAAAAAAGTCCAGGTCACACTGAGGGGCAGTGGAGGAGTCAGGCTGCAAGCCCAGGGCTATCTGGCTTGAGAGCCCCAGCTCTGTCATTGGTGACAACACCATTGACACCAACAGGAAAAGCCAAAGCAGAGAGCAGAGCTGCAGGGGTCAGTGGTTTCCAAACTCTCCCTCCCCTAAGACCCCATCTTTCCCTTAGACCTCTCATGAGTCACATTTTAAGAAAAACAGATGTTCGGCTGGGTGCAGTGGCTCATGCCTGTAATCCCAGCATTTTGGGAGGCCGAGGCAGGCAGAACTCTGGAGGTCAGGAGTTTGAGACCAGCCTGGCCAACATGGTGAAACCCTGTCTCTACTAAAAATACAAAAATTAGCCAGGCGTGGTGGTGGGCACCTGTAATCCCAGCTACTTGGGAGGCTGAGGTAGAGAATTGCTTGAACCCTGGAGGCGGAGGTTGCAGTGAGCTGAGACCACGCCACTGCACTCCAGCCTGGGCAACAGAGCGAGACTCCATCTCGTTAAAAAAAAAAAAAATTAGCTGGGTATGGTGGCACATAACTGAAATCCCAGCTACTCAGGAGGCTGAGGCAGGAGAATCACTTGAACCTGGGAGGCAGAGGTTGCAGTGAGCCGAGATGGAGCCACTGCACTCCAGCCTGGGCAACAGAGCAAGACTCTGTCTCAAAAAAAAAAAAAAAGAAAAAAGAAAAACAGATGTTCTACCAAACTAACTATATTTATTACTTACAATTTATTTTCTCATGAGATAACTTGTATTAACATGTTGAACTAACAGAATTCCAACCAAAACAAAACCAAGTACTTGAGGTAAGCCCGTGGAACCTCTGAAATATTGCAGGTAGCTCAAAGACTCATAGGAGTCACAGGCAAAGGTCTAGAGGTCCTGTGAGGTAGCAGGCCAGGGTGCAACAGGCAAAAGAGAAGGCCCACAGCTGTGGAAAGGGGGCAGCCCCAGCCCAGCTCCCACCAATAGCAGCAAAGCTTCTCGGAATCCTTCTTCCCCATCTCTCTCTCTCATACACACACACACACACACACACACGCACACACACACACACTCACTATGTAATGCAGTACAGGCACTGGGAACTTGTTTACCAAATGAATAAATGAGTGACATTTGCCCATATTTTGTAAGGAAAGAGAAATGAAACATCCAGAAGTAGGGCAGGCAGCTGCAGCCTAACAACTCTGCTGCCATGAAGGCTCACAGCCTTGCAGAGATGCCACACTCCCCAGCTCCTCCAAGTGCATCCTGACCCCCTGCTTCCCACCATCTCTGGAGTCCCCTTCCTTGTCAGCACGGCCAGGCCAGGTGAATATCTTCACCCACATTCAGAATCCTGCCCACATCCCTGCCTGCCATGGGATGAGGTAAGAACCCAGGCTGTTTCCTTGTGCCCAGGAGAACGAGGATATCCACAAGGGATCTGGGCCTGAGACAGCAAGCTAACACAAAGGCCGGGAGTGTCACTCTCCTCTCTCACCACCCTTGGGGGCATACCCGTGTGTGCCACACACAATCTGACTACACTCCACACGTATGTTCAGTTTTCCAGCTAGAAGGGAGGCCACAGATAGATTAAGCCTAGTTTTGAGAAACAGACAGGGTTGGATTCAAAGTTCAGCTCCACCCCTTCCTAATTGTGTCATCCAGCAAGTTACCTGACTTTTCTGATCTTCACTTGTCTCATACATCAAATGAAGAATAATAATGCCTACCTTTCCTGATTGTCCTGAAAAGTGAATGAGATCATACATACAAAGAATCTGTCCCATGTCCACATGGCACATTGTAAGCACATAGAAAACAGTAACTGCTATTGTTAGTTAAAGCAGCAGTCACAGGCAAAGGTCTAAAGGTCCTGTGAGGTAGCAGGTCAGGGTGGAGCATAGCAAAAGAGAAGGCCCACAGCTGTGGAAAAGGGGCAGCCCCAGCCCAGCTCCTACAAACCATGGCCTGCAGCAATGTGCTTTGCAGGTTTCTTCTAAAGAAGCTGAAAATCTGAGTTTTTTTTTTTTTTTTTTTTTTTTTTGAGACAAAGTCCCGCTCTGTCACCCAGGCTGGAGTGCAGTGGCACGATCTCGGCTCACTGCAAGCTCCACCTCCTGGGTTCACACCATTCTCCTGCCTCAGCCTCCTGAGTAGCTGGGATTACAGGCATGTGCCACCACGCCTGGCTAATTTTTTGTATTTTTAGTAGAGACGGGGTTTCACTGTGTTAGCCAGGATGGTCTCGATCTCCTGACCTCGTGATCCACCCACCTCGGCCTCCCAAAGTGCTGGGATTATAGGCGTGCGCCACCACGCCTAGTGAAAATCTCAGCTTTTATATAAACATTTTTAATTTTTAAATGTGGCAATTAATATACACATTGAAAAGTCGCTGTGAGGGTTAAACACAACATGTCTGCAAGCCAAACCCAGCTTATGGGCCACCAGTTTGCAACCTCAGGGGAAAAGTGTGAACTTTTTAAGGGTGGGGCAATGGTTTCTATTTCTGCTGTTCTTGCACAGTGCTCAGTGTATGTTTCTAAAAGATGGAAATCCCTTCAATTGACCCCTTCTTTGCTCTGGTGCAGAGCAGGGGAAGGGACTCAGGAACTCCCAAGTGATGGGAAGGAGGTGGGATGGGGAGCATGCTGGGATGAAGGTCAAAAAGTCCTGCTGGTGCTAGTCGGAGGAGAAAAAACAGAGGTGTGAATTTCCACTTCTCTCAGACCAGTCATGGGTTAGGGAAACCCAAGGGAATCAGGTACATCACTCTTAGGAAACATGGGGACAAGAGAGCACAGGGTCTTCTCACAGCCCAGAGCTGGGTGAAGCTCCGGGTGTGTGTAGGGCGAAGTGTGAGTCTACCTTGCTAGCCAGTGACAGGCAGGGGCGGGGGGCCCGTCGAGGACTCTCCAGCTTGACGATGCTGATGAATCCAGGCTCCAGATTGTCGTCATCACTGGCATTGCACAGGTACAGCGGGTGGGACTGCAGAGAGAGACAGACTTGGGTTAGGGAGGCTTTAGGCAGCAGGAGTGAGCTGTGAGAGCCATATACCTCTCCATTTTTCTAGGGAGGTACCAGGCAGGTCTCTTGGTGCTGTAAAAGAGTAGGCCTTATGATTGGATTGCCTCTTAGTAAGCTAGTGACCACTGTTTGTCACTTCAGGATGCTGGGGCCAAGGACACAGGTAGTGGAGGCAGATAGGAGGGAGAGGGTGTCCCAGAGGGGACCTAAATGAAGAGCTTGCTGCAAAGCAACTCTAACAACCTTCAACTCCAACAATCCTACTTCTCTAAACTGGCCAGACGCAGAGGGCTCCTCTCCTGGCCCCAGCCTCTCTACCTCCTGATCCTTCTACCTGCTCCCCAAGCCCCAGGCTAAGAGAATATCCATGTGTGCCTGCATCAGTGCTTTCAGAATGCCCATGGGCAGTGCTGGATGCTGCTGGTGCCTCCTGCCTCCTCGGGATGCCCCCAGGCAACTGTTGCCCTGTAGATTCCCATTTCTCAGGAGGCTGGGTCATCTCACTCGGTGCTACCTTGCTTCTCTCACTAGCCCCTTTTTTGCCTCTGCCCTGTACCCATCCTGGGATCAAGCATGGTGTTGACAGAGAGGTGAGACTATCTTGCAATGAGGCTTGGCTAAGACATAAGCTTTGACAGCTCACCCTGGTCCCAGGAATGATGCCGTGGAGGTGGAGCCAGCCCAGCCCATCTGCTCTAAGGGCAGATCCTGTCCAAGACCCTGTGCCTCTGAGCCCAGCTGGTGCTGAACAATGACTAAAGGAGAACGTGCTGACAGAAATCTGAGGCTCTCCTCATCAAAGGGGTGAGACCACCTTACTCTCTCTTCTCATTCACAGCGATTTGTACACCCATTTGAATCTAATTTTCCCTAAACAAAATGTCAGAGTGCAATGAGAACAAAGTATGACTTATTTGGCCCTGAATAATCCTATGGTCCAGGGACTCCTATATAGTAGAAACCCCACATATCCTGGCAAGAAAGAGATTTCTTATTAGAGAGCTGCCCACACTTCCCCCTCTACTACTGTTGATGTCTGAAGGACTTCCAGAAAGAACCATCAGAGGAACCACAGAGAATCTTGAATTTATAAAGATGTTTATGAAGATAATGTCAATGATGGATTTAAAAGCACACTTTCTGAAAGCTCTTTCAGGCTATTTCCTCTCACTGTGTCACCGCGGTCCCTTGAACATAGTAGGTTCTCAATAACTATCTACTACCTTGCTTTGAATCAAAATCTCTGGGCAGGGGGTGTTGAGATAGGAAGGAGTTCCATTCTTGCTCCCAGAGTTTAAGGCCTACTAGTCTGGTAGTGAGCAAGGTTTAGTGTGGGAGAAAGGTTATCATGTGCCCCTGCCCCAAGAAAAAGGCTGGGGCATGAGGGTGGAGTTGTTCTTACATCAGTGAAGCTGTAGCCCCTGTCTCAACAAGCTGCATTAGTCTCTCTATCTGTCCATGCATCCATTCATTTCTTTGTTCTGCCAGCACGGAAGGCCCCCTTGGTGTCAGGCTCTGTCCAATGCAGTGAGGAGCTAATGATGAGTAAGAGAGGCTCCTTGCCTTAAAGCAGCTCAAAAGACAAGCATGCAAACACATCGTGATGTTACAATGCAAGGGGCCTATGGGAGGGCACAAAGAGGGGCAGCTAACAATACATATGGGAAGCAGAGCAGTTTTCACAAGAGGTGACTGGAGAGCTACCTGGAAGGCTAACTAGGTATGTGTTCACCTCAGGGACCAATGAAAGGGAGCGGGGTTGGGGAGCCACATTCCTGGCAGAGGAAGCCACTGCACCAAGGAACAGAGGCCTAGCACGAGGCTGAGGTAGACTGTGGGCAGTGAGGTCTGGCACGAAAGGGAAGGCAGGACATAAGGCTGGAAGGATCTGCAAGAGTCAGGCCACAGAGCTGAGACCACAGATTTGCACTGGAGACCAATTTCTCTGAAGACTGTGGAGGAGACTCTGGTGTGGTGGGGAATCTGAAGGCAGCTGCTCCACCAGAGCAGAAGATGGAGGCCTTCCCTGAGGAAGGACAAATCGCAGCCACAGAAGGTTCTGCTCTGCTTGCTCCTCGACCCTCCCCACATGGTCCAGCCTTCTCCTGATGACTCCAAGATGCCGCTCACTGACCAGAGGGTCGCCTGGGAGAGGAAAGTCACTTTGGAGAAGTTCCTACAGTGTGTCTGCAGATATTTAAACAGCACTCTTCCCCAGGTTTGAACAGGGAACCAGCATCTACAGCTCAGTGCTGCATTGTAGGATACCTCTGACAAGGTGGAAGGGAAAAAAAACCTGGTATGAGCCACCAAACTTGCCTGGTTCCGAATTAACAACTATGGAAGAAGGAATGGAAGGAAATTAAACATCAATAAAGGCCTCTTGTGTGCCAGAGCTTTTAGACATTATTTCACCATAAGGTAGGTGTTATAGCCATTTTTAAAAACAATTATTTAATTTTTATGTGCACATAGTAGGTGTATATATTTATGGGATACATGATATGTTTTGATATAGGCATGCAATGTGTAATAATCACATCATGGAGAATGGAATATCCATCTCCTCAAGCATTAATCCCTTGTATTACAAACAATTCAATTATACTCTTTTAGTTATTTTTAAATGTACAATAAAATTATTGTTGACTATAGTCACCCCATTGTACTATCAAATACTAGGCCTTATTCATTCATTTTAACTTTTTTTTTAAAACCCATTAACCATCTCCATCTCCCCACTACCCCTATCATAGCCACTTAAAGAAGAGAAGCTTGAGGCTGAGAGAAATCAAGGTCACACAAGATTTGAACTCAACTCTGCCTGACTCCATTGTCGGAGCCATGGAGCTCCAAATGAACCCTCCATCCAGCAACCCTCCATCCATCTCCATGCTAATGATAGTCAGGATGGGGACAGTACAGTTTATATTTATTGGGTAAATACTGTGGGCCAGTGATTGTTCTATGCACTTTTTCATATTAACTCTTTTCATCCTCATAACAACACTATCAGGTAGAGATTGTTATTGTTCCCATTTTAAAGATGAGGAAACTGAGGCACTAAAAGGTTAAATAACATGCCCAAGATTACACAGCTAGTAAGTGGTAGAGATTAGAAAAAAAAAGGAAAGTAGTAGTAGGATAAGGTTAAAAAAATATTTAAGAACAATTTACATTTTATTTTGAAAACATGATACCTTCCCCGAACTCATTTACTAAGAAAATTTATCTTACTAAAGCATAAGGACCCAAATACAAGTCCCTAAAATGTTGATGGTGACCCCCGGGATTCTTAGACCCTCCTCTCTTTTCACTCTTCTTTTTTTTTTTTTTTTGAGACAGAGTCTCGCTGTGTCACCCAGGCTGGAGTGCAGTGGTGCAATCTTGGCTTGCTGCAACCTCCACCTCCTGGGTTCAAGCAATTCTCCTGCCTCAGCCTCCCAAGTAGCTGGGACTACAGGCGCCCGCCACCATGTCTGGCTAATTTTTGTATTTTTAGTAGAGATGGGGTTTCACTATGTTGGCCAGGTTGGTCTTGAACTCCTGACCTCATGATCTGCCTGCCTCGGCCTCCTACAGTGCTGGGATTACAGGCATGAGCCACCGTGTCTGGCCCCCTCTTTTCACTCTTGATGACTTCTCTGGGTGACAGCAGCCAATCCCATGGCTACGGTGCCCACACAGAGGTCAGTGATTACATATGTACAGTTTGGTCTTCTCTTGAGCTCCAGACCCTTATGTCTAACCCTGGACGTTTCTACCTTAATAATCTTAAGTAGAACACCTCAAACTCAGCATGCTCAAGACTGAACTCATTCTATCCCCAAAACTGCTCCTCCAGTGTTTGCTGTCTCTGGGATTGGAACCATCATCCATCTATTACCCAAGCAAGATGCTGTCCTCCTAGCCTCCATCTCCTTCACCCCCACTCTAACCACCAATATCCAATCAATCGCCAAATTCTAACAATTCTACCTCCTAAATATTTGTCTTATTTTATTCTTTCTTCCATTCTCACTATCGCTATTGTAATACAGGCCACCATCACTGCCAACCCTATTTACCGAAATAACCTACTCCCTAGGGTCACTTCATCCCATTCGTTCTCTATATTGCAGCCAAAGTGGTCTAAAATGCTAACTTGAGCACGTTACTCTTCTACTTGCAGCTCTTACAAGGCTCCTCATAGCTCCTGAAATAAAGTCTGTACTCTTAAACATAGCTGAAAAGGCTCTGCCTGGTCTGGGCCCTGCCTCATGGCTTAACATTCCCATCCTATATCTCTTCCCACCTTGCGACCTATGTTCCAGAAATAATAACTTGTTTCATTTCCCTGAACACCTTTGGCACTTGCTGCTCTGTCCGGCATTTCCCTAATCATACATTACCCCACGGTATTGTAATTGTCGGCTTACTTCCCTCTCTTCTCCAGATGATGACTGAGTCTAGCCTGCCCCCCACTGCCTGTTACTTTGTGGGCACTCAATCAATATTTGTTGATTAAATATTGGAAGTCTATAACCAGATAATTGACGATAGTTAACTATGAAGACAAGACAGAGCACACCCAAATCCTATAATGGTTGCTCTGGGAGAGGAATTAGAGAGGGGGTAGTAGAGAGGGACTTTGGTGTTTTGCTTTGAATACTTTGATCAGAAGATAATACATGAGATTTGAGTTTTGTTTTTTGCTGTTGTAGAAGAATAAAAAAGAACGACAGTTATTTATATTTTGTTCCATGTCTTTTCCCTCCTTCCCTTCCAAGAAGATGGCTTCACCTTCTATTTCCTTGCCTTAGGGGCATTTGCCAAAAGCAAATGTTGTTTAAAGTTCTCCCTTCCTGGCTTTTGCAGAAAAACTGAACTCACTGAGGAAGTGTGAGTGTCCTGAAGGCAGAAGGGCCTGTGGTGAAGGGAGGGGTCAAAGTCTCAGAACCAGGAGGGCAGGAAGGAGGTGTCTGGAGCCAGTGTGAGGGGCCTGGAGCCATGCTGAGTAGTGGGAAGCTGCAGCCTGTGCCCCAGAAGCGGTGGGTCCCTGGAGAAGGACTGAGTACTAGACCCCAGGAGGCTGGCCCCTGGGAGAGATGATGTGCCTGCGTGGATTTCAAGGGAATGCCTGTGTTTGGACAAGAAACATATCTGTGGTGGCCAGCATGGATGAATATCAGAGGGGTCCCTTGGATATCTTGGTTTTCATAAAACTCTGGGACTTTTGTGCTACTCTATGAGGAGAAGTGCCCTTGAAAACAAATGTCTATGCAGCTAATGGGATAGGACCTTGGTGTTAGATTTGATAAAAAAAATAAATAAATAAAGTAACATGATCTTTCTAGTACAATTATATCTGTGGTATGACAATCATACTCATTATACTTTTGTATGGCTTGACTCTTTTACAATGAGAGCTTTTCAAATATTCTCAAATTAAAAACAAATAATAGCCATTTGAACTAGGACTCAGTTCAGCACCTAGCAAGAAAGACAGCATTGGCATTCCCTGGGTATAACACAGGGGCTGTCTTTGCCCTTCCTCCAAGGAATTTTCAGCCAGGAAGCGGGCTCTTGAGAAAACAGATGCAAATACATCTGTCTCCTTGGAATGCAAGGTCTCCTAATCATGAAGATGCAAACACGATTTCTACAGTGGGCCACCTGTCCCCTCAGTGACACCAGGGGAGGGTCAAGAGAAATGAGCTTGCCTGATTTGAGAAGGGTGTGGCTGTGGAGGGCTCATGGAAACTTGGTGAATTTGACTTCCTCAAAGGCCAGGAGTTAGGACACCACTGTCTCACAGGCTGCCATGAGGGGCAAATTAAGAGGCACTTGCTTTCAAGCACGAGTTGGGTCATTCTGACTCAGAATTCAGCTTTGCATACATATTTTATACCCCCTGTGTAAAGACATGTGAACTGTCCTTCGGTGGTGTGTGTTGTATTTCATATTCCTGAGTCTATTCTCCCTGTGTCCTCCTTAACTTATTTGTTCTGATTTTTTCCCCTCCCTCCCAAGACAGACCTAGAGTTCAGATTCTGACCCCATCATTTACCTGTGTGACCTTGGGCATGTTAATCTTTCTGAGCCTCATATTGCTCGTCTTTGGAATGGGAACAAGAATGCTTTGTGTAGACAGGAGATAATGGATATCAGTGCCTAGCAAAAAGCCTGACACTTAGTAAGTGCTCACTTAATGGCAGCTGTTTTTATTACTGCATCTATAATAAAGTCCCTTCTTATTCCTGGAAGGGACAAGGCCTTTTCTGAACCCCTCCCCCGTTCTTTGGTAATCAACAGTGCTTCTGAATGCCAGTGTTCTGCAAGGCGCATTCTGGGACAGCTCATTATCCACAGTCACTTCCCTCCTGTTCTCAGCCCTCCAAACCCCACTGAACAAGCTCTTCCAGTTCTCAGCCTGCCTCCTTCCCATGAAGGAAGCCATGTGATCTCATTACCTCCTCACAAAGGGCATTTCAGGGCTCAACTGGGCCTGGAACTTAATGCTGGTCTCCCCTTATCCATGGCATCTCCTCCTCTTTGGGTGTGTGCTTCTGCAAGCAATTCTTCACTGTCTCCTGTTTCCCAGGAACTCTCCTCCCCACCCACCCACCCACCCCCTCCTGCCCCCACCACCGACCTCTGCTGCAATTGTCTCTTAGTTCTCTGATTCCACGTACAGACCTTCAACCAGGCCTTGGACAGGTAACTTTACTGCTTGCTACAATTTTGCCTTTGTAATCAAGAACATTGGCCAGGCATCAAAGGCATCATTCTCCCCATTTCCTCTTTTCAGATTTTACAATCATCCTTTCCTGCACAACCTCCATTACCTGAACTTTTATCTTAGGTAGGAGGACACACCGGCATCATAAAGTAAAGCTCCTGCAGATATGGGGGTGGGAAAAAAACAGGTTGGCCTGAAGTTGCTTCTTCCGGATCCCGGCACCAGAATAGGCCCACCACTGAGGCCCAGCTTGGTCACCTTGCCTTGTATTGAAGGGAGTCAATGCTCACATCTACAGGTTAGATCCTAATGGTGATTGTTCAGGCTTAGATTTGGGAACCTCAAGACCTCTTTCAAAACCTTACATAAACTTGTCACTATCTCTCTGAGATGACTGAGTTTCCACGAATCAAGTTGGGAGGCTGGGGAATTGTCGAGAGGAGTTTCTCTTTATTTTATTTTATTTTACTCTATTTATTTTTGAGATAGGGTCTTGCTCTGTCACCCAAGCTGGAGTGCAGTGGTACAGTCTCAGCTCACTGCAGCCTCAACCTCCTGGGCTCAAGCAATCCTCCTGCCTCAGCCTCCTGAGGTGCTGGGACTATAGGTGTGCCTCAGCAGCCTGGCTAATTTTTGTATTTTTTGTAGAGACAAGGTTTCACCATATTGCCCAAGCTGGTCTTGAACTCCTGGGCTCAAGTGATCCTCCTGCCTAGGCCTCCCAAAGTGCTGGGATTACAAGCATGCTATCTATTTTTTAAAAATTATTTTACCAGAAAAGTGTATTCCTGCTTCATCGTATAATTTTTTAAGCTACAAAAGTAAATAATGTTGGTGGGGAGGGAGAAGCATAACCTCGGGCCATCTGATGGGAGTGCACACTAGCAGGGGATGGATGAAGAGGCCTCCATGATTTCTCACTTGATTCAGGAAACCTCCTTGGGGGAACAGGGGTGCTGGTGAGCGAAAGAGCTGACAAGATAGAACTGAAATGATGTTCCAGAATCTAATAGGAAGCAGGGTGGCAAAAACTGAGGGAAAAACTGAGCTCACTGAAACTCCAGTCGGGGGCTCTGCATATCATAGGCCCTTAGTGTTTGGTGAAAGAATGAATAAAACTTGATTTGAATCCAGTTGCCACGTAGTTTATAGAAGAGATGTAAATTGCTAACAGCTGAGCCTGGTTCACACCCATAATGGACCTTCAAAATTTGTCTTTTACAGCTGAAGAAAGCAAGACTCAAGTTACAGATTGCCCACCTAGTTAAAGTTAGTCAACCTAGTCAACACCCAGTTAAAGGAGGTTGAGGTCCCCTAAATTCAACCCCACACTGCCTCCGGGTATGCACGCTGGGGAGGCTTTTCTGTGGCATGGTAAGCATTAGGTGAGTACTGTAATATAATGCCTGGGATCACAGTGGAAGGCTTCAGGGTCCCCATTTCTAGAATTTTCAAACTTGAATCATTCTTAACAAGACAGAAGCAGGATCTGTCTGCTCCTTGTGCTCTGCCTCCCAGCCTCGGCTTCCTTCCTCTCCTCTACGGTTTATCTCATCTCCTCTCCTAGCCACAACAAAGGCAGCCAGACCCAGACGCTGCTCAGAGACACTTTCCCAGTGAAAAGTCCCTGTTGCTTTAGGATGAGAAAGGTGTGTCCTGAAATTAGAGGTCACAGAAGCTCAGACCCAAGTAATGGTCATTCAGCCAGACTGCCATTTTCCTTACTCCTTCACCCCACATTACAGACGCCATTCTTCAATTTCCAAATTCACCTATCCTCATTTCAGACTGTGCTGGAGCTCCATGATGCAACTAGGCTTCTTTACATGAAAACGGCCCCCATGGTGGGGTTCTCCTGACCCCACACTCTGCCTGGCATCTTTCTATGGTGATTCACAGGTCAGGAGTGCACTCGTAAGCAAATGGAAGAAGGTAAGGAGAACAAGAGCTAATTATCTGAGCTGCTTTTGAAATAAAGTGATATCAGAGAAGAAAGTATATTTGGCACTAATCATAGACAGGAGAAAAATCCCAGCCACCCAAGAAGTAGAACTTTTATATCATTATATTCTCACATGGAAACAGGGTTTGACCTGACTCAGTCAGAATGACCTCTAACTACAAAGGTACTAGAAAGCTACTCATGAAGTTAGAAGCAAAGAAGAGGGAGCCCGTCAAATATCATTTTAGTTACATCAGGGATCTTTAGAAGCAAGGCCATGAAATAGAATACCAAGTTCTGAGGCCTGTGAAGATCAAGACCTTAAAAGATAACCCAGTCATGTGTTCTGGACTCCTTTTCTCCACCAGGTGAGGAACTCAGGGCTCAACCATCCAAAAATCATACTAATTAGTTCTGGGAAGTCAGCTGAGTTCTGACCACTGTCCCAGGAAAGATCTTTGTCACCCTCACTGACCTCCATCTTATAAGGAGTACCACTGAGCCCCCTTGTTTAGCTAGGTCTTATCCAAAGAAGTCCTCTGCAGAAAGGCCGAGGTCTTGACACAGATGGCAAGTATTGCTAGGGGTAATATCTAATTCCCACAGGCCCAGGATAAGGTCTATAGAGGCTTTGTCTAGGGCCCTTCTGAGGCATGGTCTTAACTCTTGCCACAACAAAGTAGTTAACTGAACTCTCACACCTAACCCAATGTGCTACTTGCAAACAGCCTTGACACAGTTTGCTTTATTATTTGATTTTGCTGTTCCTGTTCCAGCCAAGCTCACACCAGAGATGGCAGGAATCTGAAAACCTACTAGAATCAGATAAGTGTTTATTTTTGAGTAATTATTTAAGATTTCAATGCTTAAAAGGCCAAAGACTAAAGCCAGACAGTCCCTGTGAAAAACACCAAAGAAATGAAACTTAAGGAAACCAGATCATTTATTTAAATACGCCAGAGGCCCATCTGGACTACCGGCAGAGCTACTTGAGCATTGCTAAGTTTGGTGATTGCAGTGCAAGAGTGCGAAATAGCTTCATTAACATGGTTACTTCACACATAGTCCAGGTCTTTCAGGCTTAGTCTCCTGCTCAGAGGCTGTAGGGATTTCAAGGTGTCCTGCAAACTCTGCTCCATACTGCTGTCTTCCACAACTGGCTTGCCCTGGGGCTTAGAAGCCCTTTGAGGGCAGATACTGTCTCCAAATGGGCTGGCTCAATGAAATCTTCTATGCTCAGATTTGCATTGGCACAATGCAAGTGGGGATGGAATGAAGCTATGAAGCTTGCTCGGCTAGTCCCAGTCCCCAGATCCTGGGCAGTAACACACAATATTGTATTTACATTGCAAAGTGGCAAAATTATGGAGGATGGGTCTGGGGTTCAATAAAGAAAACAATAAAGGATCATAGGGGTAGTTGTACTCAGAAATAACATCAGGAGGAAAAGGACAAAATTATTCAAGCCACCAGCCAACTCAGATGCCCAGAGTCTCTCCTCAGAAGCCATTGGGGGGTTGACATTAGGCCAAGAAGGCTTCTGTTCAGAAGAGGCAACAGCCAGGAAGGGCTTGTGTTGGAGATAGCCCAAGGGCTCCAGCCTGACTGCTGACAGCCCTTTGACCACAGCTCTGAATCTTTGTCCATGCGGTGGCCCTAGGGAAGAGGCCTGCTTTGGGGGGACTGTTTAATGATTTGCCAGCAAAGAACAAGGCAAACAGACTGCTGGCAGCTGCCTAGATGCAACAGGAGAGTGGATTTTTATTCCCACCCACAGTGTAGCCTTCCAGGCAGGGGATAAAAGAAAAAGTGAGATGGCTCTGGGAGAGCCTGGGAGGGATTGCCATTTGGGGCTCAGAATTTCACTGGGTCTCTATGGATGGTGCCTGTATATCTCAGCATTGGTGCCAGCTGGTATTTCCATCCTCTGAATATTTTAGAAATTCCCAATAGTAGCATCTCTTGCGCTCCTAGGAACTAAAAAGTAAGATATATAAATAGCCTTTTATGGCAGAATTCTAGGCATTAAAGAGAATGAAAGCAGAAAAACACTGTCTTAGCTCCTAAGAAGTCTTTTACAGAAAACATATGATGGGAAAATAGCTTGGTTCTCTGCCAAATTATTTTTCCTTTCTCTTCCCATGGACGTTTCCCTATTTCCTTGGTTCTATAGAGAAAAAAAATGGCACCTCTCCTATCCCCCTGTGATCCAAAGACTGTGAGAACTCCAATCCTATAGCTCTCTACCTCTTTTTGCCCTTGACTCCCCATGCCAGTTCAAATTGGGCCCTTCTCCAATCCTTTGACCAGCCCTCAGTCCCCAGAAACTAAATACTTTCCCTCATATATTCCCCTGAAGCCATCTATACAAAATTCTTAAATGACACTTACCTCTTACTGTGGGTCAATGCTGCATTGTGACCCACTCTCTTACCTATTTCCTCCAGCAGAATGCCTGATTCTTAGTGCAATAAAACATTAGTTCTTTCCTCCTTCCTGCAAAGTAGAATCTGAGCTCCTTGAGGTCAGGGACTAGGTCTTATTCATCACTTAACATCATGCCATGCACACAGTAGATATTAAGAAAAATGCATGTTGAATCATCTGTTTTAATAAACAGATGTGAGGTAAAATATATTTGGTGGTTGCTCTGTCATTTTATCAGGATATGATTATTTTCAGATTTCTGCTTTCTCTTCAGAAACTTTCTGTATACTCCCTGTAAGTTTCAGTTTCAAAGTCAGCTTTAGAGTATCTTGACCTCATCACAAGGCAGAGTTCTCTTCTTTCCTGTTCACCATCATGCCTAGATCTCCTCCACAACCCTGAACAAAACTCACTTCTTTCTGGAGAAGCTTCCTGTTTAATAACCCATCCCGTTATGCTTTTATTGTCTCCTCTCAGTATCAGTGTACTGCTGAGTTATGCATAACCCTGAATGGGGAAGAAAGCAACAGCCTTCTGCCCCAAAGGAACGAGTCCCGGTCTCAGGAGAGTAACACCTGCCTGTAGGCTACAGCAGTGTATACACGTGCTCAATGCACAGGGTCTTAAGGCCATTTGTTAGACAACACACAGGGCATGGGAATGCACAGAGCACAGCACATAAACACTGGGGTAATGTGGAATGATGGACTAACTTGCTCTTGCTGTATGGCTTTGAAGTACTCTCTTGTCATTTTGGGCCCTTCAGTCTCTCTCCCAGATTTGTTAAGTTATTTTTTGAGAGAAGCCATTTAGAGACTATTACAAACAATTAAAAAAAATCCCTGCAGTATTGACAGAAAGAAACTCTTGCTCCCCACTGGCTTCAGGCCATAGTGTCAGCTGTCTGCAGTGAACTTCAGTCCCTACCAAAATTTTATGAGGACTTGGCCCAGAGATCTGCACAGAAAAGTTCTGGGAAAGCTTAGAATCAGTTCACTCTGGATAATATTCCATATTTTTTCTGAGTGGGTTTTTCTTACCTTTGGTGGGATGAGAGATGAATTACATTTTTCCCCCGTCCTTTATTATTTGAAAAGAGGATGTATCTGAAGCCCAAGTTTTTTTGTTTGTTTTTCTTTGTTTTTGAGACAGAGTCTCACTCTGTCACCCAGGCTAGAGTGTGGTGGTGTAATCATAGCTCACTGGTGCCTCGACCTCCCAGGCCCAAACCTGGGAGGATCATACCTCAGCAACCCCCAAGTGGCTGGGACTACAGGAGCACACCACCAAGCCTGGTTAATGTTTTTAATTTCTATTTTTGGTAAAGACAGGGTCTCCCTGTGTTGCCCAGGCTGGTTTCTAAATCCTGGCCTCAAGCAATCCTCCTGCCTCAGCCTCCCAAAGGGCTAGGATTATAAGCATGAGCCACTGCACCCAGCTGAAGCCCAAGTTTTTTTGTTTTTTGCATTTTGGTGTTTTTTTCTTTTTTCTGTTGCCCAGGCTGGAGTGCAATGGCGTGATCTCGGCTCACTGCAACCTCCGCCTCCCGCGTTCAAGCGATTCTCCAGCCTCAGCCTCCTGAGTAGCTGGGATTACAGGCATGTGCCACCATGCCTGGCTAATTTTTGTACTTTTAGTAGAGATGGGGTTTCCCCATGTTGGTCAGGCTGGTCTCGAACTCCTGACCTCAAGTGATCTACCCGACTTGACCTCCCAAAGTGCTGGGATTACAGGTGTGAGCTACTGCGCCCAGCTAAAGCCCAAGTTTTAAAGTCTTCAGTTGAAGAGACATTTGATTCCACCACCCTGCCTTTGCTTCAGCTTCCCGGCAGCTTGATCAGCTCTCCAGCCTATCCTGCCCCTGAGAATGTATGTAGGCCACCTCATGCCAAAGGCAGTTGTATGTTCAAATATTCCAGACATCCTTTGACTTGCTCTTTGTGAACTATGAGCTCTTTGTTACTTCTTAATTGTTCAAACCTCTTTATTTTTCTTGCTAAGCGCAAATAGTAAGAGACACAAAAAGATAATCAAAGGCTGATAAATGAGAGAGGAATCTTCTCAGTTATCAAGTTGGCTCTGATGAATAGGAGTTCCTGTTCGCATTTGTCAGGAGATTCAGGGAGGTGCCATCACCACACTGAGTGGGTAAGGGAAGTACTTAGAGAGTTAGGGAGGGGAGCCAAATTCCTGGGTTGAGAGTTCACAGGGCAATGAGGATCAATAGCAGCACTTTTGATTTGTACACTGTTATCAAGGTACAAAGCAACACTACCCTTTGTCCTTTTTATTTTTACTCTGCTAATGGAACCCTTCACCCTAAATTAAGATTATTATTCAGCTTTGATGTTGCATTTTATATTAGCAAAGTGCTTTATAATCCTTCATTAGCTATTTTACTCTCCCTTTATTAGTACCACCCGTTCCACAAATTAGGTAACTAAGGCTTGAAGAGACAATGCAATGCATATTGGGCTTGTGACCTGGCTTCTGGGCATCGGTTTCAGGTACTAAATCTAATGAAGGGAGACTTGACAGACCACAGGAAGAAGCACAGAGTAAAAGGGCAGAAGCACGGACATAACAAGAGCTTTCTTGGGAACTAAACCTCCAATGACATAGAGAAATACTTCAAAATGTTGCTTTCTTTTGCTGGCAGTAAAATTGAGAGCTCTCATTAGCTTAAATGAAAAATGTGACTACCAAACACATCTTTAACAGGAAAACAGTTTTCTTGATTGCTGAATTTCCTCCCTAACAGAGTTGAAATAGAAAAATGAATGTGTTTGAACTTAATGGTGTCAGTTGTTTCCTAAGAAAGGGACTGATGCTACAGCAAGACAAACAGCCCTAAATTACTTCTGACCCAATAAATACGCGCTTCTTGACTCTTCACGTGTTGCTCATGACATAATACTATTCTAGTTCTTCCACTTCTCTGATTGTCCTCACTTGTTGCCTCTTCCTCTTACTTTTCTTCCTCTTCTTCTTGTTTAAATATGTATGTTTCCTA
The DNA here is from genome assembly GCF_000001405.40 of Homo sapiens. Lineage (NCBI taxonomy): Eukaryota > Metazoa > Chordata > Mammalia > Primates > Hominidae > Homo > Homo sapiens. The sequence continues at coordinate 58,385,176 of NC_000017.11, forward strand.
AAGATGTACTCTCTGATCTCTATTACCTCTCTTCTGAGGTTCTTATTCACTCCAGTATCTTTAATTATGATTTCCAAATTGGTCTCTGAAGTCAAATCTTCTATACTTCAAAATGCTTGTTAGACTTTATTTATTTGAAGTCCTACTGATATCTCAAACTTAAATATACCAAACCTAAATATCATATTCTCCCTGCACTCCACCCTAAGCCAATAACCTCTCTTAACTTAACCTATTTCAGTTAACGGCACCACCATTTTCCTAGAGACTCTGGCTGAGCAAAGACTATGCCATCACTTGTCTTTGGAGACCTATCTTTTCTATGTCTCTGGAGTTGGAACCATTACAGCAGACTTCTAACTAGTCTTTAGTCTTTCACCATTCTAAAGCTCTCTGTCATTTCAAGAACAATCTTCCTAGACACAGCACTGATCCTATCATTGCCCTGTTCAAATACTATCAGTGGCTGTCCACTGTCTTCTGAATTAAATTCAAACTCCATAGCCTATCAAATCAAGGCCTCGGTGCTCTGTACTGGTTTTGGAATCAGATAAGTTGGTTTTAAATTTCAACTCGGTTTTGCATTTCAACTCTATCTCTTCCAAGCTGTGGGTAACCTAATCTCTCTAAGTCTCGTTTTAAAAATGGAGGCTGGGCATGGTGGCTCATGCTTGTAATCCCATAACTTTGGGAGGCCAAAATGGGTGAATTACTTGAGTTCACAAGTTCAAGACCAGCCTGGGAAACATAGCAAGACCCCATCTCTATGAAAAATTTTTTAAAAATTAGCTGGGCACACTAGCACATGTCTGTAATCCCAGCTACTCAGGAGGTTGAGGCTGCAGGATTGCTTGAGCCCAGGAGGTTGAGGCTACAGCGAGCTATGACTGTGCCACTGCACTCCAGCCTGTGCAAGACCTTGTCCCTAAAAAAACAAAAAACGAAAAAACAACAACAAAAAACACCATGCAGCCGGGCGTGGTGGCTCATGCCTGTAATCCCAGCACTTTGGGAGGCCAAGGTGGGAGGATCACAAGGTTAGGAGTTCGAGACCAGCCTGGCCAATATGGTGAAACCCTGTCTCTACTAAAAATACAAAAATTAGCCGGGCTTGGTGGTACGCGCTGGTAGTCCCAGCTACTTGGGAGGCTGAGGCAGGAGAATCGCTTGACCCCAAGAAGTGGAGGGTTGCAGTGAGCTGAGATTGTGCCACTGCACTCCAGCCTGGGCAACAGAGAGAGACTCTGTAAAAAAACAAAACAAAACAAACAACAACACCGTGCAAGAAGATCATTGCGGAGATAAAATGAAGTAACATATTTAAAGTACCAGCAGTTCCTGCACATAGTAATCACTCAAAAGTATGTGTTTCTTCCCTTCTCCTCTACCTTTTCAGTTTCATCCCCACCTCTTCAATGTACCATACTACTTGTCCAAAATAAATTGGATTACTCACTATTCTCTCACATTCTCTTGGAATGCCTATTATTTCTGTTCTGTGACTTATTAAAATCCTATATATCCTTCAAGGGCAAGTTCATATGCTACCTCTTCCATGAAGAATCTCTTCTTCTTCATCTGAAATGCCCCAAATATCTCGTTTGTATCTATGTGTGGTAATTTTCACCTTTTGCTTTATATTCTTTTTTTTTTAATAAACAGAGATGGGGTCTTGCTATGTTGCCCAGACTGGTCTCAAACTTCTGGCCTCAAGTGATCTTCCTGCCTTGGCCTCCCAAAGTGCTGAGATTACAGGTGTGAGCCACCATGCCTGGCCTATACTCTCACTTACTAAATTGAGGGCAGGGGTTTCTTTATAATCCCGCATAGCACAATGCTCTAACATAAAAGGCAGTCAATAAATGTGTGCTAAATTAATGTTGAAAACGTGAGCTTTTGGTCTCCCAGGTCCACTTTGGTCCATTTCTTTGTGATTCGTACTTCACACTAAGCACTCGTTAGAAACAACCTCTGGAGGGATATCAGAATTTCAAACAATGTTAACAGAGAAGCTGAGTCAGTCTGGGATTAAGTTCAGTCCTAGTTCAGCCAAAAGGAATTGTCTGGACCCTGTTCCTGCTTGAGGAGATATCATAATTGGGCAGCTTGTGTGAGCCATGGGAACACACTTGAATACATTTACATGAGAACATATTTGTCTTAGAAATAGGTACGCCAAAGTGCATGACACCTGGCTGGGTGCGGTGGCTCACACCTGTAATCCCAGCACTTTGGGGGACCGAGGCAGGCAGATCACTTGAGGTCAGAAGTTCGAGACCAGCCTGGCCAACATGGTGAAACCCCATCTCTACTAAAAATACAAAAATTAGCCGGGCATGGTGGCAGGTGCCTGTAATCCCAGGTACTCAAGAGGCTGAGGCAGGAGAATCAGGAGAATCGCTTGAACCTGGGAGGCAGAGGTTGCAGTGAGCCAAGACTGTGCCACTGCTCTCCAGCCTGGGCGACAGAGAGAGACTCCATCTTCAAAAAAAAAACAAAAAAACAAAGTGCAGGACACCTATAAAAGTCAACTACTATTAGATTGACAATGACAATGGCTTCACTGAAAACAAAAGCAGATCCAAAAAGTTCCGAATAGTTCTGAATATGGCTCAGCTAAGATATAACTATCTTACTCTGGCTTTCATCCAATACATTTCCTCTTGGCCCAGTTAGCAAATGGGTAATTATATGACATCAGCCACCATGGGGTGGCTGGGACATAAGGTGGCTTCATGGTGCCATATAATGTGGCACCAAGTTTCTTAATCACCAACCACAGGTGCATCAACTCTTCCCCCCACCACACACACCCCCTCCATAAAACCACCTTATCTGATATTTCTGTTGACACAGTGACTATGCTTCAGGCACTTTCCTTTGCTTCTTCTTAATGTTTGTTCGGGTGGGTACCTCTGTGCAGATGCCTATAAATGAGTTCTTAGGGTATAGGAGTAACCACCCAGTCATCAGGCCATACTTTTGTTTTTAGGCAGGCTTAACTCAGAAAGTAGCAGCATATGTAATTGCTAAGCCAAAACCTACCTGAAATACTTCAGAGGCTAAGCCCCTTTCCTAGCCAAATACCTAACTACTAGAGTTGCTCTCTGTCAGTAAGTTGATTCCTTGCCTGCACATTATCAGACCTGTTTCTGGAGCCATCTTTCTCCCTAAAATGACAGCTGCTACAGTTTCCCCCAAACCCTTTGTGACACGGCATATCAATGGCTCCCAAGTGATCCTTGTCAAGAAACAGAGACTCACTTCATGTGACCACTGAGTACAATGCTGGATGGGCATGCACAGAGATTTCCCTCACAGGTACATCAGAATGGGTCTGAAATATGGCCTCTTACTTGGCAAGTATTTGATGAGCACCTATCTTCTTCCCAAAACTGTTAGGTCCAACCCAGGAGGTACATTCTCACTGGGGAGATGACATATACACAAAGTAAATGGTGGTACAAAACGACATTGTATCAAAGGCCACATTGTGTGGTAAAGCCAATAGGTCCTACAGGATTTGTCAAGGAGATGGATCTTAAGCTCACCCTTAAAGACAACAGAATTTGGACAGGAAAAAAATAGCCACAGGATCTAGTCCACTGGGATCTGTCAAATGGATTTTTCAAACTTCTGAGCTTACTTGAGAAGAAACCAGGAGCCAGGTGAGAGAAAAAGTAAGGTTCTTGAGCAGTTTCTCTCAAGTCTTCAGGGTACAGGAAGACTTGTCTGACTGAAAAAATAGATCTGCAAAGATAGCTTGGATAGCTGAGGTAGGATCAAATTACAAAGGCTACTGCATGCCAAGATGAGAGTTAGAGCTTGCTCTCATATGCAAAAAAGGAATCATCCTAAATTCTTCAGGGGATCTCATTATCAAAACAATACTGTAAGCAGAGCAATTTAATAGCAGAGTAAACTAGTGCAATGAAGAGAAAACTAGTGGTAGGAAAATCAATTAGAGAGCTGTTCCAGTAATCTAGTACTGCACGATCAGAGCTTGAACTCTGGTAGTAATAGTTAAAAGGAGAAGGAATTAATTACAGAAATTATGAAGGAAGTGTTGAAAGTACTTGACAGATTGGAGTACCAGGATGAAGGAAATGGAGGAGTTAAAAGTTCTAAACTTGGAGAATTGGAAAAAAGATGTTGCATTAACAAAATGGGGAAATTAGAAAAAAGCTAGAGTAGGGAAAATTTAAGTCAGTCTTGATATACTAAATGAGAGATGAACATTTAAATCTTAAAGGTAGTTTGAAATAGGAATTGGAGTTTGAGTGACAAGCCTTCTGAAACTGATTCTGATATATGCTAAAATTTGCTAACCGTTGATCAACAGGGACCAAAACAATTCTAGGCAGTTTCCTTACTACATGTAGAATGAAAACCACCAGAGTGGGAGGCCAATATGCAAAACTGGTCATTTCCCAAAAGATAGACTCCATGTTCAGGTAGAAGAACAGGGGCTTCTTCCATTATTTCCCCATAATATTAAATTTACATATCACTTCAGTATTAACCAGGGCATTGAATTGAGTGGATCTGAAACATCTGCAGAAGCTTCAAAGCTTTCTTGTATCTTATAAATTCTGTATTTCTACAATTCTACTACATAAATATGATCTAACACATGCTTTCAAATAACTACTGTCCTGTGTACCATTGAACAAACAACAATGCTGGACAAAATGGTAACAAAACTTGATTTAGTTTGCTTTAGTGCTTCAATTCTTCTAAAGGACCTAATTTCTTTTTAAGATTGAACTACTGCTTTTTCCATGGAAGAAAGTATTACTCGTCTTAGATGAAAGAAAGGATACACTGCTTATCTCTGCAGTTGGTAAATCAGAAGCAGAGCACATGACGGGGTGCAGGGCAGCATGTCCTCATCCTCAAGCTCTGCACTCTTTTATTTTATCCATGCTCCTCCAAAGCTACATTCAGAATCAGCAAAGAAAATGTGGAAGGTGGGAACGAGACAAACCCCAAATCCAGAATATGTAAAGGGAATGAAATGGTGCCCCGAAAGCTGAGCAAAATGGAATACAAAACAAAGAAAACAGAAGGCATGAGATCAGAGCTTTCTAACTAATAAGTTATAAGGGCCCCAGTCAAGTTATATAAGGTAGATCCTTTTTTTAAAAAAAATTTTCTAGAAGAATGTCACGTGGCCCTATCATTTTTCTTTAGTTGAAGAAAGTGAGGCAAATGTTAAGATATTGTTTTCTAGAGCAAAAGAGTCTAGCTGCTTTACACTTGGGATTCTGGTGTAAAGAGTAAAACCTGCAACTTCGATGCTCACCTTGAATACCAGTGAGTGTAGGATTTTATTTCACCTGCTACTTAAAACCTGTGGCCTAATCTACACTGTTTCAGTAACAGTAGCCTTAAAACTATATGAACATCTTTAGAAATAGTAATCAGAAAAGGGTCTTCTGAAATTAAGATGCTTACAATCAGTTGTACTTGGTTTTCCTGCACCATCCTTTGATACCAGCATACTCAAATTCTAGCTCCTCAGCTAAATTCTAAAAGAGGTTTAATGATCCCGTTTACTAAGTGCCTAGAATACTCAATATTGCTTAGCGAAAGTAGCAATTTAATGAAAAAGGCAAAAGAAAATGGATGAGAAACATGAAAGAAAAGCAAATTTTAAACAAAGGACTGAAACTTTTTGTTTTTCACAGAATGAAGTTTCCCTGATCACTCTTCTCCACACTGCTGTTCTTTCTCATTGTAAACTCCCATAGAAACTCACTGTATATCTTATTTAGCACTTATTATAAATTCTCAAGGTAGAGTTCTCTAGTACATATCTACAGTATCTGAAGGGCTCCGTTAGTAAGCACCTTGAGGGCAGGAATGTTTGTTATCTTATGCTCCTTCAGGCCCTCTCCAGGGCCCAGCATTGTGCCTTGCACCAGGGTTTAGTAATACTGAGTAATTGTGAAGCCAACCGGAGATATGGAGTACACTGAGGACCAAACTTAGAAAGATTGTGAAGCAGTGGGACAAATAAAAAGGGTGAGGGATGAGCCTTCAGACATGAGTGTGTGCTGGAAAATTGAGCTGAAAAATTAAATTTCTAATTCCAGATAATTCCTTTGCCATTGTTTATTCCTGGTCAGGGATCCCACCTCTCCACCACTACCCCCATTCCACACCGCCCAACACATTTTTTTCCTTCCAGCATCAGCCAGGTGCAGAACAAAAGGAAATTAACGATTTAGTTATTGCTCCAATGCTGAAAGTTTGAAAGTCAGTCATTTGGAGCAGGTTCCATTGTGTGTCCCTGCATGTCTTGGGCTTTGGTGGCTGTGCACAGAGTACCATGGCTCCAGTCACCACAGTGGGGGCCAACGCTGGACGCCCTGGCTTCTGAGCAAGAGAGATGAAAGGCTTCTTCTAATGTAATAACTGACGGCCTCTCAGTGTCGTTTGAACTGTTTACAGGCTGAGTTAACGATTACAGGCAATGTGTATCTTGGCCAGGTGCCCGAAATTCTTACCCACCCGTCAGATATTATCAAAGAGCCCTTCCATGCCTGGCTGGAGTCCTTCCAAAGCACCTCATAGAGATGCCGACACAAAAGGAGGAGTGTTCAGAATGTGCTCTCTGTCTCTCCAGAGGCCAAGCAAGAAAGTCAGAGGATCAGCATGAATTAGGTGCTGGGGACACTGAGTTTCCAGGACCACTCAGGACTGGGGAGAGGGTCAAGGTCAGTACTGGGGCCAGGAGAACCAGATTCCTTTTGAAGCAGTTTAGGAGGTGTATGTAAGAGTCTTTGCAGCTGGTAGCTAAAGGATGGGGGTAGAAAAACGACCCTCAAGATGAAACAGAAATCTACACCACATAATAGAGCAAGCAGCCCCTAAGACAGTGGATCTGGAAGAATGGACTAATTATTATGGGGCAGTTATCAGAGGAGGGAGGAAAGTATATTTTCCCCCCACGGGATATGCACACAATTTGTAAAAGAATATCATCTTAAGGACAGGACAGAGCAGGATAGAGTAGGAAACTTCAAAAATAATAGTGGATAAAGTAGGGAGAGCTAAGAAAATACCTCTTTATTGGGGTGAATCCCAAGAGACTAAATGGCATCTGTTTAGGAACTATCAAAATGTTTTTTGCACAAATACATACTTCATATTAATCATGAGATATAATGGGAAGCCAGCTAGTTTATGACCAAAAAATGAACTTATCATCAAATAATGCTGGAAAAGCTTAGGAAAATAGTCATTTTTACTTCTTATTTATTAAGTACCTATTGACCTCTGGAATACATATGGAAGGGAAATAAATGGCAGTCCCTACAACTAAGATGTATAAATCTAAAGTCAATATGTAAGACAGTTACACACTCATTCCAAAACTACTATCACTACAACGATTCTCTCAAAGGGGAATATCTGTCTTCAAAATCTAGACAGGGGGTTATATGGCTTCTTTATCTCCATACACAGCCTAATGTAGAGGACAGCATATAACTTAGCACAAAATGCTCTCACAAGAAACTTTGGCAACAATGGATGTCATTCATGCTCTTTTATCCATATGTGAATATAATAATCATTATTACCTTGTGTTTCCTTGAAGCTTCACTTGGATATGGTTGTTTCATTCTCTTGTCCTAACTTGCTGGTTAATGTTGCTATTATGGAGCAGCTGGTGACCCACCCTGTGTAGTGGGGCATAGGCCCTGGTGTTAAAAGACTCTTCTTTGGGTTATCTACCTTGAGGAGGAGATACATTTGACATTACAGGTGACCCTTAAACAACACAGGTTTGAACTGCGTGGATTGTCTTCTGCCTCTGACACCCCTGAAACGGTAAGAACAACCCCTCATCTTCCTCCTTAACCTAGTAAGGTGAAGACAAGGAGGATGAAGACCTTTATGATGATCCACTTTCACTTAATGAATAGTAAATACATTTTCTTGGGCCAGGCACGGTGACTTATGCCTGTAATCCCAGCACTTTTGGAGGCCAAGGTGGGTGGATCACCTGAGGTCAGGAGTTCGAGACCAGCCTAATCAAAATGGTGAAACCCCATCTCTACTAAAAATACAAAAATTAGCCAGTATGGTGGCAGATGCCTGTAGTCCCAGCTACTTGGAACGCTGAGGCAGGAGAATCACTTGAACACAGGAGGCAGAGGTTGCACTGAGCCAAGATGGTGCCACTGCACCCCAGCCTGGGCATCCAGAGCAAAACTCCATCTCAAAAAAAAAATTCTCTTATGATTTTCTTAGTAATATTTTCTTTTTTCTAACTTACATTATTGTAACACAGTATATGATACACATAACATGCAAAATATGTTAGTCTACTGTTATTAGTAAGGATTCTAGTCAACAGTAGGCTAGGTTTTGGGGGTATCATATGTTATATGCAGATTTTTGACGTGCAGGAAGTCAGTGCCCCAATCCCTGTGTTGTTCAATAGTCAACTGTACTATTTTGATTACAATGTAGGTCAAGAAATTGATTAATTTAATGTTTGCGCTTCATTGTAATACTTTCTACAACAGATCATAACTCATGTGCATTTTACTTGGGCAGTGCCCTGAATAGAAACACAACTGGAGGGCCGGGCGCGGTGGCTCACGCCTGTAATCCCAGCACTTTGGGAGGCTGAGGCGGGCGGATCATGAGGTCAGGAGATCGAGACCATCCTGGCTAACATGGTGAAACCCCGTCTCTACTAAAAATACAAAAAAAATTAGCCAGGCGTGGTGGCGGGCACCTGTAGTCCCAGCTACTCGGGAGACTGAGGCAGGAGAATGGCGTGAACCTGGGAGGCGGAGCTTGCAGTGAGCTGAGATTGCGCCACTGCACTCCAGCCTGGGCAACAGAGCGAAACTCCGTCTCCAAAAGAAACAGAATTGGATGTGGTTGGGTTGTTTCAGAGAAGCACTCCCAACATTCCCTAGACTCCTCTCTACTGGGGATACCCTTCTCTCTTGAGGAAAGACAAGAGTTCAGTTTGATTTTTAGAACACAATTAGAAATCTTGGTTGCAATGAAATGAAAGAAAGAATGTGAGTCAGTGGTAAGTTTGAAAGGTAAAACTACAAAAGGAAACCCTATCCATTGACGGTGAATTTTAGAAGAAATTTCAGAGAATCTCTTAGAATGTGGCCGCATGCTCTTATAGAAAATAGCCTTAAAAAAAGAAGAGAACATGTCTTCGGCTTATCTATGACTTGATATCAAATAGAATAATGAAGAAAAGTAAAGCATTGAGTATTATGTAAATGAAGAGAAATAATTTAGAAAGTTATTAGAGAAACAGAAGAAATCAAGTAAAGTAAGAACTTAGGTATCACTGCACTTCTGAAATATGCAGAAACCAGATAGTTGAACAATCCTCACACAGCGTGGGTGAGAGTACACCTGGAGCACTTCCTATCCTATGCTTAGAGGTCTTACTTTGTAAAAGAGGTTAACAGACAAGAAGTTCAAAGCAGGCCAACAAAAGGGTAGAAGGACTTGAGGAGATGATTCACAGGGAAGGGCAAGGGCCACCTAGATGAATACTTCCAAGAATAACAACAGGAAGTGTACCTGCAATAGTTACCTCTCCAGTAACTGGGCTGCTCCAGATGCATTGGCTCCATTGAAACACCAGACAAAGACCAGCTGTGTCTTTGAACTTTAGGACTTTTGGGGTGGGTGGGAAATAGCCCTCTTTCATCCTCCCAACTGCTGTTACTTTCAGGGTTGTGAAAATCTATGGAGGCACAATGGTTCAGCTATTCCACCTTATCCAGAGAGTTGAAACTCCACCACAGAGCTCTCCAAAGTGGCACATGGTGCTGTGCAGGCAAGTATATCGAGAGGAAAACAAAGCTCCTTATCGGTTTGCTGTATAATAAGTCTGTTTGGACAGATTGACAGTATATGGAAAATGGATAAGAAACACTGATTTCCTTCCTCACAAGATACTACTACAACCTCTTTCTGCCTTCAGTACCTAGCAAAACTAGCAAATATTAAACAGGATCTGAAATTCCTTTGGGAAAAAAATATAAGGCAATGACTTTGAGACAGCCAAATAGTCTGTCATAGCATGTCTTACTTATCCAAAGATAATGGAAAGATGATTGTCAATACAAGGCAATATAATGTGATGTTAAGTTCCCTAGCTTTAAATGTATATACAACTCAACTATTTCTGATCAGAGATCTGGTTCCATAGTCAGATGCATCCAAATCCACTACCACAGCAACAGCTATGAAATTACCCCTTACCCCTTTATGAGGGACAGTTTATTATTGTGTACACTTGAACTCCTAGAAATAAATAGTCACAGTTCCCTGTGACTAATAAGTAATTATATTATTATGGCAATTTAATCAGAAAGCTATAGAACACAAAAATCTGAGAAATATTCTTTTGGAAGAAAGATCATGTAACTTAGTCCCTCACTATAAAGATCAGGTGTTAAACTAAATAAAAAAGAGCAGACTTGTTTTGCAGCTTGACAAAAAGAAAGGTGGTTTCTCTAGCTAAAAGTCTGTAGATGATGCAGGAACTGCTGCTTAGAAACTACTTTCTAAACAAACTGCAAAGGGATGACTATAAACATTTTATCAACATATTACAATAAAATCCTCTAAGAAGCTGCCTCACTATTAAGGATAGAGAAAAATCACAGATGCTGTGATTTCAGTTCTTCTCTTTCATTTTCTGTATTTTGGAATTGTCTCTAAAATCTAAGCCTTCATTTGACAGGGAGGGGTAAAAGGATCTTTTTCTGATGGGAAGACACAACCGTTAGGATGTAGCCTGGCATGCATTTCCATTGCCTGTTAATGTAGCCTGCAGAAAACTGTCTCCAGAGGAACAACAGCAGCAATACACCAACTTATTCAACAAAATGATGGTTATTTTATCACATTTATTGAAATGTAGACAGTGAACCCAGTATAGCATATGACATAGGAGGGAACAGGCCTGCTCATCAAAATCCCAACCTAAAAAAGACCAACGTGATATGGAGGATACAGAAATGATAACAACTGTTGATAGAAGAAACGTTTGACTTGACAGTGGGCATGGATTTTCAAATCACCCAAAAATGAAAATAAGAGACAAAAAACAGAAGGACCACCATGTAGATTAAAATTCTTAAGGGGCAAGATAGTCAACACAACTGAGGAGAGATGAGCACGCAACCATTTAACAGGAAAAAAACTCAGATCCCACATGCTGAAACAGATAAGCCTTAGACAAGGCTGAAACAGAGGGAAAGAAGTCAGTCTGTGAGGAGGTCAGATTTAACTGTTTTCTACTAAGTACAATTAACTAAAATAATGAGTGGAAGAGGGGACTTGAGGGGGAAAAAACAGAGCGGGTACTGTCCTAAGGTTATCCATTTTACATGTAACCATGCTCTCAACAGGCAAAATTTCAAAGGCCAGATATTTAATTTGGCTTCAGGGTCTCCAAAGGGAGCTATTTTTAGAGACTGGTCTGAGGTTTGCTTAGAGTTAGTAGCTTCCTCTAAAGGATTGAAAATAAGGATTTAGAATATTCTCTCTATAGAATATATACAATATGGAATATGTATATATGTATGGAATACATCTATACAATATATAGACATAATCATTCTAACCTAAACATTTTTTATCCTTTATATATACACACACACACTACCATAGTAGTTGCTTTTGTATAAAATCAAATATGATGCTAATTTCAAATAATTCTCTGTCACTGGTTGGTATGACATACACAATCTTCAACTTCAATTTCCTTCAGAACTTGTTGAGTTCCTTTGGTTCTGATGGAAAGATTCAGGGCTTTGATTTTCTAGCTTACCTTTATTTGATGACAGCTAAGCTTAGAAATAAAAAAAAAAAAAACTCCGTGTGTGTAGGAATACAGAAATCAGGGTAGAGATTGAAAGAAAAGAAAACCACTGAAAACCTAGAGGGGGAAAAATAAATGTATGTGTACAAGCAAACTTTATTACAGGATATTCATTTAAAATGTGAAACAATTCATCAACTAGGATTATGAAGAATGTGCCATTTTTTATGAAACACAGCAATCCCACAAACTCAAAAGAAAAGACCAAAAACATGAAAAGAAAAGAGATAATTCTACCTAATTCTCAAATACAACTACCAATTATGGAACAGAATATTCTGATTAGCACAAGTCGCTAATAATAAAAGTTTTTGGCCAGGCATGGTGGCTCATGCCTGTAATCCCAGCACTTTGGGAGGCTGAGGCGGGAGGACCACCTGAGGTCAGGAGTTCCAGACCAGCCAGGCCAACATGGTGAAACCCTGTCTCTACTAAAAAAATACAAAAATTAGCTGGGCATGGTGGCAGGCACCTGTAATGCCAACTACTCAGGAGGCTGAGGCAGGAGAATCACTTGAATCTGGGAGGCAGAGGTTACAGTGAGCCGAGATTGCACCATTGCATTCCAGCCTGGGTGACAACAGTGAAACTCCGTCTCAAAAAAAAAAAAAAAAGTTTGTGATGAGAAAAGAAAATAGCTTTTATATGAAGAATGCAAGTCCTTTTAATTATCAGGCCCAGAGAGACATTAAAATGAGACCGCAGTCAAGTCCTACTCCCCGCTTTAGGCTATGTTATTCATCTCTTGAAACTGCTTGCTATTGCCACAAATAGCTATAAATTAATCTAATAATGCCACACCAGACACTATAACCCATACCCTGTAGCTTAAAAATGTATAGCCAATTACTAATCAATGTTATTTCTGTAAACCAATGAGAATTTCTGACAAACAACTTTGTATCAGCCCACTCCCTATCCCTCTTTTTTGCTTTTAAAAATCCACTTGTAACTGCTGCTAATCAGAGTGTATATTCAGGGCAACTTGAATCTAGGCTCTGGGGTTGCAATCCTTAAACTTGGCTCAAATAAGCTCTCCACTTATATTAATTTTGCCTCAGCTTCTTCCTTTTAGGTTGACAGTGATTTATTTACCTTTCTGAAGACCAGGAAGTCCTTAAAAATTCAATCTGTACTGTTGAAATCCTTTCTTCAATGTATTGGTGCACTTTCCTGCCTAAATACATCATGTTGAATGAAAGTTAGCCTTTACTTGGTGTCTACACTACAAGGATATCATTATGGTCATTTTTGGCATGAAATAATATAAGAGACTGGGCTAAACTTACAATCTCCCTGGGAAGTTCTTATTTGCTTTTTAGGTCCATTACATCTGCTTCTTTTTTGATATATCTCTGGTTAATAAGCATAGCAGAGAAAAAATTCCAGTTAATTTATTATTTATTTAATGAAAAGTATCCTATAGAACTTTGGTTCTGGGGTAAGGTACAGAATAGGAAGTAAAAATTCAAGTGACCAGATATTAAATTAACCTTGCCACCAATATTGCCAAACTGGAACAACAGGGTATCTAAAGACAAAACACATTTTCAGAAATTCCACCCATAGAAATGGAGTCTAGCAATCATTCATTCTTAGCACTGTATTGCTCAGTATCTCAAGACTTTGTCCAATAGCCTCAATAAATGTATAAAGATATCAAGAAGTAAAGGTCAAAAAAGGAACCGTGAACATCAAACAAGGCCACTGGAAGTGACCCAAAACATCACATGCTGGGCTTTCCTTTTTAATGATAATAACAGTGATAGTGAATGTTTATCCTTGTCTTTCTTTCAAAGAGCTTCTAAATCTTTGCAGACATCTCTTACTAATCTTTATTAGGCTTTGGGAAGAAAACAGTTTTCCCCAAGAAGTGCCTTCGGAGAAGAAGGAGGCTTCCCAAAACCAATAAAAAGGAAAATGTTTGCCCTTCTCCAGGTCCTCCCCACGCCCCACTGGTCTCCTAACTCCCACTGTGTTGTACTGGTGATTGAAATGAATTATAATACCATGCAAGTGTTGAAAGGATAATAATGGTAATTCAGTTTGTTTCCAAAAGAGTTATAAGCCATGTGTGTTTAATCATAACAGGGAACAGGTAAGTAGAAAAGATGAGGAAACCCATAATTACCTTTATCCCATTATTTACTTATTTTGGGAAGAGACTTCAAATTGGTAAAGTTACAAAACACTGAACACAGATTTTTTTATACTGCAGACTGTTGGTCTCTGAGAAGGCTCAAAGGATGGTCTTTACCTGAAAATTTTTTCAGGGAGACAAATATTTGATAGATGCTATGACAAAAACTCTGCTTATTCTTACTTTGATCCAATTCTTCTCAGATAGGGAACTGAGAGTCTTAGAGACTTGCGGGATAATTTCCAAGCAGGCTATAGAATCGTATCTGCTGAGTTTCAGAAAACATGTTGGGACCAGCACAGTATAATGAACTGGGGAAAGTAGTCCCCTTCACAATCCTGAACTCCTTCCCTTCTGGTCCTTAGAAACATGGCTGCAAGCTACACACCAGAAGCTGAAGCGCCAGCATTCTGAGCAACTGTCCCAGAGTAGCAGCAATTTTTTTTTTTTTTTTGAGACAAAGTCTCACTCTGTCACCCAGGCTGGAGTGCAGTGGTGCCATCTCAGCTCACTGCAACCTCCACCTCCCAGGTTCAAGTGATTCTCCTGCCTCAGCCTCCCAAGTAGCTGGGATTACAGTTGCGTACCACCACGCCTGGCTAATTTTTGTATTTTTAGTAGAGACTGGGTTTCACCATGCTGTTCAGACTGGTCTTGAACTCCTGACTTCATGATCCACCCGCCTCAGCCTCCCAAAGTACTAGGATTACAGGCGTGAGCCACCGCACCCAGCCAATAGCAGCAATTTAAAAAAATACTCTAAATTTTCAAAAAGGGAAGATGGAAGAGTGATATATAATGTGGTTCTAGGATCCCTCAGACTCTGATAAGTCAAAACTTAGAAAACAGCTGCTTTGTGTCAGTGATCACCTCATTGATCATGGAAGGAAGCTAATGGGGTTACCAGTACGGAACAGGCACACATACAAAGGTCCAGGGCAGATAAGTGATTCACCGTACCACAAGTAACAGGTATTAAGTTCCCACCCCAGAACTCACATACTATTAGTCATTCTTTAAACCACTAAGGCTACCTGTACTACATTATGGTAATATTTAATCAGCACCCTTAACCCACAAAATTTTGAAGCTAAAGCCTTGTCCTTTCGGCTACATTAAAAATACAAACAGTCTTGCTTAGTTATGTTAAGCTGATGCCAAATTGAACGCAAATAGGTTAACGGAGTCTAAATCAATAACCTTCACACTTAGTAATATTTCTGATAGTAATTAGGTGAATAAGGAATAGCTCAAGTTTAATTACTATTAATAATAATACCTAACATTTGCCATTTTCAAAGGCAACACTCATACATTATTTCATTTCAGGTAGTTAGGCCATTTATTACTATTATTCCCATTTTACTCAGGAAGCCACAAGCTCAAAGAGGTTAAGCAATTTTTCTTTACGTCATAAAGCTAAGAAGGATCAGCACTGAGATTAAAATACAAGTCTACTGAGAGCACTTTTCACTGTAGGATGTCGCTCCTCATTTTAGAATACCTTTTATGCCTTATTATCATATTATATCATTATATATGAATCCTGTGCAAAGAGCACCATTTGGTGGGCATATTATCTTAATTATTTGATTGGTGATAGAAATTATGTTCTTAGGCCAGAAGGCATCCAGTTATACATAAGTTAGAAGATAATGAAGTAACTCTGCCCTGAGGGAACCCAAGAAACACTCTGATATTCAAAAGGAAAGAAGTTCTCATCTAGGATGTCAGACTGCCTACAAAACAACTGCCTAATCACAGAGCATTCAACTGGTGACCATAGGGTAACCTACATTTCTGGGAAAAGGAAAAAGCAACAGGCAGAAATGGTAGTTTCTCACCTTAGGAACTTTGCATGGTGGTCTGACTTCAGAGATATGTTCCTGATCTATTTTGGGGAGAACATACTTTCCTTCATGCTCACTAGATGCAGCACTGGACAGGTAATTTTCAAATAATAATTACCAAATGATTCATGCTTATTAATAGATCCTCATGAAAGTCTTGAAAACCAGGTAAACCAGAAAGTTACTTCTCCTCCATTTGATAAATTAAATAATCGTTGAATGTCATGCCAAAGACTATTTTACAAGTCATCTGGAGAACTAGTGGTACTAGTCCTCCTGATATTGGAACATCCATGTGTTTGGGTATGCACCCACTGTTTGGGTGCCAAGCCCTCGTTTCTGTGTAGAGTTTAGCTACAAGAGAAAATCAGATCTTCTGGCAACACTTACGAGGCAGGTGCAGTCATAAAGAACTTGACTTTTGATTCCATTGTCTCTGCCAGGACAGGTGGTATGGTAGAAGTATGGAATCTTGCCAGACAGGCTCTAACTCAAACCTCCCTTTAGAAAACAAAACAATAAAAATGGAAACAAAATGCCAAATCCTATTCCATACCCTGAAGATTGACATTGCTTGAAAAAGTAGGACATTTTATATAATACATTCATTTGTTTTAAGCTTACATCAACTCAGGAGAAATAAGACTATGAAAATGAAAGGTCAGTTGCAGGCTGGGCTCTCTCCTTATAAATTCAATTCCCTATTCCCCTGTATAAACTAAAGGGACACTTTCATTTCAGTGAATTTTATCCATATATTCCTAGCATAAAAAAAAAAAAAAAACCTATAATCTAATACCTGCATAGGAGTAACACAGACAAGTTAGCACTGCTGAGTAGAATAAAAACCTTTGGCAAATCCTACTTACTTCCCAGATCCTACCTTACCTTCCTAACACAAACTAGCACATCTCAAATTTTTGAGAATGGTCAGTTGATGATTCCATGAAAGAGACGGTCTTTCTCTAAAAAACTACAGCATGTTTGTTCAGAACCAAGTAAAAACAAAAGGATTGTTTCTAGTGGCAAAGATAGACAATTGATTATTTTTACCAGGTTTGTCTCCAGGGCAAGTCTTTGTGATTGATGATGTGTCTCCTGACCACAAGGACACCACAAGAAGGCTCAGAGGAAGAGTGCTCAAAGGATCCCTGTGAGGGCACTGTTAGCTGTCACCATTGGAAATACTGAACATTTCTGGTGTTCCTGGAATCTATTTCTAACCACTACTCTGTGGTTGTGATGAAGGGATAGGAAGAGATTGGAAATCTTCTAGAGCAAATGCTCTCTTCAGTTCATAACCACAGAACCAAGATAAAATAACAAGAATGTACTTTGCCCAAGGCATAATTCTGCCTAAATTTGCCCTATCCATCATTTTTTTCCCCTAATTCTTGTTTATGTTGTTGTTAATCTGCTCAAGGAAGGAAAGCTAGATAATCTACAAACAGGTTCCGGAAAGGCTTGGAAAATTTGTGGATTCAGAGAAGGATATTTAAGAGGGAGCCAAAATCTCTGAGAACAATGCCCTATAAATGCCCCAAAGTGTAAGAACCAAAATATTCAATGAATCATTGTTCTTACCCAGAAGATAATTTCTTAAAGTTATAGTCTTAATTTTCTTCAAATGATAAATTGTCTATTCAGGTCCCAGAGATGAGGCTGTGACACTAATACTTAACATGGTGGTTGTGTCTCTTTATGCCTGACTCAATCAGTTGAAATCCAAAAGTAAGTTCTTCCTTGATTTACCTGCCAAGACCTGAGTTCAGGCCCTCAGGGTGCTGAGGTTTTCCTTTGTGGGAGAAAATGACATCATCAACACCTCAGCAACAGTAGAGGAATGCAGGGAATGTGGCTCCCAACATTTGGTGATATCAACTGTCCTGGGAGAAACCCCAAACTCCCAAGAGTCAAACATTGGTTTAAAAAAGGAGTTTTTTTGGGGTGGGGGGGTAGGTTGTTGTTTCGAGTTTATTAGTAGTGTTTGATGTTTCCAAACACCAGTTTTAAAAGGGAAGATGGGTTGGGGGACCTCTTCCAGTAAGCGTGTACCTCAAGAACCAAACATACATGAATTAAGTCCAGATAAGGCAATTCAACTCATTTGTATCTTACTGAGGCACATCCAACCAAGGAAGAATAGAGACTTAGTTATATTAGGCTCTCTCCCAGCTCTGAGATGAGTATATTCTTTGGGGGACTTGCTAATGTTGCAAGTTTGCATTCAAAATAAATTCTAGGCACTCACATAATCCCCCAGTCTCCTCCAAACTTTCTTTGATGTCCAACAACTAAGGACAAGGATCTTTGATTATAAAACAATTTCTTTGGTTGGAAGAAAATTCTTTGCAGGGCGTGAACAGCAGGAGAAAGAAAAGGTTTTTCTGAAGTGCAAACTAGTTGGAAACCCCCTGGGGAAAGAATCTGATTCCCAGTCTTTGAGAGGAACAGGCCTGCCTGTACAAGTTGCCTCTGCTGAAGGCCTCTAAGAAGGCGCTTTTGTGTCTACTGTATGGCCCTCAGCAACAGCACGGCGGCCCTTCTCTTTTTTTTTGCCAGCGGAAGTTTTCCAACTCTGGGAATACACAATGCAGAAAGTCACGGTTTAATAACAAGGCATAGTTACTAATCAGATGGCCCCATTTCCACTCTTCCCAGTTGCCTCCAGATGCTTACATACTAGAGCTCTATCCCCCTCACCCCATGGGTGAACACCCACCAGCTGCTCTGAAATCTTATTTTTAGTATAAGTATTCAGCTTATCTCTAATAATTCACTTCACAGAGTACTTAGGATCAGAAGCATCCTACTCCTTTTACTTTCATCCAGACTGGTTCTAGGTTGTCTCTGGCTCTTTCAGGTTTTTCCAAAGGTTAGATTCACTTAGGTGCAGGTTAGTGATTGAAGTCAGTGTGCTCTGATCATTGGGACAACCTTGACGAAGCATTTACAATAAGGGTCCTCAATCTACTACAGATATTTTAAAATATGAAACTCCAGAGAAAGGCTCCTTTTTTGAGTGTGTTAACTGGAATGCAAAGACAGTACAGGACCAGAAGACTGGGAGTACAACTGAGTCTCATGCTTAGTTCTGCTACCTATTTATTGTAAGACATTAATTTAGTCAGATTTTTTTCTATCACCTACCAAACAAATTTTGTCTTTGATGTCCAACAACTAAGGACAAAGAAAAAGAACTAAATAGGCAAGATACATGTCCCTTTAATATATGAAATCTATTTCTAGAATAAGCATAAACTCTAAAAGTTTAGAGCTGGAAAGGATCTTAAAGATTATTTAGTTCTCCCCCAACTCTACACCAACAGATGAAAGATTAAGTGACTTGCTTTTACTTAAAATGATCATAAGGTGCCTAGGGACTTTTCATATACCCCAAGGGGGCAACTCAGTAATCCCAAATACTCACCAATGATAATTTTTAAATGTTTAATGTATGTCATAGAGTTTACTAACTTTAGAGTAAAATAACCTAATGTCACAGTGGATCGGTACATTCTTCTTAAATGGTTCTCTATATGCCTCATATCATACTAAAATCAACACATTTTAGGGAACAGGAATAACACACATTTATGACTAAAGTCAATAATAAGAAAATGGTACTAGAAACAATTTTTGCTAAATAGATATGATATTCAAATACTCTTCACCTTCTACATAAAAGGTCTTAGTATTTATTTCTTCCCTTATGGAATGCAGTTTGCGAAGAATTAAAATCAAGCTAGTTGAGATAAATTCAAACAAAACTTCCAATATGTTGAATTCTGTTTAAAGCTAAATTTACTGTTTTAACTAAAATTTAACAGGGACTGATTGGTACATTTTAGAAAGTCAGTTTACAATCTGAAAAAAAAAAGCCATGGTATCTAGTCATTCTAGACTCCTAAAGAAAATGCTAAAGATGAGTATTAAACACACAGGAATATAACAACCTGTAATTAACTGATAACAGTAAAAATTTAGAAGGTATGACTGGGTTGTAGTACTTCTTTTTTTTTTTTTTTTTTTTTTTTTTTGAGACAGAGTCTTGCTCTGTCGCCCAGGCTGGAGTGCAGTGGCACCATCTCGGCTCACTGCAAGCTCCACCTCCCGGGTTCATGCCATTCTCCTGCCTCAGCCTCCCGAGTAGCTGGGACTACAGGTGCATGCCGCCATGCCCAGTTAATTTTTTGTATTTTTAGTAGAGACGGGGTTTCACCATGTTAGCCAGGATGGTCTCGATCTCCTGACCTCGTGATCCACCTGCCTCGGCCTCCCAAAGTGCTGGGATTACAGGCGTGAGCCACCGCACCCGGACTGTAGTACTTCTTTCTCTAACTTTAAGCTACTTGAAGTTGCCTGGGTTAAAATTTAATATTTTTTCATTTGTTTTTTCTTTAATCATAGGGAATCTGAGACAGAATTACCACAGTCATTTGAATGACTCTTGAAAAAATGAAAATCAGCACTTTAGGCCAGGAATGGTAGCTCATGCCTGTAATCCCAGAGCTTTGGGAGGCAGAAGTGGGAGGATGGCTTGAGCCCAGGAGTTCAAGGTTATAGTAAGCTCTGATGGTGCCACTGCACTCCAGCCTGGGTGACAGAGAGAGGTGACAGAGAGAGAGACCCTGTCTCTAATGACAGAAAGAAAGAAAGAAAGAAAGAAAGAAAGAAAGAAAGAAAGAAAGAAAGAAAGAAAGAAAGAAAAAGAGAAAATAAATAAATCAGCACTCTAATGCATTTATGCCTACACCTACATCTGGCATTCAATACATAATGCCTCCTGCTGTTTAAGTTGATTCTCCTCAGTTGGACAAGGCTAAGGTGTTGTGTTGCTCTTTGAATTACTATAGTATCTGTCACAGAATTTGGTACAAATAGGAAAACCACATTATAAGGCATCTAGAGAATCCAGTGCCCCTTCTAGTCTTGGTAAGATTCTTAGCCTAGACTTTATAAAGAGGTGATATTGCTCTGAGAAGATCCAGGACTACAGACCACCTGATGTGCAGTGATTCTGTGGCAGAATAAATGACACATGCACCACGTAAAGTATTGCTAAACTGTGGTGAGGTATTTTTGGTCTGTTCACTTATTTTAAAGTATGCCTGTAGTTGACTAGGGATCAAAGAGGAAAGAGACCCTGCGGCAGTCTATATCTTCTTAATGGAATGTTCAGGGGGAAATCTCTGCTGACATGTGCTTTTTAATTTCCCTGCAGTGACCCCAAAAGGTTTATAATAAATAAATAAACTATGCTAAAAATATTGGCCAGTAAGATATAGCAGCAGATTGGAATTCTTTGATAAGCACTAATCTGAGTTCAATTCTTCATATATAAAATGAGAAGACTGGACTGATTGTTTTTTCTAGCTTGAAATTTGATGATTATATTTCACAAATGGAATATTCTGCCACTTTTCCCTCCCCTCCATCAAAACTGTATTTTACTCTAAGAATGGAAAACTGAATAGGACTTAATTCCAATATAGAGCCAATACAGTCCTTCAGAAGTTAAAGAAACTTGACCACAAGAATTTTAAAGTCAGATCATCAATATAATTCCAGGTAGAAGATATTAAAATGAGGGAACACAAAGCCTAGATCATATAAAAGATGTTTTTTGTTGTTTTAAAGTAGATAATACAAAAGACTGTAGAAAATGGTTTGGGGGAAAAAACGAATGGAAATCTATACTTTTTTTTTTTTTTAAAATAGCAAAATAAGTAGACTTATAAGGCCTTTAGTCTCATCTGAATTATTCTACAGAAGTAAAATACCAACAGTGTTTCTCAAATGTCATATATTTATATATGTATAACAATACCTTTTTGATATACTAGCACGCACAAAAGTGATAGGTACATAATAATTTAATGTGCTATTTAAAATTACAGTTGTATTATAGTCAATTTCCATCATGACAGGGTATTCTAGATTTAAAGCAACAACAACAAACAGGAGTCGTGAAGATAGTTATGCTGCCTCTGCTTTAGATTCAGAGACCAGAATTTTTTTTTTTTTTTTTTTTTTTTTTTGAGACAGGGTCTCATTCTGTCACCCAGGCAGAAATACAGTGGCACAATCTTGGCTCACTACAACCTCTGCCTCCCAGATTCAAGCGATTCTCCTGCCTCAGCCTCCTGAGTAGCTGGGACTACAGGTGTGCACTACCACACCCAGCTAATTTTTAAATTTTTTGGTAGAGACATGGTTTCACCATGTTGGCCAGGCTGGTCTCCAACTCCTGACTTCAAGTGATCCACCTGCCCTAGCCCCACAAAGTGCTGGGATTACAGGCGTGAGCCACCACACCCAGCCTAGAGACAAGAATTTCTAAATATTGTAGTCTAACTTCTTATCTTGAGGAATAATGCACCAGGCCTTTGTGCTTACAATTTTAAAAAAACCTTAGTTTTTAAATCATTTTGGTTACTCTGGTGTTTCCAAATTTGTAAATTAAACACAGATTCCAATATATTAAAAAGTATAGAACAAAATAAAATTTATCCATGAACTGTAAGTTTAGAACCCAGATAAAAAGAGTATGTAAAGTAGCTTATCTGTTATTCAAAACAAGCAAGCAACAACAAATCTTGGCTTTAAAAAATATATAAAGTTTTCCATTAGAGCAAATAGAAATTTAAGGGCCTAAAGAACACTGCCCTAGGGAAAGCAATGGAGCTTAAAGACTGGAAACTAAAGACACGGGAAGAAAACAAAGTTAAAGTTTGTTTTATACCCTCAGTTTTCTGAATGTAGTAACTAAATAGACACATAAAGCCACGACGGTTCTACTAATCTCAAAACATGTGAGTAAAATATCCGTTATTCTTAAGGGCCTTTCAGTGGAACCACCATGCTGAAGGGATTGTAGGCATTTCTTGAATTGATGCAGTTTCACTTCATATTTGGAGAGCAGAATTCATTTACTACACATAAGAAGATCTTTGTCAGACATCAATTTTTACTTCTGGAGTTCCTTCACCTAAGGTCAGGCCACTTTCTTATAACTGCATCACAATATTGTTGTCTGTCTGACTTTAAGTAATACATACAAGTACTTTTCAAATTAAGTAAACTGAAGGTAAATTTGTTTTGAGAATTTGGTTTAATTTCTTGAAATAATTGGGATTATGTTAGGATAGTTGCTTTTCATCTGGAGTCCTTAGATCTCTAGATATGTCTTAGAGAGTCAACTCACTGAGATTTTATGCAAAATTGTGTATGTTAAGTATTTGTGTGTATTTTGTGCCTATGGTCAATAACAATGATCACATTCTCAAAGGGGCCTGTGGCACACACAAACAAGATTAAAAACTGTGCTTTAGGGTATCTAAAAACCAGAACGGGTAATCACAAATTTAAGTACTAAGAAGGTAAGGTCCTTTGGATGCACGCTAATATCCTAAAATCAAAGGTTTAAAATCAGGACCTGAATAAATCATTCTTGGAAAACCAAAATATCCTAAACAGCAAGGTTTAAGCTATCAAACTAAAGAAAAAATTTAAAAATCCTGTGTAAAGGAGCACCTTAAACATACTGATTACAGCCATATTTATGATTTTGAAATAACAACACACGAGGCTGTTGGTAAGTCAGAAGAGTAAAGGAACATAGCCTGCTATATCAAGCCACACACACTCAAAATAATCCACCTTATAACATACTTTAAAAATGTGATAAGCATGTTTTATTCTAGAGTGATCTCCCAGCCATCAGAGTTACTCAATACCACAATATTCATTATATTCATTAATAAATATTTACTGAGTACCCACCATGCCCAAGGAGTAAGTATACTTAGGTGCCATTCTCAGGGATACAGCTTTGAACAAAGGAGACAAAAATCCTTGCTTTCACAGAACTCATATTCCACTGTGGGGAGATAGACAACTACAAAACTGAAACATTACAGCATGCCACGTCAATAATTCTGTAAAGAAAAATGAAGCAGGAAAGGAGAATATGAGTCCTCAGGGAAATAGGAAAAGACCTTTAGGATTTCCACTCAGTAGAACTGACCCCTGAGGAATCCACATCTTCAGATTCCTTAAAAATTGATTACTCTCCTATCTCCTGCAAACCAGACTGGCTCAGTCTCTGTGCAACTTTGTTCTTAGATGATTTACTTTCTTTCTCTTTCCCAATATATTTCCTTTTCTGTAAAATGGAGTTAATATCACCTGTTCTTACGTGGCTCCAGGTATTGCAAATCATTTTAAGCTTCTTGGAAGAAAATTTCTACATAAAGTTAATGGAATATCATTCTCACAGCCTTCTCTAACAATATCCTGCTACCAATTCTGGTTCCTAACAGGATATTACTC
Source organism: Homo sapiens (assembly GCF_000001405.40). Lineage (NCBI taxonomy): Eukaryota > Metazoa > Chordata > Mammalia > Primates > Hominidae > Homo > Homo sapiens. Next base: position 58,409,390 of record NC_000017.11, read on the forward strand.
ATCTATAACATTTTAAAAAATCTACTGTAATTAGCAATTTGAAAGGGATAAAAGGGAAAAAAACATTTAAAAAATCCAATAAACTCTTTCCAATGAACAAAATGTAAAGACTTTTTAATAAAACAAAAACAAAAAGCAAAACCATGATCTCCAGGAATACCTTGTTTCTTAGACGGTCTCACTATGTTGCCCAGACTGGTCTCCAACTCCTGGGCTCAAGTGATCCTCCCACCTTAGCCTCTCACGGTGCTGGGATTACAGGCATGAGCCACCACACCTGGCCCGGGAATACCTTTAATACTGCAGACAGCAGGGCAAAACCCTGTCTCTACAAAAAATTGAAATATTAGCTGGGCATGGTGCCCCGTGCTTGTGGTCCCAGCTACTTGGGGGAGCTGAAGTGGGCAGATCGCTTGAGACTAGGAGGTTGAGGCTGCAGTGAGCCGTGTCTGTGCCACTGCCCTCCATCCTGGAAGACAGAACAAGACCCTATCTCAAAATACAAAGAAACAAAAAAAGTAAAGTAAATTATGGCTAGTTTTGGGCTAATTACAACACACACACATATATACATACACACTTTACTATAATACAAAACCCAAGGAAGTACCTACCCCCCCAGCCCCGCCCCCCACCAACCGAGAGTCTGCCAAATGAACACTAAATAGCCTGATGGGAGCAATAGCCAGGGACATATTTCATTCATTACCTCCTATTAACCAGATATGTACGAAGCTGAACTTACAAATTTTTGTTGGATACAAATTTTTGTTGAAGTACAGAACTGTGATATATATAAATCTGTTTGATGATAACTTATAAAAGAGATATCTTCTTAACTTGAAAAATTATCATTAAAAATATTCTGCAGCTTCCTTCTATTCTGTGGGTGCCAGGCTTCTAACAACAAGGCCAAGTCTAGAATAGAAGACTCTAAAAGCCATGTCAGGAAGGCTCTGAGCTGGGATCACAGGAGACAAGCACCTAAGAATGTTTGTGCGCACAGAGGAACTGTGTCTGATGGTGTACTCCTGACTACATTCCAAAGTCAGTAATTAATTAATTGGATTTTCTGCACCTTCATTTACATAAGTAACAGAGTTGATCATACTTTGAATATCTACTCTGTACTTCTTCTAAAGGCTGGCATCAAAACAAAATCACAAAATTTCTATTTCAAAATTTCTTCATAGAAGGAACTCTAACTTGAGCAATGCCAGTTAAATGCATGCTATGTCAGTGTTTATTATTTCAGGTTCCTATATTAGATAACTTAACCTAGACTTTTAAAATGAAGAGAAAGGTGATGAAATATGTTACATTATAAGGGAGATACTGAGTAAACAGACATTGTGATTTACTAGTATCTTTGCAAATGAAACACAAAATGAGAGAAATAGAAGAAATACAGAGATTATTAGAAGGTAGCAGGATATGATGCACTCTGGATCAATCTCAGATAATGGTACTCATCACTTTCATTCCTTTCTACTCTGGAAATAAATTTTTTATACAAAGCCTATACTGATATTCTCTTCATCTGTGGCATTCTTACATATACAGAATTTTAGAGCTGGAAAAGCATGGGCTCTGCAGTTCAAGTTCCAGCAACACCACTTACTAGATAATAATAGTTAATACTTTGACAGATATTAACATTTTAATCCTCAGTTTCCTTATCTGTAAAATGTAAAAAATAAAGGTACTGAATTTCTTCTCTCATAAAGTTATTATGAGAATTCAGTGAGCTAATACATGTAAAGTGCATGTAAATAGCACAAGTTTGGCAATATTGTATTTTAATTCCTCAACTTCACAGCCTGGGAATCTGAAGCCTAGAAAGGTAAACACTATTTTGTCCCAAATCACACAACTATTAATATTTAGTGTCAGCATATTCTTCTGTGTGTAGAACTAAAAGTCAAGCCCCCCAAGTCACAGTTTAGACACTTTGTCAACTATAGTTTGCAATATAGGACTGTCTCTCTAGCTTTGGCCAAAAACTTAAAGTTTCAGGTCCTGCCTACAAATAATGTAAAAATGCAAAGATGGGATAACTATGTGTTGACTAACAGATAAAATTAAGAGGCAAGCAGAGACATTGTGCAAAGGGGAATTTCTCCAGGAGGTGCTCACTGCTACTGGCCAAGTGCTAAACTACTGCTGCTCCCATTGTAGGTCTGAAGACTCAGGGGAATACATTTTAATCTTGATCATAACTTTATCCTGGAGTCTAAGAAAATCCAGGATAACCAGCTGAGCAGGAAGAGTGTGATAGAGAATTGGTGACCTCTTTGTGCTACACTAAGATCCTCTTACTCTTTTGCTCTGAGAAGAAAGATTAATTTTGAGTTGTCCCTTGAAATAATATTTATAAATGATAAACAGGATTGAGAAATAAAATATGACTGTAATCACTTTTAGAAGTGGTGGCAATAATATTGCTTGAAATAAAAGAAACAAACATTGATAAGAGGTAACCAAACCAGAAAACCGGAAATTAGACAATGAATCAGCTCCAACACTTTTCCTTCTACAATGGTATAAACCAGGAGAGAAAGAATATATTCCAATGTGAATAAAAACAGTAAGAAGTAATCACTATCATTTAGTCCTTTTTATCAGTCACCGCCAGGTAATTAGGAGATCTGAAAAGTTTCCTTGACCTAGATTTTTGATGGCTATTAAAATACCAATCCAGAATAGCAGTGGAAGGTAATCCTAAATATACAAATTCAGTGGAAAACAAAAGAAAAATAAAAGAGTGGAAGGAAATCAGAGAAGAGGAAGAGACAAATATTTTGGCAAATATAGGGGAAACCTAAGAATTAGATACTTTAAAGACAATGACAAACCTGCAAAAAGAGTTGGAATGATACAGTAATATAAAGAAGCAACTCTTGGGGAAAATAATAAAATTTGGACAGGACTAAAATGAGATGTTCTGAAATGGAAAAGAGAGGACTTGAGAAATAGAAGGGCAAAGGCAACACCATTTCCTCTTCTATTTTGACTTTCTTCTAGCGCTTTTAGAAGAATATTACAATTTATAATTTTGAACATACCTTGTAAAATGAATCATTACTATTGGCAAGGAGAAACCTAAGCACAAAGACTGAGAGATAAGAATCAGAACAAAAATCATCAAAACTTGACTTTTAATGCCCTTATACATACAGCCATCAGATAAAGTTGAGACAAAATTCTTTTAGAGGCAATTCTATGGTCTATTTTACTATTCAACAAATTGGGGGCACATTGTCAAGGGGGGGGGTCTCCTTTTGTCTAAGAAAAAATTAAAATCATAATACAAATGAAAATTCAGTCAGTTTGGTCCTTATGAAATTGTCTATACACTGAATTAATTGAGCAAAATGTAAAGAAATGTCTGATTTTCAGAAATTATCTCAGAATTCCAGAAATAACAACATGGTTTTTTTTTTTTTAAATCACTGTTCTCATAACTGTACATTTTTTGGTACATACATAGCATCCTCAAGTTTAAAAAGATTTGACTGCAATCTTTGGAGACAAATAATCTTAACAGGTAACTACAACAATTCATAGGTAGAAGGATTCACAGAATTATCCAGAATTCCTCAAAACCGAAGAGAAGACTACTTTTAGATTTCTGACACCAGGGTACAGCTCTCCATTGAGAAAGCTAAAGTTCAGCAAAGCACATCTCTAGAAGATATAAACAGAACTTCAGTTAAATGGAAGGCTTGGCTAACCACAGTTGAGTAAACCTGAGTTGCAGTGTAATCTGATAAGGAACAAACAGCATGGATTCCAGAAGTGTAAACCATGTGTCCCTAACACACTAGAGTTCTTTGAAAGAATTAATCAAAGAATGGATAAAGAAAACCATATATATAATTCAGAAGCTTGTTTTTTAAAAAAGTTTCTCACAAGAGGCTGTTGAAAAACTTTAATAACTGTTGTAGATTAAAAATTGATTAACAGACAATAAACCGAAACCAATATGGAAAGTATCCAGAAATGAATACTAAGCTAGTGAAAAAACTTATTTAAAGACCTAAACGAAGCATATGTGGACAGAAAGGAGATGACTAAAAATTGCCAATGACATAAAACTATCCACTGTAAAGGCTGAAAGTCTTTGCTAAGTTATGATGAAATTCCCTCTTCACAAAGTAAAAGCAATACTTAATGTATAATGATAGGATCAAAGTTAATAGTTTAAAAAACAAAATAGATTGGTAAGATTTGCCAGAGTGAGAAAAACGATAGAACAATAGAAGACATGATAAAGATTGATAAAATAATGAATGGCAAAGAGAATGCCAACTGGTGCTGTTTGTTTACTTTTTCCTTTATGAAAACACAAACTTTATGTAGAGCTTTATGATAATAAGATTAAAACTTAAAAGAATACATTATTTTATGGAACACATAATTAGCCCACTGAACATGCTATCACAGGTTATCAATAAGGCACGTATGGCTCTCAAAAACTTCAGTGATATCAAAATATGACTAGCAAAATTACTTACGGTCCTAAAATGGAGCACACAATTCATGCTTCAGGGTATTAACTAGGCAAGGCCAGGAAGGAAGTTTCCTTTCCAATTGCCATAGTATTCAAGATGATTTATGAGTTCAGCTTTTAAGTATTCCTAATTCCATTTTAGAATCCAAATTATCTTATTCAAAAAAATCTTATGCCATTTTTCCAGATATACTCTTCTTTCCTATTTTTCTAAATAGCAAAGCCTTCCATTTTCACCTAATTCTCCTTCACTTCATTTATCCCAGCTTCAAAATATTGCCTAAGAAGTGATAATGAATAACCACTAAACCATATATTAAAGAATACATGTTTAGGAATAAGTTCTATAATCTGTTAAATTTTCCTATCTTCTTTAAGTAGACAAAAATTAAAATTCATACAATAAATTGGTTCTGTTCATAGTCTGTTCATACCACAAAATTAAAATTTGAGTTTGGATGCTAAGATGGATCACACTTAAGAATATTTTAACCTGTGTCCAGTAGCTACAGCAAGAAGTGTTCTTTTACATGATAAATTTCAATCAATAAGCAACATCATTTTATGGAGTAAGACAATGGAATGCCCATTAAAAAGGTATAGCCCTCTAGGCTCTGTCTTTACTATGGGGAATGAGCAATTGGTCTATGAAATGCTGTGCCCCCAGTCATTTCATAAATTCACCACATAAAGAATAGGCCATGTATGAATGACTTACAGGCAAAATTCACAGCCTGAAAGCCTAAGAAACTATGTCTGAAAAACTTGGCGGATCAGTAAAAAACATGTTAAATTTAAATTCCTGAAAATGATAAAATTATGTGTGGACAAGGCCAAAGTGATCAGGAGGCAGGTTTACACCTTGTGTCCATTTTGTAATCCAGTCCTCTCCATTTTGGGGTTAGCAATAGGGTGCCACACGTGGTGTAAGGCCAGCCATAGCATTCAAGCTTGACTGAATTTTAAGTGACACAGTAATCAAATATGCTCCAAGGGCATTCCAGAATTTCAGGTGCTGCTGACCATTAAAATCAACCTTCTTAGTGCTTACTTCAATTTAAACAGGATGTAAAATACAATCCTCGCATCAATTAAATATAAGCTCATATATTTCATCTATCAAAAATTAGTGCCCAGAATATATCACTTGAAAAAAAGGTATTATTATGTCTATCTAAGTAGTTATGCAACACCAGTTTAAAATAAGCAGATAATCTTCTAAAATATAGGATTTATGTATTTCCTCCAGAGTATAAAATAATAATTTGCTAAATTTAGAATGCCAATAAGGCAGTATCTACTCTTTCTATGAAATAGAAAGCTAAGCAGTAGAAGCCCGTGTATGGTATTTCATTTGGGAGACAAAAGAAGAAAGACATATTTCAAACAGATGGAAAGTGAAATATAATAAAGTTATACTTGCCTGCATTAATTTTCCTTCTGCTGGAGTTATTTCAGCAACACCAGCAAACACACCTTCCAAAGTGAGATTCAGTTTTCCTGTGGGGTCCATTTTCAAGGGGATCACTCTGATAATAGCTTTCTGTTCTGCTGATCTTTCAGACTCCACCGCTGCTGCCAGTACCAGTCCTGTGCGTCCAAAGCCTGCCTGCAGGGTAGCCATCAGCAGCCAGGGCCAGAGGGCAGCCAGCTGCAGCTGGTGGCCACCACTCATGCTACCAGCTGCAGCAATGCACTTCAACCATACATACTGCTTCCACTAGCTAATACCAAATGCAGGTTCTCAGATCCAGACAAATGGAGGAAAAGAACATTTATGCTTCCGTTTCAGAAAGCCAAGTCGTAGTTTTGGCCCTTCCTTTCTCTAAAGTTTATTCCCAAAAACAGGTAGCATTCCTGATTGGGCAGAGAAGAGGATATTTTCAGCCCACATCTGCTGCAGGTATGTCATTTTCTCCCATCTTCACTGTGACTAGTAAAGATCTCACCACTTCTCTTTGGAATTTCCAACTTTGCTTGTGATTGAATGTCACTTCGTGAATTTGTATTATGTCAGATCACTTGGCATTGCTCTTCCATATGCATCAAGTTGCCAGGCACTAAACCCAATGTTCATGAACAAAACAAGGCAAAGTAAACAGCTAAGGCCATGCATCAAAGGTGAGCGTGAAGAACTCCAGCTCAGAAAAGGAAGGGATGGCCCTTTTTAAGCCATAATATGTGTTAATGGTAAATGACTAAATACCACAAGGAGATTTTTTTTTTAATGGAGGAGAAGAGGGAACAATAATAAAAATTTCAGGCCACACGTTGATGTCCAAAGATGCTACAATATGTATTTAGAAAAGTTTCCACATTAAACTGTATTTCAGTGTGGCCAGGTTTCTAGGCCCACTGCATTTACATACTTTTCATGAACTTAGACATACCATAATTTTTTGTGTTTTACCAAAATTTGCCTATAAATTAGGTGCTAATTTATGTATCTTCACACATTACAGGATAATCCTGAGCATCACAACCTTTTCCAACTTTCATAATTAGAGTATTTGAAAAGGTTAGCTTTCCAATTATTTTTCCCAGTTAAAATTCATATTTCCATCTCCATTTTCTTTTCTCTCTTAAGGATTCTTGATTTTATTCTCCAGCTCGGAAATGCCGAGCACTTTGATTTCCCATGAGATGCTTTTGGAAACTACTTTAATATCCAGATTTTATGATCTGTAATTTTCTAGGTTCATAAGAAAAACAAAGGACTATTCCTCACATGTATCCAAATTCCCTGAGGGGGTAGGGAATAAAAGGTAGGGGGAGCAGGGAGGCGATTAACCACAGGCTCTAGGTAGAATACCCTGAAAAAATACAAATAATCTTGAGTAGAATAGATCTGTGCTATTTCTAGGCACTATGAAAATTTGCGTCTTTGTACAAACACAGAATAAGATTTTTAAAATGTGCACCCTTAAGTAAATATAAATACACCTCACCCACAAAGCCCTCTGTGTTCCAAGGTCAAGTTTAAAAATATTATAAAGTCTTCAGAATAAGTGCTGAAAAGCCAAGCAATTGAACATGAACCTGTTATATGGATTCTTTTCTTTTGCTGAGGCAGAGGGAGGGGGGAAAAAGGAATTTCAAAAGAAATCTGCAAACCTGTTGCGCTGTCGGGCCCACTGGAATCCACGGGGGTGAAACAAATTCAATTATGCTTTTACAGATCCTGCTCAAAAAAGGTTTCAACTGCTTAACCAAGTACAGCTCATTCTTCCACCTTCTTACTCTGCAACCAAACCAAGTGCCCCATACTACAGGTAGGTGCCGAGAAATTCCGCAGCCTGAAAAAATAATCCATGCAGGTCAAAGGCAGAAATTTACTCCGGGATGAGAGATGCTGTCCCCTAGAACTAAATTAAACACTTACAGAAAATCCAAAATCATTTCTGAAACCTCCTTGCTAACAAAAGTTCTTTTTTTCTCCAAACAGCATATAAAATGATCAAGTCTTGAAAGAGAAAAGAAGCAAAGTAGCAAATACATCAACAATTCACTATCAGAAACACATAAAATCCCAGAGAGAGAGAAGGCAGTATCTCTGAATCATGGATGGACTTGGAAAGTTCGGAAGGATTCCGAGTGCTTCCTTTCAGAAAGACAATTCTGGATCAACTCCCTAGAGCAGGAAGCCTGTGGTTTGTAATTGGTGTTCTAGCTCTGACTCCCTCCCCTGGGACTGCAATCACGCTCTCTACCTGCTGACAAAGTGAGGGTGGAGCTGCTAGAGGCAACCACTCCCCACCCTGCCCCCCTCCTCCTGGTGCTCACACACAACACTTACTTAACCAGACCCGTTCTTTCGCTCTCCCCCCTCCCTCAGCTCCTCTACTCCCTCTACTGAGCCACAGCTAAACTGCATCCAATTCGATCCCGAGTACCTTTCTCTGGGTAAGCAAGCTACCACATGCAAATCAGGGCCACTCAAAGATATCTAAGCAGACTCTGCACCCAACAGAGCATAGATGATGGTATGAGGAAATAAACAGAAAAAAATAAAGGTAATCCGGAAGATAAAAGAATGGACACAAGGTTTTGCAAATATAAGTTCAAAAGGATTTCTGCTCATTCCAAGTTTGAGTGTCTATAAATGGCAGAAAGCCAGAATAAAGTGATCCTGTGTTTTAGTACTTACTGATTTATTGCTGCTTATGTCTGCTACCCTGGGAAGGGCTCTGTCCATTTTATGCTTAGCTTTTCTTCAGCTCTTACTAATTTAAATTCAGTAGCTCTGTCTAAACTGTGCCTATATGGAACTTTCAAATCAGGTTGATGTCAGATGTCTGGAATCCAACTGTTATTTTCTTTTCAATCTTTGGGAGGTGAAATAATACTATGGATCAGACCTATGCCTTCAATGTAAGACTCCAAATAAGTCCATGTCATAAATACAAGCCAAAGGGTAAAATATGATTAATGAGAAGAACATAGGCAAAAAGAAAATGAATTTCTGGCTAATTACCACATTCATGAACTATAATCCTTATTACTACCCTGCCATTAGAAATAATACAACAGTTTCTAATACATTTATAACATTTGAAGTTTCAAATTACCAGATTATATTTGACTGTGGTGAGACATTTTATTTCTGAACCGCTGCCATAAACTTTCAAAATTATACAAATGAACAACAATGTGGATATAGTTAAATCTAGTGAACTGTACACTTAAAAATGGTTATGATAGTAAATTTTATGTGTTTCTTACCTCATGTAAAAACGAATCTCTGATCATCTGTAAAATGCTGATGATAATAATTACGATAGGTCTGTTGTAAAGATTAAATGACATAATGCCTCTGAAAGCAAAAAGGATGAGTAGCCTATTGACCTTCAACATTGTTTCCCCTGTAGATAAGGTTTATGACAGTAGTTTCAGAATTTCAGATCTAATAACTAACCTAGATCAAAGACAAATTCGAAAATAAATTTTTTGTTTATTTTTGTTGTTTGAGACAGGGTCTTGTGTTACCCACGCTGGAGCACAGTTGTGCCATCATGGCTCACTGCAGCCTTGACCTTCATGGCCTCCCACCTCAGCCTCCAGAGTAGCTGGGATCACAGGTGCGTCCCACCACACCCTGCAAATTTTTTTTTTTTTTTTTTTGAGACGGAGTCCCGCTCTGTTGCCCAGGCTGGAGTGCAGTGGCGCTATCTCGGCTCACTGCAAGCTCCGCCTCCCGGTTCATGCCATTCTCCTGCCTCAGCCTCCCGAGTAGCTGGGATTACAGGCGCCCGCCACCACGCCCAGCTAATTTTTTGTATTTTTAGTAGAGACGGGGTTTCACCGTGTTAGCCAGGATGGTCTCCATCTCCTGACCTTGTGATCCACCCGCCTCGGTCTCCCAAAGTGCTGGGATTACAGGCGTGAGCCACTGCGCCTGGCCAACACCCTGCAAATTTAAAAAAAATTTTTGTTGGGCCAGGCGTGGTGACTCACGCCTATAATCCCAGCACTTTGGTTGACCAAGGTGGGTGGATCACGAGGTCGGGAATTTGAGACCAGCCTGACCAACATAGTTTAATTTAACATAGTTAAACTAAAAAATAACCTACAAATGGGCTTTGCCTCATCTATTCCTGCTTAAAACGTGCAAAGGAATGAAAAGACCTAGCCCTAGTAATTAATACACACACTTAATTGACAGAAAGAAGACAGTTACAAATGTGGTTGCCCTCTCTTGAGGAAACTCTGAGATTTGGAAATGATGATGATATGCATCATGAACCTGGAGACTTGGAGAAACTCAAGATCAAACCAAACAGCTCTATGTAGCTTAGTTCACTGTTTTAGATCACCAGAATTGCAAGAGCAATTATTCTTCAGCTTCAAAGTTTTGGAGTTACCCTCTAGGGTTGATATACTACTACATTTTCCTAGAGATGTCATAAAGATGCCATCACTATTGTAATGAAATGCCTAAGTCTCAATGACATCTACTAGCTAGTCTTATACATGAGATAGATCATCCTTCAGGATCTACTTTCACCTCTGGATTGATTAAATTTATCAAAGATCATTCATCCTTTTCCAAAAATGTAGGTTTCTGTAAAACATGTCTAAGAATTGTCCTTATCCCTAACGGCATTTAAAAAATTCCATTGCTATTCAAGTACAAATGAAAAAAAACTTTTAAAATTCAGATTATTTGAAAAATAAAGTAAATCTCATTTGAATTATACTATTAACTGTCATAATTATTGAATTTTCTATTAATCACCAAACAGTAAGAACAAGCAAGACAACAAGTCTAGTTGGAACACTCACTTTATTGTTGACTGATTGAAATTTATCAGTGCTTAAGGTGCTGAAATACTGAGGTACTAGTCAGGAACCTTGTTAGTTGACTAGTTGTGTCAGACCCTACTGGCTAATTCACAGGAAGACTTTATTATACCTCTTGCCATTTTGCCCAAGTCATTAATGACAGCTTTAGTTGATAGATACAAGGCGTGTAAGGATAGCAGGAGATCCAGCTCCTTGGTCTGCTGTATTCATATATAAAAATGTTTGGAAAGCTGATTAAGGCATTTCATTAATTAAGCCTTAAAACAACTGAAACCAAATCTATGCCAAGGTTCCTGCTTGACATGTGTTCCTCAAAAGATATTATCTCAACATCTATAAAGCTAAGAAAGCCATATTTAGGGGAAAATCTACACAGTATATTAGCTCTTCAACATGACAGAGAAAAAGCAAAGTTCCTTCATTTGGAAATTGGGTCTCCTCTTCACATACTCTGACAAAATATTATATAGTCTGGCCAAAAGATATAGGTGTCTTGATAATTTGCTCTTTTAAACCTTGCTAATAAAGATAAATAAATGCCCATCACATAGACATTAACTAGTCTAATCAGAGGGACCACACAGGTCGCTTTTCAGAACCTACTTTAATATCTAAACAGAGTCACTGCAGATCAATACAGAGCTCACCCTTTTCCAGAAAAGTAGATCTCTGTAATATTTCTAGGGTTTGACATCATTGGGAAGGCACAATGCAGTATAAGAAATGAACTGTTACATCCACAACGGCTAGCATAGTACTATGTCATATCACCAAGTGCCTTTTTAATTAGTTTCATATTCCTAGGCTTTCCTTTCGTTTCTGCAGTGCTTAATAGGAGAACTGAAACAGAATCCAATAAGAAAGTTTTGGTCAATTGAAAGACTTTAAATCAGAAAGTTTCTTGCTGTCACTGGATAAGCAAGTAAGGGATTAACCACAGAAACTGGACATCCAAGACATCCTTCTCTCCTAAAACACAGTCCCACAATCCTACTGCACAAATCTAGAATCCTGTAACAGGGATAAGAAAAAAATGTTACCATCTATCCCATTATCCAAAATTCTCTCAGAAGCTTAAACCAGATTGAAACCATTCTTTAAAAATCAGAGGCATAGCTTCTACTAAATGGCTGCTAATCAGTTTTTTCCCAAATTTGCACACAATACCTTATATAGATGAGAATTTATACTTATTGAATGTAAAAATCTAAAATAAGAAAATAGTATATTAAATCTCTTAATGTTTTTGTTCACACATTGTACATTTTCCTTTCAAAATAAAAATACTACACATGCATCCTTTATCCTTCTATCCTGCAATAATAAAAATATAAAACTTTAAAACCTTTAAATCTATCAGCATTTATAAATACAATTATATTAAACAAGTTAAATACTTTCTTTAAAGACATTTAAATAAGTGATATATTAATAAAATCTTTTTACCATTTATGATAATGTATCATTAAAATTAAAGAAAGATATGAAAATAGAAGAATGCTTCCATTAATATAAAAGAATCAGGGGCTGTTAAGTGTGATAGATGGTCCAAGTCCGGATGCCTTGCTCTTAAAACAGAATGCTGGGTTAGGAAGTAAGAGAATTTCCTGGTTAATCACTTAGAAAATTAGCTCTTCTCCAGAGTTTCTTCCCTGGAATTCCTGATGCATTTAGACCTGTGATGCTGGTGACCTCACATGCCTTTGTTTCTCACACAATCTCCTCTAAAAGGATCACACTGTGACTTGAATCAGAGAGACTGAATTCCCCACTAAAGTTGTGCTGACTACAGTTTGAGTGGCAAGACAACAAATCAGCACACACACAGATTATTCTTAGTACCATAGATGGAGCAGTTTTTAGATGCTCCTTGACTATAACAGAAGGTCAGAACTTTTCATTTAAAAGGGATCTGGGCAGCCAAAAAACGTGGCTGCTAGATGTTCAGTAGTTTGTCAAGGCAGATAATCTGAACTGAACCACTGTAGTACATACAAATTCCCAATTCTCAATTAACAAAATTCTCAATTAACGAAACAAAAAATACTTTTTTTTCCTTAACAGAACTGAAAAAATCCCAACAGTTTGTCATGTGCAAGGCTAGTCTGCCTCCAGCTACAGCTAGTGCACAATGTCACATTTGTCATCCATTCCTCACTCTTTTAATTCTTCCTCCTTTGGAAAGCGCTCCTGCTTGCAGGCCACGTCCACCAGCAGATGAAGATCTAGAAAGAAAGGATAGTTTACTCCCTCTTAGCCTCTCTGTAGAGTTCTATAGACAAGTTTTCAGACAAGCAGAACAAGTTGTCTATGTCTCACCTGTAGAACTGGCTCTAAAATTGTATAGTCCCATCAGATTCTCAATTTCGGGATATTCCTGTAACTCTAAAGCACACTGATGCAGCCCAGTTGTAACCCAAAGAGACCAACAAATTTTAGTGTCCCTCCTTTTCAGTAGTATAGCCAAGACTCTTTTCACCTCAGTTGCCTTTTTTTTTTTTTTTTTTGAGACGGAGTTTTGCTCTTATCGTCCAGGCTGGAGTACGGCGGCACAATCTCGGCTCGCTGCAACCTCTGCCTCCTGGGTTCAACTGATTATCCTGCCTCAGCCTCCCAAGTAGCTAGGATTACAGGCATGCACCACCACGCACGGCTAATTTTTATATTTTTAGTGGAGACGGGGTTTCAGCATGTTGGCCAGGCTGGTCTCGAACTCCTAACCTCAAGTGATCCACACACCTTGGCCTCCCAAAGTGCTGGGATGACAGGCGTGAGCCACGGTGCCTGGCCTTCAATTGCCTTTTATTGTAAGTGAAAAAGTAAGGAAAAGTGTCAAAGGGATCAAAGTGAATATACACATACAAATAAAAATTCATTTCCTTCATGCTGTAAGAGTAGGTGGGTGGGTTGTGGGAACATGAAAAGGCAATGCCTTCAGAAAAAACAATGTTAAAATAAGTAATCACCATTTTTCCAAAGTTGATTGACTCTATAAAATTCCCACTTATTGACTAACACAGCTGAATTCTTGTAAAAACACCTAGCTGAACTGTCCATAAAAAAGAAAGCATGTCCTCACACAGTGGTTCATTAAGAATGAAAGAAGTAAAAATGCAAATTAGGTACTAGGTTCTGTAATACAAAAAAGCTAAGACCATGTGTAGAAGTTGAGCTAAAACGTCTATAGAGGAACACAGGCAGCAATAAAAGGATCTTAAAGTGGCTTCTAGCTTCAAGCTAATGTGCTTACAACTTCTAGAGCAACATGACCAGGGAGCTTTTTTTTTTTTTTTTTTTTTTGAGACAGAGTCTCACACTGTCACCCGCGCTGGAGTGCAATCTCAGCTCATAGCAAACTCCGCCTCCCGGGTTCATGCGATTCTCCTGCCTCAGCCTCCCAAGTAGCTGGGATTACAGGCGCACACCACCATACCTGGCTAATTTTTTATATATTTAGTAGAGATGGGGTTTCACTATGTTGGCCAGACTGGTCTCAAACTCCTGACCTCGTGATCTGCCCGCCTCAGCCTCCCAAAGTGCTAGGATTACAGGCGTGAGCCACTGCGCCCGGCCCAGGGAGCATTTTTAGGTTGGTTTTGAAGTTTACAACTTTGCTTTAGCATTTGTGAGTTAAAGTATACAGCACAAACCCTTTATTTCATTCTCAACATACAAAGACTTTTGTTGCTACATTTTTGGAACACAGCCTCTACAGGATTGATCCACAGCCCGAGCAGGATAGCTGATTCAAATAAAATGGAATTCTACTACCACTTGGTAGAAAATCTAGAAAGCATTTGAAATAGTACCTAATTTTTGTCATATTTTGTAAAAGACAGACTAGTCACCAGGGATAGGTGCTTACTCATCTGGTGAACTACAACCTAGCCATATAGAACAAGTAATTTATCCACATAAGTATTTTGTGGAAGGAGAGTTTATCAGTTTATCACTTAAAATGAGTTTCTCATACTCCCATGATCACAGCAGTATAATCAGCAGTATTATTCACAATAGGCAAAAGGGAGAAGAAATCCTAGTATCCATCAACAGATGAATGGATAAACAAAATGTGGTATACACATATAACGGAATGTTATTTAGCCTTAAAAAGGAATAAAGCGGGACCAGGAGTGGTGACTCATGCCTGTAATCCTAGCAGTTTGGGAGGCCGAGGCAGGCAGATCACAAGGTCAGGAGATCAAGACCATCCTGGCTAATATGGTGAAACCCCATCTCTACTAAAAATACAAAAAATTAGTTGGGCATGGTGGCAGGCGCCTGTAGTCCCAGCCACCAGGGAGGCTGAGGCAGGAGAATTGTTTGAACCCGGGAGATGGAGGTTGCAGTGAGCCAAGATGGAGCCACTGCACTCCGGCCTGGGCGACAGAGTGAGACTCCGTCTCAAAAAAAAAAAAAAAAAGGAGGAAGAAAGCCAGGAGTGGTGGCACATGCCTGTAGCCCCAGCTACTCAGAAGGCTGAGGCGGAAGGATTGCTTGAGCCCAGGAATTCAAGGCTGCAGTGAGCTATGATGGCACCACTGCACTCCAGTGTGGGTGACAGAGCAAAACCCTGTCTCAAAACAAACAAACAAACAAACAAAATGGAGGAAATTCTGGCACATGCTACAACAATAGGCATTAGGATAAATGAAATAAACTAATCACAAAAAGACAAAAGACAAATACTATATGATCCCATTTATATGAGGTAGCTGGAATAGTCAAATTCAGAGACAAAAAATAGAATGGTAGGTGCCAAGGGCTGTTGTTTAATAGGTACGGAGTTTCCGTTTGGGAAGATGAAAGGAGTTTTGTAGATGAATGGTAGTGATGGTTGTATTCACATGAAATACAAATGTGAATGTATTTCATGCCACTGAACTGTATACTTAAAAATGGTTACAATGAGGCCGGGTGCGGTGGCTCATGCCTGTAATCCCAGTATTTTGGGAGGCTGAGGCGGGCAGCTCACCCAAGGTCAGGAGTTCGAGACCAGCCTGACCAACATGGTGAAACCCCATCTCTACTAAAAATACAAAATTAGCTGGGCGTGGTGGCACATGCCTGTAATCCCAGCTACTCGGGAGGCTGAGGCAGGAGAATCGGAAAATCGCTTGCATCTGGGAGGCGGAGGTTGCAGTGAGCCGAGATTGCGTCATTGCACTCCAGCCTGGGAAACAAGAGTGAAACTCCACCTTAAAAAAAAAAAAAAAATTACAATGTGCCAGGTATGGTGATGCACACCTGTAGTCCTAGCTACCTGGGAGGCTGAAGCAGGAGAATTACTTGAGACTGCAGTGTCCTATGATTGCATCTGTGAATAGCCACTGCACTCCAGCCTGGGCAACATAGTAAGACCTCTATCTCAAAAAAAAAAAAAAAAAAAAAAAAAAACAGGTTAAAATGGTAACTTTTATGTTATGCACATTTTACCATAAAATGGCTTCTCTGAAGTTTAAGTAATAATGATAATAATGATAACAGTAATACATTTACATAACATCTCTTTTTCAAGTAGCTAAATGCATTGTGTCAAGGTCATGTAATTAATCCTGAGTAGTTAGTAGATAACTAGGAGGAAGAGCCTCTAAGCCATTTGGCTAATGAGTAAAGCCAATGGTTTCCAAACCTTGCTGCATATTGGAATCACCTGGGACTTTTTAAAAATTACTGATGCTTGGGGCCCCTCCCACCCTCAGACATTCTAATTTAATTTAATTGGTGTGGAATGCAACCTAGGCATCAGGATTTTTGAAAGCTGACCAAAAAGAATAACACCTAACTATGATCATTTTCTAAACCTATAGAGACATACCAGCTCCATAAAGGACAGGCCATATGGTGGTAGAAAATACTAAAATAAGATTTTGGAATATGAATAGACCCAGTTGTAACCCTACTTTGAAAGCAGAGTAGTAATTATTGATAAGGACAAAGGAAATGACTGTTAAAGCAACTACAGATCTCAAATGGGGAGGCAGACTGAAGAACAGTAGTAACAAACCCACTGAATTTTAATAATTGGGCTTTAAAGTAGCATTTGGCACACAGCTTCTAATAACAAGCATCTAAACATAATTTTATTAAAGCAAGCTTCCTTCATTAACAAAGTTGCCAATCAAGGAGCTAAGGAGTACAGAAATCAATAAAAATACAAAAAGACATAGACTAGCTTGGTGTTGCTAGAGGTTTATACGCCTTCACTCAAAAGATAAACTTGCATATTCATCAGAGAAGATAAGTATTTGGGAATCACAGGCTTGAGAGGTGAAAGGCCCCAAGAGACAAGAGCATTGCATCTACTTGTTTGGGAATGATCATTCCTACCAAGAGCATCCTCTAGGGTTTTGGGGCTATTACCTTAATAAAATCTCATCCATAATCCAATAGCTATAAAATGGGAAGTATTTTCTTCAGGAATGAATTGAACTTTGCTCTTAAACATTCAGTTTCCTTTGACTGTAAAACTAAACATCCTATCAGAGTGTAGTTCCCACAATGAGATTAATATTTGGGTACATTTGGTTTAGGGTAATACCATTGCAGAAATCAGAAGAGCATGATTCAGTCTAATATTCTTTACCTCTTGGTATTTTTTATTTAAAAGTTATTTCCTTAAGTCAGCATGTACTCAAAAGAGCTACACAAAGCATGCCAGTGGCTGTAATGGATAACCTCCTCCCTAACAAAATACACATCACTGAAATCACTACAATTTGGACACCTAATCAATTCGAAGTCTCTTATGAAAAAAAAATGTTGGCCAGGTGCGGTGGCTCACACCTAGAGTCCTAGCACTTTGGGAGGCTGAGGAGGGTAGATCGCTTGCATCCAGAAGTTCGAGACCAGCCTAGGCAACATGGTGAAACCCTGTCTCTATAAAAAAATAAAAATAAATACAAAAATAAATTAGCTGAGTGTGGTGGCATGTGGCTATAGTCCCAGCTACTCAGGAGGCTGAGGCAGGAGGATAGCTTGAGCCCAGGAGGTCAAGGCTGCAGTGAGCTGATCACACCACTGCACTCAGACTAAGCAACAGAGACACTATCTCAAAATAAAACAAAATAAAAATAAAAATGTCAAATAAAGCTTCAAGTGTGAGAAGATGTCCCTTCTTACACAGGTTAAAGAAAATTTTAATTTAGTTTTTAAATTTTTATAATTTAGTTACGGAAGGGCACTGATAAGTTCTGCAATATAAGATGCTCCTGTTCAATGTGATATTGAGCAACATAATGATATTCCAACAGTTAATGTCAGAATTATAGCATTTCAGAATTTGGGGGCCAAAGGAGTCTTTAGAGGAGGATTTCATGAGATTCTCTTATATTCATCATAAATAATGTATTTTAAGAGTTGGAACATTATTGATGAGAGATACTCTTAATGATAATGACAGATGAAATTTAAATGATATTTTAGAAATTTTTTATTTGGTTCCTATCATTAATATTTTAACTTGAAATTTAGTATCTACCAAGATAAAAAACATTTGGTCATCTATGAGAACTAAACTGAATGCTATTCCATTTTGAGCTCTCCCCACAAGGGGTGCCTCCTCACTCTCCTAAGGGCTTCTCTGCCCATCAATGATCAGGGCTGCAAAAATATCAGAAGCTAAGAACAAGGAACAAGAACATCTAATACAAGGTTGGCAAAGTTTTTCCTGTAAAGAGTCAGATAATAAATATTTTAGGCTTTATGGCCCATATGGTCCCTATGGCAATTGATCAATTCTGCTATTGTAGCACGACAGCAGTCAAAGACAACACATAAATGCACGGCTGTGACTGCATGTTCCAATAAAACTTTATGGACATTGAAATCTGAATTTCACATAATTTTCATGTATCATGAAATATTCTTTTGATTTTTTCCTCCAACAATTAAAAAATGTAAAAACCATGCTTAGCATGTAGGCCATATAAAAACTGTCAGCAAACCAGATTTGATCCACAGGGCTTAGTTTACTAACTCCTCTTCTAATAGCACACGCTATGGGTACAATCAAGATAAATTTAAGGAAAACAGGAAAAAGATTTCATCAAGTTGAATATTGTTATTATAGTTCTCAAAACAATATATTTTCTCCAAAGAAGATATAAAAATGGCAAACGAGCTCATGAAAGGATTAGTCATTAGGGGAATGCAAATCAAAACCACAATGAAGGCCAGGCGCGGTGGCTCACGTCTGTAATCCCAACACTTTGGGAGGCCGAGGTGGGCAGATCACGAGGTCAGGAGATCGAGACCATCCTGGCTAACACAGTGAAACCCTGCCTCTACTAAAAGTACAAAAAATTAGCCAGGTGTGGTGGCGGGCGCCTGTAGTCCCAGCTACTCGGAAAGCTGAGGCAGGAGAATGGCATGAACCCAGGAGGCGGAGCTTGCAGTGAGCCGAGATCACACCACTGCACTCCAGCCTGGGCGACAGAGTGAGACTCTGTCTCAGAAAAAAATAAAAAACCACAACGAATTACACCTCACAACACAAGGATGGCTCTAATAATAATTTTTAAAAAAGGAAAATACCAAGTGTTAGCGAGGATGTAGAGAAACTGGAACCCTTGTGCATTGCTGGCAGAAGTGTAAAACAGTTCAGCCATTATGGAAAATAGTTTAACAGTTCCTCAAAAAGTTAAACATGGAATTACCATATGACCCGGCAATTCCACTTCTAGGTATAGACCCCGAAGAACCAAAAACAGTTACTAAAACAAATACTCGTATATGCATGTTCATAGCACTATTCACAATAGGCAAAACATAGAAAAAGCCCAAATGCCCATCAGTTAATAAATGGATAAACAAATTGTGGTATACATATATAACATAACATTATTCAGCCATAATAAGAAATGAAGTACTGATTTACATGCTACAATGTGGATGAACCTTAGAAAACATTATGCTTAGTAAAGTAAGTTAGACACAAATGTCACACACATATTGCATTATTTCATTTATATAAAACATTCAGAATAAGTAAATCCATAGAGACAGAAAACAGATTGGTAGTTGCCAGGGGCTGGGGAAAGGTGGGAATATGGAACAACTGTTTAATGGTTATGGGTTTTTCTTTTGGGGTGCTGAAAATCTTTTGGAACTAAATAGAGGTGGAGGTTGTATATCATTATGAATGTACTATATGCCACTTAATCGTACACTTTAAAATGTTTAACTTATAGCGAGGCATGGTGGCCCATGCCTGTAGTCTCAGGAGGCTGAGGCAGGAGGATTGCTTGAGCCCAGCAGGCAGAGGTTGCAGTGAGCCAAGATCATACCACTGCACCCCAGCTTGGGGGACAGAGCAAGACCCTGTCTAAAAAAATAAAAACTAAAAAACTAAATGTTTGGCCAGGCGTGGTGGCTCACACCTGTAATCCCAACACTTTGGGGAGGCCGAAGTGGATGGATCACCTGAGGTCAGGAGTTTGAGACCAGCCTGGCCAACATGGTGAAACCTGATCTCTACTAAAAATACAAAATCAGCCGGGCATGGTGGCGGGCGCCTGTAATCCCAGCTGCTTGGGAGGCTGAGGCAGGAGAATCACTTGAGCCCAGGAGGTGGAGGTTGCAGTGAGCCAAGATCACACCACTGCACTCCAGCCTGGGCAACAAAGCAAGACTCTGTAAAAAAAAAAAAAAATTAAATGTTTAATTCTATGTTAATTTTACCTTAAAAAAAAAAGGTATATTTTCCTGTCAATTTGAAATGACCAGACAAAAAGAAGGGGAAAGCAGGAAATGGCTATAAATACAAAATTCATAGTTATGGTTGACTTTGTCAACCTCATTGGATTAAGAAATACCTAGAAATCTGGTAGAGCATTATCTTTGTTTTTTTTACTGTTTTTGTTTTGTTTTGTTTTGTTTTTTCAGATGGAGTCTCACTCATTCTGTCTCCCAGGCTGGAGCACAGTGGCGCAATCTGGGCTCACTGCAACCTCTGCCTCCCAGGTTCAAGCAATTCTCCTGCCTCAGCCTCCCAAGTAGCTGGGATTACAGGCACCCACCACCACACCCGGCTCATTTTTGTATTTTTAGTAGATGGGGTTTTGCCATGTTGGCCAGGCTAGTCTTGAACTCCTGACCTCAGATTATCTACCCACCTCAGCCTCCCAAAGTACTAGGATTACAGGTGTGAGCCACTGTACCTGGCCTGGTAAAGCATTATCTTTGGATATGTGTCTGTGTTTCTAGAGAAGATTAGCATGTGAGTCTGAGTGGACTAGGTGGGGAAGATCTGCTCTCAATATGGGTAGGCACCATCCAGTCAGCCAGGGGCCCAGAGAGAACAAAAATGGAGAAAAGGCAAGTGTGTCTGCAGCTGGGGTACACTCTTCCTCTCCTGTCCTTGCACATCAAAACTCTAGACTCCCCAGCCTTTGTACTCTGGGACTTACACCACAAGCCCCCTTGGCTCTTAGGCTCTAGTCTTGGACAAGTTACACCATTGGCTTCCCTGGTTCTGTGGCCTTTACACTTGGACTGAGCTACACTGCCAGGGTCTCCAGCTTACAGACAGCTTGTGTGGGACTTCTCAGCCTCCATAACAGTATATGCCAATTTCCCTAATAAATCCCCTCTTATATGTCTATATACAGTCAGGAGTCACTTAACAATGGGGATATGTTCTGAAAAATGTGTCATCAGGTGATTTTGTCCCCGCACAAATATCACATTGTATATTTACACAAACCTAGATGGTATAGCCTACTACATACTGATATAGTTTGGCTGTCCCCAACCCAAATCCCACCTTGAATTCCCACATGTTGTGGGAGAGACCTGGTAGGAGGTAACTGAATCATGGGGGCAGGTTTTCCCGTGCTGTTCTGATGATAGTGAATAGTCTCATGAGACCTGATGGATTTATAAGGGGGAGTTTCCCTTCAGAAGCTCTCTTCTCTTGTCTGTTGCCATGTGAAACATGCCTTTCACCTTCCACCATGATTGTGAGGCCTCCCAGACACGTGGAACTGTAAGTCTATTAAACCTCTTTCTTTTGTAAATTGCCCAGTCTCGGGTATGTCTTTATCAGCAGTGTGAAATCGGACTAACACACATACCAAGGCTATATGGTATAGCCTATTTCTCTTAGGATACAAACCAGTACAGCAAGTTACTATGCTGAACACTGTAGGCAATTATAACACAATAGTAAGTATTTATGTATCTAAACATAGAAAAGGTACCATAAAACTACAGTGTTACAATCTTACGGGACCACTGTTCCATATACATGGTCTGTCATTGACTGAATGTCATTATTTACAATCTTACGGGACCACTGTTCCATATATATGGTCTGTCATTGACTGAATGTCATTATGCCGTGCATGACCATATATATCCTATTGGTTCTATCACTCTGTAAGACCCTGACTAATACACATACCAAAACATATCTTAGTTTTCAGTATCAGAGCATGGTAATGAGATATGGAATGGTGTCTTTTGTAAAACATACACAATTCTTGTTTCCAGCAGAAGAGAACTGTAGAAGACACCACTTGTGTAACCCTATTGGACCTAGCACAGTACCAAGCCCAAGGCAGGCATTCAGTAAGTACTTGCTAAAAGAAACCTGAGGGTGGTTTGACTTCCCAAATATTCAAACCTTACCTCTTAGTGGTTAACTAAAAGACTGCTCATAGAGACAAAATGTAGACATAGACACAGACACAGAAAGTAGAATGGTGGCTACCAGCATTCAGGGGACAGTGGAAATGGAGACTTACTGTTTAATGGGTATAGAGTTTCAGTTTTGCAAGATGAAAAGAGTTCTGGAGAGAAATGGTGGTGATGGTAGCAGTGGCATTAACTGAACTGTACATTTTCAAATGGTTAAGATGGTAAATTTTATGAGCATTTATCACAATTTTTTAAAAGACTGCATTTTTCCATAAATTTTTAAAAAGTACATTAGTAAGATAAGAATGTATATGGAGAAAAAAAGCAACTCATTCATTTATTTATCCAACAAGGAGTGCCACAGGTAATATTCTAGGTCCTGGGGATACAACAATGGGTAAAACAACCACAGAGAACCAACCTTCTAGAAAGAGTGGGGGTGGGAATTATAGAAAAATAGCAAGTAGTAATAGGCACTGCAGAAGAAAAACAAAGAAGAATAAAGACTGAAGGAGGGCAGGACATGGGGAACAGGGTGCCATTTCAGATGGCATGGTCAGGAAGATTTCTGTGATGATCTGGCATCTGAGCAGAGGACTGAATGAAATGAAGGAACACACCATGTGAAAATCTGGGTGAAAAACATTTCAGGCAGAGACAATAGCAAGTGTAAAGGCTGGAGCATTCTTGGTATGCTTAAACAATAGTGAAGAAACTGCTGGGGCTGGACTAGATGAGGGAGATAGAAGGTGGTAGGGGATGAAGCCAGAACAGTTGCCAGGAGCCAAATCATTCAGCATCTTGAAGACCACAGTAAGGATTCTCAGATTTTCTTCTACATATATATATATAGAAAACTATTAAATAAATTTAGATGGGAAAATAATTACTGATTTAAGAGATCACTCTGGCAGAAAGACTGTAGGGGCCAAGAGCAGAAGCAGAAAAACCTTAAGAAGCTACTGCAGTCATCTAGGCAAGAGAAAGTAGTAGCTTGGACCATGGCGACACCAAATAAAGGAGGTGAGAAATGGTCAGATTCTGGATCTGCATCTACAGTGAGCTGATAAGATTTGCTGATGGACTGGACATGTGAGAGAAGGGAGTCAAGGGAGACTCCAAGAGTTGTGGCTGACCAGATGACTAGAAGTACCATTCATTCATTCATTCATTCATTCATTCATCTGAGACAAGGTCTTGCTCTGTTGCCCAGGCTGGAGTGCAGTGGCACAATCACAGCTCACTACAACCTCTGCCTCCCAGGCTCAAGCAATTATCCCACCTCAGCCTTCCGAGTAGCTGGGACCACAAGCACCTGCCACCAAGCATGTTTTTTGTAGAGACATGGTTTCACCATGTTGGCCAAGCTAGTCTCGCTTAAGCCCAAGTGACCTGCCCACCTTGGCCTCCTAAAGTGCTGGGATTACAGGTATGAGCCACCACGCCTGGCCAATACTATTTATTTATAAGTAAATAAGTAAAATTGGGGAAAAGGTAGAATATATTAAGCTTGGGACACCTACTGGACATCCAAAGACGTAGCGTAGGCAGTAGTGTATACAAGTGAGGTTCAGAGAAGATTGAGACTTAAGATACAGATTTCGGAGACACCACTACAAAGGTGATAATAAAAGCATGAGACTGGTTAAGATTACCTAGGAATTGAATAGAGAGAGAGAAAGAATTGAGCTCTGGGGTTCATCAATATTTAGAAATTAGGAAAGTTGAAGAGTATTCAGTAAAAGAAACTACAGAGTTGGCCAGTGAAAACTAGGAAAGGGAGATGTTCCACAAGCCAGAAGAAAGCATTTCAGGAAGGTTGAAATAATCTGTTCAAATGCTGCTGAGGTGAATTAAGTAAAATACGGACTGATAATTGGCTACTGGATTTGGCAACATGGCAGTCATTGGAAACCTTGACAAATGAAGTTTCAGTTGAGCAGAAGAAAGAAAAATCTGCTTGGAGTAGTTGAAGTAAGGATATGCTTCCAAGGAGCTTTGCTCTAAGGAAAGCAGAAAAAGTAGAGGAATAGCTACATGGAGGTATGAAGGAAAGGTCAAAGGGATTTTTTTTTTTTTTTTTTTTAGATGGAGCTTCACTCTTGTCGCCCAGGCTGAAGTGCAGTGGCGTGTTCTTGGCTCAGTGCAACCTCCGCCTCCCGGATTCAATTGATTCTCCTGCCTCAGCCTCCCGAGTAGCTGGGATTACAGGCGCATGCCACCCCGCCTGGTTAATTTTGTATTTTTAGTAGAGACGGGGTTTCACCATATTGGCCAGGTTGGTCAAGAACTCCTGACCTCAGGTGATCCACCCGCCTCAACCTCCCAAAGTGCTGGGATTACAGGCGTGAGCCACTGTGCCTGGCCCAAAGGGATTTTTAAAACATAGAACCTATGACGACATGTTTGCATGCTGATGGGAATTATCTAACATAAAAGATAAAATGTTAGGCCGGGCGTAGTGGCTCATGCCTATAATCCCAGCACTTTGGGAGGAAATCGAGACCATCCCGGCCAACAAGGTAAAACTCCATCTCTACTAAAAATACAAAAATTAGCTGGATGTGGCAGCGCGTGCCTGTAATTCCAGCTACTTGGGAAGAGGCTGAGGCAGGAGAATCGCTTGACCTGGGAGGCGGAGGTTGCAGTGAGCCGAGATCTTGCCACTGAACTCCAGCCTGGCAACAGAGCTAGACTCCATCTCAAAAAAAAAAAAAAGATAAAATGTGGCCAGGCACTGTGGCTCACTCTTATAATCCCAGCACTTTGGAGGCCAAGGCAGGAGGATCACTTGAGACCAGGAAATCAAGACAACCTGGGCAACATGGCAAGACCCTGTCTCTATAAAAATTAAAAAAATTAGCTGGGCATGGTGGCATGAGCCTGTGGTCCCAGTTACTCAGGAGGCTGAGATGGGAGGATTGCTTGAGCCGGGAAGTCGAGGTTGCAGTGAGCTGTATTCACACCACTACACTCCAGCGTGGATGACAGAGGAAGACTCTGCCTTAGGGGGAAAGCAAAAATAAAGATACAATGTGATTATTGAAGAGTAAGGGGGATAGCAGTAGGTCCTAAGTCTGTGAGTACACCAAAGGGGACAGGATTCTGTATACAAATGAAAGGACTGGCCCTTTTCCATTATAACAGAAGGAAAGGCAGCGTGTAGGGTTACAATTGGAAGTAGACTGATAAATATGTTGGTGGGAAGATATGAAAGCTTCATTCTAGCTGCTTCTATTTTCTCAGTAAGATATAAAACAGGGTCACAGCCACGAATGAAGAGAGAGGAGGAGTGTTGGAAACGGAGCAGAGAGGACAGGATATAATAGAGTGGCTTTGGAGAATGGGGAATATATTGACTAGAAAATATTATAGGACTGCTGCAACACTGACAGCCTACGTGAATTTAAAGTGAGACTAAGGCGGGGTGCAGTAGCTCATGCCTGTAATCCCAGCACTTTGGGAGGCCAAGGTGGGTAGATCACCTGAGGTCAGGAGTTCAAGACCAACCTGGCCAACATGGCAAGACCCCATCTCTACTAAAAATACAAAAATCAGTTGTGTGGTGGCTCATGCCTGTAGTCTCAGCTATTTGGGAGGCTGAAGCACGAGAATCGCTTGAACCCAGGAGGCGGAGGTTGCAGTGAGTCGAGATCACGCCACTGCACTCCAGCCTAGGCAACAGAGTGAGATTCCAGCTCAATAAATAAACAAATAAATAAATAAATAGAGACTAGCCATCTGAAAAGTAACCAGTGGTAATAAACATAAGAACAGTAAATATTGGCTGGGCGCTGTGGCTCATGCCTGTAATCCCAGCACTTTGGGAGGCTGAGGCGAGCAGGAGATCGAGACCATCCTGGCTAACATGGTGAAACCCCATCTCTACTAAATATACAAAAAATTAGCCGGGCATGGTGGCGGGCGCCTGTAGTCCCAGCTACTCGGGAGGCTGAGGCAGGAGAATGGTGTGAACCTGGGAGGTGGAGCTTGTAGTGAGCCAAGATCACGCCACTGCACCGCAGCCTGGGCGACAGAGCGAGACTCCATCTCAAAAAAAAAAAAAAAAAAAAAGTAAATGTTATAAAAATAGCTAAAATTCTATTGCTACTATGTATGGACTACTTACTATGTAACCCAGCATAATACTAAGCCAGTTCTATGATTTATATCATTATAATCCATATTCCTCATTTTGCAGATGAGGACACCAAAGCTCAGTTAGGTAAACACGTCCAAGGTCACACAGTAAAGAGCAGAATCCAGGTTTTAATGCAGGTTTTTCTAACACCAAAAGCTTTCTTTCTAACCATATGCTGTACTGTTTTTAATGAGCAGTATATTAATCTCACACATTGACTTTGGTTAAGGTCTCTTAATGCCATGGGACCTTACATATAGCCATGTTTTCATAGACCAACTGCTAGGCCAAGGTCTATCAGAGCAGAATCATTTGCAACTTCATGAATTGTATTTCTGCCTACACTTTAATTAAAAAACTTTTTTTTTTTTTAGCAGAGAGGTTCTAGCTTAATCATAACTCATTTTCCTCTTGTCCATAATAAAATGAAAATGTGATTAGGTGTCATAATGATGCCAAGATTTCACAACTCTTATGTTTCACAGCAGGAAGCCAACATCAATTAAGACTCATCTATTAACTGCACTGACCAAAGGATAAGGCTTTACTTAGAAAAAAAAAACAACAGGAAGAGTTAATAAAGATAATTACTGTGCTAATTATTTTATCAGTTACACTTATAACCATAACATGTAGTGAAAGAGAGGAAATTATTTTTTTAACAGCAGGCACCAGAGTTCCTCTCAGGGAGGTAATTGTCTTTGTTGAGGAATATGTCTCGATAGATTGTTCTGGTTGGGAAAAATGACGCCTTAAAAACATCAAAAAATAGAAGAGATACCTAACCTTCTTTGCCTAAGTAAAACACAGGAATTCAGCACCTGGGGAAAGAGCAGAAAAAAAAAACCAACCATAACAACAACAACAACAGAAAGCAGAGAAACGAAGGTCTGGTGCTAGTACAAGGAAAGAAAGCAACATGGCAGAGGACCATATTGACTAGTGACAAGGAAAGATGCCGTAAAGTGACTGGGGGCCTTTTAATTCCATTTTTGCGGTATTCTAAATATTTCTGTCGGTATTTCTGCCTCCCGACATCTTCATAAAAGTGTGCTACACATACACATGCCTAGCATAATGCTTAAAGGGAGGAAGAGGTCAAAGAAAGTGGGCCAAGTTCTGCATCTGGTATAGCATGGAACAGACAGATAAGAACAGCCCTGGGAGGTCAGATATGGACAAGTCTGGAATTACATTTAAGCAGAAACTCAAAAATAAAAGCTACTGTGAACCCTAGAAAGTCTCAGAAATCTTAGAAAGGCATTCTTGGTATAGGGTAAGTTTATCTTGAGTCAATCATATCTAAACCTCAAAAGTCAGTTTACTATCTGGGATATAAATATTTTTTAAAAACACTCTGAAATTGTTCATTTCTATTACTTTAAGGCTTTTATATTCCTGCTATAGGAACACTTCAAGTATTTAAACTACTTTTAGTATTTTTAGATTTTTTAAAATTTGAAAAACATAGAAGAATACAGATGGTGAAAATTTCCCGTAATCCTATTATATATACATATACAAATTGAGAAGTTAAGCATACCCCTGCACCCATACATTCTATCTTCTGAGAGATAACTAGTGTTATATTTATCAGCTATATCGTATATCTCCAGACTTTTTTCTATAATTTTACAGCATATACTTTCTTTTCTTTCTTTCTAGAAAGGGGGTTGTGCTAGACATATTGTGTTGCAACTTACCCATTTGCTGAACACATTATGAACACTTACTGTCTTTCCAGGTCACAACACATCAAGCTACTTCAGTTTCTTAAATGGTTGCACAGTATTTTATTATGTAGATGTCATAATGTATCTGGTTCCCCACTGTCAGGCATTTATGCTTTTCTCAAATTTTTGCTATTATAAATAACACTATAGCAAACTTATTTTGAGTACCTTTGGGAATATACACATTTCTACAGGAGAGATTCCCAGGAGTAGAGTTCCTGAGTCAAAACTCATAAGCATTTTAGTTATCTATAAATAATGCCAATTGTCCTTTATAGGGCTATACGAATTTACATTCCAATTACAGCATAGAGAAGGTTCCTTTTCTCTATACCTTTATCAAAGCTGGATATTATCAACAGTTAAAGTTTTGCCAATCAAATTGCCAAAAAAAAAAATAATTGGTTGATTTTGGTCAGTGACAGACCATATAGATGATGATGATTCTGTAAGATTGTACTCTATTTTTACTGTACCATTTCTATGCTTAGCTATGTTTAGATACACAAATACCACTGTATTACAATTGCTTACAATATTCAATACAGTAACATGCTGTAAGGGTTTGTAGCCTAGAAGCAATAGGCTATACTATACAGCCTAGGTATGTAGTAGGCAACATCATCTAGGTTTGTGTAAGTACAATTCACAATGTTTATAAAACAATAACATTAACTAATGACATAGTTCTCAGAATACATTCCTGTCATTAAGGGATACATGATTATATGTGCTACTGGCTTTGCAGTCAGGCAGCACATGGTTAGGACACAGCAAGCTAGAATGTTGGTGATCTTTGTTATCCATGCCAACATATTTGGTAAAATCATTACCTGTGACACCATGGAAGTCAGACCACACATGCCAAGTGAACATACAACCATGGGGGAAAAGATTGACAAAAATCACAAGGTGTTGACTATTTCTTGACACATTCAGCAAAGCCCTAAAAGAAGAGATAAACTCAGGCTAGAGGTACCTAGTGTGCAAGCAGAGATGGAAGGGAATATTTGACTGCCTGTGGTTGACAACTTATTGACTAGAGTTCAGTAACTGGGTCATGAATCCAACTGCTTCAATACCCCAACCTGAAGTTGCACTAAGAAGTGCCTTAAGGCCAGGCATGGTGGCTGACACCTGTAATCCCAGCACTTTGGGAGGCTAAGTTGGGAGGATTGCTTGAGACCAGGAGTTGGAGATCAGCCTGGGCAACACAGTGAGACTCCATCTCTTTGAAAAGTAAAAAAAAATCAGCTAGGTGTGGTGGCATGTGCCTGTAGTCCCAGCTACTTCTTTGGGGGGTTGGGGGTAGGTTGGTTGAGGTGGGAGGATCACTTTAGCCCAGAGATCAAGGCTGCAGTGAGCTATGATCGTGCCAGACTAGGCAACAGAGTGAGACCCTGCCTCAAAAAAAAAATAATAATAAATAAAAAAAATTGGTGGTACATGCTGATTAACATTAAGCTAAGCCCAACAGTTGACAAATCTTGTCAACAGAGCTTCTGTAAGCTTTTTAATGCTCCATTCTTGAATAGGGAAGAAAGCCAATGGAAAAAAAAAACAAAAACAACAACAACCAAAAAAAAAAACCAGAAAGAACGTAGAGGAAACTGACATATGTTGTGGGGAAACAACTTCAAAACCAGCCCTTCCATTTAGTATCCTCAGAGAGCTATAAGAAGATATTATATCCATATAAAAGAACAGCAAGTTCCCCCAAAAAGGAACAATTATAGAATAGAATAAAAAAGAGCTGTTAGAAGTTATAATTTTTTTTTTTTTGAGACGGAGTTTTGCTCTTGTTGCCCAGGCTAAAGTGCAATAGCGCGATCTCGGCTCACTGCAACCTCCACCTCCCGGGTTCAAGCAATTCTCCTGCCTTAGCCTCCTGAGTAGCTGGCATTACAAGCATGCGCCACCATGCCCAGCTAATTCTGTATTTTCAGTAGAGACGGGGTTTCACCATGTTGGTCAGGCTGGTCTGGAACTCCCAACCTCAGGTGATCCGCCCGCCTTGGCCTCCCAAAGTGCTGGGATTACAGGCATGAGCCACCATGCCCAACTGGAAATTATAAATTTAGTAGCCAAATTTTTAAAATTAAACATTTGAAAGTTTCATCTGAGGAACATTCCACAAAATAGAAAAAAGATAAAAGTATAACAAAATTGAAAGAAAAAAACAGAGAGAGAAGTTCATCTCAGCATATCCAATACTGGACTAAAGAAAAAATAGGAAAAATGGAAGGGTAAAGAGGTAAGAATTTTTTTTTTTAATGATATGACCACTTCTGGTAATGTCAGGCCTGATAATTAAGACCAGCTTTCCTATTGAAGACAACTAAAAAACCTGGACAGATGATAGAAACAATATTCTTTAAAAGTCTCAAAAGGTAATGAGATAGTAAAGAATGACTGGGCTGAGTGTCAGGTGAGAGTGGGGATCCAGAGAGTAAGCCTTGTATTTGAGGCTACTTTTACCTTTGTGACATTTGCCATCTGTAGGAGATTGAGAGGCTGAGCTTTGCCTTTTGGGTCTAGAGGGACAAATGTCAGAGACTGGGCTTGTCAAAGGTTGAGTTCTGATGAGATTCCCACTTTTATGGCTAGGATCTCAATAAGCTGCACCCAGGAGAGGATGAACCACAGGGAAACAAGCCCTTGCACAGTTTGTGGTCAGAAAAATCTCAGGCTCTGAACTGGATTAAGGTGATCCCTAATTGCCAGTGACCCCAATTGCCTGGTAGAAACAAATCTTATTTGAGGAAGATAATGTCATCCTAGGCCTTAAATTATTTTTACAAGTAACTTTTCAAATACTATTCTTCAAATACTATGTCCAGCATACAGCGAAAATAACCAGTTACATGAGGGAGTAGCCACTGTGGTTGAGAACCAACACAAATGAGACAA
The DNA here is from genome assembly GCF_000001405.40 of Homo sapiens. Lineage (NCBI taxonomy): Eukaryota > Metazoa > Chordata > Mammalia > Primates > Hominidae > Homo > Homo sapiens. Next base: position 58,440,630 of record NC_000017.11, read on the forward strand.
CTGAAAGAGACCTGTGGAAACTCCATATACTGGAATTACCAGAATTCAGCAAGAAAACAACCATGCTTACTATTTCAAGGAGGCAAATTCCAAGCTTGAAAAATTTTGGCAGATAACTAGAAACTCAAAAATGTGACCAGAGGTCTGGAAAAAAGAACAAACAGAAATCCTAGAATTGAAAAATAATCAAATTAATAACTCAGTGGATGAGTCAAACAGCACATTAGACCTAGTCTCAGAGAAAGAGTGAACATGAAGGTAGAAGAAATAACTCAAAAAGGAAATGTGGAGGAAAAAAATATGAGAGGTTTAAAAAAATTAAGACATAGGGAATTCAGGGAATAGGAAAGATGTGAACAACATAATCAACACTTAATCTAATTGACAGATAGAACACTACATTTAACAACTGCAGAATACACATTACTTTCAAGTGCAAATGGTATATTCACCAAGATAGACCATACACTGGGCCATGAAACAAGTCTCAATAAATATAAAGGATCAAAATTATACAAAATGTATTCTCTGACCACAACACAATTAAATTAGAAATCGATAACAATAAAGTAACTAGGAAAACCTCAAATATCTGGAAATAAATATAAATTTATTTAAATATCTGGGAATAAATCTAAAAATGCATGAATCAAAGACAAAATCACAAGGAAAAAGAAAATATTTTTAACTGAGTGATAATGGAAATACAACACCAAACTTTGCTGGATGCAGCTGAAGCGATGTTTAAAGGGAAATGTATAGTTTTAAATGTTAATCTTAGAAAAGAAGATCTAAAATCAGTGACCTGAAGTTCCACCTTAAAAAATCAGAAAAGGAAGAAGAAAGTAAACCCAAAGTGATACGAGAAAGGAAATAATATAGATAAGAGTAGAAATCAATGAAATAGAAAACAGACAATGGAAAAAATTAACAAATACAAAAGTTGGCTTTGAAAAGAAGTAGGCAACAAAAACTTGATCATTCCAAAAAAAAAGCATATCCCTGAGGACCACTTCAGATGAGTCCATGAAGGATAGTGAACCAGGAAGAGCCCTCTTGGAAGGGAACGCCAGAGGTGATGGAGACAACAAATAGAAAAATACTCCCAGAAAGCAAAAGCAGGGCTTCACTGATGGGCTAACCAAGGAATTTATCCTACTGTCAAGGCAGAAAATCTTTGCAGTTTCCATCCAGCAGGATTTGATAAATGCTGTGAAACAGCGACTGTTGTATGTTTCCTATTTTTCTCTTTTTTGAGTGAAAGTTTTACTTGTTACATATCCTATTCTAATACTCTAATTTGGGTATGTGTGAGTGAGGGGGGAGGATGGATAACTTGTTTTTTATGTTACGAGACAAAGAAGAGCCATCTAACAGAAAAGAATTTCATAATACTCAAGAGATCCTGACTTTAAGCAGGATGCCATAATTGTATGGGTCTTTGGCATTGTCTCTCTTGGGGAGAATGTGAGCATGTTCTGTGTATACTAACATGGCTGTGCTCTGATAATTGGGTAGTCAAAGCAGTGGATTTGGCAGAGGCTGTCCCCCAGAAGTCATTTACCTCTTCTTCCATGGTGGTGGAATGCTTAGGTGGGTACATGGTCACCTAGCCAAAGATTTCTTTTCCAAAACTACCCTAAAATTAATTGGCTGTGGCTATGTGATCAAAGTCAAAGAGTTGTAAACATACAGGATGTATATAACTTTTCACCTTATTTCAAGGGTGAGGTCCTCCAGTACAGTGTTGAAGATAAGTAGGGAAAGTGGCCATCCTTGCCTTGTTCCCAGTCTCTGGGGGGTAAATGGTTTAGCTTTTCACCATTATGATCTTTACTGTACACACTTTATAGATACTCTTTTATTGGTTTGAGGAATTTTCTGCCATTCCTAGTTTGTTGAGAGTTTTTACTATAAAATAGTGCAAAATTTTGTCCAATGCTTTCCCTGCATCTATTAAATGGTCATAGTTTTTCTCGTTTATATTGTTAATATGGTGAATAACATTAACATTTGAAAAATAAGCCTTGCATATCTGAGACAAACCAAGTAGAGTTTGTCTCATAAGTGGAAGAGATGGGCTAGACTTAGTTAGTCCTTTAATTCTTTTTTGTTTGTTTGTTTTTGTTTGAGATGTAGTCTCTGTTGCCCAGGCTGGAGTGCAGTGGTGCCATCTCTGCTCACTGCAACCTCCACCTCCCAGATTCAAGTGATTCTCCTGCCTCAACCTCCTGAGGAGCTGGGACTACAGGCATGCAGCACCACACCCAGCTAATTTTTGCATTTTTTTTTTTTTGAGACAGAGTTTCGCTCTGTTGCCCAGGCTAGAGTGCAGTGGCAGTGATCTCGGCTCACTGCAAGCTCTGCCTCCCAGGTTCATGCCATTCTCCTGCCTCAGTTCCCGAGTATCTGGGACTACAGGCGCCCACCACCACGCCCGGCTAATTTTTTGTATTTTTAGTAGAGACGGGGTTTCACTGTGTTAGCCAGGATGGTCTCAACCTCCTGACCTCGTGATCTGCCTGCCTTGGCCTCCCAAAGTGTAATTTTTGTATTTTTTAGTAGAGACAGGGTTTCACCATATTGGCCAGGCTGGTCTCGAACTCCTGACCCTGTGATCCACCTGCCTTGGTCTCCCAAAGTTCTGGGATTACAGGTGTGAGCCACTGCATCTGATCAGTCCTTTCATTCTTAGTTCCCCAACTTGACGACTGCTGAAACAGAGATTTCTAAGTCCCACCCCTGTCTTTCATTTTTTTTAAAGGAGAAACATCCAATTTCTACCTACCAACGCTCTTCAGAAGGAGGCAAGGATATGTGGATGTGTTAACTACTCTATATATGACCCGTTAATCAACTTGCCTGCTCTCGAGCCCTCTGCCTCAACCCATCCCCTACCAACCAACCCCATCCCTCAGTCTCAAGCATCTCTTCCTTTGTATACACTCAGGAAAGCATCTTGTCTCTGAACCTTTGAATATACTGTTCTTAAATCATAATCAGAGGTATCTATCCTTTAACTTTCTTTTTAGTTTCTCTTGTTATATTAGTTCAGTAGTCTAGTACGTGTAACCATAAAGTAATGAGAATAATTTTTAACAAATATACCCAAACTTATATAAGAGAAACTTTTCCCTCCGGAGTATTATCTGAAAAGGTTATCTGCTTATTCGAGTGACTGTGCCATTACTAAGATGATGTAGAAAAAACATGTGGTTACGTCTGGGGAAGACATAAAGGGAACAGTATGGGGAGGTAGTAGTCAAAGGGAATTCTGGCCTTAGCAGTTCTTACAAGGAGAATGTATTTGTGCACTGTTTGTGAGATTAAAACTTAAAAGTAAAGATTTCATTTACAATAGCATCAAAGAGAATAAAATAGGAATAAATCTAACGAATGAGGCAAAAGACTTTTACACTGAAAATTACAAAACAGTACTGAAAGAAATTAAAGATGACACTAATAAGTAGAACACATTCCATGTTCATGGACTGGAAATATTGTTAAGATGTCTATACTACCCAAAGCAATCTACAGTTCAATACAATGCCTTTCAAAATCTCAGTGAATTTTTTTTAAAGAAATAGAAAAATTCATACTAAAATTCGTATGGAATCTCAAGGGAACCCAAATAGCCAAAACAATTTTGAAAAAGAACAAAGTTAGAGGACTCACACTTCTTGATTTCAAAACATACTACAAAGCTACAGTAATCAAAACAGTGTGCTACTGGCATAAATTCAGCCAAATATATCAATGAATATTCAATAGACTAAATATCACATATATTATTAAATGACCTTCAACAAGGGTGCCAAGCCCACTCACTGGGGAAAGGACAATCTCTCTATTTAACAAATGGTATTGGGAAAACTGGATATCCACATGCAAAAGAATGAAGTTAAACGCTTACACCATATATGAAAACTAACTCAAACTAACTAACTTAGGTCTTTAGGATTAAAGACCTAAATGTAAGACTTAAGACTATAACAATCCTAGAAGAAAACAGAGAGAGATAACTTCACGACACTGGACTTGGCAATGCTTTCCTGGATATGACACACAAAGCACAAGGAAAAGAAAAAACAGCAAAATAGACAGATGGGACTACATCAAACTTAAAAGTGTCTGCTCATCAAAGGACAAAATAGCATAAAAGGCAACTCACAGAATGGGAGAAAATATTTGTAAATCATATTCGCTAAGGGGTTAATATTCAGAATATGTTTTAAAAACTCCTACAACTGAACAACACCAAAAAATCAAACAAACCAATTGAAAAATGGGCAAAAGACTTGAATATACATTTTCCAAAGATGATATACAAACAGCCAATGAGTATACAAATGATACTAAACATCACTAATTATCAGAGAAATGTAAAAAAAAATCAAACCTATAATGAGGTATCTATCAGCTCATGCTCACTGAGATGGCTACTTACAGAAGCCTTCCTTAAAAAAATCCAGGAAATAATAAATGTTGATGGGGATGTGGAGAAATTAAAACTATTTTGCAATGTTGGTGGGATTATAAAATAGTATAGCAGCTATGAAAAACAGTACAGAGTTTCCTAAAAAAATTAAAAATTGGATTAACCATATGATCCAGCAATCCATTACTGGATACATGCAAATGAAATCAGGGTCTCAAAGAGATAGTTGGAGCCAGGCGCGGTGGCACACGCCTGTAGTCCCAGTACTTGGGAGGCTGAGAAAGGAAGATTATTTGAGTCCAGGAGTTTTGAGTCTAGCCTGAGCAACATTGTGAGGCCTCATCTCTTAAAAGGAAAAACAAAACAGATATTTCCACCCCCAAGTTCACAGTGGCACTATTCACAATAGTCAAGGGATGGAAGCAACCTAAATGTCTATTAAGAAATGAATAAACAAAATGTCATATGCACGTACAAAGGAATATTATTCAGCCTTAGAAAGGAAATCCTGTCACGTGCTACAACATGAATGAACCTTGAGAACATAATATAGTCACAAAAATACAAATGCTGCATGATTCCACTTATATGAGGTACCTGGAATAGTTAAATGCATAGAAACAGAAAGTAGAATGGTGGTTACTAGGAGCCAGGGGAAGGAGGAAAAGGAAAGTTGTATTTAATGAATATAGAGTTTCAGATTTGCAAGATAAAAATGTTCTAGAGATCTGTTTCAAACAATGTGAATATACTACTGAACTGTGCACTTAAAAATGGTTAAAATGGGGCTGGGAGTGGTGGCTCACACCTGTAATCCCAGCACTTCGGGAGGCCAAGGTGGGCAGATCACCCGAGGTCAGGAGTTCGATACCAGCCTGCCCAACATGGCAAAACCCTGTCTCTATTAAAAATACAAAAAAATTAGCCAGGTATGGTGGCAGGCGCCTGTAATACCAGCTACTTGGAGGCTGAGGCAGAAGAATCGCTTGAACCCAGGAGGCAGAGGTTGCAGTGAGCCAAAATCGCGCCACTGCACTCCAGCCTGGGCGACAAGAGTGAAACTCCATCTCAAAAAAAAAAAAAAAAAAAGGTTAAAATGGGGCAGAGGCAGAGCAAGACGGCAGTTTTGAATCCTCTAGTGATTCTCCCCCCACAGGAACATCAACTATCCATTCAAGAAAACACCTTCACAAGAGCTGAAGAAATCAGGTGATGAATCACAGTGCCTGGATTTAGCATAACAAGAAAAGACACATTGAAGAGGGTAGAAAGGACAGTCTCACATTGCCCAGAGCACCCTACCCCCAACCCCACGCAATGCAGCATAGAGAAAATCTGTACACTTAAGAGAGGCAAAGGGAAGTATGGGGGAGATTTTGCATTTGAACTTAGTACTGGTGCCATCGCAGCAAAATACAGCAAGGGGCAGAATCCTGTGGCCCTTGATTCCATGCCAGTGCCCATGGAAGGGGCATTCAGATCTGCCCTGGGCCAGAAGATAATCCACTGCCACAGTGGGAAGAAACTGAGTCTTGGCCTGATCCACTGTGGGCTGACTAAAGTGGCCTCAGGTCCTGAATAAATTTCCGTGGCAGGCAGGCCAGAGCAACAGTGGTTCTTGGGTGAGCCCTAACACTGTACTGCTGTGGGAGGCTGTAGGCTTGGGGTGCGACCCAACACAATACCAGTTGCAGTAGCTATCTGAGTGCCACGTCATCCCTGTCCCAGCTCTACACAGTAAAGTGTGGTAAGAGACTACTGTGTAAAAGAGAGAGAAGACCAGGCACAGTGGCTCATGCCTGTAATCCCAGCACTTTGGGAGGCCGAGGAGGGCGGATCATGAGGTCAGGAGTTGGAGACTAGCCTGACCAAGATGGTGAAACTCTGTCTCTACTAAAAATGCAAAAATTAGCCAGGTGTGGTGGCACACGCCTGTAGTCCCAGCTACTTGGGAGGCTGAGGCAGGAGAATCGCTTGAACCTGGGAGACAGAGGTTTCAGTGAGCCAAGACTGTGCCACTGCACTCTAGCCTGGGCGACAGAGCAAGACTCCATCTCAAAAAAAAAGAGACGAAAGAGTGCAGGGGACTCTGTCTAGGAACCTAGTACCAGCCCCACCACATTAAAACACAGCACCTGGCAGAACACCAAAGCCCCTGATTCCACTCTAGTGCTCCTGGATGGTGCTTCTATACCTACCCTGGGCTAGAAAGCAATCTGCCACCCCAGCAGGAAGGACCCAAGTCCCAGCCAGCTTCACCACTGTCTGACTAAAGTGATCTCAGGCCTGAATAAGTATCAGTGGCAGTCTGACAGTAGTGACAGAGGGTCTTAGGCAAGACCTGGTACTGTGCTGCTCTGTGATGCTGTGGGCTTAGGGTGTGATCCAGCATAGCACCGGCTGCCACAGCCATGGGAATACCCATGTCACCCCTCCCCAAACTCCAGGAAGTGCAGCATGGACAGGAACTCCTTCAACTTGGGGGAAAGAGAGGGAAGAGTGTAGGGGGACTTTACTTGAGAACCCAGGGAACTCTCCCTGATCTTCCTCAAGTTCATTAGGACTGGAGACTAGGAGTCTGCAAGAGCTGCAGCGTACGTGGGCTTAGGGTGCCCTCTACTGCTGAGTGGTTACAGTGACCACAGGCTTAGGGAACTCAACAGGCAGTCCTCTTTGAATTTCTGGAAGGCCCTCTGAAGGAGGACAGGTACAAACAGGGCCAGACTGCAAAGACTAGAATAAATACCTAACTCTCTAATGCCCAGATATCGACAAATGTCCACTAATATCAAGAACATTCATCTGGGCGCAGTGGCTCATGCCTGTAATCCCAGCACTTGGGAGGCCGAGGCAGGCAGATCACATGAGCCCAGGAGTTTGAGGCCAGTCTGGCCAACATGGAGAAACTGCATCTCTACTAAAAATACAAAAAATTAGCCAGGCATGATCCCAGCTACTTGGCAGGCTGAGACATGAGAATCACTTGAACCTGGGAGGTGGAAGTTGCAGCGAATTGAGATCAGGCCACTGCACTCCAGCCTGGGTAACAGAGTGAGAACCTGTCTCAAAAAAAAAAAAAAAAAAAAAGGTAGAAAGAAAGAAAAAGAAAAAAGGAAATAGTCAGAGGAGAAAAAAAGAACTAAAAGGAACAAAGAATGCCTATAAGATCTATGGGACAGAATTACAAAGAGCAAATATAAGACTCAATGGCCTTAAAGAAGGAATAAAGAAAAAGGGGTAGAAAACTTATTGAAATAAACAGTAACAGAACACTTTCTAAACCTAGAGAAAGATACAAATATTCAGGTACAAGAAGGTCAGAGATCACCAAGCAGATCCCAAATGAGACTACCTCAAAGCATGCAATAATCAAACTCTTAAAGATCAAGAACAAAGAAAGAATCCTAAAAGCAGCAACAGAAAAGAAGCAAATAACACACAAAGGAGCTCCAGTACATCTGGCAGCAGACTTCTCAGCAGAAACCTTACAGGCAAGAGAGAGTGGGATGATGTATTCTGAGTGTTGAAGGAAAAAAAAATTGCCAATCAAGAATACTGTACCTAGCAAAGCTATCCTTCAAACATGAAGGAGAGATAAAGATTTTCCCAAACAAAAGCTGAGAGAATTCATCACCACCAGACCTGTTTTACTAGAAATGTTAAATGTGCAACAAGAAAACATCTGAAAGTATAAAAATCGTTGATAAAAGTAAGCATACAGAGACATTCAGAATACCCTAATACTGTAATTGTGATATATAAACCACTGATATCTTTAGTGTAAAGCCTAAGACAAAACTATTAAAAATAATAAATACAAAAAGAAGAAAGATTAATAACTACAACAGTTTGTTAAAAGATAGGCAATATAAAAAGATGTAAATTGATAACATCCAGAAGTCAAAGTGTGAAGGGGGATGGAGTTAGTATAGAGTTTAAGGGTTTCTTGTTTGTTTGTTTCTTTTCTTTTCTTTGCAATCAAAGTCAAGTTGTCATCAGTTTAAAATAAATTATAACTGTAAGATGTTTTTTGTAGGCCTTGTGGTAATCATAGACAAAACCCATAACTGATACACTAAAAATAAAAAGCAAGGAATTAAAATAAACTACCAAAGAAAATCACTTACCCACAAAGGAAAGCAGTAAGAAAGGAAGAAAGGAGTTACAAAACAACCAGAAGAACTAACAAAATGGCAGTAATAAGTCTTACCTGTAAGTCATAACTTTGAATATAAATGGACTAAATTCTCCAATTAAAAGACATAGAGTGGCTGAATGGATTTTTTAAAAGACCCAACTATATGCTACCTATAAGAAACTCACTTCACCTATAAAGATACGCACACAATGTGCCGGGCACAGTGGCTCATGCCTGTAATCCCAACACTTCTGGAGACCGAGGCAGGCGGATCACCAGAGGTCAGGAGTCCAAGACAAGCCTGGCCAACATGGTGAAACCCTGTCTCTACAAAACCTGCAAAAATTAGCTGGGTGTGGTGGCAGACACCTGTAATCCCAGCTACTCAGGAGGCTGAGGCACGAGAATCGCTGGAACCTGGGAGGCAGAGGTTGCAGTGAGCTGAGATCATACCACTGCACTCCAGCCCAGGTGACGGAGTGAGGCTCCATCTCAAAAAAAAAAAAAAAATTTTTTTTAATTTTAAAAAGATATGCGGCCGGGCGCGGTGGCTCACGCCTGTAATCCCAGCACTTTGGGAGGCCGAGGCGGGCGGATCACGAGGTCAGGAGATCGAGACCATCCCGGCTAAAACGGTGAAACCCCGTCTCTACTAAAAATACAAAAAATTAGCCGGGCGTAGTGGCGGGCGCCTGTAGTCCCAGCTACTTGGGAGGCTGAGGCAGGAGAATGGCGTGAACCCGGGAGACGGAGCTTGCAGTGAGCCGAGATCCCGCCACTGCACTCCAGCCTGGGTGACAGAGCGAGACTCCGTCTCAAAAAAAAAAAAAAAAAAAAAGATATGCATAGGCTGGACACGGTAGCTCACACCTGTAATCCTAGCACTGTGGGAGGCCAAGGCAGGCAGATCACTTGAGGTCAGGAGTTTGAGACTGGCCTGGCCAACATGGTGAAATTCTGTTTCTACCAAAAAATACAAAAAAATTAGCTGGGCTTGGTGGCGTGTACCTGTAATCCCAGCTACTTGGGAGGCTGAGGCACGAGAATCATTTGAACCCAGGAGGCAGAGTTTGCAGTGAGCCAAGATCGCGCCATTGCACTCCAGCCTGGGTGAGAGAGTGAGACTTTGTCTCAAAAAAAAAAAAAAAAAAAAAAAAAGATATGCATAGAATGAAAGTGAAGGGATGGAGAAGAATGTTCCATCTTTTCCATCATCCAAACAAGAAGAGCATTAGCTATACTTATATCAGATAAAATGGACTTTAAGGCCAGGTGCAATGGCTCACGTCTGTAATCCCAGCACTTTGGGAGGCTGAGGCAGGTGGATCACCTGAGGTCGGGAGTTCGAGACCAGCCTGACCAACATGGAGAAACCCTGTCTCTACTAAAAATATAAAATTAGCTGGGTGTGGTGGTGCATGCCTGTAATCCCAGCTACTTGGGAGGCTGAGGCAGGAGAATCACTTGAACCTGGAAGGCAGAGGTTGCAGTGAGCCAAGATCGCGCCATTGTACTCTAGCCTGGGCAACAAGAGCGAAACTCCATCTCAAAAAAAAAAAAAAGGACTTTAATTAAAACCAATAAAAAATAATGATAAAGGAGGCCAGGCACAGTAGCTCACGCCTGTAATCCCAGCACTTTGGGAGGCCAAGGTGGGCGGATCACTTGAGGTTAGGAGTTTGAGACCAGCCTGGCCAACATGGTGAAATCCTGTCTCTACTAAAAATACAAAAATTAGCCGGGCATGGTGGTGGGCGCCTGTAATCCCAGCTACTTGGGAGGCTGAGGCAGGAGAATCGCTTGAACCTGGGAGGCGGAGGTTGTAGTGAGCTGGGATTGTGCCACCACACTCTAGCCTGACCAACAGAGTGAAACTCTGTCTCAGAAATAATAATGATGATGACGATAAAGGGGTTAATACAGCAGGAGGATATAAAAGTTGTAGGTATATACACACCCAACACTGGAGCACCTAAATATATAATGCAAATATTAACAAACCTAAAAGGAGAGATCAACTGCAAAATAATAATAGTAGAGGACTTAAACACCCAGCTTTCAGCAATGGACAAATCATCCAGACAGAAATCAACAAAGAAACATCAGAGTTAACTGTGCTTTAGACCTAATGGACCTAACAAACATTTACAGAAGATTGCACCCAACTGCTACAGAATATATGTTCTTCTCAACAACATATGGAACAATCTCCAGAATAGACCATACGTTAGGCCATAAAAGAAGTCTTAACAATTTTTTTTAAAACTGAAATTACGTCAAATATCTTTTCTGACCACATGCAATAAAACTAGAAATCAATACAGGAAGAACTTTGGAAACTGTTCAAATACGTGGAAATTAAACAATATGCTCATGAACAACCAATGGATCTACGAAGAAATTAAAAAGAAAATTTAAAAATTCCTTGAGACAAATGAAAGTGGAAATGCAACTACCAAAAACCTATGTGATACAGCAAATGCTGTCCTACGAGGGAAGTTTATGGCAATAAATGCCTACATCAAAAAGGTATAGAGACTTCAAATAAACAATATTATATTACATCTCAAGGAACTAGAAAGACAAAAACAATCTAAACCCAAAATAAGTAGAAGGAAAGAAATAGTAAAGATCACAGCAGAAATAAATAAAATAGTTTAAAAAACAATATAAAAGATCACCAAAACAAAGAGCTGTTTTTTTGAAAAGGTAAGCAAACTAAACAAGCCTTTAGTTAGACTTTAAAAAAAAAAAAAAAAAAGGACGGCCAGGTGTGACTCATGCCTGCAATGCACTTTGTGAGACTGAGGCAGGAGGATTCCTTGAGGACAGGAGTTCAAGACTAGCCTGGGCAACCTAGCAAGACCCTGTCTCTACAAAAAAAAATTTTTAAATTAGCCAAGCATGGTGTCACACACGAGGAGTCCTAGCTACTCAGGAAGGCTGAGGCAGGAGGATCACTTAAGCCCAGGAGTTCAAGGTTGCAGTGAGCTATTATCGTGCCACTGTACTACAGCTTCGCAACACAGTGAGACCCTGCCTCGAAAAACAAAGACAAAAAAACAAAAAAGAAAGAAAGAAATAATAAAAAAACCTCTAAATCAGAGTTGAAAAAGGAGTCATCACAACTAACACCAGAGAAGTACAAAGGATAAGAGACTACTATGAACAACTACACATCAACAAATTGGAAAACCTAGAAGAAATGGATAAATTCCTGAACACATAAAATGTATCAAGGTTGAATCACAAAGAAAGAGAAAACCTGAAAAGACCAATAATGAGCAATAATATCAAAGCAGTAATAAAAAGTCTCCCAGGTGGCCTCGCATGGTGGCTCATGCCTGTAATCGCAACACTTTGCGATGCTGAGGCAGGAGGATCACTTGAGGCCAGGAGTTTGAGACCAGCCTAGGCAACATAGCAAGACTTCATTCCTACAAAAAATTTAAAAATTAGCTAGGCGTCACCGCACCATCTGGGAAGTGAGGCGCACCTCTGCCCAGCGGCCGCACCATCTGCGATGTGAGGAGCACCTCTGCCTGGCCTCCACGCCACCCTCCAGGTGTGAAATGGCAGCCTTGTGTGTGTGATCTTTCTGCCCTCCCCAAGTTTGCATGTTCAACAGTGAAGTTTACTTTTAAATTAAAAGATTTAAATTGGGGAAGATAAAAAAAAAAATAGCTGGGAATGGTGTTGCATGCCTGTGGTCCCAGCTACTCAGGAGGCTGACATCAGAGGATTACTTGAGCCCAGGAGGCTGAGGCTGCAGTGAGTCATAATCACACCACTGTACTTCAGCCTGGGTGACAGAGGGAGACCCTGTCTCAAAACAAACAAACAAAAAGTCTCCCAGCAAAGAAAAGCCTAAGGCCTGATGGCTTCACTGCTAAATTCTACCAAACATTTAAGGCACTAATACCAGTTCTACTTAAACTATTCCAAAAAATTGGAGAGGAAGAAATATTTTCAAACTCATTCTATAAGGCCAGCATTACCCTAATACCAAAACCAGACAAAAACACAACAACAAAAAAAGAAAACTACAGGTCAATATCCCTGAAGAACACACATGCAAAAATCCTCAACAAAATACTAGCAAACCAGGCCGGGTGCAGTGGCTCACGCCTGCAATCCCAACACTTTGGGGGGCTAAGGCAGGCAGATCACTTGAGGTCAGGAGTTTGAGACCAGCCTGACCAACACGGCGAAATCCTGTCTCTACTAAAAATACAAAAATTAGCTGGGCATGGTGGCAGGCGCCTGTAATCCCTGCTACTCAGGAGGCTGAGGCAGGAGATTCACTTGAACCTAGGAGGCAGAGGTTGTGATGAGCTTAAGATCATGCCATTGCACTCCAGCCTGGGCGACAGAGTGAGCAAAACTCCATCTCAAACAACAACAACAACAACAACAACAACAACAACAAATTAAAAAGATCATTCACCATAATCCAAGGGGGATTTATCCCAGGGATGCAAGGAGGGTTCAACATATACAAATCAATCAATGTAATACATTACATTAACAAAATCAAGGATGAAAACCACATGATCATTTCAACAGATGCTAAAAAATCATTCAGTAAAATTCAACATCCTGGCCGGGCATGGTGGATCACACCTGTAAACCCAGCACTTTGGGAGGCCGAGGTGGGCAGATCACCTGAGGTCAGGAGTTCGAGACCAGCCTGGCCAACATGGAGAAACCGCGTCTCTTCTAAAACACAAGAAAAAAAATTAGCCAGGCATGGTGGCACGCGCCTGTAGTCCCAGCTACTTGGGAGGCTGAGGCAGGGGAATCACTTGAACCTGGGAGGCAGAGGTTGCAGTGAGCCGAGATTGCGCCACTGCACTTCAGCCTGGTGACAGAGTGAGACTCTGTCACAAACACTCTGCCTAGGAAAACCAGAGACCTTTGTTCACTTGTTTATCTGCTGACCTTCCCTCCACTATTGTCCTATGACCCTGCCAAATCCCCCTCTGCGAGAAACACCCAAGAATGATCAATAAAAACAAAAACAAAAACAAAACAAAACAAAAAATAAATAAAAAAATAAATAAAAATAAAAAATAAAATTCAACATCCCTTCATGATAAACACAAACTGGTCATAGAAAGAACATACCTCAACACGATAAAGGCCCTGTATGACAAACCCACAGCTAACATTACATTGAATGATGAAAAGTTGAAAGCTTTTCCTCGAAGATCTGGAACAAGCCAAGAATGCCCACTTTCACCACTTTTATTCAACACAGTACTGGAAATTCTAGCCAGACCAATTAGGCAAGAGAAAGAAATAAATGGCATCCAAATTGGAACGGAGAAAGTCTAATTGTCCTTGTTTGTGGATGGCATGATCATATACATAGAAAACCCTAAAGATTCCACCAAAAAAATTGGAACTAATAAATGAATTTAGTAAAGTTGCAGGATACAAAATCAACTTACAAATATCAGTAGTGTTTCTCTATATGCCAATAGTAAACTATCTGAAAAAGAAATCAAGAAACCAATTCCATTTATAGTAGCTACAAGAAAATTAGAAACAAACTTAACCAAGGAGGTGAATTATCCTCACAATGGAAACTATAAAACATTGATGAAAGATGTTGAAGAGGTCACAAATAAATAAATGGAAGGATATCGCATGTGCATGGATTGGAAGATTATTGTTAAAATGTCCATATTACCCAAAGTGATGTACAGATTTAATGCAAGCCTTATCAAAATACCAATGACATTCTTCACAGAAATAGAAAAAAAATTCTTAAAATTCATATAGCAATACAAAAGACCCCAGACAGCCAAAGCAATCCTGAGCAAAAAGAACAGAGCTGGAGGCATCACCCTACCTGATTTCAAAATACACTACCAAAGCGATAGTAACCAAAACAGCATGGTACAGGCATAAAAATAGACATCTAAATCAATTGTAACAGAATAGAGAACCCAAAAATAAATTTATACATTTATAGCTAACTGATTTTCAAAAGTTGCCAAGTACACACATTGGAGAAAGGACGGTCTCCTCAATAAATAGTGCTGGGAAATTTGGATGTCCATATGCAGAAGAAGGAAACTAAACCCCAATTTCTCACCATATATAAAAATCAACTCTAAATTGATTAAATACTTAAATGTAAGATTCAAAACTATGAAACTATTAGAAGAAAACATAGGGAAAATGCTTCATGAAAATGGACTGGGCGAGGACTTTTTGGATAAGACCTCGAAAGCACAGGCAACAAAAACAAAAATGGACAAATGGGATTACAACAAACAAAAAATCTTCTGCATAGCAAAAGACACAATACAATGAAGAGACAACCTACATAAAGAGAGAAAGTATTTGCAAACTATACATTTGACAAAAGGTTAATATGCACAATACATAAGGAATTTAAGCAACTCAGAAGCAAAACAAATAAAAAAACAAAAAACAGTCTGATTTTAAAAATGAGCAAAAGACCTGAATAGACATTTCTCAAAAGAAGATACACAAATGACCAACAGATATATGGAAAAATGCTCAATATCACCAATCATCAGAGAAATGCAAATCAAAACCACAATATCACCTCACCCCAGTTAAAATGGCTATTATAAAAAAGACAAAAAATAACAAATGCTGGCAAAGATGCAGAGAAAAGGGAACTCTTATATGCTATTTGTAGGAATGTAAGTTAGCATAGCATTATAGAAAAACAGTATGAAGGTTCTTAAAAAATTAAAAATAGAACCACTATATAATTTAGCAGTCCCACTACTGGATGTATCTCCAAAGAAGATGAAATCAGTATGTTGAAGAGACATCTCCACACCCGTGTTTACCACAGCACTATTTACAATAGCCAAGATATGGATCAACCTAAATACGCATCTACAGATGAATAAAGAAAATGTGATATATATATATATATGTGTGTGTGTATATATATATATGTGTGTGTGTATATACACACACACACACACACACACACACACGTACGTACATAAATATACAATGGAATACTATTCAGCCATAAAACAGAATGAAATCTTGTCATTTTTGGCAACATAGGTGAACCTGGAGAACATTATGTTAAGTGAAATAAGCCAGGCACAGAAAGACAAATACTACATGATCTTACTCATATATGGAAGCTAAAAAAGTTAATTTCATAGAAGAAAGTAGAATAGTAAATACCAGAGGCTGGGGAAAGTAGGAAAGTGGGGATATTGGGAGAAGTTGGTCAAAAGTTGTAGTTAGATAGGAAGAATAAGCTTTGGTATTCTATTACACAGTAGCATAATTGTAGCAAATAACAATGTAGTGTATATTTCAAGACAGCTAGAAGAAAAGGTTTAGAGTGTTATCACCACAAAGAAATGATAAATGTTTAGAGTGATGGATATGGTAATTATCTCAATTTGATCATTACACTACATATACATGTGTCAAAAAATCACATTGTACCTCATAAATATGTACAATTATATTTAAATTATAAATTAAAAATAAAAATGGTTAAAATGATAAATTTTATGTTACATGTTCTTCAACACAATAAAAAATTAAAAGGAAAGAATATGTGCTCTACAGGCAGACAACTTAGGGTAGGATATTAGCAATATTAGTTTATATGTGACTGGCCATGCATGGTGGCTCATGCTCATAATCCCAGCACTTTGAGAGGTCAAGGCAGGAGGACTGCTTGAGCCTAGGAGTGCAAGACCAGCCTGGGCAACATAGTGAGACCCCATCTCTATAAAAAATGAAAAAAGGCAGCTGGGTGCAGTGGCTCATGCCTGCAATCCCAGCACTGTGGGAGGCCGAGGCAGGCAGATCACCTGAGGTCAGGAGTTCAAGACCAGCCTGGCCAACATGGCGGAAACCTTGCCTCTGCTAAAAATACAAAAATTAGCTAGTCGTGGTGGAGTGTGCCTGTAATCCCAGCTACTCAGGAGGCTGAGGCAGGAGAATCACTTAAACCTGGGAGGTGGAAGTTGCAGTGAGCCAAGATCACGCCATTGCACTACAGCCCGGGCAACAGAGCAAGACTCTGTCTCAGAAAAAAAAAATAATAATAATAATAAAGAAAAGGAAAAGGAAAGAAAAGAAAAAAGGGCCAGGCATGGTGGCTCATGCCTGTAATCCCAGCACTTTAGGAGGCCGAGGTGGGTGGATCACTTGAGGCCAGGAGTTCAAGACCAGCCTGGCCAACATGGTGAAACCCCATCTCTACTAAAAATACAAAAATTAGCCGGGTGTGGTGCCACGCACCTGTAGTCCCAGCTACTCGGGAGGCTGAGCCATGAGAATTGCTGGAATCTATGAGGTGGAGGCTGCAGTGAGCCAAGATGCGCCACTGCATTCTAGCCCGGGCAACAGAGAAAGACTCTGTCTCTAAAAAATGAAAAAATAAAACAAATTTATATGTGACTTTGAACAAGTTACTTACTCTAAGCCTAAATTTCCTGATGTTTAAAATGACAATGCCACTTCCAACAGATTTGTCCTATGGCACAAAAATGGATACGGTAAATGTTAGTTCCTGCCTTTCTCTCATCTAAATTGCCTTCAAGGCTCATGCCATTGTGTTAAACACCTTCAGTGGTAAGAAATCTTTAGTCTTTAATTATGGATTGGAAAATATAATCAACTAAAAGTGTGCAAGCTAAATTTAGTGAATAAATGATAGACAGTTTTTAGCCTAAAAGACATTTTGCAGAAAGAACCCTATGAGTCTGAGCTACACCATGATCATATCACTATTAATTTACTTTTTGGAAAAATTCTCACAGAAGTTCTCAACATTTTTCAAATTATTGTAGGTTAAAATGATGGTCTGTCATTTTAACCTACACTGTCATTCTGCCTGCACTGCATGCCCCTGACATGAACATAATTCTAGAATATTAAAATTGTCCACTGCAGACTTTGGTAACTTGATTTTTGGATGATATGAGACACATGTTTTATTAGATGTTACTATTTCTTCAAAAAATATGATTTTGTCTTATTAGAATCAACTGTATGTGCCTAAAACAATCACTTATTCTGGGTTCTTACAAACCACAAGAATAACAAACCATTCATTGGTATAGGGTCATACTTTATAGTATCTTTAAAATGCGCTCAGGATAATATCCTAAATTTCCATCTGATTTTCTCTTGTCACAATATAAATGCATGCCCTCTTGTCCTAGAGTCTGTTAATAACAGAGTAAGTACAACTACAATTTCGAAGTCTGGCATCTGAGGATACTTATTAAATCATCCTTCATCCTTGCCTTCTCCAAGTTAAATAATCTAAATTCCTTTGCTTATTCTTAATATGTTCTATATTTTCAAAGCCCAAATCATTATATGCAATATTAAGAAAATAACTATTACATACTTCACAACAATAATTAAGAACAAATATAGAGTTAAAATTACAGCTATGTAAAAACAGCAATGTGACAGGTCTAATACAATTATGAATAATAAATGGAGACCCAGAAAAAATGTCATTCATATATTAATTCTACAGCGTGATTCTACTTCTGGCATTCTAGAGCACAATAATCCTTACCAGGGGACTTTCCTTGTTGTGAGTTGCTTCTGTGCTCTCTGTATCTGGCTGGAGTGGCTAAACCTGTGTCTTCACTAGGCTTGCTAGCAGGCCCCATTTCTGAAATGAGGAATCCCATCTGTTCTGACGGCAAGATATTCTCACGTGAACTGGTCTGGCATTTTATGTTGGCATCCACCTAAAATATTAAACCCATTCATTATTTGAGATTTCCTCCAAATATCTGCTAAAAGTTAAGATATTTTATCAGAGGAGTTCTATTATGGGAACATGATCCAACAAACAAGCTTATAAGGCTTTTCATTCTTATTATTGATACTATACCTTTCTCCCTACACAAACTATTAAAATGTATATGGAGCTAAAACATTTACTTATGATCAGAGGAATATCTACCATGAAGCTTGTTGATTTTTTTTTAACTTACAAAAGTACAGGTTTTTTTTTTTGTTTTAAGGCAGGGTCTCACATTGTTGTCCAGGCGGGAGTACAGTGGTACAATCATAGCTCACTGTAACCTCGAGCTCATGGGCTCAAGTGATCCTCCTGAGCAGCTAGGACTACAGGTATTAGCTAATTTTTAAAAAGTTTTTTTGTAGGCCGGGCGCGGTAGCTCACAGCTGTAATCCCAGCACTTTGGGAGGCCAAGGTGGGCAGATCATGAGGTCAGGAGTTCTCGACCAGCCTGGCCAGCATGGTGAAACCCTGTCTCTACCAAAAATACAAAAAATTAGCCGGGCGTGGTAGCAGGTGCCTGTAATCCCAGCTATTCGGGAGGCTGAGGCAGGAGAATCGCTTGAACCCAGGAGATGGAGGTTGCAGTGAGCCGAGATTGTACCACTGCACTCCAGCCTGGGCAACAGAGTGAGACTACATCTCAAAAAAAAAAAAAAAAGGTTTTTTTGTAGAGACAGGGTCTCGCTATGTTGCCCAGGCTGGTAACTCCTGGTCTCAGGGGATCTTTCCACCTGGGCCTCCCAAAGCACTGGGTTTACAGACGTGAGCCACCACACCTGACCAAAAGTAAGATAGTTTCACCATGATTGGTTAAAACCATCTTTTTTCTCTGTAGAATATGTTCTATCAGACTTCCTCTCCTGTTGGAATGGCCATAGGCATGATCCTGTTAGATGGTTTCAGTGGGATGTGGATACTTTATTCTACTAATTTTGTATTCTTTCTCTTAAAGAGGCCCTCAAAATTGTATAAGCTTTAGCCCCTATAAAATCTATATCTGCCCTGTTTATAAAATACAAATTTCTTTCTTTCAGACAGGGTCTCATTCTGTTGCCCAGGCTGGAGTGTAGTGGTGTGATCACGGCTCACTACAGCCTTGACCTCCCAGGCTCAAGCTATCCTCCCACCTCAGCCTCCCAAGTACCTAGGACACAGGTGTATGCCACCACACCAAGCTAATTTTTAAAATGTTTTTGTAGGGATAGACTCTCACTATGTTGCCCAGACCAGTCTGGACTTCCTGGGTTCAAGCGATCCTCCCACCTCAGCTTCCAAAGGTGCTAGAATTACAGGCATAAGCTACTATGCCTAGCCTAAGTTTCTTTCTTACAGTTCCTAAATTTTCTTTGGAATGTAAATCCCTTTGTCAAGTTGATCAACTTCTGAAATACTCCATTTCTTTATGAATTTATTTTAAAATAAAATTATATAATGAAATAAAAAGTTTAAAACACAGCTTTATATACATATATATACACACACACACACACACACACACACACACACATACTTTTTTTTTTTTTGAGACGGAGTCTCGCTCTGTCGCCCAGGCTGGAGTGCAGTGGCGCGATCTCAGCTCGCCACAAGCTCCACCTCCTGGGTTCATGCCATTCTCCTGCCTCAGCCTCCCGAGTAGCTGGGACTACAGGCACCCACCACCACGCCCGGCTAATTTTTTGTATTTTTAGTAGAGACAGGGTTTCACCGTGTTAACCAGGATGGTCTCGATCTCCTGACCTCATGATCTGTCCGCCTCGGCCTCCCAAAGTGCTGGGATTACAGACGTGAGCCACTGCGCCTGGCCAAGATATATTTGTTAATGAAAAAGTTACTGTGTACAAGTGCAGTTTTAAGATCTGAAATATTTCAGATGTGACTATGAAGGAACAAAGACAAATTCTGTGTTCTACAAATATATTTAAAACATAATGGGGCCAGGTGCAGTGGCTCACGCCTGTAATCCCAGCACTTTGGGAGGCCGAGGTGGGCGGATCACCTTAGGTCAGGAGTTCAACACCAGCCAACATGGTGAAACCCTGTCTCTACTAAAAATACAAAAAAATAGCCAGCCTGGGGGGACACACCTGTAATCCTGGTTACTCAGGAGGCTGAGGCAGAAGGATTCCTTGAACCCAGGAGGTGGAGGTTGCAGTGAGCCAAGATTGCGCTACTGCACTCCAGCCCGAGCAACAGAGCGAGATTCCATCTCACAACAACAACAACAACAACAACAACAACAACAACAACAACAACAACAAACCATAATGGGCCTATATTTTGTCTACTGAATTTACAATATTATCTTAACACAATATACTAGATCTTGACAGTCAGGCTAAAAAAAAATGAGGTGATATAAATTTAAGACATTTGGATCTAAAAATAGAGCTAAAAAAGGCTGCAAAAAACAAAAACCTGCCAAAAGTTATCTTGGGACTTTCTAACAATGAACAGAGTTTCAGTCCTATTGAAGAAAAAATCCAAAATGGAAAAAAAATATATACACATATCAGGCTAAGATCAAGAAAAAAATAAAAAGTAGGAAAAAATACTTAATTCACACACAAAAAAAGATTTTAATTTGGGGCCAAGCACAGTGGCTCATGCCTGTAATCCCAGCACTGTGGGAGGCCAAGGCAGGTGGATCACCTGAGGTCAGGAGTTCAAGACCAGCCTGGTCAACATGGTGGAACCCCGTCTCTACTAAAAATACAAAAATTAGCTGGACATGGTGGCTCGCCTGTAATCCCAGTTACTTGGGAGGATAAGGCAGGAGAATCGTTTGAACCCAGGAGGTGGAGGCTGCAGTGAGCTGAGATTGCACCACTGCACTCCAGCCTAGGTGACAGAGAGAGACTCCACCTCAAAAAAAAAAATTTCTTTTTAATTTGGATTTTTTTGGTATTATTTTAAGAGGCACAGGTACAGTTTTATTACATGGATATACTGCATAGTGGTGAAGTCTGGGCTTTGGGTGAATAGTGTACAGTGTACCCACTAAGTAATTTCTCATCTCCGTTCCCCCTCCCACTCCCGCATCCTTCCACGTCTCCAGTGTCTATTATTCCACATTGTATGTTCAGTGTGTACACATTATTTAGCTTCCTCTTATAAAATGAGAACGTGCTATTTGACTTTGTTTCTGTGGATGTACTTTTGATGAATTATTCTTACTAATTATTCAGAATTAAAGTTTATTCATTTTCTTGTAATAAACTAGTGGCAATAAAGGAATTAGCCTTTACCTTCTGCTTTAGGAGTGCAGATATTAGTAAGGAAATTCAAACACAGTATGCTCACAAGTTACAGTTCAATGATGCTGTAATAAAGTTAGAAAAGACTTCCAACCATCTCCTTACCTCCATGCTACAAATGGCTAGGAAAGTCATCATAATATCTGTCAAATAAACCATCCCTCCTGGGTAATAGAATTATCAGCCAGGCATATCTAATCTATCCAAATTAAGATAGGAAGCAAAAACTCAAGAGATGTTTATAACATGAAAATAAGCTTCATACTACAACGCTCAATTAGACAACCTCTCTTTAGAGGTTGACTTCAGACCATGCATAATATAGTGAGATGATGCTTAAGGGTTAAGGTAACTTCTTTCTGAATCTTTTGTGCAGAACCACTGGGACATGATCCTCCTGGAAACCATAATGAACTGGTATTAAACCCAAATAAAATCTGAACAAACTCTCCACTAGAATAGTCTTTAGCAGAAGTACTAGGTACTTTGAGCTTTATAAGCATTTTTTTCTTTGCCCCCTTACCTGGTGTGTGCTGAATGGTGGCCCTTCCTGCACAAATACTACTGAAGATGGAGATGGATTATGATTTAGGTGCTCCTTCAGTTTGACATGAGCTTGCTGGATGGCTGCAGATTCCTGTATTGTGCTATTTTCAACAGGCTGAGCTGTGTGGATGGTATAGATGTACTCAGGTGACTGTGGTAGAGAGCAGGCAACTGCTTGTTCTGTTCCAACCACAAAAGACATAATATCTGAGCCTACAGGAGTAAGTGGCTCCAGCTGGCTAGCCTGACTTGCAGAACATGGATTGCTGTTGTTAGAATTAGCTAAAATGTGTTGGCCTCTGTAAGACGGAGATGTTGGGCACTGATTCTCAACAGGCTCCACCTTTACCATCTCCAATTTAGGGGAGGAATGCAACTCATCAACTATCTGAAAGACAGCCTCTAGGTTTACTTCTGTCTTTGTATTTTCATCAGTAGTACTGCAGGGCCAATTGGAAGGCAAAAATTCAACTGGATAGGAGGACTGCATTGAAGGATTCTGGGAAAAGAAAAAATATAACTGTTTGGATAGAAAATAAAATATGAGATTAAGGAGGAAAGCTACAATATTTAGGCTGATGAGTGCTAAACATAAATAGATTAAACTTAAAGATCACTAAGAAAACCTAGACACTAATCTACTTTTCAGCAATAGTAGCTTCAAATCTACTGTTAGCATTTACTTAGTATATACTACATGTCAACCACTCTGCTAAGTTTAATACTCCAATGGTCAATAATTCTTAAGGTTAAACTGTACAAAATCAAAAGCTATAGTACCCAAATACCTATTTGCTGATAAAGCATCTATACACCAAATTCTTCCATAAAGGCTGACAGACAGAAACATAATTTGTATCTATCATATACTGTTTCAGGAATGCAGTAAGGAAATTTCAAACACAGGATGCTCACAAGTCTACCAATCCTTCTACAGATTCAGGGAGCGGTACTAATATTCTGTTCCAAATAATATGGGGAAAAATGGATGGAATATCAAATGTCCTTTGTTTCCTGGGATTATTTATTTTTAATAACAAAGCAATAGACTAAAATGGCTGTTGCTTTTAGATTTACATCTTTAAGATATATTCCCTTGTATATACTGCTTTGCAGAGAGTAGGCATTTAATACATGTTTGGTGATAAAGATCTGTGAACATAAAATACAGAAGAATGATTAAATAAAACATGTAATGAATTGATGTTGCACAATGAAGAGCTTCGCACAGAGTAGGCATTCAATAAATGTTTGCTGATTATATCAGATTATAAACTTAAAATACAGAAGAGTTATGATTAAAGAAAGTATGTAGTGAGTTGATGCTGCTAAACACAATCATTAACAAAGATTGTCAAAGATTTTCAGAAGGCCACTAATGCCAAATAATGTAAATTCAAATGGTATAAGCACTAAGTGACTATAGCCAATAGCACATTTATTGAGTTATTACTATGTGCCAAGCACATGCAAAGTGCTTTATATAGATTTCATCCAACCTTCAAAAGAGCCCTGTGAAATGTGATAATCTCCATTTCAAATGATAAAACTGAGGTCCAGAAACTTCCTAATTTACCCAAAGTTACAATGAAATAACTGACAGAGCCAGGTTTCAAGCCTAGGTTTGCCGTATTCAAGAGCTCTTGCTCTTAAACAATACAATGTACTGACTGTGCACGCACACTCTCACCCATACCTACAGTCCAACTAAACCAACTGCATTTATTTTCAGGATGGAATCTGAAACACTTTCCCATTTTTCTATTTCAAAATTTTATGTGTGCTTATTGCTATTTTCCTATGATGAACACGTATTGTCTTTTTAAAATTTTTTGTTTTGTTTTTGAGACAGAGTTTCACTTTTGTCACCCAGGCTGGAGTGCGATGGCACGATCTTGGCTCACTGCAGCCTCCACCTCCCAGGTTCAGGCGATTCTCCTGCCTCAGCCTCCTGAGTAGCTGGGATTACAAGCGCCCACCACCATGCCCAGCTAATTTTTGTACTTTTAGTAGAAACAGGGTTTCGCCATGTTGGCCAGGCTGGTCTTAAACTCCTGACCTCAAGTGATCCACCCACCTCAGCCTCCCAAAATGGTGCTGGGATTACAGGCGTGAGCCACCACGCCTGGCAGATTTTTTTTTTTTTTTTGAGACAGGGTCTCACTGTGTTGCACAGGCTGGAATACAGTGGCACAATCATAGCTCACTATAGCCTCAAACTCTTCAAACTCCTCAAGGTGGGAGGATCGCTTGATCCTCCCACCTCAGCCTCCCAAGCTAGGACAAAAGGTGCATGCACCACTACATCCAACTAACCCACCCTTTCTCTCTCCCTCCCTCCCTCCCTCCCTTCCTTCTTCCTTCCTTTATTTCTTTTCTTTTTTTTTTTTTTTTTAAGAGATAGGGTCTCACTCACTATGTTACCCAGGCTCATCTCAATTTCCTGGCCTCAAACAATCCTCCCACCATGGCCTCCCAAAGAGCTGGGATTATAAGGCATGACCCATTGTACACGGCCATATATTGTCTCTATAACAAGAAAAGGTCTTTATAAAAATGTTTTATTTAGCACACAACATAATCAAGATATAAACACTGCCATAGTATCTCCAGCATGATCCAGAGAAGAGAGTGCCTGGACCCACAAACAAGAGCATCTAACTGTGGGATAGGTATGTCCCTCCAGTGAAGATGAATGGGCTAGGATATCATGCTTGATCATATCAGCCATGAAAAATGGCCAGCTAAGTCCCCTTGATCTCATTCTATACTCCAAACAACAATCTGATTATAATTTGACTTCCTATGTAGATTTTCTCCAAAAAAAAAAAAAAGGGAATGTTCTTTTGAGTACCCTAATGCCACTAGTAAGATATTCTCCTAAGAACTGAGACTATCTTGAAACTATCTTGGCTAGATGATTATCCAAGGCAAACACACAATTCCAATCTTTGGCAGTTACAGCATAAAAATACAAAGCATGGAATTTAAAAGTATCCTTAAAATAGCTATATAAAACGTTTAACTCCAAGCAAGTGTCTCCTAAGAAACAATGAGAAGATATTTGAAGTAAAAGTTGAGCATCCTTAATCCAAAATTCTAAAATCTCAAATACTCCAAAACCTGAAACTTTTTGAGTGCTGGCATGATACCACAAGTGGAAAATTCCAGCAGAAAAGCACTTAACACAAACTTTGTTTCATGAACAAAGTTACTAAAAATATTGCATGAAATTACCTTTAAACTATATGCATAAGGTATATATGAAACATAATTAGATTTTATGTTTAGACTCGGGTCATATTCCCAAGATATCTCATTATGTTTTTGGAAATATTCCAAAATCTGAAAAAATCCAAAATCTGAAACACTCCTGGTCCCAAGCATTTTGACTAAGGGATACTGAACCATTATGGTGTTTACAACATAGGGGCTATGGATGAAGGGGGCCACCACTTAAATTTCTCATTTTTGACATTTTTCTCCTTTCTCCTTAAAAAGAAAAGTCTAATTTATCTGTATCATCTTGGAAGAATCTGTCATTTGGTGACTTACACACTTGTAGCGTTTATCTGGTATTCATTTTACCTTGGAAAAATCCAGAACAGCACTGTTTAAAATAACTTTCAGCAATGATGGGAATGTTCTAGATCTGTGCTGTATAATTCAGTACCCATAAGCCATATGAAACTACTGAGCACTCAAAATGTGTCTACGTTAAGTATGGAATAATTTTTAAATCAATTTAATTTTAATTTTAATAACCATATGAGACTATTGAGTACTTGAAATGTGACTAGTATAACTGAGGAATTTTTAAATTTCATTTAATTTTAATTAGCTTAAATAGCCACATGTGGCTAGTGGCTACTATATTGAACAGTTCTGGCCTAGAAGAATTCTGAGATATTATTTATATCAATTCTCTCTTTTTTTTTTTAAGAATTGAGAAAACAAAGCCCATTAATCCACAGCTTACTTCTGGTTACTCATTAATATAAAATTACACTTTGAAATTTTGCAATATCGATAAAATTGCACATAAAGCGCGGAGCATGGCCACAGTTGCAAGAATCTTACCTGGAAGTAGTTGCAGTGTGCATAGGAAGAGGCAGTGGGAGTGACACAACTACTTAGAGCATCCATGTGGGTAGGAGAACAGCACTGTAGCACAGCTGGAACAAATTCAAACACAGAAAAGCCATCAACCACAATACATTTCTATAGCATTCAAGGAGCTCCCCTCTTTCAACATGGAAAGAAATCCAAATTTGAAGAACTTCTTTTGTATGTCTAACAAAATATTTAGTCCAATTAGGTGGTGTTATTTATTGAAAACAACACACACAGTAACAAAATAATTTTAAAGGTCTTTAAAAGGGTCATGTCTAATGTCTATTTTTATAAATCATTTCTTTAACACCTAAGCATTTTGTTACCTTTCTAACCAAACATATATTCTTATTGAAAGTAATTTCATTTTATTGAAAATAGAGGAATATATTGAAATTCCAAAATAAGTATTTCAATCATTTCAACAGTAACAACTATTTGGAGGGTGGAGTGTTTTAAAAGAGTAAAATAACTATGAAGTATTCTCCAAATGTTCCACCATTAAACAATGCATCCAGTAGAAATGTACACAAAAATGTTTTAATAATTTAGGCAAGTGGTCAGGAATGCAGATCACAGAGCCAGACTGCCTGGTTTTGGAGCCCAGCTCCACCAGCCTGGCTTTACAGCCCAGTGTAAATTTGAGCATGGTTAATCTCTGTGTACCTCAGTTTCTGCATCCTATTAAAATAGAGATAATAACAGAATATAGAACCTACCAAATATGGTGGTTGTTGTGATATAAATGAGCTAATATCCATAAAGAACTTAGAAGAGTACTGGTACACAGTAAGCAAACAGTAAGTGTTAGCTGCTATTATTTTAACTGAAGAAACACATTTTCAAAACTTTCCCTTTATAGTCAGGACACTGTGAAAAGATTGAACTCTTGGTACTAGCAAAGTTACTTACAGATGCAGTCTTAATAATAGGTTGAGTCTGCTTTTTTGTAGAGACTCTCCAGTATAAGTGAGAATCAGTTATTAATATCACAACTGTGGTTTAAACAGAGGATGATGTACATTGAACACCCACCCTATTCCAGGCACAGTAGTAAATGCTTTACATACATTGCCTTTACAAAACAAGTAAACTAAAGCTCAGTGATATTAAGTAATTTGCCAAAAGTCACAAAGCTGGAAGTGACAGAGTCAGTAATTAAACTCCAAAGCACACGCTCTTTAATATACCACAATACAGCGAGGCATGGTGGCTCACTCCTGTAGTCCCGGCACTTTGAGAGGCTGAGGCAGGTGAATCCCTTCAGCCCAGGAGTTTGAGACCAGCCTAGGCAACACGGTGAAACCCCGTCTCTACAAAAAATACAAAAAACAGCCAGGCTTGGCGGCACATGTTTGTAGTCCCAGCTACTCAGGAGGCTCAGGTGGGAGGATCACTTGAGCCCAGGAGGTAGAGGCTGCAGTGAGCCATGATTGTGCCACTGCACTCCAGCCTGGGTGACAGAGTAAGACTCTATGTACAAAAAAAATTTACATATATATATATCTCACAATAATTCCCTAAGCTAAACCCTGTTCCTGAAATGTAACATTTGTAGTTTTACTAGAATTCTACTTGCCGAATATCTTTAAAGGTGTCTTTATCAATAAGGTGGCAACTCTCCCTTTTTATGTCCACATTTTTCATATTTTGAGTGTGCTAATCTCATTATTTAATCTTTAAAGGTAAATTGACCTAAGAATTTTTAAAAAATAGCCGAAATGCTTCCCTATTTCTCCATGACTATTGATTCTTGAAACATCAGAAGTTCATGAAGATATACTAGAAATAAATATTTTCTCTTTGTATCATGAGCAATTTAACCATTAAATTTTGCACACAGAAAGAAAACTTGAAATAATGGGCAAAATTATAGTTCAGACATAAATATAAAGGTTATTTTTTGGATGACTTTTTTTAACAATTTTGGTGACTTTAAAAGGCCATATATTACTAAGATTGCCTCATAAAATTCAAGCTGTTATCATTTCCAATACAGGTTAGCTGAACAGTTCTTAGATTTGATCCTTTGAAGGTTATTCAAATATATATTTTAAATGTTTTGGATTTGAATTTGATTTCCCAAAGTATTTGACAGCACAAATATCCTAGGAAATAAATTGAATCCAAATAGCTAAACACCAAGCAGGATCTGCAGAGCTTGCCAAAACTCGGGAAGGGAAAAAAAAAAAAAAAAGCTTTTTCCCCTAGAGTTATAGCAGCTAAGGAAAATCTAGCCACCCAGAAGTAGAGAAAGACTTAGGAGCTGCAGGTCCATTCCATCGGGGTACCAAAAAGCTGTGTTTCATTACAAATAAATCAATAAAAGGATTAGCTTTATTGTTCGGAAGTTTCTGACTCCATTGGTTACACATTTTGAATAGGTGTAAAAATGTACTTTAAAATAAATTTCTCAGAGAAATAAACTACAATATATAACAGAGAATATGTTAATATATTTTTGATAGCTTGATAGCTGAGTTAGTATCTCAGGAAACAGCGAAAAAGTAAATGTTCTTTAAAGTATCCAGTAACAAATGGAAAGTAAAACAGTACCTGTATGAAGAAAATGAGGATTTGAATAGATTATACTCCAAAAAGATTCCTCAATGGCTATTCCTTACCACTGTAGTCCTATTTTGTATAGTCAACAAAATAGAACAAAGTATTAGTAAGTTTACTGAATATGAAAACCTAGGCATAGAAATTTGACTATGTGCCTAGTATATGAAAAAATAATCAACTGTGCATTATGAAAGCACTGACATTTATAAAACTTAGTTTATCACTATGTCCTAAGATACATTCATCTGCACAAAGAACTTTCAGTGTCTTCCTGAAGGCAGTGTTCAGTTGAGGCATTAAATTCCATGTAGAAAGAAAAACTGAAAATAATTAAAAGAATTCCATTTCAGATATAAATATAGGCATTAATGACATTTTCAAAAAATGTCTAAGTAATAAAAAAATGTTAAGCCAGAGTTACTAAAAATTATTGCTCCCGCTATAGGTGAGGCAAACAAGTTAATATACTTTATCCTATGGAAGTGATTCAAATATAGAATTAAAATACTTAGAATTTGAATCTACTCCAGAATAGTATAATGTCAACAGTGAGAAAATACCCAATAATATAAATGCTCAAAAGAAAAAGCATTATAATAGTATATTTAATTTCAAGATAAGTTCCTATGGCAACTAGAACCCCAGTATCTCCTCATTTATGGTGAGGTAAAGAAAAGGTCTTCTGAGTTTATACCCCAAAGTGAAAGCAGGCATTTGAAAAGGTATCTGTACACCCATGTTCAACACAGCAAAATTTACAACAGCCAAAAGATGGAAGCAACTCAGTATCCATCAACAGATGAGTGGATGAACAAAATGTGTTACACATATACAATGGAGTATTATCCAGCCTTTAAAAGGAAGAAAATTCTGACACATACTACAATATAGATGAATCTTAAAGACATTAAGTGAAATAAGCCAGTCATGAAAGGACAAATATTATACGATTCCTCATGTAAGGTTCCTAGAAAAGTCAAATTCATAAAAACAAAAAATAAATTAGAGATTACCAGGGGTTGGGGGAAACTATTGCTTAATGGGTACCAAGTTTAATTTGGGTGATGAAAAGTTTTGGAAACAATGGTGAGGGTTGCACAATATTGTGAATATAAGTAGTGTCAATGGATTGTATATTTAAAAATAGTTAAGATGGTAAACTTGGATGGGCGCAGTGGCTCACATCTGTAATCCCAGCACTTTGGGAGGCCAAGGCAGGCGGATCACGAGGTCAGGAGTTCGAGACCAGCCTTACCAACATGGTGAAACCCCGTCACTACTAAAAATACATAAATTAGCCGGGTGTGGTGGTGCACGCCTGTAGCCCCAGCTACTCGGAAGGCTGAGGCAGGAGAATCACTTGAATCCGGGAGGCAGAGGTTGCAGTCAGCCAAGATCGCACTACTGCACTCCAGCCTGGGTGACAGAGTGAGACTCCGTCTCAAAAAAAAAGATGGTAAATTTATATATTAAATATATTATTCCACTTATATGAGATATTTAGAATAGTCAAATTCATAGAGACAGAAAATAGAATGGTGGTTGCTAGGGACAACCTCTCCACCTCAGGGACAGGTTGGCATTCTCTAATAGGGAGTTAGTGGTTAGCAGGTACAGAGTTTCGGTTGGGGAAGATGAAAAAGTTCTGGAGATAGACAGTGGTGATGGTGAATGTACTTAATGTTGCAAAACAGTACCCTGAAAAATAGTTAAAGTGGTTAAGTTTTATGTTATGCATATTTTTTTCACAATTTTTTAAAAAGGTAAATATGATTGTATTTTTGCTTAGTTTCTCCTGGCAGAGGAGAGAGAGAGCTTCCTGGTGCTAAGTGCCTCTTTTCCATAAGCACAAAATCAAGTATTTTCAGAGAAGCAATACAGACTGCCTGAGAACAAGAGTAACAGCACCAAAAAGCTCTTATAATTCTATATTCTATATTTATGTACATTGATGTAGGATTAGAAGCATAAAGATCACACCTATAGAATTTAAATGTACTTTAAAACAATAATCAGTAACTTTTTTTGCCCAAGGGCCAATTCAGAAAAATCTTAAATGATACACACATACGTATTTTTTAACCTAGAACTGCATGCCAAAATGGATATTTTCTTTTTCTTTTTCTTTCCTTTTCTTTCTTTTTTTTTTTTGAGACACAATCTTGCTCTGTTGCCCAGGCTGGTCTCAAACTCCTGGCTTCAAGCAATCCTCTTGCCTCTCAGCCTCTGAAGGTGCTGGGCTACAGGCATGAGCCACCATGCCTGGCCAGATATATATTTTCTAATAAAAATTAAAAATATCACGTGTACCTTGGGGGAAAGCATATATTCTTATAAATTCTGTTATTTAGCCTTTAAAGTGTTAATATCTAGGCTTATTTACTTTTTTGAGACAGGGTCTTGATCTGTTGCCGAGGCGGGAGTGCAGTGGCGCGATCTCAGCTCACTGCAGCCTCGGCCTCCCGGGTTCAAGTGATTGTCCTGCCTCAGCCTCCCAAGTAGCTGGGACTACAGGTGTGCGCCACCATGCCTGGCTAATTTTTTTTGGATTTTTAGTAGAGATGGGGTTTCACCATGTTGGCCAGGCTGGTCTCAAACTCCTGACCTCAAGTGATCCACCTGCCTTGGCTTCCCAAAGTGCTGGAAGTACAGACGTGAGCCACTGTGCCCAGCCTTCTAGGACCATTTAAAAAAAACAGCTGTTGGACAGGTACAATAGCTCATGCCTGTAATCCCAGCAACTCAGGAGGCTAAGCAGGGGATCACTTGAGGCCAAGAGCTTCAGACCAGTCTGGACAACAAAGCAAGACCCTAGCTGTACCCCCCCCAAAAAAAGTGTTTTAATTAGCTGGGCATGGTGGTGTGTGCCTGTAGTCCTAGCTACCTGGGAAGCTGAAGTGGGAGGATAGCTTGAGACCAGGAGTTCAGGCTGCAGTGAGCTATGATCATGCCACTGCACTCCAGTCTGGTGAGAAAGTGAGACCTTGTCTCTTAAAAAATAATAAAAATAAAAATAAACACAGCTTTTAAAACACTTGATCCTTTACATGTAAATAGTGTTTAAATTTTACAAAGCCTATTCACATATATTAATTTATTTAATTCCTCACTCAAACTATTAAGGCCACTTTATAGAAAGGGAAATGAGGCCACATAACATGATATAATCCACTGAAGTTCATATCCAATGATTAACTGCAAACCTGGGACTAGAACTAGTTCATTCCATTCAATAAATTATTTACTTAGGGCCCATTACAGCAAGCACTATGCTAGGTGTAGGGGGATACAGAAATGAATTAGAGGCAGCCCCACTCCCCAGAGCCCCCAGGCTGAACCTCCCACTCTAGCAATTGGAGTACATTCTCTCTACTCTGGTGAGTCAATAACCCAGAGCAATCCCAATGCCACCAGCAGCATAAAAAGGTAGATTCCCCTACCAATTGCTGTTGTCCACCCTATCTGGGAAGAACTAACTCTGAGGAAGAGATATACCAGAAAAAAATTATCTCAAAAAAACAAAGCAAAAAACAAAAGACCCTCTTCATGAGAGGCAGGCAGACAGGCAGGGGGGCAGGCGAGCACAGTGGCCAAAAGAACAGACTCTTGAGTCAGATTGTCTGGATTTGTTTCCAAGCCCACAGCTTCCTAGCTGTGCCTCAGTTTCCTCATCTTTAAAATGAGGATAATTACACTATTTTATAAAAGTATTATAAGGATTAAATGAGTGAATATTTAAAGAGTACTAAGAACACTGCCTGGTCATAGTGATTACTATATAAGTATGTGTTAATAAAAAAAGAGATGAAGGGCAGCTACAAATTTACTAACCATTGCCTTGAGTTTAAAACTTTGAAAAAAAGGCAAAGTTGATTTTGAGTCTATTCAGCATTAAAGAAAAACAGTTCTCAATATAGGATTCTATATATAAAGATGAATATTCTTAAGTATGTTCAAATATATAGTGGAGAATAAGTAAAATTAAAAGGTTTAAAATGAAGTTTTTCATAAAAGAGGAAAATTAAATTACAGTTGCAGACCAAAAATAACATCAGAGGAAAAATTGAATTCTAGATAAAGCAAGAATAAAAAGAGTCAACTAATGCTGGATCTACAAAATCTTGCCTTTGAAGAAGTGGTAAGAATGGAAAACTGACACTTCAAGGGAAAAACAACAAATATAAAAAATGATTCCAGTCTGCTTCTAACGTGAGAAAGAAAAAAAATGATTCCAATGAGTCATTTTATGAGTTAGTCTGATGGCAACTTTTTAGTTTCAATGTTTGACTTTACTAAAGAAATTAACAATTTATGAAATATTATAAAATTCAAAATTTACTGGTTATACTATTTGAAGACCAGATCCAAGTTTATTTTTATAACACAATTTTTTTTTTTTGAGACAAGGTCTTGCTCGCAATGGCACAATCACGGATCACTGCAGCCTCAACCTCCTGAGCTCAAGCAATCTTCCCACCTCAGCCCCCAAGTAGCTGGGACTACAGGTGCTGCCACCACACCCAGCTAATTTTTCTATTTTTAGTAGAGACTGTGTTTCACCATGTTGGCCAGGCTGGTCTGGAACTCCTGGCCTTAAGTGATCCACCCGCCTCGTGAGAATGATACTCTATTTAATTTTGGTAAAGTCATTTGTAATACTCTTCATAAATAAGTACTCACTAAATATTGGTTAAATTGCTCACTACTTTTTATTTCCTTCATCCATAACTTGGAGGAATTAAGTATTTCTAGGGTATTTTTATGGCACTTTCTTTTCCATTGCAAGTTTTTTGTATTAACAATAAAATTTTTCATTTACAAAGTACTTCAGAATGCTCAAAGTAGTTTTGCCCACATTATGTACTAGAAGTCATCATGAGATTTCTTATTCTCATAATCTCAGAAACTTTATAGTCATTTCAATCATCCCTATTAAAGAAGACAAAACAAAAATTCAGTTAACACAAAATTCTCTATATACTGTATACTATAAAAACATCAGCAGCACTTACTTGTTCTTTTTTTAATGCCTCCTTCCTAATTCTTACCTTAAACACTTGGAGACAACTCCCAATTTATAATTTACATCAAGCTAAAATAAAATATTTTTAAAACAGCATGTCCAAATTTAACAATAATTTTAACAAACAGCAGTTCTATAATAAATATTAACTATAACATTTGTAGTGGTTTTAGTGAATAATATATGAGTACTTTTCATAAAATTTAGAGCCAGTAGTTTCCATGAGGATTGCTTGAAACTTGGAATACATTTTCAGGCTGGAATGCAGTGGCACAATCATGGCTTACTGCAGCCTCAAACTCCTAGGCTCAAGCAATCCTCCACCTCAGCCTCCCAAATTGCTGGGATTACAGGTGTAAGCCACTATACCTGGCCATCTTGTTTTCAAAGATTGTGCATATATTTTGGTTCTTCAAAGAAGTAGCTGGGCAAATCTGGGGGAAAAAATTAGGCCTTAACCATTTTCTATGTAACATGGTAAAAAAAATTTTTTTTTAATTTCTAATAGGCAAAATGATTAAAAGTCCAAAATCATCCTTACTTCATGTAATTCCCTCCTTTTCTTTTCAACGCCATTCACCAAAAGAGTAACAGCTCTGAAAATCTATAAAACTCAATCTAGATGATTTTAATATCATTAAACTTAAAACATTTTGGGAAAATAATCCCTTTCACTGCTATATTTAGGTACAATGAGCCAACGATACAAGTATATGGTTGGATATTAACAGCTAGAAAATAGTGAGTACTATTAAATAGAACAGTCACCAGATTTATAATTTTGTTTTGTGTGTACACATTTAGTTTTATCGTAACAAAGCAGCTTGTCCACTTTTAACCTTTAAAACTGAGCATCATCTTTCCTTTCCAGTGAAACAAAAAGAAAATTTAAAAATAAACAGGATAAAAATTACAATAGAGAATGTCAATTCCAAATAAGATCCTACAGGCTCTGCAGATTCTCCCATTGAGTGGCAGGGCTCAAGTCATCATTAGCAGAGAATTTATTTTAAAAAGTGTCAAATTGCAAAGGATATCTGTCAAATATCACAATTAAACATGCAAAAAGAGAAGCCATGTTGTCAAAATGCCCACTTAACCCCCCCAAACATCTCAAACCCACCCTTTGGTGACCTTCTATAAACACATTTTCTAAGATTTTGTTTTGTTTTGTTTTTTAACAAGAGAAAGTAGACAGATACATGTTGGTAAATGCTAAATGTTTTCATTCAGAGAAAGGAGGAGAAAAGCTAGAATTCTGGGCACTGCTACTCAGGGGCCTCACATCCTCCAGCTTCCAGCAGAGAGAAGGGAGGAAGTTTTTCTTTTTTTCCACAGAGCTCGTAGTGTTGATTCCATACAGTTTTTGTTCAGACAAGAAGGGATAAAAATGAATTTCGAACAGAAAGGGGTAGAGACTCTTTTCCCTTTGTATTCTGCTCAAGGTATTTCCCCCCAAATAAGTTGAGAATCATGGTGTAGAGAAAAGAGACCTCAAGAACAGGGTGACTGAGCACAAGAGGAAAACAAACAAAAAAAACAAAACCAAAAAAACCTGCAACTTGCTCCCAAGGACTGGAGAAAATTTTTAAAAAGGAAGGTCAGAATCCATCAGTGTTCTATTAGTCATCTTCTCCTTCATCCTTCTCTCCTTCCTCCCCTTCATCATCATCTTCATCTTCTTCATCTTCCTCATTTCCTTCTAATCAATATCTTCTAATCCTTCCTTCTCTTCATCATCATCATCTTCTTCTCCTTCTTCATCATCCATATCAGGAACCAAGTGGTACTGTAATGGGTTTGGCCAAATACCATCTTTGATGACCTCTCCTAACTCATCAGTACCTGCATCAGAATGGTCAGTAAATCAGGTAAAGAAGCTCCCTGGTTCCTCATGCTGCCTCTTCCTGCCGGCTTTATTCTGAGTTTAACTTGAACGCTTTGTCAAATCCATTCCAGATTTCCATTTGATTTCAGTGGACTTTGAAGATGGATCACCACTCTTATTCAGATGAAATTCTTTGGACAGAACTTTATTTTCAAGGTAAGGATTTTGATCAAAATAAAAATCTATTCTGTAACCTGATTTAATATCTTCGAATTCTGTCACTTCAACTCTGGTCAAATAATGCAGTGCCTCTTCGTCCTCCTCCCCAAGCAGTGCAGACACTTGTGGATGGTTGACAAATGTTGTTATCCAAAAATGTGGGATTTTGGCGATCAATTCTGATCTCTTCTGAAAAAAATGGTTGGCGGAGTTTGTTATATTTCTGTTCTACTTTCAAAATCTCCTCACTGGCTTGTTCATTAAGTCTGTCTATTTCATTTTGGATTTCATCAATGTGTTCAATTGCTTCTTGCTGTTTTTTTTTTCCTGAGGTCTCGTCGGCCCTGTAGTGGTTGGAGTTGAGCTCCTTTTTACTGATTTTGGCAGCGGACGCCCATGTGGCACGGTTGGGAGACGGGGGCGGGGGAAGGGAAGGCTAAGGGAACAGGCAGGCAGCTTCCCCCTCACGGCACACGCGCGGGCGCTTGCTGGGTCCAGCCACCTCCTCCCAGCGCTGCCCTCGCGGCCTGACGACAGGTATGGGCTAGGGATATATATATATACTTTTTTTTTTTTTTTTTTTTTGAGATGGAGTCCTGCTCTGTCACCCAGGCTGGAGTGCAATGGCGTGATCTTGGCTCACCACAACCTCCGCCTCCCAGATTCAAGTGATTCTCCTGCCTCATCCTCCCGAGTAGCTGGGATTACAGGCACCCGCCACCATGCCTGGCTAATTTTTGTATTTTTTTGGTAGAGACGGGGTTTCACTATGTTAACCAGGCTGGTCTCGAACTCCTGACCTCATGAATCGCCCGCCTCATCCTCCCAAAGCGCTGGGATTACAGGTGTGAGCCACCATGCCAGGCCCAGATTTATAATTTTTAAATGGCAACAAATTACTCCATTCCCCTTTTTTTTTTTTTTTGAGACGGAGTCTCGCTCTGTCGCCCAGGCTGGAGTGCAGTGGCGCGATCTCGGCTCACTGCAAGTTCCGCTTCCTGGGTTCACGCCATTCTCCTGCCTCAGCCTCCCCAGTAGCTGGGACTACAGGTGCCCGTCACCACACCCAGCTAATTTTTTTGTATTTTTAGTAGAGACAGGGTTTCACCGTGTTAGCCAGGATGGTCTCGATCTCCTGACCTCGTGATCTGCCCGCCTCGGCCTCCCAAAGTGTTGGGATTATAGGCATGAGCCACCGTGCCCGGCCACTCCATTCCCTTTTCTAATTTACATTTCTTCTACTTTAAGTAAATATCTTTTTTTTTTAATATTTAAAATAAAAAAATATTTTAGCTTTCCCTTTAGTGCCGCCTGGGAGAAATGGTCTAACAAAAGACCTCCAGAAATTGCTTCCAGATTTACATAACTGAAAAAATTAAAGATCCTAGATTATTAATTCACAGGGCAAAGGAATGCCCCCTTTCTTCTCTTTCTGGTCTTTTCTGGAATGCCCCCTTTCTTCTCTTTCTGGTCTTTTCTGAAAGCTTTGACCCTTGTCTTATTTCTATTGCCTCATTTCATCATTGTGTAAAAAGCATACCACATGATGAAATACATGCCACTGCTGTTGTGTTTTTGCAAAATTGAAAATACATTTGAGGCCAGGCACAGTGGCTCACGCCTGTAATCCCAGCACTTTGGGAGGCCGAGGTGGGTGGATCACGAGGTCAGGAGTTTGAGACCAGCTTGGCCAACATGGTGAAACCCTGTCTCTACTAAAATAAATAAATATATATATATATATATATACACACACACATACACACACACACAATTAGCCGAGAGTTGGTGGCAGGCGCCTGTAGTCCCAGCTACTCGGGAGGCTGAGGCAGGAGAATCACTGGAACCAAGGAGGTGGAGGTTGCAGTGAGCCGAGATTGCACTACTGCATTCCAGCCTGGCAACAGAGCGAGACTCCATCTCAAAAAAAAAAAAAAAGAAAAGAAAAGAAAAGAAAAGAAAATACATTTGAGTGAAATGGTAAGATTATATTGCAAAAAGTTTTCTATTAAAAAAGAAAAAAAAATGGCCAGGCAGGGTGGCTCACTCCCGTAATCCCAGCACTTTGGGAGCCCAAGGTGGGTGGATCACCTGAGGTCAGGAGTTCGAGACCAGCCTGTCCCACATGGTGAAACCCTGTCTCTACTAAAAATACAAAAAATTAGCCGGGTGTGGTGATGGACATCTGTAATCCCAGCTACTCAGGAGGCTGAGGCAGGAGAATTGCTTGAACCCAGGAGGCGGAGGTTGCAGTGAGCCAAGATCACGCCACTGCACTCCAGCCTGGGCAACAAGAGTGAAACTCCATCTCCAAAAAAAAAAAAAAAAAAGAGAAGAAAAGAAAAGAAGAAAACACAACTTTTTTTTTTCCCCAAGAAGCAAAAAACAGATGATAACTATCATAAGCGTTCCCAATTAGTGGCTTGGGATCTACCAGCGTGTTCTCAATGCCCTTGCTTGAGTTCCAGGTCAGTTGTCATTGTCAGGTTTCTCCTTCTCTCTGCTACTCCCCAGTTCTTAGCTGCCTAGGAATAACACTGCGGAGATCCCACTGTTCACCAGGTTTTTACTAAAGAATTCAATGTTCAGAGAGTATCCTTTTTCATTAAATATCATTACTGAGATACTAAATGATTTCATTATGAGGTAATCTCACCTTAAGATTAAACCATATTAAATATATAATAAACATATTAAAAAAAAACTACAGCACCAAGTACAGAGTTAAAATAAGGTTCTGGGGTACTAAGGTTTTTTGCTTTTTGTTTTTGAGACAGTCTCACTCTGTCGTCCAGGATGGAATGCTGTGGAGTGATCTCTGCTTACTGCAACCTCTGCCTCCGAGGTTCAAGCAATTTTCTTGCCTCAGCCTCCTGAGTAGCTGGGATTACAGGCGCCTGCCACCGTGCCTGGCTAATTTCTGTATTTTTAGTAGAATTGGGGTTTCACCATGTTGGCTAGGCTGGTCTCGAACTCCTGACCTGAAATGATGCACCCGCCTCAGCCTCCCAAAGTGCTGGGATTACAGGTGTGGGCCACCACATCTGGCCTTGGGGTACTAAGTCTTAATTTCATAACTAGGACATATTTTGAATATACAAGTTTCACTAACAATACACACCTTTATACATCAACAAAATTTTCACAATCCTTAAAAACACAATGAAATTTTGTATATTGTTTAAAAATATCTCCTGCTAAGAAATCTTTGCCATTTCTTAGGTGTACATTCCTACTGTTTGTGTTAAAGCACATAGACATTAAAATGCATTTAAAATATATATATATGCTCATTATAAACAACCTTAAATAGAAGGCCATGAACCTGAATTTGTCATACCTGTTGGATAGTAGGCTTGCGAGTACTGTGCTGAGGGTGTGTAGTTACTGTATTTTTGGGAGGAGCTGACCATTGTTTGAGGACCTTGTTGAACATGTACAGATGTGGTGCTGGGCTGCAGTGTATAGGTAACCTCAGTTGGAAACCTCTGGAGTACAGGAAACGGAACCCCTTTATCTGAAAATGTGGGAGATGTCTCCACTTGTCCAGGATGCATTCCAAGGGAGTTCTGCCATATTCTATGAGGAACTGGGGTCCGATCTAAACCTTTCAGAGGGTAAGTACTGTGGTCGTGGGATGGAGTTGATACACAGGAGTAAGGAGACAAACTATCTCGACGAAATGACCGGTGAAATTGTCCTACAGCCACTGGTCCTACATAAAAGAGGAAGAGCACATTTACTAATTTTGCATTACATCACCAGACATAGTAAACCAAAGGTCATAAAATATGCTACTCTTCACCTATCAGCCATTTTTAACACAACAGAAGTTTAGGTTTGGTAAAAACAAGTTCAGAATCAAGAATATGAGACATATAATGCTGAAAGAAGAATCAAATAAACCTTTGTTTTCTCAGTGCGATAGTCATAAAAGATAAAGTGCCCAAATTCTAACATTAAATCAAATGTTAAATCAAAAATTCAACATTAAAAGCCTTTTATACATGATTTGGCCATCTTACCTTTCGCTTTATTTGCCTGACCCAGATTTTTCCAACGTGTAAGCTACTTCCTAAAAGTTTTCCATTCAGTCTTTCAAACAATTTTGTAACATTAATAATAGGCATAAAAATAAGCTCTCCACCAAAAAATAAAAGAAATGGGTGTGGAACATATAACAAGATAAAAAAAAAAGTAACGCTCTTTGCTATCTATCTATCTATCTATCTATCTATCTATCTATCTATCTAGCAACCGGGTCTCACTCTGTTGCCCAGGTTGCAGTGCAGTGATGTGATCTTGGCTCACTCTAGCCTCAAACTTCCAGGCTCAAGCAATCCTCCCACCTCAGCCTCCTGACTAGCTGGAACTATAGGTGCACATCACCAAGCACTGTTTATTTTACTTTTTGTAGAAACAAGGTCTTGCCACATTCCCAGGCTGGTCTGGAACTCCTGGGCTCAAGCGATCCTCCTGCCTTTGCCTCCCAAAGTGCTGGGATTACAGGCATGAGCCACCATGTCTTGCCCTCCCTTTCAAATTTTTAAAAATGATAATCTTTATAAAAAAGTCAGGCTTGAAAAGTTTGACTTAGTTTCCTCCTTCATCCCTTAAATCAATCAATCATTTTCCATGATTTTTCTTTCTTCAGAGTCTTTCCAGTAGTATCCTTTCCCAGATATCAGTGGCTCTCAAACATTGGTTTACATCTGAATCACCTGAAGAGTCTGTTAAAAATCCACAAATCCAGGCCCAGAGATTCTGATACTTGTCTTCTCTTTATTAGCAATGTAAAAAGGAATAAAAAGTGGAGATAAGGAAGAGAGAGAAAGGGCAATAGTATGTAATGAGGGAAGGGAGAATATAAATGATACAGAACTATGGATTATGATTCTTGAACATAAACAAAGCTAGCCTAATTTATTCCTAAGGAGAGTTTTGCATTAAATCATGTGACTGATTCACAAGTTCCTTTCAATTTACTAAGCTAATCTGTAAAACGGAGGGAAAACTTATTATGTGCTACTCAAGTATTAAACTACACGTTGAAAGTTAACACTCAAATATCTGCTTTTCCAAATAATTAGATTGTAAACCCATTCAACAAGTTACATATCTGTCATTCTATTTCTGTAGTTTAATTTCCTTTAAAGAATAAAGCACGCCAGCCACGGTGGCTCATGCCTGTAATCCCAGCACTTTGGGAGGCCAAGGCAGGCAGATCACTTGAGTCCAAGAGTTCAAGATCAGCCTCAGCAACATGGTGAAACCCCATCTCTACAAAATATACAAAAATCAGCTGGGCACGATGGTGCATGCCTGTAATCCCAGCTACTCAGGAGGCTGAGGCAGGAGAATCGCTTGAACCCAGGAGGTGGAGGTTGCAGTAAGCTGAGATTGAGCCACTGTACTCCAGCCTGGGTGACACAGTGAGACCCTGTTTCGAAAAGAAATAATAAAGTATTATTGAGTCCAGGAGTTCAAGGTTACAGTGAACTATGATCGTGCCACTGCACTCCAGCCTGGATGACAGAGTGAGATCCTATCTCTTAAAAATAAATAAATAAATAAATAAAGCATTAATGCCAAAAAGAAACAAATACGCACATATGAACAACACAAATTCTGAAGCCCTGGAAATCAAGAGGCTTTATCTAATAGGGGGAAAAAATCCTACTTCAGAAGATTGAATGTATTCAAATGATAGATCTCTTAAAAACTATTTTTCCTTTATTCCTTTAAAGTACAAAAAATAAAATAGACCCTGCGCAGTGTCTCATCCTTCTAATCCCAGCACTTTGCGAGGCCAAGGCGGGAGGATTGCTTGAGCTCAGGAATTTCAGACCAGCATGGGCAAAATGGTGAGATCCTGGCCAGGTACGGTGGCTCACACTTGTAACACTAGCATTTTGGGAGGCTGAGGAGGGCAGATCACTTGAGCTTAGGAGTTCAAGACCAGCCTGACTAACATGGAGAAACCCCGTCTCTACTAAAAATACAAAAATTAGCTGGGCTTGGTGGCACACACCTTGTAGTCCTAGCTACTCAGGAGGCTGAGGAAGGAGAATAGCTTGAACCTGGGAGGTGGAGGTTGCAGTGGGCTGAGATCACGCCACTGCACTCCAGCCCGGGCAACACAGCAAGACTCCATCTCAAAAAAAAAAAAAAAAAAAAAAAAAAAGGAAAGAAAGAAAAAAGAAAAAAAAGGTGAGATCTTGTCTTTACAAAAAATAAAACAATCAGCCAGGTATGGTGGCATGCACCAATAGTCCCAGCTAGGAGACTGAGATGGGAGGATGACTTGATCTTGGGAGGTCAAGGCACCAGTGAGCCATGTTCATGCCACTGAACTCCAGCCTGGGTGACAGAGGGAGACTCTGTCTTTTAAAAAAAAAAAAAAAAAGCATAAAACAGTTTTTACGCTGCTTGACTAGCAATTCCGCAGGTACATACACCTTGAACCCACCACTGACACCCCCTCCTTTTTTTCTCTCTCTTCACAAGAGGTGTTTCTGCATGTCCAAAATTACCCATTCCCTGATTTCTCCTGGGATGCTCGCAGTCAACACTACATACAGCCTACAGAGTACAACAGCTCTGCCCTCTTCGGGGATAAACTGTTGGTGAATTTTCAGGCTGTCAATAACTTAAGCAGCTAATTAAAGAATTCCCTACCTTAAATTGTTTTATATCTGTCTACTTCTATCATGATAAACTTGGAGTGATGGCCAATTAACTATTTTAGATGCAGTTAAAATTAGAACACAGTCAAGATTAAAAGAACATTCTTTTAAGTCTGTTTTTTTAAAATAAAGAACCAAGACATGTTTAGCCCTTATTTATTCTTCTGTTAAGGGTTACTTCATAGGGCTCAATTCAGATCAACATTACAGAGCATCACCTATATGTCTTCAAAATATCTTTAAGATATATTTGGCAAAGTTTGAATCCAGAATTCTGGAAATAGAGGGCAGGATGAAATTGTGTTCTCAAAAATTCTATTTCTTTTATGGAAGTGCGTCTGAATTAATCAATTCCCAGGAAAGAATCCAAAAACTTGCCTCTTGAGAGCATGGTATCCCCAGGTAAAAGATTATCCACTTCTCAGATCTGTTACTTAGTTTAGGATATTTTAACAAATATCGTATAAAATAAACTGCTCCTAAAAACAAAATAACAAAAGCGCACAAAGGAAAAACATGCAATCTGTTTCTTATCAAGTATACTCTTGGAAGGTGAACAGTGCAATTGGTTCAGTGGCTCTAAATAAAAGAACTAGGTCCTAAAACAGAGGATTCTATTATAGAGAGAGAAGTATTCAACCCATACACTGAAATAGAACATAGAAAAAATGGAGACTAAGCAGTAGCAGTGTAGTCAGGCACATAACCAAGGCAAGATTCGAGAAGAAGAAAAATGAGATGAGGAAAAGTAGAAGAGCCAAGGACTTAGAACATGGAATGAGAACAAAACAAAGTTGTATTCTTGAATAACTTTGCTAAATTATTCAAGTTCTAATATTCTTGAACTTAAAGCAGAATTACATTCCACCTGAACCAGTAACACAATTCCCTAGTGAACCAAACCTATGGTATAGACAGTCCACACCTGACATACCTTCTGCACATACCAACAGGTAGAATGGTAAGGAAAAAAAAAAAAAACACCAAACAGGAAAGGCATGAAAACAATAACTTAGTTATATATGGATTGACATATAATCTATACTGAAAAACCATGAATTTATGTTTTTCAACAAACAGTAATCTTTAAATGCTGACCAACTGAAGTATAAGTGAATAAAATCAGATGCCAGATGGCCCTGAATTTCTTCAATTAAAATGGACTCTATCCTTAAAATACAACTGAGTTTAAGATAGTTGAGGGTAAAAGGTCAGAGAAGAGAAAAGAGCAAGTGTTGGTTTTTATGTGTGTGTGTATGCATGGATGTTTCTTTGTTTGAAGTGGTTATCCCATTTCTCCCAAAAACATATTTTCTAGTCTTTTCTCCTTATACCCACCAGACATGCAACCTGAAAAAAAAAAAATCCATGTCAGAGATTCTGCCAAATGTATGCCATGGTATTGTCTCCATTGCCTTGCCCCCTATCATTCCCTACCAAAATC
The DNA here is from genome assembly GCF_000001405.40 of Homo sapiens. NCBI lineage: Eukaryota > Metazoa > Chordata > Mammalia > Primates > Hominidae > Homo > Homo sapiens. Next base: position 58,484,683 of record NC_000017.11, read on the forward strand.
AATGGCCATCACATGGAAGTGGCCTAATATTCCTTTAGGACATTCTTATGCCACTGCTGCTTTTTCAACTTACTGTTGGAACTTTAACCTAATCCCTTATCTTCTAAACTCCACAGTGGTCACATAACCTAGTTCCTTATCTTCTAAATTCCAAATGAACCAAGTACTGTTGTCATTCATAACCCTGGGCGAAGGTTAAGTTGAACATAGTGTTATTTTATTTGTACATTTAAACTTTTCCATTAACTCAAAAATAACCCAGATTTTTTTTTTTTTTTTTTTTTTTTTTTGAGACAGCGTCTCACTCTGTCGCCCAGGCTGGAGTGCAATGGTGTGATCTCGGCTCACTGCAACCTCCACCTCCCAGGTTCAAGTGATGCTCCTGCCTCAGCCTCCCGAGTAGCTGGGACTACAGGCACCCGCCACCACGCCCAGCTAATTTTTATATTTTTAATAGAGACAGGGTTTCACCATGTTGGCCAGGATGGTCTCGATCTCTTGACCTTGTGATCCGCCTGCCTGGGCCTCCCAAAGTGCTGGGATTACAGGCGTGAGCCACCACGCCCGGCCCCAGATTTCTTTATAGTAAATCCATGTTAACATGCTGAAAATGTTTTTATTTACTCTCCTAGCTGAAGGTGAAGAATGAATGAATGATTACACCCTGTTGGTTTCTTGGTATACTGCTTCATATCATGGACTCTTTAAACAGAGAAATGGAATATTGCCACCCTTGCCTTCCTGGAAGAGGGGGAAGAGCATCAAAAATCAAGTCTACAGGCCTGGCGCAGTGGTGGCTCACGCCTGTAATCCCAGCACTTCCAGAGGCCAAGGTGGGCAGATCACTTGAGCCCAGGAGTTCCAGACCAGCCTGGGCAACAGAGTGAAACCCTGTATCCACCAAAAATACAAAAAATTAGCTGGGTGTGGTGGCCACGCCTGTAGTCCCAGCTACTCGGGAGGCTGAGGTGGGAGGATCCCTTGAGCCCGGGAGGTGGAGGTTGCAGTGAGCCAAGATCTTGCCACTGCACTCCAGCCTGGGGGACAGAGTGAAACCCTATCTCAAAAAAAAAAAAAAAAAATCAAGTCTATAAAATAATTTGGCCATGTGAAGTGGCTCACACCTGTAATCCCAGCACATTGGGAGGCCAAGATGGGCGGATCACCTGAGGTCAGGAGTTCAAAACCAGCCTGGCCAACATGGTGAAACCCCATCTCTACTAACAATACAAAAATTAGCGAGGTGTGGTGGCAGGCACCTGTAAAATCCTAGCTACTCTGGAGGCTGAGGCAGAAGAATCACTTGAACCCGGGAGGCAGAGGTTGCAGTGAGCGGAGATCTTGCCATTGCACGCCAGCCTGGGCAACACAGTGAGACTTAATCTCAAAAAGTAAAATAGGCAGGGCGCAGTGGCTCAGGCCTGTAATCCCAGCACTTTGGGAGGCCAAGGCTGGCGGATCACCTGAGGTCAGGAGTTCGAGACCAGCCTGGCCAACCTGGTGAAACCTCGTCTCTACTAAAAAATATAAAAATTAGCCGGGCATGGTGGCACGCGCCTGTATTCCCAGCTACTCAGGAGGCTAAGGAATGAGAATTGCTTGAACCCGAGAGGCGGAGGTTGTGGTGAGCCGAGATCGCGCCATTGCACTCCAGCCTGGGTGACAAGAGCGAAACTCCGTCTCAAAAAAATAAACAAATAATAAAAAATAAATAATCCACTATCACAGAGGGTTTCTTAACTTTTACTAAATACAGATGTATACCAAAAAGTTTTTTCAATACTGAAAGATTGTAGCCAATAGTGAAAACTCCAAAGGCTGTAAATGTGAGCTTTCTAAAATTCTTTTTTAACTAAAACTTGACAGCTGTAAAGAAAACCATCTTTGCCTTATGTTTGTCTAATCATACCCCTTTAAGGAAGCATCAAGCTCTAATTTGCTTCAATGAAAGAAATGTGTAGCCAATTCATTCTACATAGGAACTATATCTTGTAAGCCACGATGTATCGTTGTATTTTTGCTCTTAAGGTATATAAACAACGTCTACCATTCTACACATTAACCAGAACCTTAAATCTGATGATTGTCGTAGCACTTCTAAGATTTCTTAGATGTGCCAATAGGTGGAAGGTGGCAGCCCTCTTCAAGGACAAATTTCCACTGCAGGCACCTTTTCCAAAACTTTCCCTTGCCTGCTATTGTAATGTTCTAAGTTCTCTCTTTTTTTTTTTTTTTTTTTTTTTGAGACCGAGTCTCGCTCTGTTGCTCAGACTGGAGTGCAGTGGCACTATCTCGGCTTACTGCAACCTCTGCCTCCTGGGTTCAAGCGATTCTCCTGCCTCAGTCTCCTAAGTAGCTGGGATTACAGGCGTGCACCACCATGCCTGGCTAATTTTTGTATTTTTAGTAGAGACGAGGTTTCACCCTGTTGGTTAGGCCGGTCTCAAACTCCTAACCTCGTGATGCACCCGCCTCGGCCTCCCAAAGTGCTGGGATTACAGGCGTGAGCCACCACGCCCAACCGTAATGTTCTAAATTCTCTTGACTACGATTTTGTTCCATCCCGCCTTAACCCGTAGGGTGACTCCACTCTGCTTCCCACGGGAGCAAAGGAGCCCCTTTTGTTTCTTCCAGACCCAATGTTTCAACGAAGGACTACTGAGTCCACATGTTTACAGTGGACAGTGTGGGTCTCAGGAAGGTAAACGGAGGCTTACAACCAGGTAAACTCCTGGGGTTCAAACCGGGGACGAGTAGAAGGGAGCCTAAGAGGCGGAGGTCCCTTTTGCTGCCAGTGGGCTCAGAAGGGGCCGAATGCTTACGGACCCTCCAGGGGAGGGCCGGTGGCCACCGTGCTGGTGCCGCTGAGAACGGCGGCGGTGGCGGGACCGCCAGTCTCGGGAAGCACAGCGGCCAATGGGTCCCCGGCGCCTTTCCGACGCCCATAGCGTGAGGACGTGCGAAAATGCGCCCTCCAGCGGCGGTTGCTCCCCGCCGCCCATGTGCCCACTGTGGGCGAGGGCACGGGCAGTCCGGACTCACCGTGCGGCTCGGGCCGGGGCCCCGCGGGCGGCGGCGGCTGCTGGTGCTGCAGTGGCGCGGTGGCGGCGGAGGCCGAGGTGATGAGCAGCCGCTGGAAGCGGTTGGGCGGGCGGCAGGGCACCTCCAGGCCGGCCGCCAGCTTGGCCTTGTTGGCGCTGGTGAGGCGCTTGAGGTGCACGAGCAGCTGTGGCTGGTCGCGGCGGAAGTGCGGGTTGTGGAAGTGATGGAGCGGCCCATTGCCTGCCGGTTTGCCGCCCCCCGGCCCGCCCAGCACCACCTTGCGGAAGCCGTAGAGGTTGAGCTGGCGGATGAAGCTGGTGAAGCTGGTGGTTTTGAAGAGCTCGGGCTCGGCCCCGGCCCCCGCAGTCCCGCCACCGCCCCCCGGCCCGGGCGGGCTGAGCAGCTCGGCCTCGAAGAGCGGCTGATCGATAAGCAGCCCCTCGCCGCGGCCGTCCCAGCGGATGGAGCGGTAGCGCGGGCTGTTCACCAGGCGCCACAGCTTGGCGGGGAAGTTGTTGGGGTTGATGGGGGTGGAGAGCAGCGCCTCCATCGCCCCGCCGGGCCGGGGCCTCGCCCCCCGAGCCTAGCTCTCCCACACCGTTCTCGATCCCTCCCCGGCCTTCGCCTCGCCCTGCCCGCTCCTGCCGGCGCCCATCCGCCGCGTACCAGGGACCGTTGGCGCACGAGGCCCCGCGGCGCCTCCCAGCGCGGCCAATGGGGCCTCGAGTTCCCGCCACGCGGCGTGGGCACCTCCCCCTCGGCGGCCGCGTGCCCCAGCTCGGCCCGCCGGACGCCTGCGGGACCCGGGCAGGAGCCCCTTCCCCAGGCGTTCCCAGACTTCAGGCCGGGAAGGCTGTCTGCCGGGGTGTTCTAAGTCCTGACAAGAGAGAAGCCCAGTTATCCACCGTGGAATACCAAGAGGCGTGTGTTTCGGCCCAGCCAACTAGTGGAGACTTGGAATGCAGAGAAAGTGTGCGTTAGGCAGCAGAGTTGGTCGTTCTGGGGACCAAAGGGTCTGGTCTGTAATCTTTGCTAACAGTGGAACTGCTTACCTCTCAAACAAAAATGATGCTACTGGAGGTATAATATCTTGAGTAAACGAACTCACCTTTTAGATAGTAGCCCTTTGTATCTTTTAAGATACACTCTTTTAAGTCAGTATTTGTTCAAGACAATTTACTCAAGGTTAGATGAAAACTGAGGTCCCTAGGAGGAGGGAATCACAAGAATCTAAGTACTATCTTGTGTGCCTGCCCAACTAGCTGGTGGCATTTTAGACATTAAAGAGAAATAAAGATGGGACAGAATTCTACGGTATCCATAAGAATCGATCCCTAGCCAATCAATAAATAAGAATGTAACAAGAGCTGTGCTGATTCAAAAAGAGAGGTTCATTTGAAAACGGAAATTGGCCGGGCGCAGTGGCTCATGTCTGTAATCCTAACACTTCGGGAGGCCGAGCTGGGTGGACTGCTTGAACCCAGGAGTTCGAGACCAGCCTGGCCAACATGGTCAAACCCTGTCTCTACTAAAAATACAAAAATTAGCCAGCGTGGTAGCATACCTGTAGTCCCAACTGTTCAGGAGGCTGAGGCAGGAGAATCGCTTGAACCCAGAAGGCGGAGGTTGCAGTGAGCCGAGATCGCACCACTGCACTCCAGCCTGGGGAACAGAGGGAGACTCCATCTCAAAATAAATAAATTGGAAATTGCTGGGAGAAAGGGGTACAATGTTCTACTCTTCTCATGGTCAAAGAATAAGTGAATATTAAGTTTTTTTAGAAATGAAAATAAAACGACCCAACAAAGCAGCACTAATATAGAGATTTTATTTAAACTGTATTGAATTTTTACAGCACATTGCATGTTTGTCACAACGCAACTGCACAGTTTGGATTTTTGGCCACATCATGTCACTTACACCCACAACAGCTCTGAAAGGAGTATTTGATGAACACATCTGAGCCAAGAGCCCAGAGTCTCTCTCCAAGGCCATGCAGTTTGTTCACTGATGGGACAGTCCCTCAAAACAGCCACGCTAAGTAGACAGATACAGTCTCCCCAAATGTTACCAATCTTACTCCCCTTGAAAACAGGCAGAGTGAAGTGCAATGAAAGACAAGTTAATTAAAAAGCCACTCACAACTGGCAGTAAATTTTAATGATTGATAAAATGCTTAAAATAATTTTATGTATCAGAAACAAGGAACAGCTTGTTACTTTTTCAATGATCTCAGGAATTTTGCAGACACAAAATCTCCATTATTCAGCTCCATTTAAATGAAAAAAAAAGTTCCGCTAGGCTGACCTAAATATGCCAAAACTTTTTAGGTTACATCTATGGCAAGTACAAAAGAACCACAGATGCGTCTCTGTAGGACTGAAAAGGTCAGGACAAATAATGATTCTTGTTCTAAATGCAGATCCTAGTTATTTTGGAATGAAATGCTGTTTTCTAGAAAGCAACATGAAAGTAGCAGTAAGAAAGATGACTACCATCATTTCAAAACAGGATAAGCCTAAATATAATTTACCATTTATATGTCAACAAATTAAGGAAAACTGTATAAAGTCCTAGTGGTTTCATTATAGGCCAAGGAGACTGTATCTGTCCCACCCACAGTACATGGCTATATCACTGTATCTTTTGGTTAAGTGCCACTGGTACATATTAAGATGAAAAAAAACAAAAACAAAAACAAAAAAACAAAATAAAATTTTTTAAAAACCAACAACGTTTGGTCCAAATGGACACATGTTCTTTCCCAATTTTGGTATCAAGGCTTTATTCTCTTCTGTTTGGGTTCCATTGTTAAGTGCACAGAAATAGACAGCAGCATTTGTACTGAAACCCTCACATACCAAACAGCATATGCTAGGAGGTAAAAACCAAACGCTAAATTCTACCCTCAAGGTGTCAAGTGTTCAGGATAAGAAGCAATGTGACCCAGAGGAGGCATCAGCCAAGGGAAAGACAACATGGGGGAAATGGGCAATGGAACAACAACAACGAAAACCTTTGTTTTATTTTCATGCCAGGAGAGGATCAAGGTGTAGCTCCTGTGTTAGCACCAGGACAACTAGGAAAAGTCAGGTGCAAAGAGTAGGGCACAATCAGCAGATATTTCACAAGGATAATTTTTGCTTTTCCCTTCTCATTCTTCACAGTGCATAACTCAAGAGCTGCCACTGTGTAACAGAGACGACTGCCTTCACAGCTCAAAATAACTCAATGTTTGCCAGGACCGAACATCAGCAGAGTTTTCCTCTGCTCCCAAAAATGTCTCACTCCCTAGAACTGTTCCCCTAAACTGAATATTCACCAATGCTGGCTGATGAGCCAACTGAAAAATACATTGAAACCTCCACTTGCTGAGCCAGTCTTCAAACCAAACTCCACAGAAAGACAGTACTAATGCAACTAGAAGGAGTGCCTCTAAAGGCTGAGCCTTCATGCAGACACAGAGCACAGAGGTACAGGATATAGTTCATCTCAAATAGGACAGGAATTCCTACCTTGTATACTATAATCTGCTTTTGTCAAGGTGGAGGAGAGATGGGTCTGGTTATCACTTGGAGTTTGGTTATACATATGCCTTTCTATTGCTGTTTGGGGCACTTTGCACCAGGCAACATCTACGCAATCATCATCTTGTGACCTCCAGGAGAAAGAGGCTGGAGTCACCAACTCAACATTAAGCTTCCAGACCCTGGGTCTGGGTTAGGACCATTACCCCAAGGTGAGGGTATCACCAGTAGAGGACCTCCTGCTAAATTGCAATTCCTCTGCTCCAGTTTCATGATACCAAGGAGGATTTCTCAAGATGGTATCTCTGAGCTCTGTGATTTCATGAGCCACACCAAGGAACCTTCCAAACTACAACTGAAGAAGATCCTCCCTTCAAACCTGCTAAAATTGGACAGGTTTCTCCCCGGCATTCAACTGGAAGCTGTAGCAATGGGTTTCTTCAGCTGTTGGCTCATGAGTTCCCTGGCACGAGAGACTTGAATGTGTTCGTAACATGAGTTACAGACGAGAACTGGGTCATAGAGTTGCTGATCAGGAATGGGCAGCTTCAGGTGGCAGCATCCAGCACAAAATACATTCCCACAATTTCTGTCAAAGCAGAAAGAGGGAAGAGTTCATCAGAAATGCCAATATACTGGCCAGGCAGGGTGACTCACACCAGTAATCCCTGCACTTTGGTAGGCTGAGGCAGTAGAATCGCTTGAGGCCAGGAGTTTGAGACTTGCCTGAGCAACATAGCAAGAGCCCATCGCTAATAAAAAAATAATTAATTAATTAATATTAAGAAATGCCAATATACTGAGAATGAGTGATACTAAATGAAAAGTTGGGGACAAACAAAAATAGTTTCTATAAAGAGGTGTCCACTTCCAAACTAATTCCACTTAGTTCTATACATATGTATTACACTATTTTTGTTTTTGTTTTTTGTCCTTTTTGAGACAGAGTCTTGCTCTGTTGCCAGGATGGAGTGCAGTGGCGTAATCTCGGCTCACTGCAACCTCCAGCTCCCTGGTTCGAGCTATTCTCCTGCCTCAGCCTCCAGAGTAGCTGGGATTACAGGCATGCGCCACCACGCCCAGCTAATTTTTGTATTTTTAGTGGAGACAGGTTTTACCATGTTGGCCAGGATGGTCTCAATCTCCTCACCTCATGATCCGCCTGCCTCGGCCTCCCAAGGTGTTGGCATTACAGGTGTGAGCCACTGCGCCTGGCCTGCCCTGTTTTTTGTCATACTAAATCATACAAAACATCTTACCTGCAATGGTGTCTTCGTTTGGCCAACCAGAATTCACAGTCACAGTTATAGCAGTGTGATGCCATATGGTCTGGAACCCAGCGAGTCACCTAATAGAAGGCACAAAGAAAAATTCCTGGTCCTTGTTGACAGACTGGAAGAGCAACATTGCAATGAGGAAAGCACCCCAGCAGAAAGAGACAAGGCTTATCTTCATAACTGGCTACCATTTGCCTACCAGGCTGACACTCCTCTGGGGGACAGCTCAGTCTACAGCATGTCATTCATCTCTGGAAAATATGATGACTCACTGGCTCACGTAAGTACCCACCACATATGTGCCTAAACATACCTCAGTCTCTTTCTTATCAACAGGTTCCCAGCTTGCTTCTGAAAGGCAGTCTTCACTGTGATCAGAGCCAAAATCCTCAGTATCACTGCCATCTGACTCCTTCAAACATGTCTGATGAAAAGGCAAAGACAACAAATTATCTTCATCATCATTAACGCTTACTGTTTACCATGTGTCAGGCACTGTGCTAAGTGCATTACACACATGAACTTATTTCTTATGACAGTCTTACAATGTATACTACTAATATCCCCATTTTACAAATAAGAAAATGAAGCCACAGAGAAAGAGCTGATACGTAGTAAAGCTGGGATTTGAACCTAGTATTGTAGCTTCAGATTTACACTCTTACCGATATGCTACACCACAGCATAGAAAGACTCTTGTTATGTTCTAAACCAGGGGTTGGCAAGCTATGGCCCACAGGCCAAACTAGCCCACTGCCTGTTTTTGTAAATCAGGTTTTGCTGGAACACAGCTGCATTCATTCATTTACTTACTGTCTATGGCTGCTTTTTGTTTTGTTTTTGAGACAAGGTCTCGCTCTTTTGCCCAGGCTGGAATGCAGCAGCATGATCACGGCTCGCTGTAGCCTCAACATCCTGGACTCAAGAGATCCTCCCACCTCAGCCTCCTGAGTAGTTGGGACCACAGGCGTCCACCACCATGTCCAGCTAATTTTTTGTAATTTTTGTAGAGATGGGGTTTCACCATGTTGCCTAGGCTGGTCTCAAACTTCTTGGCTAAAGCAATCCACCTACCTCGGCCTCACAAAGTCCTAAGACTACAGGCGTGAGCCACAGTGCCTGGCTACGGCTGCTTTTGCACAATAGCAGAGCTGAGTAGTTGCAACATAGACGGTATGGCCCACAAAACCTAAAATAGTTATTATTTGGCCTTTTACAAAAAAAAAAAAAGTTTGCTGACTCCTGTTTAAAGCACCAGAGAAGTGAGAAGCAGGCAAGTGGGGAGCACCTTAACAGAAGGAAGGAAAGTGTCTGTGTAAATGGCAAGATACCATGGAGAGGAAGCTGGCTCCTAGAAGCTCCCCAAGGACTATGGTGCCAGAACCTGAGGCTGCCCAACACTGCACAGCCTATAGTCTTCATCTCTCACCTGGATTATTCCAAAATGACCTTACCAGCCTCCCAATCTGGGTCTCAACTGCCTCATTAAAATTGTACACTGTTGGGCCGGGCGCAGTGGCTCACGCCTGTAATCCCAGCACTTTGGGAGGCCGAGGTGGGCGGATCATGAGGTCAGGGGATCGAGACCATCCTGGCTAACACAGTGAGACCCCATCTCTACTAAAAATACAAAAAAAAAAAATTAGCTGGGCATGGTGGCGGGCGCCTGTAGTCCCAGCTACTCAGGAGGCTGAGGCAGGAGAATGGCGTGAACCCGGGAGGGCGGAGGTTGCAGTGAGCTGAGATTGCACGACTGCACTCCAGCCTGGGTGACAGAGCGAGACTCCGTCTCAAAAAAAAAAAAAAAAAAAAATTGTACATTGTTGCAAGAGTCATTTTCTTAAACTACAACTCTGATCATATTGTGCACTGGCCTAAAATTTTATTGCCTTAAGGGTAAAATCCAAACAAGAAGGGCACTCAACCTGACCCTTGTAATCTCCACCTAATTCTCCAATGTCACCTCCCACCACCCTATTTGACTGTCTCTCATAGCCCCAGTGTAAGCGTGTATGCATGCATGTACACATATATACTCGCATGTCCCATCTTTTTAAGCCATATCATTGGAGTATCTATTGCCACTACGCTTCTGCAAATGGTGTTTTGTTTTCACTGTCTACCTGGCTAAGTATCACACATTCTTCAGCACTCAGCTCAAGCATTACCTTCTCAAGAAAGTCTTCCTTGACGTTTCACTCCACTCCAGCCCTCTAACACCTGATGCCTCCTCAATCATAGCACTTAAAAACATCATTCTAATTGCTTACTTGTTTTTCATCCTATAGCCCAGGCACCTAACTCAGTGGCACACAGCAAGTACCCAACGAATAAATGCTGAATGGAGGGAAGGCTGGATGAACAGAGTAAATAATGGGTGTATGGCAGTTGGTGACTACTTACAAAATCATCCTCATAGTCCATGGGGGGCTCTGCTGGAGGGGCACAGCAGTGACGGATGTCCAGCCTCATCTGAAGCTCACGCACCTGTCGACGTAGCTGCTCCACCTCTTGTTTGTACCCTGCTTCGATTTGCCGTAACCTATGCTGGATCACATCCGTGGGAAAGGGGAGTCCATCATCATCCAAATACAGAGGAGGCACTGGAGAAGGGCAGTTCAGTGGAACGGGCTTTGTGCTAGAGACTTGCTTTGGATGACTGGACAACCACATCTGGTTCTTTCCTCCTGGGCCAGTACAATGTCCATTGGAATGACTAGAACAGACAGGTGACTTCACACCTTCTCTCTGAGCCCACTGGCCCCCAAAGCAGGGCCCTGTGGCCCGCATCTGCTTACTGTTTGGCCTCTTGCTACAACAGCCATAGGAAAGCAGCCGCCGAGGGGTGGCCTCCCCACTTGGGAATGAAGTCACCATCCCTTGGAAGCTGTCCCAGTTGGACCCTAGAAAAGAGAACTCACTGATCTGGCTCTGAGAAATTGGCTTCCGGACCAATTCCAATGGCATTTTCCCAAAGCGAGGATTTTCCAATAACTGCCCATTCCTATTATTTCCTCTTTTACCAATGTCTTCCTCCCCATGGGTCAGATCCGGCACAGAACTCAGTTGTTCCTGGTGGGAGATACTTGCCACAGACCCTGAGGGATCTTGGTTGAGGAAGTCAGTGCTTGGGTCTAGAGGAGTTTGGCAGGCAGCACTCGGTGGGTTGCAAACGGTGCTGAGGCTGTGATCAAGAACACACTTGGAGGGCACACCTAGCATGGAGTCTGGCTGGGCCTGTTGGGGCGTACCTGTAGGAGAGTTCTGGGAAGACTCAGGAAAATTACAAACTCCATCACACTTGTTAGAAATGACCTTGGAGAGTGCACTGACAGCTTCTGTTTCAGGACAATGTTCAGGTGGCTCCCCTATGCCATCTAAAGTCCTACCCAGCTCATCCTGGGCAGAAGGGTCTGGAGCTGGTCCCTTAGTCTCTTCTAGGACTTTGATCTCAGGATCAGAGGTGTTGCTCTTCATTTCCCGAGGCACTGCGGTATTAAGCAGTTTGTAACTTGGAGAACAGCTTTTGTGACTCTTGAAAGGTTTATTGCTCAAGTAGTCTTTCTGGCTGCTGGGCAGAGGAGGAGGAAGACCCACTTCTCCTACAGTTTGCTGAGGCCCTCCTACCCCAGAGTCCACAAAGCTTGTCTCTGATCCCTCAGGATTGCTGTGCCAGGGCTCCAGGCCTACCCTGACCTCCTGACAGTGGTTATTCAGGTTAGGGTCACTGGATGTACGAGTCAGGGGGCTGCTTGTGTCACAGGCAGAAAGAAGATCATCCATGGATCTGGTTTTAGGTAATCTGGAAAGACAAATATAACACCTCCAGGTCAGGAGATGGGCACTTGCAATACAATATATGGAACTGAATCAATGGAGCAATATCAAAGCCAGAGTTTAGAAATAATGACACTTAAGAACACTTAAGTTTAGAAATAAGGACCCTTAAGATCACAAATAACCAATGTTCACTGAAAGTTTACTCTGTAAAAAAAGCATGAGACATGGACCGTGTCCTCCGGAACCCAAAAATCTATCCTCAGCTTTTGTCAGCACTCAACCTACCAGTCTCCCTGGGCAATCTCAACCACTACAGTGGTTTCAGCTGCCTTCTATGCCAATGCCTTCTGAATCTACTGTTCCAGCTAGGACTATACCTGAGACTCAAACCCAATATCCCACTGCCTCCATCACAGTAAAACAGAAAGAAGATGGGTTTTGGAGCTAGACAATATTGGCTCTGACGCTAATTAGCTACATGACTACAAATAAGTAAATTAACCTCTCAGATACTTGGTTTCTCCCTTTATACAATGATGATAATAAATCATACCTTGTAGAGATGCTATGAGAATTCAAAATACAGGCAACCAACCACAAACATAATAACCACAAACTTTATTAAGACAACACAACTCCCTCAACACTGCTCTTGATAACCACTTAGCAGCAGTGTGCTCCTCTGCTTCCCAAGGCCCCATGAAACTTCCCCTAGTATATAGCACTCAGAGTTCTAGAGGCATTCATATATACCAGATAGGTTAAGGGACATTTTCAAGAGTGACCATCCTGATTATTAATGCAGTTCAAAGTCCTTAGAGCAATGAAAACTTGAGTGAAATTCACCAGGGAAACAGTAGAGGCTTCACTGGCCTCCTATTTTTAGATGGCTCAGTCAGTTCAGCCTATGCGGAAAAATTCCCCAAAGGCAGTTACAACGCAGCTTATTTTAAGTAATCGGTTTTTGAAACTTAAAACAAATGTTTTATACATACTTGATATACCTTTTGTGACGAATTTTGATTTTTTTAATGGTACGAAATTCCAGGAAGGCAATAACAGTGGTTATCATTATAGTTCCTGGAGTCCCATAGGCAGGGTTCAAATCCCAATTTAACAACATCTTTGCTGTGTGACTTTAACTTCTCTACGCCTCAGATCCCTCATCTATGGAATAAAGGTAAAGTACCTAGCTCTTAAAGCTATTATGAAGATTAAACAAAAGAATCCACATCAAAGCACATTGCTCAGTGCTTCCTATAACACATTATTGCACTTTATTGTTTACTTGTTTAACTCCCTCTACTGAAGTGTCCTGAAGGCAGGACTCTGTCTTATTTGAATCCCCAGCGCCTAGCACAGTACCAGGGGCAAATGACTTGAGAAATGAATGAATGAGCTCAAAATACAACATGAGGTTTCCACTGCTAGGTGCCAATTGAATGTGTGATACACATCAGGCATCTTAGTGGATCTTCTTAGACATCCAGACAACCAGGGTCCACCCAAGACCTACTGAATAAGAATGGCCAAGAGTGGGGCCTAGGGATCTGTATTCTTTTAAGTGCCACAGCTGACTTCTTTCATTTTATTTTTTATTATGGAAACTTTCAAGCATACAAAAGAAGTAAAGAATATGCTGGGCACAGTGGCTCATGCCTATAATCTCAACACTTTGGGAGGTCAAGGCAGGCAGATCTCTCGAGGCCACAAGTCCAAGACCAGCCTGGCCAACATGGTGAAATCCCATCTCTACTAAAAATACAAAAACTAGCTGGGCATGGTGGTGCATGCCTGTAAACCCAGCTCCTACTTGGGAGGCTGAGGCATGAGAATCGCTTGAACCTGGGAGGCAAGAGGCAGAGGTTGCAGTGAGCCGAGATCGCACCACTATATTCCAGCCTGGGTGACAGAGCAAGACTCTGTCTCAAACAACAACAAAAAGAAGAATATAATTAACTTCCATGTGCTCTTCATCCAAATTCAAATAACAACATTCTGCCATCCTCCACAACTCATTCTATGTGTACCAAAGGTTAGTCAGCAATGTTGACAGAGATAATAATACCTGAGTTTACAACAAGGAGAGAGAGCTCATCCAGCTAGGAGGTCAAGGAAGGCTACAGAGAGAGGGTAGGATTTGAGATGGGTATAGAAGAATGTGTTTATGACTTTAATGGAAGAAGAAGAAGAAGGAGGAGGAGAAGGAGAAGGAGAAGCGGGGGAGGAGGGGGGAGGAGGGGGGAGGAGGGGGAGGAGGGGGAGAAGAAGGAGAAGAAGAAGGACATTTTTGATCTAGGGAAAGGTAGAATCAAAGGTAAGTCAGGTCAGTTGTTACAGAGACCATTTCCTTTAAAATCTTTATACCAATTATTTCTCGAAATCTACTCTCCATCTTGAGCTGCCTACAACACACCTCCTTCTTTGCTGTCAACTAATATTTCAATCCCAATTTCCCTGTATCTCCGCTTTCTCCCCAAACTGGCTGGTCTTCTCGACCTTTCAATGTCTATTAGTGGTACTAATATTCTCCTACTTTTTAAGCTCAGATACTTGGGACCCAAAGTACTTTTCACTTCTACTCTCCAACTTTCAATTCTGTAGCCTGCCAATGGTTCTCTACAGTGCTTCTGAATTTAATCCTTTCTCTTTGCCAGGGACTCTTCCCCTCATATCTGAACTACTACAGCAGTGCTGGCTGGTCTCTGTGCCTCCAGCTACCCTGTACTCACTGATTAGTTCTCCAAGGATCCCACTGTCAGCAGACCACAGTAACTTCCTACAATGACTTCCTATTGACAACTGAATCAAAATAAACTCTTCACTGTAATGTTTAAAGCCTTCAATGCCCTCAATGACCTGTCCTATATTTCCACTATTCCTTAAAATAGCCCCTTCTCAACCCCTGCCAGCCACAGAACTTCTTTTTTTTTTAAAAAAAAAAAAACTACCTCTCACCCAGGTGCAGTGGCTCACACCTATAATCCTAGCACTTTGGGAGGCCAAGGTGAGCGGATCACTTGAGGTCAGGAGTTCGAGACCAGCTTGGCCAACATGGCGAAACCCCGTCTCTACTAAAAATACAAAAATTAGCCAGGTGTAGTGGCACACACCTGTAATCCCAGTTACTCGGGAGGCTGAGGCAGAAGAATCACTTGAACCCGGTGGGCGGAGTGAGCTGAGAAGATCATGTGACTGCACTCCAGCTGGGCAATGGAGCGAGAAAACCCTACCTCTCATGTATCCACTTGCTTTGGACCCCTCTCCACTAACCTTGTTACTGAGCTCACAACTCCCTTTATTTCATTCATTTGTCCAGTTTTTTTTTTTTTTGAGACAGTCTCACTCTGTTGCCCGGGCTGGAGTGCAGTGGCGCGATCTCTGCTCACTGCAAACTCCGCCTTCCCAGGTTCATACCATTCTCCTGCCTCAGCCTCCAGAGTAGCTGGGACTACAGGCGCCTGCCACCACGCCCGGCTAATTTTTTTTTTTTTTGTATTTTTAGTAGAGACGGGGTTTCACCGTGTTAGCCAGGATGGTCTTGATCTCCTGACCTCATGATCCGCCCGCCTCGGCCTCCCAAAGTGCTGGGATTACAAGCATGAGCCACCACGCCCAGCCATTTGTCCAGTTTTAAGTAAATTTTTACTTTAGTAAATTTATTTAAATTTACTTATTACGTGCCAGGTTCTAAGCCAGATACACAGAACACAAAAAGACCCACAGTTCTTGTCTGGTCCTTCATGAAAATTTCCTGAGTAAAACAGCCACCAAGTGACCCTTTTAAAAAACACATCATTTCTCTAAAGCTTTGAACTACACACATTTGTTTTTTTGAGACAAGGTCTCGCTGTGTCACCCAGGCTGGAGTGCAATGGCATGATCACAGCTCACTGCAGCCTCAACCTGCTGGGAGCAAACAATCCTCCTACGTCAGCCCTCCAAGTAGCTGGGACCACAGGCGCACGCCACCATGCCTGGCTAATTTTTGCATTTTTTGTAGAGGTGGGGTTCTACCATGTTGCCCAGGTTGGTCTCAAACTCCTGGGCTCAAGCAATCTGCGCACCTTGGCCTCCCAAAGTGCTGGGATTACAGGCATGAGCCACTGCACCCAGCCTGAACTACACACATTCTTATCTGCTTAGATGTTGACTTAGAATTGTTCTCTAGTTGGCCGGGTCTGGTAATCCCAGCACTTTGGGAGGCCGAGGCGGGTAGATTACGAGGTCAAGAGATCGAGACCATCCTGGCCAACATGGTGAAACCCCGTCTCTACTAAAAATACAAAAAACTAGCCAGGTGTGGTGGTGGGCACCTGTAGTCCCAGATACTCGGGAGGCTGAGACAGAAGAATCACTTGAACCCGGGAGGCGGAGGTTGCAGTGAGCCAAGATTGCGCCACTGCACTCCAACCGGTGACAGAGCGAGATTCTGTCTCAAAAAAAAAAAAAAAAAAAAAAAAGAATTGCTCTCTCTAGTTGTTCTGTGTCTTATCTTACAGCTTAAAATTATCTTGAAAGTAGAACCAATATCTTCTATTTCTTTGCTGTAGCCCACAAAACCTAGTACAGTAATACGCAACTTGTAGGTATTAAAGAAACATTTGTTGAATTGATAAATCAGATACTAAGTTAATGAAATGATTATTAAATGGGTCACAGAGCTTATTAAAAATTTGATTAAAAGTTATGGCCCCTCTCCCAGGAAAAGTAAACCTATGAACCTGTAGCCAAATTCTGCATAGTTTGGGGAAGGAAAAAAAAAATCACTGAAATCCTGAAACCTATCACGGTCCCCTCACAATGACTTAGTTCAAAAGACCCTAAAACCAATAATTTGGGATGCTGGGCTTTTTGTTTTCCTTTATAATATTCAACCAATAACATATGTTATATTTTAACTTTAAAAACTTTCAGCCAGGCTGGGCATGGTGGCTCACACCTGTAATTCCAGTGTTTTGGGAGGCCAAGGCAGGAAGATCACTCGACGCCAGGAATTTAAGACTAACCTGGGCAACAGACCCGTCTCTACAAAAAATAAAAATTGGCACATGCCTAATGAGCTAATTAGCTACCTGGGAGGCTGAAACAGAAGGATTACCTGAGGTCAGGAGTTTGAGGTTACTATAATTGTGCCACTGCACCCAGCCTGAGTGACAGAACAAGACCCTGTCTCTAAAAAACAAAAAAGCTCTCAGCCAATAAACAAATATCAAAATTTGAGATATATATACACATATATACACGTATATATGTATATATGTGTGTATATATATAGTATACATATATACACACATATATGTATATGTCTATGTATATACGTATACATGTATATATGTATACGGATATATATACATATATGTGTATATATATATACGCGTATATATGTATATATATCCTTTGAGCACAGTATTTTCATTCAAAAATACTAGCACAAATGCAAAAATATGCATACAAAGTAACCCTACTGGCCAGGCGCAGGAGCTCACACCTGTAATCCCAACACTTTGGGAGGCCGAGATGGTGGATAACTTGAGGTCAGGAGTTCAAGACCAGTGTGACCAACATGGTAAAACCCCGTCTCTACTACAAATACAAAAATTAGCTGGGCATGGTGGCGCATGCCTGTAATCCCAGCTACTCGAGAGGCTGGGGCAGGAGAATCACCTGAACCCGGGAGGCAGAGGTTGCAGTGAGCTGAGATTGTGCCACTGCAGTCCAGCCTGGGCAACAGAGCGAAACTCTGTCAAAAACAAAAAAACAAAACAAAAAAAAAACACACAAAGTAACCCTACTAAACTATGTACTTAAAAATGGTGTAGATGGTAAATAGCATGTGTATTTTACAATTTTTTTTTTTTTTTTTTGAGATGGAGTCTCACTCTATTGCCCAGGCTGGAGTGCGTGGCGTGATCTTGGCTTACTGCAATCTCCACCCCCCCAGATTCAAGCGATTCTTATGCCTCAGCCTCCTGAGTAGATGGGATTACAGGTGCCTGCCACCATGCCCGGCTAATTTTTGTATTTTTAGTAGAGACAGGGTTTCACCATGTTGGCCAGGCTGGCCTTGAACTCCTGACCTCAAGTGATCCACCTGCCTCGGCCTCCCAAAGTGCTGGGATTACAGGCATGAGCCACCGTGCCCAGCCTGTAATTTACAAATTTTTAAAAAGCTACACATATAAGGATGTAAAGCACTCCCTGTAATGATAAAAAAAAAAAAAATGGAAATTACCTAAATGATGAGTAGGAATCTGGTTATATAAATTGTGGACTACTCTGAAGCCAATAAAAACAAGAAAGGGAATTTAGATGTGCTGTCATGAGAAGACAACCTAATACAAAGCGGGAAAAACAATTTGCAGAATATGCAAAAAAGTAAAAAGCGTATGTAAAAATATTCTGATTTTGTTTATAAAAAATGTTTCCATATGAAAGCGTGAGTGTGGATTTACCTATGTAGAGATAAACATTTGGAAAGACACGTACCAAATGTTAGCAGTGGACACCTGTGGGGACAAGGATCATAAGGGAAGATTTTCATTTTCTACTTTTATATTGACTATTTTTTTAAAACAAGAAATAGGTATTACTCTCATAAATTAACCAACATCATCTCACTTCTCCCCAAACATTGAGCCAGAAGATACCTAATTTTATGTCTCCCTTTTAAATTCTGGCCTTTTTCTGAGGGAGTAATATAAGGCCATCCTCCTGCTGGGAACCCATTTCCCTGAGAGTCAGATGTTTCTGGAAGCTAATGCTGGACACAACAAAGGTTGCTACTAATATAGCAAGCTCCCCATGCCCTGTACCAGTGAACAAAAATCAAGACCATTCCCACAAACCTTCCTAAAACAGTCCTTTCTGTTTTGTTCTCTCCCCTGCTTGGGTATATCATACAGAGTGATAGCAGCTCCTCCAGGAAAGAAAGTATCCAACCTTATCTTCAGAGGACCTTGAAAACACACAGAGTGCACTCCAGGCTAGCTACAAGTCTTGGCCAAGTTTTTCCTGCAAATGACTCAAGAAGTTGCTTTTAAATACCTCAGAAAGAGGCCGGGCACGGTGGCTCACGCCTGTAATCCCATCACTTTGGGAGGCCGAGGCAGGTGGATCATTTGAGGTCAGGAGTTTGAGACCAGCCTGGCCAACATGGTGAAACCCCATCTCTACTAAAAATACAAAAAATTGGCTGGGCGTGGTGGTCGGTGCCTGTAATCCAAGCTACTCGGGAGGCTGGGGCAGGAGAATCAGTTGAACCCGGGAAGTGGAGGTTGCAGTGAGCCAAGATTGCACCACTGGCACTCCACCCTGGGCGACAAAGTGAGATTCCGTCTCAAAAAAAAGAAAGAAAGAGAACATTTAGATGAGATGGGAAACAGTTACTGCCTTCCTAGTGGAGAGAGGAGAAAGGAAGAAGGGCTTTTCTTACCTGTCCAGAGAGCGGCCAGAGAACTCCTGGCTCTGGGCCACTGGGGAAAGGTAAAGATCCATGTTTTCTTCCCCAAGTGTGCATGGAGATGATGCTGGCAGATAAACAGCTGTCCAGAGGTGCAGGGCCCGGACATGACAAACAGGATGCAGGACCTAGGGAAGCAGCCCAATACTAGTGCTTTGTCAAGAGTTCCTTGTCCTTTTTCTTTCCCTAAGCCCTTGACTCTACATTTTCCCTACTGACTCAGCTGCTTCTCCCTATAGGTTTCTAAATAGCACCTACAGGAAAAGGGCTCAGACTCACCATGTCTGAGCTGGGTGTGTAGAGGAAGTTATGAAAGTTTTTATTGCCAGCTCGAAGGAGCGCCCACACAGAGCAGGTCCGCTTGTAGATGTTGCGCTTCTCTCGCTCACAGGGGTTGTTGGCCAGGAAGGTGCCGTAGAGGCAGGAGTATGTGTGTTGCACCAGTTTTACCTAGAAAGCAGAGAGAGCTTGCACCTGGGGGCCTCGGGCTGTCATTCCCCCCATCCCTGTTGTCACAGGCCTTAGGACTTACCAGGAATGCTTCATTAAATTCAAACAGGCAGGGGAACTGCTTAAGCAACTGATGAACAGAATCAAGCCACTGGAGGAACACAGGGCATTGTTCGTTTTGGTCCTCCACATTCTCTTGGTGGCCACAGCGATCTCCAAACTTGTGCCCAAAATCCAGCCAGTCAGACTCCACTAACACTTGGAAGCCCTGCAAAAAAAGAAACTGTTCAAACATAGGGCCTCTCTGGAAATGCTGATGTGCTACTCCCCTGGGAACTGCCCAAAGCAGGAAGCTGGCAGCTTCAAAGAAAAATAGGACTGGACCTAGAAGAGGACTCAAAGCCACCAATTTTCCAAGCCTTTGGGAGTTGGAAAAAAAAAGAAAAAAAGAGCCACCAATGTCCTCTACTGAAAGATCCCCAGGACAGATCCAGAGGGCTCAACACCTTCCCTCCTGCCACATTCCTTCTGGTTTTCCCACCGAATTCCTCTCAATACCTCCAACGTCCTGTAATATGGGTCCAGTAATATTTTGGCCAGGGCTACGATCTGCGGTGTGCGGTCCCAGCCATCTGAGCAGTGTACCAGCACAGGCCGGCCTTCCCGGTCTACTGTATTAGCCACCAGCACAGCTGCTTTTAGCATCACCGACAAGTGCTGCAGCCATTTGGTACTCTCCAGTGCCGACAACCAGCTACACAAAAGCAGACATCAAGTCGGTCACAAAGGGTGCTGAGGCCACAGCAGTCTCTCCACCATCCACAGCCAGCCCCACCCAACAAAGTCCCCATTGAGAACTGAAACCAAGAGGTACAACCCAGGGCCTTTTGGACAAGAGGTATCTAGCAGGAAGGTAGGGAAGACAGGACCTACAGCAGATAAAAGCATCTGAAGCTCAAAAGAGGAACTGAGAAGCATCACATGCACACTCAGCCATTTCCTCTCCCCAGTTCTCTGTGTTCTTTGAGTAGAACAACTGATCCAAACGAAAGGAATCCATGTCCTGTGACCACGCCAAAGTGTTGGCTGAGAAGTGGAAGGGTTCTTGGAACTAGCCCACGGCACCCAACTCCACCCAGGCCCTCAGGTCTCCTGCTCTCCAAACTTCTCATCTCCCCATCTAATCTTCCAAGAATAAGAGGTACTGGGTAAGGAATGAGACTGGAAGGAATCCAAGTAGGGAACACCTACTTGCTAGGATCCGGCATCTGGCTACACACAGCCCGGAGGTACTGAAAGCTGTTCCGGATGGCATGGATGTTGGCCATTCCCATGAACACGACCTCACAGTTGGGATAGTACTCTGTAGACATGACAGGAGAGTGGGACATAAAAGCACGTCCTAGGCCGGGCGCGGTGGCTCACACCTGTAATCCCAGCACTTTGGGAGGCTGAAGCGGTTGGATCACCTGAGGTCAGGAGTTCAAGAACAGCCTGACTAACACAGTGAAACCCCATCTCTACTAAAAATATAAAAATTAGCTGGCCATAGTGGTAGGCACTTGTAATCCCAGCTACTCGGGAGACTGAGGCAGGAGAATTGCTTGAACCTGGGAGATGGAGGTTGCAGTGAGCTGAGATGGCACATTGCACTCCAGCCTGGGCGACAGAGCGAGACTCCGTCTCAAAACAAACAAACAAACAAAAAAAGCACGTCCTGGAAACAGGCATCCAGGACAAGAGTGGTCCTGGTGGACAAAGCTTTCCTGGCAGGGCAGAGCACTCCAGGATAGGAACTAAATACAGTCTTGAAATCTGAATCACACTTGTATCTCTGGAGACTCAGGTGCCATATATTAATAATAGTAACAGTAATGACAAATGATAGCAGTACTTAGAAAGACAATATATAATCAATTCTCAATAAATAGTAGCTGCTCTGTGGCAATAATTTTATATATACAACTTCTTTTTCTTTTTTAAGACAGGGTCTCATGGTCACCCAGGCTAGAGGTGCAGTGGCATGATATCAGCTCACTGCAACCTCTGCGTCCCAGATGCAAGCGATTCTCATGCCTCAGCCTCCCAAGTGGCTGGGATGGGGCCACAGGCATGCACCATCATGCCCAGCTAATGGTTTGTATTTTTGATAGAGGCAGGGTTTCACCATGTTGCCCAGGCTGGTCTCAAACTCCTGAGCTCAAGCCATCCGCCTGCCTCTGCCTCCCAAAGTACTGGGATTACAGGCATGAGCCACTGGGCCCAGCCTACATATGCAACTTCTAATCATCCCAACAATTTTGCAAAGTGTGTAACATCCCCTTCTTATAGAAGAGAAAATAAAGCTTGGACAGATTAAGCAACTTCAGCATAGTCATAGCCATAGCTAGTAGGTAGCAAAGTTGTGATTACAAGCCAGGTTTGTTTGGGCTCTTTCCACTATACAAATGGCCCCCAACCCCCTCCTCACCAAAGCCACCCAGAGCACAGGCTGGCTGCAGACACTGGGATAACAGCAATACCTTCACATTCACAGCCTCCACCCTTGGCCCGGTTGGCCACTGCTGCCGTGTAGGATCGCGCATCCAGGATCAGCAGCTTTTGAGGAGCTGCTGTGCTCTCCACTCCAGAGCACGCAGTCAGAGAAGAATCTAAACACACAGCAGGAAGGAGTCCCTGAGTCAGCCAGCCACCCAACCTCTTGCTGGCCCTCTGGCACTCCCTCTCAGAAGGCAGAACATGCAACTAGAGACCCCTCATACCCCACAGCTTCTGACAAGGCAGGGACCCCAGCACCCCGTGTGTTGTCATCTTCCCAGACTCTCACTGGGGACTCCCTGGGAGCCAATGAAGCCAAGGAGGGGGCCTGCTCCCTGGGGGGTTAGCATCATCCACACCTTACCAAAGTCAGCATCACACGCCTCGCTGGTATCATTATTCCCGGTGCTGAGGGAGCCCCCAGTGGCCCTTGTCCCCGGGTCCAGGGCACAGGCTTTAGCAATGGACGTGACCAGGTACTCATCATCAGCATTGCGCCAGCCCCACCAGCTGATCTCTGGCTGGCTGCAGCGGGCGATGGCAGCCCCATTGCGCAAGTGTCTGACAAAACAGAAGAAACCGTAATGCCCTTGGCATTCGAAGCCTCCAGAGGCCTACCTCAGGGGGTTAGACCAAAGTCTCTAGAGCCAGCAGGGGCTACCAACTCATCCAGGCCATAACAGCAACCAAAAGCCCCAACGTCACTAGCAGGCTTCACCGTTTACAAAGCACCATCACACATACTTTCTCAAATGGGCTCTGTATGTCCAAGGTGACCTTGACTCATCAAATCTGCACAGCAACTGCTCCAGGTACAGACACCCAGCAGGAGAACAAGGCCTGGCTGAGCCAAGAATAGGAACAATTCCAAACTTCAGGGTTACTTCCTGTCTCACTCTATTTTAGCTACAATATTCTAGTGCAGGGATCAGCAAACATTTTCAGTAAAAAACCAGACAACAATTTTTGGCCTTGTGGGTCACAACCAGTTTCTGTCATGTATTCTTCTTTGCTTTTTTTAAAAATAGCCCTTTAAAAATGTAAAAACCACTCACAGCTTACAAGCCGTTTTATATAATAGGCTATAAGCCAGATTTTGTCTGCAGGCCAGTTTGCCAACCCCTGTACTAATGTGTGTATAAAATAATGTACTATTTTATACACACACACACACACACACACACACACACACACACTCTAAAAAAAGGGGGGGAATGAATAAACTCCCTAATAGCCTTATTCTTAGGAGAAAAAACTAAGATAGTTTTTGTTTTAAAGTTATTTCATACTTCCCCATAGAGTGTCAATTCTCAGTCAACCAGGTTACCCAAAATCTCCAATTTTGACTCTTTCCTTGTTGCATAAGAAATGGCCTCCCTACTTCCCAGCCCCACTGCCTCACCTATACACAACCACGGGAATCCGCTTCCAGGAGCGGAAGGAAGCCACGTTCTCCAGCTCTTTGTCAGTGATCCACACAGGAACCAGCAGCTTCTGGGGGTAACTGGGGCACAATCTGAGAAGAGACCAGGTGGGGGTCACTGCACTGGGTCTAAAACATGTGATGACAGGATCCCTGGGGATGGCTTTGTGGGAAGAGAAACCATGAGCCTTCCTCCCTCTCAGACTCAGAAGCTGTGCCCACCACACTTTATCCAAACACGGAAGTAGTTTGGTGTGGAAGGTGTTTTGGTCCCCAACCCTCTCACTTGTAGTTGCTGTTGATGTGTGAGACTCTCCAGACGTTCTGCAGGTCAAAGCCCATCCTTGCAAGCTCCGCCTCCTGTCGACAACGTATGTGCTCACCTGCAACAGAGCCCCCACGATGGTTAGCTTCCCAGAGCACCAATGTGCAGGAGTGGAGGAGGGATGAGAACTAAGGGGTAAGAAGCAGCCTCCCAAAGAAAATAGACTGGCCTCACCTGGCTGACATAGGTGAGTGTGCTGGTCCTCCTCGGTCAGCCCCAGGCACCAGGCATGGTAGGCAAAGGCAAAGAGGTCTTCAGGCTTGGCAGGTCTTGCTGTGGCTCGGCTTAGCCGTGAGAGCCACTCTTGGCACTGCTTAAAAGTGGAGAAGTGGCACCTGCCAGGCAAGAAGCCACAGGCCTAGGTGAGGCAAAGTGCAGTTGTGCCATGGGGCTATCAGGGCCAAAAACACAGCCACAGGAAGGCTGTGAGGAGAGAAGGCTGCAAAGCAAGAGGTAAAGCAGTGGGGACCCAGGGTGGGGGGACGAGGGACACTGGCCAACACCCAACAGAAGTTGTCTCTTGTGATAATTCTCTTCCCAAGAACTCCTGTGTTTGAGGCATACTTATCCTCTCGAATGGGGCGCTACTGTTTCTCGTATCAAATCTAAATGCTACCATGTGGCCCTGAACGTCTGCACTCCTTGTCCCTACCCTAATGGACCAGTGTTATCTCCCATGACTCCCTAACTCAAACCTTCTGCTTCAGGCGGGAAGTTCTGCTCACATCCTTCCCATCTCCTTGGTTTATCTTCTGCTTGATAATGTCTCCTCTCTGCCTAGCCACATCCTACTGATGCTTTGAAGATAGTTTCAGTCTCACCTCTTCCTTGAAGCCTTCCCAGCCTACTCTATTCCAGAAACTCCTTCCTCTCTTGATTCTTAATGTGCTTGGAATATATATATATACCTTTTTTTTTTTTTTTGAGAGAGGGTCTTGCTCTTGCTCTGTCACCCAGGCTGGAGTGTAGTGGCACGATCACAGCTCCCTGCAGCCTCGACCTCCTGGGCTCAGGCAATCCTCACAAATCAGTCCCCTGAGTAGCTGAGACCATAATTGTGCACCACCACGTCTGGCTAACTTTTTAAATTCTTCATAGAGACAGGGTCTCTCTATGTTGTCCAGGCTGATCTTGAACTCCTGGGCTCAAGCGATCCTCCTCCCTCGGCCTCCCAAAGTACTAGGATTACAGGTATGTGCCACTGTGCCTGGCCTACTTGGAGTACTAAGCAACACATTTTCCCATAGCATATTGCCACATGTTAAATCTTCTTCCAGCAGCTAGAGTTTAGCCTCCTTGAAGGGAAGGGCAATGTGAATGCTCCTTCTGAATGCCCCACAGACCTGAGCACATGGTAGGCTCTAAAGTAGGTATCCTTTTAATAAACCTTGGAGTCATCCAGATTCCTCTTTCTTTCACTTCAAATCTGTCAGCAAATCTTCTCATCTCCACCTTCAAAATACACCCAGAATCTGAATGCTTCTCACCGCTTTGGCTGCTACCACCTCAGACAGGCCACCATGATCTCTCATCTGGGTAACTGCAATAGCTTCCTAACTAGTCTCCCAGTTTTTGCTTTTGCTCTTGCCCCCATTCTCTTTCATCTAGTCTCAATATAGCAGCCAGTGTGATTCTATGAAACATTAATCAGATCACATCACTCCTTTGCTCAAAATCCTCCAGTGGTTTCTCAGTTCCCTCAAAGTAAAAGCCAGTCTTCATGACAGCCAAAGTGTCTGACACCCGGCTTTGTTCTCAGGTCATATAACCCACTACCCTCACCCACACGTGCTCTACTCCAACAACACCAGCCTCCCTGCCAGTCTCCCAATATGCAGGCACACACCCACCTCAAGGCCTTTGCACTTGCCGTTCTCTGTCTCTGGCACACTCTTCCACCAAATAGCCACATGGCCACTTTCTTCAAGTCTTGACTCGACTGCCACCTTTTCGGTGCAGCTTCTCTGATCACTTTTGTTTTTTTGAGACAGGGTCTCACTCTGTCATCCAGGCTGGAGTGCAGTGGTGTAATCACAGCTCACTGCAGCCTCGACTTCTCAGGCTCAAGAGGTCCTCCTATCTCAGCCTCTTGAGTAGCTGGGACTACAGGCATGCATCACCACGCCTGGCTAATTTTTTATATTTTTAGTAGAGATGGGGTCTCGTCCTGTTGCCCAAGCTGATCTTGAACTCCTAAGCTGAAGCGATCTCCCCACGCATCACCACACCTGGCTAATTTTTTCTATTTTTAGTAGAGATGGGGTCTCGCTATGTTGCCCAGGCTGATCTTGAACTCCTAAGCTGAAGGGATCTTCCCACCTTGGCCACCCGAAGTGCTGGTATTACAGGCGTGAACCACCGTGCCCAGCCTGATTGTTTTACAATCTTCACCCTCATAGCACTCCTTATTCCCTTTCCCTGCTTTATTTTTTTCCTTTACACTTACTATCATTTCACAAATTTTACTTATTACTTACGGTTGGTATCTCCTCATTGGAATGTAAGCTCTCTGAGGCGGCAAAATTTTGTCTATTTGTTCCCTGCTGTATCCCCAGGGCTTAAAACAGGCTGGCATTGAGTAGGGTACTCAATACATGTATATCAAATGAATAAATAAATAAACCAACAATAATATGAGTGCTCTGTGCCAGATATTGTCCTCGGTGCTTTCATACACATACACATTATCTCACTTAATCCTTACGATGACTCCATGAACTAGGCATTACCCCCATTTTTTCAGGTCAAGATCCTATGGGTCAGTAAACTGACCTCCCAACCCAGAACATGGTCTTCACCTTTTCTTCCAACTGGGGAAAGTGAGGCAGGATCTTTCCTCTCTTGCACCAGAGAAACCCTGCAGCACAGAGAACTGGACAAGACTAGGGCCAGGGGACCTGAGTGAGGCTCCGTTGTTCTCACCTCACCACTTTGGAGTCCTTGCAGGAAATGTGCAACTGGAACATATCACGGCTCTCCACACTGTCAATCATCCGGAGGGGGACCTGTAGAGGAAGGGCAAACTGAAGCTCAGACTCCCCACTGGGTACCACTCCTCACCCTCACCCTAGCGTAGGCACTAATGTATCAATAGCAGGAAGGAAACCAACATTTACTGAGGGTCTGTTAAGCACCTGGTAACTGTACGGAGTCCTCTGCATATGTGATCCCAATTAATGATCCCAATAACGTTGCACAGCAGGTGCTTTCAGCCCATATTACGAGGAGAAAAATCAAGCCTCAGTTAGGTGACTTGACCAAGGTCACCCAGCTGGTGAGTGGCAACGCAGGAAAAGAGCCCAGGTTTGCCTGACTCCAAAGCCTGTGTTCTTCCAACAATGCCACTGTGCTCCTTAGAAGGGCCAGTAATAGAATAATGGAAAGAGAGAAGAGGAGAAAGGAGAATGAGCCAGAAACAGAGCTAGGAAAATGAGGCAGGAAAACATGAGGTCAGAGAGAAACAGAAGGGATCCCCAACTTTTTTTTTTTTATTTTTTTGAGAGGTAGTCTCACCCTGTCACCCAAGCTGGACAGCAGTGGCACAATCTCGGCTCACTGCAACCTCCACCTCCCAGGTTCAAGTGATTCCCGTACCTCAGCCCCCGAGTAGGTGGGATTACAGGTGCGCACCACCAAGCCCGACTAATTTTTGTATTGTTAGTAGAGACACAGTTTCACCATGTTGGCCAGGCTGGTCTCGAACTCCTGACCTCAAGTGATCCACCCGCCTCGGCCTCCCAAAGTGCTGGGATTACAGGCGTGAGCCACTGCGCCCGGCCTCCAACTTTTTTAATGACATGATCAAGGACAGCCTTGGAACAATCCCACCTTGAACTTCATAGGGATTCTAGCTTAGGGGTAGGAGAACAATACAGAAACTCACGTTGATGACAGAGTCCTTGAATTTGATATGCAGCCGGTAGTTAGAGATGGCAATGAGGGCATCGGCTGCCCGGCCCAGGAACTCTACTCCCTCACCCTGCAGCACTGTGAAGGGGACCTGTCAAGGGGCAGAGAAACCTTCAGTCCAGAAGTGAGTGACCACCTTATCCTCTTCTACAGCCCCTGATCTGTGGGATCCCCTCTGGAAAAGGTGGGCCAAGGCAAGAGAGGAGAGTTCTCTCCACGGTAACAGCACCAGGCAACAGCTGTACAGGAAAGCTGCCTTTCCTTCCCTGCGGCCAAAGGCTCCAGGATGCGCAGACAAACCCTCCTCCTCCAGAGACCAGGGAACATGAAGCCAGAGCTCTGGTACCAGATGCCCTTGAGGATTTTTGGGAGAAGGGAGGGTGTTTTTTAACTGGGCAGGGAGCCCCATCTATCCTGGCCCCCAACTCCTCCTTACCTGAAGATTCTCTTCCTCCTTCACTAGTTCCTTGGGGGGGAACAGATCCTTGGCTTGGATGTACTCCAGGCTGGGGGGCCCCTCCTCACCCTGTAGGAAGGCCACAGTCCTAAGTCACCAAGCTCCACTTAGCCCATCAGGCTCATTCTGCTCCTCTCCCCACCAAGAAATCCACAGATACCCACACACACACACCTCTAAAGGTTCTGGTCACCAGAGAAGGGAAAAGAGATCTGACTTGGTTGGAGACAGGGAAGGGTGAAATGGAGAGCATATCAGCCTATTAAGCCTAAGGAAAGAGTGAGGCCCCAGGAGGAATTGGGAATCTGCACTCTTCAAAGAGGGACTCTCCTATAGAACCAACATTTCAAAAATGGAGGAGAGAAAACTAAGGAAAAGAAAGACTCTTTCCCTTAGACCCGCATAAGGGTAAGGCAGGAGTGGGGATGGGAAAGTGCTGTCCTGAGGAAAAGGAGCCAGGTATGGCAGCTGGTTTCAGAGAGAAGGGAAATCAGGCGCCTACAAGCCACTGAAGCTTCAATCTGGTGGGTGAAGGAGACAAAGAGGAGTGGGTGGGGGGATTCAGTCCCACGCCTCTAGAGGGCCTTCACCGACGCTTTCAAAAGGAAGACGTGTTTGAGAGCTGGGCTTATCTTCTTGTTAGACCCACATTGCTGACAAGCCCCCATTACCTGCCAAGTAACCTGCTCTGCCTGCTAATCAGAGGGGAATTCCTGAGGAATACCCACAGCAAGCAAAAGGAACTCCCCTCCCAACCACCAGGGAGGGGACCCGGGGGGATCCACGCGCCTGGGAGGAGCCAGGAGACCCAAGGACAGCCAGGGGAGAGAGAGAGAGGAGGCCCGGCAGACACCCACGGGGAAGGTGGGGGGACAGCTGAGAGGACAGATGGGGGAAGCTGGGAAGGAGCATCAGCCAGAGCGGGAGGAGGGGAGGACCGGGAATGATGCAGAGGTACGGAACCCTGCAGAGGCAGGGAAGATGGAGAAGAGAGGCTGTCTGGGGGACAGTCAAGGAGAAAAGGCTGGCATGCCAGGTGAGGGATGGAATGGTGGAAGAGGGAAGGGACTGGAGCCCCAAGCCAGCTCAAAGACATCCCGTGCTCCCCGACCAACCTCCTAACATCCCATTCAGCCTACTAGCCACATCCCACATCCCCAAGCAAGGATTCAGCGGGTGGGACCAAGAGGGAGAGGCGGAGGTAAAGGGATGTACCCCTGCAGGGCGGGGCCTAGAGATCTGCAGTCAAGGGCAGTGGCTGCGGGGCCAGGATGGACCACAGAATTTCCATTCCTGGCCTTCGACCATCTCCGGCACCCAAAGATTGAAGCAAGTCCAAGAAATAAAAGGGTTAACCCACCTTCCCTGCCCCCCAAACGTTCGGGGCCGGGCCAGGGGCCTCGGGAAGGGGGATGGGCTGAAATCGAGGGCTGACCCTGGGCGGGGCTGCGGGTGCCTCCTAGGCCCCCAAAGGCAGGGTGGGCACTTACGAAGCAGCTAAGCATGGAGCAGGAGACGCGGGCGGTCAGGCTCATGGTCGCGGGCGGTCTGGGCCAGCGCACATGTCCCCGGAGCCGCTGCGCTGCCCGCCAGCCCCGGGCGCCCGCCGCATCCCGGCTGCGGGGCTCGCCAGGTGCAGCCGCGGCGGCCAAGAGGCTAGGGCGCTGGTGGCCGGGCCTCCGCGCGGCTCCCGCGCGCCTCTCCCCTCCTCTCCACAATGGAGCGGGCCCAGCTCCGCCCTCCCGCACGAGTGCAGAAGGGAGGGGAGCCAGGCGAGGGGAGAGCCCGGGACCGCGGCGGGAAGGCGGAGGTAGAGGCGGGGCGGCTCCGCGGGCCCCGCCCACAAGCCCAGCCTCCTCCCTCCCCGCGGACCCTGGGCCTCGTAGGAGGGCGTACCCTACTCCAGGGACCTTTAGGAGCTTTCAGGAATCTGGGCTACGGGACCGCCCACATCTTCTCATTTCCCTTCTTCTAAGGTGAGCCACCCCATGCCCTCTTACAAACCCATCCCCGCGCCCCCTCCCCTAAGTTCCCCCGACGCCTGCTCTGGATCCCAAGGTGGAGCTCACCTACCCGCACCCCATTTGCTTCCTCCTTTCCCTCCAAAACCACTACCCACCATGCCCCTGCCCATCAGGGTCCTTCAATCCCGTGACTTCGTTAAACCTTTCTTTCCCCTTAGAATGGTGCCAGGTTAGTCATTCCACGCTCCTGGAAAGGGAAAT
The DNA here is from genome assembly GCF_000001405.40 of Homo sapiens. Taxonomy (NCBI): domain Eukaryota; kingdom Metazoa; phylum Chordata; class Mammalia; order Primates; family Hominidae; genus Homo; species Homo sapiens. Next base: position 58,515,098 of record NC_000017.11, read on the forward strand.
GAGCTTTTTATTCCAACGCCCCTACCCAACCCTACTCCTTCAGCTCCATCTCTCCCTTGTTTCACATTCTGATCTCTGGGTAAGAAAGCCCTTCTTGGAGGAGAAAGGATTTCTTAGTCTGGGAAAGTGAAGAGCTAGAAGTATCGACCACAGAAGCTATACAAAAAAACGAAACTTGAAACCCAGGAGCAGCGGAGTAGAGAGAGTTGGGTAGAGGGCCAAGGAATAAGGACCAGGAATAAGGGGCTCAAAATGTCACCAAGAGTCACAGAGGGAGGTGGCTGGAACCCCAAACTTCCTGCACCTTGTAACTTTCAGACACCAGGGCTTTTGTCTTGTTTGGGGGAGAAGGGAGTAATAAAAGAAAACCTGACATTTTATTAAGCATCTACAATGAGCCAGGCAGTTTCTAACATTATCTCAGTAAAACTTTTCAAGCCCCAAGAAGTAAACCTTATCCTGTCTTACTCGTGAGACTCAAGCTTAGAGAGAAAGTATGTAATTTAACTAAGTGGTGGTGCTAGGATTTGAAATTAGATGAAGCTGACTGTGAAGCCCATGCTCTTTTCAGGGTAGCCCAGAAGAGAAAAAGAGGAGCTATCTGTTGGTGGGGGCCAAAACCAGCAGGCTTTCTGAGAAGAGACTGAACCAATAGTGCACACACCAAATCCACATGTCTATGGAAGGAAGGGAGGGAAGGAGGAAATCCTCTCATCTACTGAATTCTTTAACCTGCCCCTAAGCACAAGGGACACCTAAAAGACACCGAAGAGATACTACCAGGTTAAGGGCCTGGTCTGGGCCAGGGCCTACAGCTCTCTAGGCCTTTCCCATCTCACTGCCTCCTCCTAGCTCTTAGGAGTTAAGGGCTTCCCTGGACTTGGGGTGAGAGAAGGGCTGTTACAGTTAATGGAAAATTAATAGGATCATTGTAAACCACCTCTGGTGATATTCTGGGCACCCTGAAGATGCTATCCTGATAGATATTCAATCAGCTGTCACCTGTAGTGGCTTAACAGCAGCACCCTGGAACTAGAGAAGCCCCACAGTTTTGGTGGAGTCACTCCTGATATAGCATCCACAATATTCAAAGGACCCACCAGAAGTCCAAAGATCTTGAGATAAAGAAGGCCCAGCTTTTCAGACCAGAACACAGAGATTCTACCGGGGACCCAAGAAAAGCAAGAAGAGGGCTGTTATGAAGGGTTAATAGAACCAGTGGTGGGTAGGGAGTAGGAGGAAAGTGTGGGGCCTAGCACATGCAGAAAATGATTTCTAGAAGCTTCCAGTCCCAGTGCTGTATACTGGCTGATGTTTTGCAATCTAAAGAAACCCTAATTTATCTCCAGGGCAGATGAACATGTTTAGGAGCTGAACAGGGTAGCCTGGAGCTCAAGGTCTAGGACAGGTGGGGCAGCTTCACAGAGAAAGACACATGGATTACAGAAAACACAATGGCCTGAGGAAAGACAGGGTACTCACCATTCTACCGTGGCAAGGGTACTGGCTGCCTGCTTCTCACTGTAAGGAGACAGAGGAACATAAAAGTAAAGGACCCCATTAACATTACCATAGAATCAACAAATGACACACATCTACCCCTGACCTTCTCTACAACTCTTATTCTTCTCCCTCACAGAGACTCCAGTCTCTCCACAAGTCACCATGCCAGAGAGAGGCAATGGGAGCTACATGAGGAGAAAGCAACAAGTGATCCTGCAGGGCATGAAGTCAGCCACGAAGTTCTGAAACAGGAATGAGTGTCATCCAAGATTATTCAGCAGAATTCAGGAGTCCTGATTTCCAGACGCAGAGGGAGAACACTTCTTTCTCAGGGAGCAGAACTGCCAACTATGAAGAGACACAGGCTGCCCAACTGGGGCTCATTTTAGGCCCTGACTCTTGGGGTGAAGTGGCAGTAGTTGAAGGAGCATGAATCCACAGGAATGTTTTGCCAGTCTCTGAGTCTGGGAGTAGTACCCACCTGACCTGTTTACTGGGGGCAGAGTCCAGAGTGGGACAAGAGGGAGGGGACCACAACCTGTGATCAGAGGGCAGCAGGGCTGCACAGGTCCTCCTGAGTGTATTTGACACCAAGTGGGGTGGAGGTTATGGAGAGGAGGCCACACAACAGGGACAGAATCAGGCCAATCCAGGCCTTGGAGTCAGCATCTGTCCAATGAGCCCAAGTAACAGGGATTTCAGGATAGGGCCTCCTAGGCTCACTTAGGGAGCCAGGCCTAGGTTTCACTGACACTTTCCTTCATGCCTGCTTTCCTCAGGCAGTGCAGCAGAGCCCTGCGGGAGGCTGCGGGGATAAAAGCCTCCATCTGTGGTACTGCCCACCTCCCTGTTCACAGTATCCTCTTCCCTAGGCCATTCTCCCTCATGGGGGAACCGGCAAGAGGCAAGCCAGAGGTGCTGCCTCACCGCCCACTGGCAGCAGCCCCAGGGAAGGAAGGGAGGGAAGGAGGGACAAGGATCAGGCCTGGGAGGCCCAGGGTTTTCAGACCTAGGGGATCTGGTCCCAGGGGGCGGGCCAGGTTGGCAGGGGAGCCCAGGTGCCCAGGTTCTAGGGGCGGAGCCTAAAGACTGGGAGGCGGAGCCCCAAATGACAGAAGGCGGGACTCAGGAAAGCCGGTGGGGGCCAGGGCGGAGCCGGGCAAGACGCGGTCGTTGCGGTTCCCAGGCTTGCAGTGCAGGGGGCACGGTGACTCACCCAGGCGGCGTCCGCCCGACCCTCTGAGGCCGCGCTCTTGCCACTTCCGTCTCCCGCAGCTGCTGAGGCCGCGCAGTCCCGACCCCACCACAGTGCCCCTCTCCTGAACCAATCATATCTCTAGCCTGTACCCGCCCTGGCCAATGGCCACGCCAAGTCCCGCCCTGCCCCCATCACGCAGCCACCGCCCTCACTCTCGACCCCACTCATTGGTCGAGTCGGGCAAACGCCCTCCCAGCCTTTAGCCAATCGGATGCCTAAAGACGAGACTATACCTGGAGGAAGGAGGCGCGGCGCCGGAGGGGAGACGCGACCAATGGGAAATCACAGCGCGTCCTTGCGGCAGCCAATAGGAGAGCAGTAAAGAGGGGGCTGCTGGCCACTGCTCTGGGGACCGGAAGTGGAGGCGGCTCGTCGCCTACTGGTAGCGCAATTAGAGGCGGGCATTGTAGGTTACATGCCTAAAGCCACTTCCGGTGATGGCCCCGCCCAGGAGGTACTTCTGAAACAGGTCCCCAGTGGCACCTCAGTTTATCCATTCCCGTTTTGGTTTCGCAGCTGTCATCCGGTCCCAACGCCAGAATAGGAGAAAAACCTGCAGGCTAAGAGAGAAGGGAGGGCTGGGCCTGAGGTTCAGTCTTGGTCATCTCCGACTGGCGGCGCTAGGATTTCCCCCTTCCTGTGTCTTGATGGGTTCCTCCAACACTCACTTTGTATCGATAAACGACCCTGCAGTTCTTCACGACCTGCATTGCGCTGGCAGTCCTGAGTGAAGAACTCTCCTCTCATCCCAGAGATGGGAAACCTGGATCTGAGACTGCCAGCTAGCTGCGGCCTCCTAGTCTGTAAAGCGAAGGGAGACCAGGACGCTCCCAAGGACCCGGCTTATCGCCCCTCCCTTTCCTTCCCGGGGACCCAGAACAGACCACAAGACGGAGGGTGGCCGCTGGAGGTCGCCGTGGCCCCGCGATACCACCAACCGACAGAAATGGAGAACAGTTGATTCAGATTCAGCTGATATTCTCAGGTCTGGAGCGGGCCTGAGCGCTTTAATTAGCCCGGGGCTAATGTCCTCACCCATCTTTGTTTATAGAACGTTGAAACTCCAGTACTGTTGGTAAGTTCCAGGAAGACAGGAACTTTGCACTACTTGAACTCCAGGGTCTAGAACAGCCTGCAATCTAGCAGATGCTGTAAATTTTTTAATTAAATACTGAACTCCTGTAGGACGGTGATTGTGTTTTTATTCATTCCCAGCACTTACTATAGTGTTTGGTGATTACAATGGCTGCAGCATTTGTTCAAAGCTCTATCACAGGCTTTCTACAGTGTAGAGCTTAACCTGCCTATCCCTTTTCCCAGATCAGGGGAAACAGAAAGTCAGGAGGTTGCACGCAGTTAATACCTTGTGTTTTCCCAAGGGCAGGTATCAAATACAAAACTGCGTCCGCCGCAGCTGGAATACGCACAGGCATCAAAATGGGGCCTTTTGGGCCGGGCGCGGTGGCTCATGCCTGTAATCCCAGCACCTTGGGGGGCCGAGGCGGGCGGATCTCAAGGTCAGGAGATCGAGGTCATCCTGGCTAACACGGTGAAACCCCGTCTCTACTAAAAATACAAAAAATTAGTCGGGCGTGGTGGCGGGCGCCTGTAGTCCCAGCTACGGAGTCTTGTAGTCCCAGCTACGGAGCTTGCAGTGAGCCGAGATAGCGCCGTTGCACTCCAGCCTGGGCGACAGAGCGAGACTCCGCCTCAAAAAAAAAAAGGGCAGGGGGGACTTTTGGACAGTCCTTTAATATTGGGGAAGTGCCCCAAATTTCTTTTTCTTTTTATTTTTCTTTTTTTTTTTTGAGACGGAGTCTCGCCCTGTCACCCAGGCTGGAGTGCAGTGGCGCCATCTCAGCTCACTTCAAGCTCCGCCTCCCGGGTTCAGCCATTCTCCTGCCTCAGCCTCCCGAGTAGCTGGGACTACAGGCGCCCGCCACCACGCCCGGCTATTTTGTATTTTTAGTAGAGACAGGGTTTCACTTTCTCCTTAGCCAGGAGAAGTGCCCCAAATTTCTAATCCCTTAAGCCAGGACCTTGGTAGCCCTGAGGTGTGATGGGAGACTCTGGACAGAACCACCTGTTGACCTATCCAGGACCCAAATATGCACCACAGGTAGGAATCTTTTTATTACCAAAGGTACTGTATGTGTGAAAGATGGAGAGAGACCCAGACCCCAGATAACAGAGGCATGATAGATATGATCGTCAAGATGGAGAAGCCAGGCTGGATTCTAAGCAGGGACTTAGAAGGGGAAAGGAAGTGGAAAGTTTTCCCCACTCTCCCTTCCCTACTAAAAGCCAGAAACCAACATCTTCTACCATTAGCCTTTCAAAACTGGGTCCCAGGATCTTGATCTCCAGGTCATAAAAATACACACAGGGACACCAGAAGCCACCTACAGATTTATTAAACTTTATTTCCTCTGAGTCTCTGGGCAGTCAGCAGGGATGTAAGGCGAAGTGGCAGTAGCTGAAGGGGCCTGAGCAGAGCTGGTGCTGGGAGGGGCCGGCATGGACAGGAAGAAGAGGAGGAGATTTAAATATCCAGGGCTGAAAGCCAGTTAATAGTTCTCCTTCATCTGTTTTTGTATTTTGTGTAGCATCTCCTGCATCCGCCGCAGCTGGAATAGGCACAGGCATCAAAATGGGGACTTTTGGAGAGTCCTTTAGTATTGGGAAAGTGCCCCAAATTTCTAATCCCTTAAGCCAGAACCTTGGTAGCCGTGAGGTGTGATGGAGACTCTGGACAGAACCACCTATTGACCTATCCAGGACCCAAATATGCACCAGAGCCAGGGATCTTTCTATTACCAAACAAAGAGATACCAACGTTGGTGATCAAACAGGAGACCTCCCCTATACCCCATACTGCTCTCACCTCCTCATCTTTCTCTCGGATAAGCTTCTCAGTTTCTGGATCTGTCCCTGGTGGGACAGCAGGGATGGGGAAGTCGGTACCACTTTCCCGAGTCAGTTTGCTAAAGGGAGAAAAGGGTTGATAAGGCGAGGAGGACCCCAGCACCCGCTTAGATTGAGCCCAGGGCCTATAGAAGAACAAAAGTAGGGCTTGGTCTCACCCAAGGCTAGGCTTGGGATCTCCCCCTGCCAGCTTTGTCCTGGCTTCTGGTCATACTTGCGATTCCGTTCCTTCACCACCAGGCGGGTCATGCTCTGGATGCACTGTGCCCGGTAGTTCTCATAATGTGTCTCCCGTGTCACATCCTTCAGGTCCTGCATGTGGGTACGTACCAGCATTGTCCTCAGCTTCACAAAGTCGCAGTGCCCTGGGTTTTCCACTGCATAGCAAGGCTAGGGGTCAGCCAGAGGCATAGGTAGGGGAGAGCCACTGAGGGCAAGGAGATACCCTGGTCACAGGCTCAGTGCTTTACCTTCCACGATGCCCCAGGGGTAGAGTCGACCCCGAACTCGCCGCCCTCTGGCCTCTACTACAGTGTTGCTGCCAATTACTGCAAATGGGATGCTTTCCTGGAAGAGGTTAGGGGTGCCTGTCAGCACCCTCTGTTCTCACCTCTTTCTTTCCACCTGTATCGTCATCTTCTCTGCTTCATTCTAGGAAGCCAGGGTCCTTTCCCACCCTGATAGCCTGAATATAGAATTCTACTCCCTTTTTCTACCCGGAAGAAATAAGATAGGAATGGGATGCCCTAGAGTGGCCCCACCTTTAGGGCTTGGTCCTGCAATTTGAAGTCCTCATCCTCATCAGAGTCACAGTCTGGGAATTGATAGATCTTGATTCCAAAATGCTCAATCTCCTCCCGGATCTGACAAACAGATGAGGGGCCCACAGTTCTGGGGACCACATCCTTTCTAGAAGCCCACCTGATCCCCTCCCACCACCAGCTTCCCTCACTTTGCGTTTCTTGTGGTCCACTTCGGGAGGTGTCAGTGTGTCTGCCTTAGCCAGGATAGGCACGATGTTGACCCGCTGATGCAGGGCCTTCATGAATTCAACATCCAATGGCCGGAGCCTGGGGAACAGGAACCTGTGACCACCTGCTAGTGGCAGCCCTGCCCCTGGTGCTCTTGGCCTGTTCCCTTGACAGCACCCGGTGGTGCCAGGAGCCTCAGGCTTGGACCATACCCATGGCCGAAGGGTGAGATGAAGTACAGGCAGCAGTGCACCCTGTTGTCTTGGATGTTCTTTCGGTTCAGGCCACTCTCGTCTCGGAAATACTGCTCAAACTGCTGATCAATGTATTCTGCCACAGGCTTCCAGCTGGGGCAGGGACAGACAAGCAGAGAAACTGTGAGAGTGGGAGCCACCTAGTGAGCTCTGGGACTACAGAGAAGTAGCCCACTCCCTGAGCAGTGTTTTTAAGACACTGTTATTCCCTGGCTTGCTTTACTAAATCTTTAGAGAAATTCCTGAATGGGGTGGGGTGTATCTCACATGTCCTGATACAAAATTAGACTGAGTACTCAGGCAAGTTTAATAAATACTAGCTTGATGAGAGGGAAAGGGCCCAGGTGATCAAACAAAGCAGTAAGAATAGGCTGGGCACGGTGGCTTACCCCTGTAATCCCAACACTTTGGGAGGCCGAGGCGGGTGGATCACTTAAGGTCAGGAGTTTGAGACCACCCTGACCAACATGGTGAAACCCTGTCTCCACTAAAAATACAAAAATTAGCTGGGCGTGGTGGTGTGCACCTGAGTAGTCCCAGCTACTCAGGAGTCCGAGGCAGGAGAATCACTTGAACCCAGGAGGCAGAGGTTGCAGTGAGCCAAGATCATACCACTCCAGCCTGGGTGATGGAGCCAGACTGTCACAAAAAAAAAAAAAAAAAGAAGAAGAAGAAGAAAAAAAGAATAGCAAGGTGGCTGCAGGCAAATACCAACTGGAAGCCAGGGAAACCCTAAGTCAGGTTTCCAGTGTAACCTCAGAGCCTCTTTGCTCATGTGTTTCTACCCTTTCCTCTACCTCTCCAAACCCACTCCATCCTTCAAGGCCCTAAGAACCATCTCTTCCACGAAGTCTCCTTTGACTATACCAATACACACTGCTCTCCCCTTCTCTTCACTACAAAGCAAAACAAATAAATAAATAAATTTCCCCAAGAACCTCAATTTTCATATCCTTTGCTCTTCTATTATCTTGTTTAATCCTCACTGCCCTGACAGGTGGACATTATGCATTATGATCATCATCACTCTCATTTCATACATGAAGAAACTAAATCCAGAGCAGCTAACAGATTTGCTCCAGGCCAGGTGTGGTAGTTCACGCCTGTAATCCTAGCACTTTAGGAGGCCAAGGTAGGCTGATCACTTGAGCCCAGGAGTTCAAGACCAGACTGGGCAACATAGCGAGACCCCCATCTCTACAAAAAATACAAAAAAGTTAGCTTGGTGTGGTGGCATACACCTGTAGTACCAGCTACTTGGGAGGTTGAGGTGGGAAGATAACCTGAGCCCGGGGAGCCCCGGGAGGTGGTTGATCAGGCCACTGCACTCTAGCCTGGGCAACAGAGTGAGAACCAGTCTCAAAAAAAAAAAAAAAAGAAAGGAGGAAGGAGAGGGAAAGGAAAAGGACTTTCTGTAGGTCATTTAGCTAGTAAATTCTCTACCCACCTGAACCCCTACAGCTCAGTGCACTTGCCACTACACATTGCCTGACCCATTTACTAATTTAAGTTGCTATCTGATTGAAACATGTTAGAGAACTGCCCCCACCTCCCCTGCTTCCCTGTTGCCACTTGACTATAAGCCTCTCAGGGATAGGAATCATTCATGCTTGTTCTGAATCCCTTAAAATGTCCACCACAGGCTGGACATCTAGTATGTGCTCACATTCTAGCTGATTTGATGCTCTGCCGTTGCCATGTTGAAATTCTTAAAAATTTTGAACACGGGGCCCTACATTTTCATTTGCACTGGGCCCAACAAATTATGTTGCTGGTCCTGCAATTACCATTGTTAAAATTCCTGAGTATGCTGTAAATAGCCCTTTACACTTTTCAGTGCGCATGCATCATGTTGGGTGATGTTCAAATCAATTGGAGAGGTGGTAAGGGCTGGTATATTTTAATTAAATAAGTGTCTGACAAAATGAATATATATGGAGGTACACTTTAAACTGTGAGGTGCCTGGCAAATGAAATTATTAGTATTATGGAAGGTAAGAGACAGTAGGTAAATTGATTGAAGGAGATCATTTGCTCAAGATCATGAAGTTACTAAATGCCAATCAAGATTTGAACTCTCTGTCTAGGGCTCTTAGCACTGCCTGCCTAACTTCTTCATCAAAGCTACCACCTTTTCTCCTGTCAATCTCATCCATTTCCCTCTTCATCTACTCACTTAGGTCTGACCATTACCTAAGCTGGAGGTAACGGTCAGACCTACTGACCATTAGCTGGAGGGGGGTCCCTCCAGTGCCTGAAAAATAAAAAAGCCCGAATGATAGGGGGTTGTGGTAAATCCAGCTTTTCTTTCGGCAGGTAGCCTAGAGGGTGCCTGGAGTTTAAACAAAGTTCCACCATTTTTCCCTTTTGCCTATTCTTCCTCACCTTTACCCTCCCTCCATACATGCCCAGCCCTTCAACAAGATTGTGTGCGGCACCTAAAATGTTGCTAGTGAAAGGAAAAAGGGTGACAGTTTATTCGGCATCTACTATGTAATCAACTCTGTGCTACATGTTTTCACACTTCACATGTGTTTGTTTTTAAGGCTCTTCTTTCTTATCTTTTTTTTTTTTTTTTTGGAAGGTTTCGCTTTGTCTTCTAGGCTATAGTGCAGTAGTGCAATCATGGCTCACTGCAGCCTCAACCTCCTGAGCTCAAGTGATTCTCCTGCCTCACCCTCCCCAGTAGCTGAGACTACAGGCCTATGCCACCATGCCCAGCTAATTTTTAAAACTTTTTGTAGAGATGGGATCTTACTATGTTGCCCAGGCTGGCCTTGAACTCCTGGCCTCAAGTGATACTTCCGCCTCAGCCTCTTCTTTCTTATGTCCCTACCCCATTATAGAATCATAGGGCAGAATTGGAAGGAACATTAAAAATCATCTATTCCAATCCTTTCCCTCTTACTTTATAAAGGAGGAGATGGCTGTCCAGTAAGGGAAGTCACATGCTCAAGGTCATAGACCGCTTCCTCCTGATAAGTATGGATATATCTGGGCCTACGTGTGTACCTGTGTATGGAGAAGGGTGGCTCAGGGGCAGCTGGGATTGTGCTTACTCAGACATACCACTCTGTGTTGTTGACTGCATCCCCAAAACCTGGTGTGTCCACAATGGTGAGCCGCAGCCTCACACCCTTCTCTTCTATGTCCACTGCATGCTTAGTGATCTCCACAGTTTGCATGATCCTCTCTGGAGAAAGGGGAAACTGAGGCCAGGGCAAGGGCAGGGACCTGCCCAGTCAGGATGAACCGCCCACCCCAACCAGCCTTGTTGCTCAGACTGCCTAATCCACACTGCCCCCTTCTCCACTCCCAAGCTGTCTGGGGGACTGTTCTCTGGGAACCAGCAAGGAGTACATTTCCCAACACAGGAAATGCCGGTGGCTGTTGGCTCTGGCCCCAGCCTCTTCTCTGCTCCCGGTTTTTTTCTTGGATTCCTGGAATCCTTGGGGGTCAGAGACTCATTCAGAGAGCAAGACTCTGGTCTCTGCCCTGCTTCAGCACCCAAATCTTTAGGGAGCTGGCTGGTGGGCTGCCAGGCAGTTAGGCCTATGGAGAGCTGCTGTCAGTCTCTCTAGGAGGCCATGGTTTCCTGCATGTGGGGGAGAGCCCCATCCCCCAGACTCTGGAGTGAGTTTAATTTCCCAAGGCAAGTCTGCCTGATTGTCCTCTCCTTTCCTTACCTTCAGCACCAAGAAGTTTCCGGTCCCGGTACAGATCAGTGAGGAAGAGGCTATTGACAAGTGTGGATTTGCCCAGGCCAGACTCTCCTGAGAGGAGAGAGGACAGAGGCACCAAATCAGAAGGTAAGATCTATAGCCAAAAAGCAACTCCACTGGATCAAGGTTTAGGGGGGACTGCTTTCTTATCTAATTGGAACTAGACTAACCAAACTATAGCATTTTAGAGCTGGGAGGAAGCACAGAGATTGGCTTGGGGGAGCAAGAGATTGCCCAGGGTCACACAAAAAGAGGCAAATGCTAGGAAACTGTTGGTCAGATGCTCTTTGCAACCAATTCGAACCCCCACCCCCACCCCACCCCACATACATACACTCTCACAGGCCAATGACTCCTGGCTGTTTTGCAAAACAGTACAGCCACTCGCTGCTTGCTCCCTGCGACCTATACTCCCTTCCCACTCACGGACACACACACCATCCCCACCTGAAACACACCCTGCCCAACCCAGCCCTGCCCCTTTTTTACCTGCCACCATGAGGGTAAAGTCAAAGCCTTTCTTCACGGACTTTCGGTGGACTTGGTTGGGGAGGGTTGCAAAGCCCACATACTCCTTGTCATCCTAGTAGACAGGAAGGCAGAATGCATCACGGTGAGGAGCCAAAGGGGCCCCGGCACCCAGCGCCAATCTTCTCTCCCTTTCAGGCCTTTGCCCCAGCCTTAAAAAAGCAGTGCCAGACTTCTGTGAGTTCCCATCTGAGGCCACCAGCTGGGCCTCCTGCCCTTGCTGAAACTGCAAATTTCCAGTGCCCTTGGGGGCAGATATCTTGGAGCTAGGGCTGACACAGGACTGAAATAGGTCCCAGATACACACACACACAAACACACACACACACACACACACACACACACACACACACACTCTGCTCCCTGCCCCCGGTCTTCCTGCAGCAGCCCACTGAAAGGCAAAGGCAGGGCTGGAGGCTCTACCTCAGAGGAATCATAGGGATCAAGCTTGCCCCATGGGCTGCGGGGCCTGGCAGATGGGCTGAGAGGGGCTGGGGCACAGAAGTACTGCTGGTTGTCAGAGGACTGGGGCCGCGAGGGGGGTCTGAACTCCAGGTCATCATCATAGAGGTCCGGGGCCTGGGGCCTTGGCTCCGGGACTTGGGGCCTGGATGCCCAGGTCTTAGCCTCTGGTGGGTGGCAGCTCGCATTTCCTGAGAAATCCTTCACGAACTTGCTCAGTTCTCCATCATCCGTGGTGTCCTCCAGGAAACGCTTGATCTGGGGGAAGCGGGGTGGGTAGAATAGATGGGTGGTGCCGGGAAGGGAGCCGGAAGGGAAGAATGAGGAAGGAGACAGAAGACAGGAGAAGGCAAGAGGGAAAGGGAAAGCACTTGTGGTTAGAAGAAAAAGAAACTGCAGCCAAGACAGAGGAAGTGCTCACCATCCCTCCCTCACCTGCTCACAAGCCTCCCCAATCCAATATGCCAGGAAGGGTCCCAGGGTCCAGGAAGAGCCCTGGGCACCCCCAGAGCCCTGGCAACTGCTCTTGGGAACTAAGGAACTCCAGTTCTGGTCTCCTTCTCAGCAGCATGTTTTTTGAGGCTGCCTTTCCTGGGGTTCTGGCCTAGCCAGGGACTGTCTCAGGCCAGGAAGTAAGGCCAGACTGATTAAGATAGAGCAGACAGAGGCATTAAACCCAAAAGGAGAGTACAGTGCATCAGAATGGGGCAGGGACATGAGGGAAGTAGGCAGGGGAGAAGAAAGCTGACTGCATCAGGCAGGTCAACCAGCAGGGGGTTCTGTACCTCCTGTCACTACTGGTGAGCTGGGGGACTGGGGTACAGATTCTACTGCTGGTGCTCAATTCCCAGGGTTCACTGCCCAGCGCTCAGTATAGTTGATCCTACCCCTTACTCCAGACACTGAGCCACACCCAAATCTGACCCTGGGCCCTGGGAGAGAAGAGTAAACCCGCCAGTGGATGCTGACTGTGGGTGGGAGGCAGCTGGGAGAGACCAGGTGAGGGAGGATGGAAGAGCCTGGGAAAGGCTGGGCCTCCAGAGCTTCTGACAGCCCCCAACTGTGAGGGACATATAAGGGGAAGCACCCTGAGTTGTCTCCTTACCCCCTCTGCCCAGAGCCGGCAGTGCACGAGAGGGCCTGGCCTGAACCATGACCCACAGGGAGTGGAAGGCAGAGAATGGACTGACTCCTCTGTAGAAGCCTGTTCTACCCCATCCTCAGCTCAGAAGAGGAACTGTTTCCCCCAACTCTCATTGTCAGCTCTAGACCCTAAAGATTCTCCTCTCCTTTGGGGGTCAGCCTCCTTCGTGGGGTGCCTGGCAGTGCTGGGCTCAGCTCTGCCTCACAATACCCACGTGCCACCCCCAGACAATGGACAAGGGCCGGCTGCAGAGGCTGACTCACTCTCTGAGGGTTAGCCAAGCCAGTGGGGACTACCCCAGACCACTGTGGAGTCCCAGCTAGAGTGAGGAAGATAAGATAGCCACAGTCTTCCTGCAAAGGGAAGAATTGAGGGAGGCAGATATGCATACTGCCAGGTGTATGCCAGAGGGAAGAGGTTGAGATAGGGAGGTTAGAGGGAAAAGTCTGCTAGGAGCTACTGCCAGGCTGTTGCCTCTGAAGTCTTCACACCTGCTTATAGCCATAGTCTCCAGTGCTCGCCTGGACAGAGGGGAGGAAAAGAGGCCCCTTAGCCCAAAACTAGAACCAGCAGATGGAGGCTGGGTGACCAGAAGAGGCTATCCTGAGGCAAGCCTAACCCAAGGCTTTTCTCACCTATGACATTTGTGAGGTCCAGTGGTGACCATACATCCCAGTCTATGCCTGCTGTCCTGGCATCATGATTAATTGTGCCCTTTCACTCTCAAAAGTGTCCCAGCTTAGACAATTAATTACATGGCAACAGAGAAGGGGTGGGACTGGGGGCAGCACGACGTGTTGTCTGGCAGCTAATAAGTCTGGGGAATTCCAGGAAATCCTGCCTCTCTGCACAAATCCACAATGACCCAGCCGTTGGTCTGGGGGTCAGGACAAGGGTGGGAGAGAGAAAGCTGTGCTTCACCTGGTTTCCCAGGAGCACTGAGTGGAGGGGCAGGGAAGGGAGAAAGGAAGGCCCTAATGAAGATCCCTAGCCCCCATGATCTTCCAGCAGAGCCTCCGGGAACCCAGCACCATCCTCATCTCTGCCAGCCCTGGCTGCTCATCCGCATGGAGGGGGCCACAGGGGCTCTAGACAAGGAGTCAGGACACCAGGGTCCTCACCTCCTGCCTGTCCATCCCCACTCCCAGCTCTGCCAGTGACCAAATCATTTTCTGACTTTGAGCCCCAATCCCAGCCAAGGCAGGGGGAAGACAGGTCACGTCCACCCATCTCCCAGAGCAGCACCTTACCCCAGCTTCAGTCCTGTCCTCAGGGACAGAATTCCCTTGCCATCCCAGTGAACGGTCCATGTCCCACGCTTCAGACTCCCTGTCAGAAAGCTCTAGGTCTAATTTTATCTCCCAGGCAAAGTTCCTCACACACAGAAACAGCCTTGTTTTGATGCTGTTGTTGTCTGGCTTCCTGGCTTGCTCCTTTCCCTTTCTCTTTGACCCCCTTCTGTCTCTGGCAGGGGCCAAAAAAGCCTGTGGAATGTCCTTCCCCACCCCTCTTCTCCTCCCCTTCCCTTGGCTCCCACCCTCCAAGGACAGCTCAGCTGCAGCAGGATCACTTGGTTCCTCTGCAGTCCCCTCCTCCTCTGATTGGCTGTCCCATGACGCCTGCCTGCTGCCTACCCTGGTGGGCACAGCACCAACCTCCCAATGTCTGTTTGCAGCCAGGCTTTTGATCCATTTGACCTCTCCTGTTAACCCCCAAGGACACTGTGGCCTGTATGAGGACTATGAGCTATCCCCAAGTGACCTGGCCCATCAGCACATGAGGACAGCCACCTAGGATACCCATTCCCAAAGGATTTCAATCCCCCAGTCTCTCTTTCACCTTAACTTTAAGCAGTGCTGGAGTAGGTGAGATGTCCTATACTCCCCCATATAGGTTTTTGTGGGAATGGTCCCACACTTCTTCCCAAGTGTTCATTTGTTTTTTTTTTTTTTTCCTGTGAGGAACGTCACTGTTTCAGAAATCTGCTCCTAAATTTCCCTGCAGGGAGCATCAGCCACAGAGAAGACTTTGCTCCAGGGACTCCCCTTACCCTAGGACACCTGACCTCTGACTTATAGCAACCTGTATCAATTAGATCACTCCATGGCTTCCATAGTGTCAACAGGGGAGCTGTTAGCACTTGGTCTCTGAGGAGCACGGGTTCAAGGCAATGGGAGGCTGGCAGCCCAGAAGCTTCAGAGCTGCCATTTAGGTGGGAGATAAATTAAGGGGCCTGGTTGGAAGTGTGCACTCAACTAGGGGTCAGGGGTCCACTGTTTCTGGTTGGGTGGAAACATCTTTTGTGAGTCTGGATAGTGTCTTAATTTGAGGACCTTAATGTTCAGTTGTGAATGGCCCTTCCTTGCCTCCCAGCGAGGCTGGGGAGAGAAAGCACTCCCAGATGATAGATACCTTAAGCTGCTTTGAACCTGAGAAGAGAAGGTGCATCCCAAGTCACAGGATGGTCATTAATGTTGGCCTGTCATTCTTTTCACATGTAAATTTAAACCCCCTGGCATAGCTGGGTTGGGGGGGTCTCCCCCACTGATTCCCAAAGCAGCTAGGACACTGACCTCCTTTGACAAAGAGACCCTCATAGAGGAGTCTGATCTGAACCAGTCAGCCTAAGAACTTGGCTGGCTTGAGGGCAGGGGCCTGAGGATGGGGACTTTGGTGATGGTGGTTGGGGTGGAGGGGGGTGTGTCTTTAATTAGAGAAGAACAGTGTGGCCTCGGACAAGCCGAAAGCACCAAGACCTCAGCTGAACTGAAGTTAGTGTGTGGCAGAAAAAGCCCCTCTAGCCCCTGCTGGGCTTGGCACTGGGGACAATCAGTGCTTCCCTAGGCTTCCATCCCTAGAACAATCAGTCCATCCATCCACCATGTGGGGAGAAGTGGGGGAAAGGAATAAGGACAGGCCTCTCTCAGGAACCCCCGTTGGGGGAAGGTCACAGGGTCACCAAGACTTCCTGGCCAAGGCTTGGGCCTCTGCCTGGACACAGCTTGAGAGACAAGAGCCCAAAAGGTTGGCCCTACCAAACCTGAAAGCTTCTGATCCCAGGGGGCCCAGGGAGCTCCCTTCTGGAGGCTGCCCACAGCCAACATCCCGCCCCACAGGCTGGTCAGTGATCCCCCCCTGCTGTAAACAGTTTGTGTCCCCCAATGCAGAGGGCAAAGGCTGTGGGGCTTCCAGACTGAGAGGAGAGGACGGTGTGTGGCCTAGAGGTCCTGACACCCTTACGTTATTTGTGGCAGGCTCTGGCAACAATGTCAGGAGAAGAGATTACATCTTCAGAGCCAAGCATCAAAAACTTCCTACCTGGGCACCTCCAGGGAGGCTGGCTGGGGTTACTGTTTCTCTTCCCACTACAGGCAGGTGGCAGGGATGGGTGCCCCCACCCCCACACACTGCAGAGGGACCTGGCTGGTGGGGAGGGAGCGGGTAGATGCAGCAGGAGGAAGCTTTCCCATGGTTCCTGTCCCAGGGGCAGAAGGATATAGCTAATCCCACCGGGCAGGATGGTGGGCTGGGCCTCCCCCTCTCTGGGGTCCCTTTGGGAAAGGGCCAGGGACTGCCCCTTGTCAGGCTGAGGGAAGGAGGGGCCAAGCGTCTTACCATCCCTCCTGGTGAGGCAGGCAGTGTTTGTGGGCCTCCTCTGCGTTTTCCAAATGAAGTTGGTACTGGCCCCTGTGCCCAGGGTAGGTGGGTGAGGAGGGGTTACTCAGGTAAAAGCTGACCCAGGCGAGGATGGGGACCCTCACCTCCGCTTATTACTGATGCGCCTTCCCCAGCCCAACAAGCGCGTCTCCACCAGCGGGCACCTCCCTCAGCACGGACCCACCCCTTCGTCCTAGAGCGCAGGCATCACCCAGGGGTTGGCGCCCACTCCGTGGCTGCTCAGAGGGAAAAACTTGGGAGCAGCGACGCACCGCCGCCCGGCAGCAGTGCCAGCCTGTGCCCGGGGCCGGCGACGGCGCCTCCCACCCTGCACAGCCGCGGCTGCGGTGCCGCGGGTCCCCTTGCAGCCGCCCGGGAGCGACCGGCCCTGCGCACCCCAGCCCTGCCCCGCGCCCGCCCGCCTGCCTGCCTGCCTTACCATGGCTGCAGCCCGGGCGGGGCCGGCTCCGCCTGGACAGCGCCCGAGCGACCCGCGGCGGAGCTGCGCGCCGACCTCGCAGCACCGCCGTCACCCTCCCGCCTCCCCGAGTGCGGACCGCTGCGGGAGGGGCCCGGCGGCGGGGGCGGAGCGAGTCGGCCCCGGGGCGGGGCCTGTACCTCAGCTGCTAGCGGTGCCGGCGCGAAGTGGGTCGGGGTGCCCAGCTGGGGGCCGGCCTCGCAGCCCGCGACCCCCGGATGCGCAGAGTATGCAGAGTCACCCAGGACAGAGCGGGGAGCCTCAGCTCCTCGTCCCCGGGCTGCACTGGACACCTGGCTCTTTTTTACTCAGCTCCAGAAGCACCGCGGGGGCTTGAGCCAGTTCCCAAAGAAAAAGGAACGGCCCACCTGACATCCCCAGAAGGAGACGCCTTTGGAAGGGAGGGGGAGTTGCTGCATGAGTTGGAGAGAAACCATTAGTTACCGCAGGGATTCAACAAGGTTTTCACAAAGTGAATCCGGCTGATGCCCAAGTTACTGATCACTACACCTCCTAAAGGGGAATGTCAGATATTCTCCACCTCCACCCGAGCTGTGAAGGGGCAGGTTAGAGGCAGGTTCCCTTCATGCAGTACCCCAGATTACAGATTAAAGAGGATTTGCTGCACAAATTATCCAGGGATCATCTGCTGGAAGGATAGAAGGGAGAGGCTGAGTGGCTTTAACAGGGCGGTGTAGCCTTGCCTGTGGCTGAGGACAGTGGGGAGGGCCTCAGGAGAGGCCAACCCAGGCGTGACCCAGGCCCAGCTGGGCCACTCTTCCTCTGACAAGCAGGTGAGATGCCGAGGGGACAGATGCCCCAGAAGCTTTAGAGGCATTAGAGGCTCAGAAAGGTCAGAGCAGCAGCTAGGGGAAGGCAGATGCTTGGTGAGTGGGGTGTTGGTGAGGGATTCCCTGAGCTAAGTAGGGTCTGAGCTGGTCAGGCTCCTGTGGAAGTTTCCAGAAGCATGTCCCTTCCTGACCCGCAAGACCCCTCTCTCAATGGCAGGCTGACTGGCTTCTGCCTGAATACACTCTGGACAAAACTGAGACCCACAGGCACGGCCCTCTCTGTTGGTAGAAGTGCCAGAGGCCTGCCTGCTGTATTTCAGTCTGACCTGTGAACCAGTAGCACTGGTTGGGACCAGTCAGAACTCAGCCAGGGGAGGGAAGAGGGCCTGGGGCAGCAGGTAAGATCAGGCTGAGAAAAACAATGGGGCTGCTACTGGAGATGTTATTGGCTGTTTGGCACTGGTGGACTGGAAGATGGCAGGGTGTTCATGAGCCAGCCGGTTGAGGAGAAACCTTCCTAGCTGGGTGGCCTTGAGCAACTTACTTCACCTGTCAGGGTCTCAATTTCCATACCTGAAAATGAGGGGATTAAACTAGATGATTTCTAAGCTTCCTTACAGCTCTGGCCTTCTAAAAGTGGATGCAGTGGGGGAAGGAGGATATGCTGTATGCTACTATAGGCCTTGGAGGAAGATAAGAGAACAAGGCAGCAGCAGGAGGTGCTGGAGAAAGGTTGGACATGCAGTGATTCAGGAGAGGGCCCAGGATCTGAGTGAAGGGGGAGGACGTGTAGGATGGGGGCAGCAGCTTGGGTTCCCTGAAAGGGAACCTCTAAAGGTACAGAGAGGCTCCCGGAAAAGACCTGGGGTAGATCAGGGGATCGGAAGCTGTACTCAGGAAAACAAAGACATAAAGAGAGAAACCAATGGCAGTTGGAAGTCTGCAGAAGCAGCAGCTGCTGCTACCATCAGCCCCAAATGTCAAGCTTGGACTATACAAAGCCCCACTGTTCAAAGCCCTGGGCCTCCAATACTCATGTATGCACTCTAAGAATACCTCTTGCGTGCTTCCAGAGTCCTGTGGCCTAGGGTAAGGAGAAAGCCTACATCAGGGAAGACAGGCCCCAGCAGAAACCCTTGTTTTCCTCTATTATAACATGCCCCTCCCCGTGGCCTCAGCTGAATTCCAAGTGTGGACACAGACACATTTCAAAAGGCAGCCCAACCAGCTCATCCTCAGCTGTGGCTGGAATCCCAGCTCTTCTCTGGCACCTGCTGCCCAGGCAGCAGGTTGGTACCAGCTTGCCTTGAGGAAAGTGAGGCCCCAAGCAAGTCCTGGGACCACGGAACTTAGCTCTAAGCCAAGAATATTGGGGTCTAATCTCTTTCTAATCACTGTACCACAGGCCTAACATGAGGCATGCTGGGTGAAATAAAAGCTGAAGACTGACTTTGAGCCATCCCACCTGCACAAGCCCTGCATGCTAACCTACTGCAGCATTCGGAGAGCTCTGAGAGAACTTGGCCTGGGCACAAGTCCCATGCCAACTTGGCTATTATCTCACTGCCTGAAAGTCCCTTGCCCTCTCTGGGCCTCTGTTTCCCCCACTGAAAGAGAAGACTGGACTTCTCCCAAGTCTAGCTCTTACATTCTGTGTGATGGAGGCAGGGTCTAATACCTGCAGGGCCAAGATACAGCAGCCCTTGCGTCAGTCACTGGGGATTTACCGAGTGCTCTTCCTCATCTCCAGCCAGCAGGTGGCCTGGCCAACTCTGCTTCAGCATGGCTTAACTCTTGGAGCGCTAGTTCTCCCTCAAAATTCAACATCCCACCAGGCATTGATGGCCTTGACTACAGTACAACTCCCCAGGCACTGCTAGGGCATGGTATCTGAGCCAAGTGTCTAGGGGAGTGTCTAGCTGGGAAACTCAGCTCAGCCACCATAGCTCTAGCCTGCTGTCTTGGGCTCCGTTGCTTAGGTCAGGCCAACATGATATGTCCTGGCCCCCTCCACTAGGTCTTTCCTGCCCACCCATAGGTGCAGGTTGTATGGCACAGGACCTAAGCAAGGAGGCTGCATGTGGGCCATCCCAGGGCCCAGGTTCAAAGCCGATAATAAAGAGCAATTACCACAGGAAATCAGGATTTCAGATCTGCATGACTAGCAATGGCCACTTCTGCCTTTCAGTAGCTAAGTTTCCCTAAAGTGGCGCAAGAACTAATTGTACATCCCTTCCCCAGTGAGATAGATGAGTCACTGACGATACAGTCAGAGAGTCCTTGGACCAAAGGCTATCACTGGGTTGTGTCTTTCAAGGAAACCTCAGCAAGTCTGTCCAACAAGGTCTGTGGTGGACAAAGGCAATAAACCAAAATACATTAAGCCCAAATCTTCCCCCAGCTGCTGCCATGTGTCCCATGATCCTGGGGGCAGGCATAAGGTGTGGGTGGCAAGGCTGGGGAACACTGTGTTTCCTGGCACCTGCTGAATGGCTGCAAAGAGGGGCAGTTCCAGAGCTGGCAGGGTGCTAGAAGCCAGCCACTCTGATAGGGCAGACAGTCCTTCCAACACCCTCCGTGAACAGGGCAGGGCCATAGGAGCTCAGGGTTGGAAAGGACTTACAAACCTCCTAATGTGACTACTCACCAGATGTCTGAAGGCTCCCCTGCCTTCCCAGCCTCTGCTCGAATACATACCTCCGATGGCCAAAAATTCACTGATTCTAACAACTGCCCTTCAACCTTTGGGCTGCCAAGTTACCAAAGTCTTCACTATACTGAGCCAAAATCTGTCTTTCCCTGGCTTTTACCCTCCATATGCCTCCATGCTGGAAGCTTTGCTGACTCATTTCATTGGACTTTGCTTTGTCCTTTGATGTCCACACCCTTTCAAGTGACCCATCTGTATACTTTTCTCTACCAAATTCACCACAAGCTCCTCAAGGGCAGGGACTATGTCTTTTCTTTTAACCTCTGCTCACTTCAAATCAGCAAACATGTGATGTGATGTTTTTCTGGGTGTCCAGGCCTCTGCCCCCAGGAGATGGCTGATCAATATGGATTGACTAAAAGGACTCATTGATTAGTTTTCCATTCTGATTTTAGAGCCCAGACAAGCCTTGAGGCTCTGCGCTTCATTGACCCTTCACTTGCCCTTCATCCTGGCTGCTCACAAGCTCACACCCACCTCCCAGCCCCGTGGTTCACATACAAAGACACAGATGTTACTCTCACTAAAACCTTTCCCTTCACAATTCTTGATATCTAAAGGTGCTGCTGAAATATTGAGAAGTATTTTCCAGGGAGACGTGGCTATAGAAGAAGGGTTTCTATACCATATAGTTGACTCCCTGGGACAGACTGCTCCTTAAAATGCTTCCAGCTTTGATGAACAAACTCTGAGCCTCAATTTCTTCATCTGTGAAATAGGGAGAATAAATCCACTCATAGGTTACTATGAAAACCCACTAATGCACTTAACATGATCACTAAATGAATGGTAGCTATTATCTCCATTAATAAGAAAATTATCAACATCAAACCAGTAACTGTCAACTGTGACTATTTCAAATGCCTTCCCTCCAAAGGATTTGGAGTGTGCATGTGTAATAGGTGTAGAGAGATGGGAGGACAGAGAATACCAGAGTAATGCCTTAGATTAAATTGACATTGGAATGACCAAGCCGCCACCACCTGTGGAGTCAGCTTCTCCAGCTAGACACCATCTCTAGAAAGCTGGTGCTTGGTCTCAGACCTACCGACCCAAATTCCCAGAAACAGCCACTGTGGAGACCTCTGGAACTAGATGACTTTGCCGGCAGTGGGTGTGCCAAGGAAGCGACACCCACAGTGTCAGCCTGAGCTTCCCTCAGGAACTGCCTCACATTCTGTCCCCCTCCTCCAGGCTTCATTCAGCCCCCAAGGTGCAGCTGTCTCCTGCTGCTCCCCTAACAGCAGCTGAGCCAAAGGCAGCTGAGCAGAGGAGGGTGAGGGGACATGGCCATTTCTGCCTCTCAGGACAGCCTTCCTCTGGCTGAGCACCTGTCAGGGTGGCTCCTGGGTTACAGATTTACTTCCTCACCCAAGTATGCACCCTGGCCTCTGAAGCCAAGCTCCCTAATCTACCCAGGCCCACTGTTTCTGTTACTTGGAAAATCCACCATTTCAAACAGCACCAAACTACTCTGCAGAAAGATGTGATGTTGGAGATGGGTTTCAGTCACCACACACCTTCTGAAAATACACCAAAAAGTCCACAATGGATGTGGCAGATTCTTCCCTATGTGGGACTATTCTGGGCAAAACAAAGAACTAAGGGAGTCTGGCCTCAGCTCTGCTATCAAGTCTGAGAGAAAAGCATTGTATATTCCTGCCCCCATTTTATAGGCAGAGGGAGTAACCTGCCCAGGTCTCACTGTGAAGCCAGGACATTGTTCCCTCTGTGCTTCCAGGCAGACTGCACCACAGCTTGTATTAGGTGACCACCTGTCCTGGTCTGCCCAGGATTGAGGGGGTTCTTGAGACATGTGACTTTCAGTGCTAAAACCAGCAAAGTCCCAGGCAAACCCTGATGAGTTGGTCAACTTACCCTGTCCCCAGGTTAGCAAGTCTTAGCCAGAGGCCACCAGCCTTCCATCCTGCTCTGGAATTGGCTGCCCATGGTAGCTGGAAATGAACAGGGTGCCATCTGACAGGGTAAGATGCTTGCTTCCTAAGAAGCTGTGCAACAATGGTCAAACTGCTATAAAAATCCTCCCAAGGCCGGGCGTGGTGACTCATGCCTGTAATCCCAGCACTTTGGGAGGCTGAGGTGGGTGGATCACAAGGTCAGGAGTTCGAGACCAGCCTGACCAACTTGGTGAAACCTCGTCTCCACTAAAAATACAAAAACTAGCTGGGCGTGGTGGCGGGTGCCTGTAATCCCAGCTACTCAGGAGGCTGAGGCAGGAGAATCACTTGAACCCAGAAGGCAGAGGTTGCAGTGAGCCGAGATCGCGCCATTGCACTCCAGCCTGGGTGACAGAGCGAGACTCTGTCTCAAAAAAAAAAAAAAAAAAAGCCTCCTGAGATGCCCTGCCCCGTTTTCAGCAGTTCTGCTCCATTCTTTCAACAATTCTTTCTTCTCAACTACGAGCCTCTGCCCAAAGCAAGAGAAATGCCGGGTGCAGTGGTTGGTGCCCATAGTCCCAACTACTCAGGAGGCTGAGGCAGAAGGATCACTTGAGCCCAGGAATTCGAGATTACAGTGAGCTATGGATTGCACCACTGCACTCCAACCTGGGCAACAGAACACTTTAAAAAAAAGCGAGGGAGGGTTCCTTTCACATAGCCCATGACCTAGGATTCTGTGAACATCCTCATGAATGTGGAAACTCCCTGAGTTCCTCAGAGGCTTTGGATTTCGCTTTGTAAAGGAAGCCAACCTGAGCAAAATGTCCCTGTGATTCAAAAGCCAACAGGAGGCTGATCATCCCATCCCTTCAGGGTCACATGACATGTCATCCAAAAGACACTGAGGTCTGCCTTAAGTATCAGTGAGATGGCCTCCTCTGATTCCTGGCCTATTTTCCAGAGTTGGTTTCTTGCATAATTGATAGAGCAGAGAGTAAACCACCTTGCCCTATGACAGCCTGAGAAGTCACATTTAAGGATGAGTAGGTCAGATGCCTTGAGGACACAGGATCTTGGGGCTAACACACCCTGTCCATCAAAGGCATTGCAGCCCCTCCCATCAGAACTGCTTTATTTCCAGGAAATCCCCAGGGCTATGTGAGAAGGCAGCCCCCAGTGACCCATTAGGGCACCCTCAGGACCTTCCTGTTGAGCTTTTGCTAGTTCTGATCCCCAAAAAAAACCCATCAGGAATGCTTCCCTTAGTCCAGCATAACCTCCTCTGGGGAGACTCCTGCCCCTAATGTCCCAATCCAAGGATGAGAAGCATCTGTCCACCCCATTCCTTAGACAAAAGGGCTTTGAGGGGCCATTTGGGAAGGGACTGACACTTAAAGAGATGGGCTGAATCAGGCCCCATCCCCAGCTGTTCACCCAGAGAGGCTTGTGAAGCTCAACAACAAACATGATGCCTTCCACAAGCCAGGCATCGTGGCCAGGCCACCAGAGAATTCCTGCCAGGAATGGAATCTGGAACAGACTCTATGGTCAACCATTCCCAGATCAGAGGAATCAGAGGCCTTGGACACCAGCACCACAGCGTCTCCATCCTGAGGCTGCATGGGGCCATGCCGGCTGAGGGACAGGCCGGGGAGAGCCTAGCTCTCTCATGCATTAGAGAGCACCTGGCCCATCTCCATGCCATCCTACCTCCAGAGAGTCAGAGAAGACCAGCAGCCCAGCTGCTTGGGAGCCTTCTTTTCTTGGCTTCTGGGGAGCAGCTCTGCTGCTGAACAGGGCTGGAGAGCTGTAATTATCGAGACCGGATAAGAGCTATTTTAGGAAGGAGCCACCCTGTTGCCAAGGCTTTTGACTTCCTAAACTAAAACAAGATGCACAGAAAAAGGGGATGAAGGTGGGGGAGAACAGGGAGGAGCCTGCTCAGTCAAAAACATCAAATCTTGACTGAAGGGAAATATTAACCCCTTCCCAAAGGTACAGATTTGCATCTAGGGGTGAGCAAAAGGCTAGCTAAGACACCACCATCCCCTGGCTTTGGAAAGGAGGGCATAACCTGATCCGCTACCCATCTCCCTGCAGACTCCCTCTCTAAGACCCTCCAAGAGCACTTACTCAGCCTGTTCCATCTATTTTGACATTTGAGCACAAACTATTTCATATTGTTGTTTAAATGTTTCCTGTCTGTGTTTTATCTCCCCAACCACATGGCAAGTTTCTCAAGGCCAAGGAATGTGTGTGCTGTGAAACTTCAATTCTTCCCCTAAAAGTGCCTAGCAGAGTGCTAGGCAACTGAATAAAAATTGTTTATGGAAGGAAGGGAGGGAGAGAGAGAGGAGGGAAGGAAGGAAGGGAGAAAGGGAGGGAGGGACTTACTGTCTTGCATGGAGATAATCTCTGAAAGTAGCCACTCCCACCTATAGCTGAGCTCAGGGCATAAGGTTGGATAAGAACCCATGGCAGTGGCAGGTGGCAGCCTTGTTTCTGGTCACCTCCCCTTCAGCTGTTCCATTATCTGAGCTTAGGCTGACCCCCACTATGCACTCATTTGTTTTCTATCTGTGGCCAACTGTCCATCCTGAGTCAGCCTATGAATGGGACCTATTAGAGGCCATTGCTAGGCTTTGGGTAATAGAGAAATATGGCAAGAGAAAATAATGGAAGTAGGAAGAGCTTTGACCATCTTATCAAACATGGGCCAAGAATAGCCAAAGTACTTATGGGAACAATGCAGCGAAATCAGGACACTGCCAAATCAGGACACGGGACTGCTGACAGCAGAGTCCACCTTGAGTTTTTCCAAGTTGAGGACCCAAATAGTGTGTAACCCAAAAAAGCGACCCCTTTCTGGAATGCCCCAGGCTGAAAAGAGGAGAACCAGGTGGGGACTGATCCAACGGCTACCTAGACGGCCTTCCCACAGAGCACTTGGCAAGAGTCATCATCTGCCAAAAGGTCTCTGTTCTTTCTCGGACTGCAACTAGCTCATACAGTGCTTTTGTGCAAATCCCCCTCTGGGGAGATGCGGTTCCACAGGTGCACAGCTTGGCAAATGGAACACAGGTTATATTTCAGCCCCCCACTTGCCCCCTCTACCAGGTGCTCTTGTGCAGTGAACAATCTGCCCAACCATAGGGAGCAGCTCTGTCTCCCTCCATGCCCACTCCCATTACAGGACAGGAGATGGATTTGGATTGTGGGGTGGGCCCAGGAAGACTGGGAGTAACCTCCCAGGGGCATTCTTACCTCCTCATCTGTCATAACAGAGTAGAAGCCAGGCATTCCCAGGGGGCAGCAAATGGAATTCAGAGAGTGCCAATAGGAGGAGAAAAAGAGAAATTTACTAAAGATGCCCAGTGGACTTGGGCAAACCTGGCCCAATCCCTTCCTAGTGCAAGTGGCCCAAACAACAGCAGCTAGTATTTACTGAGTGCTCACTGTTGCCAAGCACCGTGCTAAGTGTTTTATTGGTAATAACTTGTAATAATCCTCACAATAACCCTAAGAGGGAGCCATTATTCTCAGTAACAGATGAGGAAACTGAGGCTTGGAGAGGTAAAATAACTTACCCAAGGTCACAGTCAGAAAATAGTGGACCCAGGGCCCAAATCCAGTTAGATAACTCGAGTTCGTACTTTACTATGCCCCTACTTTATAGAGCTTTGCTCCCTCTGAGGAGCAGGACTGCCCTTCTCTGCTCTTTGCTGACCATCACTAGGAGGGTTCATGCTGGTTGGGATTGGATGGAATTCCCAGGGCTCTCTCCTCCCCAGGAACTGCTTTATCCATAGCCCTGGCCTCTGTCATGCTCATAGGGCTGGAGTATATTTTGGGCCACAATGCTCACAGCAAGAAGTCCCTGCTGCCAAGATTTACTCCTTGAGGTCTTGTCCCCACCCTCCCCTGCCCCCAGAGAGGCCAAGAGTATAAAGGGAGAGGAGGGTCACAAGGCCTGGGGACACTTCTCTTAAGGATTCTAGAGCTGCAAGACACACTGATGGCCTCAAGGGGGAGGCCCAGACATCTCTGAAGATCTTGCCTGGGCAGCACCAATAAGTACCCCAGGTGGTAAACTTGGGGCATGAGGAGGGTTCTGAGGAACCAGAGAAACACATGAGAAGAGCCCCCAGCCTGAATTAGCGTGAAGTCAACTCTGAGCAAGACTGTGAAGCAGGCGGTTTGCTTTGGTGTATTTTTTAAAATCATGTGATAGATGACCAACTAAGCTGAAAAGGCCATGAGGCTTAAATTATTCTCCATTCCAGAAGTAACTTCCTGTTAAAAGGAGACTCTTGAAAATGGAAAAGGTTCCAAGCCCCAAAGAAATGACTCTAATGGTGAAATTTTCAGCAAGATGAGAAGTTCCTCTGCTTCTTCAGGTCAAAATCCCAGCATTTATCTCCTAAACGACCCAGCTCTGTAGATACATAGATGCCACTCCTCACCTGTCCTCCCATCCCCCAAGCTCCCACAGTGGGCCCATAGGAGGGAAAAGCACAGACCTTTTAGCCACCAGATGACACGATTGTACATTTCCTCAGAGACATCTGAAAGTAACAGAGAGATGGTTGCTTTTCTTCTCTCTGTGGGATGCACATCCCACTCTCCACTACTTGCAGCTCCCTTTCTAGCTCCACATTTCTCCACTCAAAGGTGCCCTCAGCCCTTGGTCCTCTCCAAGAAGCTCCTCCAGCCTAGGACTATATATCGTATTCCCACTCTCCCTTTCTCTTTTTTACACCCTCTCTCTGTGCCACTGTGAATGCCTTTCCCCTCCTGGAATCCCAGCTCATCTGCATCCCACCCTCTCCACTTTGTAGCCAGAGTATTTACCTGAGGCCCTTATTCTATTTAACAGCCCTTGCCAGCCCTCACCCCAGCTCAGTTCTTCATCCCCACTCAGGAAGCAGCTTTCAACCCTGCAAGCCCCTCTCTACTACCTTCAATTAAAAAGGTAAGCAGTGTTGCCTGGAGGAGTCAATGCCTGTCGCCCGGCCCAAGCATCCATCATCAATGTCATTAGCTTGGAGCACAGAGAAGCTGGCAGGGAAGGAATGGAGCAATAGGCTCAAGGATAGGACTAGCTTTGGCACTGGCAGGAGAGCAGCCCTTAGGCCCAGAATGAAGAGGTGGTCTTTCCTGCCCACCCCAACATCCCATCTCACTAAATTGGGGCTGCACCTGGGCAGTCTGCTTCTTCACATACCCAGGAAGAAAGCAGTAAACCTTTGAATGGGTTGTTTGCAGGTGTGCTTGGGGGTCTGTGGCACTTCACTCAGTGGTGCCCAACTTGGAAACTCCTTTGGTGGTGATGGTGGTGATAGGCTTGCCTTCTCTCTCTGGAACTTCAGATCCTCACAGAAAGGGCTAGAGTCTATTTTAAAACCGGACAATAAAAGATCTAGGGAAGGAGAGCACTTAGGCTCAAAATCCGGTGTTGTCAGCTGGCTTTGGGGTGTTTCAACTTCAGGATTCAGCAAGGGCCACCATGAGGAGTCAGGTCCGTACCTAGGTAAGGACCGAGGAGGCAAGGGCCTAGGGGTCAGTTCCAGTTCTGCATGGATGGAGGGCTTTTGCGAGAGTTCTGGATACCTGGGTGTAGGTCCTTGGGACATGTAAGTAATTTCTGGGGGTTTTTGGGTTTGCTGTTTATAGATGGGCTCTGGAGTAACAAACATGGATGACTTGTGGGAGCCCTCAGACACTGATGGAACTGTCACATGGTGAGTTGGCTCTACTGACTGTACCCCTGGGGAGATGGTGACCCTGCGGCCAACCTCGCTGTTTCCTCGGATTGGGGTCCTCACGTTGGACTCCACCTGTGATGATACTAAGACCTTTGCGGAGGGCTTGGTTTCAGGATAGGCAGAATACTTATGAAGAGACTCAGGGTCTACCCGTGCAGAAACTCGGTGTACACCATCAGAATCTTTAAGGACAGAGA
Organism: Homo sapiens; assembly: GCF_000001405.40. Taxonomy (NCBI): domain Eukaryota; kingdom Metazoa; phylum Chordata; class Mammalia; order Primates; family Hominidae; genus Homo; species Homo sapiens. Next base: position 58,543,364 of record NC_000017.11, read on the forward strand.
GTTTGAGCAATGAGTCCAAGTTCATATTCCTATACAAGGCCTTGGGTTTTGAAGGAATTGGACCGTAAGGACCTGTTTCTGATTCTTCTACAGGGACCCTTCTCTGGGCTGTCTGATAGTCTGCAGAGACACAGCTGCTTCCGTGCTCTAGGAGAGAGGGACTCCTTGGAGATCTGATCTCACTAGTAGTCGTAATTCTTTGGATGGGCTCAGTTTGTACTGCTTCATCCTTTGGGTAAGACAAAATCCTACGGGGAACTCTGACTCCTTGGGGGTTCTGGACCTTGGATGGTGGGTCATCTTCTAAGATTTGTGATTGTAAGTTATTCTTCTGGTCTTGAAAACTCAACTGATGAGTAGATTTGGCATCTGGGATTGATGAAGCATGATGGCCGACCTCGCGCCCTGACTTGCTCTCACTGCCTCTTCGTGCTGCTTCCTCTCTGGGTGGACTAACTTTCCATTGTCTGCTTGAAGCATGGGAAGCCAGTGTCTGAGTCTTCTGGCTCTTTAGATGGGGAGAGGAATGGCGGGATGATTCTGTTCTTGGTCCAGTCTCGGGTCCCCGAGGAGTGGGTACTGCATAGTGTCCAGGTCCTGACTGGAGGGAGACAGATCGAGGGTAGTCTGATGCTGAATGGGGAGTGGTGGGATGTGCAGCTTCTGATCTTCGGTGGGAAGGGTTCAGGGAGACTGCAGCACTTCGATGGCTTGAGGCAAGAACGTACCCATGTCCCTGCTGAGGGGATGTGTTAGTAGTAACCTCAGACCCTCTCTGTGCTGAAACCGCTACCTTGGCCCCAGGTTTATTTGTCTTGACCATCTGATAGATTGTGCCCTTCTGAGTAGATCCCGTATTTTACTGGCTGGCTTGTATTCAGGATCCTAATGATGCCTGAATATTTACCCTGTTTTAAAGCTGCTGTTTCTTGGGCTCCCACAAAAGTGGCTGTTGTTCTAAGAGTGTCTCAAATAATCCCCTTAGCTACCTCTCTGTCTGGTGATGTCATAAAGGAAGGAGCTTCCTTCCTATTAAACATCCTAGTGTACAGCCACAATTCTTCACAGAATCCCAAAGAAGTACCTGAAAGGAATCTGTGGATTTGTCTTTGGAGTTATATCACCAAGCCTTTGGCAAGTTTTTAACAAAACTGGGATTTCCTTGTACATAGAGAAGGCTCCAGACCCTCCTTTACTCTCCCGAGATTCTAGAAATTCTCAGGACTCATCCAGAGAAGGAATCAGCCAGAAGATCCTATGAAGACAAGATCAAACCAAACACGCTGTGTTCGCCCCAGTTTTAATAAGGTACGAAGTACAAAGTTGCCCCAATTTTGTTTGAAACTGTACTGTATACAAGTTAAAAAAAAAAAAAAAAAGAGAGCTTCAGCTTTTTCCAGGTCTCATGGATTGTTTCATTGCTCCTGGGGTAAAAATCCAGGTTGCTCAAATAATAAAATTCTCACATTCTTGCTCCAGGAGAGTTTAGTGTTTTATTAATAAAAGGGATTTGCCATGTGCGGTGGCTCACGCCTGTAATCCCAGCACTTTGGGAGACCGAGGCGGGTGGATTGCCTGAGGTCAGGAGTTTGAGGCCAGCATGGCCAGCATGATAAAACCCCGTCTTTACTAAAAATACAAAAAAATTAGCCAGGCATAGTGGCAGGCACCTATAATCCCAGCTACTCAGGAGGCTGAGGCAGGAGAATCGCTTGAACCCGGGAGTTGGAGGTTGCAGTGAGCTGAGATTGTGCCACTTTACTCCAGCCTGGGTGACAAGAGCAAAACTCCATCTCAAAAAATATATATAAATAAAAACAAAATAAAAGGGATTTGGGCTGGGTGCAGTGGCTCACACCTGTAATCCCAGCACTTTGGGAGGCTGAGGCGGGTGGATCACCTGAGGTCAGGAGTTTGAGACCAGCCTGGCCAACATGGTGAAACCCCATCTCTACTAAAAATACAAATATTAGCCAGGCGTGGTGGTGCGTGCCTGTAATCCCAGCTACCCGTGAGGCTGAGGCACGAGAATCGCTGGAACCTGGGAGGCGGAGGCTGCAGTGAGCTGAGATCGTGCCACTGCACTCCAGGCTGGGTGACAGAGCAAGACTCCATCTCAAAAAAAAAAAAAAAAAAGAAAGAAAGAAAGAAAGAAGGAATTTGGAGTTAATCATTGGTTTCCATCATAAATGACTACAGGTGTACCTAGGAGAAATTACCTGCCTTCCCTGGGACTTGGTTTCTTCACCTGGAAACCACTGCCTGGTACATGGGTGTCACACAACAAATGTTAATGTCCTTTCTCATGATCCTGTCAGCTATCCAATCAGCCGGACTCCGGTTCTCTCTTGAAAAGTGACTTTCCAATTTGGATGACCATTTTGGAGGAGACTCTGTCACCTTTCTCTCCCTTTCACATGCTCTTTCTCTCATTCTCTCTTTTAGACATAGACTCTACCATATCCAAAATTCTATTATGAACTCTGAAGGGTCATTGAGATTATAGGATGGTCAGCTTCATTTTTCTTTTTTTTTTTTTATTTGAGATGGAGTTTCAAATAAACTGTGCCCAGGCTGTTGCCCAGGCTGCAGTGCAGTGGCGTGATCTTGGCTCACTGCAACCTCTGCCTCCCGGGTTCAAGTGATTCTCCTGCCTCAGCCTCCCGAGTAGCTGGGATTACAGGCGCATACCACCATGCCTAGCTGATTTTCTTTTTTTTAGTAGAGATGGGGTTTCACCATGTTAGTTAGGCTCGTGTCAAACTCCTGACCTCAGATAATCTACCCACCTCGGCTTCCTAAAGTGCTGGGATTACAGGTGTGAGCCACCGTGCCCAGCCAGTTTTAAGTATTTCTAAACCCTTTCTATTCCCCAAAATGAAAGCAGCTTTGGCTAGGTGTGGTGGCCCAGCCTGTAATCCCAACACTTTGGGAAACTGAGGTGGGCAGATCACTTTAGCTCAAGAGTTCGAGACCAGCCTGGGCAACATGGTGAGATCCCATCTCCAGCAAATAAATAAATAAATATTTTAAAAAATTAGAAAACAGTTTTACAAATAATTATAAAAAGTTGAAATCACCTAAGAGGACCCCGTTACTATTTTAATAAGCATCTTTCCACATTTCTTTCTATGCATTTACTATGTAGACATTTAATTATAAATTTACATAGTCTTATTATAAACTTCCCAGCATCCTAGTACTAGCATTATTCCATAACATGTTATGAATACCTTTCTGTCAATAAATCTGTATCTATGATGTAATTTCTAATTAATCCACTTATGGTTGTTCCAGAATGTTTCAAATGAGTCCTTTACTGCTGGACATTAAGTTGTTTCTTTTTTTTCTTGCTATGGTGCCCAGGCTGGAGTGCAGTGTCTGTTCATAGGCCTGAGCACAGCACACTAAAGCCTCAAAGCTTCTGGGCTCAAGTGATTCTCCTGTCTCAGCCTACTGAGTAGCCCACCTCATTTGGGTTGTTTCTAATTTTTCAATATTATAAACAATGTTGCAATAAACATACATTACTATAAATATATATTTGTGTATATTCCAATTTTCTCCTTAGGACAATAGTTCTAAATCCTGGCTGCACATTAGAATCACCTGGAGATCTTTCAAAGCCCATGCTCCACCTCAGACAAAATGAATCAGATAATTTGGGGGTAAGGCTTGAGCACCAGTATTTTTTTAAATGCCTCAGATGGTTCTAATGTGCAACCAGGGTATAAAGTTCTCTAAATCCTCTCTATTCAAAGTGTAGTCCGTGGACCAGCATCATCAGCACCACCTGGGAGCTTGTTAGAAATTCAGGAGCTTGGGGCCCACCTTGGACCTACTTAGTCAGAATCAGTATTTTAACAAGACCCTCAGGTGATACATATGTACAATAGAATCTGTGTCATACTGGTCTAAATGGAGTTTCTGGGTCAAAAAGTAGTCACATTTAAAATACATACTGACAAATATCCTCCAGAGAGGTAGTACCAATTTATACCCCCAACACAGTGAATGAAGATGTCTGTTTCCCCATACTCTCAGCAACCTTAGATGTTATCAATACTTGTCCTCCGCAATCAGTGAGGTAAAAAACAACCGTGTTTTAATTTGCATTTCTTTGATTACAAGTTAAACTGAACATCTTTTAATATGCTAATTGGCTGTCTGTACAGCTTCTTTTGTGAATTGTTCTTTGTCTATTTTTCTATTAAGGTGTTTGTCTTTTTCTTACAGGTTATTAGAACTCTTTGTATATTAGGGATATAAACTTTTTGTTTATCCAATATATTGCAATTATTTCCACCCAGTTTGTTGACTTTATCCTTGTCCAGACATTATTTGCAGTAAAGAAGTTTTACATTCTTAATTCCCAAACTTTATACTTTGGTATGTTTTTTGGACTATTTGGGTTTTTTGAGTTTTTTTGAGACAGGATCTTGCTCTGTCACCCAGGCTGGAGTGTGATGGTGTGAACACAGCTCACTGTGGCCTCAACCTCCTGGGCTCAAGTGATCCTCCCACCTCAGCCTCCCGAGTAGCTGGGACCACAGGCATGTGCCACCGCACCCAGCTAATTTTTAAATTTTTTGTAGAGATGTGGTCTCACTGTATTTCCCAGGCTAGAAACTCTCTATTATGTTCTATAATTCTTACCATTCTTATGCCAATGCCATACTGTTTATTGCAGCTTTATACTACACCTTAATATACGGTAGGACAAGTCCCTCCTCCTTACTCTTCTTTTGCAGCATTGTTTTCAACCATGCATTTATTAAAAGTCCTTTAATTTTACTCTACTATACAATTAGTAGTATCCAGTAGGAGAGTGGATTTTACTTATTTAACTCCCACAGGACCAACTTATTTCTGAGCTCTTGGGGGGCACCTCACTATAACCCACTTCCAATACCAACATATATGAGTACATAACATTACCATTAGCATTCAGAAAGAAGCCAAAAGTAATGTATTTGGAAAAGAGCAATTGAAATTTATTCCAAAAATTTCTTTTTTTTTTTAAAGACAGAGTCTCACTCTATTGCCCAGGCTGGAGTGCAGTGGCATGATCTAGGCTCACTGCAACCTCTGTCTCCTGGGTTCAAGCGATTCTTCTGCCTCAGCCTTCTAAGTAGCTAGGATACAGACGTGCACCACCACGCCCAGTTGATTTTTGTATTTTTAGTAGAGAGGGGGGTTTCACCGTGTTGACCAGGCTGGTTTCGAACTCCCGACTTCAGGTGATCCACCTGACTTGGCCTCCCAGAGTGCTGGGATTACAGGCATGAGCCACTGTGCCTGGCCTTATTCTGAAAATTTCTAATAATCCAAACTTTCCAAGGGTACTCTAGTAATTTCATTCAACAGTGAACCAATGTTTATAAATCATCTATGGGTCTAGAACTTGCTACGTATTCTCTCTGCTTTCTCATCTTGAAGGACTTAGTACATTCTAAAAACTTGGCACAAAACCCATAGAATAGATGTGGAGATTGGGATGAGGTTCATAAAGGACGTGTCACCACAGTGTCAGTCTGCTTTCTGTTGCTATAATAGAAACCTAAGACTGGGTCATTTCTTAAAAAAAAAAAAAAGAAGAAGAAATGTAGGAGTCAGGAGACCTGCCCCTGACCAACTTGGACCTTGGTAGTAGCACATCCAGTTGGGGGATGGCAGGGAGAGCTATCTGCCCTGTATAAGCAATAAAAGGGTGCATTTGGCCAGGTGCGGTGGCTCATGCCTGTAATCCCAGCAGTTTGGGAGGCCGAGGCGAGCGGATCACTTGAGGTCAGGAGTTTGAGACCAGCCTGGCCAGTATAGTGAAACCCCGTCTCTACTAAAAATACAAAAACTAGCCAGGCATGGTGGCACATATCTGTAATCCCAGCTACTTAGGAGGCTGAGGTAGGAGAATCACTTGAACCTGGGAGGTGGAGATTGCAGTGAGCCAAGATAGTGCCACCGCACCCCAGCCTGGATGACAGAGTGAGACTCTGTCTCAAAAAAAAAAAAAAAAAAAGAAAAAATTGTATTTCTTACAATTCTGGATGCTGGGAAGTCCAAGGTTGAGAGGCCACATCTGGTGAGGGCCTTTTTATTGCATCATAACATGGTAGAAGCCTTCACAGGGCAAAAGGGGCTCACAAGAGAGAACCAAAGTGGCTTTTATAACTAGCCAACTTCCATGATAACCCATTAATCCATTAATGGGTTAATACATTCAAGAGGATTGAGCGCTCATGACCCAATCACCTCTTGAAGGCCCACTTCCTAATACTATTGCACTGGGATTCAGTTTCAACCTGAGTTTCAAGAGGATAAACATTCAAACCATAGCAATGAGTTTTAACTTGAAGTTGGCCCTTGGTTCATTCACAATCCTGAAACTTTGCTTAGGGCACTCTTAAACTATCGTCTCAGGGTAAGCTGTTGGTGGAAGGGCTGAGGCTGGGCTTGCTTGTCTGACACTCCAACATAAGCTACTGTGTTTTACTGTAAGTACGCAAATTAATGTTTAGTATGATCTTGGGAAGGTCATGGAACCCTCTTTGGGTAGTCTCTTCTTTTGTAAGTAGTAATAATATCCAACTTTTAGGATTATTCTGAGGATTAAAAATACTCAGTTACCAAATATTTGTTGAGCACCTAATATGTGCAGATTCTGTGCCAGGAGCTGGGGATACCTCAATGAACCACCCAGACATGATCCCTGGCCTTGTGGAACTTAACAGTTGTATGTACCACAGGTGGTGGTAGAACATTCTATTAGCTTTTAAGTGTGCTACATGCTATGAAATAAAAATGTGGTTACGGGCTGGGCATGGTGGCTCACACCTGTAATCCCAGCACTTTGGGAGGCCAAGGCTGGCGGATCACGAGGTCAGGAGATCGGGACCATCCTGGCTAAGACAGTGAAGCCCCATTTCTACTAAAAATACAAAAAATTAGCCGGGTGTGGTGGCACGCGCCTGTGGTTCCAGCTACTTGGGAGGCTGAGACAGAAGAATCGCTTGAACCTGGGAGGTGGAGGTTGCAGTGAGCTGAGATCGCACCACTGCACTCAAGCCTAGGTGGCAGAGCGAGACTCCATCTCAGGAAAAAAAAAAAAAAATGTGGTTATGTGTGTCGGCAGGGAGAGGGCAGGCAAGAAAAATGCGAGTATCTTACAGAGGGCCCTAACCTAGTCTAAGGTTCATAGACTTCAGGAAAACTCCCTGAGGAAGTGAAGTATAAGTAAATTAAGAACCGAACAATGAGGTACCTATGAGGAAGGACATTCTGGGCAGGGAGAACAGCATGTGCCATGAGGTATTTGAAGAACTGAGAGGAATCCAGTTATGTCTAAGAGCTATGGGCAAAGATCTTAACAAGGAAATAAAACAATTTTTTTCATGTTAAAAAGATCATTGTAGAGACAAAATTAGAGAAGAGAGAGTATTAAAGAAATCTTTAAAAAAATGTAACTCAGTTTGTTTTACCCCACTCTGTCCTCTTACTTAGAACCTTCCACTGGATTTCCACTTTTTGCCATGGTCTATAATTCCCCTGCTCAGTCTCCAGCCTCACTTCATCTCCTGTCAGCCTCCCTACAGGTTATTCTACTCTACCAGCCTCCCCCCAGATTAGTCTCCTCCACCAAACTGGCCTTCTGCTGCTCTAATTTGGTGTTTCCTGTGGGGCCTTTGCACTTGCCATTCCCTTGCTGGCATGTTCATCTCCCAGAGTCACAAGACTGGCTCCTTCTCATCATTCCAATCAAAGCTCAAGGGTCACTTCTTCAGATCAACTTTCCCTTGAAGAGCCCTAGCTAATGTTAAGTTGCTCCCCAACCCAATGATCACTGTAACCTATTTATTTTCTTCCTAGCATTTACTGTTTGTTCATTTAACTCCAGGACGGCAGGGACTCTGCTTTGTTCGCGATCACCCCAGCACCTAAAGTAGTGCGTGGAACATAGGAGTCATTCAAAAAAGATCTGTTGAATGTGAGACTGGATGGGAGCAGCCACTTCAGGAGGCTGTTGCAATGGTCCAGGGAGGAATTAATTATAGTCTGGATTAGTGTAGTGGCAATAGAAATGGAAAGAAATGGGTATAAAAGACATAGATTTTAGAGGCCTCTTGAATAGCTGGGACTACAGGTGTGCACCACTGTGCCTTGCCAATGATTGATTTTTTTTTTTTTTTTTTTGAGACAGTGTCCTGCTCTGTTGCCCAGGTTAGAGTACAGTAGCACTATCATGGGTCACTGCAGCATTGAACTCCTAGGGTCAGGCAATCCTCCTGTCTCAGCCTCTCAAGTAGCTAGAACTACAGGTGCATACCACCACACCTAGCTAATTTTTAAATATTTTATAGAAACAGGGTCTTGCTATGTTGACCAGGTTGGTCTCAAACTCCTGGCCTCAAGCAATCCCCCCACCTCGGCCTCTCAAAGTGCTAGGATTACAGATATGAGCCAAAACACCTGGCCTGATTGATTTTTTTATGTAAGGAGTAAAGGAATGGAAGGAGAGTCAAGGATGACTCCTGTAAAATTTGTTATTTTCTGGTTAGAGTGGCTGACTGGACAGCAATACCACTGATTGGAAGGGGAATACTGGAGGTGGAGAAAGTTAAGACTATGAGTTCAGTCCAAGTGGAGACATCAAATATATGGGTAGTAATATCAGCTAAGAAGAGAAATCTAGTCCTAGACTACAATACAAATCTGGGAGCTGTCAGTGTATATATAGACACTAACTGAAGCCATGGGAGTGAACAAGGTCTCTTAGGAGAAGAACTTGCAATGACAAAAGATAGAGGTGGAACCCCCAAAGGAGGCTGAGGTGGAGTAATCAAGAGAGATAGAAGGAAAACCAGAGTGTGACATCAGGAAAGCCAAGGGAGTAGGCAAAGAGCAAATGACAAGGAGGCCAAAGTGTCCATCAGATTTAGGAGTAAGAGTCGCTGTGATTTTTTTTTTTTTTAAGACACCATCAAGCTCTGTTGCCCAGGCTGGACTGCAGTGGCAGGACCTCAGCTTGCTGCAACCTCCATCTCCCGGGTTCAAGCGATCCTCCTGTCTCAGCCTCCTGAGTAGCTGGGATTACAGGCATGCACCACCACACCCAGCTCATTTTTTTGTATTTTTGGTAGAAACAGGATTTTGCCATGTTGGCCAGACTGATCTCAAACTCCTGACCTCCGGTGATTCACCCGCCTTGGTCTCCCAAAGTGCTGGGGTTACAGGCATGAGCTACAGCACCCGACAGAGTCACTGTGATCTTAAATGACTGCTAGAGAATAGAAGGAGTAGAATTCAGATTCTAATGGGCTGAGGAGCTAGTGGGAGGTGAGGCACTAAAGATAGCAGGTGTAGACAACTCTCTCAAGAACTCTTGTAGCAATGGGAGTAGAGAGATTAGACAGTAGCTGGAAAAGTAGGTGAGATCCAGGAAACGCTTTTCAAAGTTAGGAAAATCCAAGTGTGTTAATGCTGATGAAAAGAAAAGCAGCAGCCAGGCTCAGTGACAACAGCCTGTAGTCCCAGCACCTTGGGAAACGGAGGTAGGAGGATTACTCGAGCCCAGGAGTTTGAATCCAGCTTGGGCAACACGGTGAAACTCTGTCTCAAAAAAAATGAGGGGTGGGTTGAAGCTACTGAAAAGAGAAATTATAAGCTGGGAAGGATACCCCTGAATGGACAAAAGATGATATTGGCCAAGGACAGGAAGAGGGACACCTCCTTCAGTATAACAGGAAGAGGGATACCTCCTTCAGTATAAAAGGAAGGAAAGTGAAAAGAATAGGTGTAGAATAAGTCCATCTCTAGTGCAGGGCAGACTGCTTCACCTACAACTGTTGTTCTGTTCTGCACAGATAGATGTGGCCGTGTTAGTAGTTTTGGTTTGGTGGCAGGCAGCTGAGTTCATTCCCATCTGATGGCTTCTATTTTTTCTGTAAAGTTGGAGGTAAAGTCATCTGTTGAGTTTATGCAGGCCGGGCGCGGTGGCTCACGCCTGTAATCCCAGCACTTTGGGAGGCCGAGGCAGGCGGATCACAAGGTCAGGAGATTGAGACCATCTTGGCTAACACAGTGAAACCCTGTCTCTACTAAAAATACATAAAAAAATTAGTCGGGCACGGTAGCGGGCGCCTGTAATCCCAGCTACTCAGGAGGCTGAGGCAAGAGAATGGCGTGAACCCAGGAGGCAGAGCTTGCAGTGAGCCGAGATTGCGCCACTGCAGTCTGGCCTGGGCAAAAGAACGAGACTCTGTCTCAAAAAAAAAAAAAAAAAAAAAAAAGAGTTTATGCAAAGTGAGGGATGGAAGTCTGAAATAGATGATGAGAGTGGGAGAAGAAGCATACTAAAGAAACACAGTAGTCGGGCGCGGTGGCTCACGCCTGTAATCCCAGCACTTTGGGAGGCCCAGGCAGGCGGATCACTTGAGGTCAGGAGCTCGAGACCAGCCTGGCCAACATGGTGAAACCCTGTCTCTACTAAAAATACAAAAATTAGCTGGGCATGCTGGCACGCACCTGTAATCCCAACTACTCCAGAGGCTGAGGTGAGAGAACTGCTTGAACCCAGGAGGTGGAGATTGCAGTGAGCCGAGACTGTGCCATTACACCCCAGCCTGGGTGACAGAGCAAGACTCCAACTCAAAAAAAAAAAAAAAAAAAAAGAAAACACAGTGGGGCTGCTATGTGCAAGAAAAGGATTAATGTATATAAGGTAACCGGCACATCATAGTTGCTCTATAACCAATAAATAATACCTGCCAACATAATCGTTAATATTGGCCAATATTACAGTCACTGGCCAGACAGAAGAGTCTACTCTGAATAAAGGAGATTACAATCCTTATCAGCAGGAACTTGTATACTAGGACTTGTAGCCTTTATGAATACTAATAATTAATGCCATAATAATGTAGCTCATCATTTATCATGATATGTCTGCTATTGGTCCTTTCATTTGTACGTATGTTGGTTTTGTCTCATCAATTAGAATATGTTTTTTGAGAGGAAGATGGTGTATTTTAAATCCCTGTATCCTTTAAAGTTTCTTCACCCAGGCCAGGAGCAGTGGCTTGCACCTGTAATCCCAGCACTTTGGGAGACCAAGACAAGAGGATCACTTGACCCAGGAGTTTGAGAACAGCCTGGCAACATAGGGAGACTTTATCTCTATTAAAAAATTTTTTTAAAAGTCCAGGCGCAGTGGTTCACACCTGTAATCCCAGCACTTTGGGAGGCCAAGGCGGGTGGATCACCTGAGGTCAGGAGTTCAAAACCAGCCTGACCAACATGGTGAAACCCCATCTCTAGTAAAAATAAAAAAATTCGCCAGGTGTGGTGGCAGGCGCCTGTAATCCCAGATACTTGGGAGGCTGCAGCAGGAGAATTGCTGGAACCCGGGAGGCAGAGGTTGCAGTGAGCCGAGATCATGCCATTGCACTTCAGTCCAGGTGACAACAGCGAGACTCTGTCTCCAAAAAAAAAAAAAAAAAAAAAGCCAGGTGTGGTGGCCCATGCCTGTAGTCCCAGCTACTTGGGAGGCTGAGGTGGAAGGATCGCTTGAACCCAGGAGTTCAAGGCTGCAGTGAACCATGATCGTGCCACTGCACTCCAGCCTAGGCAACAAAGCCAGATCCTGCCTCTAAGAAAATCAAACTTTTCTTCACCTGGTATTATTTATAAACTAATTTGTTTTCTGGTGGTTTTCCTCTGGTTACCATAGCAAGCAACTGTTTCCTTACTTTAAAATGGTCAAATAGATTTATACCTTCTCATTTTATCTGTGCAGGCTAAAATTTCTGAGTGCAAAGAAGTAGGAATACAACCATCCACAACAAGAACTATTCAGTTTTCACAAACAAAAGACCTACTATTTACTCACCAAGACAGAATAATAACATGTTAGCTGGCTAGTACTGCACAACAGCACATAGCTTCTAAGAAAATGTTTTTATTTATGGCCAGGCACAGTGGCTCACGCTTGTAATCCCAGCACTTTGGGAGGCCGAGGCAGGCAGATCATTTGAGGTCAGGAGTTCCAGACCAGCCTGGCCAACATGGTGAAACCCGTCTCTACTGAAAATACAAAAATTAGCTGGGTGTGGTAGTGTGCACTGTGGTAGTGCACACCTGTAATCCCAGCTACCCAGGAGGCTGAGGCACAAGAATCACTTGAACCCAGGAGGCAGAGGTTGTAGTGAGCTAAGACGGTGCCACTGCACTCCAGCCTGGGCAACAGAGTGAGACTCTGTCTCAAAAAAAAAGAAAGTAAAATGTTTTTATTCATTATGAAGATTCCAAACTGGAGGTAGATGAAGGTATATAAAAAATCTGCATGGCCGGGCCTCAGGCCTATAATCCCAGCATTTTGGGAGGCCGAGGCAGGTGGATCATGAGGTCAGGAGATTGAGACCATCCTGGCTAACATGGTGAAACCCCATCTCTACTAAAAATACAAAAAATTAGCCGGGTGTGGTGGCATGCGCCTGTAGTCCCAGCTACTCAGGAGGCTGAGGCAGGGGAATCGCCTGAACCCGGGAGGTGGTGGTTGCAGTGAGCCAAGATCGCGCCACTGTACTCAAGCCTGGGTGACAGAGCGACTCTGTCTCAAAAAAAAAAAAAAAAAAAAAAATCTTCACATATGCATCTGGCCAGTGGTCACAACAGGCTAATTTAGAGACAATGCTATGATCTTAGTGGTACAATACAAAATATATGGAGATAATATTTGTTCACCTTAATGAGTTCAAACTATCTTAGGACTTTACTGCTACCTGTACTTACTTTTTTTTTTTTTTGAGACACGGTCTCACTCTGCACCCAAGCTGGAGTGCAGTGGTGTAATCACGGCTCACTGCAGCCTCAACCTCCTGGGCTCAAGTGATCATCCCACCTCAGCCTTGCAAGTAGCTAGGACTACAGACATGCACCATCATGTCTGGCTAATTTTTTAATTTTTTATAGTGACAGGGAACTCCCTCTGTTACCTAGGCCAGTCTCGAATTCCTGGGCTCAAGCCATCCTCCTGCCTTGGCCTCCCAAAGTGCTGGGATTGTAGACGTGAGCCACCACATCTGGCCACTACCTGTACTTTGATTGTGTGAGCCAATTCTAGCTGGAATGGGAATATGGCACTCTCAGCCAAGTGGATGGGCTGTAGTTCTGTTATGAGACACAGATGACTGGTACCAGTATATATAATGGGTGGTAGCGGTAGCTGCATATTTGTCAGAAATTGAAGCCTCTTTGGGTGGCAGTTCTCCCCCCAACTCCCAATAACTCAAATTCAGAAATATATCTTACACAGCAAAATCTGTTATTAAAATTAAACATTTTATTATATAACAAGAGTTAAAGTTTTTGAAAATTAACATCAACAAAACCAAAGCCATTCTAGGCACAACCAAAAATTTTTACTATCAAAACTACCTCTCACTTTTCAGAAATCTGACTGAAAACAAATGGTTGAATGTGCTGCTAACAGAGAGGGCCAAACGATGATGTCTATTGTGGCAGCTGAACAAAGTGAGACTTACAGAACTGGAACTGCTGCCCTGACAGCAACTGAAGCAGAAAGAGAAGAAAGGAGCTTACAACCAGGACACTCAAACTCAGGCCAGGAGTCCGTCTATGATCCAATTCCAATCAGTCTGACAAGTCACTCTGATCCAGCACGATTATCCTATGCACATGTTTTTTAAAGAACAAAAAAGGAAGTTTCGAGTTGGTATGTGTGTTTTTTAAAGACACAAACCACATCCTCTTTCTATTCAATTAAATTCAAGGGAAAGGAATTTTGGTCTTTATAATCAAGGGCGATTATAACCAACAGTGTGTCATGGAAATGCAAAATGACTACAGAGCAATTGACAGCAGCATCTTCTGTATTCTCTCCATATTAAACCTGTTCTTTTTTTTTTTTTGAGACGGAGTCTTGCTCTTATCCCCCAGGTGGAGTGCAATGGCGCGACCTCGGCTCACTGCAACCTCTGCCTTCCGGGTTTAAGCGATTGTCCTGCCTCAGCCTCCTGAGTAGCTGGGATTACAGGTGCCTGCCACCATGCCCGGCTAATTTTTGTATTTTTAGTAGAGACGGGGTTTCACCATGTTGGCCAGGCTGGTCTCGAACTCCTGACCTCAGGTGATCTGCCCGCCTCGGCCTCCCAAAGTGCTGGGATTACAAGTATGAGCCACCGTGCCTGGCCTAAAACTGTTCTTATGCTGACTCTATCACTTATTGAATCAAAGTTGGCATTAATTTCACTTTATAGTTTAATTAACTATAAACACTAACATTTTAAAAATTAAGCAACTTTGTCTAAATTGGAGTCTTTGTCATTAATGTGTATTTAGACACTGGTAAATGTTTTTAAGTCTGCTTCTGTTGTCTATAAACATGACTTTTGATCTACAAACATCTGATATTTCATTACCTGGATGATTCGGACCAACCTAGTCGCTTCCAAAAACAGGATTTTAGTTCATCTTGATGAAATATAAGAGGAAGGAAAAAACAACATGATTAATTTCTAGGTCAAAGGGTGCCAGTATTCATATTAGTGCTCCCTCTAATTTAGAGTAGACTGTTTTACCTACAATGGTTGTTATATTCTGCCAGATAGACTCTTTCTAAAAACACAATTAATGGGCTTCCCCTCCTAACATTCTATAGTTTTCTGCCACAGCAATGGGCGCTAATGACACTAATTCACAAAGTCCCTGTATTATCTTCTCAGTGAAATCAATACTATTAATAGCTAAATGCCTACACGTTCTGGGCCCTGTGCAGTCAGGGTTCTGGAGGAAACAGAATGTACCCACGGCTGGTTCAAATAAAGATCCTTAGTGAAGTGACTACATACAGAGGTTTATTTAGAGTTAAGGGAACAAACAAGGAATGTCAAGGCATCCAGTGATTAGCAGCAGTGGGAAGCCTAAGTCTGAAGGAACTGAGTGTTGGAGATGAGAGGTCAGTTACTAGACCTTAATGAGAGCTGGAATTGGGAAGAATGGACTGCCTACAGAAGCCGCACTTGTGGAGAGACACCACTTCTACCAGGCACAAGGTGCTGAAGTAAGCAGTGAGGCAAAGTAATACCCCAAATTCTCTCTAGCCCCACTAATCTTCTGCTGGGGCCTGTCATTGGCAAACAGGAAGCCCAGGAGATGCAGTCCACTAGGGTCAGCATTCTGGGGCACAAAGCAGGGCAGAGATGGGGAGAATGAGAAGGAAATCAGGAAGAGGTGAAAGGAATACCAGATGATCTGAAAGAGTTAAAGTCTCTTACTTTCCTGAGTAGGAAGAACTTAAATATGGGAGAGCGTCATTGTAAAGGGCATATCAGAAGCCTTCAAAATCTATCAAAATAGTTTTAAAATTAAGGTTAATTTATAATTTTCACATTACTTGTAGACTCCACTTAAATTCCATAAAATATGATTTATTACTGGATTTTGAAGCATCTATGTGAGCTAAATTTAAAACTCTTTGGAAGACGTTGGACAATTAGAAGCAAAACATCGGCCGGGTACAGTGGCTCACACCTGTAATCCCAGCACTTTGGGAGGCCGAGGCAGGCAGATCACCTGAGGTCAAGAGATCGAGACCATCCTGGCCAACCTGGTGAAACCCCGTCTCTACTAAAAATACAAAAATTAGCTGGGCATGGTGGCATCCACCTGTAATCTCAGCTACTCAGGAGGCTGAGGCAGGGGAATCACTTGAACCCAGGAGGCAGAGGTTGCGATGAGCCGAGATCGTGCCACTGCACTCCAGCCTGGGCAACAAGAGTGAAACTGTCTAAAAAAAAAAGAAGCAGCAAAACGTCTCCCCAGACAACGTGCAAGATAATGATGATGAGACTGGGCAAAAGCTTGCTTTGGAAATAGAATTGGATGTTATTACTGTTTTTGTGATAAAGCTATGATTGGCAATTAACAGAAAACCTGAGCTGAACTGCAGAGAAAAATAAATTATCAAAGGTAGGAGGATTATGTATAGCATCTGGGAAACATTTCTAAATAACTTTGAAGCACATCAAAGCCCAAGGACTACAGACTACATTATAAACATACATTAATTCATACCTTCTTCAGAAGTCCCTAGAACACCCTCTGATTTCCTTCTTTCTGGTGTAATGCTATCTTCCCTTTTTCTTTTCTCTTCACCAACTTTTTGATCTTTGATATTTGTCTCCCTGTAACAACAATTATTTGGGGAATCAAAACGTATACACAACAGCCAAGAAAACAGGACTGTACTCAAAACAAAAAACAAACAACAACAACAACAACAACAAAACCATATAATAGCTAGCACTAACAAGAGTGTTCTCTATGCACCAGGCATTGGTTTAAGTGCTATAATTTAACTCATTTAATTCCCATAACTATATAAGGTAGTTACCACTGCCATCCCCATTAAGCAATGAGGAAACCGAGGCACAGAGAAGTTAAATTACACACCTAATAATTCCTAGAGCTAGACTCTGACCTTAGACTCAGTCTGCCTTAGACTCTGCTTTCAACCACTATGCTATACTGCTCCAAAGGAAAAAAAAGGCATTTTACTTAAGTTTTGATTGGTGTCCCTTTCAAAACCATCATTTATTTTATCATCTTATCTTCATTTCCCGAAACTCTCTCCTAAGTGAAATATGTAAATAATTTAAGTACCTCAAAATTTAAGACCATGTTTGTCAATCTATTAAGCAGAAACCATCCCCCCGACCCAACTGGAAACTCCTTATAGGCGGCAGAGCCATCTTATCCCTCTTTGTGGTACCTCTAGCCCCTAGCACAGTGCTTTGGACATTGTCAGTGCTCGGTGGATGCTGGTTGAACCAAAATAACATTGTTTAGGGATTCTTCTGTTTTCATTTGGTGGATAGTCAAAACAAAATACGTAAAATGAGAGAGAAAATAAAGCCAGCTAGAGTGAAGAGAGATTTTTTCCCCTCTTAATATTTTCCCACTAATAGAATCACAGGTTCAAGAGTTGGAGGAGGCCTTTGGGTTATATTCCGCCCCCGTTCAAATGCCCAGGACAGGGAATCATCCAGCCACTGCCTGAGCAGCAGTAACCATTACTAAAATAAGTGTAAAGGCAGGCAGCTATTTCCCTTTATCAGATAGCTGTGGCTATTAGGTTTGTGCTTTATTGAATAAAAATCTGTTACTCTGCAATTTCTAGTCACTAATTAGTCTTCTAGGGCAGACAAGTAAGCTGACTCTCTTCACTTTGCAATATTTCAGGTATTTGAGGGCAGCTATCAAATTCTCCATTCCATCTGCCTTTCTCAGGCTGAGCCTCTCAGCTCCTTCAGCTGTTCTCATATGACATGGTTTCCAGACCTCTGACTGTTCTGTAGCCACACTCTTGTGTTTGTTAATATCCCTTTTAAAATGTGATACCCAGAATGGAGCCCCACATGTGTCCTAGGACTCCTCTGAACAGCACATTACCGTCATCTGGACAGTACATTTTTATATATCCAGCATCAATGCTGCATTGACCTTTTCAGCACTTCATCAAACAGGCCTCACAGAGTCATTGCCCATGCCTTCCTCAGGAAGAATTTCTTGACTTCTCATCATGTCTCAAGATGCATGGCTCATTACTGGGCATACAAAAATAAGACATACTTCTTGCCCTCAGTAAAATTATAGTGAGCAGAAGCTTCTGATGAAAACTTCTCCAGTTAGACCAGGTCTCACACATTCTGTAATTTTGGATCTTTGACCTTTATCTTTTACAGAATCTAACATTTCCACCTGTCAAGATGATTTTGAATCCTCAGTCTATCACTCATCACATCAGCATTCATTCCTAGATTTGTGTTATCTAAAAATTTGATAAGCATACCTTTTCTGATTTAATTCACATGACTGATGAAAATGTCAAAGGTAGCAGGGCCAAGATACAGCAAACTTAGAAGCCTCTGTCTATAATGATATGAATCTGCTAATCAATATCTTGAGTACTGTGGGTGGTCAGAGGAAGAGGGGCAAATATGAGTGCAGACAGGTGGAGTCAGGGCTGGCTTATCTAAATCAATGTAATGCCATCATCAGGCATTCATTCTCCAAGAAGTCTAAAACCTAGCCCCACTTCCTGAAAAAGAAGAAAAGGATTCCCCTTTGGGGAACAATAACCTTTCAGAGCCCTTGGGAAGGTCTTGTAGCTCCACGCTCTCCTCAGGTGGCTGCAGCCATCTTTCCAGGTCCTCATCCAGAGTAGAGTGAGCTCTGTTTAAGGACAAGTGAAGAGAATGGAGACAACAGTCATTTCCCATCCCCCTTGACAAAGATGCATAACACTTTAGAGTAGAAAGGGACCTTAAAACCTGTGCTTTCACTATATGTATGAAAAAACAAGAGCTCAGTGAGATTGTGTCTGGAGTCATAGAGGTCACTTAGATCTGACTGAAATATGCACTGGTCGGGTGTGGTGGCTCACATCTGTAATCCCAGCACTTTGGGAGGCCAAGGTGGGTGGATCACCTGAGGTTAGGAGTTTGAGACCACCCTGGCCAACACAGTCCAACCCCATCTCTACTACAAATACAAAAATCAGCCGGCGTGGTCGCGTGCGCCTGTAATCCCAGCCACCCGGGAGGCTGAGGCAGGAGAATGGCTTGAGCCTAGGAGGCGGCAGCTGCAGTGAGCCGAGATCACGCGACTGCACTCTAGCCTGGGTGACAGAGCAAGACTCTGTCTCAAAAAAAAAGAAGAAAGAAAGAAAGAAGAAATATGCACCAAAATAGTCCTTTAATCCCTTGACAAAAAGCCTTAGCACCTATTAAGATCACTGCTTCCCCAAGTCTGATGGTAGACTCTGTCTCAATTCTAGGTCACTGAGTTAGTTTTCTACCTGAGGCTAGAACTATACATGCTTTCCTACATGTTTTTCCAAGAAAAGGCTAGAAGATGCAGGGTAGAGTATTTT
This sequence comes from Homo sapiens, assembly GCF_000001405.40. Taxonomy (NCBI): domain Eukaryota; kingdom Metazoa; phylum Chordata; class Mammalia; order Primates; family Hominidae; genus Homo; species Homo sapiens. Next base: position 58,562,313 of record NC_000017.11, read on the forward strand.
AAGAATGCCTGAAAGTCCTGCTCATCTGAAAAAATGTCTTCCACTCTGGCTTGGTGCCTAGATTGATCATTCACAGCACTGAGATGACTGAGCATCTGTGGGGCATCTATCTGTGGCCAGCACTGCTGGCCCTTTTGGAAGAGGAAGAGACAACAATAATAATAGCTAACTTTTGATCACGTAAAAAGAGCTTAATTTTCTTTTTTTTTTTTGAGACAGTCTCGCTCTGTCGCCCAGGCTGGAGTGCAGCGGCACCATCTCAGCTCACTGCAACCTCTGCCTCCCAGGTTCAAGCGATTCTCCTGCCTCAACCTCCTGAGTAGCTGGGACTACAGGTGTGTGCCACCATGCCTGGCTAATTTTTTTATATATAATTTTAGTAGAGACGGGGTTTTGCCATGTTGGCCAGGCTGGTTTCAAACTCCTGGCTTCAAGTGATCCACCCACCTTGGCCTCCCAAAGTACTGGGATTATAGGTGTGAGCCACTGCGCCTGGCCCCTGTAATGTCAGCACTTTGGGAGTCCCAGTTGGGTGGATCACTTGAGCTCAGGAGTTCAAGGCCAGTCTGGGCAACATGGCAAAACCCCATCTCTACAAAAAATACAAAAATTATCCAGGCATGTTGGCATGAGCCTATAGACCCAACTACTTGGCAGCTGAGGCAGGAGGATCACTTGAGCCCAGGAGATCAAGGCTGCAGTGAGTGGTGTTCATGCCCTATTGCACTCCAGCCTGGGCAACAATGTGAGACTCTGTCTCAAAAAAAAAAAAAATTGCACTAAAATATTACTTATTTTGACTACTGAGTTTTTTTGGTGCTCCCTTCAATTTTGTATCCAAGGAGTCTATCTCCTGAGCTCACCTTAACCTAGTCCTGGCCCCGAATAATGATAGTTCAAGAGAAGTCAAGAGGCAGAGGAGGTGAGCTGAAGTAGTTTACCCTACAACACAGGCAAAAAGAGCTCCAAATCAGGAACAGAGTCAGGTTTCTTGAGGCAACCTTGTACTTTTAGACTGAATTGTCTGGAAGACTGCCCCCATTTTCTCTTCTAAGGCCTTTAACTAAAATGTTTTGAAAGAGACTGAAACTTGTGTTTGCCTAACAAAATGAAGTAAAAATAAACAAACAAAACCCTAAAAACAACTCAAGAGAAAATAACAACAAATAACCCTATCAAAAAATAGGCAAAGAGCCAGGCATGGTGGCTTGCACCTGTAGTCCCAGCTACTTGGGAGGATGGGGCAGGAAGATCACTTGAGCCTAGGACTTCAAGTTCAGCCTGGGCAACATAAAGCCCATCTCTAATTTATATATATATATATATATATATATATATATATATATAGAGAGAGAGAGAGAGAGAGAGAGAGAGAGAGAGAGAGAGAGAGCGCAAGATCATACATATGTATGTATATAGAGAGAGATCATACATATATATGTATACATATATATAGATCATACATATATGTATACATATATATGTATACACACACACAGACACACACACACACACACACACACAGACGGCAAAGAACTCAGACATTTCTCCAAAGAAGATATACAAATGGCCAACAAGCACATGAAAAGATGTTCAACATCATTAATCATTAGGGAAGGGAAAACTAAAACTACAGTGAGGCACCACCTCACACCCATTAGGATGGCTACTATATTTAAGAAAAAAAAAGCCTCCACCCCCACAAAAAGAGAGAGAAAATAACAAGTGTTGGCAAGGATGTGGAGAAACTGAAACCCTTGTGCACTGTTGGTGGGACTGTAAAATGAGGCAGCTGCTATGGAAAATAGTGTGGCAGTTCCTCAAAAAATTAAAAATAGAATTACCATATGATCCAGTAATACCATTTCTGGGTATATATCCAAAAGAATTGAAAGCAGGATCTCAAAGAGATATCCGTACACTCATGTTCACAGCAGAATTCTTCACCATAACAAAAGGTGGAAGCAACCTAAATGTCCATCAACAGATGACTGGATAAATGAAACATATTATTCAGCCTTAAAAAAGAAGGAAATGCTGACACGTGCTACAACACAGATGAACTTTGAGGACATTACGCTAAGTTAAAATAAGCCAGTCACAAAAAGACAAATACTGTATGATTTCACTTATGTAAAGTATCAACAGTAGTCAAACTCATAGAAACAAAAAGCAAAATGGTGGTGGCCAGGGTGTGGGAAGAAGAGAAAATGGGGAGTTTTAAAATGGGTATAGAGTTTCAGTTTTGCAAGATGAAAAGGTTTGGGACATTAGTTGCACAACAATGTGAATATACTTATTAAGGTTATTGGACTGTGCACTTAAAAATGGTTAAGATGGTAAATTTTGTTATATACATTGTATCACAATTAAACATTTTTAAAGCAAAAAAAGCAACGCTTTTTAAAAAAGTAACCCTTTAGGAATAGGGGCTATTAGGATAGTATGAAAAAAGACCCCACTTTTTTTCTTTCTTATTTGTCAATATTAGAAAAAAACCTAACATAAACTATACAATTTTTTAAATCCTTTCAACAGTCCAGCTTTTCCTGTTACCTCTCTGTGTCCTCTCCAAGATCTTCAGTTTCTTTGGACAAAAGCATACTACTATCTTCTTTTTTACTGTCAGTTTCTTGTTCTTCTAAGTGCCTTTGATCTAAAAACAGTTGAAAGAATTAACTTTATTAGAACGAAAAAAAAATTGAGAAAGCTTGCCTTAAAATAGAGTGCAAAAATTAAGGCCAATCAGTGGTCCCTGAAGTGTGCAATGCATTAGCTCCCCTCTTCCCAGGAGAGCAGGGGGCCAGGTGGCAGTCTGCAGGCCACCTGCATTTGCAGCAGCTGCTTCTGGGGTCTTGGAAGCTTTTCAGTGCCAGGTGAAGCTACAGGAAACCTTGCTTGTGCCAAGGCTCAAGGAAGACAGAGGAAGCTGAAGAAAGAAAGGGCACATAAAAGAGGAGGCAAGCAACCATGAAAACAAATTGCACAAATTTACTTTGGGGACCATCTTGTTCTCACTTGTTAGATGTTTCTAACTTGGAGCTCCAGGAAAGGAATTTGGGTGGGGAAGGGATGTACCCTTTAATGTATGCCAAGCATTTTACATATGCTATCTCATTCCATCCTGCCAGCAGTCCTATAAAGGGAAGAGGACTAACATTTGCTAAGTATTTGAAAATGTTAGTACTTGTACATGGCTCTGTACATGGAGCTAATATGTACTTCATGAGACAGAAATTATTGTCCCCATTTTACAGATTAAGACGACTGAGGCTCAGAAACAGTAAAACAGCTTGCCATACAAATAACTATAAAGTCAGACTTGAGGTGGAGTTGTGCCTGACCTCAAGGTCACACTTCCCTATATGTACCACTGTGTTGCCAAGGACAGCGTTAAAAGAACCTGATGAAAACAATCTAGGTAGTTCACTTACCATTTGCAGTGCCTCCTCCATCACTTGCTGTGTTCTCATGCAACACCGTGGATGAGCCCTGCTGCTGTTTCAAGAGCTCTGTCACAACACAAAAGCCAAAGGAAACTTATTTCCTCCCTTGCGTGTCCTGCCGTTCTCTAGAGCAGTGGTTCTCCAAGGGTGATCCTTAGACTTGCAGCATTAACATAACCCGGGAACTCGTTAGGAATGCAAATTCTCAGGCCTCATCTCAGACCTGCTGAATCAGAAACTCTGGGGGTCTAGCAATGTGTGTTTTACTTAGCCCTTCATGTGATTCTGATGTCTGATAAAATTTGAGAACCACTGCTTTAGGGCATTCCAGGTTTGAAAGGAATTCTTTAGGTATGACAAAATCCCACACAACACTCAAAATAGAAATGATGATGATCATACATAACACTTGCAGAACCCCAGGTGTCAGGTTCTGTTTCTAAGCACTCGCATACATTAATTCAGGATGAATGTTCACAATTAATCTTCACAACAACCCTCTGAAATAGACTGTGTTATTGTTACTCCTATTTAGCAGATGAGGAAATTTAGGTTAAGAAACTTGCCTAAAAATCACACAGACAGTAAGTGGTAAAATTGGTAAAAATCCAGGCAGTCTAGCTCTAAGGTTTATGCTCTTAATCTCTATTTTATAGTCTCTCAAAAAGTTAGTAACATCAAAACAATCTAAATGTTTCCCCATCTCTATTCACCTATATTTCATACTTTTTTCCTGGTTTATGAAAAGACAGAAGGCAGGCTGAGCATGGTGGCTCACGCCTGTAATCCCAGCATTTTGGGAGGCCGAGGCAGGGGGATCACTTGAGGTCAGGAGTTCGAGCCCAGCCTGGCCAACATAGTGAAACCCCATCTCTACTAAAAAAATAAAAATTAGCCGGGCATGGTGGCACACACCTGTAATCCCAGCTACTCAGGAGGCTGAGGCAGGAGAATTGCTTGAACCCAGGAGGTGGAGGTTGCAGTGAGCCGAGATGATGCCACTGCACTCCAGCCTGGGTGACAGAGTAAGACTCTGTCTCAAAAAAAAAAAAAAAGGAAAAGAAAAAGAAAAGATTGAAAGCAAAGAATATCCATCATTTCCAGTTCCTAAAGAAATACTCAGCCTGGCCAGGAGCAGTGGCTCACACCTGTAATCCCAGCACTTTGGGAGGCTGAGGCAGGTGGATCACCTGAGGTCAGGAGTTTGAGATCAGCCTGACCAACATGGTGAACCCCATCTCTACTAAAAATACAAAAAATTAGCCAGGCATGGTGGCTCATGCCTGTAATCCCAGCTACTCGGGAGGCTGAGGCAGGAGAATTGCTTGAACCCTGGAGGTGAAGGTTGCAGTGAGCTGAGATCACTCCATTGCACTCTAGCCTGGGCAACAAGAGTGAAACCCTGTCAAAGGAAAGGAAAAAGGAAAGGAAAGGAAAAAGGCAAGGCAAGGAATACTCACTAGACTAAGACAAGCATCTGCTAACTCAGTATGCTGCTTTATCCTCAAAGTGCTCTGCAAAGCAAAGCAAGTTGGGAGGCAGCATAGACAAGCCACCCTGAGCTCGTTGGCATGGTCCTCTTCTGTGCTGGTGCAGGTCTTCTCCCTTCCTGCAGTGCAGGAAGCAGTCCTACCTGGCAGCCATGGGTGTCAAGGGTCCCCATAAGATCATTTAATATAATTTGAAATTTAAAAAATCCATTTTCGTCCTTGTTAAAAGTAGTCCTGCGCAGATCTTAAATGATCATCTGTATCCTAGTTCTAAAGAACCTTCCACTTTAGGCACCTGTCAGGAGCCTAGAGCTTTGGATGTGAGCCCTCCAAAATAGCAGTTGAGAGTTCCAGTAACTCCCCAAAGGTCTCTTTAAGGGAAACAACAGAGTGATGATATATAGTAATCAGGCAGGCAAGCCCATTATCAGAAGAAACTACTCAAGTGCCCTCTGCCCTTTATCCTTCTGCAAAATTACTGACCCATCTCAAAGTGCAGACATTACCTAGAAACCTGGTCCAGATAATTCCCATAAGTGAAATGAGGGAAGGCTTCTGCAGACTGTGCTGGGGTGCAGCAGCACCATAAGGCCAGAGCCCAGGACAAAGTCTGGTAACACAGCTGCTGAAATGGAGGAGGTGAATGGAAGGTTTACACAGCAACTATAGAGGGAAGACAGCAGGATCCAGAGAAAAAGTATCAGCTATGATCAAACTGCAAAGGAGCCTACAATACTGCCTTAAATCATGACCGAGGAACAAATGATACTAAGAATCTACCTGAGCAGGACATGTGTGGGGTGACCTCCACTCTCAGCAGTTCTGTTATTTTAAGAAGAGCAACCAAAGAGGAGGAATTTGCAAGGACTGCCTAGGGAATCCCAGATATGGAAAGCAGGGGTGGGAGTGTGGGCTCTAAGAGCCTGACCCAACAACCCTGTGACTCTACAACACTGTGGCACTGGGGGAGGGGTAAAGTGAAGCAAGAAAGGTCCTATGACCATGGAAAAAGAAAGAAACCAAGGAAGGTCTGACAGCACTGACTGGCTCCACCCAAGTTCATCAGGCCAAGGGACAGGAGCTAAGGGTTATGATAATGACCCTGAAGAGAGCTGTCCATTGAGTCAGACCTGAAAATTCTGATTTACCTCCTCCTTTATGAAACCCAAGACCTCAGAGACCCTGAAAACCAAGGGGTGCCCCTCAGGAAATTATAGGTCCCATAACAAGAACTGGACTATCCAGAGTCTGATGAGATGCATTTTCTGAGGGTGAAGGGCTGGTTGGCCAGGCTGTCAAGAAAGGCGCAGTCAAGTCTTTCCTAGGAAAACAGACCACCTGCCCCAGTTTCCATAACAATGTAACATTTACTTTCAGCATCAGACCAGCTGGACAGGGCCAGCCAATCAGCTGCAAATAAAATTTGGTTGGTAACTGCTCTGCCTGAAAATTCTGGTCTCTGTAGGTTTTGTGCCACTGACTTCCCTGTTCTTAGGAAGGGGATTTATTCACAATTTCAATACCTTTAATACCTACAGCTAATGGCAAAACTGAAAGCACAGGTGTCTTGGCCTGGGAAGCTAGACCTCAGGCCTCAAAGGAATGGCTGGTTTGGTCTGAAAAGGAGATAAGAACTCCTTTAATAAAAGAAATTCATCATAATAAACCACTTGAATGTTACTTCCCCTTAGATTCATCAACATAAGTCCTTTAAGTAACAAAATGACAACTGACACAAGCCAATCATCCTGGCCAGGCTGTGGCTCATTTTATTGCAAAACTGCCCCTTCCTAAATTTTGGAAAACTGCCCCTTCCTATATTCAACCAGGCCATCATACAGCCTTTTATACTAGTGTTCACACTTGAGACAAAGACACCATACTGTGGTCAGTGACATAACTAACAGGGCCGAGAAGTATATTCTGTATTGAACATCTCTTACCAATGTCATCAAGTAGCTCCTGAGATGGTGGTGGCAGCTCATCAATGTGATGCTGTGAGAAGGCTTCTACTAGTTTTTAAAAAAGACAAAAGGGAAAATGTCTTAACACCCTCCTGGACCTGAACTGAATTTTTCTCGGCTCTCACATAGACTTGACTGAGGATTTCTCTCAATGATGAAACAAACTAAGGAGGAAGGAAGCCTCTTACATAATAGTTCCAGTAGAGACCTCCTAACATGTGAATGGCCTTTACTCCCCACTTCTACCCCAATCCCTTTCCTTTCCTACATCAGCCCTTACCCTGGTACTGCTTGATCTATGCCCCTCCCTTCCTAAGGATATTTGGAGGAGGTAAGGTACAAATTCTTACTAAGTGGCTCAATCTGGACCAGGGCTGCTGGAGGAATACAGAGGTTCTGGACCAGTCAAAATGAACAAAAGCACAAAGTAGGAGGCCTTTAACTAAATATTATCAGGCCAGGGGATTTAGAGGCAACCACACTTTGGGTCTTGCCCCAAGTGCTCAATTATAACATTGACCAAAATACCTCAACATAATTCACAAAATCCCTATCCCCCTGAGGGAAATTCCAAGAGTTATACCAAAGACAGAAGACGTTAAAATTAAAGTAATAAAGGTAATATGCCTCAAGACTGCTAATATTCTCAGACCTTGTGATTTGGAAACTGTCTTCTAAGAATCTATCCTAAGGAAAGGATCAGAGGTACAGATAAAAATTTATGTATAAAGAGCAAAAATTGGAAAATGATATAAATCTTAAACATAAGAAAATGGTTAAGCAACATGTAGAATGGACTATAACTACTACATATATTTATGAACAATTTTTAATAACAAGGGAAAAGCCTCAAAATATAACAAGGGAATAAAGCAGTCCAGAACTGATACACAATATGATCTCACTATGCTAAAACATATTATTATATATTTATAAAAATATTTAAAAGATATGCAAAAAAAAAAGTACATGAGGTTAAAAAAGTGTATAGTCACCTTCTTTGTTAAGCTTTTATTTATTCTCCAAGTTTCCTACAATGAGTGTGTTTTACTTTTATAATCATGGGGAAAACAGCATTTCTGTCTGAACCTAATGTGGCATCAAAGATTGATAAGCATCAATTTAAGCCTCCTTGATTATAAACTTCTATTTTGATATTAAACACAGGGTACCTTTAGGCAGGCTCCTTCTCTGGGTGGCATGGGGTGGTGATGAGTCACATGCCTTAACAAGGCTGGGGGATCCAGCCCCAATAAATGAAGACAATCTTTTCTATAAGGAAGAGATAAACATGGTAACTGTCATGTGTGTTGAGCTAAAAAGGCATATGCAGCTCAGTCATTTCCAGTTGTTTTGTTGATTAAGTCAAACTCACTCACATGTCACCTCCTCTGGGAAGCCTCCTTTTTTTTTTTTTTTTTTTTTTTTTTTGAGATGGAGTCTTACTCTGTTGCCCAGGCTGGAGTGCAGTGGCACAATCTCAGCTCACTGCAACCTTCACCTCCCGGGTTCATGCAATTCTCCTGCCTCAGCCTCCCAAGTAGCTGGGATTACAGGTGTGTACCACCACGCCCAGCCAAATTTTTTTCTGTATTTTTAGTAGAGACGGGGTTTCATCATGTTGGCCAGGCTGGTCTCAAACTCCTGATCTCAAATGATCCACCCACTTCAGCTTCCCAAAGTGGTGGGATTACAGGCATAAGCCACTGCATCTGGCCTGGGAAGCCTTATCCCTGACTGCCTCCTCAGCACTCAGTACTTACCGCTGTGTTACATCAGGCCTGTCTTTCTCACTAGACAGTGAGCTCCTTTGAGGCAGGGATCATGTCTTTCTTATTCACACTTGGATGCCTTGAAGAGGGCCTGACATGGTGCTTGGCACTTAGAATCTGCCCAATTAACGGTTAAATGAACACATAAAATTCCTTGTCATCTCCCTACTTCAAAGTGAGACCTTTTTTGAGCCAAATACCAAAAAAGTTGACAATCAATTTTTCATAAAGGAACTTGTACTTTTCTTTTCTTTTTTTTTTTTTTTTTGGAGACAGGGTCTCACTCTGTCGCCCAGGCTGGAGTGTAGTGGTGCAATCACAGTTCACTGCAACCTCGACCTCCTGGGCTCAGGTAATCCTCCCACCTCAGCCTCCCGTGTAGCTGAAACTACAGGCACATGGCACCATGTCCCAGCTAATTTTCTGTATCTTTTGTAGAGATGGGGTTTCGTCATGCTGCCCAGGCTGGTCTCAAACTCCTGAAATCAAGTGATCTGCCCGCCTCGGTCTCCCAAAGTGCTGGGATTATAGGCTTGAGCCACTGTGCCTGGCCAGAACTTGTAGTTTTCCTGACTAGGGTACACATATGAGAAAGGGAGAGGAAAAGAAAAAAAAAGGAGGAAGAAGTAGAAGAAGAGGAGGAGAAGAAGGCAGTATATGATTAAGTGTTTTTCCTGCAGGTTATTAGTTCAGGAGTTCAGAGAACAGTAGAGATCGATCAAAACTCTCAGGGAAGTAACCAGGGAAGGCTTTAAGGAGGAAGCAAAACTTAAGCCTCCCATAATATAGACTCAAGAGAGGAGTCCCAGGCAAGCCAGGAGAGGACCCAGCTTATTTCTTGCTTTCTTAATGAATTTGGAGAAATCTTGGCAGTTTGGGTCACTGGGCCCTTTGGGCTGACTCCATGAGTTTGTAACGTGGAATTGATATACTTACAAGACCAGTCAGTCTTGAAGGGGGAGTTTCAGAGGAAGTAAGGAGAGAATCCAGTTTCTTTGCTCTCTCTCGGACACTTATAAAGTCATCAGACAAAGTTTGAATAAATTCTTGACTGTTCCAGCAAGAGGCAAACTCTGTCTTAACCTGAAATGTGATACTTTCAAGGCAGTCTTTATACTGACTGGCAGCTGAAGAAACGGACCCTGTTGGAGAAAAGCGGAAGGTTACTGTCTGAATCCTTTATATTATTTCTCCTTTTTTCCTTTTTCCCTTTGTTTTTGTTTTTTCTGCCCCAATATGATGTGCAGAAATGAATCTTTTACATTATTAAAACAAACAAACAAACAAACAAACAAACAAAACATCCAAACCCACAAACCTATACCTATACTAAGGATTTTCCAAATTGTTAATAACTGAAATAAGGCCGGGTACGGTGGCTCACGCCTGTAATCCCAGCACTTTGTGGGAGGCCGAGGTGGGTGGATCACGAGGTCAGGAGATCAAGACCATCCTGGCTAACACGGTGAAACCCTGTCTCTACTAAAAATACAAAACATTAGCTGGGTGCGGTGGCGGGCGCCTGTAGTCCCAGCTACTCGGGAGGCTGAGGCAGGAGAATGGCATGAACCCGGGAGGCGGAGCTTGCAGTGAGCCGAGATTGCGCCACTGCACTCCGGCCTGGGCAACAGAGTGAGACTCTGTCTTTAAAAAAAAAAAAAAAAAAAATTACTGAAACAATCATTGATCTGAGACACAGCTCCTCATGGTATAAAAAATAATAGTCTCTAAACTTGGCCTCTAAACTTTACCAAAATAAAATAAACGGTGATTTTTTAAACCACAAATATATTGGAAGTAAGGCCACTAAAGAGAGGATATTTGATGCTGGTTGCATATGGTTGCAGGACTTAAGAACTATATAAAGTTTAAGCACAAGGTACTGTTTTAAGTTGCAAACTCTACAAAGCTCAATGTTTTTGTACTAAATTCAGTAGTGCTTAGAGGAGATGTAGCATTTGCATGGCTTTACCACTGCAGTTCTAACCAAAACCTCCTAACGGCTGCCCAATAATCACCACCACCATCACCCCGCCCCCTGGCCTACAATGGGATTACCCAGTTTTGGCCCTAAAGAAAAACCTTTGCACTATGACAACACAGCCACCAGCTCTGATACCACGGCTTGGCTTCCCAGAGACAATGGGCTGGGGCTGTAAGTCCTTCTCCCCAAACACTTCTCTTCCCTGTGATTACCTGGGCTGAGTGGAGTGCTGACACTGGTAGGTGCATGGTTTATTTTGGGTGTTTTGCATGAAGCTTCCTTAAAAGAGCTGTCTGGTTCATAGGAGATACTAGACAGGTCTTGAATATCCGTCAATGATCTAAAGAATTAAGAGCACACAGTAATGATGAGAAGATGACTAGAAAAATCAAACAATATATTCCTGAGAGGTACTTTTTAAGTATAATCTTAACAAAATTTGTATGTGGCAATAGGCCAGAATTAGAGAATATCTTAGAACATCTTATGTATCTTAAAGAGAATATTAGAGAACATATTTAAAAGAGATTGTAACTTTATTACCAAAGAGACTTTTTTTTGGCGGCAGGGACAGAGTTTTGCTCTTGTCACCCAGGATGGAGTGCAATGGCATGATCTCGGCTCACTGCAACCTCCGCCTCCCGGGTTCAAGTGATTCTCCTGCCTCAGCCTCCTGGGTAGCTGGGACTACAAGCGTGTGCCACCATGCCTGGCTAATTTTAGTATTTTTAGTAGAGATGGGATTTTACCATGTTGGCCAGGCTGGTCACGAACTCCTGATCTCAGGTGATCCGCCCACCTCAGCCTCCCAAAGTGCTGGGATTACAGGCATGAGCCACCACACCTGGCACCATAGAGACTTTCTTTGCTAGATACTGTAACTTTAAACATATCAGCAGCTAAAAATAAACTATTTCCATAGATGAAATATTCCATATTTCCAGGATATTTACGTGGAAAACAGATTTAATCTACCTTAAGCGTAAACTTATTATTATTATGATTATTATTATCATCACTACATTTCCTTGAGTGTAAGCTGCTATTAGTTATAAATCATATCACCAATTTGATAACAACTTTTTGGTGAAAGAAGCAGCATACTCACATTAAGTCTACACGTAAAAATGGAAAGATCCTTACAAACAAGAATATACTATTCCCTTAAAACCAAGACTTTACACAAGCATCCCTAGGCATTCTCTTTGGTGATCATACATGTCTTTCTCTTTCAGTTCCTTTGGTGACTCCTTTGATGTCTCTTCTTGTTCATCTTCAGTACTGTGAGAAAGAAAGTAAGAAAATTACATAAATCCCCTCTGTGAACAAAGTACACTAACTACTTGCTACAAGGAACCAGTTGATCAGCCCAGTGTGAGACGCAGAGGAAAGGGCACTAAGCTCAGGAGTAGAAAGTGTGAGTTCTGTGCCAGGCACGTTGGCTCACGTCTGTAATCCCAGCACTTTGGGAGGCCAAAGCGGGTGGGTCACGAGGTCAACAGATCGAGACCATCCTGGCCAACATGGTGAAACCCCGTCTCTACTAAAAATACAAAAATTAGCTGGGCTTGGTAGCACGTGCCTGTAGTTCCAGCTACTCGGGAGGCTGAGACAGGAATTGCTTGAACCCAGGAGGCGGAGGTTGCAGTGAGCTGAGATCGCGCCATTGCACTCCAGCCTGGGCAGCAAGAATGAGACTCCATCTCCAAAAAAAAAAAAAAAAAAAAAAAAAAGTGTGAGTTCTGGTTCTGGCTGTACTACTAGCTGCGAGTTCTCTGACATGTCTGGGCCTCATTTTTCTCTCCAGAGTTGAATAAATACTCTCTAAGGGTCAGCTCTGAAATCAGTTAAAGACTCTATACGACTGTGAGCAAATTCATGAGAAAATCAACAGAGCACAGGAACTTTGCTGGGAGGTAAGATATTGGAGCAAAGGGGCACAGCCATGAGGCCTCAGCACCTGTAAGAAGCTTCCTGGCATAGTGTACCAGGAGAGGCCAGAGAGGCTTGTACCAAAAAATGGCCAGAATAGTGAAGACAAACTTGACCTGTTTCTACTTTAACCAATATTTAAGATTCAATGTCAGTACTCACTGAACATTAACTATAAGGCAGATCCCATGCTAAATCCTTCCATGTTTTCACTTTTTTTTTTTTTTTTTTGAGATGGAGTCTCACTCTTGTTGCCCAGGCTGGAGTGCAATGGCGCGATCTCAGCTCACTGCAACCTTCGCCTCCTGGGTTCAAGTGATTCTCCTGCCTCAGCCTCCCAAGTAGCTGGCATTACAGGCATGCGCCACCACGCCCGGCTAATTTTCTGTATTTTTAGTAGAGACGGGGTTTCTCCATGTTGGTCAGGCTGATCTCAAACTCCTGACCTCAGGTGATCTGCCTGCCTCGGCCTCCCAAAGTGCTAAGATTACAGGTGTGAGCCACTGTGCCTGTCCTTCACATTTTTAATCCTTGCAAAAATCCTCTGAGACCAGTGATATAAATGAAAGATCATGGATTTGGGGTTGAGTTGTGACTTTATTAATTCTGTTACCAAAAATGTTTGTTTCTCCTTCTAAATAATACAACAGGACTTTTTGGCCCTCTTGATTTACATAAATGACCACAGAACTTGTTTTAACCAATAAAATATGAGTGAAAGTGATGAGTCACTTCTGGGCAGAAACTTTAACAGCCAGTACACAACTCACCGTGTTCCATTTTTCCTGCCTTAGCAATCAAGGAAGCACAAAAATGGGGCCTCCCTCAGCCTAAGTCTGATAGAAGGCAATATAGCACAGAACATTCCTGGCCAACCCATGAGCCATGGACATGAAGCAGGAGCAAAGAAGAAACTTGTTGTTTTAAACCACTAAAATTTGGGAGTTGTTTACTATATATAGCATAATCTAGTCTATCCTGACTGACTAGCTGAGTGACCTTAGAAAAAAATATTTAAACTCTCTGAACTTTGCTTTCTTTACTGGCAAATGGAGGCAATGGTATGTGCCTCACAGGGTTGTTATGTGGATTAAATCAGACAATGAAACAGAGTGCCTGGCATATGCTAGATATTTAGGAAATACTAGCTACAATAATTATAATTAAGGAAACTGAGGCCCAGAGAGAATAAAATAAATTGAATGTTATTGTGCCAGATACGTTATAACAATTATGAATTTTTTAAACTTTTCTTTTGAGATAATTGTAGATTCACATGCAATTGTAAGAAATACACTTTACTGGCTGAATGCGGTGGCTCACGCCTGTAATCCCAGCACTTTGGGAGGCCGAGGCAGGTGGATCACCTGAGGTCAAGAGTTCGAGATCAACCTGGCCAACATGGTGAAACCCCATCTCTACTAAAAATACAAAATTAGCCAGGTGTGGTGGCACATGCCTATAATTCCGCTACTTGGGAGGCTGGGGCAGGAGAATCACTTGAACCCGGGAGGTGGAGGTTGCAGTGAGCTGAGATCACGCCACTGCAGTGAGCTGAGATCACGCCACTGCAGTGAGCTGAGATCACACAACAAGAGTGAAATTCTATCTCAAGAAAAAGAAAATACACTTTACCCACTTTATCCCAGTGGTAACATCTTGCAAATCTATAGGACAGTATCACAACCAGGATATTGACATTGATACAGTCAAGATACAGAACATTTCTACTACCACAAAGATATTTCTGGTTTACAGCTATGCCTGCTTCCCTCCTTTCCCCACCCCTTCCTTAACCCCTGGCAACCACTCATCTGTTCTTTATTTTTATAATTTTGTCATTTCAAGAATGTTATATTAATGGAATCACACAGTAAATAACTTTTTGGGATTGCTTTTCCTACTCAGCATAATTCTCTGGAAATTTAGCCAAGTTGTTGCATGTATCAATAGTTTATTTCTTTTTACTGCTGAGTAGCAAGCACTCAATGGTATGGATGTACCAAAGTCTGTTTAATCATTTACTTGGTGAAGGACATCCGGGTTTCCAGTTTGGAGGTATTATGGATAAATTTGTTATAAACGTTCCTGTATGTATTTCTGTGTAAATGTAAATTTTCATCTCTCTGGGATAAATGCCCAGGAGTTATATTATTACTTTAAGTTCCTATTGTCAACATTCTCAGTAAGGATTCTTATCCCTGCTTCACAGATGGGAAAATAGAATAGAGGGGTTGAGAACCTTGACAAGGTCACATGAACAGAAAGTCAGAGTCAGATCTAAGTAAAGGTGATGACTCAATCCCTCAAATTCTACTGCACAAGTCCTAACACAGCTAAGCTGCCCAAAGCTAACTTTTATAAGATAGTAGCTAATACATCTGAAGACAAGCAATATATAAACACGGAGCATTATCACCATTTAACATTGCATCTATGAGTTTGAAACTGCATAAGATAATAATAGCCCATACCTTCGTACAGGTTGAAATTGAGACCTGGGCAAAATCTCAGCATTCTTTCCAAGAATTTTTCTCATTTGGAACTTTTCCTCACCTGAAAGAATAAAGTTAAAAATATATATATATATTTTTTTTTACTGAATCTTTGTCAACCCAAATTATTGTCACCATTCCCTAGAATGTCCCTTGGTCTGGTCCAGAATTAGAAATAATCTGGATAAACAAAGTGCTGCCCTAATTGGGTTTGGATTGAGTGCTGTAGAAGAGGTTTTTGCTCTGAAAGTTTATTTTCCTTGCTCAGAGCACAGAACTATATTCTGACACTCAGAATACAATCAAGCTATTTACTGGCCTTTCAGTTATAACCACAGTTATTTCTGAAGACAAATGTTGTTTTGTCTTTTTAAGAAGGCAAACTGACCCGGTTCCTGTCAACAGACGCCAGGGGGCGTTGAAAACAAGAACTGTTTGTTAACTAAACAGCCCCGAACTCTAACTATGCCACTTGGCCATCAAACACTAGGTGTGGGCGTGGGCGTGGGCGTGGGGTCTTGAGTACTGAGGAGCTAATTCAACTGTCTTCTGTTCTTCTTGGCATCAAGTTATCTGAAGTTACTCCTCCCCAGTTCTCAGTAAGATGCTTTGCTCCAGGCAGGCAGGGCCAGTATCCATTTTCCTTCCCACCACTGTACTGTCCTAGTTAATAAAGAAGGGGGCAGATGGAGCATCCAGCCCTGTTTCCAAATGCCTATGACTCCCCCACCCCCATCCCATTCCTTAGGTCCAGGTGGTCTGGTAGACACTAAGAAGGCCCATCAGAACAATGCCACCTTTCACAGCTACCAAGGAGCTCTGAAACCCCACCAGTGGAGAGACATTGGGGGTTCCTCTTCCTCTGACCCTTTTAAAATGATAAATATCCAGAAAGCATAAACTAATTCCTAAGAAGCAACATTTAGAGCTTAGAGACTTTAGAGTCCGACCCTCTCCTTTACTTTATACCAGGGGAAAGTAGGGCCCTGGGGTGAAGTGACTTGCTGAAGGTTATGCAGAAAAAGTCAGTGGCAGAATGGGTCTTGGAACCTAGCATGCTGCATCCTGTACCCCTGTTGTGTCCTCTCATGTGGAAGGGGATATATATCAGAACAGTAGAAGGAAAAGGGGGCAGAGAGGGGCAGAAAGAAGTGAATGGAGTAGAAATCAGAGACTTTTTCACATACTTCATGTGTCTGTATTAAACTAGCTCTGGTTATCTGACCTGTCTGCCCTAAACTTTTCCATCCCACTCAACTCACCTCCACATACAAGTTAAGTGGCCACATACAAGGCAGGTCCAAAAAAGAGGCTCTGCAGGAAGAGGTGGGTGGCCCAAGGCTCTGGAGACTTTTAATACATATTATGCTGAGACTTTAAGTAAAAGTTGATCTAAAAGCTTACAGCTTCTTAAAATGCTCCCAACTCTGGCAGGGGCCTTCACAAGGTTACAGTTGGAAGCTGGAGTATGCAGTGGAAGAAGGGAGTAAGTTCATAACACTACGCTGTTTGGGTTTAGACGGTTGAGACATGACCATGGATAGCTACACAGGTTGGTAGGTGGATAACTCTACTTTTAAAATAGATGAGTACATACCTTAAAAGAACAAGAGTACACAATTTTAAAAATGTAACAAAGCCAACAGTTAACTTATATCTGTCTGGTGCCACATCCCTGGCTACTGATCCAAGGCTACCTTCTCATCTAAAAGAAAGCCCCTGCTAAGTTATATAGAACCCAAGGCCTCCCAAGTGGTAGATGTTAAGTTGAATCTGCATTGTTAACTGTTACTAACTCTTTGCTAAGATGCTAAGCAAGCAAAGGAAAATGCTGGTGACACTGCCTTCTGGGGAGAAGAAATACATGAAAACCTAGTTCTAATTTTGTTATGTTAATAACTAGCTATGTAGCTTGGGCAAATCCCCCAGGTCAGCTTAGCAAAGATAACTGCACTTGCTATGTGGCACACCAAGGAGCCTGAAAGCTTGAGAGACCAAAGGGGGAAAAAGCAGTGACTACAACAACATTTGCTATAAAAATGCAAGGGGAGGTATAAATAATACAACACGTGGATGTCATGAGGTTGGTGAGGAGGAAGGGATTTGTTCTATTGAGGAGAAATCATTGAACCTTGGTTTTCTCAACCATATAATGAAAGGTTTGGACGAGGCTGTCCCTCAGGATCCCCCCAGCTCTAAACATCTGTGATCCAACAGAAGAAATTTAAGGGAAGTGATTCTCAAGGAATCTTCCCTAAGGGCTTATTACCAGAGACTTGAGGTTGGGCAAATGCACCTTGTATTCCTTCAAAGTCCTCTTCTATGGGACTCGAGGTCTAAAAAAGAACAAAAGAAAAGCAAAGAAAGGAGGTTCACTGGAGGCAGACATATTAAAAGGTCAATAATTTCTTGATGTTCTTAAATCTTGAAAATCTTCATAAGATCCCTGCATCTTTATAGAAAAAGCACAAACTTGCTTCCTAGACATTAAGTACTTATTTGTATCATATGTCCTCTCCTCAGTAAGTCCTCCCTCACCTCTCATTGTGAAGAGGAATTATGTGACTCCGCCTCCTTATATCACTATCCCTATTCAACCCAATCTTCCAACAAAGATATTTTGGTTCTTGGGAGCTTTATCAGAAGAGCTAAAGAAGGCTTAAAAGCTGGCCCAGTCTGCAAAACTACTCTACGAGGTAAGAAGTCAGAACAATGGTTCCTTTTGGAAGAGGCAGTGACTGGATGGGATCACAAGGGGTCTTTTGGGGACTAGTAATGTTTCATTTCCTTTTTTTCAAACAAGGTCTTGCTATGTTGCTCAAGCTGTTCTCAAACTCCTGAGCTCAAGCAATCCTCCCGCCTCAGCCTCCTAAAGTGTTGTGATTATAGACATGAGCCACCACACCTAGCTGAAATTATATATATATATTTTTTGAGACGGAGTCTCATTCTGTCGCCCAGGCTGGAGTGCAGTGGCACGATCTCAGCTCACTGCACCCTCTGTCCCCCGGGTTCAAGCAATTCTCCTGCCTCAGCCTCCCGAGTAGCTGGGAATACAGGCACCTGCCACTGCGCCCGGTTAATTTTTGTATTTTTAGTAGAGACGAGGTTTCACCATCTTGGCCAGGCTGGTCTTGAACTTCTGACCTCACGATCCACCCACCTCGGCCTCCCCAAGTGCTGGGATTACAGGCGTGAGCTACCGCGCCTGGCCTGAAATTACATCTTTGATGCATCCTAGAATTCTTATCAGTCAAATACTGTGATTGACACAATCCTCCCTTTCATATAGGTAAAAGATCCCAAAAAGGTGCCAGGTTAGCAGGGAGGTAGGGTGGAAAATAAGTAAATAAGAGAATTCATCAAAATTCATTTTACAAATGAAAATACTCTGTACAGGAGGTTCTTGTAAAAGCTAGGCAGATTCCCAAGAAAACTTGGTATATTGGACAGTCTCATATTTGTTGCTGAACCCTTGCCTCAATCCTGGCTCTCCCATCACTAAAACTTGGCAGGCTGGAGTTAATTAATTCCGTATATCTGCAGAACACCAGTCTTCCTCAGAGAGAGGAATGATAGCCTTGTCCTTTCCCATTAGGAAGTATGAATTAAGTAGCATGAATAAAAACATTTTGAGCCAGGCATGGTGGCTCACGCCTGTAATCCCAGCATTTTGGGAGGCCGAGGCGGGCGGATCACGAGTTCAGGAGTTTGAGACCAGCCCGACCAACATGGTGAAACCCCATCTCTACTAAAAATACAAAAATTAGCTGGGTGTGATGGCACACGCCTGTAATTCCAGCTACTCAGGAGGCTGAGGCAGGAGAATCGCTTGAACCCGGGAGGCAGAGGATGCGGTGAGCCGAGATCACACCACTGCACTCCAGCCTGGGTGACAGAGCGAGACTCTATCTCAAAAATTAAAAAAAAAAAAAAGTTTTGAAAAAAAAGTACAAAGTGCTGTATAAATGCAGTAACCACAATTTTGGGAGAAACTGCACATGACTTCCCATCCTCAAAAATAAAAAAATTTTCAGATGTTTTTCAAAACACGTATGAATGCATGGGTTCATATCACACTCCTGACACCAAAAAAGGTATAAAAAATCCTGGTAGACATTACATACTTTGATATGTAAGCTATTTTTCTCAATAAAAGAAATAAGGCAATGGAGAAAGGTGAAAAGGTACTTTACCCTGAACTGCGTTTTTTACCTCTAGAGCTAAGTTTTCTTGAGCAGTCGAGGAGTAAAAATATTCACCGTCTGGAGTTAAAAATTCATCTGTTATATCCTCAGAAGACTCTGGTGAACAAGTTGATTGCATGGACTGATGCTATTAATAATGTAGGAAATCACTTTTAAGTTGCTGTTCATTGTAACGAAATCCCTTTATAGTTGGATGCAGTGTTAACAACGGGGTTATCTAACACTACCCAGCAGTCAGTGTGACACTGAGCTGACTCTCCCTACCTCTTTGTGCATGTGCCTCTGCCTTCCCTTCCTGGTGGGGAAAAGCAGCTGTTAACTGACTGGAATAGCATGAAGGAATGCTAATCCTGAGCCTCAGCATCATCATCTGCAGAATGGGTGGAGATGAGGTGACCGTCCTATTCTAATATTCTAAATAAGGAGAAAGGCCCTAGTCAACTCAAGTTGAGGACTGAATTTAAACACACTAATCCCTCACAGGCAGAGACATAGCCCATGTGTTGGCATCATCTTACAGATGAGGAGGCTGCGGCTACTCAGAACCTGTGAGTCCCTTGAGTATTATAGGTTAAAGGCAAATGAAGAAGCATTTTAAAAACAGCAATGTAGTCTCAATAATAAAAATAAAATAGTAAAAAGCAGCAAATTTATATTTACTTATTTATTTTTCTGAGACAGAGTCTCTCTCTGTCACTCAGACTGGAGTGCAGAGGTGCGATCTTGGCTCACTGCAACCTCCACCTCCCAGGTTCAAGTGATTCTCCTGCCTCAGCCTCCTGAGTAGCTGGGACTATAGGCATGTGCCACCATGCCCAGCTAATTTTTGTATTTTTAGTAGAGAGGGGTTTCACTATGGTGGCCAAACTGGTCTTGAACTCCTGACTTCGTGATCTGCCTGCCTCTGCCTCCCAAAGTGCTGGGATTACAGACATGAGCCACCACACCCGGCCTGCAAATTTCTTTTTTTTTTTTTTTGAGACAGAGTCTTCCTCTGTCACCCAGGCTGGCGTGCAGTGGCATGATCTCGGCTCACTGCAGCCTCCGCCTCTGGGGTCCCAGTGATTCTCCTGCCTCAGCTTCCCAAGTAGCTGGGATCACAGGTGTGTGCCACCACACCTGTCTACTTTTTGTATTTTTAGTAGAGATGGGGTTTCACCATGTTGGCATGGCTGGTCTCAAACTCCTGACCTCAAGTGATCCTCCCACCTCGGCCTCCCAAAGTGCTGGGATTATAGGTGTGAGCCACCGCGACCGGCCTGCAAATTTATTTCTTTAGCATCTCTGCTCCACCCCTTTTTTCCTGCTTATTTCACAATATTCAGGACCTGATTACTATGTGGCCAAACAAATGGCTCACTTCAGTCTTTTTTTTTTTTTTTTTGAGACATGGTTTCATTCAGTCCACCCAGGCTAGAGTACAGTGGCGCAATGACAGCTCACTGCAGCCTTGAACTGCTGGGCTCAAGCGATCCTCCTGCCTCAGCCTCCCGAATAGCTGAGACTACAGGTGCACACTATCATGCCTGACTAATTTTTATTTTTTTTAGACAGGGTCTCACTCTGTCCCCCAGGCTGGAGTGCAGTGGCCTGATCATGGCTCACTGCAGCCTCAACCTCCCCAGACTCAGGTGATCCTCCCACTTCAGCCTCCCAAGTAGCTGGGACTAGAGGCATGCAGCATATCCAGCTAACTTTTGTATCTTTTGTAGAGATGGGGTCTTGCCATGTTGCCAAGGCTGGTCTCAAACTCCTGGACTCAAGCAATCTGCCCACCTTGGCCTCCCAAAGGGCTGGGATTACAGGAGTGAGCCACTGCACTCAGCTGATTTTTACATTTTTTTGTAGGCAGGGTCATACTATGGTGCCCAGCCTGGTCTTGAACTCCTGGCTTTAAGCGATCCTCCAGCTTCAGCCTCCCAATGTACTGGAATTATAGGTGTGAGCCACTACACCCAACCTTCAGTGATCTCTTGGCAGAGATTTTGTGACTAATTTCCTCGGACACTGCTTTTTGCCACACACTTCCCTTCCTGTGCACTTAACAGCTGCTCCTCTTTACCTCTCATCAAACTGAATTCGTCCTGGCCTCCGGCAGACATTCCCCACTTTCCTGCCTAGGCCTGCTTCTCCAGCTCAGCCAGTATGGTTAATATGACTGTTCTTCCAGCCCTCAAGTCCGAGAAAGAATAAGTTGATCTTATGAATGGTTCATATGCCATGATTAAATACAATAGGTCAAAAGACCTTACATTTTATCACTATTGTATTCATATATTGTATCATTCTCAATTGCTGTCTATATTCTTTAAATGATTGCAATCCCATGTCAATGACAATAAAAAAATTTTGGTTTCTTAGTCTGGCTGCGCTATGGCCTAGAGTGTGTTAAAGCCCTGAAGCAAGGCTGTAACTGCAGTGGAAACGCATATAGATCCTGCTGAGGTGCAGTTGTCAGGCACAAACACATCACTTCCACTGAGCTGGGTGCTGAGTTTGGCCCTTAGAGGATATTCCAGGTGAAGATACTCTCATAGCAACCCTGCCCTTGCTTTTCCTACTCCTAACTGACCTCAGTCGCCTGCTGGGGAAGGAGCTTTGCCCTAGTTTTGTTTAGCAAACTATGCCAGAAACTCATGTGCCAAAGCTGAATCTGACACTTTTCTGTACTCTCCCAATCTCCAGGATACACAATTCATTGAGTTGAACTGACTTTTTAAAAAGTATCAGACAGGAGGAAAGATTATTTTATTCATGTCAGTGACATGAAGGCACATGCTCCAGCCAAAAAGAACTACTATAGCTATTATTTTGGTGTCATAACACATAACAATAACTCAGTTCTATCTTATTAGATCTTTGGGTTCAACTTGGCTTTCCAGGCAGTATTACTTACACTGTAAGATTTCTCTACAGCCACCAATGTGTCAGAACTTGCTTGGAAGGCTTCACTATGCTCTGGTTGCTCCTTTTGTCTGGGAGATGGGTGCCTGATACCTAATGATTGTAACACAGTCAGGGTCAAAGTCATTCAGTGATATTCAGACAACATGGAAGAGGATAAAGGTGGCATGAAAGAAGAGATGTATACATATTCTGCCAAGAGTGGCCATGTCCCATACGTTAGGTTCAGTCCAGAGAGTAGAGACTGTTAGTTTAGCCTGACCCCAAAATGCAGCCCTGGATCATCTGCCCACCCATTCGAGAGTGATGCTTGACAAGAAACAGATTCTAAATACAAATAATACCCAAGCCAATAGATTTTCTGCCTAAGACAAATGACAAGTTTAGATGTATCTTTCTTTAACTTATAAACAACTGTGAAACAATATCCATGCCCTGATTATAAGCAAATTATCAACTGAAAATATACAGCCTTCATTTTTTTTAACCTGTAAATCTATAAACCGATGACAATAAATGTCATGTGTCTCTAGGTTCCTCCAGCATAGACTCTCTGGAAAAATTTAATGCCAGCTTAGAATACATTCTAAATAAATTCTGGGAGAATTTAATTTCAGCTTAGAATACAATGCAGAGACATGGGCAGTAGGCAGTGATGGCCTACCTCTATCCCCAGGTAAAGAAGGATCGATTCCTCGCCAAAACCAGGGTCAGTATTTGATTATTTTACTTCCTTTGGACAAAGGGACCTGTTTCAGTAATATAAAAACTGATCAGTGTCTGGATCTGTTTGCCTGTGGGAAATGCAATGAGATATAGGGCTATACTGTCTTCCCCTGGAATTCAAGGTTTCCAGAAAAGTAGGAAAGGAGAGAGGACCAAACCAAAAAAAATATGCTGGAAAGTTTACTTTTTTGAGAGCTGATAACTTTTTTTTACTTTTATTTTTATTTTGAGACAGGGTCTCACTGTCACCCAAGCTGGAGTGCAGTTTCATGATCACAGCTCACTGCAACCTCCACCTCTCAGGTCCAAGTGATCCTCCCACCTCAGCCTCCTGGGTACCTGGAACTAGAGGCGTGTGCCACCACGCCCAGCTAATGTTTTTTTTTTTTTTTTTTTTTTTTTTGTAGAGACCAGGTTTCATCATGTTGACCAGGCTGGTCCCAAATTCCTGGGCTCAGGTGATCCGCTCGCCTCACCTCCCAAAGTGCTGGAATTACAGGCTGAGCCACCTCGCCCGACTGATACTTGATTGAGTTCACCTATCCTGATTCCCGCAAGTGAACTTACTGGTGAAGCTTCCAAGCCTGGGCTGTCTGCCATGCTGGTCACTGTCACAGTCATTGTTGCCCGTCTTGTCAAACTTGCCATTTCCTCTGGGCTCATCATTTTCCCTATGATACTCAATAACTCGCTGCCAATCCGTGTTTTCTGGGCTCCTAATGGGGGGCTGCAGCAGGGCGTCGGGCTCATTTTCAGCCTCGCTCTCTAAAGTCAGACTACTCTGAGGATGCCAAGGAGGTACTGTGAGCTGTCCAGTAGCTGCTTTCTTTGCCATTTCTTTCACCTCCACTGTGCATAAGAGAAAGCAGCATTTAAAACATCACTGTAAACACTGGAAACACAGGCTTTCATCTAAAAGAAATACATAATACTATTATAACTCATAGTGTAACAATTGCCTTTTTACAGTTGCATCATCCTTAGCTTGCCCTGTTTGGCTTGAATGGGAGGTCAGGGGAGAATTGATGACAGAGAGAGAGAAGGGAATTTCAGTCAGTTATCCCAAACAACAGCCCTTGTTGCTTACTTCCAGGGTGAAAGGCAGCAAACAACTTACAGATAGACCCTCTTCCTGTGAAGTTTTAACAGGAAAAATGACATCTATAGTTCTTAGTGTGTAATAATAGAAAGTATTCTATTTGAGTTTGTCTAGTCTTTCCAGACTACACTGAGCTCATATTTTTGGAATGCATACATATATGCATGTTTTCATTTCAAATGTTGTCAAACACTTCTGCTAATGTCACTTACGACTAGTATTAAAAATAGACATTATATCCTTTAAGCCTGTAAGAGAAAACTGATACAAAGAATAATGCCCACAGGATATGAGAGTGACACTGCATACTCTCCACTTTTATAATGTTATATAGTAAATATCTATGTAGCAGTTCCTCAAATAATGTCATTTTATTCAACATTGTTTCATTGTAACTCTGATGAGAAAAAAAAAAAACAATCAATTCCCAGCTGGGGCCACTGTCTGTGTGGCACTTGCATGTTCTCCCCGCATCTGCATGGGTTTTTTCCAGGTAGTCCGGTTTCCTCCCACATCCTAAATATGTGCACGTTAGGTGAACTAGTGTGTTGAAGTTGCCCCAGTCTGTGTGAGTGGGAGTGTGTGAGTACACTCTGCAATGGAATGGTGTCTGTCTAGGGCTGGTTCCCTCCTTGTACCCTGAGTTGCCAGGATAGGTTCCAGCCACCTGTGACCCTGAACTAGAATAAACAGGTAATTACTTATCTTACTTGTTTTTATTAATCTCTCTTAAATGTGTACATAGCTCACATTTATTTCAATGTTTAATATTAGAAGTGTCTTGGTCTTTATTTAGAAGTATGGTGATGTATTTGTGACCAGAAATATGCTATAGGAACTTAACTCTTGCTTACATCAATTAGCCCATGGTAAAATTGGTTTTGTTATACATCGTTTTGCTTAAAGTCGTAGTTTGCTTAAAGTCATTGTCATTTCCTATTAACAGAATAAGGTGAGGACTTATTGTATTGTGCACTGTTTTGTTACATTTCTTATACAATATACATTTATATATTAGAAATATTTCCTATAAAGTCTAGAAATTAAAAAAAAAGCATTTCCCTTCTGAAGTCTGTAGTCAGAAGGGCCCTGCTTTTAAAATGAAATATAATAAAAGAAAAAAATTCAGAAGGACATTGCTATGGTTCTAAATGTGCAACACAGGTTGTGTACTTAGAAATATCAACCACATTAGAAATATACTTTAAATTTCATTTTGTCTAATAAAACCCATGACTTTATACTCACTTTTCCATTTTAAGTGTACCTTTCCATCATCTTTATTTCTGGACTCTGCATTATAGATTTCAGAAGAAACAGGTTCCACACTCATCCTGAATTGCACGGGTTTTTTGGAGGTAGGGGGAGCGGGGTGGACACAAACACATCAGTTTGCTCAAGTTCTTGACAGAACCAAAAGCCCACCAGCCCATCCAGAGGACCTGTTCCCTACTCCCTAAGCCATTCCTAGAGTTGCACTGACCCCTTTGCACCAGCAGAGGGTGCCAGAACCCACCCCCACCCCCGCTCCACCACCAGTTTCCAGCCCACAAGGATCCTTACCTGGTAGAGTCCCAGTGACAGCTGGGTGATGCAGAAGGTCCCTGCCGGTGGCTTGACAGAGTGAAGAGTGCACTATTAAACTGTGTGGCTTTGGCTTGGGCAGTGGACTCTCTAGGTCTTCCCTGGCTAAGAAATGAAAGGACTGAGCTATAAGATCTCTAAGAGTATTTTTAGTTTCTAAGTTTAGATTTCATGATTATAAAAGTGCTCTTGGGAGATTTTCAGAGGTAGAAGAAACCCGCAGTTGAAGCGCAGTTTCACAAGACACAATCCCTGGGCTGTTGCAGAGCCTCCCCTGCAAATGCCACAAATCACAGGTGATGGTTCAGGTGAGGGTTCTGCTCCTGCCCGTCCATCAGAATTCTCTGGTAACAGGCCCACCTTCATATCAGTGACAGCACAATAACATTTGTAGTTGTTGAGACAGAGTCTCAGTCTGTCACCCAGGAGTGCAGTGGTACGACCTCAGCTCACTGCAACCTCCGCCTCCTGGGTTCAAGCAATTCTCATGCCTCAGCTTCCCAAGTAGCTGGGATTACACATGCACGCCACCATGCCCGGCTAGTTTTTGTATTTTTAGTAGAAAATTATGTTGCCCAAGCTGGTCTTGAACTCCTTATCTCGAGTGATCCACCCACCTCGGCCTCCCAAAGTGCTAGGATTACAGGTGTGAGCCACCATGCCCGGCCTAACGTTTGTAAAAACAGTCTTAAGGCATCAGAGATCCTGAAGAACATTCAGAGACCTTCAATCTAGTCCCACTGAATTCTAGACCCTGACCTACCACTAGGTTACTATCTGACTTTGGCAAACATCAATCTCTCTAGGCCAAGGCTTCCTCATTTGCAACATAAAGGCGTCTTTTTTTCCTCTAAATATCCCATAACTAGCCAGGATGGTGGCTCAGGTCTGTAGTCTCAGCTACTTGGGAGGCTAAGGCAGGAGGATTACTTGAGCTCAGGAGGTCAAGGCCAGCTTGTACAACATAGTGAAACTCTGTCTCCAGAAAAAAAATAAACAAATAAAGTTTATAAATATCTCATGAACATGTACATTTTATCATCTATTCAATTAACTTTTCAAAAACGCATGAACTGGCTGGGCACGGTAGCTCACACCTGTAATCCCAGCACTTTGGGAGGCCAGGGCAGGCGGAGGCCAGGAGTTGAGGTGAGCCTGGCCAACATGGTGAAAACTCTATACTAAAAAAACAAAAAATTAGCTGGGCATGGTGGTGCATGCCTGTAATACCAACTACTCAGGTGGCTGAGGCATGAGAATTGCTTGAACCCGGGAGGCGGAGGTTGCAGTGAGCTGAGATCACACCACTGCACTCCAGCCTGGGTGACAGAGCGAGACTCTATTTCCAAAGAAAAAAAAGTGTAGGCTGGGTGCAGTGGTTCATGCCTGTAATCCCAGCACTTTGGGAGACCGGGGCAGGTGAATCATGAGGTCAGGAGTTCAAGACCAGCCTGGCCAACATGGTGAAACCCCGTATCTCCTAAAAATACAAAAAATTAGCTGGGCATGGTGGCGGGCGCCTGTAATCCCAGCTACTTGGGAGGCTGAGGCAGGAGAATCTCTTGAACCCGGGAGGCAGAGGTTGCAGTGAGCCAAGATCCACTGCGCTCCAGCTTGGGCAACAGTGCGAGACTCCGTCTCAAAAAAAAAAAAAAAAAAAAGTGTGTGCTCTGTGGCACAGATATGAATTCCCTGTTATCTAGAATGCCCTACTCTCCAGCTGGACCAGAAAGCAGAGAGACTGCTGAATCAGAGAGGGTAGATCTGATCAGCTTCCTTTTTAAAAAAATAAAATTCTTTTGGAGATAGGGTCTGACTCTGTCACTAGGCTGGAGTACAGTGGCACAATCACAGATTACTGCAGGCTCAACTTCCCAGGCTCCAGCGATCCTCCCACCTCAGCCTCCCAAGTAGCTGGGACCACAGGCACCTGCCACCACAGCCAGCTAGTTTTTGTATTTTTGGTAGGGATGAAGTCACACAATGTTTGTTGCCCAGCGTGGTCTCAAACTCCCAGACTTCAAGCGACCCTCACACATTGGCCCCATAAAGTGAACTGAGATTGGCCAGGCGTGGTGGCTCACGCCTGTAATCCCAGCACTTTGGGAGGCCATGGCGGGCAGATCACAAAGTCAAGAGATGGAGACCATCCTGGACAACATGGTGAAATCTTGTCTCTACTAAAAATACAAAAATTAGCCGGGTGTGGTGGTGCACGCCTGTAATCCCAGCTACTCAGGAGTCTGAGACAGGAGAATCGCTTGAACCCAGGAGGCGGAGGTTGCAGTGAGCCGAGTTTGCGCCACTGCACTCCAGCCTGGCGACATAGCAAGACTCTGTGTCAAAAAAAAAAAAAAAAAAAAACCATGAACTGAGATTGCGCCACTGCAAGGAAGCCTGGGCGACAGAGCGAGACCCTGTCTTAAAAAGGAGGGGAAAAGAATCCTTAAAATCTTCAAACCCTTTGACCAAGTAATTCTGCTTCTGAGAATCCATCCTGAGGAAATAATCCAAAATGCAAAAACAAAGCATTATTTACAAGTAACTGTGTCCCTATTCATAACAGAATAAAGAATGAAGCAACCTAAAATTCAACAATAGGTGAAATCCAACTATTTTTGTTGTTGTTGTTGTTGTTGTTGTTGTTGTTGTTGTTTGAGACAGGGTCTTATTCTGTCGCCCAAACTGGAATGCAGTGGCATAATCATGGCACTGCAGCCTTGACCTCCCCAGGATCAGGTGATCCTCCCACCTCAGCCTCCCAAGTAGGAGAGGGTGTGGGTCTACAGCCGCACACCACCATGCCTGGCTAATTTTTTGTAGAGATGGTGTTTTGCCATGTTTCCCAGGGTAGTCTCCAATTCCTGGGCTCAAGTGATCTGCCTGTCTTGGCTTCCGAAAGTGCTGGGATTACAGGTGGGAGCCACCTTGCCCAGCCCAACAATTTCAAAATAAGTTTACAGGGTTTTTTTTTTTTAATAACATAGAGTAATGTTTACATTCTAATGTAAAGTGAAAATCATGACATAAAATTGCTTACACATATCGTAATTGTCACTTTTTTTTTAAGCACACAAAAAGACTAGAGGAACAGGTGGAAAAATGTCAAACTTTTTTTTGGTCTGTTCTTTGTACTTCTGAGGGAAGAGGGTGCCGAGCAGGGGAGGCCACAACAACTATGGGTTTTTCTTTGTCATCTAATGGCTATGTCATCCCATTTGCTTCTATCAGTGGTGTGAGTGCCAAACACTCTGATGCCAGCTAGGTAGTTCTTCATTATTCCCTTCATAGGAATAAAATCCACTGATCTAAAATGTCTGGCTGGGCGCGGTGGCTCACGCCTGTAATCCCAACACTTTGGGAGGCCAAGGTGGGTGGATCACCTGAGGTCAGGAGTTTGAGACCAGCCTGACCAACATGGAGAAACTCCATCTCTACTAAAAAATACAAAATTAACCAGGCCTGGTGGTGCATGTCTGTAATCCCAGCTACTTGGGAGGATGAGGCAGGAGAATCGCTTGAACCTGGGAGGTGGAGGTTGCAGTGAGCCAATATCGCGCCATTGCACTCCAGCCTGGGGAACAAGGGCGAAACTCCATTTCAAAAATATAAAAAATAAATAAATAAAATGTCTGGACATTTTCCTTCATTTTCCCTTACATACATATTTGCCAACATGAAACAAACAGCAAACTCGTCATTAGTCTCAATCACCACTAGGGCGAGGAATAAAAAGTTTTTTTTTCCAGGAGAACTGACTTCAAAGTTGTGGATTAGTGCTACCATTTATCCACAGGAAAAAAAAAAAACAAAAAAAAACTAAAACTGATATACTAGTCTGTCGTGAAAAACATATATTGGCTGGGAGTGGTGACTTACACCTATAATCCCAGTACTTTGGGAGGCTGAGGTGGGTGGATGACCTGAGGTCAGGAGTTCAAGACCAGCCTGGCCAACATGGTGAAACCCCATCTCTACTAAAAATATAAAAAATTAGCTGGGCATGGTGGTGGGCACCTGTAATCCCAGCTACTCAGGAGGCTGAGACAGGAGGATCGCTTGAACCCAGGAGGTGGAGTTTGCAGTGAGTCGAGATCACGCCACTGCACTCTATCTAGCCTGGGCAACAAGAGTGAAACTCCATCTCAAAAAAAAAAAAGAAAGAAAAAAAAATTATTGCCCTTTTAGTAATTCCCTTACTTATAATACCTAACTAAATTTAAACCAAAAAAAATTTTAATCAATTTTTTAAAAATTGAAAAAAAATTCCCACACACCAAATAAATTTGTTTTACTTAAGTTCGTTCTTTATTTATTTAATTTTTTTTTTTGAGTCAGAATCTCACTCTGTTGCCAAGGCTGGAGTGCAGTGGTGCCATCTCAGCTCACTGCAACTTCTGCCTCCTGGGTTCGAGTGATTCTTTTTTTTTTTTTTTGAGACGGAGTCTTGCTCTATCGCCCAGGCTGGACTGCAGTGGCGCGATCTCCTCTCACTGCAAGCTCTGCTTCCTGGGTTCACGCCATTTTCCTGCCTCAGCCTCCCGAGTAGCTGGGACTATAGGCGCCCGCCACCACGCCCGGCTAATTTTTTGTATTTTTAGTAGAGACGGGGTGTCACCATGTTAGCCAGGATGGTCTCGATCTCCTGACCTCGTGATCTGCCTGCCTTGGCCTCCCAAAGCGCTGGGATTACAGGTGTGAGCCACCGCACCCAGCTGTTCAAGCTATTATTGAGCTTCCACCTCCCAAGTAGCTGGGATTACAGGTGCCCGCCACCACGCCCGGCTAATTTATGTATTTTTAGTAGAGACGGGGTTTCACCATGTTGGCCAGGCTGCTCTCGAACTCCTGACCTCAAGTGATCCGCCCACCTTGGCCTCCCAAAGTGCTAGGATTACAGGCGTGACCCACCACACTCGGCCTGTTTTACTTAAGTTCTTTAAAACTCAGCATGTGTGTGTGTATGTATGAATATATGTATGTATGTATACACATGCACGAATATATGTGTATATGCATATATATGCATGAATACATATATACCTATGTGTGCATGAATACATATACATATATGTATGAATATATTATATATACGTATATGTGTATGAATATATTATATATACATATATGTGTATGAACATATATACAAACACACACACACTCTTCTTCCAGTAATTTGTGCTAAAGTCAATTCATTTCATTCGTCTGGCTGGAAATCACACACCCCAGGGTCATAGTGATGTTGTTCAACTCTCTCTGGAGTCAGTGACACTTACTTTAAACAACCCTGGTTTCCAATTAGTTTAGTTTCTGGAGCACTGGTAAATGGAATACCTGGTGTTTGTTTTTATAAGAAAAACTATCTGGGCAGTTGCGGAAAGGCAAGATGCTTTGCTTCTAACAACTGATGAGTTCTGTCTGATTAACCTGCCAGCCACTTGGGCTTTGATGTCTCCTCAAGTTCCCATGACACTGCTCTTCCTACTCACTCAGTGGGAGAACCTGCCAATCTGCATTACTCTTCTTCATCACTCACAGTCCTTTTGTCACTAGACATAAGAAGATCACTGAGTGGCCTCAGAGACACACAGAAGTCTAAAGGCATAGTGACATTAAGAACAACAAAATGTTGACCCACCTACTGGTATTTTGGATCCTGCTTGTTTCCAAACTGTCCTTGGCTCCTTGAGTGCACTGAAATTGTTCATCTGTGTTCTGTTTTCCAGGGTCACAAAGAGTCGGCAGCTTAAAAAGCAATAAACATGTTTCAGGGCTTTGATGAGAGAATTCCCACTCTCTTCACTGTCACACTATTTTCAAAGCCATTCTTGCTAAATGTATAGAAATAACCAGACCTACCAGGATTTTCCTTTGCATGTTTCCTATCTGCTAACCCATCTCTTATCTGGAGGTCTTTTTTTGTTTTGCTTTTATTTTGAGACGGAGTCTGGCTCTGTCACCAGGCTGGAGTGCAGTGGCAAGATCCTGGCTCACTGCAACCTCCGCCTCTCAGGTTCAAGAGATTCTCCTGCCTCAGTCTCCCGAGTAGCTGGGACTACAGGCGCACACCACCACACCCAGCTAATTTTTGTATTGTTAGTAGAGACAGGGTTTCACCATGTTGGCCAGGATGGTCTCGATATCTTGACTTTGTGATCCACCCACCTCGGCCTCCCAAAGTGCTGGGATTACAGGCGTGAGCCACTGTGCCCAGCTTATCTGGAGGTCTTTACCCAGAAATGTTGGTCTCCAGGAACCTAGCCCAGACAGGATACAAGTGGAGAATAAGCAGACAAGATAGAAATAAAAAAAAAATCCACTTTCCTGAGCATTTTCCCCCTCCTATATGAATATGAAGACAGCAGATCTTTGTGGCAGGAGTAAAGGCCCTTGGGTTCTAGTCTAAGTGTTATTCAGACTAACATAAGAGAATCTTTTTCTTTTTTTTTTTTTTGAGATGGCCTCACTCTGTTGCCCAGACTGGAGTGCAGTAGCCTGGTCTCGGCTCACTGCAACCTCTGATTCCCAGGCTCAAGAGATTCTCATGACTCAGCCTCCTGAGTAGCTGGGATTACAGGTGCGCGCCACTACCACTCAGCTAATTTTTTATATTTCTAGTAGAGACGTGGTTTCACCATGTTGGCCAGGCTGGTCACGAACCCCTGACCTCAAATGATCCACCCTCCTTGACCTCCCAAAGTACAGGGATTACAGGCGTGAGACACCGCACCCTGACACTAAGAGAATCTTGTACTTATCCATAAAGTAAGACCTTGTACTTATCCATAAAATAAGAATGATAATACCTACCACTGGGGATGCTATGAAAATAAAACAGAATACAATAAAGGTTACAATACTTAGGAAACAGCAAAAGTAAAACAAATGAAAGTCTGTGCTCTTTATTCAAGAGACTATTAGCTCTACTTATCCCAATTTTAACATAATTTTAACAAACTTAGTTAATTATATTTCCTAGCCTACAGCAAATTAAGGCAACAAATATGGAGTTTGAGATGGGAGCAAGATGTGTAAAAGTGAGAAGGAGGCACAAAAAATTACTACATGCTCCCTGAAGTATAAGATCCAGAGGCCTTTGTATGGGCAAACACTCCTTAGCAGAAGCTTAAGACAGCCCTATATCATGATGCTTCACCATAACAGGTGTTCAGAAAAATACCACTGTCACCAAGAAAAGGTTAGAATATGTTTAGAATATAATCAAAATAGATATTTAGAATATCATGAAGTTTGTAACGTTTTCATTCAATATAATTAAAATTTTAAGAACTAAGAAATTAAAGAAATAAACTTCAATTGTCTGAAAAATGCATTTAGATGGAGATGGCTTTTTCCCTGATGCTAGAAAAAGAGGGTGATGTTTTTAAGGAAAAAATAAATATGGTATCATTGTTTTATATCCTATGTACTAGTAGATTGTTTCCAGCAGTGGCCGCCATCAATTCCCTCCTGTCCACCCTGCCACGCCTCCTATAAGGAGCTAGAGTCTATTTCCCCACCCAGTGAATCTGGGCTGGCCTCGTGAATTTCTTCGATCAACAGAAAGCAGCGAAAGTGATACAATCCTAGGGTCAGGACTAACTTTTAAGAGGTCTGGTGGTTTTAGCTTTCACTTGCAAAGTCAGCTGCTATGCTGTAGAGAAGCTTGGGTGAGACTATTTATTGAATGACAAGTCAAGTGCAAAGAGAGGCCACCTGGAGGAGCTCAAGGTACCAGACATGTAAGTAGAGGCTTCTTGGACCTTCTTGCCCAGTCCAACCTCCAGCTGACTGCAAACAACTGAGTGATGCTAGCCAATGGCCATGTGGAACAGAAGATCCACTCAGGTGAACCTGTCAAATTCCTGACCCACAGAATTGTGAGAAATAATAAACTATTGTTATTTTAAGCCATTAGGTTTTGGGCTTTGTTGTTGTTGCTACGCAGCAATAGATAACAAAATATAATATATAAAAGTTATTTCAGGCCGGGCGCGGTCGCTCACACCTGTAATCCCAACACTTTGGGAGGCCAAGGTGGGCGGATCACAAGGTCAGGAGTTTGAGACCAGCCTGGCCAATATGGTAAAACCCCCTCTCTACTAAAAATACAAAAATTAGCCGGGCATGGTGGTGCGCACCTGTAGTCCCAGCTACTCGGGAGGCTGAGGCAGAAGAATCGCTTGAACCCGGGAGGTGGAAGTTGCAGTGAGCTGAGATGGTGCCACTGCACTCCACCCTGGGTGACAGAGCAAGATTCTGTCTTTAAAAATTTAAAAAAAAAAAAGTGATTTCTAACAGTTTTCTAGCAAACTCTAATTTTCTATGGAAACAGAAATATTAGGATATAAGTAAATTCTTTGTGCCTTTTTTGTTTGTTTTTGAGACAGGGTCTCACTCTGTTGCCTGTGCTAGAGTGCTGTCACATGATTTCAGCTCACTGTAATCTCAACTTCCTGAGCTCAGGTGATCCTCCCACTTCAGCCTCCCAAGTAGCTGGGACTACAGGCACACGCCACCATGCCCAGCTAATTTTGATATCTTTTGTAGAAACAGGGTTTCGTTATGTTGCCCAGGCTGGTCTTGAACTCCTGGGCTCAAGCGATTAACCTGCCTTGGCCTCCCAAAGTGCTGGAATAAACCACTGCACCTGGCTGTGTCTTCTCTTTATATAAAAACAAATGACAGCTGGGCATGGTGGCTCTTGCCTGTAATCCCACACTTTTGGAGGCCAAGGCGGGTGGATTGCTTGAGCTCAAGAGTTTGAGAGCAGCCTGGGCAACATAGTGAAACCCCATCTCTATGGAAAAAAAAAAAAAGATAAAGAAATAAATACCAGCCGGGCGTGCTGAGACCCCATCTCTACAATTCACAAAATTAGCCAGGTGTGCTGATACAGCCTGTAGTCCCACCTACTCAGGGGTCTGAGGCGGGAGGATCGCTTGAGTCCAGAAGATTGAGGCTGCAGTGAGCCATGACAGTGCCACTTCACTCCAGCAAAAATAAATGCCAATGCTTTTCCAAATGTTCTAAGTGAGGACTGAAGCCTCACTAAGATTCAGTATTGTACAATGAAAGAACAACAGACCAGGAGTCAGGAGACCTGCCCCTAACCAACTTGGCCCTTGGTTGTAGCACAGCAAGTTGAGAGGTGGCAGGGAGAGCTATCTTCCCTGTATAGGCAATAAAAGGGTGATATGGCCAGGCACGGTGGCTCATGCCTGTAATCCTAGCACTTTGGGAGGCTGAGGCAGGTGGATCACCTATGGTCAGGAGTTCAAGACCAGCTGGGCCAACATGGTGAAAACCTGTCTCTACTAAAAATACAAAAAATTAGCCAGGCATGGTGGCACGTGACTGTAGTCCCAGCTACTCGGGAGGCTGAGGCAGGAGAATCGCTTGAACCTGGGAGGCAGAGTTTGCAGTGAGCAGAGATCGTGCCACTGTACTCCGGCCTGGGCAACAGAGTGAGACCCTATCTCAAAATAAATAAAATAAAATAAAAAATAAAAAAGAGGATAACTCTTAAGCGGAGAATTCTAAAACAGTAACAAAACCCAGTAAAAGTTGGCCTGCTTTTTATCACCATGGGCCAGCTATTCTAAATAATATCAGTAATAACATCCGCCTTCCAATGAGGCAGACCTCTCCCACCCCACCCGCATCTTGACATCTCTGGGCCTCAGGAAGTTTATATCACTGGGCTTGAGCTTCACACTCTGTAAATTGACAGGGCTAATCCATGTCTAAGGGATCTTCCAACTCTAAAATTATAAAATTCAAGAGGCAGCCAGCTCTCTGAGTGTGAACTTGTTCAAATTCATTAATTCATTCATCCCCTCATTCCTTCACTGACTATTTACTGAGTTCCTTCTATGTACTGGTCACCATGCTAGGTGCTGGGACACAGGAGGAGTCAGATGTTGGCCCTGTCCTTAAGGAAACTCACGGAGGAGCCTCTCTGCAAGCTATACCTCCTAGCCAGCTCCCATGGTGTCTGCTCACCTCCTCTGAGGGGTTTTCTTTGATCCACCAGGTCCCTCAGTCCCCAGCTGTTATCTGAGCTACTTATGGGCAGAGTTTGTGGCTTATTCATCATCAGAACCCAGAGTCTAGGCCAGGCAAGGTGGCTCATGCCTGTAATCCCAACACTTTGGGAGGCCGAGGTGGGCAGATCACCTGAGGTCAGGAGTTCGAGACCAGCGGTGACCAACATGAAGAAACCCCATCTCTATTAAAAATACAAAATTAGCCAGGCATGGTGGCGCATGACTGTAATCCCACCTGCTAGGGAGGCTGAGGCAGGAGAATCACTTGAACCCCACAGGTGGAGGTTGTGGTGAGCCAAGATCACGCCACTGCACTCCAGCCTGGGCAACAGGAACAAAACTCTGTCTCCAAAAAAAAAAAAAAAAGAAAAAACCCAGAGTCTAGATAGCCTCTGGCTCTATAGCTGTTTGTTGAATGAGTGAATGAATGAATAGCAGCTTAGAATGGAGATTAATACCTATCCAAGATACTTTATTCAATAAGTTGAGCCATGCAAAATTGCCAATACTTGACCATTTTAACTAATAAAACAGAAATTTAATATGGTTCAATTTGATACATACGAATTTACAGAGAAGGACAATGGGCTGTGTGTTGGGTCTGAACTGGGAGACAGAGAGTATCTACGTTGGAATTCCACCATGGAGGACTGATTTCCCAAAGCTAAGAGCACCTTGCTATGAGTCAGTTGCATATATATGTCAGTCCCTCCACATAGGTTAGGGGCAACGTCAAACCCAGCCCTGGGGTCCTGCTTAGGATGCCCCTTCCTCCCACTCAGGTTACCTGATGGCTTATCTCTGACTGATCCCCAGTGTTTACTTTGGAGACTTGGGTGAAAGGTTTCCAGCCACAACCATTTCTTTTCCTGGATCTTTTGCCAAAATGTCCCCCTTGAAAGTCTCTTACCATTCTTGGAAATCTTGGTAGGGTTGGGTAGTTGCCACTGGTGTCTGGCTTCTGACCCCCTGAAAGCTGTAGGACAGGAGGAATATAGTTTAAAGATGGAGGGCCCACGGCCAGAGGTAACTTGTAGGCATTTGTAAACTCTCTTGAAGTGGCCCATAAAGACATGCGCTCTTCCTGTTCCTTCTGTTTCATCTCGACTTCATCTAATATCTGCTCGATATTCCTCAGCCTATCATCATTCTCGTGCATTATTGTCTGCATAATCTTTAGATCCAGCACACACTTACTGATGAGATACTCCTCAGTCGTGGACATGTTGTTCAAATTGCTCTTGGCTTCTCTGGTTGACTCAGGAAGGCTGAGTGAACTGAGTGAACCGTTTTGCCAGTCCCAGTCATCAAAAGAGTACTCTGTCTCAGCTTTTGAAGAGCTCTCATCCTCACTGCCAAAACAACACGCCTCTCTCTCCATCTTATCCAGCTCTTCTTCCATGGATTTCAGTTCATCTACCTGGTTAGGTCCGTCTGCCTCCAAAGATGAAGCAGCTCCTGGAGGCTCTTCTATGTCATCTTCCAAAATCAAGCAGCCTGAGTAGATCTCGTTGATTTCGAAACTGCAGAGGCTTGGCTGACCTGTGCTGGGGCTGCTGGCCTCTTCTGCCATAAATGGAGCAGGGCAAGGAGCATCTTGATTCTGAGTCTCCCTGGCCATCAGACATGGATCTGGGGCCTGAGGATCTAGTGTCCCCTCAGTGAATAAAGAGTGAACCCTTGGTGAATGAGGTTGACTGCCTATTGAAAAAAACAGCAAAATGCAACTCATTAAAATGAACATATTTGGCAGCTAAGCAGCCTTGGCTTGTTCAAGAGGCAAAGACTGTCAAAAAAAAAAAAAAAGTTTTTTATTTTCCCACCCCCTTCCCAGTTGTGGAAGACTACTGGATACACTCACAAAGGGTGAGGGAGTATGTGTCCCCTAGGGGAAAGCTCCTATTTTGACATGGAATGAGGCAGAAATTGTTGTCAGGGCAGGGGTCTAGCCATGGAGGAAATATTCTAAGCTTTATTGTGTGTCCAAACATGCATAACTGTCAGGACATGCAAATTAGAGGCCCCTGAATCTTGTTTTCTTTTGTTTTATAGAGATGGGGTCTTGCTGTGTTGCCCAGGTTGCTCTCAAACTCCTGGCTTTAAGTGATCCTCCCGTCTCACTCTCCCAAAGTGCTGGGATTACAGGTGTGAGCCACCGTGCCCAGCTCCCCTGAATCTTAAGGACCACGTTCATAGCCTTCTTTTCACACAAAAGAGTTTGACTATTTCTCAGTTAAAGTTATGCTCTTGGTGAGCATCTGATAACAGTAGCCTAGGGCCAGGCGTGGTGGTTCACGCCTGTAATCCCAACACTTTGGGAGGCCAGGGCGGGTGGATCACTTGAGGTCAGGAGTTCGAGTGGTCTCAAACCAACATGGTGACCAACATGGTGACCACCATGGCCTGACCAACATGGTGAAACCCCATCTCTACTAAATACAAAAAATTAGCCAGGCATGGTGGTGCATGCCTGTAGTCTCAGCTACTTGGGAGGCTGAGGCAGGAGAATCGCTTGAACCTGGGAGACAGAGGTTGCAGTAAACCGAGATTGCGCCATTGCACTCCAGTCTGGGCAAAAAGAGTGAAACTGTCTCAAAAAAAAAAAAAAAGTAGCCTAGATACCACCCAAGGAGCCATTACATTATGGGAGTAATGAAAAAACTAAAAAATTTATGCTAGGATTGACCACCCACCACCCCTGGTTTACAGGTGTACAGCTTACAGAGAATGGGACTAAGCTGTCAAAGTAATGAGGTTACAGGGCCACTCTGGAGGCCTCCAGCACTGCTGAAGGAGAGTCAGAGTGAATGGTCATTTGGCTGGAATTGGAAGGCCTGGGTTCCAGTTCTATAACAAGTTCTCTGTGATCCTGAGCAGGTTACAACCTCTCTGAACCTTAGTTTTCTCATCTGTAATATGAAGGCATTAAGCCTGATGACTGCAAGGTCCTTTCCAGTTCTAAATTCTAAGGTTTTCAAATGTACTAAAATGTAGTAAAATTGGTTGGGCAAAGTGGCTTATACCTGTAATCCAAGTGCTTTGGGAGGCGAAAGTGGGAGGACTGCTTGAGGCCAGGAGTTCAAGACCAACCTGAGCAACATAATGAGACCTCATCTCTAAAAAAAAAAAACTTTTTTAGGCCAGGTGTGGTGGCTCATGCCTGCAATCCCAGCACTTTGGGAGGACCAGGTGGGAGGATTGCTTGAGTTCAGGAGTTCAAGACCAGCCTGGGCAACATCGTGAGACCTTGTCTCTACTAAAAATTTAAAAAGTAAGGCTGGGCGCAGTGGCTCACACCTGTAATCCCAGCACTTTGGGAGGCCAAGGCGGGTGGATCACGAGGTCAGGAAATCGAGACCATCCTGGCCAACATGGTGAAACCCCGTCTCTACTAAAAATACAAAAAATTAGCTGGGCATGGTTGTGCGTGCCTGTAATCCCAGCTACTCAGGAGGCTGAGGCAGGAGAATTGCTTGAACCCGGGAGGCGGAGGTTGCAATGAGCCGAGACCCCACCATTGCACTCCAGCCTGGGCAACAGAGCAAGATTCCATCTCAAAAAAAAAAAAAAAGAAAAAAATTAGCCCAGCATGGTGGCACATGCCTGTAATCCCAGCTACTCAGGAGGCTGAGGCATGAGAATCACTTGAACCCAGGAAGTGGAGGTTGCAGTGAGCTGAGAGCATGCCACTGTACTCCAGTCTGGGCAATAGAGCTAGACTTTATCTCACAAAACAAACAAGTTACATCTACAGTTTAGAGGAGTCAATTAGTTGCAGCTCATGTGACTCTCAGAACACATTTGTGTCAAACTAACACAACCTGTGAATTAAGGCCATACCCATTTCCTTTAGTTCTATGATTTCCATGTCAGGTGTCTCTCTGGGGTGTTCTGAAGTCAGTCCTAGATAGACATTGACATCGGGATGGAGTCCGTATCTCTGCACTCTGGGGCTCTCGGTTGGTTGAGTTCTCTGGGCTCCAGTAAAATCCTGTAACACAGGAAATATTGTCAAGGACATAGTCTCAGTCATCCTGAATGTCACTGGTGCTTTAGAAACCATCTAAGTATCTGATAAACTCCCTCTTATTCCTGTTGGGTAGACTGACTTTAGTCCTAATTAACTAGTTTATTGTTATTGCCAATACCTTAAAAGCAATAATAATAGCTACCATTCACTGAATCTCCACTAAGTGCCTACAGGGTGCCCCTACTATGCATATGTGTTGAACCTCCCTAGCTCCCCTCCTCAATTCCATGCTGCTTTCACCAAGTTAAGCAGTTAGGCTATTATCAAGAACACAGAAATGGTGTAATAAAATGAGGATTTCCAAAATTTCTTACAACTT
This sequence comes from Homo sapiens, assembly GCF_000001405.40. Taxonomy (NCBI): domain Eukaryota; kingdom Metazoa; phylum Chordata; class Mammalia; order Primates; family Hominidae; genus Homo; species Homo sapiens. The sequence goes on from NC_000017.11 coordinate 58,602,315, forward strand.
GGTCTCTAGCTTCATCTTGTCTCTAACTCCCTATTCTCCTGAGTTAGGTAAGCAGAAATAAACTCCCAACAACTTCAGGGCTTGCCTTTAAGTCATTCTTCAGAATATACCGGATATCTTGAAGGTTCATAGTTCGGTCTTTCTGCTTGACGTGGATGCCTGACTTAACAATATCATAGTAAGGTTTCGGAAGCCTGACATCAGCTTCTAAATAATTCCCCGAGACTACGGCTTTTTTAACAACTGAGCCATCTAAGCCCTTCCAGGGTATGTCATCTGTAAGGAAAAAGTCATACAAAAGAGTAAATTAGGAAACCAAAGAGTGGAGTGGGGGGAAAAGAAATCAGATGAAGCTGGGTAACCTTAGGCAAGTCACTTAACTTCTTTATTTTTTTTTCTAATCCACTGTACTTTAGAAACAATTCATTTCCTTATATATTAATTTCTCTCTGTAGAAAAACTACCCAGAGGGGCCGGGCGTGGTGGCTTACACCTGTAATCCCAGCACTTTGGGAGGCCGAGGCGGGTGGATCACAAGGTCAAGAGATCGAGACCGTCCTGGCCAACATGGTGAAATCCCCTCTCTACTAAAAATACAAAAATTAGCCAGGCGTGGTGGCGCACACCTGCAATCCCAGCCACTCAGGAGGCTAAGGCAGGAGAATCGCTTGAACCCGGGAGGCAGAGGTTGTAGTGAGCTGAGATTGCGCCACTGCACTCCAGCCTAGCAACAAAAACAGAAAACAAAAAAACAAAAAAAAACTACCTGGAAGGCCAATTCATAAGTGAGAAGCCACTTTACTCATTTACCAGAGAGATCACCGCCACAGAGATAGGAAACAATAGTGTCAGCAACATGTACACATGGGCTCCCCGCTGGCAGGGGAGCCCAATATTCATCTCATGTATATTGTCATTTTGCCTCTGGGACTGCAAACACCATAAAAAAGCAGCCCTTGGCCGGGCGTGGTGGCTCACGCCTGTAATCCTAGCACTTTGGGAGGCCGAGGTGGGTGGATCACCTGAGGTCAGAGGTTGAAACCAGCCTGGCCAACACAGTGAAATCCCATCCCTACTAAAAATACAAAAATTAGCTGGGTGTGGTGGCGAGCACATGTAATCTCAGCTACTCTGGGAGGCCGAGGCAGGAGAATCACTTGAACCCAGGAGGTGGAGGTTGCAGTGAGCTGAGATCGCGCCACTGCACTCCAGCCTGGGCAACAGAGTAAGACTCCATCTTAAAAAAAAAAAAAAAAAAAGCCTTGCACGTTGGCTCACGCCTGTAATCCCAGCACTTTAGGAGGCTGAGGTGGGCGGATCACGAGGTCAGGAGATCCAGACCATCCTGGCTAATACGGTGAAACCCCGTCTGTACTAAAAATAGAAAAAATTAGCCGGGCATGGTGGCACGCGCCTGTAGTCCCAGTTACTTGGGAGGCTGAGGCAGGAGAATCGCTTGAACCCGGGAGGCAGAAGTTGCAGTGAGCCAAGATCCCGCCACTGCACTTCAGCCTGGGCAACAGAGTGAGACTCTGTCAAAAAAAAAAAAAAGCAGCCCTTAATGTGATTTTACTGTGTGTGTGTGTGTGTGTGTGTGTGTGTGTGTGTGTGTGTGTGTGTGTGTGTGTGTGTCTTTCTTTTGAAGGATTCCTTCCATCTTCAGATATGTGACTACTTTCTCCACATCAGAGCAGTGGATTTGGAAGTACATCCATTTCTTTCAAGTGACACTGTTTATACATCTAATGGACACAGGGTGTGTTTCATAGTTTACTTCTCAGAGGCTAGTCTTTCCCCCTAATTTACAAGTTCTCAAGGGATACCACACATAGATCATAAGTACTGATACCAATATTCAGGTTAAAAAGTTTGCTTCGGCCGGGCGTGGTGGCTCACACCTGTAATCTCAGCACTTCAGGAGGCCGAGGTGGGTAGATCACAAGGTCAAGCGATCGAGACCAGCCTGGCCAATATGGTAAAACCCCGTCTCTACTAAAAATGCAAAAATCAGTTGGGCGTGGTGGTGTGCACCTGTAGTCCCAGCTACTCGGGAGGCTGAGGCAGAAGAATCGCTTGGACCCGGGAGGCAGAGGTTGCAGTAAACCGAGATCGAGCCACTGCACTCCAGCCTGGGTGTCAGAGCAAGACTCTGTCTCAAAAAAAATAAAAAATAAAAATAAAAATAAATTTTTTTAGTGTGGATTAAATGCATCATCACTGACAAGCAGATGGATGGGCTTTGCTGAGTCTTTTTTTTTTCTTTTGAGACAGAGTCTCACTCTGTCACCCAGGCTGGAGTGCAGTGGCGCTATCTCAGCTCACTGCAACCTCTGCCTCCCAGGTTCAAGTGATTTTCCTGCCTCAGCCTCCCAAGTAGCTGGGACTACAGGCACGTGCCACCACGCCCAGCTAATTTTTGTATTTTTAGTAGAGACAGGGTTTCACCATTTTGGCCAGGCTCGTCTTGAACTCCTGACTTCAGGTGATCCACCCGCCTCAGCCTCCCAAAGTGCTGGGATTACAGGCGTGAGCCACTGCTCCCAGCCAAGAAGTCTCTTTTTAATAAGTCTTCTATTTTCATAAAAGTCAGTAACTCCTGTGGGGGGAGAAAAATGCAACCTAAGAATAGGGACTTTGGTCAACCATTAATGATCTTGATCTACCTGTTAAAATCTCCTGCATGATCATAGAAAAGCTGTAGATGTCTGATTTCACTGTGGCTGCCTTCTGTAAGATCACTTCTGGTGCGGCCCAGTTGTATAGCTGCGTAGGAAGGGGCACTCGAGTCAGGTCCCTCTGTACACCTCTGTCCTCGCTACGGAAGGAAACTCACAAGTCAGCGCTCATGCCTTAAAGGGTCTTTTATTCATTCATTCATTCATTCATTCTTTCATTCATTCAGAGTCTTGCCCTGTCACCCAGGCTGGAAAGCAGCAGCGTGATCTCAGCTCACTGCAACCTCTGCCACCTCCCGGGTTCAAGCGATTCTCCTGCCTCAGCCTCCCAAGTAGCTAGGATTACAGGTGTGTGTCACCAGGCCCGGCTAATTTTTGTATTTTAGTAGAGACGAGGTTTTGCCATGTTGGCCAGGCTCGTGGGTCTTTTAATCAACATACTACATTTGTGAAAACTTTGCCTCTGAAGGCTGACAACCTCTTTGAGTTCCTGGAAACCTAGCTAGACAATGAGCTAGTCCACACTGCTTCAGAGCTGTTCCAATACCTGCAATTCCTTACTATTCCACCCGGGCCCTCTCCACCACTTCATCTGGCAACTCTACTGCTCACCCACTCCACTCAAGTCACAGGGACCTTCTTTCAGTTCCTCCAACATACCTCATGTTCTTCAAGTCTTTGCACTGGCAGCTTCTGCCAGGCATGCTCTGCCCACAGATCCTAGAATGACTAGCTACTTTTTGTGACTGAGATATTTGTCTGAAAGTCACTTCCTCAAGGAGGCCCTCCCTGACTGCCTAATCTAAAGTAGTCCTGTTTTATTGGTTTCAGAGCACTTATTATCTGAATTTGTGTTCATTTAGTTTATCTGTCTCCCCTCCATTCTAGAGAGTCAGCTCCATGAGAGTAGGCAACTCATCTGCTTTTATATCACTGTACTTCTGGGCTTACACCAGGGCCTTGATGCTTGCTGTTGAATAAATGAACGTAAACTCTTTCAAGAGCCCTCTCAACCCCCATCTGCTTTATCAAAGCCATCTGGGACTTCCCCAACTCCTCATGATTATTTCTTTTCTGAACTCCTGCCCTTTTGGGAATGTGTCCTCTCAGTTTAGCACTCAAGGGTTCACTCATATGCTTAAATAACTCTTCCCAACCAGACTCCTTAAGAGCTAAGTCAGAGCATCCTAAATGTCTTCTGGCCCAGCAAGAGTCCTCAGGGTAAACTCAGCACTGACTTGTGCCCACAGCTGTCATGACAGTCAAATGAGATCATGGATGTAGAAACACTCGGTGAGCCATAAAGCGCTCTTTCATGTAAAGAATTAGTATGAATATTATGGGAGGCATTCAGTCAAGACTTAATGACTGGCAGTTGATAATTAAGAATTAAGTTTTTAAAAAGCAAGTGACAGCAAGTTTTTTGTTGGTCTGGAAAAAGGATAGATTTTAGACGATGAGATGGGCTTCTCAGACTTTGAGCAAACTTCCCTAAATAAAGTTTCTTCCAGCAAATCTTTGGATAGAGGGCAGTGAGTTCATGAAGTCATGAAGGTGAAAAAGCTAGTATTGACTTTAGTTATATTGCTGAAAAGTCACCTATGGCCTAGTATAGTGTGAACAGTGTGGATATGCATACAAATTTAATACATAATTATATATTGAACCCAGGAGGCAGAGGTTGCAGTGCGCCAAGACTGAGCCACTGCACTCCAGCCTGGGTAACAGAGTGAGACTCCATCTTAAAAAAAAAAAGGGCCAGGAGCAGTGGCTCATGCCTGTAATCCCAGCACTTTAGGAGGCCGAGGCGGGTGGATCACTTGAGGTCAGGAATTCAAGACCAGCCTGGCCAACATGGTGAAACCCCATCTCTACTAAAAACACAAAAATTAGCTGGGCATGGTGGCACGTGCCTGTAATGCCAGCTACTCAGGAGGCTGAGGCAGAATTGCTTGAATCCGGGAGGCAGAGGTTGCTGTGAGCCGAGATCGCACCACTGCATTCCAGACTGGGCTACTGTCTCAAAAAAAAAAAAAAAAAAAAAAAAGGAAGGAGCTGAAGGTAGGAGAAACTGCTGTATCACTTTTATACCAAGAGATGGAATGCTATCCTTGACAATGACATTCAACAAACTGATATGCCCTAGTAGAGTGTTACCAAAAATAAATGTGGGATTGAAGGCTACTTTGGGTTGGTGAATAATCAACTCATGTTACCAGCTTTCAAAGAAGGGTATGTTGTTACACCTGCAACGGCTTGCTGTCTAACATTTCTGACACTTCTACCTGAGGTTCCATCCTGAGGTCATTCCTAGACATTCACAGACCCTTGGTTACCTCCTACCCCCTCACTTGGCCAGTTGTTGACCCCAGCAACTCCATGCATTTCACTTTATTCCCTCCCATTTTGGCTTCATGGTCACCACTAGGCCCTGTCTCATGGTCTCATGGCTGGTGTTCCTGTCAACCTCCAATCCATCCTGCCCCTGTATCCTGGAGACATCCTCTACTATCTGTTTAGCCCCATCTGTGTCTCTAACCAATCAATTGGGTAACTTCACACCATTGCTTCACCCCTGGGTGCCTCAGTTTCCTCAACTATATAAGGACAGCATTGGGCTGGGCCATCTCCAAAGCTCCATTTCGGGCTAGGATTCACATTTCTATTGGTGAGCAAAAGGAGAAGAAACTGTGGTACCTTTCTCTCAATAGCAGATGGCGATCCATCACTGACAAAAGTGCACACCCTTTAGCGTCCACTGCTCCTGAACACATAGCCAGAGAGGTCAACCCTGCTCTGAACCATTTTAAGTTTTTCCTTCAACTAGATCATCCAATCATTTAAGAAACATTTACCGGCCAGCCGTAGTGGCTCATGCCTGTAATCCCAGTACTTTGGGAGGCCAAGGCAGGAGGACTGCCTGAGCCCAGGAGATTGAGATTGTAGTGAGCCACTGTACTATGGCCTGGGCAAAAGAGAGAGATCCTGTGTCCCCCACCCACAGAAAAGAAGGCTGGGTGTGGTGGCTCACACTTGTAATCCAAGCACTTTGGGAGGCCAGGTCGGGCAGATCGCATGAGTCCAGGAGTTCAAGTCCAGCCTGGGCAACATGGCGTGACCTTATCTCTATAAAAAATACAAAAATTGGCTGGGCGCAGGGGCTCACGCCTGTATTCCCAGCACTTTGGGAGGCTGAGGCGGGTGGATCACAAGGTCAGGAGTTCAAGACCATCCTGGCCAACATGGTGAAACCCCATCTCTACTAAAAATACAAAAAATTAGCCGGGTATGGTGGCGGGTGCCTGTAGTCCTGGCTACTTGGGAGGCTGAGGCAGGAGAATGGCGAGAACCCAGGAGGCGGAGCTTGTAGTGAGCCGAGATCGTGCCACTGCACTCCAGCCTGGGCAACAGAGCGAGACTCCATCTCAAAAAAAAAAAAAAAATTAGCTGGATGTGGTGGCATGTGCCTGTAGTCCCAGCTACTCAGGAAGCTGAGGTAGGAAGATCGCTTGACGCTGGGAGGTTGCAGTGAGCCGAGATCGTGCCACTGCACTCCAGCCTGGGCGACAGAGCAAGATCTTGTCTCAAAAAAATAAAAAATATTTACTGAGCACTTACCATAAGTGGCAGGCCCAGAGCTGGTGATGAACTCCCCATCTGGTGGCACAGACACACTTGTATAAAAATGACTGTGGTACATTTGCGTGACGCATGTGAGAAGAGGAATATGCAAAGTGCCTCAGGGTATGAGAGCATCAGTATAGACTTCACAGAGAGTGTTGGGAGACTGTGTCTGAAGTGACTTTAAAAGGCTAAATTGGCGTGTGCCAGGTATTCCAGATGCAGAGAGCAGTGTAGTAAAAGTGCCTTCAAATGGTCAGGAGGGAGCAGGGCAGTTAGGAGATTGACACTACAAGTGGAGCCTCACTTAGGGAGGCTTCTGCTCCCTGAAAATGGGTCTGGACTTAATCTTGCAGGCAATAAGGAGACCCTGAAAGCTTTTAACTCAGATTAAAAATGGACCAGATGAGAAAGTGAGCAGTTCAACTAGTGACAGTTATCTGGCCTCTGCCTGTTCCCATCTAGAAAAGTGTCATGGCTCCGGTCATACCCTAACGGCTCCCCTGCTTTTTTTCTTGAGACAGAGTCTCGCTCTGTCGCCCAGGCTGGAGTGCAGTGGCGTGATCTTGGCTCACTGCAAGCTCCACCTCCCAGGTTCACGCCATTCTCCTGCCTCAGCCTCCCGAGTAGCCGGGACTACAGGCGCCTGCCACCACGCCCGGCTAATTTTTTGTATTTTTAGTAGAGACGGGGTTTCACCGTGTTAGCCAGGATGGTCTCGATTTCCTGACCTCATGATCCACCCGTCTCGGCCTCCCAAAGTGCTGGGATTACAGGCATGCGCCACCACGCCTGGCTAATTTTGTATTTTTAGTAGAGATGGGGTTTCTCAATGTTGGTCAGGCTGGTATTGAACTCCCAACCTCAGGTGATCCGCATGCCTCAGCTTCCTAAAGTGCTGGAATTATAGGCATGAGCCACCATGCCCAGCCTAGAGGAAGGATCTTAACCTAAAAATCATCCATGACCCTATACTGTTCAAAAATGCCTATCCTAAGAACACAGCATCCCAGTGTTCTTAAGATAAAATTCAGACTCCTCACCAGGGCCCACAAGGCCAAGCACAACCTGACCTCTGCCTCCTCTCCATGCAGAGGGACAAAAGGCACTCCAGGTCTGGGGAAGTGAGAGCCTTTTTATATCATTTGTTCAAAAAACATATGCTGAGTGCACATACGCAAAGGCCTGTTCTGGGCATTTGAGATATAGCAGTAAATAAAACAGAAATCCCTGCCTCATGTAGCTTTTCATCTTTGAGAGAAGTTACAGAGTATGTGACAAACAAAGATCTGGTGAGAGACCAGAAACAAAGCATCAGTGATGGGTAGGTGGCAGACAAGGGTAAGAGGAAGTAGGTGGGTCTAGGCAAGGGGTCTGCCCAGTGGCTGAGGCCTCACAGAAGAGCAGAACCAATACTGGCCCAAAGGCTCAGAGCTGTGGATGGCAGTAAGGAAGCGCAGGGGAGAGCCTCTGCCTCTCAAAGCTTGGGGGCTCTCAGGAAGACTTTGACTCTTGCCAACAGGAAACAAAGCCCACTTACCAACTCCTGAATTTTGACTGCCTCTCTCACTGTGCTGAGCCCCTTGAGGGCAGAGAATGCCCTCCATATCTATCCAGGCCAGTGCCTGGCCCAGATGTAGGAGGTGTGACAGGCCATTAGGCTCATCAGCACCCATCACCTTCTCTCCTTCCAGGATGCACAGGTAAGGCACAGCTCAGCTTCCCTCCAGTAGAAGGTAACTGGGCTCTGGCCACTGCAATGTGGGAGGCAGTAACATACCCATTTCAGACTGGCCCCAAACCCCACTGTGTCCCCTCCATGTTCTTTCTTGCTTGCTGACTGGCAGTGCAAAGAATGCAGTGGGGGATCAAGGCCTGAAAGGTGGTGAAGCTACAGATTGGAGTGACAGGGAACACTGTCCCTGCCTCCAACACAGATTGGATTGCAATGTGAGCGAGAAATACACCTTGTTGTGTTAAAAGCTGCTCAAAGGGCCAGGCGCAGTGGATCACACCTGTAATCCTAGCACTTTGGGAGGCCGAAGTGGGCGGATCACCTGAGGTCGGGAGTTTGAGACCAGCCTGGCCAACATGGTGAAACTGCATCTCTACTAAAAACACAAAAATTAGCCAGGCGTGGTGGTGAGCACCTGTAACCCCAGCTACTCAGGAGGCTGAGGCAAGAGAATCGCTTGAACCCAGGAGGCGGAGGTTGCAGTGAGCCGAGATTGTGCCACTGCATTCCAGCCTGGGCAAGAGGGCAAGACTCCGTCAAAAAAAAAAAAGCCGCTGAAAATTTTGGAATGGATAATTATAGCATTTATGCACATTGGCTAATACGAGCTCTTACTTGTTAAATGTTTATTAAAATGTCTCCAAATTCCTCTAGCCTTGGCAGACAGGGTAAGGCATTTGGGACAGGTTCAGCAACTGATGAACAGGTTCATCTCACCAATGAGGAGTCCCACCCAGATCAGATTCTGTCTCTATAGGAAGGGTCCCCAAGGGAGATCAACTTCAGGAGAAAGTCCCACTCCATGTTATGCCCACCTTTCCAACATGTACTCCAGGTTGGTCAGCCTCGCTTCACCTGGGGAGATGATATGGACAGCATAGGAGCTGAGGGAGCGGTGGATAAACCCCTGGAAATGCAGGTATCTCAGGGCATCAGATATCTGGAGCAGCAGGTGCACAATCACCTCCATGTGCAGCACTGGGAACTGGGACCGCTGCAAGCAAGAGATGAAATGCCACGAAAAAAAAAAGGACTGGGGCCCTGACACTGTAGAGCATTTTGTGATTTCCAGTCTTTCCATATGATCCTCATGGTTACCAAGGATCCCCATTTTACAGATGGAGAACCTAAAGCTCAGTGAGGCTAAGTGAATGGCCTGACGTCCCAATGACTCAGGCCCCCTGGATCCAAACCTGGATTCCTTTCCCTCAGCTGAGCTGCTTCATACCACAAAAAATGAAAAGAAAGTTCTCAAAGTCTGGTATGTGCATCCAGGATTGGCTTGGGGAAAACTGACAGGGGAGGTCCCCCCATACCACCAGTAAACCTGCCCTGTCGCCTCCCTGTCCAAGCCCAAGCTGCTGGGGAGAACCTGGAAGCTCAAAGGACCCTGCAGAATGCAGATAACCAATTCAGTCCTACCCCAGTCAGATGAGACAGAAAGTGCCTCCTAAGGGGACAGAAATTCACTCACATCAATGCACCTGGCTGACTAAAGTCTTAATGGGTCTCTCCCCCAGAGAAATGGTCTTTAAGGTAATACCCTCACTCAAGGGGGAAAAACAGAAAAAAACAGAATAGGAGGTCCTCAGGCAGAAGGAATGGCAAGCCATTTGGGGGAAGAGCCCTTCTTGGGGTCTCCTTACTTCTATCCAAAGTATTTAGAACAAAGTCATGGAGGAAAAAAACCTAAATACTCCAAGAGCTCTCTAAACCTACATCTCAGGCCAAAGCACCCTTTCCAGGGACTCTATACAAGCCAGGAAAGATGTCTCCCAACCCCAAGGAAATTTGAGAGGTGAGAGGGGAGTGATACAGGCCTCTATAGAAAAAACTGGGAGAGAGCACAAATGAAAATGTAGGAAAATAAAGCCAGTGGCTGCTGGATTATAGTTAGTCAAAGGTGTCTGTATTTTCTGGGTCCACTGCGCTCTTAGATGTCTGATCAAGAAGCAGGACTAGGCTGGCTGCAGTGGCTCGTACCTATAATCCCAACAGTTTGGGAAGCTAAGGCAGGAGGATCACTTGAAGCCAGGAGTTCAAGACCAGCCTGGGCAACATAGTGGGACCATGATTCTATTAAAATTTTAAAAATTAGCTGGGTGGGGGCTGGGTGCAGTGGCTCAAGCCTGAAATCCCAGCACTTTAGGAGGCTGAGACAGGTGAATCGCCTGAGGTCAGGAGTTCGAGATGATCCTGGCCAACATGGTGAAACCCCGTCTCTACTAAAAATACAAAAATTGGCTGGGTGTGGTGGGGGGTGCCTGTAATCCCAGCTACTTGGGAGGCTGAGGCATGAGAATCGTTTGAACCAGGGAGGCAGAAGTTGCAGTGAGCAGAGATCGTGCCACTGTACTCCAGCCTGGGTGACAGAAGGAGACTCTTGTCTCAAAAAAAAAAAAAAAAAAAAAAATTAGCTGGGCATGGTGGCATGCACCTGTAGTCTCAGCTACATTGGAGGCTGATGCAGGATCATTTGAGCCCAGGAGTTGGAGGTTACAGTGAGCTATGATCTCACTACTGTACTCCAGCCTGGGCAATAGAGCAAGACCCTGTCTCAAAAAAAGCAGGACAGGCCGGGTGCAGTGGCTCACGCCTGCAATCCCAGCACTCTGGGAGGCCAAGGTGGGTGGATCATCTGAGGTCAGGAGTTTGAGAACAGCCTGGCCAACACGGTGAAACCTCATCTCTACTAAAAATACAAAAATTAGCCAGGCATAGTGGCAGGCGCCTGTAGTTCCAGCTACTCGGGAGGCTGAGGCAGGAGAATCACTTGAATCCAGGAGGTAGAGGTTGCAGTAAGCCAAGATCGCGCCACTGCACTCCAGCCTAGGCAACAGAGGGACTCTGTCTCAAAAAAAAAAAAGCAGAACTGACAATAATAAAACCGTACTAATTCTGACCATGTGCTTATCAGCCTTAAATAGCATGTTATACAGCCCCTATAAAGCAAAAGAATAAAGATATTTATCTTCCATGCATGCAGAAATGGGATCACCACAGCTGGGGCAAGAGGGTGAGGAGGGAAGAAACTGGGAGGTCAGCAATGGAAAATCCACGGAAACAGCAGTTTACTCGTTCATGAAGGACACTGAACAATGTGCCGATAGTGATGCGCTCGTACACAAGGCGGGTTTTCTCTAGGTCCTGGGAGAGACACACAGCCATCAACTGTAGCAAGTAGGGGTGCCGCAGCTTGCTGCAAAAGAAAAGAAGCTTCAGATAAGGCAGGTGAGAGGAGGATATGATGAAAAAATGAGCGTAGGCCTTTTGAACACATTCTAAACAAATACCATTTGTATACGATGTTTTCTTTTCTTTTCTTTTTTTTTTGACACAGAGTCTCACTGTATTGCCCAGTCTGGAGTGCAGTGGGGTGATCTCTCGGCTGGCTCACTGCAACCTCCGCCTCCTGGGTTGAAGCGATTCTACTGCCTCAGGCTTCCAAGTAGCTGGGATTACGGATGCCCACCACCACTTGCAGCTAATTTTTGTATTTCTAGTAGAGATGGGGTTTCACCATGTTGGCCAGGCTGGTCTTGAATTCCTGACCTCAGGTGATCCACCCGCCTTGGCCTCCCAAAGTGCTGGGATTACAGGCGTGAGCCATTGGGCGTGGCCTTTTGTATACAATGTTTTCTAAGAAAACAGGATGAGGTGTTGGTGAGGGTTTCTGTTGGAATCTGTGGCCCTAACTGATGAGACCTTGAGAGCTTAGAGCCATCAATGACAACAATGACAATGTGGCCAAGAGCTCCTGTATTCTTTGCATACATCGTCTCAGATCCTAACAACCACCTGCAAGAAATGTATCATTATACTCATTTTATAGATGAGGAGACCAACATCAAGGAAATGTCAGGGCCTGGTGCAGTGGCTCACGTCTGTAATCCCAGCACTTTGGGAGGCCAAGGTGGGCAGATCACTTGAAATCAGGAGTTTGAGGCCAGCCTGGCCAAGATGATGAAACCCTGTCTCTACTGAAAATACAAAAGTTAGCCAGGTGTAGTGGCGCACGCCAGTAGTCCCAGCTACTCAGGAGGCTGAGGCCTGGGAATCGCTTGAGCCCAGGAGGTGGAGGTTGCAGTGAGCCTAGATGGTGCCACTGCACTCCAGCCTGGGCAACAGAGCGAGACTCAATCCTACCCTCCCCGCAAAAAAAATAGGAAGAAATATGTCAGGAATTCACCTAAGGTTGCATGCCCAACTCAGTCTCATGTCAAAGTCTATGTTGCCCAGGCTCCTTCTTTCAGCTTCCTTTGGTCCCTTCAAGCCGACTTCCACAAAAAGAAGAATGTGGCCTCTCTACATGCCTCCTGCAGAAGTTGAGGAGCCTTCTTAGGAGAGAGCTCGATAAGCCTGGGTCCACTGAATGAATGAATCAAGAACCTGTCCTAGCAAGAGCAGAAGGACTTAACTCTGGAGCCATAGGAACCCTAAGGTCTGGAGATCCATGAGCCTGTCCTCAATGGCACAGACATGTCCTCAGACATCTGGATCTTAAGCAAGCCATGCTCTATGAAAACAGGATAGCCACATGCCGTCCTGATGGGCACAGGGCCCAAAGTGGGTGGACTCAGGGATTGTAGCATGAGAATCAGAAGGGCCTGCATGGAGGCTGCAGCATTCAGAGACATGGGTTACAGGGCGGCTGACAGCTGACAGAGCCCCTCACCACCACTGTCCCCACTGCTCAGGCTACTCGTTAACTTCTCTTCCTCTTTCCTGGCAGCCCTTCGAAGTCAAGTCAATCAATTTCAACAGTCAGGAAATGCTGAGACTGAGAGCAGCTGGAGCTCCCTATCCCAGGCACAGAGCTGAATAGCCCAGAACCTGAGTCTGTAGAGAGACCTGGACCTATAAGGGGCCTTGGGCTTCCTTCTCACCTGCTGTGTTCCTGCTCGGCAATTAACAAGTCGGCCAGCCGCAGCCTGCTGCAGTGTGGGTGGGTGGGGAGATTCAGCTCTTTCACTGTGACCCTGCTCCCATTCCACACTAGGCTACAAGGACAGGAAAGAGTTTCAGCAGAAAGGAGTGAGCAGCCACTTACTCCTTCAATGAATAAGCTTTCCTAAGCAAGGACCAGAGAAATGGTCTCCACACAGAACCTGCAATGCCCACTGGGCACTACTGGGTCCTCTCTCCCACTACCCACCCCCAGGTACTAAAGCACCCTGGAGAACTTAGGTATAGGTGGTGGGAAGTCACTGAATGCAAGGGAGAGAGTGACTTGATCAGGTTTGTATTCAAAAACACAACGTTACCGGCAATGTGGGGAATGGGTAGGGGAGGGGTGGTCCAGAGAATGGGAAGCCAGTTAGGAGACCACCCCAGGTGAGGGATGGTGAAGACTTGGGCAAAGGCAGCAGCAATAAAACAGCTTCTATAGGGGCCTCATTACCCTTGACCTGTATCAGAGGCAAGACAGTCACTACCAAGCTGCCTCTAATTCTTCAGAGAGCAGAGACATTAAAGTATTGTAATGAGTAATCTTTCAGAGCAGTGGTTCTCCCCCAGAAACCTATGGCAATGTCTGTAAGACAGTTTGGTTGTCACAGCTGTGGGGGCTGTAAGGGACTGCAACTGGCACTAGTGGGTAGAGACCAGGGACTTCTAAACATTCTACAATGCACAGGACTACTCCCAACAACAAAGGATCATCTGGCCAAAAATGGTAATAGTGTCCTGGCTGAGAAACCCTGATTTAGACAGATGTTCTTAGGTGTTCCCTGTGTTTGAGTAGAAACTCCCCACACATAAGGAAGTCACATGCAGCCCACTCTTCCCCTGAAACTGAATCAGACCTCAAACTGGCCAGCCCCCACTTACTTGGTCATGACCATGTAGGGGCCGCTGAAGAAAGAGAAGGTGGGCTCATCATCAGCTTGAATCACTTCCTTTTCTCCAATGACCGGAAGAGATCCTAGATAGGCCATCTGTGTCGCCCCAGTAAGATAAAACTGAAACCAAGGCATAGCCTCAAATTATGGGGAGAAGGGGGGAAAAGCAGAATACATCCAGAATCTTATCAGCCAGCTAAAAGAATGAGAGCTGCTATTTATCAACTTTCTGAATACCCCTATGCACTGGGCCTTTTTTTTTTTTTGAGACAGGGTATCACTGTCACTCAGGCTGGAGCATATGACATGATCTTGGCTCACTGCAGCCTGGACCTCCTGGGCTCAAGCGATCCTCCCACTCCACCCTCCCAAGTAGCTGGGATTACAAGCATGCACCACCACACCTGGCTAATTTTTTTTTTAAATAGAGACGGGCTTTTGCCATGTTGGCTGGTGTCAAAGTCCTGGGCTCAAGTGATCCACCCACCTTGGTCTCCCAAAGTGCTAAGATTATAGGCGTGAGCCACCAGGCCTCACCACAACTCTTTATATTATCTTTAATCTTTCTAAAAACCTTTCAAGGTTTTATTATTTCCCTTTTGTTCTTTTCCCTGAAGAAACTGAGGCTCATGGAAAGAAGTCAGATGCCTCAAGTGCCATTGCTGGGACTGAGAAGCCCATTGTGGTCCCCACAGCACCCAGGATTGTGTGCGGCCAAATCTGATATTCCTCCTCTCCCTCCCCACCAGGCTGCCTCAACACAACAAACAGAACGGGGAGTAGGGCTGGGCGAGTTGGCTCACGCCTGTAATCCCAGCACTTTGAGAGGTCAAGGCGGGTGGACCGATTGAGTCCAGAAGATGGAGACCAGCCTGGGCAACATGGCGAAATCCCATCTCTACTAAAAATACAAGTAACCAGGCATGGTGGCACACACCTGTGATCCCAGCTACTTGGAAGGCTGAGGCATCAGAATTGCTTGAACCCAGTAGGCAGAGGTTGCAGCAGTGAGCCAAGATCGCGCCACTGCACTCCAGCCTGGGCAACAGAGCCAGACTCTGTCTCAAAAAAATAATAATTAAAAATTAAAAACTAAAAATTAATTAATGAAAAGATCATTTTCTAAACTCAAGTGTAGCCCAGGGTCATCCAAGGGAATTCTCTGGGGTTTTCACAAATTTGTTAGTAAGACAGGAACACTAAGAGATACCTTTCCCTCAATAGGGGCAAAAAAGAAAAGAACAACACTTTGGTGAGGATAAGGAGGCAGGAGTTGGACAAAGGTGGGAGATGGGGCCCGATGATTCTCCAGTTAGTCCTGCAAACACTGGCTGTCAGTGGCAACCTCTTACCTTCCCAAAACCAAAGCTGTAGATATTTTGAGCAGAAATGACTCCAGCTTTAAGCAGTCGGTTAGGAGAGCCATTAGGGTTTCTAGAAATATTTAAAACAGGAAAAAAACCTCAGAATTAACCACTCATATCCAGAATAATAATGCTGAACCAAGTTTTCAGAAGGTGTAGTTGACTTTGTCTTTACTGCTAGACTTTCTGTTACAAAACTAGAGATGATGTAACAGCCAGCCTCTGAGAGGGCCTCTATGATTCTCACTTACCGGTATGCATAACCTTGTGTAGCCCCTCACAGGTCACATGGGGCTGACCTGTTAACTCATTTTTGACTGTTAACAGTGCAAAACAGTGATAGTCTCTCACTTTGAGGCTAAATCTACCAAGGCGTCAGCCCTGATCTCTCTTGGATCATTTGCTCTGCCAGCTGCCATGATATGAGGACATTCAAGCAGCCCTGGGGGAGGCTCAATGCCCAGCACCAATTTGCCAGCCACGTAAGCGAGCCATCTTGGAACTGAATTGTCCATCTTCAGTCAAGCCTTCAGATGAATACAGCCCTAACTAACATCTTAACTGCAACTTCATTAGAAACTCTGAGCCAGAACAACCTAGTTAAACCATTCCCTGATTCCTGACCCACAGAAATTGTGTGAGATAAAAATTTTATTGTTTGAGGCTGCTAAGTTTGGGGGGTGATTCATTATGCAGCAATAGATAACAAATACAGATGGTCAGAGTTGGAAATAACCATAAGCACATCTTGTCCAGTTTTTTCATTATATAGGCAAAAAAATGAAGCCCAGGAAAAGGAAACTTGCTGGCCTGAGGTCATAAAATGCAGCAGTGACCAGACACTGATGTTGCTCATTCCAGCCACTGTTCTTCCCACATTCCACACTCAAACTACCACTTGTGCATCAGGGTCCCCCTTCACTGAAGGTGTCTTGGAAGAAGGGGTGATGCCTCGTATTTCTTTGGCTCCCAGAACCTGGCATGGTGCCATGCAGTAGGTGCTCAGTTAATGCTTGCCAGTTGAGTACTTTCAGCTCAGACTGAAGGAAAAAAGATCCTACTGCCACCAGAGGCACTTTCCTTTTCTTGGCAAATGGCAAAGGAGCTGGGAGACGGTGCATACTCAGGGCCAGCCCTACCTCAGGTCTGTGAGGCCCCACATGCCACTATTAGAGAACAGATGTAAGTGCTTTACTTCTTTTCTATTTCCTCAGCAACTCATCAGTGCCAAGCTGTCCCGTCTCTGCTTTAAGCTGCTATGCTATTGAGGAGAAGACTCTGATGTTTAGACTGAGATAAACTGAGCATCCCAATTTACACCTGGTATCTTAGCACCATTATTGATAGTTTCCCTTTCACTCTCGAAACAGCCAACAGATAATCAGCTATATGGTCACTCTCACTTGAGTAAACAGACCATAAGAAAAAGGCCACTTTTCAACACCAAATCATCAGTCTCTTCTTAAAATAAGGCTTATGTGCTTAGGCCTCAAAAGATCTAGGAGACAGTGGACCGTTTCTTGCCCAGGGGAACAGACCTTGTGCTGACAGTGAGGGTGTCAGCCTCTAGCAGCAGTGGAACTGGGGGTTACCAGTGACGAGGCCTCCTGCCTTCCACTCTGGGGCCTCTGGGCAGTACATGGCTCTTTGGAGGGGAGAGTTCTTTCTAAGCAAAAGAGCCGAGTGTTCTCAAACAGTGACCTGGACAACTGCAGTTCAGACCAACATTTCCTGCTCTCTTACCTAAATTTCTCAGCACACATCTATATAACTCGGCTGGGTTAAGGGGAGAAAAAAACTAACTCTAGTCATCTACAGCCATCTGTCCTCAACTCAGTGCTTTTCTTCTTTCCCCAGTCCAAGCTCTGTGCAAACACACGTGTGAGGAATCTTATCTGACACGGCACCACTCACAAATCTTAGAGGCTAACTCTAATTTCAAGAATTTGTGTGGTTTTTTACATTAAGAGGAGGGGGGGCGGGCACGGTGGCTCACGCCTGTAATCCCAGCATTTCAGGAGGCAGAGGCAGGCGGATCACCTGAGGTCAGGAATTCCAGACTAGCCTGGCCACGGTGAAACCCCATCTCTACTAAAAATATAAAATTAGCCAGGTGTGCTAATTTTATAGTAATCCCAGCTACTAAGGAGGCTGAGGCAGGAGAATTGCTTGAACCCAGGAGACAGAGGTTGTGGTGAGCCGAGATTGCACGGACTCCTGCCTGGGCGACAGAGAAGACTCAGTCTCAAAAAAAAAAAAAAAAAAAAGGTGGGGGAAGAGGAGTGTATTTCCATGTAAGCATTCCATTAACCCCGTAAGAATGTTTCCTCTAATTCTAAACTAAATGCTGTATCTAGATGAGTAACTAAGATTGTAAAAGCTCATCCACATTTACACTTGGGTTTTCCTTTCAGGCTCACTCATGAGCCTCCTCTCCTTGTACAGAGCCCTACCATGCACCAAGCAGCTAAGGGTTAGTAGCAATGAATAGGATAGACACAGCCCCTGAGCTCTTGGAATTCACAATTTAATTGGAAAACTGGAGAAGAACATATACAAATAAAATAATTGCAAACTATGACAATTCTCTAAACTCTGAAGGACGGGTCTCCATACAAGCGCCAGGGGCAGAGGCAGGAGATGAAGGGGGAGGGCTTGGATGAGGCAGGGTCTCCAAGGCCGGATAAGGGATTTCTAAACCTATCCTAATAGCCATGGGGAAGGTCCTTAAGGAGTTTTAGCAGAGTGGTACAACCTGATTTCCATTATTTTAGTTTTATTTGATTACTTTATTTTTTGAGACAGGATCTCGCTCTGTCACCCAGTTTGGAGTGCAGTTGCATGATCTTGGCTTGCTGCAACCTCCACCTCCCAGATTCAAGTGATCCTCTCACCTCAGCCTCCAGAGTAGCTGGAACTATGAGGAGCACACCAACACACTCGGCTAATATTTTTTTTTTTTGAGACAGTGTGTTGCTCTGTCACCCAGGCTGGAGTGCAGTGGTGCGATCTCGGCTCACTGCAACCTCCGCCTCCTGGGTTCAAGTGATTCGCCTGCCTCAGCCTCCTGAGTAGCTGGGATTACAGGTGCATGCCACCACACCCGGCTAATTTTTGTATTTTTAGTAGAGACGGGGGTTTCACCATGTTGGCCAGGCTGGTCTCGAACTCCTGACCTCAGGTGATCCACCCACCTCAACCTCCAAAAGTGATTACAGGTGTGAGCCACTGTACCCAGCCACCTGATTTCCATTTTTAAAAGGTCATTCTGGATGCTGAGCAAAGAGCCAAAACTGGCCAGAGTGGCACGCAGCACAGCCGTTAGGAGTTAACGGAATCATGAACTCATCTCGCCTGAGAAGCCAGCAGCATCCAATCATCAGAGGAAAGCCAGGACTCAAAGTGCATGAATGACAGGACAAGGAAGCCTGCAAAAGTGTGGTGAGCCCAGCTACCCTGCTTACAGAAAGAGATGCCATCAGAGGAAAGCCAAATGGGAAGGATTCTCTACATACAAACCCTAAGTCAACCAATCCCAGAGAAGTTAAAATGACACTCCTCCCTTCCAAGCTTAACCCTGAGCATGGAGAAAAGCATGGAGCCCACCTCCTGCAGCTGTGATGGGAGAAGAGGGGGCTGCCCATCCAGCTGGCAGCAAGTCTCTCGTATCAGCTGAAAATAGCCCAAGAAACCGTAAGTTAAGCATTTGTGGTCTTTTGCAACCTTAGTAATAAAGGAACACTCTTTCTGTGGTTCAGGAGATGACAAAAAAGCCAGCCAGGTGTCCTGCTGGGTAAGGGTTTTCTGCTGGGCTCCTCAGACCTGAGATGTTCTCCTTCTGCTAACCACAGGGTGGTTTCCATCAGAGCCCACACTCATTCCTCTCACACCTTCTCAGGGAGAGGAGAGAGAGGGCGAAAGGTGATCCTCTGGCCTTCCTTCATCAAGGCCAAGCCTTTTCTTTCCAAGCACACCCCTTTGGATGGGCCAGATGCCAGAGGGCACTGATGTGGAGGAGCTGAGGCAACCCATGCTGCAGGGCTCCCACGAGGAAGGCTGGGTGATGGAGACTATCCCACTCTGCTCAAGGCAGTACTCACCCCTGCACGAGGCCCCCACACCAGGACGGGCTGTAGACAAGCCGCTGCGGGGAGTCTATCTTCTTCAGGAGGTCGTAAGAGAAGCCCTGGATGATGGCCTGCATGTGTGAGGCACAGCGCTGCATGAACTCCACTATCTGCAAAACATCGCAGAGATGCCCAGTGCGGGCGCACCAGTTCTCAATGGAATGGAAGCTTGGGTATGAAGATAAGTGGTCCGAGGAGCTGAGAGCCCCCAACAGAAAAACCTCTCAAAAGGAAAGGGCCCAGGTGATTTTCTAAAGGTATGGAATGTTTTCAGGGAGAGGCTTTAGGGAAACAATTTCCTCCAACTCCCTCCTTCAACAGATGAGGAAACCAAGGCCAAGACGAGTAAAATTTGCTGGTCCAAGGCCCAACAGCTTTAATAAGCAGGAGCCCCAGAAAGGAGACTGCACACAGAGGGGCCTGGCACTGTACCTGCCCTTTGAGTTTTACATTTATGTTATTTAGTCTTCATTAAAACACATCACACCAGCTGGGTGCAGTGGCTCATGCCTGTAATTCCAGCACTTTGGGAGGCCAAGGTGGGCGAATCACCTGAGTCAGGAGTTCGAGACCAGCCTGGCCAACATGGAGAAACCCCGTCTTTACTCAAAATACAAAAGTTAGCTGAGTGTGGTGGTGCATGCTTGTAATCCGAGCTACTCAGGAGGCTGAGGCAGGAGAATTGCTTGAACCCAGGAGGCGGAGGTTGCAGTGAGCTGAGCTCGCGCCACTGCACTCCAGCCTGGGCAAGACTCCTTCCCAAAAAAAAAAAAAAAATTCCCACCTGCCAAACAAAGTTACTTAATGTCAGTGGGCCTCAGTTTCCCCACCTGTACAATAAGGACATTAATAGTACTTACCTGAGAGGTTGTTGTGAAGATTGAGTTAATATATAAAAAACATTTAAAACAACATCTGAGTCATGGTAAGTGCTAGTTAAATGGGTCAGACAAAATTACAGTTGTTTGCCTTTCCCATCGAATACGATGAGTAGAAAGGTTCACTAGACCTGCCGGAAGTTTCGCAGCTGGCTAATTTGCTTCGATCCAAGCCTGAGACTCCAGTACCAATACTAAGGCCACTGTACGCTCTGTGCTGACCACTGGGAGCCTGACTCTCAGCCCAGTACTCTTCTAGTGGGCATGGCTACAGAGTGGGACCCACCCTTACCTGGGTGCTACGCTCCTTTCCTGCTGTCAAAGCCCAAGTCTTCGGGTTTTGACCCCTCTCATCGTGGAGTCGCAGGTCACCTCCTGCATCCAGCAGTTTGCTAAGGATCCACTGATTGCCCGAAAATGCTGCTGCATGGACAGGGGTGCTCCCATCAAAGCAGCGGCTGGGGAGGGAGATGAGTACAATTGATGTCCATGGCAATGCTCCTGCATTCCATGGAGCGGGGCTCAGCGTGCAACACAGGGCTCCCATTCTACAAGGCAACGTTGGTGACGAGGAATATAACAACATCATTTGTGAGGCCCCTGTCTGTGCCCACAGGAACTTTCTGTACACACACACACACACACACACACACACACAATCCCTTTTTTTCCCTCCTTCACTCAACCCTTCAAGGAAGTATCATTTCCCAATTTACAGATGAGGAAACAAAACGGCAAAGCTGAGGTTCATTCCCAGGCATAGATCTGGTTCCAAATCCAATTTTCTTTCCCCAGCACTCTGATATTGGCTGCCCAGAAACAATGTCTTCACACCTGCAGTGTCCTGGGATCAGGCTAGTCAAGCACAGCCTAACAAGGCGCCACCTCTCTCGTTTGAGAATGTCTCCCCACAGCCCCCCAAGAAAATCCTGTGGTAGAGCACAAAACCTTGGCATCAGCAATGCAGTCAAGGATCTACACCTCAGAAAAATTTCACCTCAGAAAAATTTCAACAAAGCCAGTAAACTGTCTGAGACATGAAGGGACAGCCTTTAATGTGTCCAGGATATGGTGAGGATATGATGTATAGCCTTAGTTTCCTAACCTGGCTACACATCAGAATCACCAGGGAACTTTCTCTCTTTAACTGAAAAAGAAACACAAATAGGAGGAGGAGGAAGGGAAAAAAAAGAAGAAGAAAGAAGGAGAAGAAGGAGGAGGAGGAGAAGAAGGAGAAGATGAAGAAGAGGAGGAGGGGGAGGGAAGGGGAGGGGGAGGCAGAGGAGGAGGAGGAGAAAGAAAAGGATGATGAAGAGAAGATAAGAAAAAAGTCATCCAACTCCAGACACCCAGTTCTCTTACCAAGATGCAATTACTATTACAAGTTTTTGTATCCTTCTGGAAATGTTCTATGTATATACAAGTATAAATAAGAATACACTAAACAGGCCGGGTGTGGTGGCTCACGCCTGTAATCCCAGCACTTTGGGAGGCCGAGGCGGGCAGATCACGAGGTCAGGAGATCGAGGCCATCCTGGCTAACGCGGTGAAACCCTGTGTCTACTAAAAATACAAAAAAATTAGCCGGGCGTAGGTGGTGCATACCTGTAGTCCCAGCTACTCGGGAGGCTGAGGCTAAGAATGGCGTAATGGCATAAAACCCGGGAGGCAGAGCTTGCAGTGAGCCGAGATCATGCCACTGCACTCCAGCCTGGGAGACAGAGCGAGACTCTGAATACACTATACAAACTCTTCTGTATCTACATATTTTCTTTTCTTTTCTTTTCTTTTTTTTTTTTTTTTGAGACGGAGTTTTGCTCTTGTCACCCAGGCTAGAGTGCAATGGTGTGATCTCGGCTCACTGCAACCTCCGCCTCCTAGGCTCAAGTGGTTCTTCTGCCTCAGCCTCCTGAGTAGCTGGGATTATAGGTGCCCGCCACCCATGCCCAGTTAATTTTTGTATTTTTAGTGGAGACAGGGTTTCACCATGTTGGCCAGGCTGGTCTCGAACTCCTGACCTCCGGTGATCTACCCACCTCAGCCTCCCAAAGTGCTGGGATTACAAGAGTGAGCCACCGCGCCCAGCCTTCATATTTTCATTTAAGAATCTATCTTGGAGAAATTTCCATATGAGAAACTACAAGCCATCGCTTCTTGGCCTTTTGGCTAAGATCAAGTGAGAAACTACAAGCCATCTCCATTCTTTTTAACAGCTACATAGTATGCCAATGAATGGGTGTATCATAATTTAGTTAATAATCCACTGGGATATCTGTCAAAAGCACAGATTCTCAGACTACACCTTACACTGACTGAAACAAAATCTGCAAGCACAGGACCCAGGAATGTGGTTTGGTTTGGTTTTGTTTTTCAAATTCCCCTGGTGATACTAAAGAGGCTGGCCTGCACACAGGCTTATAGGAACCACTGATCCCATTGGTTCTCACTGTAGGCTCTCTCCCACTGCTGGGCAGAGAAGCAGTCCAGCACACTGCATCGTGGGAATCACAATATCCTCCTTGCTGCAAAAACAGCTTTGTATAATGTCTTACCATCTTCTTTTTTGTTTTTTGGGTTTTTTTTTTTTCTTTTTTTGAGACGAAGTCTCGCTCTTGTCCCCCAGGCTGCAGTACAATGGTGCAATCTCGACTCACTGCAACCTCTGCCTCTCGTGTTCAAGAGATTCTCCTGCCTCAGCCTCCCGAGTAGCTGGAATTACAGGCACCTGCCACCATGCGCTCAGGTAACTTTTGTATTTTTAGTAGAGACGAAGTTTCATCATGTTGGCCAGGCTGGTCTCAAATTCCTGACCTCAGGTGATCTGCCCGCCTCATCCTCCCAAAGTGCTGGGATTACAGGCATGAGCCACTGTGCCCAGCCTGTCTTACCATCTTCTAATCATTCCTCCCACAAACAGTAAGAAAGCTGGGTTAGGACACAGATGATATTATTTCTCATTTCTCATGAATGCTAAGGAGGAAAGGAATAATGATTTATACCCAGCTAAGCTTACAAGAGGATCCAGGTCCACCTGGTATCAAAATGTGTACTATCATATTTATTTATTGTAAAGCCTAAAAACTGGAGTCTCTGCCTAGCCAACTCAGAAGTTTATTTTATTTGGTACACACAGTGTTCAAAAAAATTGAAATAGTTGGCAATATTTAACATTTGGGAGCTTTCATTTATTTGTTTATTTATTTTGAGACAGAGTCTCTGTCTGCCACCCAGGCTGGAGTGCAGTGGCACAATCTTGGCTCACTGCAACCTCCGCCTCCTGGGTTGAAGATATTCTCCTGCCTGAGCCTCCTGAGTAGCTGGGACTACAGGCGCCCGCCACCATGGCTGGCTAATTTTTTTTTTTTTTTAATTTTTAGTAGAGACGGGGTTTCACCATGTTGACAAGGATGGTCTCGATCTCCTGACCTCATGATCCACCCACCCTGGACTTCCAAAGTGCTGGGATTACAGGCGTGAGCCACTGTGCCCGGCAACATTTGGGAGATTTCAAATTAAAAACTGGGATTTCCGGCTCTTGGAAATTCGGAAGATCTGGCTTTCCTGGCTCCCTTTCCTGCCCCCCTTTCCTGCCCAACAGCAATAGATCCCTGACCCTCCTCAGAGAAAACCTAAACCCAGTTACTTGGTCCAGTAGGCATCTGATTTGTGACTTCAATAGGTCCAGTCCATCACAGCGTTTCCACTGAGCGTATAGGAATAAAGCCTCCTGGCTGGGTGCGGTGGCTCATGCCTGTAATCCTAGCACATCGGGAGGCCGAGGCGGGTGGATCATCTGAGGTCAGGAGTTCGAGACCAGCTTAGCCAACATGGTGAAACCCCGTCTCTACTAAAAATACAAACAAAAATTAGCCGGGCATAGTGGCGTGTGCCTGTAATCCCAGCTACCTGGAAGGCTGAGGCAGGAGAATTGCTGGAACCCTGTAGGCAGAGGCTGCAGTGAGCCAAGACCGTGCCACTGCACTACAGCCTGGGCGACAGGGTGAGACTCCATCTCAAAAAAAAAAAAAAAAAAAAAAAGCCTCCTGGCTGGGTGTGGTAGCTCACACCTAAAATCCCAGCACTTTGAGAGGCTGAGGCAGATGGATCACCTGAGGTCAGGAATTCAAGACCAGCCTGGACAACATGGCAAAACTAAAAATACAAAAATTAGTCAGGTGTGGTGGCACGCGCCTGTAGTCCCAGGTACTCGGGAGGGTGAGGCAGGAGAATCGCTTGAACCCAGGAAGCAGAGGTTGCAGTGAGCCAAGATCGCACCACTGCACTCCACCTGGAAAACAGAGTGAGACTTCATCAAAAACAAAAAAAGGAATAAAGCCTCCTCCCAGAAATTCCCCTTCACCTTGATCAGATAAAAATTTTTTAAAAACTTTTTTTCCCGGTACCTCTATGCAGCCAATCATCAGATATTTTTTAAGTCACATGAAAATGTTCCCAACCAGAAAATACAAAGCCATAGGGGTTTGCCATCCTCTCTTGTTATTGTCCCTTTCCACTTCCTTCCTGGCATTGCCTGGCATTACAAGTGTCCTTCCTGGACACTTGAAAAAGGGAACTTCTTTAAACTCTGAGGTCTTCAGAAGCTGGGCTCCTTCCTGATCTCAGCTGTGTCATTAATACTATGTACCATATTATGGGCTAGTCTCAATTCCCTGATCTTGAAAATTAAAGGTTTGAATGGTTTGATCTTTAAAGAAATCAGCTTTAAGCCTGGACAAAGCAGTTGTAAATGCAGATGACTATAAAATGTTTCAATTTTTATCTGTATTTTTTTATACAGGCTTTTAAAAAATGGTTTATGTTTACTGAACAGAATTATACTGTCATACAGAATATGAAAGTGATGATGGTCATGACTATATCACTCAAGGCGATGTTTATACACCTTGTTTCAGTAACTAAAAGAAGTGGGAAATGGCCGGGCATGGTGGCTCATGCCTGTAATCTCAGCACTTTGGAAGGCGGAGGCTGGTGGATCACCTGAGGTCAGGAGTTTGAGATCAGCCTGGCCAACAAGGTGAAACCGCATCTCTACTAAAAATACAAAATTAGCCAGCTGTGGTGGTGGGCACCTGTAATCCCAGCTACTCGGGAGGATGAGGCAGGAGAATCGCTTGCACCTGGGAGGCAGAAGTTGCAGTGAGCCAAGATCATGCCACTGCACTCCAGCCTGGGTGACAGAGCAAGACTCTATCTCAAAAAAAAAAAAAAAAAAAAGTGGGAAAAACTGAAGAAAAAAGAAAATGTTGCATTTTTGCTGAAGAACTGCAGACTGTCCCAATATGGCCTCCCTACAACACGGGTATATGCAAACATCAGGTGAGCCAGCCCCCATGCCACCTTTTTTTTTTTTTTTTTTTTTTTTGGGTATAGACAGGGTCTCTGTTGCCCAGGCTAGTCTCAAACTCCTGGGCTCGAGCAATCCTCCCACCTCACCTCCCAAATTGCTGGGATTACAGGTGTGAGCTACTGCATCTGGCTGACCCCTTTCTCTCCGGGCTTTGAAATTAAACAATACGGTAGAGCCAGTAGAGCGTGTGTGAGTCTAGAAAAATTCTGCAAGGAAACACAACAAAATGTTCATTGTTTTAAGTTACCTCTGGTTACTTAATTCTCATACTGATTGGCTTTTTTCTTTGTGCTTTTCTAAGCTTCCAAGTTTTCTTCCCCTAAGCAATTTTATAACCAATCCCTCCACAACACACATACATAAAATACAAAAGCTGCTCGGCACGGTGGCTCACATCTGTAATCCCAGCACTTTGGGAGACTGAGGCGGGCGGACCATGAGGTCAAGAGTTCGAGACCAGCCTGACCAACATAGTGAAACCCTGCCTCTACTAAGAATACAAAAATTAGGCCGGGCGCAGTGGCTCATGCCTGTAATCCCAGCACTTTGGGAGGCTAAGGCGGGCGGATCATGAGGTCAGGAGATGGAGACCATCCTAGCTAACACGGTGAAACCCCATCTCTACTAAAAATATAAAACATTAGCTGGGTGTGGTGGCACGCGCTTGTAGTCCCAGCTACTAGGGAGACTGAGGCAGGAGAATCACTTGAACCTCGGAGGCACAGATTGCAATGAGCCGAGATTGCGCCACTGCACTCCAGCCTGGGCAACAGAGTGAGACTCTGTCTCAAAAAAAAAAAAAGACTACAAAAATTAGCTGGGTGTGGTGGCACGTGCCTGTAATCCCAGCTACTTGGAAGGCTGAGGCAGAAGAATCACTTGAACACGGGAGGCGGAGGTTGCAGTGAGCCGTAGTAGCGCCACTGCA
This sequence comes from Homo sapiens, assembly GCF_000001405.40. Lineage (NCBI taxonomy): Eukaryota > Metazoa > Chordata > Mammalia > Primates > Hominidae > Homo > Homo sapiens. The sequence goes on from NC_000017.11 coordinate 58,628,851, forward strand.
CTCCAGCCTGGGTGACAGAGCAAGACTCCATCACAAGAAAAAAAAAAAAAGTACAAAAGCTTCCAATATCAATAATTTAAGCAGGTACATTAAACAGAGCCTCCTTAAGTAAGATGGGAAAGACTTTATGATTGTTCATATTCTAGCATTCCTGTGAAAATCAGCTTGAATCACTTAAGTGCCCAAAACCCCAGTTTCTGGTTCTGTTTAATGGGAACTGAAAAATATCCACCACCCACTCTCCCTTCTCTGTCAAGAAGGTGTCAAATAAGCTAATATTTGAGAAGGCCCTAGCAAAAGCCGAAGTGCTTCACAAAAAGAGATGTTCGGCCAAGTACAGTGGCTCACACCTGTAATCCCAGCACTGTGGGAGGCCAAGGTGGATGGAGGCCAGGAGTTCGAGACCAGCCTGGCCAACATGGCAACACCCTGTCTCTACTAAAAATACAAAAAATTAGCCAGGCCTGGTGGTGCCCACTTGTAATCCCAGCTACTAGGGAGGCTGAGGCAGGAGAATTGCTTGCAGCCGGGTGGCAGAGGCTGCAGTGAGCCAAGATCCTGCCACTGCACTCCAGCCTGGGCGACAGAGGCAGACCATGTGTCAGGAAAAAAAAAAAAAAAAAAAAAGTAGATGTTCACCTGTCACTGATTCACTGTGTTACTGTTTCATATTAAAATTTAGACCAACTATTGGCCGGGCACGGTGGCTCACGCCTGTAATCCCAGCACTTTGGGAGGCCAAGGCGGGCAGATCACGAGGTCAGGAGATTGAGACCATCCTGAGACCAACCTGGCTAGCATCATGAAACCCCGTCTCTACTAAAAATACAAAAAATTAGCCCGGCGTGGTGGCAGGTGCCTGTAGTCCCAGCTCCTCAGGAGGCTGAGGCAGGAGAATGGCGTGAACTCGGGAGGCAGAGCTTGCAGTGAGCCGAGATCGCACCACTGCACTCCAGCCTGGGCGACAGAGCTAGACTCCGTCTGAAAAAAAAAAAAAAATAAATAAATAAAATTTAGACCAACTATTAAACTCCGATTCTTTTCGTGTTTCGTGTTTTTTTTTTTTCCTTTTTTTTTTTTTTTGACGGAGTTTTGCTCTTCCCACCTCGGCCTCCCAAAGTGCTGGGATTACAGGCGTGAGCCACCATGCCCGGCCTAAACTCTGATTCTTTTAAACCACAGCCATAAGAGTCAGGCAAAATTCACCCTTTTTTTTTTATTTTGAGACTGAGTCTCGCTCTTGTTGCCCAGGCTGGGGTACAATGGCGCGATCTCGGCTCACTGCAACCTCCACCTCCCGGGTTCAAATGATTCTCCTGTCTCAGCCTCCCAAGTAGCTGGGATTACAGGCATGCGCCACCACGCCTGGCTAATTTTTTGTATTTTTAGTAGAGGCAGGGTTTCACCATGTTGGTGAGGCTAGTCTCTAACTCCTGACCTCGTGATCTGCCCGCCTTGGCCTCCCAAAGTGCTGGGATTATAGGTATGAGACACCGCACCCGGCCAAACGTTTTTCTAATTAGTTTCTAAACAAACTCATCTTAACAGCACAACCCCTATTTTCTAGACATCAATATTATTGTACTTACTGATTTGGATCTGATCCATAATCCACCAGAACATCAACGAATTTCCTAAGGCCCAATAACGCCGCAACAAAAAGTGCTGTTTGGCCCAAGGAGTTAACTGCATCAACATAAATTCCTGCAAAGGAAATATCAGAATCAATGCAAATATCAGAAAATTTCCTGAGAAGGAACTGGGTAGGGGGTGGGGGAATTACATATTTTTATAGTGTACTTTCATATATTGCTGTGAGCTTTTTTTTAAAAAAAGTACAAAGAAGGTCTTCATTAGTAGCACATAGATATACTGGAAGGCAAACTCAGTGTTTATTCATCAAAAATATTTGCAGAAAGTTGCATTGAAGCATTTAGTTCACCACACTGGCATATTATAAAATGGATTAAAATGGTTCTCAATCATGGGAAAGGATGAGGGAGGGACTAAAGATACTCTGTGTGTTGGGAGGAAGGCTATAACATAAAAAGAGCTCAATGGAATACAAGTCCTCACCTAAAAGATCTTACTAAAGTGTAAAGACTAATTCGACAAGGGAAAACAAAACACATAAAACAGACCAATTTCCAGTACTATCAAACAATGAGTCTGTGAATAATTAAAAGGGACTGAAAAAAAAGGCCAAAGTAGTAACATGACCAGGAAAATAAATAAAAAAGGAAAATATGCCTTACCTACCAAGAAAAAAATTTAGTCCTCCAGAAGACCAAAAAACACCAAGAAATACAAAAATTGAAATCCCACAAGCCTGGAGGCGCAGTGGCTCACGCCTGTAATGCCAGCTCTTTGGGAAGCCGAGGCGGGTAGATCACTTGAGGCCAAGAGCTCGAGACCAACCTGGCCAACAAGGCGAAATCTCCTCTCTACTAAATATACAAAAACTAGCGGGGCTGGCTGCGTACCTATAGTCCCAGCTACTTGAGAAACTGAAGCATGAGGACTGCTTAAGTGGCAGAGGCTGCAATGAGCCGAAATTGTGCCATTGCACTCCAGGACCACAGAAAAAAGCCCCAGCTCAAAAATAAAAATGCACATATCTCACATCTCTCAAAACACACAAAAAGCACTCTGCACAATCCTAAGTTAAAATATATGCATATATACACAACACATCTCTCAAAACACACATCTGGCATAACCTTATACTCAAAAATTAAAAACATGAGGAAACCAACTACTATTAACATCTGAAAAAAAAAAAAACCCAGAACTACTCAGACTGCCTTCTCTAGAGAAGAACGGTCACCAACAGCAAACAGCAGTTAGAATAACGCAACACCAAACACTGCTATCCCACTCGTGAGAGAACACAAATATCTCCCTCTCGCGGTTTCCAGCGTTCTACACGTTCAGATATACTCCTCGAGAAACACACTATAGAAATTATCCCTCAAAATATAGTCTTAATGTCCATTTATGTGCCTTCCACATGCGAAAGAAACTCACACATATTATGCTGATGGTGAGTATTTCGTGAGCACATTTTCCTCTCGAAAATATTACTATGTGTTTTTTCCAAAAACGATCTTTCCACTACCAAAGTTCGAAAAAGCATTTAAAATAAGCTCAAAATTTCGAAGATACTTTAGGCAATCACTGTAATTAACATATGGTAGCAAAGCATGCAAATCACTCAGAGCTCCTTTCTAACCCCGCCCCATTTTCCTCCACGCGTAACGCTGACGACTATAAAGCGCGCCGGAGCGCCAGAAACCGTCAGGGAAACTGCCCGGTTTGGACTGATGATCGGAAGCAAGAAGGCCCTTCGAGAATAACCAAAGAGTGAAGGGAAAGCGATAATTCAAAGCCAAAGATTGTGATATTTGCATAGCGCGCCCTATTATATTTTATACTGTGATCAAAATTCCACACACTTAAATATTTTGTATTTCTTCCCCAAAAACCAGGGAGTTTTTATTCTACATGGCATTGCTGTGTTTATTTTTTTCTGGTTTTCGCACTGTTGCCCAGGGTGGCCTTGAACTCCTGGGCTCAAGCGATCTTCCCACCTCAGCCTTCCAAAATGCTGGGATTACAGGCGTGAGCCGTCACACCCGGCCATTGCTGTGTTTAAACAAGCAGGACAACATATTCCCCTGGTTTAAGCTTCAGTAGCTTCCCATTTGTTAAGGTACAGACAAAACTCTACATACTTATGTGAGAAAATACTTTAAATGGTCCATTTTCAAGGCATAATAAATCTAAGTACTGGCAGCCGGCCTGCAAACGTAACCGCACAGCTCACGCACCTAGGTCACGATAAGCGAACAGAATGTAGAGGAGGGGTCAGCCCATAAAAGGGAAGAAAGTTTCTTTACTGGGAATCGAAAATTAAAGCAGGGAAGGGGAGAGGGTATATAACCTTATAAGGGGGATAATGAAACTTAGGCGACATCCGGAAAGATTGTAACCTCATAGTACTCGACCAATGAGGAACTGGGGGAGGGACTTGGATGCTAGGAGATAAATTATACCAGACACCCAATCTTGCAAGACCCCTATTAAAAGTCTCACTTCCGCTGTTCTTCGTGCCTCTAAGCCCATTCTTTGGGTTTGGAAAGGTAAGTGTATTTCTCGCACTTAAAAGGCCCTGTATGGTCTGGCCCCTCTCTCGAGTCCATCTCTCAAGTCTCATTCTCCCTCACTCCAGCCACACTCTGGCCTTACAGTTCCTCATACTCGCCATGCTCCTTTCTGCCACAGGGCCTTTGGACAGGCTGTTCTCCCTGACAGGGATTCTCCTCTCAACCTCTAATCCCAACTTATCTTCATCATTCAGACATTGGTCCAAATGTCATTGTCTCAGGAAATATTTCCCTGACCTCCTTTAGCAGATCAAACACCTCTTCTATGTGATCATTTGATTAATGCCTGCCACCTGCATGAGACTTTAAGTTTCAGACTACATGAATGGCTTTGGGTACCCACAATATCCCAAGCACCTAATAATGAATAAATCCAAGTAAAGATGTCCAGTGAACAGAACTGCAGAAGATAAAGGACATTAACAATGGCCAATTGTAAGCCATAGGGGAAAATAAGTCAAACATACTACCCAAACAGCAGAGGGTTAAAGCTGGAACCCTGAGGCCCACTACCATCTTGAGGTAAGCTAGGGCTGGGGATGGTGGCTCACGGCTGTAATCCCAGCACTTTGGGAGGCTGGGCAGATCACTTGAGGTCAGGAGTTTGAGACCAGCCTGGCCAATGTGGACAAACCCCATCTCTACTATAAAAACACAAAAATTAGCCGGGGGCCGGGCGCAGTGGCTCACGCCTGTAATCCCAGCACTTTGAGAGGCCAAGGCAGGTGAATCACAAGGTCAGGAGCTCGAGACCTGCCTGGCCAACATGGTGAAACCTCGTCTCTACTAAAAAGTACAAAAATTAGCTGGGCATGGTGGCACACGCCTGTAGTCCCAGCTACTCAGGAGGCTGAGGCAGGAGAATCACTTGAACCCGGGAGGCAGAGGTTGCAGTGAGCCGAGATCACGCCACTGCACTCCAGCCTGGTGACAGAGCAAGACTCTGTCTCCGAAAAAAAAAAAAAAAGCAAATAAGGAAAGAAGCCAAAAAGTAGGCAGAGATTAGAGGAAAACCTGGAAGAAATGGGTCACAGTGACAAGGAAGGTTAAAAGTTTCAAAAAGAAGGATCAGTCAACAGTATCAAAGCCTGAGACATCTAGTAAGAAGAAATTGGGCTGGGTGTGGGGGCTCACGCCTGTAATCCCAGCACTTTGGGAAGCTGAGGTGGGTGGATCACTTGAGGCCAAGAGTTCAAGACCAGCTTGGCCAACATGGTGAAACCCTGTCTCTACTAAAAATACAAAAATTAGCCGGGCTTGGTGGCACATGCCTGTAATGCCAGCTACTCAGGAGGCCGAGGCAGGAGGTTTGCTTGAACCCGAGAGGTAGAGGTTGCAGTGAGCTGAGATTGTGCCACTGCACTCCAACTTGGGCAACAGAGTGAGACTCTGTCTCAAATTAAAAAACAAAGAAAGAAAGAAAAAGAAACAGTGTTCATGGTGAGAGCAGTACTAGAGGGGTTCACATGTCTTACTGCTCAGGGCTTGCTGTGTTACAAATATTTGTGGTATGTCTATGTCCTCTACCAGACTGTCTCTCCTACACTAGAAGGTAGGAACTGCCCAATGTATCTCCCCTATCTTCAGTGCCTTGTTCACTTATCTGCCCAACACAAGCCAGCCTAAGAGTAGAGAAGAGCAGCAGAGAACAGTAAAAGGACAATTCTGCATGGATCTCTCAGAGTTACGCATGTCATGGGGGCAAGGCACTAACCTGTTCAGGGCACCTCTTTGAAGATATTTGTATAATGAAGTTTGGAAGGCAGATAGTATCTACATTCACAGCAAAGTGAATACATGCTTACCATCCAGTATAATAAAAATAATGTCTCCAGCCAGGCATGGTGGCTCACGCCTGTAATCCCAGCACTTTGGGAGGCCGAGGCAGGCGGATTACCTGAGGTCAGGAGTTCAAGACCAGCCTGGCCAACATGGTAAAACTCCACCTTTACTAAAACTACAAAAAGTAGCCAGGCGTGGTGGCGGGCGCCTGTAATACTAGCTACTCAGGAGGCTGAGGGAGGAGAATTGCTGGAACCCGGAAGGTGGAAGTTGCAGTGAGCTGAGATCTCAACATTGCACTCCAGCCCGGGTTGACAAAGCGAAACTCTGTCTCAAAAAAAAAAAAAGTTAAAAGGAAAAAATGCTGATATTCTGGCTACTGCTGTTGCTATGAGTAATAAACCATCATTCATCTATGACCCCAAGAATCTCATCCATACACATGTAGCAGTCTAATTTATCAAATCTCAAACTATTTATAGTTATTGACAAGAAGAAATTACAGTCAAGGGAAGCAGGCTGACAAGAAATTATAGTTATTGACAAGAAGAAATTACAGTCAAGGGAAGCCCCTCCCAGGGCTCAGGAGGCAAAAAATTAAATCAACCAAGGCCTCCAAGGGCTTCTCTCTTTTTTTTTTTTTTTTTTTGAGACAGAGTCTCACTCCGTAGCCCATGCTGGAGTACAGTGGCATGATCTTGGCCCACTGCATCCTCTGCCTCCCAGGTTCAAGTGATTCTCCGGCCTCAGCCTCCTGAGTAGCTGCAATTACAGGCACGCACAACCATGCCCAGCTAATTTTTGTATTGTTAATAGATACAGGGTTTCACCATGTTGGCCAGGCTGGTCTCAAACTCCTGACCTCAAGTGATCCACCTGCCTCGGCCTCCAAAAGTGCTGGGATTACAGGCATGAGCCACTGCGCCCAGCCCACCAAGGGCTTCTCTTTTTTTTTGAGACAGAGTCTCTGTCGCCTAGGCTGGAGTGCAGTGGTGCGATCTTGGCTCACCACAACCTCCAGCCTCACCATAACCTCCAGCGGGTTCAAGCGATTCTCCTGCCTCAGCCTCCCCAGTAGCTGGGATCACAGGCAGCCGCCACTACGCCTGGCTAATTTTTGTATTTTTAGTAGAGACAGGTTTCACCATGTTGCCCAGGCTGGTCTTGAACTCCCGACCTCAGGTGATCCACCCACCTCAGCCTCCCAAAGTGTTAGGATTACAGGCGTGAGCCACCGCGTCCCAAGGGCTTCTCTAAGGATCAGAAACCACTTAGGGGAAGGCACAGAGCAACAAATCTTGAGGGGATACAGGTGGCAGGAAAGAAAAATAGGTGAAAACCTCTGTCCCTACAACTTAAGCAAACATGACCTTTGGAGACTTCCTAATAAAAAATAACATTTATTCATTCAACAAATAATTATTTTAGGCCAGCATTGTACCCATGTTGTGGCTGCTATAAAGGTAACTAAAAACAGTCCCACAAGAAGTGACCAGAGGCAGCTATGACATGGTACAAAGACTGGCCGAAAAGGTTAAAAGACCTGGATTCAAATGTTGACATCCTAATACCACCCTCATAAGCCCAGGGCCTCCAGATGGGTCAGTCACCTAACCTGTGAGCCTCCTAGGAGGTAATATCTGATATTAACAATAATGTGTGCCAGGCACTATTCTTTTAATTCACTTAATCCTCACAACTGTACAAGAAGAAGAAACTATTATTATCACTGTTTTGTAGATGAAGAAATGGAGAGAGATCAATTTGCCAGAGGTCACAAACCAGTCTGGTTCTAAAGTCCACGCACTATACCACTGTCTCTGTGATATTGTGAAATATGTATTTGGGGCCGGGGGTGGTGGCTCATGCCTGTCATCCCAGCACTTTGGGAGGCACCCGAGGTCAGGAGTTCAAGACCAGCCTGACCAATATGGTGAAACCCTGTCTCTACTAAAATTACACAAATTAGCGGGGCATGGTGGCATGTACCTGTAGTCCCAGCTACTTGGGAGGCTGAGGCAGGAGAATTTCTTGAACTCGGGAGGCAGAGGTTGCAGTGAGCTGAGATCGCGCCACTACACTCCAGCCTGGGCGACAGAGTGAGACTCTGTCTCAAAAAAAAAAGAAGAAAGAAAGATTTATTTGGGGCTGGGCATGGTGGCTCACGCCTGTAATCCCAGCATTTTGGGAGGCAGAAGCGGGTGAATCACTTGAGGTCAGCAGTTCAAGACCAGTCTGGCGAACACGGTGAAACCCCGTTTCTACTAAAAATACGAAAATTAGTTGGGCATGATGGTGGGCGCCTGTAATCCCAGCTACTTGGGAGGCTGAGCCACGAGAATTGCTTGAAGCTCAGGAGGCAGAGATTGCAGTGAGCGTGCCATTGCACTCCAGCCTGGGTGACAGAACGAGACTCTGTCTCAAAAACAAAAAACAAAAAAACAACAAAAAAACAAGAAATATATATTTGGTCTTCATGCCTGTTCCCTGACGTAGAGCTTCTAAAACTCTTTGAACCTCTGGAATGATAAGTATCTTTTGTATGCTGATGCTGACTGTAGCTAGTGGCTGGGGCCACCCAGAAAGCATCAGGATGACAGCTGGTCACTGGAAAGACCGAAGCATGATGAGAGGGTTGGGACTCTTAGCCCTGCTCCCCAACCTCCGGGGAGGGGAGAGGGGCTGAAGGTTAAATTGATCACCAATGGCTAGTGATTTAATCTACCATACCTACGTAATGAAGTTTCCATAAAAACCCAAAAGGACTGGGTTGGGAAGCTTCTGAATAGCTGAACATGGAGAGGTTCCTGGAGGATGGGCCAGGGAGGGCATGGAATCACCAAGCTTTTTCCCACATGCCTTGCCCTAGACATCTCTTCCATTCAGTTGCTCATCTGTATATTTTGTGATATCTTTACAATAAATGGGTAAACCTAAGTAAAGTGTTTCCCTGAGTTCTATGAGCCACTCTAGCAAATTAATCAAATCTGGGGAGTGGGTTGTGGGAACACCTGATGTACAGTCAATCATAAGAAGTATAGGTTTACAACCTACTGCCTTTTTTTTTTTTTTTTTCCTTTTGAGATGGAGTCTTGCTCTGTCACCCAGGCTGGAGTGCAGTGGTGCGATCTCGGCTCACTGCAACCTCTGCCTCCCAGGTTCAAGCAATTCTCCTGCCTCAGCCTCCTGAGTGGCTGGGATTACAGGTGCCTACCACCACACCCGGCTAATTTTTGTATTTTTAGTACAGATGGGGTTTCACTATGTTGGTCAGGCTGATCTCGAACTCCTGACCTCATGATCCACCTGCCTCAGCCTCCCAGAAGTGCTGGGATTACAGGTGTGAGCCACTGCGCCTGGCCTGTAAAGATATATTACAAGGTATTTTATCAAAGCATTGTTTCTGATGATTAAAAACTGCAAAAATAGGCTGGACGTGGTATCTCATACTTATAATCCCAGCACTTTGGGAGGCCAACCCGGGACACTTGCTTGAGCCCAGTAGTTCAAGACCAGTCTGCGCAACACAGCGAGACCTTGTCTCTACTACAATAAATTAAAAAAAAAAAATTTAATGCAGAAATAGCACAATTTGCAATTGCAAAATCGTGGAACAAACCCAAATGCCCATCAATCAACAAGTGGATAAAGAAACTGTGGTGTATTTATACATTGGAATACTACTCACCCATAAAAATGAATTAACGGCATTTGCAGCAACCTGGATGAGATTGGAGACTATAATTCTTTTTTTTCTGAGACGGAGTTTCACTCTTGTTACCCAGGCTGGAGTGCAGTGGTGCAATCTCGGCTTACCACAACCTCCACCTCCCAGGTTCAAGCAGTTCTCCTGCCTCAACCTCCCGAGTGGCTGGGATTACAGGCATATGCCACGACGCCTGCCTAATTTTTTGTATTTTTAGTAGGGACAGGGTTTCTCCATGTTGGTCAGGCTGGTCTTGAACTCCTGACCTCAGGTGATCCTCCTGCCCCGGCCTCCCAAAGCACTGGGATTACAGGCATGAGCCACTGCGACCGGCCTGGAGACTATTATTCTTTTTTTTTTTTTTTTTTTTTTTTGGGGAGACGGAGTCTTGCTCTGTTGCCCAGGCTGGAGTGCAGTGGCGTGATCTCGGCTCACTGCAAGCTCCACCTCCCAGGTTCACGCCATTCTCCTGCCTCAGCCTCCTGAGTAGCTGGGACTACAGGCGCCTGCCACCACGCCTGGCTAATTTTTTTTTTATATTTAGTAGAGACGGGGTTTCACCGTGTTAGCCAGGATGGTCTTGATCTCCTGACCTCGTGATCCACCCACCTCGGCCTCTCAAAGTGCTGGGATTACAGGCGTGAGCCACCGCGCCCAGCAAGACTATTATTCTAATTGAAGTAACTCAGGAATGGAAAATCAAACATTGTATGTTTTCACTGATATGTGGGAGCTAAGCTATGAGGACGCAAAGGCATGACAATGATACAATGATCTTGCTTGGGGAGTTGAGGGGAAGGGTGGGAGGTGGGCAAGAGATAAAAGACTACAAATAAGGTGCCAGTAGTGTATACTGGTTGGGTGATGGGTGTACCAAAATCTCACAAGTCACCACTAAAGAACTTACTCATGTTGGCCGGGCGCGGTGGCTCACGCCTGTAATTGCAGCACTTTGGGAGGCCAAGGCGGGAGGATCACCTGAGGTCAGGAGTTCAAGACTAGCCTGACCAACATAGAGAAACCACGTCTCTACTAAAAATACAAAATTAGCCGGGCGTGGTGGCACATACCTGTAATCCCAGCTACTTGGGAGGCTGAGGCAGGAGAATCGCTTGAACCCGGGAGGCGGATGTTGCCGTGAGCCCCTCATAAGACAGTATGAGCTAGGCTCCACGGTTCTGGTAAAGGTGCCTGGTCCCAGACAGTTTAAGGAAAGGGTGGGCCTTTGACTCTGCTAGAATCAGGCTGGATCCGGTAATTGATTAATCTCAGCAGTTGCTCACAACTATCCTAAGGGTTTGACTTTCGAACGCTAGGGTCAGGTCACCATGACCGTGGCAGGAAAGGGAACAGGGTGACTGAGACCCAGCATTTAAGAAAAAGAACTCTGGTTCTTATGCCACATGTTTGCACTACCAGTTCACACTTCTTAAATTTTTAAGATAAAGATGTTTGGTGAATTTGACGTCATTTCTTCCCTGAACAAATATTTGAATGCTGGTATACATAATGGTAATAGCTACTGGCCAATCACGGTGGCTCAGTCCTGTAATCCCAGCACTTTGGTAGGCCAAGGTGGGTGGATCACCTGAGGTCAGGAGTTTGAGACCAGCCTGGCCAACATGGTGAAACCCTGTCTCTACTAAAAATACAAAAATTAGCCAGGTGTGATGGCACTTGCCTGTAGTCCCAGCTACTAGGGAGGCTGAGGCACGAGAAACACTTGAACCCAGGAGACTGAGGTTGCAATGAGCCCAGACTGAGCCACTCCAGGCTGGGTGACACAGCGAGACTCTGTCCCAAAAAAAAAAAAAAGGTATTAGCTACTATTTACTGAGGTCTTGCCATGTTCCCAGCGTCACATGAGATAAGTACTATTAGTAATCATCCCAGCTTTATAGATGGATAAACTGACACACAGAAAGATTAGGTAACTTGCCTAAGGTCACACAGTTTTGAAACAGAGCTGGTAGGTCAGGTGCCAGAGCTTATTATCTTAACCACTATCCAGTTTTTCTACGTGCTAAGCACTATTTCTAAGAATTGGGCATATAGCAACAGAATAAAGTAAATAAAGGCTCCTACTCACATGCAGAGCTTACCTTCTAGTGTGTGTGTGTGTGTGTGTGTGTGTGTGTGTGAGAGAGAGAGAGAGAATGATAAATAATGAGGCATGTAGAGAATTATAACATTGTTGAAACAGAGAGACGTGGTGGCTATTTATTTACTTATTTATTGAGACGGTCTTGCTCTGACACCCAGGCTGTACAAGTGGTGCAATCTCAGCTCAGTGCAACCTCTGCCTCCTGGGATCAAGCCATCCTCCCACCTCAGCCTCTCGAGTAGCTGGGGCTACAGGTGCGAGCCACCAAGTCTGGATAATTTTTTTGCTTTTTGTAGAGACAAGTTTTCACCGCGTTGCCCAGGCTTGTCTCGACCTTCTCAGCTCAACTGATCCACCAGCCTCAACCTCCCAAAGTGCTGGGATTATAGGCATGAGCCACCATACCCTGCCCATCAGTGGTTACTTTAGATTTCAGAGGTTAGGGAAGGAGAGGGTTTCCCTAACCACTCAAAGGTTATTTAAGCCAAGACTTGAATGATTAAAAAGTAGCCAATCAGGTGGCTGAGAGCGGTAGCTCACGCCTATAATCCTAGCACTTTGGGAGGCCGAGGCTGGAGGATCACCTGAGGTGGGGAGTTTGAGATCAGCCTGACCAATATGGAGAAACCCCGTCTCTACTAAAAATACAAAATTAGCTGGGCGTGGTGGCACATGCCTGTAATCCCAGCTACTCGGGAGGCTGAGGCAGGAGAATCACTTGAATCTGGGAGGAGGAGGTTGCGATGAGCCAAGATTGGCCACTGCACTCCAGCCTGGGCAACAAGACTCTTAAAACAAAACAAAACAAAACAAAAAAAAAGTAGCCAACCAGGCTGCTGTGCCTATGGAGTAGCCATTCTTTTCTTTCTTTCTCTTTTATTTATTATTATTATTATTATTATTATTATTATTTGAGATGGAGTCTCATTCTCTCCAGACTGGAGTGCAGCAGCTTGATCTCTGCTTACTGCAACCTCCCACTCCCAGGTTCAGGTTCAAGTGATTCTCCTGCCTCGGCCTCCCTAACAGCTGGGATTATAGGTATGCACCACCACACTCAGCTAATTTTTGTATTTTTAGTAGAGACAGGGTTTCTCCATGTTGGCCAACCTGGTCTCTATCTCCTGACCTTGTGATCTGCCTGCCTCGGCCTCCTCCCAAAGTGCTGGGATTACAGGCGTAAGCCACTGCGCCCAGCCAAGTGATAGATGTTTTAATCCATTATCTCATTTAATCCTTTAAACAACTGAAGGAGAATAGTTGATTATTTCTCCTTTCATAGATGCTGGGTATAGCATCTGTCACACTGCTGAAGGAACCACAGTTGGAACCTAAGCCTGTCTGGCACTAAATCAAGTCCCTGTTCTTTCTGGTAAGCCGAAGGGGTCTTCTTCAGAAGTCTAGTCTCCAATCAATTCATTTCTCTAATGAAGCATTAAATACATCATCTCTCAAAGTTCAGTCTGAATGACTCATCTTCCTGGCTTCTAAATCCCTGAGGAAGCCTACCCATTTACTTCTAGGAAAAGTTAGCACCAATTTCACCTCAATTAACACATCTCAGATATGATGATGTGCAATTGTTTTAGTCACTTAACTTCCTGCTGTAAATTTCCTACCAGGAAGCACAGGGTCACATGGACATTCACATGGCACAGTGTTCTAATCAACCACACTTTTAATTGCATTATAGCAGCATCACAAATGTGACCATCAGGTTGTAAAGATGCTTAGCAGTCAGTCTTATTCAACCGCCTCTCCTAATAGAATCTCCTCACAGACAGCTCTCTTTAGAGACAGCCAAATGCTCCGTACTTAATTTTTTTCAGAAAAAGGGACAGCGTTGGGGCAATCTGGCCAGGTCTGGGACATATCTTTTGGGTTCAGAGCAGTTCCATATATATATACATTTTATTTTATTTTATTTATTTTTTTTTTTATGGAGTTTCGCTCTTGTTGACCAGGCTGGAATGTAATGGCACGATCTGGGCTCACTGCAACTTCTGCCTCCCGGGTTCAAGTGATTCTCCTGCCTCAGCCTCCCACCTAGTATATTTTGAATTTATAAAGTACTTTCTGGTCACTTTCATCCAAGGGTCCTATCTCTGGTCTGGGCCCTTCTATATCTGTCTTCCATTCTCTAGTCCTCCAATCTTTCTGGAAACCTCTCACCATCCATCCCTTGGCCTCCTCTGAGCAGTTTCTCCAACTTCACATGGGTGTGACTATCACTCCAGTACATTCTCACTTAGTTCATGTCACCTCTTCTTGAAGCCTTCCTTGACCTCCATAAATAACACTGACCACTATGAGTTTTGTGTCCCTAATCATCCTTGTATGGGCCTCTACATAGCTCACTCTGTTCCAAATACATTTACTTCCCCTTACTAAACTGTGAGCTCTTTAAAAGCAGAAACATGTCTTATTTATCTCTGTATCTCCAGCACATTGCCTGGCACAGTAGATGCCCAGTAAATGCTGACTAACTGAATGAATGATGAATTCATGAATGTATTGTTCCTTCCCTCAAGCCCTGCTACTGACCTGTTGGGAACAACCTGGTTTTCCCTTCCTTCTTATTCTACTCCTCCCCCAATAAAGCTGGCCTGTATGTTAAGACAGTGAGGTACCTGTCAGCAGGGTTCCTGGTCTTTTCTTGCCTATCCTTGGTTTCAAAATATGTCTGTGCAGTCAGATCACTCCTCTGAGCTTCTGGCTCAGATATCCAGCTTCTACTTGACATTGCATTTAGGTGAATCACAGATATCTCAAATACAGCCTACCCAAGCTGACTTAGATCAGCTTCCTCCCAAACGTATTTCTCTTTTAGGGAATAATATCACTTTCAACCACGTTGCTCAAAACAAAAACCTAGCTTATAGCTGCAGTGGCATGTGAGTCTGTCCTCCCATCTATGGGAGGACTATGGGGCAACATAGTGAGACCCTGTCTCAAAAATGAAAAAAAAAAGTAACCTAGGGCTGGGCACAGTGGCTTACAACTGTAATCCCAGCACTTTGGGAGGCCGAGGCAGGCAGATCCCCTGAGGTCAGGAGTTTGAGACCAGCCTGGCCAAACTGGTGAAACCCCATTTCTACTAAAAAAACACAAAAATTAGCCAGGTGTGGTGATGCACGACTGTAAACCCAGCTAATAGGGAGGCTGAGGCAGGAGAATCGCTTGAACCCAGGAGGTGGAGGTTGCAGTGAGCCGAGATTGCGCCACTTCACTCCACCAGCCTGGGCAACAGAGCAAGACTCTGTCTCAAAAAAAAAAAAAAAAAAAAAAAAAAAAAAGAAGCCTAAGTCATCTTACTGTTTTCTCTGTTTTCTCCCCCGCCCCCCCCAAATACCTCATAGCCTCCTGCAGCCAGAGCAGCCATTTGAAAATGCAAATCTATTCACACCTGTGTTACATGACGGAGGTAGGTTACCAAAAAGACCAAGCTATGATAGAGGTTTGGGCCCTTTAATACCTTACCCTACCATTAACCTCTAGGGAGAGGAGAGGGGCTGGAGACTGAGTTTAATCACCAATGACCAATGATTTAATCAATCATGCCTACATAATGAGACCTCCATAAAAATCCATAAATAGGGTTTGGAGAGCTTCTGGGATGGTGAACACACTGAAGAACTGGGAGGGTGGAATGCCACCAGAAGGAATGGAAGCCCCTCCCCCTACACCTACATAAAACCCTGGGTATCTCTTACTTTTGGCTGTTTTTGTTTTTGTTTTTTTTGAGACGGAGTCTCGCTCTGTCACCCAGGCTGGAGTGCAATGGCATGATCTCGGCTCACTGCAAAATCAGCCTTCCAGGTTCAAGCACTTCTTCCACCTGGGCCTCCCAAGTAGCTGGGATTACAGGTGCATGCCACCACGCCTAGCTAGTTTTTGTATTTTTGTAGAGATGGGGTTTCACCATGTTGGTCAAGCTGTCAACCTGGTCTTGAACTCCTGACCTCAAGTGATCCACCCACCTCGGCCTCTCAAAGTGCTGGGATTATAGGTGTAAGCCACCGCACCTGGCTTTTTTTTTTTTTTTTTTTTTTTTTTCTGACGGAGTTTCGCTCTTTTGCCCAGGCTAGAGTGGCAAGATCTCGGCTCACTGCAACCTCCGCCCCCCCTGGTTCAAGCGATTCTCCTGCCTCAGCCTCCCAAGTAGTTGGGATTATGGGATTATAGGCGCCCGCCACCACGCCTGGCTAATGTTTGAATTTTTAGTAGAGACAGGGTTTCACCATGTTGGCCAGGCTGGTCTCGAACTCCTGACCTCAGGTGATCCACCCACCTCGGCCTCCCAAAGTGCTAGGATTACAGGCGTGAGCCACTGCGCCTAGCCTTGGCTGTTCTTGAGTTGTATTCTTTTTTTTTTCTTAACTTTTTTTTTTTTTTGAGATGGAGTCTCGCTCTGTCACCCAGGCTGGAGTGCAGTGGCGTGATCTCAGCTCACTGCAACCTCCGCCTCCCAGGTTCAAGTGATTCTCTTGCCTCAGCCTCCAGAGTAGCTAGGACTACAGGCCCACGCCACCATATCCAGCTAATTTTTTTGTATTTTTAGTAGAGACGAGATTTCACCATGTTGACCAAGATGTTCTCCAACTCCTGACCTCAAGTGATCCACCCACCTTGACCTCCCAAACTGCTGGGATTACAGGCGTGAGCCACCATGCCCAGCCTATATTAGTCTTTACAACAAAATTATAAAATTATATTGTAGGATTCATAACTCATAGATATATTATGGCTTCTATAATTTTTTTTTTTTGAGACGGAGTCTCACTCTGCTGCCCAGGCTGGAGTGCAGTGGCGCGATCTCGGCTCACTGCAAGCTCCGCCTCCCGGGTTCACGCCATTCTCCTGCCTTGGCCTCCCGAGTAGCTGGGACTATAGGCGCCCGCCACCGCGCCCGACTAATTTTTTGTATTTTTAGTAGAGACAGGGTTTCACCATGTTACCCGGGATGGTCTTGATCTCCTGACCTCGTGATCCGCCCGCCTCAGCCTCCCAAAGTGCTGGGATTACAGGCATGAGCCACCTGCCCGGCCTATGGCTTCTATAATATAAAGGATAAGAGAAGGGGAGAAATGAACCTATAAGGTTGCATCTTTTATGTGAAGTGGTACATCATTAACTGTAAGTAAACTGTTAGAAGTTAAAGATATAGACAGTCATCCCTCGGTACCCATGGGGAACTGGTTTCAGGACCCTCCCATACCAGTAAAATCCAAAGATGCTCAAGTCCCTTATATAAAATAACATAGTATTTGCATATAATCTATCTATGTATCTATCCACCTACCTACCCATCTAATCTTCCTGTATATTTTAAATCATCTCTAGATTATTTATAATATCTAGTACAATGTAAATACTATGTTAATAGTTGTTAGTCTTCATTTTTGTTTGTATTTTTTATTGTAGTGTTATTTTTTAATTGTTTCCTTTTTCCTAATATTTTTGATACTTGGTTGGTTGAATCCACAAATGTGGAACCCACAGATAAGCAGTGTCAACTGTATTGAAATAACTAGAGCAACCACTGAAAAAACAATGTAAAGAGGTATAGCTTAAAAGCCAATCGCTATTATAAGTTAAAATGGAATTCTAAAACATATTTCATTAACACAAAAGAAGGCAGGAAAGAGAAGAAACGAAAAACAGAGGGTAAAACACAAAACAATATAAAATGGGAGTTTTTACATCGAACCAAAATCCTTCCAATAGCCCACAAGGCTCTGACTGGTCCAGCCCAGGCCTCCCTTGCCAGTTTCATCTCACATCTCTCTCCACCCCACTGGTTTTCCCGTCAACTCATGTCAACCAGACCCTTTTCTTTTCTAGCTCCTCTCCATCCTCAGAGCACAACTCCTGCCTCATCAACTCCTTTTCTTTTTCTTTTCATTTTTTTCAGAGATGGAATCTCACTATGTTGCCCAGGTTGGACTCCTGGGGTCAAGTGATTCTCCCACCTCAGTCTGCAAGTAGCTAGGACTACAGGTGTGTGCCATGGCACCCGGCTTGGTCAACTCCTCTTCTTCCTTGAGGTCCTGGCCTAAGCAACACTTCTTCTGAGAAGTTTCTCTTGATTACCCCATAGACAAGGAGGCTCAGATGAATCTTGTGTGCTGACTTCACTTCCTGCCCTTCTCAGTACACTTCAGCTCCCAACTTATGTCTGTTTCTTCTGTTAGATTATGGTCCCAAAGGGCACAGTCATAATCTGTAACAATCGGTTTTCTGAATGAGCTAAACTGAGTAGGATACAATCAGGAGACAACTTTCCCCTCAAGCACACTCTTTTTTTTTTTTTTTAGACAGAGTTTCGCTCTTGTTTCCCAGGCTGGAGTGCGATGGCACCATCTCGGCTCACTGCATCCTCCACCTCCAGAGTTCAAGCGATTCTCCTGCCTCAGCCTCCCGAGTAGCTGGGATTACAGGTATACGCCACCATGCCTATTTTATGTTTTTAGTAGAGATGGGGTTTCACCATGTTGGCCAGGATGGTCTGGAACTCCTGACCTCAGGTAATCCACCCACCTCTGCCTCCCAAAGTGCTGGGATTACAGACTTGAGCCACCGCGCCCAGCCTGGAACGGCACAATTAAAGTGACAGAAAAAATGGATTCTGCAGCCCAGCGCGGTGGCTCACTCCTGTAATCCCTGTAATCCCAGCACTTTGGGAGGCCGAGGTGGGCAGATCACAAGGTCAGGAGATCGAGACCATGCTGGCTAACACGGTGAAACCCCATCTCTACTAAAAATACAAAAAAATTAGCTGGGTGTAGTGGCGGGTGCCTGTAGTCCCAGCTACTCGGGAGGCTGAGGCAGGAGAATGGCGTGAACCCGGGAGGCGGAGCTTGCAGTGAGCTGAGATCGCGTCACTGCACTCCAGCCTGGGCGACTGAGCGAGACTCCGTCTCAAAGAAAAAAAAGTGGATTCTGCCTGAGATGCCTCTCAAGGAGGGGAAGGAAGAGCCAACCAAGAGTGTGCTTGAGGTCAGGCAAAAAAAAAAAAAAAAAATTTGTTCCACCAAAATCAAAATCTCAATCTTTCAACAAATTCCAATTTCTTTCTTTCTTTCTTTTTGTTTTTTGTTTTTTGAGACAGAGTCTTCCTCTGTCGCCCAGGCTAGAGTGCAGTGGTGCAACCTTGGCTCACTGCAACTTCCACCTCCGAAGTTCAAGCGATTCTCCTCCTGCCTCAGCCTCCCAAGTAGCTGGGACTACAGGCATGTGCCACCAAGTCCAGCTAATTTTTGTACTTTTAGTAGAGACGCGGTTTCACCATGTTGGCCAGGCTGTTCTCAAACTCCTGAGCTCAAGTGATCCACCCACCTAGGCCTCCCAAAGTGCTGGGATTACACGCGTGAGCCACCGTACCCAGGCCGATTCCAATTTCTTCCCTCCTCCGCACTGCAGGATGCAGCAATGCTCTGTTAATTCTCCTCCTTGCTTCTCCACTCTTCCTCTGATCTCAACGCTGTTTGTGGCAACTCCAGAGCTGAGGCAAGGGGGAGAACCAATAAGACAAAAAGAGGCAATGGCCTTCATACTCAGCTGATGCCCCGTGTAGCTTCTGGCTTTATCCTAAAGCCTGTCCTTTTGTGGAAGGTGCTAGTGGGTCCTTCAAGTGCCTCCACCACACTGTGCAGAACCCCACACAGGCCAGTGCTCTCTTCTGCTGACTTCTTGCCCACCACTCAGCTCCCTCCCTCTAAAGCCCTACCTGCAGCCTCTCTGGTTGGGATCCTTTCTTCCTTCACAGGTAGAATCCCCTTAGATGGCTCAGCTACCCACTGTGGAGTCTACTTGTGCAAGTGTGACTAATTACTGCTAGCCTCCTATGCTCACCAACTGGTGCAAGTGTGACTAATTACTGTTAGCCTCCTATGCTCACCCACCCATCAAGGACTGCTCCAAGTAGGAGACAGATAGCAGTCTTCTTGCCTCCTCAACTCCAGGGAACACTGCAGCTTCTTGGTGTGTCACTCTGGTGGCAGCTTGGGGTAGGCTGACATATTTCAACTGTACAGCAGGCTGGGACTCAGGTCTCATCTCTCTTGCCTGCAAGCACCACAGTTCTCTCTGAGGTTTGCCTGAAGGGCCTCTTGTCTTGAGACTGGCAAGGATGGGGAAAGCCACAGCCTTCTAATCCTGTGAATTTCTTTTTTTTTCTTTTTTTTTTTTTTTTTTTTTGAGACAGAGTCTCGCTCTGTTGCCCAGGCTGGAGTGCAGTGGCGTGATCTCGGATCACTGCAAGCTCCGCCTCCCGGGTTCATGCCATTCTCCTGCCTCAGCCTCCCAAGTAGCTGGGACTACAGGCACCCGCCACTGCGCCCAGCTAAATTTTTGTTTTTTTAGTAGAGACGGGGTTTCACCGTGGTCTCGATCTCCTGACCTCGTGATCCGCTCGCCTCGGTCTCCCAAAGTGCTGGGATTACAGGCGTGAGCCACCACGCCCGGCCTCTTTTTTTTTTTTTTCTTTGAGATGGAGTTTTGCTCTTGTTGCTCAGGCTGGAGTGCAATGGCGCAATCTCGGCTCACGGCAACCTCCGCCTCCCAGGTTCAAGTGATTCTCCTGCCTCAGCCTCCCAAGTAGCTGAGATTACAGGCACCCACCACCACGCCCAGCTAATTTTTATATTTTTAGTAGAGACTGGGTTTCACCATGTTGGCCAGGCTGGTCTCAAACTCCTGACCTCAGGTGATCCACCCACCTCAGCCTCCCAAAGTGCTGGGATTACAGGCATGAGTCATCACACCTGGCCCTGTGAATACTTTTTAAAGAATCTAAGGATCATTTAAATGATATCCTAACAAGCCCTCTATTAGACTGTGGGAGAATTTATCGCCCCTTATTCTGCACTCTGAGGCTTCAGATAGAATTCCCAGACACAGATGAAGTCCTGTTCTATATCCAGGTACACATGTTAACCCCATCCCTTACTCTAACTGAATATCAAGCATTTGAAGATGCAGAATATTCAGGAGATGTCTAGGAGATAATAAATGTCATAATACTCTGATGTTCACTAAAAAAAAGTGATGTTCAATATAGGTATGCTATGACTTCTAGTGACTGTCTATCCACACCATTCACTGTGAGAAACAGAGTTTTATTTATTTTTTATTTATTTATTTTTTAGGCAGAGTAGTCTCACTCTGTCCCCCAGGCTGGAGTGCAGTGGCGCGATCTCAGCTCACCGCAACCTCCACCTCCCAGGTTCAAGTGATTCTCCTGCCTCGGCCTCCCCAGTAGCTGGGACTACAGGTGCCCACCACCATGCCTGGCTAATTTTTGTATTTTTAGTAGAAATGGGGTTTCACTATGTTGGCCAGGCTGGTCTCGAACTCCTGACCTCAGGTGATCCACCCTCCTCGGCATCCCAAAGTGCTGGGATTACAGGCGTGTGCCACTGCGCCCAGCCCAGAGTTTTATTTTTGTTTTTGTTTTTGTTTTTCTGAGACAGAGTCTCACTTTTGTTGCCCAGGCTGGAGTGCAATGGTGTGATCTAGGCTCACTGCAACCTCTGCCTCCTGAGTTCAAGCGATTCTCCTGCCTCAGCCTCCCAAGTAGCTGGGATTACAGGCGCCTGCCACCACACCCGGCTAATTATTTTTAGTAGAGACGGGGTTTCACCATGTTGGCCAGGCAGGTCTCGAATCCTGACCTCAGATGATCCACCCTCCTTGGCCTCCCAAAGTGCTGGGATTACAGGTGTGAGTCACCATGCCTGGCCCAAGAAGCAGAGTTTTACAACGTTTTATTTTAAAACATATGTGGATATGTTATGGAGTAAAATGCAAAATTTTGAGGGGAAAAAAAAACCCAGGACCTTTCACATAAATGATTGAGCTCAGTGTGAGCTACTTCACCTATGGACCCTAGGGGTAGTACATGGAAAGGTTTGATAACTTATTTTTTTGCTGTTGAGATGGGATCTCACCTCAGCCTCCTGGTGTGGTGGACTATAGGCATGCGCTACCATGCGTGTAGTGCCAACTAGTGATTTCTTTATTTTTTATTTTTTGTAGAGACAGGGTCTCACAGTGTTGCCCAGGCTGGTCTCAGACTGGTCTTGAACTCCTGGCTTCAAGCAATTCTCTTGCCTCAGCCTCCCAAAGTGCTCGGTTTACAGATAGGTGGGATCCACTGTGCCAGCCATGAGAACTTTATGAGAGAACTATTCAGTGGGATAGGTGGAAAATTGGGGTTACCTTTCTGGACGTCTTCAGGAATGCTATTGAAGCAAGTGGAGAAAAACCAGGTCACCCTGACTATTCCACAAATCAGCAAAGAAAAGTTTCAGAAGCCTCCCCTTCAATACTAAGAAAAGAGACAGGGGATCAAGCAGGACCTCTGCTTACACTGAAAATAGCAGGTCTGGGTTCACTCCTGTAATCCTAGCACTTTGAGAGGCTGAGGTGGGCAGATCACTTGAGCCCAGAAGTTCTAGACCAGCCTGAGCAACATGGCGAAAGCATCTCTACAAAAAACAAACAAAAAACACATAAATTAGCCAGGCATGGTGGCTTACGCCTATAGTCCCAGTTATTTGGGAAGCTGAGGCAGGAGAATCACCTGAGCCCGTGGAGGTTGAGGCTGCAGTGAGCTGTGATCATGCTACTGCACTGCATTTGGCAACAGAGTGAGACTCTGTCTCCAAAAGAAAAAGAAAAAAAACAGGAGCCAAACACCAGAAAAGGTTGTTTGTATATGGGTTTTTGTTTGTTGGTTCTTTGGTTTGTTTTCTCAGACCAAATTCACATGACATGTTTGTTGGTTCTTTTGAAGACTGCTTCAGCCATTGAGCCATGTCTGCCTGTATCCTTCAGCTAGAAAACCCCAGAAAAAAGGCACCAAGTGGAAATAAGGAGCAAGGAAGGGGACAGCTGTGAACACTGGCCTCCTTAGTCAACCACGGGTGTCAGAGAACTTAATGGATGGAGCAGATTTCAAGGAAAGAAATCAGGCAGAATCAAAGGTGGGTGACTTCAGAGAAACCATAGGAGCCTAGCAGTAGCAGTTGGATGCGCTTGTGGTTCCCCAACACAAAACAAAACAAAACAAAACATCCTCAAAATGAGGATTTAACACCTCTCTTGACTGCACTGCTAGAGAACATCTAATTTCTACATTTAATTTCTGGATTTCCCCAAGGACTCATTCATACCTTTATGACATTCCTTTTCCTCTGAACGCTATTCAGAAATGTGTACCAAGGTGCATCTGCCATCTCAACATGGTGCTTACCTTTCTTAAGAATTTTCTTCACTTTCACATAGTTCCCTTGTTTGACATACTCATGAAGCTGAGCTTCCAGGGAGTCATTTCTTAAGGTACCAAGTTGAACAGGACAGGGGACTGGAAGACGAACAGCCCGAGACATCCTGTTCCAAAAGAGAGCAATATGCTTATTTTAACTGAACCAGAAATGCAAGGAAACAACTTAATTCTTTTACATTTAGAAACCTGTCCAGCCACCTTCATTAATAATGAAGATTAGGGGAATAATTATTGAAACTCTATGAGATTAATGTTTTTCCTCAGTGTTATCGCTGAAATTAAAGAACTTGAATATACTGTTGAATATAGAATGGTGAGAAGAGACAAGTAAAAAATATATATATTTGAATATATTTGATATGGTTTGGCTCCATGTCCCTACCCAAATCTCACCTTGAATTGTAGTTCCCATAATCCCCACAACGTCATGGGAGGGACCTAGTGGGAGGTAATTTAATCATGGTGGCGGTTACCCTCATGCTGTTCTTGTGACCAGTGAGTGAATTCTCATGAGATCTGATGGTTTTATAAGGGGCTTTTCTTTCTTTTGCTCAGTACTTCTCCTTCCTGCCATCACGTGAAGAAGGACGTGTTTGCTTCCCATCTGCCATGATTTTAAGTTCCCTGAGGCCTCCCCAGCACTGCAGAACTATGAGTCAATTACACCTCTTTCCTTTATAAATTACCAAGTCTCCGGCATGTCTTTATTAGCAGCACAAGAACAGACTAATACAATATTTGTCACTAATTCCCAGGACTGAAAAAGTGAGGACTTCTAGGAAGTAAAATTCTAAATACACGTTTATTGTGTCATTAAGATAACTTGGAGAGTATTGACTTTGAAAGGTTAGAACACAAATGCAGTCATTATGTAAAGCTAGATAGTATAACATAGTGGTTTAGGTTCACAGTTCAGACTCTGAAACTGTCTTGGCTCTGTCACCTCCCTGTGTGACCTTGGAGAAATTATTTAACATTGATAGGCCTCAATTTCTTCATCTGTAACATGGGGATAATAATAAGCAGAGGGTTGCTGAGAGTTTCTTTTTTTGTGTATGTGACGGAGTCTTACTCTGTCATCAGGCTGGAGTGCAGTGGCGCGATCTCAGCTCACTGCAACCTCTGCCTCCTGGGTTCAAGCGATCCTCCTGCCTCAGCCTCCCGAGTAGTTGGGACTACAGGCGCACACCACCATGCCCAGCTAATTTTTTGTATTTTTAGTAGAGACGAGGTTTCACCATGTTGGACAGAATGGTCTTGATCTCTTGCCCTTGTGATCCGCCTGCCTCAGCCTCCCAAAGTGCTGGGATTACAGGCGTGAGCCACGGCGCCTGGTCTGAGAGTTTCAAAGGAACTAATTTGTGTACAGTGCTTAGCATAGTACCTGGCACCAAACAAGTTCACTGTAGTTGTTAGCTGTTACTGTGCATAAGAACTATGCAGAGAAATTTTAACTTTCCAAATGTGACAGCCACACCTGACCATCATTCTTACAATCAAGTGTCTGTGGTGTACCTACTGCTATGGTTTGAATGTGTCCCCCAAAATTTATATGTTAAAAACTCGATCCCCAATATGGAGGTGTTGGGAGGTAGAACCTTTAAGATGTGTTTAGGTCACGGGGGCACCACTCTCATGAATGGATTAGTGCTATTGTCATTATAAAGGAAGTAGGTCGTTATGGCAGGAGTGGGTTCCTTATAAAAGGATGTGTTTGGGAGACGTTTGAGGTCTCTTTCCATCTCCTTATTCTGCAGCCCTATGATTAAACCTCTTTCTCTGCTGCAACCCAGTGTCTCACTATACTGACTTGCCACGTGGGATTACAATTTAGCAGTGATCCTATGAAAAGATGCCCCTTGTGGGCATTTAACCATGGCTCAGTGCCCCCTTTGTGGCAGTCCAGGTTTCCATCAGCAGCCAGAACAATCTGGTTCCACTAACCCTTTACTATAATTTTGATGAATGCATATGTTAAACATTAAAGAATTGGAGAAACTGGGCCGGGCATGGTGGCTCATGCCTGTAATCCCAGCACTTTGGGAGGCCGAGGCGGGCGGATCACAAGGTCAGGAGATTGAGACCATCCTGTGAATAGTGAAACCCCATCTTTACTAAAAATACAAAAAATTAGCCGGGCATGGTGGCGGGCGCCTGTAGTCCCAGCTACTCGGGAGACTGAGGCGGGAGAATGGCGTGAACCCGGGAGGTGGAGCTTGCAGTGAGCTGAGATTGCACCACTGCACTCCAGCCTGGGCGACAGAGCAAGACTCCATCTCAAAAATAAAAAATAAAAAGAATTGGAGAAACTGGTGCCTGAGTACTACAAGGGCTGGAATGCAAAAACAAACCCATTAAGACACCACCTGGCCTTTCTCAGGCCCTAAAGTCTGATCAAATAATAATAGCATTTTTACACATACACCTTGTACCAAGGACCACTTAAGAAACTTTCCAAGACTCTAGAGAAAGCTTTCCAGACCCTAGATCCTAGTTAAAGATTAGATATAGATTGAATGAAACACTCCACCTTGTAGGTGCACTCCCGCTTATAGGCATGGACCTTGAATGTATAGAAGCTTTGGAAAAAAAAAAACAACTTGTAACTTTTTTTTTTTTTTTTTTGGAGACAGAGTCTTGCTTTGTTGCCCAGGCTGCAGTGTAGTGGCACGATCTCAGCTCACTGCAATCTCCACCTCCTGGGTTCAAACGATTCTCAGACCTCAGGCTCCCAAGTAGTTGGGATTACAGGTGCCCACCATCATTACCAGCTAATTTTTGTATTTTTAATAGAGTTGGAGTTTCACCATGTTGGCCAGGGTGGTCTCAAACTTCTGACCTCAGGTGATCTGCCCACCTTGGCCTCCCAAAGTGCTGGGATTACAGAAGTGAGCCACCGCACCTGGCCAATAAACTCCCTTCTTTCCCAGTCTGGATCTCATTATTGGACTGTGAGAACAAGAAGCTGGACCTCATTCTGTCCTAGAACACCCTGACATTTCGGCACCCCAAAATGTGCTGGGATTATAGGCGTGAGTCACCGCGCCTGGCCAAAACTTTTAACTTTTTTAGTTGGTCTGCTGAGTTACTCCAACCTTCTCCCTGTAACCAGTTGCAGAAATAAACTCCCTTCTTTTTTTTTTTTTTTTTTCCTGAGACAGAGTCTTGCTCTGTTGCCCAGGCTGAAGTGCAGTGGTGAGAATGGCTGAAGTGCAGCCATTCTCCTGCCTCCGCTTCCTGGGTAGCTGGGATTACAGGCGCCTGCCACCACATCCAGCTAATTTTTTCTTTTTTTTCTTTTTGAGGAATCTCACTCTGTCACCAGGCTGGGCTGGAGTGCAGGGGCGCAATCTCAGCTCACCACAACCTCCGCCTCCCGGGTTCAAGCGATTCTCCTGCCTCAGCCTCCCGAGTAGCTAGGCCTACAGGCACGCACCACAATGCCCAGCTAATTTTTGCATTTTTAGTAAAGATGGGTTCTCACCATGTTGGCCAGGATGGTCTCGATCTATTGACCTCATGATGCACCCGCCTCTGCCTCCCAAAGTGCTGGGATTACAGGCAGAAGCCACCGCACCCGGCGACTAATGTTTGTATTTTTAGTAGAGATGGGGTTTCATAATGTTGGCCAAGCTGGTCTCAAACTCCTGACCTCAGGTGATCCGCCTGCCTTGGCCTCCCAAAGTGCTGGGATTACAGAAGTGAGCCACCGCACCTGGCCAATAAACTCCCTTCTTTCCCAGTCTGGATCTCATTATTGGACTGTGAGAACAAAAAGCTGGACCTCATTCTGTCCTGGAACAGAATGTCAGAACCCTGACATTTCGGCACCCCGAGACGAGCCCTCCTTTAAGCCAGGGGCCATGTCTGGCACCTCCCTTGTAGGCAGGGGCATTGCCAACCTTAGGCGCATAAGCTGGCTTGCAGCAGAGAAATGGTTTCTGATTCCGGAAGATGTCTCTGATGATTATTCCCAAGCATAATCCATATTCCCTTTCCCTTCTCCTGATCTGTTGGCCTCCTCAGAGGCCCTGTAAACTCTTTGAGGGTCCTGTTAAAGGGCACTGTTTTGGGGAAGTACTCCTGGGCCCTTTGGGTCTCAGTTCAGAAACCTGGTTTTGGTTGGGCGCGATGGCTCACACCTGTAATCCTAGCACTTTGAGAGGCCGAAGTGGGTGGATCATCTGAGGTCACGAGTTTGAGACCAGCCTGGGCAACACGGCGAAATGCTGTCTCTACAAAAAGTACGAAAATTAGCTGGGCAGCCGGGCACAGTGGCTTACGCCTGTAATCCCAACGCTTTGGGAGGCCAAGGCGGGTGGATCACATGAGGTCAGGAGTTCAAGACCAGCTTGACTGATACGGTGAAACCCCCATCTGTACTAAAAATACAAAAATTAGCCGGATGTGGTGGCGGGCGCCTGTAGTCCCAGCTACTCAGGAGGCTGAGACAGGACAACTGCTTGAACCTGGGAGGTGGAGGTTGCAGTGAGCCGAGATCATGCCACTGCACTCCAGCCTGGGCAACAGAGCAAGACTCTGTCTCAAAAAAACAAAACAAAACAAAAACCAAAAGGCTGGGCACAGTGGCTCATGCCTGTAATCCCAACAATTTGGGAGGGTGAGGCAGGTGGATCATGAGGTCGGGAGTTCGAGACCAGCCTGACCAACATGGTGAAACCCCATCTCTACTAAAACTACAAAAATTAGCCATGTGTGGTGGTGGGCACCTGTAATCCCAGCTACTCAGGAGGCTGAGGCAGGAGAATCGCTTGAACCTGGGAGGCAGAGGTTGCAGTGAGCCAAGATCGCACCACTGCGCTCCAGCCTAGGCAACACAGGGACTCTGTCTCAAAAAAAAAAAAAAGAAAAAAATTGGCCAGGCGTGGTGGCAAGCACCTGTAGTCCCAGCTACTCAAGAGGCTGAGGCACAAGAATCACTTGAACCTGGGAGGTGGAGGTTGCAGTGAGCCGAGATCATGCCATTGCACTCCAGCGTGGGTGACTGAGCAAAACTCCCATCTCACAAAAAAAAAAAAAAAAAAAAAAAAGAAAAAGAAAATTGGGTTTTATTTATTTATTTTAATGTTTTTAGAGGTGGGATCTTGCTACATTGCCCAGGCTGGTCTTCAACTCCTGGCCTCAAACAATCCTCCTGCCTCAGGCTCCCAAAGTTTTGGGATTATAGGTGTGAGCCACCATGCTGGCCAAATCTGGTTTTATTTTTATTTATTTATTATTATTTTTAAAAAATAGAGATGAGGTCTCACTATGTTGCCCAGGCTGATCTCGAACTCCTGGGCTCAAGTGATCCTCCTACCTCAGCCTCCCAAAGTGCTAGAATTACAGGCATGAGCCACCACGCTGGGCCCAAATCTGGTTTTAGAATTCTGATTTGTGAGGGCTTGTGCCTGTTCTTGTCTTGTCTGTGTGTCAGGGGGTGGAATCCTGAAGGAATCACTAGCAGAAGCTCAACAGGCCTCACTCAGAGGGAACCTCTTGTCTGTTTTACCAGGTTAAAACTCAGATATTGAGGGGAATAACTGGTGTTTGTGTCTTTGTCATGTGTATATTATAATTTTGTCTGGGCAATACGGGAAATGCTTTTTTTTTTTTTTTTTTTTTTTTTTTTTTGAGACAGAGTCTTGCTCTGTCACCCAAGTTAGAGTGCAGTTGTGGAATCTCGGCTCACTGCAGCCTCTGCCTCCGGGGTTCAAACAATTGAAACAGCCTTTGCAAAATTATGACTGAGACAGTGAAAGAGATCTAACTTAACTTACTCCATCTTGCTTCTAACTTCCAAGCTGTCCTTGTTCATTCCCGGGTGTAGGCTGAACTAACTTTGGGAGAAACTTAGTTTATAATTTAAACAAAGATGGTAACAGCCTTTTCCCAAAGCAGACTTCCTTCTTGTCTGGGGACTAGATTGCCTTTGTAGGACTAACATTAGCCACAAGATTAGAAATTATGGTTTAGGAGTCATGCAGCTGGATGCTACAAGATTCTGACCCTTCCTAAACTGCTCCTAAGATCAGTGCTTGACATATTTTGCAGACCTTGCACTTGATAGATCAGCTGGCACCACCCAGATCAATAAACTGGCTCATCTGATCTTGTGGTCCCCACCCAGGAACTGACTCAGCACAAGAAGACAGCTTTGACTCCCTGTGATTTCTTCCCTGACCAATTAGCACTCCTGGCTCACTGGCTTCCCTTTACTCACCAAGTTATCCTTAACAACTCAGTTCCTCGAATGCTCCACGAGACTGATTTGAGTAACAATAAAACTCCGGTCTCCTGCACAGCTGGCTCTGCGTGAATTACTCTTTCTCTATTGCAATTCCCCTGTCTTGATGAATTGGCTCTGTCTAGGCAGCAGGCAAGGTGAACCCCTTGGGTGGTTACACTATTCTCATGCCTCAGCCTCCCAAGTAGCTGGGATTACAGGCATGCACCACCTGTACCAGTGTGTACCACCTGTGCACCGGCTTTTTTTTTTTTTTTTTTTTTTGAGACAGTCTCACTGTGTCACCCGGGCTAGAGTACAGTGGTGTGATCTCGGCTCACTGCAACCTCTGCCTCCTGGGTTCAAGCGATTCTCCTGCTTCAGCCTCCAAAGTAGCTGGGATTACAGATGTGCGCCACCATGCCTGGCTAATTTTTTTGTATTTTAGTAGAGACAGGGTTTCATCATGTTGGCCAGGCTGGTCTCAAACTCCTGACTTCAAGTGATCCACCCACCTCGGCCTCCCAAAGTGCTGGGTTTACAGGCTTTAGCCACCCTCAGCAATTCATCCCACCAGAACAAAAGGCTAACATAGCAAACTGGTAAATTTATCTGCACAGAAAAACTGAACTACAAGGGATGAGGTACTTAACTTCCCACCTGAAGACCCAGGAATTTTTTTTTTTTACTTTTCTTCATTGAGATAGGGTCTCTATCGCTCAGACAGGAGTGCAGTGGCACAATATTGGCTCATTAAGTCTCCATCTGGGATCAAATGATTTTCCCACCTCAGTCTCCCGAGTAGCTAGCACAGGTGCGTACCACATCAGTCTGGCTTATTTTTCCACCCTTCCTAGAAACGGTATAAAATACTTAGCGAGCATCTAATTAAAACAGACCGTAACCTAAGAAGACGTAAGGTCATAACCACAACTCCAAAACCAAACGCGCGCCACTACAACAACTCTGAAAATAAACACACGCAACAACACACAAGCCGTCTTTTAAACTAGTTCAATCACAGGACAGAAAAGCGCAAAAGCAGTCCCCCACTACCACAAGTTATGCAGCCGAGTTTTCTCATTCGGGGAAATCGCGGGAGCAAACACATAGTAAAAACCCTCCCCCAAGAAAAACACTTTATCAGGACCAACAGCGTCTCTCCCCCGCCACAAAGACATTATTTACTTAATATTGCTAATACCTTACCATCGTCCTCAACACACAACATACTCATGGCAAATTGTATTATGAGTTGTTTTTAGGCATCGCTTCGAAACTACCGCTTCTTCGTATGACACATCTCAGACTACACCTTCTTTGGTATTCGCTAGAAAATTTCTCCCGCGAAGAACGCACTAGAACCGGCAATCACTGCGCCCCTATCTACATATGCCCGCCTCTTATAGTAACGTCACCACCTGCTTCTGTACGATCTGACTGAACTCCCTTACGGATCGGTTCGCTCTAGCTGCCGCTCCCAAGGATTCAAAAGAAATCGCATTGTGTGATAAGAAATTTTTTTTCTTTTTTCTGCACAGGCTCATATAATAGAAGTAACTTTTGTTATTTTTTCAGAGAATTCATACAGCCATTAATTATCCAAACCTATTTCTCAGTGCTTTTCAATGGCGTGATCTCGGCTTACTGCAACCTCCGCCTCCCAGGTTCAAGCAATTCTTCTGCCTCAGCCTCCCGAGTAGCTGGGATTACAAGCGCCTGCCACCACACCTGGCTAATTTTTGTAGTTTTAGTAAAGATGGGGTTTCACCATGGTGGTCAGGCTGGTCTTGAACTCCTGACCTCAGGTGATCCGCCCACCTCGGCCTCCCAAAGTGCTGGGATTACAGACATAAGCCACCGCGCCTGGCCCTCAGTGCTCTTTTCATTCCACTTAAGAAATTGGAACACACCAGGATGAGGATGATGATGCCAAAACTAGATTGATGGCTCACATCATCTAGGGTACAAATACACGCTTAATAATTTAACACTTTAGGCCAGGCGCGGTGGCTCACGTCTGTAATCCCAGCACTTTGGGAGGCCGAGGCGGGTAGATCACCTGAGGTCAGGAGCTCAAGACCAGCCTGACCAACATGGTGAAACCTCATCTCAAAATACAAAATATTAGCTGGGCGTGGTGGCGGGCGCCTGTAATCCCAGCTACTCGGGAGGCTGAGGCAGGAGAATCTCTTGAATCCAGGAGGTGGAGGTTGCAGTGAGCCGAGATCGCGCCATTGCACTCTAACCTGGGCGACAAGTAAAAAACTCCATCTCAAAAAAATAAATAAAATAATAATAATAATTTAACACTTTATTGAACTCAAAGCAACATTAAGCATCTTTGCCTTCGTTTTACACAGCTGTAGGGGAGCTCAGGGAGGGGAAGGCTGCATGGTTTTCCTTGGCGGGGAAGGTGTGCACCCTGCAGTCCTGCGGTGTTGTGGGAAGATTAGCCCATGTTCTGTCGGTTGCCGTAGCCCCTAGGGTGGGTGTCCTTCCAGTCATCCCACTCTCGAGCTCTTTGGAGTGTTTGTTCATCATCCTCTTCCTCCTTTTCTTGATCTTCCTGTTGCTGAGTGGCTTTTCTGAATTCTTCTGGTGTTGCCTTGGCTATTCCCTGATCTGGTAACACTCCATGTTTCTGATGTTGATCATACCAGTCACTCACTGTCATGGAAGCCAGACTTGGATAGCCAGCGCCAAATACTTTGGCTTGCGCCATGTTCCGAGTGAGAATGAAGGGTTTCATTGGAGGCCTCTTCTGGTGACATGAGTTAGAAGTGGATGCCTCTCTTGAAGAGTCTTTCTCTCCCAGGATCTTTATTTCCTGATCAATGCTCTCAATCTCTTCTAAGCTGATATCAATCCACCTCTGAAGGTGAAGAAGATAATATTCACGAACACGCTCATTATCTGCTTGACCACTTTCCACAGCAGATTTCATTGTAGACAACTTATGCTCCAACACCTTCTTCTGCTTGTATCGCTCTATTTTAGCCTGTCTTTGAGATGCCATAGCAACGAGGCTAGGATAAGCCGTGGAGGTAATAGCACCGTGATTTTCAGCTGAGTTGGTCTTGGTTTGGGGCAGCTCAAACTCGGCCACACGATAGTAATGGCACTGAGTTAAGTATTTTATAAAGTGTTCGCGAGCCTGCTGCAAATGATCTAGACGCTTACGGGGGTTGACTTGTTTCATGGTGAGGGCTCCTTGAAACGCTGGCACCATCAGGTACTTCAGGTCGGTGGAAGTAATCTCCTCCAAATCTTCATTTCGGCTGAACAAGTCAAGCTGCGATAACATTTTGGCAACCTTGTCAAGGAGGTCGAGGCCCTTGAACACCTTTTCCTGGACTATTCGGGAACCGGTGGGTTCAGTCGCTCCTTCGACTTCGTCCAGAAGCTGTTTGCTGGAATCGAACAGCTCGGGGAGCCGCGGCGGCGGCAGGAACTCGTCTTCAGCAGCTGCCATCTTGGGAAGGCTGATGCGAAATGTTGATTCCTTTCCTTTCTGGACACACGTAAAGATTCTGGCGTAGATTTCTAACAACCAGTCTGAATCGGGCGCTGCACGGCAGGGCAGTCAGGGAGGCGGTGGCGTTGGGGGCGGCATAGGGGAAGGCAACGGAGTCGGTTGTGCCGGGTCTGAATCGCTGCTCCACTCCGGGTCTTCGTCAAACTTTGTCTCTCTGTTTCCGTTTCCTAAAATTGTAAAGTGGGAATAATACTGCCTTCCTGGCTCACAAGATTTCTGTGAGGACTGAATAAGAGAATGCATGTAAAAATGCAGCTACCCCCAACCCAGGCTATTCTGCCCCTCGACTGCTGCCCCCTGTACTTTGGGACCCCCAAAGTGACTTTGCCAAGATTCAAGTATCTGCAGTTCCTGCCACACAGGGAAGTAGCATCAGGCCCGGATTTGGTAACAAACCGAGTGTTCCTGTATGTCTATATCTGTGTATGTATGATGTAAAAAGTACTGGGATTACAGG
This sequence comes from Homo sapiens, assembly GCF_000001405.40. Lineage (NCBI taxonomy): Eukaryota > Metazoa > Chordata > Mammalia > Primates > Hominidae > Homo > Homo sapiens. The sequence goes on from NC_000017.11 coordinate 58,662,120, forward strand.
CGTGAGCCACCACGCCTGGCCTAAAACTCAGTTTTCAAAAATTACTGAGTGGCCAGGCGCGGTGGCTCACTCCTGTAATCCCCCACTTTGGGAGGCCGAGGTGGGCGGACTAGGAGGTCAGGAGACCGAGACCATCCTGGCTAACACGGTGAAACCCCATCTCTACTAGAAATACAAAAAATTAGCTGGGCGTGGTGGCGGGTGCCTGTAATCCCAGCTACTCAGGAGGCTGAGGCAGGAGAATTGCTTGTACATAATACATATTATGTGTGTACAGATATATAGCACACATATCTCACACACACACACACACACACACACACACACACACACAGAATCAAACCAACTACATGACCAAATTATGACTAAATCAAAGACCCCAAATAAGTTGAGATGGAGAAACACAGCCCCTCAGTACAGAATGTTATTTGGAGAGTTCCCTTACGTGTGGGGAAGGGCAGCAACAGGCACAACTATTAATCTCAGATCATGGCTGTTCCTGCCAACTCAGGTGTGCTGTCCTAAGACATGCCCCTCAGTTTGTGAGTCTCACCTCATCTCTGAATTTCCAACCATCACTTTGCCTCATGGGAGTCAAGGAAGGAAGGGTTGATGCTCAGAAATATGAGAGTGACATATATACTCAATAATTTTTAAAAGCTGAGTTTTGTTACATAAGTTCACAAAGCAGTTGTGACTGTTAAAATGTCATTAATGTGACCGGGCGCGGTGGCTCACGCTTGTAATCCCAGCACTTTGGAAGGCTGAGACGGGTGGATCACAAGGTCAGGAGATCGAGACCATGGTGAAACCCCGTCTCTACTAAAAGCACAAAAAAATTAGCCGGGCGTGGTGGTGGGCACCTGTAGTCCCAGCCACTCGGAGAGGCTGAGGCAGGAGAACGGTGTGAACCCGGGAGGCAGAGGTTGCAGTGAGCCGAGATGGCACCACTGCACTCCAGCCTGGGTGACAGAGTGAGACTCCGTCTCAAAAAAAAAAAAAAAGAAAAGTCATTAATGTTGGCCAGGCATGGTGGCTCACACCTGTAATCCCAGCACTTTTGGAAGCCAAGGCAGATGGATCACCTGAGGTCGGGAGTTCAAGACCATCCTGACTAACATGGAGAAACCCTGTCTCTACTAAAAATACAAAATTAGCCGGTTGTGGCGGTGCATGCCTGTAATCCCAGCTACTTGGGAGGCTGAGGCAGGAGAATTGCTTGAACGTGGGAGGCGGAGGTTGCAGTAAGCCGAGATCACACCACTGCACTCCAGCCTGGGCAACAAGAGCAAAACTCCGTCTCAAAAAAAAAAAAAAAAAAGTCATTAATGCCAATGTAACTGAATCTAAATTTTTTTTTTTTTTAAGACAGAGTCTCACTCTGTCACTCAGGCTAGAGTGTAGTGACATGATCTTGGCTCACGGCAACCTCCATCTCTTGGGTTCAAGCAATTCTCCTGCCTCAGCTTCCTGAGTAACTGGGACTACAGGGATGCACCACCACGCCTGGCTAATTTTTTGTGTTTTTGGTAGAGATGGGGTTTCACCATGTTGGCCAGGCTGGTCTTGAACTCCTGACCTCAGGTGATCTGCCTGCCTTGACCTCCCGAAGTGCTGGGATTACAGGCATGAGCCAATGTGCCAGGCCACTAAATGTCTTACTCAACACCCTGAGTTGTGGGGAGCCAAATCCATTCACTCCTGAAACACACTGGCCCTGAAGCTGCATTTCTCAGCCACAAAGCTCTGCAATAAAAACCATACTAACTCTATTTAGGCCAGGGGCAGTGGCTCATGCCTGCAATCCCATCACTTTGGGAGGCCGAGGTGCTGATATCACCTGAGTTTGGGAAGGTGGAGGCTGTGTTGTGCCACTGCACTCCAGCCTAGTGAGAGTGAGACCCTGTCTTAACCGCTCCCCCAGCAACAACAAAAAAACAACAGCAAAAACCCAACTCCACACTATTTAGTACAATTGCTGATTTAGGACAATTGCTGGATTACCTTCATCCACAAAGTGTGACCCAGCCCACCTCGGTTATACTATATAATCTCATTATTGAACTACCTTCCTAATTTTATTCCAGAAGGTTTGATTTCACATGAGGAAAGTAATACTTTGGCTTTCAATGGTATCCATGAATGCCAGGCTGACCACAGCTCTGAGGCCTCTATGATTATTTGTGCCCCCTCATGGCTCTGATATCACAGGTACTAACAGACCCTTTTTCCTATGCTGGGAGAACTCCATTTCTGATGACCACATTGTCTACTCCAGTATTTTTGCCATTCATATTCTTGAATTTCTTTGCTGCTAATGATGAAAAACACCTGTTCTCAAGTCATTACTTACATGTAGCACATACTTCTCATTTACTGACAGCCACTTAAATGTTCAAGGTCCAGTCCGCTGGCCTAGCCACTGGGGATACTAAGAGGAATAATGCAGAGACTGAGTCTGCCTGCAATAAATAAGATCATAGTCTGTAGGGAAAACAGACTTGCCAGACCTATAAAAAGTTCAGCAGGGCCACATTACGATTTTGAAGGGCCCATACTTTTGCCTTTGTGTGCCTGCCTCCTCTGATAAAATATATACATTTCCATTAAAATATATGTTAAAAATGCTATCTTATGACTGCATTGATTAAAAGATGAATATATTATTATATATGACATTTTCTTCCACCTAAAAATTCATTTTTTTCTTCTGATTTTTAAAAGAAGTGCCCCTAGGCAGTGTGCCTGTGGTACGTAACAGATAAGGCCACCCTGGGTTCAGTGGCACTGAGTGGATCCCAGGCAGTTTGGAAGGGCTGAAGTATAAGTTTTCCAGGTAGATGAAGAAGGGCAGGGCAGGGAAGTGCATTCCAGGAAGAGCAGGCATGTAAGTTTGTGGAAGTAATACAGCAAGGCTCTCTGGAAACTTTAAAATAAGGAAACAGATTAAGTTAGAGCACTGCTTGTCCAGTGGAATATGATGTGGGCAACATTCGACATATTCAGTTGAACATTTTTAGTAGCTATATTATTATTTTTATTATTTTATATTTATAGAGATAGGGTCTCGCTATGCTGCCCAGTCTGGTCTTGAGCTCCTGGTCTCAAGCCATCCTCCTGCCTCAGCCTCCCAAAGTACTGGGATTACAAGCATGAGTCATCAGGCCCGGCCCACATGAAATTAACTTTATTATCATGTTTTGCCTGGGTGCAATGACTCATGCCTGAAATCCCAGCACTTTGGGAGGCTGAGGCAGGATGGCTTGAGGCCAGCAGTTGAAGATCAGCCTGACCAACTTGCCTAAACCCTGCCTCTACTAAAAATACAGTTAGCTTATTGTGGTCATGCGTGGCTGTAGTCCAGCTACTCTGAGGCTGAGGCATGAGAATTGCTTGAACCTGGGAGGCGGAGGTTGCAGTGAGCCGAGATCGCGCCACTGCACTCCAGCCTAGGCAACAGGGTGAGACTCTGTCTCATAAAAAACAAAAAACAAAAAAACCCACAACTCATTGCGTTTACCTCACTAAAGTTCCTAAGCATTAAATGATAGCAAGGTACAGCTTTAAACAGTAAGCAACGGTAACAACCCTGCAACCCCAAAGCATTCTTAAGAACCAAAAGAAACAATGAAAAAAAAAAATAAGGCTGGGCGCGGTGGCTCACGCCTATAATCCCAGCACTTTGGGAGGCCGAGGAGGGTGGATCACATGAGGTCAGGAGTTCAAGACCGGCCTGACCAACGTAGTGAAAACTCGTCTCTACTAAAAATACAAAAAACTAGCCACGCGTGGTGGCGGGTGCCTGTATTCCCAGCTCTACTCAGGAGGCTGAGGCAGGAGAATCGCTTCAACCTAGGAGGCGGAGGTTGCAGTGAGCCGAGATTGTGCCACTCAACTCCAGCCTGGGAGACGGCGAGACTCTGTCTCAAAAAAAAAAAAAAAAATTGGGTGCCATGGCTCACGCCTGTAATTCCAGCATTTTAGGAGGCTGAAGGTGTGGATCACTTGAGGACAAGAGTTCGAGACCAGCCTTGCCAACATGGTAAGACGCCATCTCTACTAAAAATGCAAAAATTAGCCAGGCATGGTGGTGCATGCCTGTAATGTAATCCCAGTTTCTAGGGAAGCTGAGACACGAGAATAGCTCGAACTCGGGAGGTGGAGGCTGCGGTGAGCCGAGATTGCTCCACTGCACTCCAGCCTGGAAAATAGAGCAAGACTGTGTCCCAAAAAAATAAATAAGGCAAAACCTAAAACAACCAAAGAAGGCTGAGCGCATGAATTCGGATGCCACTGCACTCCAGCCTAGATAAACAAAGTGAAACAAACCTTCCACGGCAAAAAAAAAAAAAAAAAAAAAAAAAAAAAGCAAAAGCTAATACACAACTAACAAAACTTGCATTTCAACTACCACAACCAGCAGCAAGTGCGAACGCAATCTCCCGCTACCACAAATTATACACTGTAGTTACCCACATTTGGGGAAATCGTAGGGATCAGCACAAAGTGCAACGAATAAGCCACACACAGGGAAAAACCACCTCCATAATCACAGTATTTCTCCTGACAGGTAATTATGAGGTACTTGCGTGACCCCAGCAATCCCCGGTGCCGCCCACATCATTGCAAGTGCGGGTAACTCCTGAAATGACTCTAATTGGACTTTATCCACATATAGTGAACAAAATAAACAGATTTTTTATACTATATCTTGGTGTTGGTAACAGAGTTGTGCAAATCCTTCCAAGGAACGCGTTTCCAAAATGCAGTCTTTAATCTACATACTCCACCTCCCGGCGTGACGTCATGCATAGGCCTGGCTGGTCAGAGAGCGCAACTGCGTTCTCATCTCGGCCCGCTTCCAACCAGCAGTTCCTTCTCCTGCTCGCGTCAATGCAAGTGACGTCTGTCAGGCCATTTTCCTGACAAAAACGCACCACCTCACTACTTTTGGCGTAGCCTAAGGCCTTCGGATCTCCCTGTATGGAGAGTTTCCTTGAGCTAACAGACGTGAATGAACTTTTAGTCACGGGATACCCACGCTGTGAACCACCCCGGCATCATTTCCTCTTATTCCAAGAAGGGGAACAGGGCATGCTAGCAGGCTGTACTGCAGAGTGGAGGGTTTTGGAATCCAAGATCTGGACTGCAATATAGCGTTCACAATGCAAGACTTTCGATGAGCTTATGGCCTCAACTTGTTCCTCAGTTTGTAAAACCTGCATTACTGTCCTTGGAGGAGTTTTTGTGAAGACTAAAACAAATACATTAACGAACAGCTTAAACCTTAAAGCATAATTATAACATGTGAGTCAGGCAACCCAATAAAAACCCTAAAGCAAACCAAGAAATACTAACAGCTAACATCTACTGTTTACCATGCATCTGGACTTTATGGTTAATCCTCACAACGTTGAGGTAGGAAATGGAATCATCCCCATTTCATGGATAAAGAACCTGAGGCATGACAAAGATTCTTTGCTGGCCGGGTGCAGTGGCTCACGCCTGTAATCCCAACACTTTGGGAGGCTGAGGTGGGCGAATCACTTGAGGTCAGGAGTTCGAGACCAGCCTGGCCAACATGGTGAAACCCTGTCTCTACTAAAAATACAAAAATTAGCCGGGCATGGTGGCAAGTGCCTGTAATCCCAGCTACTTGGGAGGCTGAGGCAGGAGAACTGCTTGAACCCGGGAGGCGAAGGTTGCAGTGAGGCAATGAGCCGTGATCATGCCACCGCACTCCAGCCTGGGCGACAGAGTGAGACTCTGGCTAAAAAAAAAAAAAAAAAAAGATTCTTTTCTTGTTTGCTTGGCCAAACCTTATTCAGGCTTCTGAACCTTCTCATAGGCCAGTCTGTGCATGTTCTTGTAAAATCCAGTTTTAGTAAAGGAACCCTGCTAAGTCAATTTAGCTGAAACCCAAATTCTCCAAATCTGATCAGGTTCCTCATCCTGCACCACCCCCCAGGTGATATCTGATCACCCCAGCCTGTCTTCAGCAAGAATCCTGTTAGATCAGTTTAGCCAGAATTCCTCTTACCCCTGATGTTTCCTCTTGGTAATTTTCTAACCACTGACCTCCACACTGCTCCTTGGCTACAAATTCCCATTTGCCCATGCTGTACTTTGGACTTGTGCCCAGTCTTTCTCCTCCACTACAAGACCCCATTGCAGCGGTCTCTATACCTATCCTGATGGTCCTGAACAAAGTCATCCTTACAGCAAAAAAGTGCACCTCTCCCAGCTACCAAAGCCTCTTCTACTGATGTGCCTGGAGGAGCTGCAGTAACTATAAACCCCTGCAAATGTGGAGGAAGTAACTGGAGCCTGGGTCCAGTCATGACTGTCTACTGAATCATCTTAGCCAATGCCCACTGAAGGCTCAGGGTGCTCCCAGCACAGGGAGAAGAACTTCACACACCTTAACTCATTTAATCCACTCAACAATTCTACAGAGTACACAATATCTCCATTTTGCATATGAGAAAACTGAGGCCAAGGGAGGCTGAAATGTGCCCAAGTGGTAGAGAAGGAATTAAAATCCATGTAGTCATCCCCAGAGAGGACTTCTTTTTTTTATTTTTATGCACACACAGACAAGGGTGACATCTACAGAAAATAATCTGGATCACCCAGAAAGCATGTGGCATCCTAGGTGAACTGCTATGCGAGGTAACTGGCCCAAGGGCTCTAGTCACCCACCCTAACATCCTACCCAAAGGCCCTGAGGACTGGGGGGTCAATATATTACATCACACAGTTTGAGAAGCTGTAGGGTGGAGACATTCTGGCAAGTGAGTGTCATTTGTTCCGGGTATATATCAAATTAGAAAAAAAGGCTGAGAACCACTGTTCTAGGTAGGCATAAAAAATGGAACCTGGCAATTATCAACACTGTATGAATGGAGGATTAGGGATACATCTGTATTGTGTAAAAAAGGGGGAGACAATGCCAGGCACAGTGGCTCATGCCTATAATCCCAGCACTTTGGGAGGGTGAGGTGGGCAGATCACCTGAGGTCAGGAGTTCAAGACCAGCCTGGCCAACATGGTGAAACCCCATCTCTACTAAAAATACAAAAATTAGCCAGGTATGGTGGTACACGCCTCTAATTCCAGCTACTCAGGAGGCTGAGGCAGAAGAATGGCTTGAACCCAGGAGGCAGAGGTTGCAGTGAGCCGAGATCATGCCACTGCACTCCAGCCTGGGCGAAAGAGCGACACTCTGTCTCAAAAACAAACAAAAAAAAAAACAGGAGGGGGTGTGGAGAGGAGTTTGTCATATTTGCTGAAAGTCACCAGACGATGGCTAAAGAATGTAACAAGCCAGCTGCTGGGCGTGGTGGCTCACGCCTGTAATCCTGACACTTTCGGAGGCCGAGGTTAAGTGGATCATTTGAGGTCAGGAGTTCGAAACCAGCCTGACCAAAATGGTGAAACCCCATGTCTACTAAAAATACAAAAATTAGCCAGGTGTGGTGGCGCATGCCTGTAATCCCAGCTACTCAGGAGGCTGAGGCAGGTGAATCACTTGAACCTGGGAGGCAGAGGTTGCAGGGAGCTGAGATCACGCCACTGCACTCTAGACTGGGCAACAGAGAGAGACTCCGTCTCAAAAAAAAAAAAAAAAAAAAAAAGCCAGCAACAGCTTGAGACTTCATTGAGGTTTAGCAAGAAGCACCCTCATGTGAATACATGTTAACAAAATGTCAGGAAGGAGCATTGGTGCTGCTCTAATCTAATGTTACTCCCTTGCCCAAAGCCCTTCAATACTCCTTACTGCCCTCTGGATAAAGCACCAACTCCATCCCACGCTCCTTGAGGCTCTGCATGGGCTGGCTCCATAGCTTTTCCAGCCTGCCTGTACTGTCCACCATACCGCCGTGGCAGCCACAGCTACAGCCGCAGCCTCTTTCCAGCCTCAGAGCCTTTGCCTGTGTAGTTCCCCTTGCTTAAAATGTTTTTACCCTGCCTCTCCTGACAAATCTAACTTCTCTTCCCACGCTGAGCTCCCTCTGTTATCATAGTAAGAGTCCTTTAATTTCTCTTTTAGTCTTTATCTTCAGTCCATTCATTATTCCACTGTGTGATTATCAGTCAGTTTCCTGGGCTAGACTACAGACTGTCGAAGGACCTGAGAGTTTTCATCTGTCACTGCTGGAGTCTCAGGCTAGCAAAGTACCTGGCATGGAGATTTCTGCCTATCTATCCATCTATCTATAGGATGTGTGTGTGTAATGATTAGAAAGCTAAGAAATGTGATAGAAAAGGAGTGTGAGAAGCCTAAATAAACTTTGGGAAGATTAAAAAAAAAAACAACAAACAGCTTTGGGAAGGTAAGAATAAGGATCAGGGACCAAGAAACTAAATTCAGCCAGGAGCCGTGGCTCACGCTTGTAATCCCAGCACTTTGGGAGGCTGAAGTGGGTAGATCACTTGAGGTCAGGTGTTTGAGACCAGCCTGGCCAATATGGAGAAACCCATCTCTACTAAAAATACAAAAATTAGCTGGGTGTGGTGGCAGGCACCTGTAATCCCAGCTACTTGAGAGGCTGAGGCAGGATAATTGCTTGAACCCGGGAGGTGGAGGTTGCAGTGAGTCAAGATTGCGCCACTACACTCCAGCCTGGGCGACAGAGTGAGACTCCCTCTTAAAAAAAAAAAAAAAAAAAAAAAAAAAAGTGACTATACTTAATATATTCTTGAAAATTCCTGAAAGCATATGTTAAGCATCTTTACCACAATAAAATGATAGAAGTACATACAGTAATGCATATATTAATTAGCTCCCTGTAGCCATTCCACAATGTATAATACTTCAAAACAACGTGTACACAATAAATATATACAATTGGGACACTGATTACCATTACATGTCCAAATATTGCTTCCACTCCACCTTCTGGAACTCTCATTGCATTTATCTTGACCCTCTCATTCTATTCTCTATCTCTTTGAAACTTTCTTGCATTTTCCCATCTCTATATTTCTTTGAGCTACATCCTGGGTAATTTTTCAGATCTGTCTTCACTAATTCTGTCTTTGGCAGTGTCTGCTGCTTAACCCATTCACTAAGATTATTATTTCAATTATTGTAGTTTCATTTTGAGAAATGAATAGACTAGAGAGGGTTTCTTTTGTTTCTGCCTGGTGCTGGGGGACATCACCAAGCCAGGCTAAAGTAACTTTTTGTGCCATCCCCTAACATATACACATAGCAGTATGAATTCTGGCCCATTTTGAGGGACTGTGAATGTGAGATAGTGGTGAAGATTTCTCTGCCCCTTCCCATTCTCAGGCTGAGGCTGAGACCAGCACATATCTCTAACATCTTTCTCTTGGGGAGGGGGCATTCCTCAGAACTGAGAGTGTTCTTCTCCTGGGGTCGCAGCTTTATAGAATGAGGAGGGACTCTCTAGTCAGACCTCCCACCCAGCTCAGGCCCCAAGCTTTGTCTCCTGCCTGTGGTCCATTAAAAGCCAGCCCCAGAGCTTCTAAGGATGGCCAATGTCCTTAGGAAATAGACAGGGTCCATCCCTGCCTTTCCTTTCTGGATTTGTTTCTTTCTCTGGGTCTCTGTGGATTTCTCTTTTTGCTAGATCAGAAATATATTTTAAAAACTCGTTTTCTTGTTCTATTTTCTCACCATTTTACATGTTTTGAGCTTACAAAAGCCTTCCCTGGACCTCAGGTCTACTCACTGCCAGAGAAGCTCATCCCTCAATTCATCTAATCCTTTAGACTTTCCACGCCATTTCACTCACTAGGCCCCTAGCCCCATCTCTCACCTACTTCATGCTGCAGCACAGCGTATTTCCTCTATCTTAGAGGCTCCCAAACTTTTTGGCACCAGGGACCAGTTTCATGGAAGACAATTTTCCATTTCTCCACGGATAACAGGGGGTGGGTGGGAATGGTTTCAGGATGAAACTGTTCCACCTCAGCTCATCAGGCATTAGTTAGGTTCTCATAAGGAGTGTGCAACCTAGATCCCTGGCATGCTCAGTTCACAATAGGTTTCACGCTCCTATGAGAATCTAATGTGGCTGCTGATCTAACAGGAGGAGGTGCTCAGGCAGTAATGACATCACCTCCTGCTGTGCGGCCTAGTTCCTAACAGGCCACCAACTGGTACCATGCTCCTTCCAGGGGGTTGGAATCCCCTGCTCTAACTGGTCCTAGAGCCAATCAACAGTCATCTCCTCTACTCCCATTTCCCCAGCACTGCTGGAGAAAAAAAGTTGCAGAATCTTCCAGCACTCTTACTCCAAATACTCCAAATTTATGCAAACTGCAACTACATCCTCACTGCTACTTGGCATTCCTTTTTTTGAGACAGAGTCTCGCTCTATCACCCAGGCTGCAGTGCAGAGGTGCAATCTCAGCTTGCTGCAACCTCTGCCTCCCAGGTTCAAATGATTCTCTTGCCTCAGCCTCCCGAGTAGCTGGGATTATAGGCACGCGCCACCAGGCCCAGCTAATGTTTTTTTATTTTTTGTATTTTTAGTAGAGACGGGGTTTCACCATGTTGGCCAGGCTGGCCTCGAACTCCTTGGCCACCCAAAGTGCTGGGATTACAACTGTGAGCCACCATACCCAGTCGGCATTCCTTTTTTTCTTTGTTTGTTTTGAGATGGAGTCTCGCTCTGTCACCCGGGCTGGAGTGCAATGGTGTGATCTCGGCTTACTGCAACCTTTGCCTCCTGGGTTCAAGCGATTCTCCTGCTTCAGCCTCCTGAGTAGCTGGGATTACAGATGCGTGCCACCATGCCTGACTAATTTTTGTATTTTTAGTAGAGATGGGGTTTCTCCATGTTGGCCAGGCTGGTCTTGAACTCCTGACCTCAAGTGATCTGCTAGCCTCGAACTCCCAAAGTGCTGGGATTACAGGCATGAGCCACCACGCTCAGCCGGCATTCCTTTTATACATACTTTTTTTAAAAAAAATTTCTTACAATTGAGTGGTTCTCCATGACAGTGGAGCCACTCCCAAAGGGAAATTTTGAAACTCTGAGGGGATGTTTTTGTTTCCCTGGGTAGTCATGCCAAGCCTTTACATATTAAAATATTGTATTGTAGGGCAGGGCGCGGTAGCTTATGCCTGTATTCCCAGCACTTTGGAAGGCCGAGGTGGGTGGATTATAAGGTCAGGAGTTCAAGACCAGCCTGGCCAATATGGCGAAACCATAAAAAAAAAATAACAAATATAAAAAATTAGCCAGGCGTAGTGGTGCACACCTGTAGTCCCAGCTACTCAGGAGGCTGAGGCAGGAAAATCGGTTGAACCCAGGAGGCAAAGGTTGCAGTGAGCCGAGATCACGCCACTGCACTCCAGCCTACACGACAGAGTGAGACTCCATCTCAAAAATAAATAAATAAATAAATAAATAAATAAATAAATAATTGTATTGTAACTTATTTTTCTCTCTCCTTTATATTTGTATTGTTTTGTTTTTGAGACAGGGTCTTGTTCTGTAACCCAGGCTGGTTGGAATGCAGTCACGCAATTTCAGCTCACTGCATCCTCAACCTCTTGGGCTCAGGTGATCCTCCCACCTCACCCTCCCGAGTAGCTGGGACCACAGGCATGCACCACCATGCCCAGCTAATTTTTTCAATCTTTTTTTTGTTTTTCTACAGTTGGGGTTAAGCCATGTTGCCCAGCTTGGTCTCAAACTTCTTGGCTCAGGCGATCCTCCCACCCTCCCAAAGTCCTGGGATTATAGACGTGAGCCACCCCACGTGGCTTCTCTCCTTCATATTATAGTTAGGACATATTATCTGTGGGGTAACTATATGTAGTTTATATTTTCTACAAACATCTTCAAGGTAGTAAATGGAATGTTACTAGTTCTTATAAAAGGAAACCCTGGGCCGGGTGCGGTGTCTCCCACCTGTAATCCTGGCACTTTGGGAGGCCAAGGCGGGCAGATTGCCTGAGATCAGGAGTTCAAGACCAGTCTGGCCAACATGGTGAAACCCCATCTCTACTAAAACTACAAAAAATTTAGCTGGGTGTGGTGGCATGCGCCTATAATCCCAGCTACTCGGGAGGCTAAGGCAGGGGAATTGCTTGAACCAGGGAGGTGGAGGTTGCAGTGAGCCGAGATCGCACCACTGCACTCCAGCCTGGGCGACAGAGCAAGACTCTGTCTCAAAAAAAAAAAAGGAAACCCTTGATTTGACAGAATTGAGAACCACAAACTAATCCTATTGAACCCACATCCTTTTCACAGGAGTGAGAATAACTTATTTATGATGAAAGTCCGGCCAGGCGCAGTGGCTCACGCCTGTAATCCTAGCACTACAGGAGGCCAAGGTGGACAGATCACTTGAGGTCAGGAGTTCACAACCAGCCTGGCCAACGTGGCGAAACCCCGTCTCTACTAAAAATACAAAAATTAGCTGAGCATGGTGGCTCAGGCCTGTAATCCCAGCTACTCGAGACGGAGAGGCACAAGAATCGCTTGAACCTGGGAGGCGGAGGTTGCAGTGAGCCGAGATCCTGCCCCTGCACTCCAGCCTGGGTGACAGAGTGAGAATCCATCTCAAAAAACGAATAGAAACACTAAGAAGAAAACATAGATGTAAATCTTCCTGACCTCCAATTAGGGAATGATTTCTTACATATGACATCAAAAGCACAAGTATAGTATGTCAATTATCCTTCAATAAAGTGGTTAAAAAAAAAAAAAGATTTATCTTCGATGAGGCCTTTGGAAAAAAAAAAAAAAAGGCAGGTAGGCCGGGCACGGTGGCTCACACCTGTAATCCCAGCACTGTGGGAGGCTGAGGGGGGGTGCATCACTTGAAGCCAGGAGTTTGAGACCAGCCTGGCCAACATGACGAAACCCCATCTCTACAAAAAACACAAAAATTAGCTGGGCATGGTAGCACATGCCTATAACCCCAGCTTCTTGGGAGGCTGAGGCATGAGAATCACTTGAGCCTGGGAGGTGGAAGTTGCAGTGAGCTGACATTGTGCCATTGCACTCCAGCCTGGATGACACAGGGAAACCATCTCCAAAAAAAAAAAAAGATGCAAATAGCCAATAAGCACACGAAAATATGTTCAATATTCTTAGCCATCAGGGTAATACAAATCAAAATCACCATGAAATACCACTTCACCCTCACTATGATTGCTAGAATCAAAATGACAAGTATCTGGCTATGGGTGGGCAAACTAGTTGATTTTCCCGAAAAAAGCTAAAACTACAAAGAAGATTGTGCCAAGCCTTGAGTGTGTTGAGCCCAACTGCAGAACAAAGAGAATGCTGGGTATTAAGAGATGTAAGCATTTTGAAGTGAGAGGAGATGAGAAGAGAAAGGGCCAAATGATATCCAGTTCTAAGTGTCATCTTTTGTTTTATAATGAAGACAATACAATATTGGGGTTATGTTCACATAAAAAAGTCTCCAGACAATCTCTGGCTCTTTCTAAAAATCAAACTATCTTTTAAATGGGTGAATTGTATGGTATAATATTAACAGATGGTTTCCCCATCTCCCTTCCCCAGACAGACTCCTGATTATGACAAGGACTATGTTCCAAGGGTATCTGCATTCCCCTCACCCAGAATAAGCTTTGTTTACAATAAGTACCCCATTATATATTGGCTGAATTGAATGAACTGGAAATCAAACTCAGGAAGCATTTCCAAAAGGATTTCCTTTAAACATGTTTTTAATTTTTAGAGACAGGTTCTTGTTCTGTCGCCTGGGCCTCCAAAGGTACGGTGATTACAAGCACGAGCCACTGAGTCTGGACTTTTTGCATTTTTAAATTGATATATCATAGTAGTATGTAAGCTTTTCCCTTTTTAAAACTACTATGGGCCAGGTGCCGTGGCTCACACATGTATATCCCAGCACGTTGGGAGGCTGAGGTTAATGGATCACCTGAAGTCACGAGTTCGAGACCAGCCTGACCAACATGGTGAAACCCTCTCTACTAAAACATAAAAATTAGTCGGCCAGGTGCAGTTGCTCACGCCTGTGATCCCAGCACTTTGGAAGGCTGACGCAGGCAGATCACCTGAGATCAGGAGTTCAAGCCCAGCCTGGCCAAAATGGTGAAACCCCATCTCTACTAAAAATAAGAAAATTAGCCAGGCGTGGTGGCAGGTGCCTGTAATCCCAGCTACTCAGGAGGTTGAGGCAGGAGAATCACTTGAACCCTGGGGGCAGAGGTTGCAGTAAGCCAAGATCACAGCATTGCACTCCAGCTTGGGCAACAAGAGAGAAAATCCATCTCAAAAAAAACCAAAAAAACAAAAAAAAACACAAAAAAACCCAGGCGTGGTGGCAGGCGTCTGTAATCTCAGCTACTCGGGAGGCTGAGGCAAGAGAATCACTTGAACCTGGGAGGCAGAGGTTGCAGTGAGCCAAGATCATGCCATTGCACTCCAGACTGAGCAATAAGAGTGAAACTCCATCTCAAACAAAAGAAAACAAAACAAAACAAAACCAACAAACTACTATGTCAGAACCTAAAGGTGATCATTCAAAGTAGTCATTTTAGAATGCAATGAATGAATTTCAATTCTATAGTCATTGTTAAGAGCAGGTTAAAATCCTTTAGGGGCCAGGTATGGTACTCATTTTTGTAATCCCAGCACCTTGAGAGGCCGAGGTGGGAGGATCACTTGAGGCCAAGAGTTCGAGACCAGCCTGGGCAACATAGCGAGACCCTATGCTACAAAAAGTTCTTTTAAAATTAGCCAGCTGACCAGGTGGGGTGGCTCACGCCTGTAATCCCAGTACTTTGGGAGGACGAGGCAGGCAGATCACCTGAGGCCAGTCTGGCCAGCATGGCGAAACCCCGTCTCTACTAAAAAATACAAAAAAGTAGCCAGGTGTTGTGGCGGGTGCCTGTAATCCCAGCTACTCAGGAGGCTGAGGCAGGAGAATCGCTTGAACTCAGGAGGTGGAGGGTGCTGGGAGCCGAGATCAAACCATTGCACTCCAGCCTGGGCAACAAGAGGGAAACTCCGTCTCAAAAAAAAAAAAAAAAAAAAAATTAGCCAGCCGTGGTGGCACATGCCTGTACAGCTACTTGGAAGGCTGAGGCAGAAGGACTGAGTCCAGGAGGTCAAGGCTGCTTTGAGCCATGATTGAGCACCACTGTACTCCAGTCTGGGAGACAAGAGCAAGACCCTGTCTCTAAAAATAAAAATGCTTAAAGGAAATCCTTCCTGAGTTTGATTTCCAGTTCATTTGACTCAGCCAACATATATGTGGTACTCATTGTGTACAAAGTTTATGCTGGATTAAGGGAACACAGCCAAGAAAAAACACCAAGGAAGCCTGTTACTATCACAAACTAAATAGTAGTACAGCTTCTCACTTCCATGGAAATTTAAAGACACAGTTCACAAGAAACAAGCAAGGAGAAGCCAAACACGGCCACAGACAATCACATTGGCTACTTCCCATTTGACAAAGAATAACACAGGGGAAAGTGTGAACACAGTCGCCCACTACCACAAATTATGCAGTTGAGTATCCCACATTTGGGGAAATCACAGGGGCCAGCAAACACAGAATGCAATGAGTGAACCTTGCCCTGGGAAAACCACCTTTGTGGTCAGGGTATCTTCCCTGCCCGGTAAAGTGGAAGGCATGGTTGTTGCCTGACATCTCACCCTCAGATTCAAAACACTCTTCACATAGGGTCACTCTTCTTGCACAAGTTCTAGCCTGCTACTTACAAGATAAAGACTTTTCCAAAGTTTAAGAGCCAGAAATGGCTGGGCACGGTGGCTCACGCCTGTAATCCCAACACTTTGGGAGGCCAAGGCAGGCAGATCACGAGGTCAGGAGTTCAAGACCAGCCTGGCCAACATGGTGAAACCCCATCTCTACTAAAAATACAAAAATTAGCCTGGCATGGTGGCGGGTGCCTGTAAGCCCAGCTATTCGGGAGGCTGAGGCAGGAGAATTGCTTGAACCTGGTAGGCAGAGGTTGCAGTGAGCAGATATGGTGCCACTGCACTCCAGCCTGGGCGACAGAGCGAGACTCCAACTCAAGGGGGAAAAAAAAGGGAAGTTTTTAGATGTGATTGATTTAAGATGAAAAGCTTATCCAGATGGGCCTAATGTAATCACAGGGTCCTTAAGGGAAGGACACTGGAAGACAGTGTGGCGATTCCTCAAGGATCTAGAACTAGAAATACCATTTGATCCAGCAATCCCATTACTGGGTATATACCCAAAGGATTATAAATCATGCTACTATAAAGACACATGCACGTGTATGCTTATTGCAGCACTATTCACAATAGCAAAGACTTGGAACCAACCCAAATGTCCATCAATGATAGAATGGATTAAGAAAACGTGGCACATATACACCACGGAACACTATGCAGCCATAAAAAAGGATGAGTTCATGTCCTTTGTAGGGACATGGATGAAGCTGGAAACCATCATTCTGAGCAAACTTTGCAAGGACAGAAAACCAAACACCGTATGTTCTCACTCATAGGTGGGAATTGAACAATGAGAACACTTGAACACGGGGTGGGGAACATCATACACCAGGGTCTGTCATAGGATGGGGGAAACGGGGAGGGATAGCATTAGGAGACATACCTAATGTAAATGACGAGTTAATGGGTGCAGCAAACCAACATGGCACATGTATACATATGTAACAAACCTGCACGTTGTGCACATGTACCCTAGAACTTAAAGTATAATAATAATAATAATAATAATAATAATAATAATAAAAGAGAAGGACACTGGAGCCAGGCGCCGTGGCTCACACCTGTAATCCCAGCACTTTGGGAGGCCGAGGCAGGTAAATCACCTGAGGTTAGGAGTGCGAGACCAGCCTGGCCAACATGGTGAAACCCCGTCTCTACTAAAAATACAAACATTAGCAAGGCGTGGTGGCGTGTGCCTGTAATCCCAGCTACTCAAGAGGCTGAGGCAGGAGAATCCCTTGAACCCTTGAGGCTGAGGTTGCTGTGAGCTGAGATTGCGCCATTGTACTCCAGCCTGGGCTACAAGAGCGAAACGCCGTCTCCAAGAAAAGAAAAAAAACAGAAGGACTCTGGAGGTCCACAAAAAGATATAAAGACAGAAGAAAAGTCAGAAGATGCTAAATTGTTAGCTTTGAAAAGGAAAGGGCTACAAACAAGGAAAATGTGAAGGTAACACTCCCTTAGAGCCGCCAAAGGTATTCAACTGCGTACTTCTGATTGTAATGGCAAATCACTGTAGTACTCAATGACAACACCAACCACGAGGGGTGTGAGACCAAAAGCGTGTGTGGAGAAAAAAATGACCATTAGAAGGCATCAATCTCTCGCTATTCCAAAACAGGAGGTTACAATATAACACAGGAAAACCTACGAAGCAAAGATACAACGTACGCCTTTTATAAACAAGCCAGATCAGGGGAGAGAACCAACATAGTCCCCACTACCACAAATTATGCAATTAAGTTTCCCACATTTGTAGAAAACCACAGGGGTCAGCACATCCACAATGCAAGAGACAAACCTCACCCTGAAAAATCCACCTTTAATGATCATGTTATTTCCCTTGCCAGTTAAGTATGAGTCCCCAGCGCTGCCTGAGAGTTCACCCTTAGATTCAAACCACTCTAAATATAGGATCATTTTTCTCATGTGCTCTTTAGACCCCCTAATTTCTGGAATAAAGATATTTTCCAAACTACAATAACCCAGCACCTGTATTTTTAATATCTGGCTATTCAAAATCTTAAGAAATATAAGCCTAGGGTGCAAATAGCCAGCAGTCACTGCGCTTATCTACATACTCCACACCCCTTTGGATGATCTCATTCAGTATGTCCTTTCCTAGTATGCTTGGTGACACGACTGAAATAAAACTTAAAAATGCTCTACAGATTAAAAGGTAAATAACGTAAACTAGCTCCTGCCTTTAAGGGTTTGGCACTAATGATGCCACTATGGTGTCTTTTTTCTTTTTTTTTCCCCCCAGAGACAAAGTCTTGCTTTGTTGCCCAGGCTGGGGTACAGTAGTTATCGAACTTCTGGCCTCAGGGGATTTTCCTGTTTCAGTCTTCCCCAGCAGCTGCAAAAACAGGCGCGCACGGCTTTCTTGCGCAGTTAAACAAGCTGCTATACACGTAACCTGAGTAAGTTTGAAAACATGAAATTTGGTAAAATTATTTCTGAAAATCCAGTCTACATATCTGAAAATCCAATCTCTGTATAGGTTACCTACCAGTCCAAAGTGTCATGCTTACATACAAAATGCTGTCTTTCAAACATGCAGCAAATGATCAATCTTACTTGAAAGATCAATTGCACAAACGCTAATTCTAATTTTGAATGAAGCAGGCCGGACGCTGTGACTCCTGCCTGTAATCCCAGCCCTTTGGGAGGCCAATGCGGGCAGATCACTTGAGGTCAGGAATTCGAGACCAGCCTGGCCAACATGGTAAAACCCTATCTCTAATAAAAATACAAAAATCAGCTGGGCATGGTGGCAGGCACCTGTAATCCCAGCTACTCAAGAGGCAGGAGAACCTCTTGAACCTAGGAGATGGAGGTTGCAATGAGCTGAGATCACGCCGCTGCACTCTAGCCTGGGCGACAGAGCAAGACTCTGTCTCAAAAAAACCCCACAAAAACCAAAAAAACAAATTAGAATTGGAGTTTCAGAGTTAACAGTGTTCTTCAATTGTCTTTCCAAGATCACACTAGAACCACCCTAATATCCCACATCTTTTATTTTACAGAAGGACTCTTCTGGTATCTTCTCTTCTGCCAAAATAAATTAGCCAGAGTTTATAACTTTTTTTTCCTTGTCACTGACTTCAAGCTCACGGTTTTCCATCTTTACAAAAGGAAGAAATAATGCTGTTTTAAAAATCTTGGGCCAGGTGCAGTGGCTCACACCTGTAATCCCAGCACTTTGGGAGGCTGAGGTGGGTGGATCACCTGAGGTCAGGAGTTCAAGACCAGCCTGGCCAACATGGCGAAACCCTCTCTACTAAAAATAAATTAGCCGGGCATGCTGGTGGGCACCTGGGTACTCGGGAGGCTGAGACAGGAGAATCGCCTGAACCCAGGCTGCAGTGAGCCGAGACTGTGCCATTGCACTCCAGCCTGAGCAACAAGATCGAAACTCCATCTCTAATGATAAATAAATAAAAATGAAAATAAAAATCTTGCTAAACAAGCAACAACTGAGAACATAGAGGTGTCTTAGATGGGGAGAAAAAGAATATTGGGACAAGGAGGTAGGGGATTCTGTGATGCAACCAGACACTTGTTCTCAAGTCTGATGTTCTGACAGTCTATCAGTTTTATTTTTATATACTTTCCTTTTCAAAGAAGTATTATGTAATATATATATACATACACACATATGTATATGTATGCTCTATAAATTGTCAACATTTTGTTTTGTGAAATAAAACACACTTTGAAATCTGGTTGGAGGGCTGGTCGCAGTGGCTCACACCTGTAATCCCAGTACTGTGGGAGGCCGAGGCAGGTGGATCATTTGAGGCCAGGAGTTCGAGACCAGCCTGGCAAACATGGTGAAACCTTGTCTCTACTAAAAATACAAAAATATCTGGTGGTGTGCATCTGTAATCCCAGCTACCCAGGAGGCTGATGAAGGAGAATCGCTTGAACCTGAAAGGCAGAGGTTGCAGTGAGCTAAGATCATGCCATTGCACTCCAGCCTGGGTGACAGCAGGAAACTCTTGTCTCAAACAAAAAAACAAAAAAAAAGAAAAGAAAAAAGAAATCTGGTGGAACAACTCATGTAAGGGAAAAGGTAATGTATGTGAACTATACTGCCATTACCACCAAACAATTCTTACAACCAAAATGCCAGTTTCAGAAGATTTGTGACTAGCAGTGCCTTCTTCAGGCTAGAGTGCAGTGGCACCATCACAGCTCACTGCAGCCTTGACCCCCAGGGGTCAAGTGAGCCTCCTGAGTAGCTGGGACTACAGGCACACACTACCATGTCTGGCTAACTTTTGTATTTTTTGTAGAGAGGGAGTTTCACCATGTTGCCCAGGCTGGGCTCAAACTCCTGGGCTCAAGCAATTGACCCGTCTCCGCCTCCCAGACAGTTGGGATTAGAGGCATGGAACCACCATGCCCAGGCCACAGAGTCTTTCTTTTTTTTTTTTTGTGACAGAGTCTTACTCTGTCGTCCAGGCTAGAGTGCAGTGGTGCCATCTCAGCTCACTGCCACATCTGCCTCCCAGGTTCAAGCGGTTCTCCTGCCTCAGCCTCCTGAGTAGCTGGAATTACAAGCACATGCCACCATGCCCGGCTAGTTTTTGTATTTTTAGTAGAGATGGGTTTTTGCCATGTTGGCGAGGCTGGTCTCGAACTCCTGACCCCAAATGATCCACCTGCCTCAACCTCCCAAAGTACTGGGATTACAGGTGTGAGCCACCACGACCACTCCTCCAACCAGATTTCAAAGTGTGTTTTATTTCACAAAACAAAATGTTGATAATTTACAGGCCCACCTCAGCTTCCCAAAGTGCTGGGATTATAGGCGTGAGCCACCATGCCCGGCTGCCCAGCCTACAGAGTCTTAAGTGGCTCATGAATCCTCACAAGTCCCAGTTTCAATGTTTCACAAAAATTTCATTGCTATTGGCCTAGTTATCAAAATATCTGTTCAAGGGAGTCAGCCTTAGGCAAAAAGATGTCTGTCCTCCACTGCCTTGTAACTCTAAGCAAGTTAAGAAAAATGTTACTGTTATAATCCTCACAGAGGTCCTGCATACCTTAATATCCTTTGAGAAGAGCCTCATTTCTTTGATTAGAAAAAAATGAGGAGCTGGATGCGGTGGCTAACACCTACAATCCCAGCACTTTGAGAGGCCAAGGTTGCAATGTGTCGAGATCGCGCCATTGCACTCCAGCCTGGGCGACAGTGCGAGAGTCTGTCTCAAAAAAAAAAAAAAAAAAAAAAGACAAAAATGAGGAAAGGCTGAGCACGGTGGCTCACGCCTGTAATCCCAGCAGTTTGGGAGGCTGAGGCGGGTGAATCACTTGAGGTCAAGAGTTCAAGACCAGCCTGGGCAACATAGCAAAACCCCATCTCTACTAAAGATACAAAAATTAGCTGGGCATGGTGGCACGTGTCTGTAATCCCAGCTACTCCGGAGGCTGAGGCAGGAGAATTGCTCGAACCTGGGAGGCGGAGGTTGCAGTGAGCTGAGATCACACCACTGCACTCCAGCCTGAGTGACAAAGCAAGACTCCATCCCCCCCCCCAAAAAAAAAAGGAAATATATGTTTGTTAAATACTAACATAAGTAAACATATAAAATCTTTATAAACTGAATCTAGTAGATTATTTAAAAAGAGACAGAATTGGCCAGGTGCGGTGGTTTACGCCTGTAATCCCAGCACTTTGGGAGGCTGAGGCAGGCGGATAACCTGAGGTCAGGAGTTCAAGACCAGCCTGGTCAACATGGTGAAAACCTGTCTCTACTAAAAATACAAAAATTAGCCAGGCATAGTGGCTCACGCCCGTAATCCCAGCTACTCGGGAGGCTGAGGCAGGAGAATTGCTTGAACCCGGAAGGCGGGGTCTGCAGTGAGCTGAGACTGCGCCACTGCACTCCAGCCTGGGCGACAGAGCAAGACTCCAGCTCAAAAAAAAAAAAAGAGAGACTTGGTCAGGTGGAGTGGTTCCCGCCTGTAATCCCAGCACTTTGGGAGGCTGAGGCGGGCGGATCACAAGGTCAAGATATCAAGACTATCCTGGCCAACATGATGAAACCCCATCTCTACTAAAAATACAAAAATTAGCTGGGCGTGGTGGTGCATCCCTGTCATCCCAGCTACTCGGGAGGCTGAGGCAGAAGAACTGCTTGAACCCGAGAGACGGAGGTTGCAGTGAGCCGAGATGGTGCCACTGCACTCCAGCCTGGCTACAGAGCGATAGGACCTACATATATAAAAGTATACGATAAAGGTAACATTTCATATAGAAGGGGAAGGAACTGATTATTTCAAAGACTGCTCAGAAAATTAGGTCACAACTGGAAAGAAAAAAAAATGCTTCCGCCCGGCATGGTGACTCACGTGAGCCTATAATCCCAGCACTTTGGGAGGCCTTGGCGGGTGGATCACCTGAGGTCAGGAGCATGAGACCAGCCTGACCAATATGATGAAACCCCATCTCTACTAAAAATACAAAAATTAGTGAGGCATGGTGGTGGGTGCCTGTAATCCCAGCTATCTGGGAGGCTGATACAGGAGAATCGCTTGAACACGGGAGGCGGAGGTTGGAGTGAGCTGAGATCACACCATTGCACTCCAGCCTGGGCAACAAGAGCGAAACTCCGTCCCAAAAAAAAAAAAAATTGCTTCCATATTAGCCGGGCATGGTGACACGTGCCTGTTCCCAGCTACTCTGGAGGCTGAGGCAGGAGAATCACTTGAACCAGGGAGGCAGTGGTGGCAGTGAGAAGATCGTGCCACTGCACTCCAGCCTGGGCGACAGTGAGACCCTGTCTCAAATAAATAAATAAATAAATAAATAAATAAATAAATAAATAAATAAATAAAAAGCTTTCTTCCTCCTACCACTTATTTTTTAAAAACTCATATAGATTAATAGGGAGGCAGAGGTGGGCAGATCACCTGAGGTCAGGAGTTCGAGATCAGCCTGGCCAATATGGCAAAACCCTGTCTCCACTAAAAAATACAAAAATTAGCTGGGCGTGGTGTCTCACACCTGTAATCTCAGCTACTCAAGAGGCTGTGGCATAAGAATTGCTTGAACCCTCAAGACAGAGGTTGCAGCAAGCAGAAATCATGCCTAGGTGACAGAGCAAAACTCAGTCCCCCAAAAAATCATATAAATAGTCAAATGTTGAAGGAATGGATGGTTAGAAAATAAAATTAAAAATTAAAAAAGATTCAAATGTAGATCTAAACCATATGTAGAAATAATACGAATGAAAAATCCATTTATAATTTTGTATAGACCTTCTAAACATGTTACCAAAGTCAGAATACAAAAATTGAATACATTAGATTTGGCCTAGTTTTGAAGGACCTGTTTTGAAGCACGTTGGGAGGCCGAGGTGGGTGGATCACCTGAGGTCAGGAGTTCAAGATCAGCCTGGCCAACATGGTGAAACACCGTCTCTACTAAAAAAATACAAAAATTAGCTGAGTGTGGTGGTGCACACCTGTAATCCCAGCTACTCAGGAGGCTGAGGCAGGACAATCGCTTGAACGTGGGAGGTGGAGGTTGCAGTGAGCCGAGATCACACCACCGCACTCCAGCCTGGGCAGCAGAGTAAGACTCGGTGTCAAAAAAAAAAAAAAAGAATGTCAGATTTGACAGATAAATAGTAGTTAATTAGGTGAAGGAGGGAGAGGTAATATTATAGACATATGCAAACACTGTTGAGGGATGAGGTCTAGCACACACAAGGAACTAAGAAAAGGCCAAAGTAGCAGGAGTATAGGAAGCAAATGGGAAAGAGGAAAAGGAAGAAGGTAAAGAGGAAAAACAGGGGCCAAAACATGCAAGCTTTTTTTAAGCCTTATTAAGAAATTTGGTCTTTATCCTAAGAGCAAAATAAGGCGAGGTGCGGTGCCTCATGCCTGTAATCCCAGCAGTTTGGGAGGCTGAGGTGGGTGGATCACCTGAGGTCAGGAGTTCAAGATCAGCCTGGCCAACATGGTGAAACACCATCTCTACTAAAAAAAATACAAAAATTAGCTGGGTGTGGTGGTGTGCACCTGTAATCCCAGCTACTCAGGAGGTTGAGGCAGGACAATCGCCTGAACATGGGAGGTGGAGGTTGCAGTGAGCCGAGATCACACCACCGCACTCCAGCCTGGGCGACAGGGCAAGACTCTGTCTCACAAAAAAAAAAAAAAAAAAAAGATCAAAATAAGGAGTGACATAACTGAAATGTACTGTAAAAAGATCATGCCAGGAGGATCATGGTGGCTCGCACCTGTAATCCCAGAACTTTGGGAGGCCGAGGAGTCCTTGTGACCAGGAGTTCAAAACCAGTCTGGGCAACACCTTGTCTTTACAAAAATTTTTAAAAATTAGCTAGGCACGGTGGCATGTGCCTGTTAGTCTCAGCTTCTTAGGAGGCAAAGGCAGAAGGATCTCTTTCTTGAGCCCAGGAGTTCAAGGTTGCAGTGAGATATGATTATGCAGAGTGAAAGGGAAGGAGGTGTCAAGGATGATTCTAGGTTTATGGCTTATGCAAATGGAAGGATGGATATGTGGTTCATGGAGGCAGGAAATGCAGGAAGAGGGCAAGGTTCTGGGAATGGGGTGAAGGTAATGAGTTAGGCTGAGTTGGAGGAGACTTTGAATTGTCCAGTAGGCAATTAGATATTTGCATCTGGACGGCAGAGGGTCAGGGCTAGAAATACAAATTTGAGAGTCACTGCCATGCCCAGGTTATGGAGGATGTGCTTGCAAAGCAAACAGAAAAGCCAAATATGTAGAAAGGAAATCAGAAGTGTGGCATTAAAAAAGCCAAGTAAGAGAATGTTTCAAAGAGTCGTGGACAACAAATACATATTGGGCTTCTATTATGTATAAGGTCCTGTAAAATTGATACTGCTAGTATATATGTCTGAGGCCTTAAAGAAGCTTTATCATAACCACCTCTAAAGCTATGCCTTTATTCAGAGGTTTTTCTCCTCAGTCTGAACAACATTGACTTCTTTCTCCTATTCCCAAACCCACTTGAACATGAAAGGTCACCTTTTTTTTTTTTTTTTTTTTTTTTTTTTTTGAGATGCAGTCTCGCTCAATCACCCACCCTAGAGCGCAGGGGAGGGATCTCAGCTCACAGCAACCTCCATCTTTGGGGTTCAGGAGATTCTCCTGCCTCAGTCTCCCGAGTAGCTGGGATTACAGATGCCCACCACCACACCTGTAGGGAGCTGAAGGCCCATGGGATGTGACCAACTCAGCATTCCACTGGAGGCTCTATGATCAAACACCAAACTGTTAATCATGAATGCAGGATGTGAGCAAACTCACGACTGCTCCTGCTGACAGAAGATTTGCTGGAGGCAATCACTCCCTGGCACTGAGGTTATCCACTGCGACATCTAGAGAATGCGGTCTTGCAAGCCTACTCTGGACTCAGCAGCTGACCCCTTCTCCCACCTCCCTTCTCACTATCTCTTTTACCTAATAAATACAGAAGGCTGTGTAAAGCTCAGGGCCCTTGTCCACTAGAGGCAAGGTACCCCCTGACCCCTTCTTCCAAATATACTCTTTTGTCTCGTCTTTTATTCCCGCATTTGCCCTCCTTTGTTCAGCCCATAGGTCCGTGCGGGTTACAGAGTGGTGCCCTGATCAGCAACAGAATCGGGTGCTCTACCCACACCTGCCTAAGTTTTGTATTTTTAATAGAGACAGGGTTTCACCATGTTGGCCAGGCTGGTCTTGAACTCATCTCAAGTGATCCACCCACCTAAGCCTCCCAAAATGCTGGGATTACAGGTGTGAGCCACTGCACCCGGCCGTGGTCACCATTTTTTAAAGTTCTATGTTCTTAGGCTAAAAAAAAAATAAACTTCTCCCCAGCTATAACAAAAATTTCATATTATTCCTCTCCTATGTCTCCAGAAACAGCCTAGTCAACCTGAAAATGTCTCGTTATTGGAATACTCTGACAGGTTAACTATAGACATTAACAGCAATAGGTCCTTCCTACCCTTAGAATTACATCAAGATAGCTACACAAGTCAGAAATGCAACATGTCAGAAATACTCAATAAAGATCCTGATAGATTATAAGCTCCATGAGGGCAGAGAATCTATCTTGTTTACCCTGTCATCTGGCACATAACTAGCATTTAATCAATATTTAATCTTGTTTTAGTGATCTAGTCTTCAGAGTGCTAATCCTGAATGTAGACCCCAGTCATAGGATTACTGTGGATCAAGTCAAAGAAAATAAAATATATAAAAGTACTCTACTTCGGCACTTTTACAATTATAGACTTTTTTTGTTTTGTTTTGTTTTTGAGACTGAGTTTTCCTCTTGTCGCCCAGGCTGGAGTACAGTGTCATAATATCGGCTCACTGCAATCTCTGCCTCCCATGTTCCAGCAATTCTCCTGCCTCAGCCTTCCAAATAGCTGGGACTATAGGTACCCTCCACCACCCCCAGTTAATTTTGTATTTTTAGTAGAGACGGGGTTTTACCACATCGCCCAGGCTGGTCTTGAACTCCTGACCTCAAGTGATCTGCCAGCCTCAGCCTCCTAAAGTGATGGGATTACAGGTGTGAGCCACAGTGTCTGGCCTAATTGTAAACATTTTTAAAAAACGTCTCAGCATTAGCATTCTGCTGAGCTAGGTATTCTATAAGGATTTATTCCAACTGAATATGCGCATTAGAATGCTGTAAAAACTGAGAAACAGACTCAGATTTATTATGTACTTTTTTGTGTGATAAGTACTGTATATGTGTTAATTTAATCTTGACCAAAACCCCAGGAGATATTATCTTCTACTTGCAGGTGAGGAGACTGAGTAACTTGCTGAAGGTCACATAGTTGGTAACTTCCAGACATGTGATACAAATCCAAATCTGTGTGACTCCGCAGCCCATGCTGGTTTGCCCATAGCAATGTCTCTCAAATTTTTTCATGAAGTAACCTCAAGTTGCAAGAAAAACCAAAACATATTCCCGGGGGGGGTTTGGGAGATTACTGAAGTATCCAGTTTAAGCCTGATGTGTCTCTGACCTCATACTTTTCTCTTAAATTTTATTTTTATATTTGCATTTTACCCCCACATTTTGTTTTTATTTCTATACATATATTTTTTTTTGAGATGGAGTCTCGCTCTGTCACAGAGGCTGGAGTGCAGTGGCATGATCTTGGCTCACTGCAAGCTCTGCCTCCCGGGTTCACACCATTCTCCTGCCTCAGCCTCCCAAGTAGCTGGGACTACAGGTGCCTGCCACCACACCCGGCTAATTTTTTGTATTTTTAGTAGAGATGGGGTTTCACCGTGTTAGCCAGGATAGTCTATCTCCTGATCTCGTGATCCGCCCACCTCGGCCTCCCAAAGTGCTGTGAAACAGGCGTGAGACATCACGCTCAGCTAATTTATTTATTTTTAGAGGGAGTCTCTCTCTGTTTCCAGGCTAGAGTGCAGTGGCCTGATCTCACTCACTGCAACCTCTGCCTCCTGGGTTCAAGCTATTCTCCTGCCTCAGCCTCCTAAGTAGCTGGGACTATAGGCACACATCAACATGCCCAGCTAATTTTTGTGTTTTTAGTAGAGACAGGGTTTCGTCATGTTGGCCAGGATGGTCTTGATCTCTTGACCTCATGATCCACCCGCCTTGGCCTCCCAAAGTGCTAGGATTACAGGAGTGAGCCACCGTGCCCGGCCTACCCCATGTTTTATTAAAGTTTATTTTCTTTTTCAAAAATTTTAATGATTTATCCACACTACACAGATGTAATGTCTGCTTAATATAAACCATTTCAAATGACTTAGGTAAATCATTTAACTCTTCCCTCCCTGAAAGATTTTTTTTGAGAAAAGTGATTACACAAGAAGGTGCACCTTCCATATTTATCCCATAGCTTTGTTTAGTTCCTAGTGCGTGGTTTCAAAAACCTGGATCCCAGTTTGAAAGCATGACTACAGAGCAAATTGCATTAAAGACATCTTAAGAATGATGATGAAAATAATTATTATAGGCAAGGGCCAGAAGATTTTTTTTTTTTTTTTTTCTGAGATGGAGTCTCGCTCTGTCGCCCAGGCTGGAATGTGGTGGCGTGATCTAGGCTCACTGCAAGCTCCGCCTCCTGGGTTCATGCAATTCTCCTGCCTCAGCCTCCCGAGTAGCTGGGACTACAGGCGCCCACCACCGCACCCAGCTAATTTTTTGTATTTTTAGTAGAGACGGGGTTTCATCATGTTAGCCAGGATGGTCTCGATCTCCTGACCTTGTGATCTGCAGAAGATATTAATAGCACTTAAATTATACAGCTATAGATAGAGTTGAGTGGGGGTTTTTTTGTTTTTTTTATTTTGCTTTGTTTTGTTTTTGAGATGGAGTCTCGCTCTGTCGCCCAGATTGGAGTGGAGTTACGCAATCTCAGCTCACTGCAACCTCAACCTCCCGGGCTCAATTGGTTCTCCCACCTCAGCCTCCCAAGTAGCTGGGACTAGAGGCATGTACCACCATGCTGGCTAATTTTTGTATTTTTTGTAGAGATGGGGTTTTGCCCTGTTGCCCAGGCTGGTCTCAAACTCCTGAGATCAAGCGATGTGCCCTCTTTGGCCTCCCAAAGTGCTTGGATTCCAGGCTTAAGCCACTGTGCCAGGCCAAAGTAGTTTTGAACTTTCCACTGTCAACGAAAGAAATTCTAAACACGACTGATTCCACTGAGTTTGACCAAACTAACTGAAGACTTATTGTTGAATGTGGTAATACCATGTTTTTTCTTCACCCAAGAATCTGGGTGCTTTATAAGCATAAGCATGAAATCTCCCTGAAGATAGTATTTATGCATCCACTGAGCGCTCAAATATAGACCATATTAGAAGTTAAGCAATGGGTTGAGTGGCCAACCACATTTTGGCCAGTCCTACAAGACTTTCTTTGACCTACCAAATGGGGTATAAATGCTTCTCGTATTCTCCCCGCCAGTAGGGACTCAAAATCTTAATAGCTCGGGGTAGTAAAAAGGATGCTAGGTTTGAATCTTGGCTTTAAGAAAACTGTGCTGAGGTGTTTTGTTTGTTTGAGACAGGGTTTCACTCTATCACCCAAGCTGGAGTGCAGTGGCGTGATCATAGCTCACTCCCAGGCTGAAGGGATCCTCCCACCACAGACTTCTGAGTAGCTGGGACGACCGGTGCATGCCACCATGCCCGGCTAATTTTTTGTACTTTTGGTACAGACAGTGTTTCGCCATGTTGTCGAGGCTGGTCTCAAACTCATGAGCTCAAAGAGATCCACCTGCCTCGACCTCCCAAAGTGCTGGGATTACAGGCACGAGCCACTGCGCCCGGCCAGCTTTTTTTCTTTTATCAGAATTGATATTAAACTATATGCTGAGCTTCCATGTCCTTATCTTCCTTTTGGCATGGCTATGGCCATTTGAAATGTGTGGGATTTGCTAAAGTGCTCAACATACGTTGTTTCCTTTTTTAGATCTAAGTATGTAGAGGGCTCTGATTTGCAATATTTAGAAAGTTCTTCTAAGCTGGGAAGAAAAGTCAAGACTAAGAATCATTGCCAACAGGGCCGGGCGCGGTGGCTCACGCCTGTACTCCCAGCATTTTGGGAGGCCGAGGCAGGCGGATCACGAGGTCAGGAGTTCGAGACCAGCCTGGCCAATATGGTGAAACCCCTTCTCTAATAATAATACAAAAATTAGCCGGGCATGGTGGCGTGCGCCTGTAATCCCAGGTACTCAAGAGGCTGAGGCAGGAGACTCACTTGAACCCGGGAGGCGAAGGTTGCAGTGAGCCGACATCGTGCCACTGCACTCCATCATGGGCAACACAGTGAGACTCTGTCTCAAAAAAAAAAAAAAAAAAATCGCCAATAGGTAGGGAATAAGTTACCCCCTGCTAAATAAGTTACACTCACCTAGGCAAGGAAGGAACTCATAAACCACCTTCTAAACTGCTTGCCTTCCTCCCCGAAGTTCTGTAATTTAGAGGCGGTCACTACCACTGCTTGAACACCCCTTCCCAAGTCTGTACCACAAAAGGAGCTCTTGTGTAGCCCAGCCCCTCCTTCTCAGGACCCCAGGAGCCCAGACACACTAATGGGGACATTAGTTGCTTACTTTTCCAGCTACTGCTTAAGCTAGGCAGGCCATGAAGAAATAACGGTCTCAGTAACCTCCATGCTCGGGATACGACTCCCGGGAAGACGTGGGTGGGTGCGGGGAATGCGGACTGATCCCTCCCAGCGGCCGTTGGGGGCTGGCCCACAATCCCTCGCGAGGGCGGGAAAAGCAATGTGGTCGTTGCGGGGGGGGGGGGTCAGAAAAGGGGGACGGTCAGCGGGAAGAGCCAAGAGACTGCAACTCTACAAAGAGCACGCAGATTAATTCTAATGATTGTTCCCTGAGCTTTTCACACCAAAATAATGGTAACTGGCTAGTGTGTGCCCGTTACGCTCACTACTCCCACTCGAGATCATTCCTATTAATGACTCTGAGGCTTCACCTAACAGGCCACGGTGGAGGCAAGGAAATGTGGCGTGGAGAACCCACTGGGCCTGGCTCTCCGTCCTATGGTCTCCGTCCATCGTTTTACAGTCAGGGTGTACATTTGATGAGGAATCTCTAAATGGGATTTTGGGGAATCAAAACGGAATGGTGCATAAGTGTGAAAATTTACAAGACTGCGCAAAGCTGCAAGGCCCGGAGCCCCGTGCGGCCAGGCCGCAGAGCCGGCCCCTTCCGCTTTACGTCTGACGTCACGCCGCACGCCCCAGCGAGGGCGTGCGGAGTTTGGCTGCTCCGGGGTTAGCAGGTGAGCCTGCGATGCGCGGGAAGACGTTCCGCTTTGAAATGCAGCGGGATTTGGTGAGTTTCCCGCTGTCTCCAGCGGTGCGGGTGAAGCTGGTGTCTGCGGGGTTCCAGACTGCTGAGGAACTCCTAGAGGTGAAACCCTCCGAGCTTAGCAAAGGTAACGACTCCTGATGGCAAGCTGAGGCACACCGGCCGCCGTCAGCGCCGCCTCAGTCTTCGTTCTCTCGCCTCGGCCTTCAGCCCAGTCTCCGTTAGATTCTGCTTCCTCCCACGTCCATGTTTACAGCGTGAAAGAGCTCCTCGACTCCACTTACAAGTTGTCTGAATGGTTAGGAGAACTGTGGTCGTGAAAACATTTACTAATTGCTTTTCCTCTGGCAATGCCTGCTGAATGCTTTGAGGATTGTCTCATTTAACCCTCAACCCGCTTACGTAGATTATTATATTCAGTATATGGATGAGAGAACTGATATCTTGGGGAGCTTAGGTAACTTTTCATGCTAACTGGGTTAGGAAATACTGGAGTCAGAATTGGTTGTCTAATTTTTGCTGTTCCAAGATCCAAGGGGTAAGGGTTAAATTTCAGAAATGCAGGATTTTGTGTAGGACTAGAGACACTAAGAATGAGAAAGAGAGTAGAATCCCCGGAATCTTGAGGAAGCATAGAAAGAATATTCTCTTACGTAATTAACTGAAACACCCAAAACCTCATATTCCAGAGCATTGCAGATGGGAACCACTGCATCCTGAGACATACAAATATGAGGCTGGCGGTGGTCACTTGTTGTGCACATCTCTCTATGACATGTCTGGACCTGTGCTATTCACTGAAGAAGATGGAACAGAATTTTAAGTTACTGCCCTTACTGATGGAAAATACAGAGGTTTCAATTCGCCTCTAAAGAATAAGTCTCGTGGACCCAGCCTTAACTGTTTAAGTCATACCGCGCGCAGACTGTGTCCCCCAAGATTTGATGGGCTCTTTTTTCTTCAACAAGTTGGCTTTTCAAAGAAGAAATGTGAGACCCTGAATAATAATGATCACTAACAACTATTGACTACTTTAGATGGTCTTGATATTCTACCAAGCTTTTTACATGTATCGTCTCATTCCCATTTTATAGACGAAAAAAATCTGAGCAAAAAAGAAAAAGTGAAGTAACTTGCCCAAAGTCATGCAGTAAGTGGTGCCAGGATTTACAAACCCAGGCAATCTAATTCCAGCATTCAGGCTCTTGATAGGATTTTCATTTCCTAAATGCTGTCATCACCATTGTCTTTTATTAGCCCCATATTTATGGCTCATATTCTTATCAGATCAAGCACTGATATATCAAACTGATAAGTGATGTCATCCTCACCATTATTTCTTCACCAGCTTGTTTTGTAATTGCCATTTTCTTTTCTCAGGCCACACTGTCAGATGGGTGAAATTGTGTAGTCGAGGAAGCATAAATGTATTCTTTAAAATGCTTGTGCCTTGAATAATTGTTCTCATTAGTTTGGAGTGATACATGAATTTTTTACATCAGTTATTTCCATGAAAAGTTTTTATTATAAATAATACATGCATATGTGCTTCTTAAAGTTGTACCTTGTTTTAGGCAGTTAAAACATCTATTTTCATTCTCATCTGAAAAATAATTTGTATACCTTATGAGAGCGAGATAATTATGGCTTCATAAGACCAAAAGGGATAGTAAAAATATGGTAATAGTGAGTACATTTTTATTTCTGCTTCCTGAGACACTTGTAGGTACTCAGAAATGCTTTAGTTGAATTGTTTCTGAGGTAATAGGTAATTCTTTATGTGATGACTAAGAAAACGAATACCTTTATTAAGCTGAATTTTTTTTTTTTTTTTTTTGAGACGGAGTCTCGCACTGTCATCCAGGCTGGAATGCAGTGGTGCGATCCAGGCTGGAGTGCAGTGGTGCAGGTTCAAGTGATTGTCCTGCCTCAGCCTCCCAAGTAGCTGGAATTATAACGCGTGCCACCATGCCCGGCTAATTTTTGTATTTTTAGTAGAGACGGAGTTTCACCATGTTGGCCAGGCTGGTCTTCAACTCCTGACCTCAGGTGATCTGGCTGCCTCAGCCTCCCAAAGTACTGGGATTTTAGGCATGAGCCACTGTGTCCGGCCAAACTGAAAAATTAAATGGTTGATAGAATGTTGCATTTTTATGTTTCTCCACTCCTAGCATCACTGTTGTCTACAAATTAATAAAGACAATCGATTATCATGTTACACTTTTAAATCTCTAAAATTAGGGTTCTTTTTTTCTTATTTTACTTTCAGAAGTTGGGATATCTAAAGCAGAAGCCTTAGAAACTCTGCAAATTATCAGAAGAGAATGTCTCACAAATAAACCAAGATATGCTGGTACATCTGAGTCACACAAGAAGTGTACAGCACTGGAACTTCTTGAGCAGGAGCATACCCAGGGCTTCATAATCACCTTCTGTTCAGCACTAGATGATATTCTTGGGGGTGGAGTGCCCTTAATGAAAACAACAGAAATTTGTGGTGCACCAGGTGTTGGAAAAACACAATTATGGTAAAATAAAGTGTTCTCCTTTTAAGGGTGGGTTTAATAACATATTATGAAAGTAGTATTTTGTACTATCGTCAGGAAACCAAATAAGATATATATGTGCTCTTAATTTTAAGTGTGTATGTGCATTAAACAAAAATTAGCTTACTATTTGTGTTACTTCATTATCCCTTCTTGATAAATGTATGCAATTATTCTGATGTGAAAAAGTGTTTCTTTTGCAAATTGTACTGCAGTCATAAGGTTAAACAGGAAGTTTCTGCGTTATTCATTCCTGAGACTATATTTGAAAGTCAGATGTTTGAAAGTAGATTTATGGCTAGGGGTAGTGGCTCATGCCTATAATCCCAGCACTTTGGGAGGCCGAGGCAGGAGGATTGCTTGAGCCCAGGAGTTTGAGGCCTGCCTGGGCAACATAGTGAGACCTCGTCTCTACTAAAAATGGAAAATTAGCTGAGTGTGGTGGCACATGCCTGTGGTCCTAGCTACTTGGGAGGCTGAGGCAGGAGGATAGCTTGAGCCGGGGAGGTCAAAACTGCAGTGAGCCTTAATCACATCACTGGGCAGCAGAGTGAGACCCTATCTCAAAAAAAAAAGAGGCCGGGGATGGTGGCTCACACCTGTAATCCCAGCACTTTGGGAGGCTGAGGCGGGTGGATCACCTGAGATCAGGAGTTCAAGACCAGCCTAGTCAACATGGCGAAACCCCATCTCTACTAAAAATAAAAAAATTAGCCAGGCATGGTGGTTCACGCCTATAGTCTCAGCTCCTCGGGAGGCTGAGGCAGGAGAATCGCTTGTACTTGGGAGGTGGAGGTTGCAGTGAGCCGAGATCATGCCACTGCACTCCAGCTTGGGTGACAGAGCAAGACTCTGTCTCAAAAGAAAAAAAAAAAAGGTAGATTTATGTATAATAAGGGGCTCCATTTTGAGAGGCCTGGAAATGATTAAAATATTCTTAATTGGCTGGGCGCAGTGGCTGACGCTTGTAATCCCAGCACTTTGGGAGGCCAAGGCAGGCAGATCATGAGGTCAGGAGATCGAGACCATCCTGGCTAACACGGTGAAACCCCGTTTCTACTAAAAAATACAAAGAATTAGCCGGGCGTGGTGGCGGGTGCTTGTAGTCCTAGCTACTCGGGCAGCTGAGGCAGGAGAATGGCGTAAACCTGGGAGGCGGAGCTTGCAGTGAGCCTGGATCACGTCACTGCACTCCAGCCTGGGCGACAGAGCGAGACTCCGTCTCAAAACATAAATAAAATAAAATAAAATATCCTTAATCTTGGTTTTATAGGCATGCCCTCCCCGAATCCAGTTGATTTACATATAGTCGATTGGTTCACATTATATCTGGAGTCATGAAGAGTTAGACATTTCTGTTGCCTTGGGGAGTATATTTACATTTATAAAACTTTAGTGATACCTAACTTGTCATTATCTGGAGTTCAAAAACACTACCTTAGATCATCATCATGATTTGGTTGTTTGTCATCTTTCTGTTGACAGTATGCAGTTGGCAGTAGATGTGCAGATACCAGAATGTTTTGGAGGAGTGGCAGGTGAAGCAGTTTTTATTGATACAGAGGGAAGTTTTATGGTTGATAGAGTGGTAGACCTTGCTACTGCCTGCATTCAGCACCTTCAGCTTATAGCAGAAAAACACAAGGGAGAGGGTAAGTTAGTAAATGATCTTCTTTTTTTCTGTATTAATAAAAGTAATTTGCATTTGTGCCCATCTGAGACCTCAGCAACACTCCATTTGGAATGTGAAGCCTAATTACTGGACAGTTAACTAGTGTTAAACTCTTTTACTACTGTTACAAAATGAGAAATGCCACAGCCTGGACTGGCTTTTTTTTGTTCCCCTTTTATGGCCCTCACTTCTTCCTGTAGGAGCTTTGGGACAAAACCTATGTATGTATTTCAGTCATCATACTCCATCTTATCAGGTGTAAGTTAACGGTGCCGGACACCTTAATATAAGCAACTGTTGTTAAATGCTTTCCAATGTATAAGGACTTCCATATTGGTTTTCCAAAAACCAAAGGTAGCTTTGAAAACCACGTCTGAGGCCGGATGCAGTGCTCATGCCTGTAATCCCAGCCCTTTGGGAGGCCAAGGCGGGTGGATCACGAGGTCAGGAGTTCAAGACCAGCCTGGCCAACATGATGAAACCCTATCTGTACTAAAAATACCAAAATTAGCCAGGTGTGATGGCACATGCCTGTAATCTCAGCTACTAAGGAGGCTGAGGCAGGAGAATCACTTGAACTCAGGAGTTGGAGATTGCAGTGAGCCCAGATTACGCCACTGCACTCCAGCCTAGGCAACAGAGTGAGACTACTCTGTCTCTTAAAAAAAAAAAAAAAAACCAAAAAAAAAAACCACGTCTGAAATGTTTGGATTGTTAAGCAGATTGACTTGGGGGCTTTGATTATATAGCTGATTTCATAACTGCACTAATTGTTAAAGTGTTTGGGAGGTGTTGTTTTGGTGCTTGTTATGTGAAAATAAAGTGACTGTAAAACGATTTTTTTTTTTTTGAGACAAAGTTTCGCTTTTGCTGCCCAGGCTGGAGTGCAGTGGCACAATCTTGGCTCACTGCAACTTCCACCTCCTGGGTTCAAGGGATTCTCCTGCCTCAGCCTCCCGAGTAGCTGGAATTACAGGCATGTGCCACCACGCCCAGTTAATTTTGTATTTTTAGTACAGACAGGGTTTCTCCATGTTGATCAGGCTGGTCTCAAACTCCTGACCTCAGGTGATCCTCCCGCCTCAGCCTCCCAAAGTGCTGGGATTACGGGCGTGAGCCACCGCACCCGGCCAATTTTTTTTTCTTTTTTGAGACAGAGTCTTGCTCTGTGGCCCAGGCTAGAGTACAGTGGCGCGATCTCGGCTCACTGCAGCCTCTGCCTCCCAGGTTCAAGCAATTCTCCTGCCTTAGCCTCCTGAGTAGCTGGAATTATAGGCATGTGTTACCATGCCCAGCTAATTTTTTTTTTTTTTTTTTTTTTGAGACAGGGTCTCACTCTGTCGCCCAGGCTAGAGTGTAATGGCACAATCTCGGCTCACTGCAAGCTCTGCCTCCTGGGTTCATGCCATTCTCCTGCCTCAGCCTCCCAAGTAGCTGGGACTACAGGCACCCACCACCATGCCCAGCTAATTTTTTTTGTATTTTTAGTAGAGACAGGGTTTCACTATGTTAGCCAGGATGGTCTCGATCTCCTGACCTCATGATCTGCCTGCCTTGGCCTCCCAAAGTGCTGGGATTACAGGCATGAGCCACCGCACCCGGCCACACCCAGCTAATTTTTGTATTTTTTGTAGAGAGGGGGTTTCACCATATAGGCAAGTCAGGTCTTGAACTCCTGACCTCAGGTGATCTGCCCACCTCGGCCTCCCAAAGTGCTGGGATTATAGGCGTGAGCCACCACGCCCAGCCTTAAACAGTTTTTTGAAAGATAATTTATAGGCCGGGTGCAGTGTCTCATTCCTGTAAACCCAGCACTTTGGGAGGCCGAGGCGGGCGGATCACCTGAAGTCAGGAGCCATGGCGAAACCCCGTCTGTACTAAAAATACAAAAAATTAGCCGAGCATGGTGGCAGGTACCTGTAATCCCAGCTACTCAGGAGGATGAGGCAGGAGAATCGCTTGAACCCAGGAGGCGGAGGTTGCAGTGAGCCGAGATCGTGCCACTGCACTCCATTCTGGGCGACAAAAGTGAAACTCCTTCTCAAAAAAAAAAAAGGAAATTTATATTCAAGTTCTTATTCTTTCAATTACTTATAAATTAAATGGCTTATGGGTTGACTGTTTTCTTATTTATTTATTTATTTTAAGATGGAGTTGCGCTCTGTCACCCAGGCTGGAGTGCAGTGGCATGATCTCAGCTCACTGCAACCTCTGCCTGCTGGGTTCAAGCAATTCTCCTGCCTCAGCCTCCTGAGTAGCTGGGACTACGGGCATGTGCCACAATGCCCGGCTAATTTTTTGTTTTTTTAGCAGAGATGGAGTTTCACCATGCTGGCCAGGCTGGTCTCGAACTCCTGACCTTGTGATCTTCCCGCCTCGGCCTCCCAAAGTGCTGGGATTACAGGCATGAGCTACAGCGCCCGGCCTATTGTTTTCTTTTTCTTTGTTTTATTTATTTTTTGGATGTGCGGTCTTTATTCTTTCCAATAAAAGTTTTAAAAAAAATGCTTTTCATAAGATTTCCTTTAAATGAGTATATTTCCTTTAAATGAGTGTAGTCAGCTGGATTTTTTTTTTTCATGGAGGTACTAAGTGTCCCATTTCGCTGATGACCAGCATGGTTACTGAAAGCCCTTTGGACCCTAGCAGAATATGCCACCCTGAAATATGCCACTTTGGCATAAGGATTATTTTGAGCTGAAGGCAATTGAAAAGAAACAGATAAATCTGTCTGCCCTTCCTAAAAACAGGACATAAATGCACAGAAGAGTTCCATCTTCCCTCTCTTACAGGAAGACAAAAGTTAATCACCACAGACAACTTTAGACCATTATCAGCGTACATAACAAATTTTACTAGCTATCTTTTATCTCCAGTTAGTTTCAATATTTGCTGCCTTTAGAGACTTAGGGTCCTTTTCCTTTGTCTTGTTACTTCTCTAAAAATTTACTGTACCTTCGGGACGATAAGCTCAAATCTTTTTTTTTTGAGACAGAATCTGGCTCTACCGCCCGGGCTGGAGTGCAGTGGCGCAATCTTGGCTTACTGCGACCTTCACCTCCCAGGTTCAAGCGATTCTCCTGACTCAGCCTCCTGAGTAGCTGGGAGCTGCGAATACAGGCACGTGCCACCATACCTGGCTAATTTTTGTATTTTTAGTAGAGACAGAGTTTCATCATGTTGGCCAGACTGGTCTCAAACTTCTGACCTCAAGTGATCCTCCTACGTCGGCTTCCCTAAGTGCTGGGATTATGAGTGTGAACACCTGTGCCCAGCTCCAAATCTAACCAAACTTTTGAGTTACTAATCTCTGGACTCCCCTGTGTTGTTACATGCACTATGCACAATTAATAAACTCTTTCTCTTGTTAATCCATCTTTTGTCAGTCCGATTTACAGGGCTCCAGCCAAGAAACCTAAGAGGGTGGCAGGAAAAGGAGTTTTTCTTCCCTTATACCTTAAAGCTACCTATTTCACAATGTGTGTTTGTAATAGTGTCTTAAAACCTTACTGTAACTAGAGTAGGTGTAGCACTAGGATATAAAGTTTTTATTTTTATTTTAATTAATTAATTTATTTTTTAAGATGGGGTCTCAGTCCATCATCCAGGCTGGAGTGCAGTGGCGCGATCTGGGCTCACTGCAAGCTCTGCCTCCTGGGTTCACGCCATTCTCCTGCCTCAGCCTCCCAAGTAGCTGGGACTACAGGCACCCGCCACCACGCCTGGCTGACTTTGTATTTTTAGTAGAGATGGGGTTTCACCATGTTAGCCAGGATGGTCTCGATCTCCTGACCTCATGATCTGCCCACCTCAGCCTCCCAAAGCGCTGGGATTACAGGCGTGAGCCACCACACCTGGCCTAAAGTTTTTAAATGATTGATATGAGATTAAATTGTCATTGTTTTGGTGAAAATTTGACTCTGCTAAGTGTCTATTTGCAATAGGAAATGTTTTCTATTTTAAAATATAGCTTCTTGTTTTTTCAGTGTTAATATTTAAGTACATTTTATTTATTTTTAATATTTTACTTTTTGTGAAACAGGGTCTCACTTTGTCATCCAGGCCGGATTGCAGTGGCATGATCACAATTCACTGCAGCCTTGACCTCCCTGGGCTCAGGTGATCCTCTCACTTCAGCCCCCCAAGTAGCTGGGGCTACAGGTGGGCACTACCATGCCCAGCTAATTTTTTTTGCATTTTTTGTAGAGACGGAGTTTCACCATGTTGCCCAGGCTGGTCTTGAACTCACGGGCTCAAGAGATCTGCGTGCCTTGGCCTCCTAAAGTGTTAGAATTACAGGCGTGAGCCACCACGCCTGGCTAAGTGCATTTTAAAATGCAGTAACTGGCCGGGTGTGGTGACTCACTGCCTGTAATCCCAGCACTTCGGGAGGCAGAGGCAGGCAGATCACGAGGTCAGGAGATCGAGACCATCCTTGCTAACATGGTGAAACCCCGTCTCTACTAAAAATACAAAAAATTAGCCTGGCATGGTGGCGGGCGCCTGTAGTCCCGGCTGCTGGGGAGGCTGAGGCAGGAGAATGGCATGAACCCAGGAGGCAGAGCTTGCAGTGAGCTGAGATCACGGCACTGCACTCCAGCCTGGAGGACAGAGCAAGACTCCGTCTCAAAAAAATGAAAAAGAAAAAATGCAGTAACTGATTGGTTTCTCTCTGAAATATGTGCAAAATCAAACTTTTTTTTTTTTCTGAGACAGAGTCTTGCTCTGTCGCCCAGGCTGGAGTGCAGTGGCGGGATCTCAGCTCACTACAACCTCCGTCTCCCGGGTTCAAGCCAGTCTCCTGCCTCAGCCTCCCGAGTACCTGGGATTACAGGCATGCACCACCACACCAAGCTAATCTTTATATTTTTAGTCGAGATGTGTTTTACCATGTTGGCCAGGCTGGTCTTGAACTCCTGACCTAGTGATCCACCCAGCTTCCCAAAGTGCTGTGATTACAAGTGTGAGCCACCACGCCCAGCCTCAAACTGTTTGTTTTAAACATCCAATCTAAGAAAGATTTTATATAATTGTTGCCAGTTAAATA
This sequence comes from Homo sapiens, assembly GCF_000001405.40. NCBI lineage: Eukaryota > Metazoa > Chordata > Mammalia > Primates > Hominidae > Homo > Homo sapiens. The sequence goes on from NC_000017.11 coordinate 58,701,927, forward strand.
TCAAATTATACTATAGCATTCAAGAGAAAAAATGCTTCATTTGAACATTTTTTCTAACTGTGTTTTATTTTTTTGTTTTTTTTTTTGAGACAGAGTTTTCATTCTGTCACCCAGGTTGGAGTACAGTGCCGCTATCATTGCTTACTGCAGCCTTGACCTCCCAGGCTCAAGCAATCCTCTCACCTTAACCTCCTGAGTAGCTACGACCAGAGTTGCACACCATCACACCTGACTAATTTCTGTATTTTTTGCAGAGATGGGGTTTTCCATGTTGCCCAGGCTGCCGTTAACTCTTAATTTGTAGTCCTATAGAAAAAAGCAAGAAAGAGAAACTTCCATTATGTTACTTCTGTTCAATGAAGCCAGTGACTAGAAATATGAAAAGGCAGGCATTAAAACACTAGTTGTATATGTTTATAAATAATTTTACATAGCCTAATATGTAAGGAAACAGTGGAAAAATGTGAAAATAATAGATCAGGTCGGGTGTGGTGGTTCATGCCTGTAATCCCAGGCGTGAATTTGGGAAGCTGAGGTGAGCAGATCACTTGAGGTCAGGAGTTCAAGACCGGCCTGGCCAACAAGGTGAAACCCCGTCTCTACTAAAAATACAAAAATTAGCTGGGCATGGTGGCGAGTGACTGTAATCCCAGCTACTCAAGAGGCTGAGGCAGGACAGTCGCTTGAGCCCAGGAGGCAGAGGTTGCAGTGTGCCAAGATCGCATCACTGCACTCCAGCCTGGGTGACAGAGTGAGACTTTATCTAAAAAAAAAAAAAAAAAATCAAGTGGCTGGGCACAGTGGTTTATGCCTGTAATCCCAGTGCTTTGGGAGGCTGGGGCAGGAGGATCCCTTGAGCCTAGGAATTCGAGGTTGCAGCGAGCTATGATTGTGCCACTGTGCTCCAGCCTGGGCGTCAGAGTGAGACCTTATCTCTAAACAGATTAAGAGAGACATCAGGTGGGGGGCGGCGACGGATAGCATTAGGAGATATACCTAATATAAATGACGAGTTAATGGGTACAGCACACCAAAATGGCACATGTATACATATGTAACCTGCACGTTGTGCACATGTACCCTAGAACTTTAATTAAAAGATCAGGAATTATGAACTGTTTATAGTAATTTTGCTATAATTTGTCATCTTTCAGTTAAAGAATTTTGTTATCCAAAGGAGAACATTTTGTTATTAAAAAGCATTGTTTTTCTACAATTGCCAATACATCCAAACAGGTAAAACTAATTAAGAGTGTTTTGTTGTTTCAGAACACCGAAAAGCTTTGGAGGATTTCACTCTTGATAATATTCTTTCTCATATTTATTATTTTCGCTGTCGTGACTACACAGAGTTACTGGCACAAGTTTATCTTCTTCCAGATTTCCTTTCAGAACACTCAAAGGTATGAGTCAGACTACTGAAATGTAACTAACCAAGTATTTTTTGAGGTGTTTGATAAGCATGAAAAAATAACCAGTACAGTAGCATAAAATCAAAGTCAAAGCCAATTGAGAAAATCTCTTCCTTCCTTGACCTACAATTTATTTATATTTATATTTGTTTTGTGTATGTATATGTATATATAGTTTATGCTCAGAGTAAGAAATTGAAATAATATAGAAGTTTCATTTCCAGTAATAGTGGAATAGCTCCTATCAAACCACATTGTATAGAAAGGTATGAAATGAAAAATAAAAACTTCCTTGTGCTACTGTTTTCTAGTGCCTCTCCCCAAAGGTGATCACTATTGGCCAGGTGCAGTGGCTCATACTTGTAATCCCAGCACTTAGGGAGGCCATGGTGGGAGGATCATTTGAGCCCAGTAGTTCAAAACCAGCCTGGGCAACATAGTAAGACATTGTCCCCACCAAAAAAAAAATTAGCCGTGTGTGGTGTAGCTGTAGTCTCAGCTACCAAGGGCTGGGTGGAGCAGGCCTGAGGTGGGAGGATTGCTTGAGCCCAGCAGTTCAAGGCTACATTGAGCTACCGTGCCATCATGTATCACCTTTTTTTTTTTTTTTTTTTTTTTTTTTGGGTAGAAATGGAGTCAACTCCTGGGGTTAAGCGATTCTCCCACCTCAGCCTCCCAGAGTGCTGGGATTATAGGCATGAGCCACTGTGCCTGGCCCTTTAATTTTGGTAAACATTATCAGTGACAAAGATTCTCCTTGACTGAACTTGGCCCCATCCTGTCTTTGGCCTACCCAGTCCAGTCTTAGCAAAGAATCCTGCTGTCAGTTCAGAGAGATTCTCTCACATTTGATAGTCTGAGCACCTTTGATACCTGATCACGTTCCTCATTCCCCACCTTTGATATTTAAATCCTTGGCTTGCCTTTATTTATTTATTTTTTATTTTTTAATTTGATGGAGTCTGGCTCTGTCGCCCAGGCTGGAGTGCATTGGCGTGATCTTGGTTCACTGCAACCTCTGCTTCCCGGGTTAAGGCAATTCTCCTGCCTCAGCCTCCCAAGTAGCTGGGACTACAGGCATGCGCCACAACGCCTGGCTAATTTTTTTTTTTTTTTATATTTTTGGTAGAAACAGGGTTTTGCATGTTGGCCAGGCTGCTCACCTGGCTGGCCTGCCATTAGTAAGAATCCTGTTCGGTCAGTTTAGCAAGAATTTCCCTACCCTTGATGTCTCACTGTTAGTAATTGTTCATCCACTGACCCCTTCACCTTGCTCTTGGTTGTGAATCCCCAGTTGTCCTTGTATTCTGATTTGAACCCAGTCTCTCTCCCCTATTGTGATACCCCTATTAGAATAGTCTTGAATACAGTCTCCTTACTGTTTTAAGAAGTGTTAGAATAATTTTTTCTTGAACACATATCGCCCTTCAGAAAGACTGCACCAATTTCTACTCTTACTGACAATATATGAGAATGCCTATTACCCATCATCCTGACCTTTTGAATATTTTTGCCAAGATTCTGCATGGAAAATGCCATCTCTTTGTTATTTTATTTATTTTAATTAATTAATTAATTTTTTTTTTGAGTCGCCCAGTCTGACTAACATGGCAAAACCCCGTCTCTACCTAAAAATACAAAAATTAGCCTGGTGTGTTGGCATGCACCTGTGATCCCAGCTACTTGGGAGGCTGAGACAGGAGAATCGCTTGAACCTGGGAAGCAGAGGTTGCAGTGTGCTGAGATCGTGACACTGCACTCCAGCCTGGGAGACAGAGAGACTCTGTCTCAAAATTAATAAATAAAAATTAAATAAATAAATACAATAGAAATTAATTTTCTTAGAGTTCTGGAGCCTAAAAGTTCAAGATCAAAGTTCTAGCTGATTCAGTTTCTGGCAAGGGCTTTCTTCCTGGCTTGCAGACAGCCATCTTTTCTCTGTGTCCTCATATGATAGGGAGGAAAAGAAGGAGAGAGTGAATTCCCTGGTGTTTTTTCTTTTTTTTGGGGGGGGGGTGGAGTTTCGCTTTTGTCACCCAGGCTGGAGTGCAATGGCGTGATCTCAGCTCACTACAACCTCCACCTCCCGGATTCAAGCGATTCTCCTGCCTCAGCCTCCAGAGTAGCTGGGACTACAGGCGCATGCCACCACGCCTGGCTAATTTTTGTATTTTTAGTAGAGACAGGGTTTCCCCATGTTGGCCAAGATGTTCTCGATCTCCTGATCTTGTGATCCGCCCACCTCGGCCTCCCAAAGTGCTGGGATTACAGGCGTGAGCCACCGTGCCTGACCCCTAATATTTCTTCTTACAAGGACGCTAATCATCTTAGATTAGGGTCCCATCTTTATGAACTTATTTGATTACTTCCTTAGAAGTCCTTTCTCCACATACATTCACATTGGGGTTTAGGGATTCAACATACGAATTTTAAGGGGACATAATTGAGTTCCCAGAAGTTTGCCCCTGGCCCCTTGCCCCCCTACCCCCTACCTGCCCGCCAAATTCATGTTTTTCTTGTATCCATTCCATCCACACAGCCCCAAACGTCTTAACCGGTTCCATCATCAACTCTAAAAGTCCCAGGCTTCATCTAAATATTATCTAAATCAGAGATTGGTGAGACTCAAGTTATAATTCATCCTGAAGTGAAATTCCCTTCCAGCTGTGAACGTTTGAAATCAGGCAAGTTATATGCTTTCAAAATACAATAGTAGGAAATGCATAGGATGAACATTCCCAAAAGGATTATGGGTGCCTAGCAAGGCAAATTTCATTGGACCATAAGGCTCAAGAATAATCCTTTGCTGGCCAGGCACGGTGGCTCATGCCTGTAATCCCAGCACTTTGGGAGGCTGAGGCAGGCAGATCACGAAGTCAGGAGTTTGAGACCACCCTGGCCAATATGGTGAAACCCTGTCTCTACTAAAAATACAAAAATTAGCCGGGCATGGTGGTGCGTGCCTGTAGTCCCAGCTACTAGGGAGGCTGAGGCAGAAGAATCACTTCAACGCAGGAGGCAGAGGAGATTGCAGTGACATGAGATCATGCCACTGCACTCCAGCCTGAGTGACAGAGTGAGACTCCATCTCAAAAAAATAATAATAATTAAAAAAAGAATGATCCTTTGCTTTGATGCTCTGCCTTCCAGGCCCACTGCAGTAGCAGAATCACCCTACTGCTCTGTGGGGTGGCCCTGCCCCTTCCTCTCTCTGCAAGGGCCCCACCCTCTGAAACCAAGGACGACATAGCATTGCCCCCTGGGCTTATGGTAAGAGTGACAGCTCTGAGGATCTGTGATCCCCTTTGGCACCATTCTTTCCTTTTCTTGAGGAATAGGGCACATTCACAGTCAAGTAGCTCATGGTTTTCTCTTGTGGAATCAAGGAAGTCCAACAGCCTTCGTTCATTCTTTCCCACTTACTCTGTCCTCTTTACTTCAAACTAGCAGTGTTTCTGCTGTTATAATCCCTTATCTATCACTGGCTTCTGCTGAGATGGCTGATTAACATCATGGATAATCTATTTATAGAGTCATTGTTCAACCGTACCTTTGGTCTTCTCTCTAGAGCAAGCTTTCTTATTTTTAGCAATATGGATAGGCTGAGAATTTTCTACATCTCTAAGTTCTGGTTCCTTCTTGCTGAACAATTCCTTCTTCAATTCATCTGTCTCCTCTTTCATTTTTACTATAAGTGGTCTAGGAGAAACCAAGCCACTTCCTCTACACTTTGCTTAGAAATCTCCTGAGATAAATAGCCAATTTCATTTCTCACAAGTTTTACCTTCCATAAAATACTAGAACACAGCCAAGTTCTTTGCCACTTTATACTAAGCACCAGCTTTCCTTCAGTTTCCAGTAACTTGTTCCTCATTTCTGTATAAATCCTCACCAGAATAGCCGGGCATGGTGGCTCACACCTGTAATCCCAGCACTTTGGGAGGCTGAGGTGGGCGGATTGCCTGAGGTCAGGAGTTCAAGACCAGTCTGGCCAACATGGTGAAACCCCGTCTCTACTAAAAATACAAAAAAATTAGCTGGGTGTGGTGGCGTGTGCCTGTTAATCCCAGCTACTAGGGAGTCTGAGGCGGGAGAATTGCTTGAACCAGGGAGGTGGAGGTTGCAGTGAGCCAAGAACGCACCACTGCACTCCAGCCTGGGCAACAGAGCGAGACTCCATCTGAAAAAAAAAAAAAGCCTCACCAGAATTGCCCTTAATGTCCATATTTTCAGTATGTGCCTCAAAACTGTTCCAGCCTTTGCTTATTACCCAATTTGAAAATCACTTCCACATTTTAGGTATTTGTTATAGTAGTACCTTGCTTCTCTCACTACCTAACCCACCATACCTCATTTCTTGATACTAAAATTTGTTGTGGTCACCTCAGGCTGCCATAACAAAAATACTATAGTCTGAGTGGCTTGAACAACAGAAATTTTATTTTCTTACAGTTCTGGAGACTAGAAGCTCAAGATAAGGTTCTGGCTGATTGGTCTCTGGTGAGAGCTCTCTCCCTGGCATGTAGATGGCCACCTTCTTGCTGTGTCCTCATGGGGAGGAAGGAGGAAGAGTGAGCTCTTTGGTGTCTTTTCTTCAAGGACACTAATCCTCTCAAATCAGGATGTCATTCTCATGACCTAATTTTACGTTAATTACTACCTTAGAGGCCCTCTCTCCAAATACAGTCACACTGGGAGATAGGGCTTCAATTTACGAATATTGGGGGGACACAGCAGTGGTCATGTGTGGAGTCATGAAAAATCGAATCAACCTGTGCACATATTCCCAGCTGACGTTGAACAAGGTCATGTTCTGCCTTTTTATTTCAGCTCTCTACTGTAAACAAGTGTCCTTTTCACAGTCTTTATAATGCCACTTTTTTTTGCATTTTTGTGCTTTTTATTAGTGTTCACCTGTTCTTCATCACTTCAACCAGTTTCATTTTCTTATAATTATCGGAAATTACCTTATTTGTGTGTTTGTTTGCATATTAATGGTCCCTTACTCCACTAAAACATAACCTCCAAGAGAGCAGGGACCTTCTCTCTTATTTACTATATTCTTCTCTCTTATTTACTATATCATCCCCAATGCCTGGAACAGTAAATAGCATATAGGAAAGGAGGTGTCAATTAATACTTGCTAAATGAAGAAACAAATACTCTAAATAAAACAACTTACTTAGGCATTGCTTCATAAAAGCCTCTTGTTTAATCCAACCCTTACTAGATAGAAAAAAACATAGCATTGGAGTCTTTTGTTTGTTTACATTTGGGTTAGTTTCCAGATTCTTTTTGATTTGGGGATCTTAAGGTTTATATATTGGTTTATTTTTCTAACTTCACTGTTTATTTTTTGCTTTGGGGGGGGCTTTCTTTTGAAAGGGTTTTGCTCTGTCCCCCAGGCTGGAGTGCATGGCAGGGTTTCACCACGTTGGCCAGGCTGGTCTCAAACTCCTGACCTCGTGATCCACCTGCTTCGGCCTCCCAAAGTGCTGGGATTACAGATGTGAGCCACCGCGCCCAGCCTGAAGGTTTTTTTGTTTTTTGTTTTTTGTTTTAGGAAACATAAAAAGAACCCGGAAGGTAAAATTGGTATATTTAATTGACAAATGTGTTGTTTTACCAAGACTTTTTCTTTAAGCCTTTTCAGAATGTTTTACAAAGACTTTAAATGTGCTTTTTATCAGTAAAGACTGTGTACAGTGGCAAGTTAAAGAAAATTATAATTATTCCTTTTTCTTTTTGAATTACTTTTTTTTTTTTTTTTTTTTGAGACAAAGTCTCACTCTGTCGCCCAGGCTGGAGTACAGTGGCGCAACCTCTGCCACCAGGGTTCAAGAGATTCTCCTGCCTCAGCCTCCTGAGTACCTGGGATTACAGGTGCCTGCCACTGTGCCTGGCTAATTTTTGTAGTTTTAGCAGAGATGGGGTTTCACCATCTTGGCCAGGCTGGTCTTGAACTCCTGACCTCGTGATCCACCTGCCTCGGCCTCCCAAAGTGCTGGGATTACAGGTGTGAGCCACCGCGCCCAGCCTTTGAATTACTTTTTTAAAGTTGAGAAATTATCAAAGCAGAGTCCGTTTTAACTTTTAGTGATTATTGCAGAAAGCACTGGCTGAACAGCTTTGTAACTTTCCAAAAGAAAGCCATACTTTAGACAGTTGGAAATAAAGCCCTGGGTTTTAAGGTTTTTTCCTGTAATGGACTATGGTTTTTCCAATGCTATGTTTTTTTCTATCTAGTAAGGGTTGGATTAAAGAAGAGGCTTTTATGAAGCAATGTCTAAGTAAGTTGTTTTATTTAGAGTATTTGTTTCTTCATTTAGCAAGTATTAATTGACACCTCCTTTCCTATATGCTATTTACTGTTCCAGGCATTGGGGATGATATAGTAAATAAGACAGAAGAATATAGTAAATAAGAGAGAAGGTCCCTGCTCTCTTGGAGAGAGAGAGCATTTTTATTATTATTATTTTATTTTTCGTAACAAATCTAATATTATCTCTTCTGTATTTAGGTTCGACTAGTGATAGTGGATGGTATTGCTTTTCCATTTCGTCATGACCTAGATGACCTGTCTCTTCGTACTCGGTTATTAAATGGCCTAGCCCAGCAAATGATCAGCCTTGCAAATAATCACAGATTAGCTGTAAGTATTAACTAGTGAAGAGAGTTTTATAACAAAGTCAAGACTGTATAAAATGTTAATGTCTAGAAATGTCAAAATAGCGTTTGCCTGACAAATAATATAGACATGCAGTTTTGAGTAAAGTTACGTTTGGTTGGTTTCCATTAAAAAATTCTGGTCATAAGTGTCAGTTTTCCTGGAAAATAACAAGCATAATTAATGGACTTTGTGGTTGAGCGCGGTAGCTCGTGCCTGTAATCCCAGCACTTTGGGAGGCCGAGGCAGGTGGATCATGAGGTCAGGAGTTTGAGACCACCCTCGCCAACATGGTGAAACCCTGTCTCTACTAAAAAAAAAAAAAAAAAAAAAAAACCAAAAATTAGCCCGGTGTGGTGGCATGCCCCTGTAATCCCACCTACTCGGGAGGCTGAGGTAGGAGAATCACTTGAACCCAGGAGGCGGAGGTTACAGTGGGTGGAGAACGCGCCATCACACTCCAGCCTGGGCAGCAGCAAGACTCCGTCTCAAGGCAAAAAAAAAAAAAAAGGACTTTGTTTGATAAAGAAATGCCACCTTTGTTAATTGCAGTGTCTTCTTTGTTTAAATATACTTTGGATGTTTTTCAGGTTAACTCTTCCAACATCCCTGGTTTTCTTCTCCTTTGAGTCTTTGATTATTATGTGGTATGTAATCACAGATTCAGATGGATTGAAACATAACCGGTGTAAACAACCTAGATGCTTTGAGGTAGAGCTAAATAACTCTTGAAGATTTGAAATGTGAGGAGAGAAGTAAATATCGGCTCAGAAGGGAAGAGATTTTTTTTTTTAAAGTTTTACCTCACTCCTCTTTAACTGCTTGTTTGCCATTACTTCCCACCCTGAATCCACATCCCACCACTGACACAAATACACACATTTGTCTGGGAGTAAGATGTAAGGTCAAACTGCTTAACTTGATTTCTTTGTCTTTACCTTAATTAGAGAGACCTTAGCACATACCTGTAATACATCATAAGTAAATAAAGAACTTCCTCAGTAAAGTCATTTTAAAGCATACTTTTTTCTTTGAATTTCCAATTTTTTTTGCCATATGCTGAAAAGCATAGTGCCCTGTGTTTGAATTACTTTTTGCTTAAATTAATTGTAATTTAGCCTTTTGTTAATATCAGTGAAGAGCCTCCAGTAGGGGGCACTCAAGACTAATAGGTTGCATAGTTCCTTATGTTTTTAACAGAAATAGCTTCACCTTTTCCGACTAAAAAAGCAATCCAAACAATAACATCAAATAGTAGGTAGTGTTTAAGAAGAGTGATGTAAATATAAACGTCCTAACATGGAAGAAGATATATACATATATGTTATTGAGTGAAGAAATTTAAGTTGTATATAAAATATATTTAATGTTACCTCAGTTTAGAGAAAACTTATAATTATATGTATGCATTTATATTTGTATATATGAAGAGAAAGATCTGAAAGGACCAAAACATTAACAGTGGCTACTTCTTTTTTATTTTTTTGGAGACAGAATCTTACTGAAGTGCAGTGGTACAATCAGGGCTCGCCACAGCCTCGACATCTCGGGCTCAAGTGATCCTGCCACCTCAGCCTCCCTAGTAGCTGAGACTAGAGGCACATGCCACCATGCCCGGCTAATTTTTGTATTTTTTTTTTTGTAGAGATGGGGTTTCACCATGTTGCCCAGCTGGTCAGAAGGCGGAGGTTGGGCTCAAGCGATCATCTGCCGGCCTCAGCCTCCTAAAGTACTAGGATTACATGCATAAGCCACTGTGCCCAGACTTGGCTTCTTCAAAGGATGGGATTTTGTAGGGTTAGGGACACACTTTCCCTCTCTTACTTTATAATTTCTTTGCTTGAAGGTTTTTTTTCCCAATTAACATATATATAACATGTATGGCTTTTGATAATGTATTTTATAATTTTAAGGCCAGATGTGGTAACTCACACCTGTAATCCCAGCACTTTTGGAAGGCCAAAGTGGGAGGACCGCCTGAAGCCAGGAGTTTGAGACCAGCCTGAACAACAAAGCTTGACCCCATCTCTAAAAAAAAAAATACATAAAATAAGAATAATTGGCCGGGCACGGCGGCTCACATCTGTAATGCCAGCACTTTGGGAGACTGAGGTGGGCGGATCATGAGGTCAGGAGTTCGAGACCAGCCTGACCAACATGGTGAAACCCCATCTCTACTAAAAATACAAAAAATAGTCAGGCGTGGTGGCATGCCTGTAATCCCAGCTACTCAGGAGGCTGAGGCAGGGGAATCATTTGAACCCAGAAGGCGGAGGTTGCAGTGAGCCAAGATTGCGCCACTGCACTCCATCCTGGGCGAGAGAGCAACACTCCATCTCAAAAAAAAAAAAAAAAAAAAAGAAATTTTAAGTTATGTATGCTTTTTGTAAAAGAAAAAAAAAGTTCTAAACAATAAAAAATGTAGGAAGCGATTATTCATTACTCAGAGATTGTGTAAATATTGTTGTCTGGTGTAAATATTTTTGCAGACTTCATGCATATACAAACTTACGTTTTAGAAAATGAGGTCATAGGCCAGGTGTGGTGGCTCACGCCTGTAATCCCAGCACTTTGGGAGGCCAAGGCGGGCAGATCACGAGGTCAGGAGATCGAGACCATCCTGGCTAACACGGTGAAACCCCATCTCTACTAAAAATACAAAAAAGTAGCTAGGCTTGATGGCGGGCGCCTGTAATTTCAGCTACTCGGGAGGCTGAGGCAGGAGAATGGCATGAACCCGGGAGGCGGAGCTTGCAGTGAGCTGAGATACGCCACTGCACTCCAGCCTGGGCGACAGAGCAAGACTCCGTCTCAAAAAAAAAAGAAAATGAGGTCATGCCACCGCAGTGGCTCACGCCTGTAATCCCAGCACTTTGGGAGGCCAAGGTGGGAGGATCACTTGAGCCCATGAGTTTGAGACCAGCCTGGGAAATATAGTGAGACTTCATCGCTACAAATTTTTAAAAAAATCTTAGCCAAGCATAGTGGCATGCACCTATAGTTCTAGCTACTTAAGCGGCTGAGGTGGGAGTATTGCTTGAGGCTGGGAGGCAAAGGTTGCAGTGAGCTGAGATCGCACCACTGCACTCCAGCCTAGGCAGCAGAGCAAGACCCTGTCTTCAAAAACACAAAAAGAAATGAAAATGAGGTCATATTATACATGCTATTATGCAAAGCAGTTTTCTGTTTTTCACTTAATATATTGTGAACATCTTTCCATGTATACTACTTTTTTTTTCCATGTACACTACTTATAAGTCTGCTTTACACTAACAGCTGCATAGTATTTTGCTGTATGACTGTAGCATAGGTTTTTTTTGTATTTGTATTTGTTTTTGGGTTTTCTTTTTTATGAGACAGGGTCTCGCTCTGTCATCCAGGCTAGAGTGCAGTGGCATGATCTTGGTTCACTGTAGCCTCAATCTCCTGGGCTTAAGCAATCCTTTCACCTCAGCCTCTTGAGTAACTGAGACCACAGGCACACACCACCACACCCAGCCAATTTTTAAATTTTTTGTAGAGGCTGGGCACGGTGGCTCACACCTATAACCCACCACTGTGGGAGGCCAGGGCAAGCAGATCACTTGAGGTCAGGAGTTCAAGACCAGCCTTGCCAACATGGTGAAACCTTGTCTCTACTAATAATACAAAAATTAGCCAGGTGTGTTGGTGCTCACCTGTAGTCCTAGCTACTTGGGAGGCTGAGGCAGGAGAATCACTTGAACTCGGGAGGTGGAGGTTGCAGTGAGCCAAGATCACACTGTTGCACTCCAGCCTGGGAGACACAGTGAGACTCTAGCTCCAAAATAAATAAATAAATAAGTTTTTTGTAGAGATGAGGTCTCACTATGTTGCCTAGGCTGTTCTTGAACTCCTGGGCTTAAGGGATCCATCTGCTTCAGCCTTCCATAGGCATGAGCCACTGTGCCCACCCTGTAGCGTAGTTTTTTTAACCACCTCCTTATTGATGGTCTCTCTCTTTTTTTTTTTTCTGTTTTAGATAGAGTCTTCCTCTCTCACCCAGGTTGGAGTACAGTGTCACACTCTTGGCTCACTGCAGCCTCCACCTCCCAGGTTCCAGAGCTTCTCATTCCACAGTCTCCCGAATAGCTGGGATTACAGGCGTGCACCACCACACCTGGCTAATTTTTGTATTTTTAGTAGAGATGGGGTTTCACCATGTTGGCCAGGCTGGTCTCAAACTCCTGACCTCAAGTGATCGACCCTCCTCGGCCTCCCAAAGTGCTGGGATTACAGGTGTGAGCCACCACAGCTAGTCTAGAATAAATTTCTTAAAGTGAAAATATTAAGCCAAAGGAATCGATTTTTGAACATTTTGTTTTATGTTATAAAATTACCCTCAGAAACTATGCTCCAAAGTATGTCTCTACAGCAATGAATGGGAACTCTTGTTTTCCCATATCTTTACCAACTTTGGGTACCAGTCTTTTATTTATTTATTTATATCTTTGAGACGGAGTCTCGCTCTGTCGCCCAGGTTGGAGTGCCATGGCGCGATCTTGGCTCACTGCAACCTGTGCCTCCTGGGTTCAAGAGATTCTCCTGCCTCAGCCTCCCGAGTAGCTGGAACTACAGGCGCGTGCCACCATGCCCGGCTAATTTTTTATATTTTTAGTAGAGATGGGTTTCACTGTGTTAGCCAGGATGGTCTCGATCTCCTGACCTCGTGATCCACCCGCCTCAGCCTCCCAAAGTGCTGGGATTATACGCGTGAGCCACCACGCCCAGCTAGGTACCAGTCTTTTAAATCTTTGCCAAATTGATATGGAGAAAGTCCTTTAAAAATATGTTTTTTGGATTATTGGCATAATTTTTTAAACAGCCTTAATGACATATATGATTCATCCTTGCAGTGTGCACAATTCAGTGATTTTCAGTGTATCCACAGAGTTTTGCAAACATCACCACTGTATAATTTTAGAATATTTCCGTCATCCTAAAAAAGAAACCCCAACCTCACAGTGAATTTCAGAATATTTAAAATGTCTGCTCCTTCAGTGTCACGTTTCAAATCTCATGCAAATTTTTCTTGCGGTCAACTATAACTTTGTACCCTATGGAGAAAGTAATTCTGGTTCTGGGAAACACACAGTTCCAGATTATTAAAAAAAAAAAAACAAAAAAAAACAAAAAACCTCTTTTCAGCTGGGTGCAATAGCTCACCCCTGTAATTCCAGCACTTTGGGAGGCCAAGGTGGGTGGATCACCTGAGGTCAGGAGTTCACAACCAGCCTGGCCAACATGGTGAAACCCCATCTCTACTAAAAATACAAAAAAATTAGCCAGTTGTGGTGGCAGGTGCCTGTAATCCCAGCTACTCAGGAGGCTGAGGCAGGAGAATTGCTTGAACCCAGGAGGCGGAGGTTGCAGCAAGCCAGGACCGCGCCATTGCACTCCAGCCTGGGCAACAAGAGCGAAACTCTGTCTCAAAAAAAAAAAAAAAAAAAAACCCTTTTCATTAGCTGTCATTCTCTATTCTACCCTCCCCCAGTCCCTCACAACCACTAGTATGCTTTCTGTTTCTGTGAATTTGTCTTTTCTGGACATTTTATATAAGCAGATCATACAGTATATGGCCTTTTATGTCTGACTTCTTTCACTTAGCGTGATGTTTTCAAGGTTTATCTGTATTTTAGCACCCATCAGTATCTTTTTAATGACTAATTTTGCATTTTATGGATATATCACATTTTGTTTATCTGTTCATTGGTTGAAGGACATTGCATGGCAGAAATATTTTTAAAGCTCTGAAGTTCATAATTTCAAGTGATTGTTACTTTACTGTTTTAAACTTTTGACCTGGCATGGTGGCTCACGCCTGTAATCCCAGCACTTTGGGAGGCCAAGCTGGGTGGATCACCTGAGGTCAGGAGTTCGAGACCAGCCTGGCCAACATGGTGAAACTCTGTCTTTACTAAAAATACAAAATTTAGCCAAGCGTGGTGGGGGACACCTGTAATCCTAGCTACTTGGGAGGCTGAGGCAGGAAACTCTCTTGAACCCAGGAGGCAGAGGTTGCAGTGAGCCGAGGTCATGCCACTGCACTCCAGCCTGAGCAACAGAGCAAGACTCTGTCTCGAAAAAAAAAAAAAAAAGCACTTATTCTTTAGAAGCTTGGCATAATCACATACTAATTTTCAGTTGTATCATGGAGGCCAATCGTTTTGCAAAAGTAATATAATTGCTATATAAATATTTGCTAATAATGGAAATTCTAATTTTGGCATGTTGAATACCTGGTAAATCAGTAGTTTGATTTATATTTTCCTAAAGATACGTAGTGCGTAAACTAAGTACTCTCTCTAAACCAGCACTGTCCAGTAGATCTGATGGAAAGATGAAAATGTACAGTCTAGTACAGTAGCTGCATGACTGTTCAGCACTTGAAATATAGCTAATACTACTGAGCTACTGAATTTATGATTTTAATTTAACTTTTTTATTTATTTTTTTTGAGATGGAGTCTCACTCTGTCGCCCAGGCTGGAGTGCAGTGGCGCGATCTTGGCTCACTGCAACCTCCTCCTCCCGGGTTCACGCCATTCTCCTCCCTCAGCCTCCCTAGTAGCTGGGACTACAGGCGCATGCCACCATGCCCAGCTATTTTTTTGTATTTTTAGTCGAGACAGGGTTTCACCATGTTAGCCAGGATGGCTTTGATATCCTGACCTTGTGATCCTCCCACCTCTGCCTCCCAAAGTACTGGGATTACCGGCACAAGCCACCACGCCTGGCTTCTAATGTAACTTTTTTTTTTTTTTTTAAGACGGAGTCTCGCTCTGTCACCCAGGCTGGAGTGCAGTGGCGCGATCTTGGCTCACTGCAAGCTCTGCCTCCCGGGTTCACCATTCTCCTGCCTCTGCCTCCTGGGTTCACACCATTCTCCTGCCTCAGCCTCCTGAGTAGCTGGGACTACAGGCACACACCACCACGCCCGGCTAATTTTTTGTGTATTTTTAGTAGAGACGGGGTTTCACCGTGTTACCCAGGATGGTCTCGCTCTGACCTCGTGATCCGCCCGCCTCGGCCTCCCAAAGTGCTGGGATTACAGTCGTGAGCCACCGCACCTGGCTAATTTAACTTTTAAAAGCTACACCTGGGCCAGGCACAGTGGCTCATGCCTATAATCCCAGCACTTTGGGAGGCCAAGGTGGGAGGATCACTTGAGGCCAGGAGTTCGAAGTTAATCTGGGCAACATAGCAAAACCCTGTTTCTACAAATAATTTAAAAATTAGTTAGGCATGCCTATAGTTCTAGCTAGTAGAACTTGTGCTTGAACTATAGTTCTAGCTACTGGGGAAGCTAAGGCAGGAAGATTGTTTGAGTCCACAACTTCAAGGCTGCAGTAAGCTATGATTGTGTCATTGCCCCCCAGCCTGGGTGACAGAGTGAGACCCCATTTCTAAAAACTATTCTTAAGAAAAGCTGCCGGCCGGGTGTGGTGGCTCATGCCTGTAATCCTAGCACTTTGGGAGGCCGAGGTGGAGATCACCTGAGGTCAGGAGTTCGAGACCAGCCTGACCAACATGGAGAAACCCCGTCTTTACCAAAAATACAAGCTTAACCAGGCATGGTAGCTCACACCTGTAATCCCAGCTACTCATGAGGCTGAGGCAGGGGAATCGCTTGAACTCAGGAGGCGGAGGTTGCAGTGAGCCAAGATCATGCCATTGCACTCCAGCCTGAGCAACAGAGTGAGACCTTGTCTCAAAGAAAAAAAGAAAAAGAAAGAAAAGCTGCCAATTTAAATTCCTGCTTAGCTTTTTCTAAGGTGCCCGATGAGAGGTAACAAATGGAGAATGCCCTGTGGCATGTAAGGGGAGGGGAGCTAGAAGAAAATCATGTCATCCACTTGGTATCTAATTGAGATCTAGATGGATCACAGATTTCTCCTTTGCGGTGAAACAGAAATTTTAGGGTGTTACCACTGCAGTGGGAACAGCCAAACAACCTTTTTTCTTTCGCAGTTTTCTTTTTCTTTTTTTTTGAGTTGGAGTCTTGCTCCTGTTGCCCAGGCTGGAGCGCAATGGTGCAATATTGGCTCACTGCAACCTCTGCCTCCTGGATTTCAGTGATTCTCCTGTCTCAGCCTCCCGAGTAGCTGGGGTTACAGGTGCCCGCCCCAACGTTCGGCTAATTTTTTGTAATTTTGGTAGAGATGGGGTATCGCCATGTTGGCCTGGCTGGTCTCGAACTCCTGACCTCAGGTGATCTACCTGCCTCGGCCTCCCAAAGTGCTGGGATTATAGGCATGAGCCACCGCGCCTGGGCTGTTTCTCGGTTTTCTTACATAAAAAACTCATTTTCAGAGTAGACACCTTTTTCTTACTGCTTTTCATGGAATTTCATTATCAGTTTTAGTTTGCAATATTAACTCTTTTTTTCTGGAGGGAAGATATGTATTAGAAGAGTATATAAAGTAACCATTTCTGGAGATTTGGGGATGGAAAGATAACAGATCTGACTTCTGTGTTAAGTCAGCCTTAAACGCTTTTGTTTTCCCTGCTTTATTTAAAATTACTGTCTTTCAAAACCTGGAACCTTTTTTGTAGGTCAGTATTTATACAAAGAGAATTAGCAATATGAAACCTTGAGGGCCATCTGTGAGTTGCAAAGCAACACCTGTGGCTGTTAATAGCTGAGTAGCATAATCATAATTTGGAGTCATTTGACCTGACTACTAGGATTTTTTTTTTCCTAGTTCATCTACTTATATTGTACCTTCTTTATGAGTTTTAAGTCTCTTCTCATAATTTGTTGCCTCAGTTTCTTTTTTTCCTATAAAATTATAAACAGTAATACTATATTTGCTTCCTTCTTAAAAGTATAAACATTGAGGTATTTGTTAAGGATTTCATATTCCTTTCAATAAAAATATTCTAGGGAGGCAATAGTGATAAAGAACATGGACTCAGGCCAGGCACAGTGACACATGCTTATAATCCCGGCCCTTTGGGAGGCCGAGGTGGGTGGATCACTTGAGGTCAGGAGTTCGAGACCAGGCCGGCCAACATGGTAAAACCCCATCTTTACTAAAAATGCAAAAAATTAGCCAGGCATGGTGGCAGGCACCTGTAATCCTAGCTACTTGGGAGGCTGAGGCAGGAGAATAGCTTGAACCCGGGAGGCGGAGATTGCAGTGAGCCGAGATCGCGCCATTGCACTCCAGCCTGGGCAACAGAGCGAGACTCAGTCTTTCTTTTTTGAGACAAGGTCTTGCTTGGTCATCAGGCTGGGGTACGGTGACAGAATCATGGCTCACTGCTGCTTCAACCTCCTGGGCTCAACCAATTCTCCTGCCTCAGCCTCCTGAGTAGCTGGGACTACAGTTGTGCACCACCATGCCCAGCTAATTTTTTAAAAAGTTTTTTGTAGGTCAGGTACAGTGGCTTATGCCTGTAATCCCAGCATTTTGGGAGGCTGAGGCAGGAGGATTGTGTGAGCCCAGGAGTTCAAGATCAGCCTGGGCAACATAGCAAGACCCTGTCTCTTAAAAAAAAAGTTTTATGAGCTAGATGTGGCAAACACCTCTAGTCCCAGCTGTTCAAGAGGCTGAGGTGGGAGGATCATGTGAGTCTAGGACTTCAAGGACCACCTGGGCAACATAGCAAGACCCCATCTCTAAAGTATGAAAATAAAATACTTTATGATCAGTAGAATCATATTTTCAGGTAACTACATCTTTTTATGGGTGGATTTTTAATTTTTTTTTTTTTTTTTGAGATGGAGTCTCACTCTGTTGCCCAGGCTGGAGTGCAGTAGCGCTATCTCAGCTCACTGCAGGCTCTGCTCCCCGGGTTCACGCCATTCTCCTGTCTCAGCCTCCTGAGCAACTGGGACTACAGGCGCCCGCCACCACGCCCAGCTGATTTTTTATATTTTTAGTAGAGACAGGGTTTCACCGTGTTAGCCAGGATGGTCTCGATCTCCTGACCTCGTGATCCGCTCACCCTGTTAGCCAGGATGGTCTCGATCTCCTGACCTCGTGATTCGCCCGTCTTGGCCTCCCAAAGTGCTGGGATTTAAAATTTTTTATCAGAAAAATTTGTATTACTTAAATGGCTGGCTATAATAGGTAGATTAATTTCATATTACTAAAATCACAGGCTGGGCGCGGTGGCTCACACCTGTAATACCAGCACTTTGGGAGGCCAAGGCAGGCAGATCACGAGGTCAGGAGATCGCGACCATCCTGACTAACACGGTGAAACCCCGTCTCTACTGAAAAAATACAAAAAAATTAGCTGGGTGTGGTGGTGGGCGCCTGTAGTCCCAGCTACTTGGGAGGCTGAGGCAGGAGAATGGTGTGAACCCAGGAGGCAGAGCTTGCTGTGGGCAGAGATTGTGCCACTGCACTCCAGCCTGGGTGACTGAGCGAGACTCTGTCTCAAAAAAAAAAATAAAATAAAAAATAAAATCACAAGACTGTTTACTTGATTATTTATTTATTTATTTATTTAGTGAGACAGAGTTTTGCTCTTTTGTCCAGGCTGGAGTGAAGTGGCACGCTCTTGGCTCACTGCAACCTCTGCCTGCCCCAGGTTCAAATGATTCTCCTGCCTCAGCCTCCGGAGTAGCTGGGATTACAGGTGCATGCCACCATGTCTGGTTAATTTTTGTATTTTTAGTAGAGATGGGGTTTCACAATCTTGGCCAGACTGGTCTACTTGATAATTTTCAAAGAGACTCACCTAATTTTCTTACATTTTGTTTTTGTAGGTAATTTTAACCAATCAGATGACAACAAAGATTGATAGAAATCAGGCCTTGCTTGTTCCTGCATTAGGTGGGTAATTAATCAGATAAACATTTTAGTTTATCACAGTTTTTCTTATCTCTTTCATTTGATTCTCATTGAGTACTATACGCTTCATGAAAGCAGACTGTATTTGTCTTGTTCACTGGTTAATCTTAGCACTAAGCACAGTACCGTTAGATACTGATTGTTCCTTTTAGTTATTTAACATTTATTGAGTGGCCAGACACAGTGTCCCACACCTGTAATCCCAACACCTTGGGAGGCCGAGGCGGATCACTTGAGGCCAGGAGTTCAAGACCAGCCTGGCCAATATGGTGAAACCCCATCTCTACTAAAAATACAAAAAATTAGCCAGGCATGGTGGCACACACTTGTAATCCCACCTACTTGGGAGGCTGAGGAGTGAGAATTGCTTGAACTTGGGAGGCGCAGGCTGCAGTGAGCTGGGATCGTGCATCTGCACTCCAGCCTGGGGGACAGAGTAAGACTCTCTCAAAAAATTGCGTATCTACTGTCTGGCAACTGTTGTGTCAAAGATTCTTGCCCCCAGGGAGTTCACAGTGTTAGGGAGAAGGAAAGGTGAATCCACTTAAATACAAATCACACTACAGTGAATATCGTGGTTTTGTTAGAATGTAGTGCTTCAAGATTTATTTCCACTAAAATCTTAAAGAATATTCTACCAGAGTCTTGGCCAGGTACAGTGGCTTATGCCTGTAATCTCAGCACTTTGGGAGGCTGAGGCGGGTGGATCACCTGAGGTCGGGAGTTTGAGAGCAGCCTGACCAACATGGAGAAACCCCATCTCTATTAAAAATACAAAATTAGATGAGCATGGTGGCACATTCCTGTAATCCCAGCTACTTGGGAGGCTGAGGCAGGAGAATCGCTTGAACCTGGGGGGCAGAGGTTGCAGTAAGCCACGGTCGCGCCATTGCACTCCAGCCTGGGCAACAAGAGTGAAACTCTGTCTCAAAAAAAAAAAAAATGTATCTGCCCTTGACTAGTTTTCAACTAATGGCATAGATCATTCTATAAACAGATAATGTAGTAAAGGTTACAATAGAAAGTACAGGGTACTGTACAAAGGACGGATTCTAACCTGGCCCAGGTGAGCAGGATGAAAAGGAGGAAGGTTAGGGAAGGGAGTGTAATAGTCTGTCATGTTTCTTCCAGCTGTTTTTGTCATTTTCTATCACCCACTTAAGCAAGAGCTTCCTAATGTTTGGATCCACTCAGGGGTAATCAAACTCAGCCTTTCTCAAACTCATGCCCTCAGCACACTATGATAAATCAGAAAGCAAATTTATAAATTTAGTGAGAATTACAGTTGTCAAGCAGAATGAAGTTTATGTTTTCTAGTCAGTTTATTTTCTTCCCAGATACCAGGAAGTTGGGAAAGCAGGGGTTCAGAGTTGGTAAGCAGAGAAGCAAATAAATGGAAATGGATGCCCTCAGGAATATTATGCTTAAGTTGTGATAATTCTGATGCCCTCCTTGGTTTACTAGCAGAACGCCCTTTACCTTGGATATTGCTAGGATATTGTTCAATAGAATGGTCAGTTATGATAGAAGTGTTCTATGTCTGTGCTCTTCAGTACAGTAGCCCTTGCTACATGTGGCTATTGAGGCATTTAAAATGTGGCTAATGCAGCTGTGGAATGGAATGTTTAATTGAATTTTACTTAAATTTAAATTGCACATGTGGCAAGTGACTGCCCTGTTGTGTAGTGCAGCACTGGATAAACATAACTCCTGTGTTCTAGACTCCAATCCCACCATTAGCTTTCTGTTTTTGACAGTGTTTGCTAGTATGATAGGTCACTGCTCATTTTACATTACTATCAGTTTAGTTTCCTTTATATTTCAGAGGCTCCCTAATCCCTTAAAGAGATTTAAAAATCAACGTAGACCACTTCTGTATGAAAATAAGATGGCTGAATTTGCTTTGATTGGAATTAGGAACTGGCGCTCTCTTTGCTAGTTCTGGAATTTGGCCAGGATGCACATCAAAATCTCATTCCTACCCTCCTGATTTGCCTCATGCAAACTTTGTTGCTGTGTCTGTTCTTTGGTCTTCTATTGCTGTGTCTCAGCTTTAGATTATATGTCTTGCGTAGAAATGGATCATCAGAATGCAACAGGCAGAAGACTTAGAATTGCAAATCAGTAGGGTAATGACAAACCCTTTGAGCTGAGTGGGACTGAAAAGTAACCTAACATATAACCTATTAGTAATTGTTAACCATGAAGATTTTCAGTGCTGGACACATAAATTGCTGAGTTCAACTGCCCTCTTTGCCCTCCAAATCTAGCATAAAACAAATTGGTGATCTCAGGCCAGTTTCACACCTAATATGACTAATAATAAAAGTCTTGTGTTTCAGGAACTCAGTTTGTCCAAACCTGAGCCCATCATCTCTACCTCACAAATTATATCCACCTTTTCATTTCCTTGCACTGTGTCTGCATGATATGATAATACTCCCAAGCACTATTGCTTAAATCTTGAGTTACACTTAATGCTTTTTTTTTTGGTCTTTTTTCTTTTTAATGTGAAATAGAATATACAAATGAAAATGTATATTTAGAAGAACAATAATAAATGTCCAGGTGCCCATTGCTCAGACTGACAAATGGAACATTACTACCCCCCAGGAGCCTCGTATGCTCTCCCCCCAAGAGGCAACCACTATCCTGAATTTTGTGTAATTGTCACCTAGCTTTTATAGATTTTACTGTCTGTGTATCCCTAATAGTTGCTTATTTCTAGCCTTTATATAAATAGAATTATACTGTATATGACTGACAACTTTTGCTCATTATTATTTTTTGATTCATCCATGTTGATGTGTGACACTGTAGTTCATTTCGATGACATGAATATGCCACAACTTAATTATATATTCTGTTGATGTCAAAAAAAAAAAAAGAATATTCTACCAGAGTTTTTACTTTTCTTCTGGAGGTCAGAAATACGTTAGGCTTGATGATATGGAAAATTGACACATATATGGACTCAGACAATAAAGTTTTCTAAAAGCAAATAGAGAATAATGATTTGCAGTATTTCCCTAGATAGGTAAAAACCTTGTAATCTCAGGATATTACTCATTTTCCAGGTTTTTTGAAAGCAAGTATACTTTCGTTATGTTAAATTAATAAAGTAAGATTATATTTGATCAGAGGCGTTCTGAGAAATGTATAACCAAGTCAGTAAGGCCATATACAGTTATTATGTTTTTTACTCTCAGGGGAAAGTTGGGGACATGCTGCTACAATACGGCTAATCTTTCATTGGGACCGAAAGCAAAGGTCAGTACAGAAACAAGTTAATAACTCCGAATATTGGGTTAATTATACTGAATGAACACTTACAGGTTTCTTAGAGCTAGTCCTGTGGATGAGATATACAGTGACCCATGAAGTGACACTTTTGTTGCCTTGTCTGATATCACCTAGAGCAAACATAGAAATGTGTTGTTATTACTGCATATTTAGCTACATAGGAAATTCTCTGGAATATTTAAATGATGGGGCGCATGCACCTGAAATGAGTAGGTGGCCAAGGAATGCCATTTTCTAAAGCTCTTCGAAATAATTTATTAGCCATGTAGAAGGAGGTGAGTACTCTGTGTTCCTGGAAGAGATTGAAAAAAAAAAGAATAAAATCAGGACAAAAGGAAAATTGTTGAGGTTACCTTTAAAATTAATTTATTTGGAACATACGATGGTTTCTCTTATTTGCTTAGTATATTTCTTGTATGAAATTGTGTCTGTTTTTTTTTTTATTTTGTATTTTGCTGTCCAGCTTTTATTATCCAGTTACTTACCTGCATTTCACAAGTATTGTTCTTTAAAAGTATGGCAGCATGAAATCTTTGTATTTGTTTTTAAAGCTGCTGAGCAAGTGAACAAACCAGCTTTTATTTTCTTGAAAATAGACCATTGAAAGCTGTGAAGTCTTTTCTACACTTCTAGAAAATGTCAGATTCATGCTAGCCTCTCCGCTTTGTGATTAATTGGTATAACCTAGAGGTCTTGGTTTGGAAATGCTCTAATAAAGGGAGAAATTAAAATGGCATGTGGGCAAAGATGGAATAAAAGGTCACTTAAATACATATTGGGCCTAGCCAGTGAAAATGTCTATTTTTTAATCTATATTTCTTTGTTGTTCTACAAACTGAAAAAAATCCTGCCTGACCAAGTTAGGTTTTACGGACCTGAAGCTCATAACAGAATGATTACACTTCTGTATATATCTTTTGCAACTGATCGTGCAGTTTGGGTCTTCTTTAAAAATGGTATTTGCAAAGAGCTCAGGTAGTGTTTTTTTTCCCCCACAATACGTAGTGCTTTACTATTGACTGTCGCCCCCTAATTTAAACACATTTTTTACTCTAAACCAGTATGACTGGTAAATCCTCCCCCTAATTTTTTTTCTATGATCACAATTTAAGGTAGTTCCTCCTAGTTTTGTAAGTAAGTTGCTGTATACTAGAGTCACAAAAGGAGTTATTTTCTCGGCACCAAACCTTATTGTAAAGATTTGGCAACAGTTCTCCAGCTGTCTTTTGAACATATTGCTTATACTTTCCCAGTTTTAGGTTATTCTGTAAAGCACATTCCGTCATTTATTTTTTCATAGGAATTACGCCTGAGTTAGTATACAGTAGTCTTCTTCAGACTATAATTAAATATTTACTAATAAAATGCATTTAAGAAGAAAAATAATAGGAACAGAGCAAGATATTTCATCTTTTTATGAACTCAACAGGAGGAAAAGTTTGCCTTCTTTGTCAAGTTCTAGAAGTTAGCATTGATAAGTTATCCAAGAGATCAGAAAATCACGCTTACCATGAGTTAACCATTGTATGAATTCACCTTCTTACAAATCCTTCCCAAGAAATTAGAAACTAAAGTACATGGCCGGATGCAGTGGCTCACACCTGTAATCTCATCACTTTGGGAGGCTGAGGTAGGTGGATCATGGGGTCAAGAGATCAAGACCATCCTGGCCAACATGGTGAAACCCCATCTCTACTAAAAATAAAAAATTAGCTGGGCGTGATGGCACACACCTTTAGTCCCAGCTACTCAGGAGGCTGAGGCAGGAGAATCACTTGAACCCAGGAGGCGGAGGTTGCAGTGAGCCAAGATTGTGCCACTGCCCTCCAGCCTGGTTACAGAGTGAGACTCCATCCACCCCCTGCAAAAAAAAAAAAAAAAAACAAGAAAATGATGTACAACACCAACACTGAATATAGATAGATTGGGGGAAATCTGCTGTTCTATAATATTTTTTCTACATCTCATAAGATCATTTTTTTAATTCTTATTTTTATTTTATTTATTTTTCATACTCTCATTTTAGTGAGTGCTTGCTTGTGCTAGGTATTTTACTAGGCACTTTAAATATAACATTTCAGATAATCTTTTCAATAATTATTTGCAGAATGTATACCTATTATTATTAAAAGAAAACCAAGGCCCAGAAAGGTTAACTGAATAAGTAGTAAATAATAGCTACTATTTATTGAATATTTCTTAACTGTCCTTTATTGTGCAAAGCACTGTATGTATATATGTGTACATATATACGTGTATGTATATATGTGTATATATATAGATTATATGTATATATGTGTATACGTATAGATGTATATACATATGTATATATGTGTATACGTATAGATGTATATACATATGTATATATGTGTATACGTATAGATGTATATACATATGTATATATGTGTATAAGTATAGATGTATATACATATGTATATATGTGTATACATATAGATGTATATATGTATATACGTGTATGTATATATGTGTATACGTATAGATGTATATACGTATACGTATAGATGTATATACATATACGTATGTATATGTGTGTGTATATATATAATTTCATGTTATTTTCCACGTAAATCTTTGAAATAGTGTTACCAGATGAGATCAGGCACATTCAGGGTGGTATGGCTGTAGACTGAAAATAGTATTATCTACATTTTATAGCTGACTTTATAAACTTTTTTATTTTTTTTGAGACGGAGTCTCGCTCTGTCGCCCAGGCTGGAGTGCAGTGGCGCGATCTCGGCTCACTGCAAGCTCTGCCTCCCAGGTTCACGCCATTCTCCTGCCTCAGCCTCCCGAGTAGCTGGTACTACAGGCGCCTGCCACCACGCCCAGCTAATTTTTTGTATTTTTAGTAGAGACGGGGTTTCACCGTGTTAGCCAGGATGGTCTCGATCTTCTGACCTCGTGATCCACCCGCCTCGGCCTCCCAAAGTGCTGGGATTACAGGCATGAGCCACCGCACCCGGCCTTATAAACTTTTTTTTTTTTTTGAGAGGGAGTTTCGCTCTTTTTGCCCAGGCTGGGGTGCAATGGCGAGATCTTGGCTCACTTCAACCTCCACTTCCTGGGGTCAAGTGATTCTCTTGTCTCAGCCTGCCGAGTAGCTGGGATTGTAGGCGCCTGCCACCACACCTTGCTAATTTTGTATTTTTAGTAGAGGTGGGATTTCACTATGTTGGCCAGGCTGGTCTTGAACTCCTGATGTCAGGTGACCTGCCCACCTCAGCCTCTCAAAGTGCTGGGATTACAGGCATGAGCCACCGCACTCGGCCATAGCTGACTTTATGGAGTTCATTTCTTTTCTTCTATAATAACTGTTTCTAGAAGGTAATTGTAGTATTGTGTTGATTGCCAGCCAATCTGAATATGTAGCTTACTCCTTTTTTTAGGTAAAATCTTTTTTCTTCAAACTTTTTTTTTTCGGGCTGTGGATATATGATAAATAATGTACATACTTTATGTAATCAAAATAAATTGACCTCATTTAATAGCATTAAAGTAGTTTTGTTCTTTATCATTTGAAACCTGACATCTTTAAGTTGTTAAAGTTGCATGAACTTGAGCCCAGAAGTTGGAGAACAGCCTGGCCGAAATGGCAAGACACCACCTCTATAGATAATAAAAAATTAGCCAGGTGTGGTGGTGCACACCTATAGTTCTAGCTGTTTGGGAGGCCAGAGTTGGGAAAATCACTTGAGCCCTGGAAGTCAGGGTGGCAGTGAGCTATGATTGAGCTATTATACTTCAGGCTGGGCCGCAAAATGGGACCCCATCTCTAAGATATTAAAAAAAAAAAAAAAGTTACATGAGGCCGGGCGCAGTGGCTGACACCTGTAATCCCAGCACTTTGGGAGGCCAAGGCAGGTGGATCACCTGAGGTTGGGAGTTCTAGACCAGCCTGGCCAATATGGGGAAACTGTGTCTCTACTAAAAATACAAAAAAATTAGCCAGGCATGGTGGCGGGCACCTGTAATCCCAACTACTCAGGAGGCTGAGGTAGGAGAATCACTTGAACCCAGGAGGCAGAGGTTGCAGTGAGCCAAGATTGCACCACTGCACTCCAGCCTGGGCAGCAGAGTAAGACTCTGTCTCAAAAAAAAAAAAAGTTGCATGAAATTTTGTATGCTTTATGCTTTTTAAATTTTAGGTTATTTTAAAAGGATGGAAATAGAAATTCATATCAGGGAAAAATAGTTATAAAAATGAACATTTTTCATTTGGAGAGGAAGACTAAAAATCTTTTTTTTTTTTCTTTTTTTTTTTGAGACAGGATCTCACTCTGTTGCCCAGGCTAGAGTGCAGTGGTGCAATCTCAGCTCACTGCAACCTCAACCTCCTGGGCTCAAGCAGTCCTCCCACCTCAGCCTCCCAAGTAGCTGGGACCACAGGCATGTACCACCACACCCAGCTAATTTTTGTAATTTTTGTAGAGATGGGGTTTTGCCGTGTTGCCCAGGCTGGCCTCGAACTCCTAAACTCAGTCAGTCCACCTACCTCGGCCTCCTAAAGTACTGGGATTATAGGCGTGAGCCACAGCACCCGTCCAGAAACTAAAAATCTTGAATAGCCAAATTATATTGGGCATTGAACTTAGGTGTGCTGTCTCATGCCCCAGCCCCTGTCCTTCACCAGTAACACCTGATTTTTACCCTTAGACTAATGATGGAATAATATTCCAACAGTTATTAAAAGAAATACTTTTGTCTATGTCCTTATATTATGTGAGTTTTCCTCCAATTTGCATATTCATGGTTATATGAGGCCAAGATTATTCAGAATTACACTACTCTTTGCCAAGACGATCTGGTGGTAGAGTGGAGTAATAAATCAACACCCCCACACAGTGTTTCATATGTGTGCTCAGTTTTAGAGCACAAATTGTGCTTCTGTCTTATTTCTTCCTGACCCAAACTATGTAGTTCAGCCATATGTTAAGCTACATCTCAGCTGGGGCCATGAGCCAAGTGATTCTTTGGTTTAGTTTTCATTTTAAAAGATCTCTGAAGAGACATGATGCATAAAAGTGGTATTTTTACCTAGAAATTTGAGGATGATTTTTTTGTTTTGTTTGGTTTTGTTTTTGAGATGGAGTTTCGCTTTTGTTGCCCAGGCTGGAGTGCAGTGGCGCAATCTCAGCTCACTACAACCTCGGCCTCCCGGGTTCAATCGATTCTTCTGCCTCAGCCTCCCGAGTAGCTGGGATTACAGGCATGCACCACCACGCCTGGCTAATTTTTTGTATTTTTAGTTGAGATGGGGTTTCTCCATGTTGGTCAGGCTGGCCTCGAATTCTCGACCTCAGGTGATCCACCTCGGCCTCCCAAAGGGCTGGGATTACAGGTGTGAGCCACCGCGCCCGGCCTGAGGATGATTTTCAACCTGAATAATTAATGCCCCTTTGACTTTAGGATTCTTTTTTTGTTTTGTTTTGTTTTTTGAGATGGAGTCTCACTCTGTCACCCAGGCTGGAGTGCAGTGGCGCCATATCGGCTCCCTGCAACCTCCACCTCCCTGATTCAAGTGATTCTCTTGCCTCAGCCTCCCAAGTAGCTGGGATTATAGGCATGCGCCACCACACTTGGCTAACTTTTGTATTTTTAGTAGAGACAGGGTTTCACCATTTTGACCAGGCTGGTCTCGGATGCCTGACCTCAAGTGACCTGCCCACCTCAGCCTCCCAAAGTGCTGGATTATAGACATGAGCCACTGTGCCCGGCCGACTTTAGGATTCTTAACAAGCATGTAAATGCTTCTTAAAAGCTTTTCACTTTTTAATAATTTCCTCAGGATAGATGTACTAGGCACCTTTTTTGGACATACTGTTGATATGAGGTGATTTAGATACCAATTTTTCAGAAGGCTAGCTGATTTTCATCATTCAAAAAATGACTTCTTAATAAGGCAGGTTAAAATACACCTTGCCTCTCTTTTTCTGTGAATTTTTGCATTAAAGATAGATTATCAACCCTAGGGAATTATAAAAGTTTATAATTCCACTCAACACAGCTGTTCTTTTTTTTTTTTTTTTTTGAGATGGAGTCTCGCCCTGTCGCCCAGGCTGGAGTGCAGAGGCACGATCTCGGCTCACTGCAACCTCCACCTCCCCAGTTCAAGTGATTCTCCTACCTCAGCCTCCTCAGTAGCTGGGATTACAGGTGCGTGCCACCACGCCCAGCTAATTTTTTTTTTTTTTTTTTGTATCTTTAGTAGAGATGGGGGTTTCACCGTGTTGGCCAGGCTGGTCTTGAACTCCTGACCTCGTGATCTGCCTGCCTCAGCCTCCCAAAGTGCTGGGATTACAGGCGTGAGCCACCGCACCCAGCCTCAACATAGCTATTCTTGTATTACATATTACTTAGCAATTATTTATGTTTAAAGTTGCAATTACAGAGTATAGAACATTTTGGATTCTGCTGTATTTTGGTCTGTGTTTTTCTTTTGAATTGTGTCTGAGAAGAGGGGCAATTTCAAAATTAAGAGAGTAACAGATCATAGCCAAAATGTCCTTTTTGAATTGTCTTTGAAAACAAATCATTCTATTTTGTGTAAGTAAATGACCCTTATAACTCTGAGAATCTTATTTTCCTCTAGGTTAGAATCTGTATTTTTTAGATCAGTTTCATTACATTGTGCTAAAACATGTATATAACATAAAATTTACCATTTTATGTTTACATATAGTTCACTGGCATTAGGTACATTCATATTGTGCAGCCATCATCATCCATTTTCAGACCTTTTTCATCTTCCCATACTGAAACTCTGTACCCATTAAATGCTAACTCATTCTTTTTTACCCCCAGCCCCTGACAATCACCATTCTACCTTCTGTCTCTGAATTTTACTCCTCTAGCAACCCCATATAATTGGAATCATATAATACTTGTTCTGATGTGACTGGCTTATTTCACTTAGTATAATGTCTTCAAGGCTCATTTATGTTGTAGCATGTGTCAGAATTTTCTTCCTTAAGTCTGCATATTCCATTGTATGTACATACCACATTTTGTTTATTCATCTGTGGATGCACACTTGGGTTGCTTCCACCTTCTGGCTATTGTGAATAAGTTACAGTGTATCAGTTTTAAAGTAATTCTTAAAAGCAGTTTTTTTTTTTTTTTTTGAGATGGAGTTTCACTCTTTTTTGCCCAGGCTGGAGTGCAATGGCATGATCTCAGCTCACCGCAACCTCTGCCTCACAGGTTCAAGCGATTCTCCTGCCTCAGCCTCCCGAGTAGCTGGGATTACAGGCATGCGCCACCACACCCGGCTAATTTTGTATTTTTAGTAGAGATGGGGTTTCTCCATGTTGGTCAGGCTGGTCTCGAACTCCCGACCTCAGGTGATCTGCCTGCCTTGGCCTCCCAAAGTGCTGGGATTGCAGGCGTGAGCCACCGCGCCCAGCCAAAAAGCAGTCTTAAAGGTTTTTGTTTATATTTGTTGCTGTTACAGTACTTGAATATAGTTAATAAGAGCTTAGAAATTTATTTCTCAGCTACTTTTAGCTTTCAGTTTTATATTAATTGTATAAGACATAATAAAATCCCACCTAAGCAGATCTTGTTCTGTCATGACTTATTTTTGGGACATAATCATTTTATATTATTATTTTTGTAGAGATGGGGGTCTCACTATGTTGCCCAGGATGGCTTCAAACTCCTGGTCTCAAGTGATCCTCATGCCTTGCCCTCCTAAAGAGCTGGGATTACAGACATGAGCCACCATGCCTAGGTGCATCATTTTAAAACAATGTCGTCCTAGCTATTTTTATTGGGTGTAATATGAGTAAGTGTTTCTCATTTGTAGTATAAGAAATTATCATAATTCTTCAGCAATAATTAAAAAAACATGATTACTGCAGACAGTTTGGAAAATATAAGCAAGCAACCTTTACCTTGTGATAACAGCTTTTAACTTCTTGATTGTAGTCTTCTATCAATTCTTTTAGATGTGCGTATACATACTTATAAATATGGGATAATACAGTATAACTATTATTTAGTATATTATTAATACTTTCCTATCTCATTGAATATTTTCTTCCACGTTTAGTTTTTAGCATAAGTAATATCTCATCATATGTAAAATAATTTATTTGAATCAGTCATTGGACTTTTAGGTTGCTTTAAAATTTCATATAAACTCTGTTATATACATACGGGTAATTTGAAGGGTGTATTTTTAATATTTCTCTCCTTTTTGTGTTCTTAGAGAAAAAATAGAATTATTAATATAATAAACCTATACATTTAAATAATGAGTTTGGTCATCTGAACTTTTAATTAATTAAGTTCATGTGTTTGTATGTATTTATTCTTTTTCTTTAAGCAGGTTGGCAACATTGTACAAGTCACCCAGCCAGAAGGAATGCACAGTACTGTTTCAAATCAAAGTCAGTATTATTTGATTAGAGTGGGATTTTGATATTGATGGGCGGTAATTATCTAAAGAGAGAATTTACAACTTGCTTCTGTCAACTTCTGTAGGCAGCAAGCATATTTGAGGACAGCTTTTGATGCTTAGAACATTGTCCCCAAAATAGTAGTATATACAGAATATTGTAGTCACAAATGGACTGAAATTTATTCTTAAGAGCAGAGGAAATACTTATTTTGGGGTAGTGTGTTCCATGCCATATGTAATGTCAGGATATTAAAAATCTTTAAAGTGAAAGTTGTTGAAGATTTCCAGAAAAGAAAAAATACTAACATTACTTATTTTGGTCTGTAGGTATTATAGATCTATTGTAGCACCAAATATAGCCCACTTTAAGATGTTAATTCTTCTGTGAATTTACATCATAGAACACACATTTTTTGGCTGAAATATGCATATTTATCAATAGTGTTGAGCCAAATATATTTTTGGCATCTCTTTTTTTTTGAGATGGAGTCTCTGCGTCGCCCAGGCTGGAGTGCAGCGGTGCAATCTTGGCTCACTGCAGCCTCCGCCCTACTGGTTTAAGCAATTCTCCTGCCTCAGCCTCCCTAGTAGCTGGGATTATAGGCGTGTGCTACCACGCCTGGCTAATTTTTGTGTTTTTAGTAGAGATGGGGTTTCGCCATGTTGGCCAGACTAGTCTCAAACTCCTGACCTCAAGTGATCCGCCCTTCTCAGCCTTCCAAAATTCTGGGATTACAGGCGTGAGCCACCGAGCCCGGCTTTATCTCATTTTTATAACAACAAAAACAGAAATAGAGATTCTGAAACTGAATTATCCACTTAGTCTTTGCAGTACCCAGGTGTACTTGAAATATCCTAGTTGGGGAAAAAAAAGAGAGAGAGAAATATCATAGTTGGAAAACTTTAGAGTATTTAATTATGAAAATAAATCTGTAAAGTACCTAAGACTTAGGTTATTTCCTTTTACTTCTAACAAAGCTATCGTAAAGTTTGTTAGGATTGACCTTTAGAGAACATTTTTATAATGCAATGTTATTTCTGTGCGTGTGTATGCAAGGGTATAAATAAGTATATATAAAATACTCTTAATATAGCCCGGGCTTTGGCACGTATCCATGAGGTTTATTCTCTTCATTCACAGTGGTTGATAAATTTCTATCTCAAGAACTTTCTTTTTTTTTGAGACGAAGTCTCACTATTTCGCCCAGGCTAGAGTGCAGTGGCACAATCTTGTCTCACTGCAACCTCCGCCTCCCAGGTTCAAGCGATTCTCCTGCCTCAGCCTCCAGAGTAGCTGGGACTAGAGGTGTGTGCCACCATGCCCAGCTAATTTTTATATTTTTGGTAGAGATAGGGGTCACCATGTTGGCCAGGCTGGTCTTGAACTCCTGACCTCATGATCTGCCCACCTCAGCCTCCCAAAGTGCTGGGATTACAGGTGTGAGCCACTGCGCCTGGCCCTAGAATAAAGTAGCTTTCTTATTAGTTACTTAAAAATATTTCTAAGATCAGTCTTCAAATGTTCTTAAAGCATATTTGTATATATATTTTTTATCTTTCAGCCTCAGGGATTTAGAGATACTGTTGTTACTTCTGCATGTTCATTGCAAACAGAAGGTTCCTTGAGCACCCGGAAACGGTCACGAGACCCAGAGGAAGAATTATAACCCAGAAACAAATCTCAAAGTGTACAAATTTATTGATGTTGTGAAATCAATGTGTACAAGTGGACTTGTTACCTTAAAGTATAAATAAACACACTATGGCATGAATGAATCCAGATCATATGAAGTGAATGGGAAAAATACCTAAATATGATTCTGTGAAAGTTTTTCTAAAGCAGTATTCTGCAATTATATTTTACCCTGTTTTCATTTTCAGTAACATTCAGTAGAGATGATTATTATATTTCACAAATGTGGAAAGCTGATCTCATGTGGCCAGTCTGAATTTACCATTCATACTGTTTTCACCCCTTTCTTTCCCAGTTGCCTATAAAATCTTAGGAAGAAACATATCATATTCTTATTGTGTTTTTTTTTTTTTTTTTTTTTTTGGAGATGGATTCTCGCTCTGTAGTCCAGGCTGGAGTGCAATGGCGCAATCTCTGCTCACTGCAACCTCCGCCTCCCAGGTTCAAGCGATTCATCTGCCTCAGCCTCCCGAGTAGCTGGGGTTACAGGCACCTGCCATCGTGCCTGGCTAATTTTTTGTATTTTTGTAGAGACAGAGTTTTACCATGTTGGCCAAGCTGGTCTTGAACTCCTGACCTCAGGTGATCTGCCTGCCCCTGCCTCCCAAAGTGCTGGGATTACAGTCGTGAGCCACTGTGCCCAGCCATGTTCTTTTTAAATGTAAATTTGATAATTCTTTAAAATTACCCGCTTTTATAATTATAAAAGAGAAGCCAGCACCATGAGTCAGCATATTATTCTGTTCAGTTTTATAGGTAAGATACAAATTTTAGGTGACCAAACTGATTTTAGTGACCTCAATCCTAAAATCTAAGCCATTTGTTTAGCTTTTAATGACATTTTATAATGTTAAAGGGAGGACTTTGGAGCTGTTATCTCATCTAGAGATTGTTTGGAACATATGTCTTCCAGAATAGGTTGATAAGCTCACAATCATTTATTGCTACGTTTTTGTTTTTGTTTTGAGACAAGGTCTCACTCCGTCACCCAGGCTGGAGTGCAGTGGCATGATCATAGCTCACTGCAGCCTCGACCTCCCGGGCTCAAGCAATCCTCTCACTTCAGCCTCCTGAGTAGCTGGGACTACAGGGAGGCACTACCATGCCCTGCTAATTTTTGGATTTTTTTGTAGAGACAAGGTCTCACTATGTTGCCCAGGCTGGTCTCAAACTCCTGGTCTCAAGCGATCCTCTTGCCTTGTCTTCCCAAAGTGCTGGGATTACAGATGTGAGCCACCACACCTGGCCTCATTTCTATATTTTGAAACACGGTATGATCCATTCTAGAATTCTAGTTGTTATGTTGACATTTTTCTTTGAATAATCTTAACTTTGCTTAAATAAATTAAAGATTTCAATTCTCGATGGTTTCAAAATCACCTAAAAATATTTTCACACTTGGCTCTTAGTACTTTTCAACTTACTCACAAAATTTACTTTGGTTCCCTGTGGGGGAAAAAATAATTAATTTTGGGACAGAATCTCGCTCTGTCACCCAGACTGCAGTGCAGTGGCACAATCTTGGCTCACCGCAACCTCTGCTTCCAGGGTTTAGGCGATTCTTGTGCCTCAGCCTCCCAAGTAGCTGGGATTACAGGCATGCACCACCGTGCCAAGCTAATAGTTTGTAATTTTAGTAGAGACAGGTTTCTCTATGTTGGCTAGGGTGGTCGCGAACTCCTGGGGCTCAAGTGACCCGCCCACCTCTGCCTCCCAAAGTGCTGGAATTAACAGGTGTGAGACTGCGCGCCCAGCCATATTTATATATTTATTTTTAAACTATTATTTTAGGTTCAGGGGTACGTGTGAAGGTTGGTTACGTAGGTAAACTCATGTCACGGGTTTATTGTACAGATTATTTCATCACCCAGGAGTTAAACTCAGTACCCAATAGTTACCTTTTCTGCTTCTCTCCTTCCTCCCACCTTCCACCCTTAGGTAGTAGACCCCAGTGTTTGTCTGTTTTGTTTTGTTTTGTTTTGTTTTTTAAATGCAAGCTTGCTCTGTCACCCAGGTTGGAGTGCAGTGGCAGGATCTTGGCTCACTGCAACTTCCACCTCCTGGGTTCAAGCGATTATCCCGCCTCAGCCTCCAGAGTAGCTGGGATTACAGGTGCACGCCACCACACCCAGCTAATTTTTTGGATTTTTAGTAGAGATGGGGTTTCATCACATCCAGGCTGGTCTCAAACTCCTGACCTCGTGATCCACCCACCTCAGCCTCCCAAAGTGCTGGGATTACAGGCATGACCCATTGTGCCTAGCCTGTTTTTTCTTTTGTGTTCTTAAGTTCTCATCATTTAGCTCCCACTTATGGGTGGGAGACATGCGGTACTTGGTTTTCTGTTCTTGCATTAGTTTGCTGAGAATAATAGCCTCTAGCTCCATCCGTGTTCCTGCAAAAGACATGGTCTTGTTCTTTTTTATGACTGCAAAATTATTTAAATAATTGAATATTAAATATTGTAGCAGCAATATTTTCCAAATTTTAGTGATAGGTGTTACTTCCTATCCCAGACTAAACAGTAAATTTATAAAATTACTTCAGTGTAATTATTATTTTCTGCAATTGATTATATAGAATAGCCATCATTTACCAGGACTTGAGAGTGAAAGCAGGCACTGCTAACAATTATGCCAGTACAGAGGCTATAAACCAAGACTAACTTCAAATCACTTCTCTAACATAGAATGACTAATTGTGACTATCTTTTGTGGACCTCAAAGCACATTTTATTGTAATTGATGCCATCATTTTAACAAATACCCATCATTTTATATTCTGTCTTCTCAAATCATAAAATCCAGAGGAGGAGGGTGTTATAAGTGATAAATATCAGTGTTACCAAGCATCAGATGAGATAGATAAAATAATGTAGGATCTCTTTTTTTTTTTTTTTGAGACAGGGTCTTACTCTGTCACCCAGACTGCAATGCAGTGGCACGATCACTGCTCACTGCAGCCTTGACCTCCCAGGCTCAAGTGATGATCTTTCCACTTCAGACTCCTTAGTAGCTGGAAGTACAGGCATGCGCCACCATGCCCAGCTAATTTATTTTTATTTTGTAGAGACAGTCTCACGATATTGCCCGGTCTGGTCTCAAACTCTTGGGCTCAAGTGATCCTCCTGCCTCAACCTTCCAGAGTGCTGGGATTACAGATGTGAGCCATTTGGCCTGGCCTCCAGAATCTCTTTTTATAAAGTACCATAACACTGTACTTTATTTTATTTATTTATTTATTTTGAGACAGAGTCTTGCTCTGTTGCCCAGGCTGGAGTGCAGTGGTACAGTCTCAGCTCACTGCAACCTCCACCTCCAGGGTTCACGCGATTCTCATGCCACAGCCTCCTGAGTTGCTGGGACTACAGGCATTCACGACCATGCCCAGCTCTTTTTTTTTTTTTTTTTTTTTTGAGATGGAGTTTCGCTCTTCTTGCTCTGTCACCTGGTCCAGAGTGCAGTGGCACCATCTCGGCTCACTGAAACCTCCGCCTCCTGGGTTCAGGTGATTCTCCTGCCTCAGCCTCCTGAGTAGCTGGAACTACAGGCATACACCACCATGCCCGGCTGATTTTTCTATTTGTAGTAGAGACAGGGTTTCACCATGTTGGCCAGGCTGTTCTCAAACTCCTGATCTCACATGATCTGCCCATCTTGACCTCCCGAAGTGCTAGGATTACAGGCATGAGCTACTGCGCTGAGGCCCCTTAGCATTTTTTGTTACTTGGTTTTAACTGAGGATATGATAGTACACCTATGTCCCACACTTTATATAGGCTTGCCACCTAATGCTATGCCCGTAAATTGGTTAAAGTCTCACCTTCTGCAAACCAATGATTGTATCCAGGTTTCATCTTGTGGTTAGTTTGACAAATCAGCTCAGAAGTATTTTTTCTTAGGAAAAATAAATTGTATTTTTAGCTTCAATTTTCGGGATATGCAACTTAAAACATATTTATATAGTTCTTTATTATTTATGAAACACTTTGGCCAGGCACAGTGACTCACGCCTGTAATCTCAGCACTTTGGGAGGCCGAGGTGGGCGGATCACCTGAGGTCAGGAGTTCAGCACCAGCCTGGTCAATATAATGAAACCCCATCTCTACTAAAACTACAAAAATTAGCTGGACGTGGTGGCACATGCCTGTAGTCCCAGCTACTCGGGAGGCTGAGGCAGGAGAATCGCTTGAACCTGGGAGGCAGAGGTTGCAGTGAGCTGAGATCAGGCCACTGAACTCCAGCCTGGGTGACAGAGCGAGACTCCATCTCAAAAAGAAAAAAAAAAAACACTTACACATCATTTTATTTGATCCTTCTAGCAGCTCTGTAAGGTGGATGTGATAGGCTAGCCTGTCTGCTTTTCATCTTTCCTTCCTTCCATCCATTTAGTGCCTAACACACATTTAACTACTTTTTGAAACAATATTTCAAATAAGATATAGAATAAATTCTGTGTTTTTTTCTTTTTTCTGTTTTTTTTTTGTGTGTGTGTGACCCTGACATGATATGAACAAATTCTGTTTTTCAAATGGTCAGATGAAAATACTATTTGGTCATGACTAGGATGGTGTTTATGAGCCTGTTTGATTACAAATATAAAATTAATAGTTTCTTGGTTTTATGTTTACTTTTTTAATATGGTAAAATAGCTATACATAAAATTTGCCATTTTAACCATTTGTAAATATACATTTAAATGGCAATAATTACATTCGCAATGTTGTGCAGTCATCACCACTAATTTCTAAAACTTCATCACCCCAGACAAAAACTCCCCATTCTACACTCTCCCCAGCTCTTGATAATCTTTAATCTACTTTGTTTCTCTGAATTTGCCCACTGTAAATATATGTGAAATTATACTATATATGTATATGTATGTGTATATATATGTGTGCGTGTGTGTATATATGTGTGTGTATATATGTGTATATATATCTTTATATATATGTCTGTGTGTGTGTATATATATGCATATATATATATGTTGTTTTTTTTTCCTGGAGACAGAGTTTCACTCTTGTTGCCCAGGCTGGAGTGCAACGGCGCCATCTTGGCTCACTGCAACCTCCGCCTCCCGGGTTCAAGCGATTCTCCTGCCTCAGCCTCCCAAGTAGCTGGGATTACAGGCATGCGCCACCACGCCTGGCTAATTTTTTTTGTATTTTTGGTAGAGACAGGGTTTCTCCATGTTAATCAGGCTGGTGTTGAACTCCCAACCTCAGGTGATCCGTCCGCCTCGGCCTCCCAAAGTGCTGGGATTACAGGCGTGAGCCACCGTGCCCGGCCCACAATATTTTTATTTATTTAAGCCAGGGTGTTGCTAAGTTATACAGGCCTTGAACTCCTGCACTCAAGGCCTCCTCCCTCTTCAGCCACCCAAGTTGCTTGGTCTACAGGTCCATGCCACCATGTCCGGCTAACACTGTTCTTTTTATGTCTCAATTATTTCACTTAGCATAATGCTGGTTTTCTTTTTTGTTTTTTGGGTTTTTCTTTTTCTTTTTCTTTTCTTTTCTTTTTTTTTTTTTTTTTTTTTTTGAAGCAGGGTCTTGCTCTGTCTCCCAGGCTGGAGTGCAGTGGTGTGATACTGGCTCACTGCAACCTCTGCCTCCTGGGCTCAAGCGATTCTCCTGCCTCATCCACCCGCGTAGCTGGGTCTACAGGTGCAGGCCACCGCACCCAGCTAATTTTTGTACCTTTTGTACAGACGGGGTTTCCCATGTTGCCTAGGCTGGTCTTTAACTCCTAAATTCAGTTGATCTGCCTGCTTCAGCTTACCAAAGTGCTGGGATTGTAGGCATAAGCCACCACACCTGGCCTTAGCATAATGTTTATAAGATTTATCCATATTGTAGCATATATAAGAACTTCATTTATTTTTATTGCTAAATAATATTCCATTGCATGTATATATCACGGTAGTCCCCCTTTAACCAAGGGGAATACACTCTAAGACCCCCCAGTGGATACCTGAAACCAAAGGTAGTACCACACCTCTATATATATGATGCATGAATTTTTTTCTTCACAATTTCATGGATAGAAGACTCTTTTTTTTGTTGTTGTTGTTCATTTGTTTGTTTTTTTGAGACGGAGTCTCGCTCTGTTGCCCAGGCTGGAGTGCAGTGGCGCGATCTCAGCTCACTGCAAGCTCCGCCTCCCGGGTTCACACCATTCTCCTGCCTCAGTCTCCCGAGTAGCTGGGACTACAGGCACCCGCCACCACGCCCGGCTAATTTTTTTGTATTTTTAGTAGAGATGGGGTTTCACCATGTTAGCCAGGATGGTCTCAATCTCCTGACCTCGTGATCCGCCCGCCTTGACCTCCCAAAGTGCTGGGATTACAGGCGTGAGCCACTGCGCCCAGCCAAGACTCGTTTTTTGTTTTTGTTTTTGTTTTTTGAGATGGAGTTTCACTCTCTCTCTCGCCCAGGTTGGAGTGCAGTGGTGTGATCTTGGCTCGCTGAGACCTCCACCTCCCCGGTTCAAGCGATTCTCCTGTCTCAGCCTCCCAAGTAGCTGGGATTACAGGTGTGTGCAACCACACCCAGCTCATTTTTGTATTTTTAGTAGAGACATGGTTTTACCATGTTGGCCAGGCTGGTCTTCAACTCCTGACCTCAGGTGATTCACTTGCCTCAGTCTCCCAAAGTGCTGGGATTACAGACGTGAGCCACTGCGCCCGGCCAGAAGACTCGTTCTTACCATAGCTCTTAGCAATGTTGGCATAACTTTTTTATTAAATCTACAATTTTCACCTTTTCACTAAAAAGAAGAAATTTATGGCTTCTCTTTAGCATATCCTAATCGCCAGCATCACTACTCTTGCAATTTGGCACCATTATTAAGTAAAATAAGGCCTATTTAAACTGAAACACTGCTATACCAACACCTGACAGTTGATCTGATAACCGAGCCAGGTATTAAGTGACTAACGGAGCAGGTAGCATATACAGAGGGATGATTCATGTTCCAGGCAGGACAGAGCAGGATAGTGCAAGATTTCATCATGCTACTCAGAATATTGCACAATTTACAACTTACGAATTGTTTATTTCTGGAATTCTCCATTGAATATTTTTAGACATCAGTTGACCTCAGGTAACTGAAACCATGGAAAGTGAAATCACGGGTAAGGAGAGACTACTACTGTACATTTTGTTTATCCATTCATCTGTTAATGCACGTGTCCCCAACCCCCAGGGCACGGACTGATGCTGGTCTGTGGCCTATTAGAAACTGGGTTGCAGAGCAGGAGGTGAGTTCTGAGGGAGAGAGCAAAGCTTCATCAGTATTTATAGCCGCCCTTCATTGCTCAAGCTCTGCCTCCTGTCATATTAGCAGTGGCATTAGATTCTCATAGCCCGAACCGTATCGTGAACTGTGCATACAAGGAATCTAGGTTGCATGCTCCTTATGATAATCTAATGCCTGATGATCTGTGACTGTCTCCCATCACCCCAAGATGTGTCCATCTGGTTGCAGGAAAATAAGTTCAGGGCTCCCACTGATTGTTGTGTAATTATTTCATTATATATTACAATTTAATAATAGAAATAAAGTGCACACTAAATGTAATGTGCTTGAATCATCCCAAAAGTATCCCCCCTGCCCCTCGTCCGTGGAAAAATTATCTTCCATGAAACCAGTCCCTGATGCCAAAAACGTTGGGGACCGTTGTGTTAATGGACATTTGGTGGACATTTAGATTGGTTTTGTTTTGTTTTGTTTTTGAGACAGAGTTTTGCTCTTTTGCCCAGGCTGGAGTGCAGTGGCGCGATCTTGGCTCACTGCAACGTCCGCCTCCCAGGTTCAAGCAATTCTCCTGCCTCACCCTCCTGAGTAGCTGGGATTACAGGCGCCCACCACCATGCCTGGCTAATTTTTGTATTTTTAGTAGAGATGGGGTTTCACCATGTTGGCCAGGCTGGTCTCGAACTCCTGACCTTGTGATCCGCCCTCCTCGGCCTCCCAAAGTGCTGGGATTACAGGCGTGAGCCACCAGGCCCGGCCTTGTTTGGTTTTTTTTGACACAGGGTCTTGCTCTGCCACCCAGGCTGGAGTGCAGTGGCACAACCGTGGCGCACAACCGTGGCTCATTGCAGCCTCCCAGGCTCAGGTAATCCTCCCACCTCAGCCTCCCAAGTAGTTGGGACTACAGGCACATGCCACTATATCCGGCTAATTTTTGTATTCTTTATAGAGATGGGGTTCCATCATGTTGCCCAGGTTGGTATCGAACTCCTGGGCTCAAGCGATGCCACCACCTGGGCCTCCCAAAGTGCTGGGATTACAGACATGAGTCACCAGGCTGGAGTGCAATAGTGTGATCCTAGCTCACTGCAACCTTCAATTCTTGGGCTCAAGCCCTCCTCCCACAGTAGCCTCCCAAATGCACATCACCACACCTGTTTTTGTTTTGTTTTGTTTTGTTTTGTTTTGAGACAGAGTCTCGGTCTGTCGCCCAGGCTGGAGTACAGTGGCACAATCTTGAGTCACTGCAACCTCCACTTCCCAGGTTAAAGCAATTCTCCTGCCTCAGCCTCCAGAGTAGCTGGGACTACAGGTGCCCGCCGTCATGCTCGGCTAATTTTTGTATTTTAAGTAGAGACGGGGTTTCACCAGGCTGGTCTCAAACTCCTGACCTTAGGTGATCTCGTGATCTGCCCACCTTGGCCTTCTAAAGTGCTAGGATTACAGGTGTGAGTGAGCCACCGTTCTCGGCACCCCCCCTTTTTTTTTTTTTTTTTTTTTTGGAGACAGAATCTTACTCTGTCACCCAGGCTGGAGTGCAGTGGCTCGATCTTAGCTCAC
Organism: Homo sapiens; assembly: GCF_000001405.40. Lineage (NCBI taxonomy): Eukaryota > Metazoa > Chordata > Mammalia > Primates > Hominidae > Homo > Homo sapiens. The sequence continues at coordinate 58,743,069 of NC_000017.11, forward strand.
TGCAACCTCTACCTCTCGGGCTCAAGTGGTTCTCATGCCTCAGCCTCCTGTGTAGCTGGGATTACAGGCATGCACCACCACACCCAGCTATTTTTTGTATTTTTAGTAGAGATGGGGTTTCACCATATTGGCTAGGCTGATTTTGAACTCCTGACCTCAAGTGATCCCCCACCTTGGCCTCCCAAAGTGCTGGAATTACAGTCATGAGCCACTGCACTTGGCTCGTATATTAGCTATTCTTATTTTTCTCTCTACAGTATTTTACTTTTCTTGTTGATAACCTTCTTACTAAACTGTTTGCAACTAGTGATAAAATTACAATATAATGTGGTAGAAAGAACATGAGACTAGAGTTGGAAGATGTGCATTTTAGTTGCATGTGAGATGTTACCAAGCCATGTCAGTTTTGGCACCTTTATTTTCTCATATCTTTACCTTATTTCTCAAAGAAGGTAAGACTAAATGATTGCTAAATTCATTGGTCTAAATTTTATGGGTTTTGCTTTTGTAGAGGCAATATTAAATATTCACTTTAAATGATCAATACTGGAAACATGGAAAGGAGTGACATTTATACACTTTTATTTTCAAAATCAATAATATTAGGGATCCCAATACAATACATTGCATTTCAGTTTTGAGACTAATGTTGAAATGTCATATTGCTTTAAAAAATAAAACAACAACATTCAGTTGAAGAAGAGAGGCTGGCTGTTCATAATATGTATTTTTAGTTAACGTCAGTGCCTAAATTTACTGTTACTGTTAAAATTTACAGAACATTTTGCTCCCTCAAAACTGATTTTGGCATAAAATATGTTGACAAGATTTTATGTATTTTTGACCACAGTATATTCCTTTGCTTGTTTTCAGTTTTTGTGTACCATTGATATCTGATGATGTCCTTTTATGTTTCAACTATCCATTTGACTCCCATTATGTGTAGTTAAGATGTAAGTTTTTAGCTACCGTGACTCTGAGAGTGATTTTATGTGAAGTTTATTTTATGATGATTTAAAAGTTGGGCTCACGTCAGAAGGGCTTGTGAAATTACAGAAATTATGTCCTACTCACTTTGAAAATAAAAAATTAACACAAGATAAAAGACAAAAGCTGAGGAGCCAATTAATTAGAATTTGTATCAGGAATTCTTACAAACCAATGCAAAGAAGAAAAAATTGGTTATAGAATAGTCTTGGCCTAACGATAGGAAGTATATCAGTTTTTCAAGAGAAAAGGTGTTTTCTGGCTGTTGTTTTTTATTTGTGTTTTAATTAAATTTTTTTCCTAAGTAATATTTGTACAGGATTTAAATTTAAAAAGCACAGGATTTAAAATTCAATGAAAAGTATGTTTCATTTTATCTCCTGTTTCTGAGTCACTTTCCTTAATTTCTTTTTCTTTTTCTTTTTTTTTTTTTTTTTTGAGACAGAGTCTCGCTCTGTTGCCCAGGCTGGAGTGCGGTGGCATGATCTCAGCTCACTGCAAGCTCGGCCTCCCAGGTTCACGCCATTCTCCTGCCTCAGCCTCCCGAGTAGCTGGGACTACAGGTGCACACCACCATGCCCGGCTAATTTTTTTGTATTTTCAGTAGAGAAAGTGTTTCACCATGTTAGCCAATATGGTCTCCATCTCCTGACCTCGTGATCCGACTGCCTCGGCCTCCCAAAGTGCTGGGATTACAGGCGTGAGCCACTGTGCCCGGCCCCCCTTAATTTCTTTTTAGGAGGCAAACATTATTACCAGTTTTTTATATGACCTCCCAGAGCTATTCTATGTATCTAAAATATAAATACATTTTTTCTTCAATACTCAAATAAGATACACAGTGTTCTGCAACTAGTTTTTGTATCAGTACATGTAGAATTTTCTCAAATAAAAAACTGCTGGTCAGGCAAGGTGGCTCATGCCTGTATTCCCAACACTTTGGGAGGAGGCATGGGAAGATCTCTTAAGCCCAGGAGTTGAGACTAGCCTGGGCAATATAGGGAGACTTCATCTCTAGAAAAAATAATTTTAAACAATTAACCAGCATAGTGGCCTACATCTCTTGTCCCAGCTATTTAGGAAAGGAGTTCCAGGCTGCAGTGAGCTATGTATGATTGGGCTACTGGACTCTGGCCTGTCTCTCTAAAAATAAATAAATAATTGCATATGCCATTCCATTGAATTAATATCCTATTATTATTATTTTTATTTATTTATTTATTTTTTGAGACGGAGTCTCACTCTGTCGCCCAGGCTGGAGTGCAGTGGCGTGATCTCGGCTCACTGCAAGCCCCGCCTCCCAGGTTCACGCCCTTCTTCTTCCTCAGCCTCCCTAGTAGCTGGGACCACAGGCGCCTGCCACCACGCCCAGCTAATTTTTTGTATTTTTAGTAGAGACGGGGTTTCACCGTGTTAGCCAGGATGGTTTCGATCTCCTGACCTCGTGATCCACCCGCCTCGGCCTCCCAAAGTGCTGGGATTACAGGCGTAAGCCACCGCGCCCGGCCTTTTTTTTTTTTGAGAGGGTCTCTGTCACTCAGACTGGAGTGCAGTGGTACAATCATAGCTCACTGCAGCCTCAATCTCCCAGGTTCAAGCAATCCTCCCGCCTTAGCCTCTTGAATAGCTGGGACTACAGGCATGTACCTCCATGCCCAGCTAATTATTTTATTTTTTGTAGAGACGGGGTTTCACTTTGTTGCCCAGGCCGGTCTCGAACCCCTGGGCTCATGTGATCTTCCCACTTCGGCCTCCCAAAGTGCTGGGATTACAGGCATGAGCCCGCTGTGCCTGGCTGCCATTAAATATTTAAATCGTAATGAACTCCTCTGGTTCTATGCATACCAATTATCAACCAGTTGATAACTGGATTTCCCCAGATACTTTGGGTATAGCCAGATCAATGCAAATGTCTGGTCTCCTTGGAATTAATAGTTCTCACTGTAAATTCATATATTGTTATTGTGATTTTGATATACTCTCGCGAGATTTACATTAGTTAATATCCCTCCATTTGATTAAATTTGGAGCACTCATTTCTGAGCCTCCAAGTTCAAGTTGCTGAACTTTGTCATAAATTCATGAAGGTAAATGTCATTATGGTAATTTAAAACAAATTATTTGACACTTTTCCCATCTGGAGGTGGGGTGTATTATGTCCCCTTCTCTTGAATCTAAAATGGGCCTCTTACTGCTTTGACCAATAGAGCACCATAAAAGTAATGCTATTGACATATGAGACTAGGTCATGAAAGGCTACGCATCTTCTTAGGCACTAGAACACTCACTCTTGAAGCTCTAAATTACTATATAAGAAGTCTGACTACCCTAGGCCGTGCACGGTGGCTCACGCTTGTAATCCCAGCACTTTGGGAGGTCGAGGCAGGCAGATCACGAGGTCAGGAGTTCGAGACCAGCCTGGCCAACATGGTGAAACCTCATCTTTACTAAAAATACAAAAATTAGCCGGGCTTGGTGGTGGGCACCTGTAATCCCAGCTACTCAGGAGGCTGAGGCAGAAGAATCGCTTGAACCCGGGAGGTGGATGTTGCAGTGAGCTAAGATCGCGCCGCTGCACTCCAGCCTGGGCAACAGGGCAAGACTCTGTCTCCAAAAATAAAAATAAAAAAGTCTGACTATCCTAAAGCCATCATGCTGGAGGTGTTATGTGTAGGCATTACAGTTGACAGCCCTAGCTGAACTAACGCTCAGCAACCAGCATCAATGGCCAGTTTGGCAACACAAATTAGTATCTTGAAAAATATTTACATATTAATCATTTCTCAACTCTATTTTTTTCAGTATAAATGGAAAGGTATAATGTAAGTCATCTTGGACATCTAGCCCAGTTGAGCCTTCAGATACTCTCCCCAACTGTTACCTTATTGCCGCTTCCTCAGACCTTCAAGTGAAAACCACCTAGCTTGAGTCCAGTCAACCTACAGAGCTGTGAGATATAGTTAAATGGTTTTTCTTCTAGCCACTAAGTTTTGGGATAGTTTGTTTTATAGCAACAGATAAGTGAAACAGCTGCCTGACAGCCTCTCTGGGTGGGTTACCAGATATTCCCAAGTTGTGTCTTTAGGTGCCTTCTTAGAATTTCAGATCTTCCTGTCCAGTGTCTTTTAGCTTTTTCTGTTCATCTTCATTTCTACTAACACCATTCTTTTCTGTACTCTTATTATCTCCCATTGCCCAACTGATTCCAGCCTTCAATCTCTCTTCTTCAATCCATCCTGCATTCATCTGAAAGAATGTCTGCATATTAAATTTTCTTAAAACACAGTTTTGGTTGTATTTCTTTCTAAATTCAGTATTTTTGTCAATACTTAGAATAAATAACTGCAATTCCATATCCCACTACAGCCTAGATCTAATCTTGAACTTTTTCCCATAGGCTTTATAACCTTAAAGAGTCATGAAATTATTGGCATGTATTTCCAGCTATACAAATTTCCAGAATTTTATATGACAATTTAAAAGGATATTTTATAAATTAATAATTTCATGTGTGAAGGACTCAAGTTCAGTTTGCATATGTATTTTGATTTGCTGCCTTTGTGCAAATAACTGCAATGTATTGTATTATTACTTAGGTATATGGAGGTTCATCAAATCTTAATCTTCAGCTTGCAGAATTACTGGAAACCATGTGTGTGCTATATTGGTGCCAGATATGTCATTTATAGATCACTCTTTCATAAGGCAGCAAACTACTTCCTATGCCCAAATCATTTTCTTTCTGGAAAAGATACATTTTGTCAGCATGGTTACCATGTGTGGTAATTGATAATGTCTGTGCCACATGGCTTACTTCTACCCTTGTCCGACACAGCTATTCTACCACCTATGATTACCATATGCTACAGCACTCTGGGTTAATGGAATCATTTCCATCTTCCCTTCTAGTCACAAATGTCATTGTGGCTCAATTCCATCAGCTCAACTAAGAATAAAATATTCAGTACTATCTAAGCAAAGAACACACCTTTGTGAAGTTTTCATATTTAGTTGACTGTTTCATTTTCATTTTTAAAAGCTAGGTTTTTTTGATGAATGTTCCAGAGTGAGGAATGGGCATCTGCTAACTAGAATAGGACATGATCAATGTCACTCTGAATTCTTGCATGTATTTATTTTAAATAAATATACAAAGGTAATTAAAAATTAGATGATAATAAAGGTAAAGTTTTTACCACCATAAAGCATTTTTTTGTAAAGTGAAAACTAGTAGCAAAAGATTGAAGTGGATTTTTAAAACAGTGTCAATTTATTTTAGAAGAACCATTTATTATAGAAGGAACATACCACATGTTAGCCATTTATAGCACCATCATCAAATTACTATCAACCACTGCCCTCTTCTTCTTTTGTAAGTATGTCATAATAAATAATTTTGGTTCCTCAAAGAACCATGCTAGATAAAAAGAAAGATTGTTATTAATGGTTTAAACAAGAAAAAAGGTTAGAATCTGTTTTGGGGATTTACTTCTTTGCTTTTTAAAACTAGTAAAATACAGTGCATGTGGGCCAGTTATTACCTGATGTGAATTTTAATTTTGACAGCTTTGAATTATTGCTGCAATATGACCATATTAGCCAGCAACAGAAAAGGAATAAAAAATTATTATAGCAGTAGTATTTTTGGCAGCAAATGGGAATGATTTTTATATTATTGATCTGGGATGTAGAAGAGGAAGAAGTTTCTATTTGAAAATGTTTCTATGTTGCTCAGTTTTTTCAGTTGTCAGGTGTTCTGTTGCTTCCTACTAGTCAATTTGACAACATAGTCAAATTAATATTTTAAAAACTATTGGCCAGGTGTGGTGGCTCAGGCCTGTAATCCCAGTACTTTGGGAGGCCAAGGCAGACAGATCACGAGGTCAGGAGTTTGAGCTCAGCCTGACCAATATGGTGAAACCCCGTCTCTACTAAAAATACAAAAATTAGCCAGGTGTGGTGGTGCACACCTGTAGTCCCAGCCACTCGTGAGGCTGAGGTTGCAGTGAGCTGAGATCGCGCCATTGCACTCCAGCCTAGGTGACAAAGTGAGACTCTGTCTCAAAAAAAAAAACAAAACTATTTATATCAAGCCTGTCTAACCTGTGGCCCATGGGCCACATGCAGCCCAGGACGGCTTTGAATGCAGCCCAACACAAATTCATAAACTTTCTTGAAACATTATGAGGTTTATGCATGGACTTTTTTTTTTTTTTTTAGCTCATCAGCTATCATTAGTATCTTTTATGTGTGGCCCAAGGCAATTCTTCTTCCAATGTGGCCTGGGGAAACCAAAAGATTGGACACCCCTGATTTACATATTAGTTATCCTTCCATTCAGTTTTTAAAATATAAATTTAAAATATACATTTTAATATTTGCAACTTAATATTTATCATTAGGCCTAGCCTTAAACATTTACATAAGCATTAATTTTAGGCCATGGGATATGAGCTATATATAATTTGTTATTATACTCTCTCCAAAATATAAAATGCCAATATTTTATGTTAACATAAACTATGTTTTACTATTTGAGATATTATATTAGCTTCAAATCAATGGTTTTTTACAACTAGCAAATCAAAATTGAGGGTTTTCTGGAAATAGTGTTTCTAATTCTGCCTATAGATAAAAGAGGCATACTTTAGAATAGACAGAATATTCCAGACTTGCATAATCAAGCCAATTTTTTTCCTGAGACAGGGTCTTGCTCTGTGGCCCAGGCTGGAGTGCAGTGGTGTGAACATGGCTCACTGCAGCCTTCATCTCCCAGACTGAAGTGATCCTCCTACCTCAACCTCCCAAGTAGCTGGGACTACAGGCATGTGCCACTATGCTTGACTAATTTTGTTTATTTTTTGTAGAGGTGAGGTCTCACTGTGTTGCCCAGGCTGGTCTCAAACTCCTGGGCTCAAGTGATCCTTCCACCTTGGCCTCCCAAAGTGCTGGGATTACAGGCATGAGTGAGCCACTGTGCCTGGCCCCAAGCTAATATTAATTGAAGATAAACTGAGAAGTTATAGACTGTTTTTTTAAATCAGCTTTGATAGACTTCTTAGTTATAAGCATCAATTGTTTATATATCAAATATTTTATTAACTTACAGAAATTAATCGACTTTTTAGAGCAGTTTCAGGCTTACAGAAAAGTAGAAAGGACAGTTCCAATATATGCCCTCTCCCCTCACTTACATGTTTTCTCCTATTATTAACATTTTGCATTATTGTGGTACACTAGTTACAATTGATAAGCCAATATTGATGCACTATTATTAACTAAAGTCAATAGTTTACAGTAGGGTTCACTCTTGAACATTCCATGGGTTTTGATAAATGTATAAGGATATGTAGCTACCATTACAGTATCATACAGAATAGTTTTCACTGCCCTAAAAATCCCCTGTGCTCTACCTATTCATTCTTCCCTCCCTCCCCCAGAACCCCTGGCAAGCTATTCTTCTAATTCCAGGAAATCATTTACTGCTAATGTCAAGTAAACTCAGTTTACTTTGGAGACCTAAACTTGCTTTAACTTAACTAATTTATAGTTCTTTTATATATACAATCCATTTTATTCCTTAAAGTATTATTTGTTACTATGTCAGTCAGGATCTAGTTAAGGAAAAAGAGAATGGGGTGTAGTGGCTCATGCCTGTAACCCCAGCATTTTGGGAGGCCGAGGTGGGCGGATCATGAGGCTAGGAGATGGAGACCATCCTAGCCAACATGGTGAAACCACATCTCTACTAAAAATACGAAAATTAGCTGGGCTTGGTGGCACGTGCCTGTAATCCCAGTACTTGGTAGTCTGAGGCAGGAGAATCACTTGAACCAGGGAGTCAGAGGTTGCAGTGAGCTGGGATCACACCACTGCACTCCAGCCTGGCAACAGAATGAGACTCCGTCTCAAAAAACAAAAACAAAAACAAAACAGAGAATCCAGGAAATTGGTTACACAAATTATGGAAGAGCTAAAAAGCCAAAAAGGAAAGATTCACTTCTCTAAGTCCTAAAAGATTAGAAAGCTGAAAGCTTCTACCATCCCTAGGCTAAAGGACAAATGGGGGAAGATGTTGTTCTGGAGCTGAGGGGATAGGGTCACTGGCAAAAGCTAGAGAATCCCAGTGAACATATTCATGGGGAGGAAAGCTACAAAGGAAATGCATCAGGCCTCAGGACTGAGCTAGGGAACAGGGCTTTTCTTCTTTCCTCCCTTCTTCCAATTTCTTGTCAGTGCCTACCACTGGACAAATCCCAGGTGAAAGTCAGCTGTCACAGTAGCCTAGTGAATACAGCCTGAAAGGGTCAGCCCTCCTACAATACAGAGCAGGGCAAAGGAGGAGAAAGAATAGGTATGAGGGCAAAATGGACAAGGACTGACACAGTAATCAATTCTTTTTAACTTTAAAAATCAACTTTATTGAGGTGTAATTTATATACAATTTATATACAATTTATATACAATTTATATACTTATTTTAAATGCAGACTTGGATAATTTTTTTTTTGAGATGGATTCTGCTATGTTGCCCAGGCTGGAGTGCAGTGGCTATTCACAGGTGCAATCATATTACACTGTAGCCTTGAACTCCTAGGCTCAAACGATCCTCTTGCCTCAGCCTCCAGAGTAGCTGGGACTATAAGCACATGCCACCCTGCCTGGCAATAATTTTTGGCAAATGAGTACACCCATATGACCAATCAGTCAAGATACAGAACATTTTAATCACTTCACAAAGTTCCTGCTTACTCCTTTGCTACAAATCTCCCACCCCATCCCAGTCCCAGGCCACCAGGAATCTGCTTTCTCTCACTATATAGGTTAATTTTGCCTGTTTGGGAATTTTATACAAATGGAAATATATTATGTACTCTTTTGTGCCTGGATTTTTTTTTTTGGCTCAGTATATTTTTGAAATTCATCCATGTTGTGTTTATCAGCAGTTCATTTATTTTTATTGCTGAGTAGTATTCCATTGTATGAATACACTACTTTATCTGTTCATTTGTTGATGGACATCTGGGTTGCTTCCAGGTTTGAGCTGTTATGAATGAAACTTATGTGAACAGTTATGTACAAGTTTTTTTGTGTTTGGGGTGTGTGCAAGTGCATGTGTGTTTGGTGGACATGTTTTATTTCTCATGAATAAAATACCTGGGAGAGGAATTGCTGGGTCATGTAAGAAACTGCCAAACTCAACAATTCTTTTTAACCTTATAAATGTCATTACTATGAATGTCCACAAAAGGACATTGTACATTTCCTCCAAAGAGCAAAGGGTTAGAGGGAGAATAATTTTTATGAGAAAAACTTTAAAAATTTGATACCTTAAAAATACGTTAAACTTTTCATAACAATATTTTTTTTCCTTTTTATTTTTTATTTATTTATTTTTTTTCTGAGACGGAGTCTCGCTCCGTCACCCAGACTGGAGTGCAGTGGCGCGATCTTGGCTCACTGCAAGCTCCGCCTCCCGGGTTCACGCCATTCTCCTGCCTCAGCCTCCCAAGTAGCTGGGACTACAGGCGCCCGCCACCACGCCCGGCTAATTTTTTGTATTTTTAGTAGAGATGGGGTTTCTCCGTGTTAGCCAGGATGGTCTCGATCTCCTGACCTCGTGATCCGCCCGCCTCGGCCTCCCAAAGTGCTGGGATTACAGGCATGAGCCACCGCGCCTGGCCTCCTTTTTAAAAAATATATTTTAGGGACAGGGTTTTTCTTTGTTGCCCAGGCTGGTCTTGAACTCTTGAGTTCAAGCTATCACAGCCTCACAAAGTGCTGGGATTACAGGCGTGAGCCACCATGCCCAGCCCTCAATATTTTTTAATAGATAGTATGCAAGGGGATTAGAAAAGTGTAATAAGAAAGGAGTTGAAAAAGAGAGCAAACTAATGCAAAATAATTACTAAAGACTTCTTGACAATGGCAAAATCATCCTACACAGCTGCTCTGAGATCTCAGCACTTGCTGTCAGCTACCTTCTGGCAAAGCTACTTTGTCAAATGGATGCAATAGGATCCATATTGATCTTTGTGAAGGAATATCTTTATTAATATAAGCAAACACGCCTCTCACTTATAGTAATGTAGAGGTGTGGGCTTTTTCTTTTAGTAGTATTGTTTCCCCAACATATATCACTTTCCTTTGAAATGTGGGCTGAGTCATAAATTAATGTCACAAATGAGGGAGGCAACTATGTTACAAAGTAGGAAGGCGTAGATATGAATTGTTACAGTTGACAGCTAAGTACTCTTGAACTAAATGTCATTATGTCAAATTCTGAGATATTAAACAATTGTTGAAATGTAAAATTGTGGACATTTAGGTTTGCAGCCTAAAAAGTTTTGTCAATCTTTTCTAGACATTCTGAAATGGAAATGAACAGGTGGATTGAAAACAAAGACAAATGAGGAGTTTAAAGACTTTCTTGGCACCTCATAGAGAAGTTGCTCTACGCTGGTTATGTTTTAAACAAAACACATATAAATACATTCAGCATTTCTGGAAACAGATTTATTAGATCTTTCCATTTACCTTTGGGAAAAAAATATAGAGGACTCAAGGCAATTATTCACTATATTCTTTCTATCATGTATTATTTAATCTCAAGCTAGGAGAGGAACTCTGTTTTACATGATGCCATAATGTACATTAGTGAGCTCAACCCACTTAATCTTAAAATAACAGTATCAGGTCAGGGATTTAGAATACAGTATTATATGAAAACAGTTGGCAGAGAGACTCCCTCTTCTGCCATTAATAACTGGAAACGATATTTCAGACCCTAAATCCAACTGAAACCCAGAAACAATACATGGAGAGGATGGGGTGGATAATTTGTGAGAACATGTTTTTCAAAGTAGAGAAAGAATCACTATGTTTTTGCTGAATTATATGTTGCCATGGACATGGCAGTTTGCAGTAATGATGCTATCATCTATACAGCTGTATAACAACACAGCTTCTTTCTCTCCCACTCCTTCAGTAAGGCTTAAAAATAATAGGTTTGTGTGTAGTTTGGTAAGAAAATTAGAATCACTTAAAGTCATTTCAATTCCAACCCAAGAAAGAAAAAAAGAGACTTGGGGGGATGGGGAAGAAGAGCAAACAAAATGTAGAAAAAATACATATTATTGGCCGGGCACGGTGGCTCACGCCTGTAATCCCAGCACTTTGGGAGGCCAAGGTAGGCGGATCATCTGACATCAGGAGTTCGAGACCAACCTGACCAACATGGTGAAACCCTGTCTCTACTAAAAAGACAAAAAAATTAGCCGGGCGTGGTGGCACATGCCTGTAATCCCAGCTACTCAGGAGGGTGAGACAGGAGAATCGCTTGAACCCAGGAGGCAGAGGTTGCAGTGAGCCGAGATCCTGCCATTGCACTACAGCCTGGGCAACAAGAGCAAAACTCCGTCTCAAAAAAAAAAGAAAGAGAAAAGAAAAAATACATATTATATAATGAAGTATAATATGCATTATGCAGAGACTAAAGAGGGGAGTCTTGGTTGCCTGAAAACTAATGGGTAAAATCCATTGAAGTGGGTGAATCCAGTGAAAAGACCTGGATTGAGTCCTTGTTGCATCCCTTGCATGTGACCTTGAGCAAAGTCACCATGTCTTTAAGGCTGTTTTCTCACCTATAAAATGGAATAATTGGCCGGCGTGGTGGGTCACACCTGTAATCCCAGCACTTTGGGAGGCTGAGGCAGGCAGATCACCTGAGGTCAGGAGTTTGAGACCAGCCTGGCCAATATGGTGAAACCCCGTCTCTACTAAAAATACAAAAGTTAGCCGGGGGTGGTGGCAGGCCCCTGTAATCCCAGCTACTTGGGAGGCTGACGCAGGAGAATCACTTGAACCCGAGAGGCGGAGGTTGCAGTGAGCTGAGATCGCGCCACTGCACTCCAGCCTGGGTGACAAGAGCGAGATTGTCTCAAAAAAAAAAAAATCATAACGGTAACGTCCTATACCTCAAGGGACTGTGGTAAGAATTAAAAGGGTGAAATCAATGTGTAAACTATGAAGCCCAATAGAAATAAGGTGTTATACAGACAATTGCACTATTGAATCTCCGGAGACAGAGTTGAGTTAAGGAAAAATGCACTTTCGGAAAGCTTTGGCGACTGAACGACCTGAGTTCTCCAACGCCAAGGCTGGAAGTTTGGAGACCTTGAAACAAGTAAATTACCATTAATATCATAATTTTCAGTTTCCTTTTAAGAAATGAGAGTAACACCACTTTCTTCACAGAATCAAGTGAGAGAGAACCTATGCAAAGGAACTTATCACTTGGTAGGTATTTGAAGCTCCCTCTGCCTGAAAACTACTTATTCAAAGACTGCAACAAAAGGTGTTCACAGTGTGGTATCTTTCAAAACATACGCTAAGGCAAGGAACAGATAAGGAAATGGAAGTACATCCAATTGGGATCCAAGCAACCCAAGTGGGAACCAACAGCTAGACTTGGAGATGTCTTAGCTCACTCTTAACCACGTGAGGGTAGGGTATCCAACCAATAAAGACATTCAGAGTTGGAGAGCGGGCGAGTGGAGTGTCCTTTAGACTCCGCGGACTCGACGGGAGGGACCCTGCAATGCTTAATTAGAACCGGTTGCCATGGCGACAGTCTCTAGGCAGCGTGGGCTGAGCTCTCCGTAGGAATAAAGGGTGGGCCGCCGCTGGACCCTGCGCGCGCCCGCCACCAACTTTCCCTCCAGATCCGAGAGGGGCGGCGCGCTCCGCCCCCGGGCCGCGCACGTCGGTGCTCGGCGGCGCGCACGCCTGCGGGAGCCCTCTCCAGGCAACCTAGTGCTGATCGCTCGTGCCGGTGCGGCCGTTAACCGCCCTTGCCGGAGCCCTAGGCTCAAAAGCAGCCCCTTACCCTTCCTGGGCTTCCCCCAACCCCTTTCCCGGTCTGCCCTGGGGCATGAGCAGCGATGGCCGGCTGCATCCCTGAGGAGAAAACTTACCGGCGCTTCCTGGAGCTATTCCTGGGCGAGTTTCGCGGACCGTGCGGCGGCGGCGAGCCGGAGCCGGAACCCGAACCCGAACCCGAACCCGAACCCGAGTCCGAGCCCGAGCCCGAACCTGAACTGGTAGAAGCTGAGGCGGCCGAGGCTTCGGTAGAGGAACCCGGGGAGGAGGCGGCCACGGTAGCCGCGACGGAGGAGGGGGACCAGGAGCAAGACCCGGAGCCCGAGGAGGAGGCGGCGGTTGAGGGTGAGGAGGAGGAGGAGGGCGCGGCGACGGCGGCGGCAGCCCCGGGGCACTCGGCCGTGCCGCCGCCGCCGCCCCAGCTGCCGCCTTTGCCCCCGCTCCCGCGACCGCTGTCAGAGCGCATCACCCGCGAGGAGGTGGAGGGCGAAAGCCTGGACCTGTGCCTGCAGCAGCTCTACAAATAGTTAAGTAGCTGGGCTTGGCTGGTGGTGGGCCCGCGGTCCCCACCGCGCCGGCCTCGGACGCGGCTCCCTCGGCCCCTCAAACTGCTCTCTTTTCTGCTCCTCTCCCCCGCACCCGCGCCTGCCGCCGCTGAAAGCGCCCCCGCTGCTCGGACCCGGGCGGTCGGCTGAGAGCTGCCCACGCCCGCCTCGGCCCCCACGCCCGCCTCGGCCCCCACGCCTCCTACCCGGCCTTGAAGCCGCTCTCCTGAGCCCCGGCGCCCTCCCGCCGGGCCCGGGCCCCTCATCCCCTTTCACCTCGGCCCCCAGCTTCTAGCTCCACTTCACGCAACCTTTCCCTTTCCTGCCTGGAAAGGTCCTTCCTCCCAGGCTTGAGCTCCCTCTTCTTCCCAGATCCCTTCTTTCTCCGGGAGGTTTCCTCCCACCCCAGTCTGTCTTTTCCCGGGCTGAGTGCCTTGTTGTTTGGCGGCAGAGACGCGACTCCTTTCTAGACTGAGCTGCGAGGTGCCTCCTGCGTAACTGCAACAATGATGGTTATACCGGCCCCGTATCCAGATGAGAGAATGGAGTAGATTTTCCGTCAGGTGCTCAGTGTTGAAAGTGAAGGGCTTTTTAGATGTTTTCACACAGGGAAGCCTAGTCTCTTAGTTTAGACATTTGACATTCCATAATTGAGGGAAGTGGGAAGGAATTGAGAGGGAAGGGTAAGCAAAATTTTGCAAGCAAGCCTTCGGGTGAAAGAGCCATAATTCATTAAAGTGGAAAAGTCAGGCTGTTTTGATTAAATTGCAATTAGGTGCAGTATTTTCAGTCCATTAAGTAGATGGGATGGGGTGGGGAGAAAGCAGATGGCTTAGCTACACAGATGAAAGTCTAAAATAGAAAGGTCAAGGCTTTGCCTTTCATCCCAGTTCTGGTTTTTATAGGCCTGAAATAGAAACGGTTTACAATTGCGTTTCTCAATGGAATTGTTCCGAAATAATGACAGAGGAGAATACTAGTAAGTCTCTGAAAACATTGGTAAACCTGGGAAGTCTTTTGCCATTCAGCTGATAGTTGTAATGAAAGGTGTTACTCTGGCCACCCAAAAAGTTTACTACTGCAAGATTCGCTGTAATTAAGTTCAAACTCACTTTTGGGATTTTCTCAAAAGCCTAAAGAAAAGAAGGGCCTGGAAAGTAAACCTGTTTTGTCTTCATCCAAGCTAATAGACACCTGATCAGATCATTCTCCTGTTAAAGCAGCAGTTTATCAATAGGGGAAAATCATTTAACAAATCTTCCATAGAAGTGGACTGTGTTGGTATTTCATAATATAAGCTATCTAAAATTTAATTTTAAAATACTGTTCAATTACAGTATTACCGTCAATTAGCAAGGTAATGATGCTTTTTGAGAAACGTAAAATATAAAATGGCGTGTAATACCACCACCCAGAGATAAACAGTATTAACATTTTAGAGTATATCTGGTCTTTGTGAACTATCATAGACAAGGGCTTCTGAGATGTAATTTTTTACAGTATTTAAAGATAAAGCTCCCTGCTTAAAATAAAATGGAAATGTTTATTAAGGGAATTTATCTTAGCAGCAGACTGGCTCTATCTTGACAGTTAATTCTTACCTTTACAAATGCAGTTTGCAGAATTAAACCAATTCAAACTTTAGAAAGTGTCCAAATAAGGTCATTATTTTAGTACAACCCTGAACATTTGCCATGTAAGAAGGTTTTTTTTTTTTAACTTATTTAAAGATGATGGCAAGAAGATGTGTGTTTTTTCATATAGAAGCGGCCAGGAGCGGTAGCTCACTCCCGTAATCCCAGCTCTTTGGGAGGCCGGGGTGGCAGATCATGAGGTCAGGAGTTCGAGACCAGCCTGACCAACGTGGTGAAACTGCGTCTCTACTAAAAATACAAAAATTAGCTGGGCGTGGTGTCGCGCGCCTGTAATCCCAGATACTCAGGAGGCTGAGGCAGGAGAATCGCTTGAACCCGAGAGGCAGAGGTTGCAGTGAGCTGAGATTGTGCCAGTGCACTCCAGCCTGGGTGACAGAGCAAGACTCCGTCTCAAAAAAAAAAAAAAAGATTAATTTTGATATAGGTATAAACTAGAAAAAACTGAAATGATAAAATGGCCATCTAGTTGAGAACAGAAGTTTGGATTTGAAATAAAACTAGCAAAATTAAAGTTGGAAAATATTTCCGCTTAAATCAGAGATTTCATCATTTATATTGTGTTTTGTACAGAAGTTGTTAATGTATTTTTATTCAGATATAAAATGGCTGGCTTGTTCATGTAAAGTATCTTTAAGGTCCTTAACAGGTTTAAAAACAGTTTTTGCCGGGCACAGTGGCTCATGCCTGTAATCCTAGCAGTTTGGGAGGCTGAGGTGGGCGGAACACCTGTTTGAGACCATCTTGTCCAACATGGCAAAACCCCGTCTCTACTAAAAACACAATAATTAGCCGGGCATGGTGGTGCATGCCTGTAATCCCAGCTACTCAAAAGGCTGAGCCACAAGAATCGCTTGAACCCAGGAGGCGGAGGTTGCAGTGAGCCAAGATCCTACTGCTGTCCATTCCAGCCTGGGTGACAGAACAAGACCTTGTCCGCCCACCTTCCACTCCCCCACCAAAATAAAACAAAAAATAAAAACACACTTAGCTGGGCATGGTGGTGTGAACCTGTAGTCCCAGCTACTTGGGAGGCTGAAGTGGGAGGCTTTCCTGAGCACAGGAGGCCGAGGCTGCAGTGAGCCACTGTACTCCAGCCTGAGTGACAGTGAGACGTTGTCTCAAAAAAAAAAGTTACCTACGTTTTACTCCTTTCTCTAAGTTTAAATCCCCCAAGAGATTAAAATAATTTCAATGACAATCTGAGAATTTCTGAGGTTAAGGAGAGGCTGCCCTTTGAAAAGGTGGAGGTGAGAGATTTTATAACTGAGATAATTTGTAAATAAGGGTATAACTGATCTTACAGGAGATGTGAATATAAGGCTATCTGTGTAGTTTATATGGGTCAATATTTTGTATTTAATTTCTCTATACACTACTAGAGATAACATATATTTGTTTTAATCCAGAAGAAGCAAATATTCTGAAGTCTTTTTTCTTTCCATTTTTTACCAGTAGACTATTAAACGAAGATAAAGTCATTATTAGAGCTATATTGTCATCATATTTTCAGAACAGTTGTTTCCTCAGTTATTCATTTAGTCTGGGTTGGACTTCCCAAGGGGGAAACCAATATCCCAAGAGTCTGGCACAGTTAAGTAGTTCCAGATGGCTTGCAGTAATAATGAGGGTGGACACTTTAAAAATGGCTTGGAAAAGAAAATCGCTGGTTATAGACACTAATAATTCAGTTACATTGAATTGTGTGAATCATTAATGACTTTGGATTAGGTCAGAAAATCATTAAACTTTATCTAATTTACAAATATATAAATGGAAAAATATATGGATTCATGTTATATAATACCAATTTTTAAGTTGCACATTTTTTTCTCATTCAAAAATAATAAACGTTCACATTTATTAAATAAAGAAGTGGAGAACATTCACATAAGCAAAAAGAGGAAAAATACCATTCATTGTTAATCATGCTTTCCAGGTTTTTCTCCTGCTTCTCAGGCTATCCCACTTCTTCTCTGTGAGCTTTTAATATTCTGCCTACCCCTTTAATATTGGTGTTCTGTCCTTGACCTTCTTTTGTCTGGTTGACTTATTTGTCCCTAGTCAATATCAATCTGTCACATGACTTCAGTTATTGTAGTTATGCTAAAGGCTCCCAACTCTATCTCCATCCTTTCTTTGACTGCTAGAACAGCTTTACCTAGATGTCAAAATTTCCTCAGATTAAACTGTCTAAAACAGAATTCAGTCCTCCAACCCTCTTTACGGCCCCCAAAACAAACAAAACCAAAACCTGATACTCTTTCTGGTGGGTCCATCCCTGACTTCTCCTTTCCCTGACTTCTCCTTTCACCTCTCACATTCAGTCACATCTTGTTAATTCTACCTCGTAAATACCTCTTAAATATGTCTTTCTTCATTCCCACTGTCATTGTCATCTCTTGCCAGTCTTACCCTTCTGCAATATATTTTCCCCAGTGTAGCCAAAATGTTTAATTGTCACACTGCTTAAACATTTTTACCCTTTACCCAGAGTTAGCCAAACTCTAAGGTTAAGGGCACAGTCTTCTACTCTGCCAAGTCTGCTCAAGACTTCTGATCCTATTGTAAGGGGTTAGGGTGCAACTACAAATTTCAAATGAAGATGCTATGCAAAACCTCACTTCTAACATCAACTGCAAGTTTGGGGGTTTCCCCAAACCACCCTCAGATTCAGTAATGCACTAGAAAAACTCATAGAACTCACTGAAAGCTATTATACTTAGAGATACAGTTCATTACAAAGACAAGCTACAAATTAGTCAAAGGAAGAGAGATGCCTAGGGTATAGTCTAAGAGGGTTGCAGATATGAAACTTCCATTGTTCTCAGGGAATATACCTTCCATACCCTCCCAGCATGAATGTGTGGATGTATGGAAATACACACAAGGTATTGCCCACCCAAGAAGTTCACCTAAACTTTAGTGTGTCTGGAGTTTGTGTTTTGTTTTTTAAAGAGATGGGGTCTCACTATATTCCCTACGCTGGATTCAAACTCCTGGCTCAAATGATCTTCTTACCTCAGCAGAGTTTTCATTGAGATTTATTGATTGTTTGCATGGTTGAACTCAGTTTCCAGTCTCCCCTCTCCAGAGGTTAGGCTGATACTATGTGGTTCAAGGGACCCATCATGAATAGTAAGAATACTCATATTACTCCAGAAATTCCAGGGGCTTAGAGGTTACCTCCCAGGAGCTGGGGGCAACATCTGGACCTCTCTTTGGACAAGTTTTTTACTCCACATCCTTCATCACCTATCTCTCTTTTGCCCTCTAGATAAAATCCAAAGGTAAGGGCTTATAATCTTACTTCATTAGTTTTATTTCTGGAATCACTATCCACCCACTTCATCCCAGCTCTACCCCTCCAGAAACTACACTTCAGCTATATTAAACTAATGTATTTCTTTGAAGGTATTGTGTTATCTTTTGCCTCTGCACCTTTGCACATAGTATATTTTTCCCTCTGCTTGGAATACTATGTTCCCCCAATAGCCACTCCCAACACAATCCAATTTCTTACCCGTTTTTTAGTTCTCTGTTTAACACCTCTTCCTTGAGGAAGCCTTTGCTTACCGTCCTCACACTCATCATGAGTTAGGGGTCCCTTCTACGTTCCTTTCCATAATACCCAATGCCATTCCTCTTGTAAGTACTTGGTTTAATTTATTATTTTTTGTCAGCAAATATTTATATCTCCGTCACTAGACCAGAGGTCTCCAAAGTCAATTGCACCTAAAATACTTCATTTCGGCAAAGGAAGAAAACATTATCATCTGTTTATTTGTGTATAACATACGAAATTAAGTGCTATAAATATTTGACATGTTTATTGAGATTGGCAACTTGTTCTGTATGACGACTGATTTCATGTGAAGCATGGTAAGTGTGGTATTCTGAGGGAGTGCAAATTCCACAGCTTATGGGGGTTGACCGTGGCATCCTTTCTCCAATTTTTAGGCCATTACAAACTATTACAGTTTATCTGTGCCTGAGTAAATAGATTTATGGATTATATTTCCTGGTTTTAACAAAATTAGCCCTCATGAAATGGAAAATTGGCTTTAAAAGTTCCTGTGAAGATGGCTGGGCTTGGTGGCTCATTCCTGTAATCCCAACACTTTGGGAGGCTGAGGCAGGCAGATTGCTTGAGTCTTGGAGTTCGAGACCAGACTGGGCAACATGGCAAGGCCCCGTCTCTACAAAACTTAGTTCAGCTACTCAGGAGGCTGAGATGGGAGGACTGCTTGAGCCCAGGAGGTTGAGGTTGCAGTGAACCATGATCATGTCACTGCACTCCAGCCTGGGTAACAGAGTGAGACCTTGTTTCAAAAAAAAAAAGTTTCTATGACAAAATCATGAGTTAAACATAATATTGATAATGCAAGTGTAAGAAACATAAAAGTTAAGAGCTTATAGTTCTCTCACGCTTACTACATATGAATTTGTATGGTCAACATATGTGTTTAAAAAATTTGTTTTGGGCCGGGCGCGGTGGCTCACGCCTGTAATCCCAGCACTTTGGGAGGCCGAGGCGGGCGGATCACGAGGTCAGGAGATCGAGACCATCCCGGCTAAAACGGTGAAACCTCGTCTCTACTAAAAATACAAAAAAATTAGCCGGGCATAGTGGCGGGCGCCTGTAGTCCCAGCTACTTGGGAGGCTGAGGCAGGAGAATGGCGTGAACCCGGGAGGCGGAGCTTGCAGTGAGCCGAGATCCCGCCACTGCACTCCAGCCTGGGCGACAGAGCGAGACTCCGTCTCAAAAAAAAAAAAAAAAAAAATTTGTTTTGGTAACTAGCTATTTTGAGGTTAAACTTAAAACAAAATTCATGTTGATCCATGTAGATCTAGTTCTTTCATTGTAGCTACTGTATATCATTCTATAGTATGATTATACTATGATTTATCCAATCTCCTATTGATGGACATGTCAGTTGTTTTTAATTTTTACACATATATTAAGTTAATACTGACTGCTCTAATGGATACATCCCCAAATCTCAAAGGCTTAACATAATGTTAGTTTATTTCTTGCTTATATAGAGTTCCTTCAGTGGAGAAGGAGGAGCTGTGTTCTGTGAAGTCATTAAGGAACCCAGGCTGATGGAGACTCTGTCCTTTTTAACCTGTGGTTTCCAACGTTGCTCTAGGCATCAACATTTATCCAGCAAATATAAGGGAGTAGAGAATGGTGTTTGAGGTTTTTAAGGGCCAGTCCTTAGAAGTGGCATATATCACTTCTGTTCATTTTCCATTGGCTAGAATTCAAGTCATATGACACCACCTGGGACCTACATTTCCTAAAAAAGGGGGCTGGGAAATAAATTGCTGGCTTGGCAGTTAATTCCAAGAAACAACTCTACACTATGGACAAAGAGTACAAAATCTTGGTGGGTAGCTTGGTGGCTCCTGCCCTACAGATAATGCTAGTTTGGACATGTCTCCTTGTGCATATGTTCCTAGGTTTCTTGGGTATGTTTCTAGAAGTGGAAATGTCAGATTGATATAAGTACATTTTAAATTTATTAGGTATTGCCAAATTGTTTTGTCCAGCAGTACTGTATGAGGAGTCTGATTTCTCTACGTTCTTGCTACCATTTGAACTGCCATACCGTGAAGCTTGTATTTTAACACAGTTGTGTTCCATTATTGCTACTGAACCATGTAGGAAAGAATGCTTATAGCTGAATATGATCTTGATTTAGGGCATTTTAGAAGAGGGCATTATGATTCCATAATGATTTATAAGATCACTAAAGAAACATTACCATTGTTGTCTTTTATGGATGCCTAAAAGTCTAAACTGCCTAAAGTCCAATAGGAATATAATATGAGCCACATATAGTTTAAAATTTTCTATTAACCACCTTTTTAAAATTAAAAAGAAACAGGTGAATTTAGTTAAAAAAACTTATTTTAACTCAATATATCCAAAATATTACTATTTCAACATGTAATCCATATTAAGATATTATTAATAAAATATTTTATATTTTTATACCAAGTTTTTAAAATCCTGTGTGTACTTTACACTTACAGTACATCCCAATTTGGAGTATCACATTTCAAATACTTAATAATTATATGGGGCTAATGGCTACCATAACAAACAATTTTGTTTTAGATTTGCTATTTTTTAAAAAAACCACAACTACAACAACAAAAACTTTAATTCTGTAACACATATCTAACCATTTTTAATTAATATTTAAAATTAATGAGGAAATATAACATTTCATATTAAATTAGAGACTGGCATTTCATATTGACATTAGAGCCACTTAGCTGGGTGCAGTGCCTCACCCTTGTAGTACCAGCACTTTGGGAGCCAGCCTGTTGCCCAAGCTGGAGTGCAGTGGCGTGAACACACCTCACTGCAGCCTCAAACTTCTGGGCTCAAGGGGTCATCCTGCCTCAGCCTCTCAAGTAGTTGGCAGTACAGGCATGTGCCGTCATGCCTGGCTAGTTTCTTCTCTTTTGGTTTGTTTTTTTTGTTTTTGAAACAGAGTCTCGCTCTGTCACCCGGGCTGGAGTGTAGTGGCTCAATCATGGCTCATTGCATCCTTGACTTCCCAAGCTCCCAAGTAGCTGGGACTACAAGCACATGCCACCATGCTCGGCTAATTTTTATATTTTTTGTAGAGATGAGGTTTCGCCATGTTAGCCAGGCTGGTTTCAAACTCCTGGCCTCAAGTAATCCATCCACCTCAGCCTCCCAAAGTGCTGGAATTGCAGGTGTGAGCCACCATGCCCAGCCTACTAGTTGTTTTCTTTCCAGGTTTGTATAGGCCTATTATCATCATCATCTTTCTCTTTATTATTATTTTCCTTTTCTGCTCTCCCATGAAAGGTAGAGGATAAGGGAAGAAAAAGAAGAAAGTATTCCATTCCCACATCCCTTTAGGTTGGCTTCTTATTTTATGTTTTTGTTGGTGTGTGTTTATTTTGCTTTGTTAACATTTTCAACTAGCTATAGAAACGTTTGCAATTCTTATTACTGATTAGCATTCCAAAACTTTGTAATGAACATTTTTCTTTCTTTCTTTTTTTTTTTTTTTTTGAGACAGGGTCTCGCTCTGTCACCAAGCTGGAGTGCAGTGACACGATCTCGGCTCACTGCAACTTCCAACTTCCTGGTTCAAGTGATTCTTTTGCCTCAGCCTCCCGAGTAGCTGGGATTACAGGCACGCATCACCATGCCCAGCTAATTTTTGTGTTTTTAGTAGAGACGTAGTTTCACCATGTTGGCCAGGATGGTCTTGAAATCCTGATCTTGTGATCCTCCAGCCTTGGCCTCCCAAAGTGCTGGGATTACAGGCGTGAGTCACCATGCCTGGCCATTTTTCATGGATTTAAAACAGTATCCTCATGTGAATTATTTGAGAATATTGTGAACAATGACAAGTTTGAAGTATAATACTATATGAAGAGTAATGAACTGTTTAAAAGATTGAGAGTATTCTTAATTCTTCATGTATATTTTCACTGAATACTCTGGTGTATAGCTCTGAGAAAGACTAGTTCATTACTACCTAGCGTAGTTTAAGAAAAAAAAAGAACCAAAAGAATAATCTCCTGGTTAGAAGTATGAAAGATAATTTTTTTCCTGGTGACTTGATTCCATAATGATTTATAAGATCACTATAGAAACATTACCATTGTTGTCTTTTATGGATTAAAGTATTTGACCTGCTTTTTACCACAAAGCACAACCTCTGGTCTTTAATATTTTTGTAGTTTCTTTTTTTTTTTTTTTTTTTCCAAGATGGTGTCTCGTTCTGTTGCCCAGGCTGGAGTGCAGTGGCCCAGTCTCGGCGCACTGCAACCTCCGCCTCCCAAGTTCAAGCGATTCTCCTGCCTTAGCCTCCCAAGTAGCTGGGATTATAGGTGTGCACTACCACACCTGGCTAATTTTTGTATTTTATTAGAGGCAGAGTTTCACCATGTTGGCCAGGCTGGTCTGGAACTCCTGACCTCAGGTCATCCACCCTACTTGGCCTCCCAAAGTGCTGGGATTACAGGTGTGAGCCACTGCACCTGGCTTATTTTTGTAATTTCTGTTTTTTTTTTTTTTTTTTTTTTTGAGATGGAGTCTCGCTCTGCTGCCCAGGCTGGAGTGCAGTGGCACGATCTCGGCTCACTGCAACCTCCGCCTCCCAGGTTCAAGCGATTCTCCTGACTCAGCCTCCTGAGTAGCTTGGATTACAGGTGCGGGCCACCACACCTGGCTAATTTTTGCATTTTTAGTAGAGACAGGGTTTCATCATGTTGGTCAGGCTGGTCTCGAACTCCCGACCTCATGTTCTGTCCGCCTCAGCCTCCCAAAGTGCTGGGATTACAGGTGTGAGCTACTGCACCCAGCCTGTAATTTCTTAGTCACATTTTTCTATGTTGTGAATCTAAATACAAAAACTAAGATACTAGTAAGCCTGTTTTTTTGAGAAGTATATTGTACTATATGTGTGTGTATACACACACACACACACACACACACACAGTAAAAAATACTAAAAGGCTAAAATGCTAAAGGGCAAGAATTAGGTTGTAAACATGTTCTTTATGCAATCTAATATGTTATTACATAAATATGAGATGACAATCATTAAATTCAGCTATCACTGATTTTGCAAAAGGAATGATCTCTTAAGTTCTGAGATTTGATTTCTGGCAACTCTGAATATTTATTAGTTCAAAGTGGTTCAAGGCAGCTTATAAATAGTTTTATTTATTACTTGGAAAGATATTGGTCCTATTATTCACAATATACTTATATATAATCAGAGAAACAAAAATATTTTCAGCTTTTTCGGGGTCACATGGAAAGTTAACTATAATCTAGAAACAATTTTCAGTGTTTCAAAACAAAAACAGTTTTGTGTCTAATAAAAACCCTTTGCCCAGGATATTCTCTCATCTTGGATTGATAAGTATCTTTCTGTAAGAGTTAACAGTGTAAACTTGCAGAGGGTCAGCATTGTCTACACCCAAAATAACAATTGTACAAGTATGAATAGTAGACACCTGTTCCTGTTTCTCTTGCTGCTGTGTACTATATTCAGTGAGACCTCGTTTAGGCATTGTTTTATATTTATTACCTCTTTTAATCATCATAAAAATATATGATAAAGATTTTTATCATTAACCTGTTTTGCAGATGAAAAAGCTGAGGCACACAGAATTTAAAGAACAAGTTTTCACCATCAGCAGTGTCACCAGGACATTAACCTAGGCAGTCAGACTTGGGAGATTATAATTATGATGTTCATTTTATGATTCTCATGCTACATTACAAACATTTCCTACGGGGAAAAATTTCAATGCAAATGTAGAAATTGAATTTTGATTACTGCCATTTGCTTAGCTCAGGCTTTTATCACTTCTTGCCTTGATTACCTTAGTAGCCTCCCAACAAATTTCCCTGACACTGGTCTTTTTTCCTTTTAATCTAGCTTCACTGGATTTTCCAGCATTATTGAACTTACTATGGTTCTCTTTTAAAATTATTTATTTATTTATTTATTTGGAGATGGAGTTTCGCTCTTGTTGCTCAGGCTGGAGTGCAATGGCACGATCTCAGCTCACCGCAACCTCCGCCTCCTGGGTTCAAGTGATTCTCCTGCCTTAGGCTCCCGAGTAGCTGGGATTACAGGCATGCACCACCACGCTGGGCTAATTTTGTATTTTTAGTAGAGATGGGGTTTCTCCATGTCGGTCAGACTGGTCTCGAACTCCCGACCTCAGGTGATCCGCCCACCTCGGCCTCCCAAAGTGCTGGGATTACAGGTGTGAGCCACCACGCCCAGCCTAAAATTTATACTTATTTATTTATTTAGAGACAGAGTCTCACTCTGTTACCCAGGCTGGAGTGCAGTGGTGCGATCTTGGCTCACTGCAGCCTCCACCTCCTAGGTTCAAAGGATTCTCCTGCCTCATCCTCCCAAGTAGCTGGGATTACAGGTGCCTGCCACCTTGCCCAGCTAATTTTTTGTATTTTGAGTAGAGATGGGGTTTCACCATGTTGGCCAGGCTGGTCTCAAACTCCTGGCCTCAAGTGATCTGCCCGCCTCAGCCTCTGAAAGTGCTAGGACTACAGGCATGAGCCACTGTGCCCTGCTATTTTTTAAAATAGAGATGGCGGTCTCTATTTTGCCCAGGGTGGTCTCAAATTCCTAGGCTCAAGTGATCCACCCACCTTGGCCTCCCAAAGTGCTAGGATTGTAGGTATGAGCTACCTTGCCTGGCCCTTACCCTGATTCTCTAAAGATACGTTATTTCCTGTCTTTCTGCCTTTGTAGATGCTGTTTCTTCTCCAAAGAGCATCCGCTTCCCTGACTAACTAGAATAAACCTTCCTTTGGAGGCGGATAGGGTGGTTGGATTTTTATTTTATCTTCCACCCAAAAAAGTATCTTGTTCAGGCATTACCTATAGATAAGAGCCGTCTAAGGGTTTTGCACCAAATATTTCTCTAAACTCTTGCCTCTAATGAAAGAAAAGAAAAAGTTAACAATTATTGCTGTTTATTTTTATTTTTATTTTATTTTATTTTTTGAGACAGAGTTTCACTCTTGTTGCCCAGGCTGGAGTGCAATGGCACGGTGTTGGCTCACCACAACCTCTGCCTCCCGGGTTAAAGTGATTCTCCTGTCTCAGCCTCCCAAGTAGCTGGGATTACAGGCATATGCCACTATGTCTGGCTAATTTTGTATTTTTAATAGAGACAGGGTTTCTCCATGTTGGTCAGGCTGGTCTTGGACTCCCGACCTCAGGTGTTCCACCTGCCTCAGCTTCCCAAATGGCTGGGATTACAGGTGTGAGCCAATGCGCCTGGCCTATTGCTGTTTATTAAAAACATAATTTAGAATCCAGAAATTCTTTAAACAATAGACTGAAAAAAATAGTTCACAGCTTGGTATATGGCTTATAACAATGGCAAAAATTAAAAAAAAATGCATTATTTTTCACTTACTAAGATGCCTGGAGATATTTTTTTCCATTTAGTACTTGACTAATCTTGCAATCTGTTTAAATTTTTCAATTTCATTACTAATTATTTAAATAGCTGAAGGTACCTATTTTCTATATAATTTTAATTCCTAATGCAGCCATCATCTACTCAACAAATGTCTCCTTTGGAAAGAAATCCTGTTTTTTTTGGTTCTTTAAGTAAAAAGAGAGACTGGGCTCAGTGGCTCCCGCCTATAATTCCAGCACTTTGGGAGGTCAAGGTGGGTGGATGGCTTGAGCTCCCAAGTTTGAGACCAACCTGGGCAACATGACAAAACCCTGTCTCTACCAAAAAAATACAAAAATTAGCTGGGCATGGCGGTGTGTACCTGTAGTCCCAGCTACTCGGGAGGCTGAGGTGGGAGGATGATCTGAACCTGGGAGGCTGCCCTGAGCCCGGGAGGCGGAGGTTGCAGTGAATCAAGATCGCACCACTGCACTCCAGCCTGAGTGATAGAGCCAGACCTTGTCTCAAAAAGTATATATAAAAATGAAAAGAGAAATATTTTTGTTTAGTTTGCAATCTGTATTAATGTCATATATTAAGTATCTGATCTTTTAGAAGCCAGTAAAACACATATGGGTCATATAAGCAGTGGATTGGCCAGGTGTGGTGGCTCATGCCTGTAATCCCAGCACTTCGGGAGGCTGAGGCAGGCAGATCACTTGAGGTCAGGAGTTCGAGACCAGCCTGACCAACATGGCAAAACCCCGTCTCTACTAAAAATACAAAAATTAGATGGGCATGGTGGTGCACACTTGTAGTCCCAGCTATTCAGGAGGTTGAGGCAGGAGAATTGCTTGAGCCCAGGAGGTGGAGGTTATAGTGAACTGAGATTGTGCCACTGCATTCCAGCCTGGGTGACAGAGCAAAACTCTATCTAAAAAAAACAACAACAACAAGAAAAAACCAGTGGATTATAAATTGACATAAAACATTATCACTTGTATTCTAAAAGAGTCATGGATTATAACCCTCACCATTGTATCCATATACTGTAACATAGTTTTGGAATCATCATTGCAAAATCGTTATTCCTTTGCATAATGAGTTTAAAAATGGCTCAAAGTAAAGCTTGTCTTTCAGAAGCAGAATTCCATTTTATATATTAAAATACCCAGTTTATGTTTAAGTATAATATTAAGGTAAAACTATCCTTGACTATCAAGGAAAAGAGGTGATATTAGCTTTAGTGCAGGTCTGTAAAAAATACATTGAAGATTAAAATATAATTGAGCTGGGCATGCTGGCATACTCCTTTAGTTCCAGCTACTCCAGAGGAGGAGCAAGAGGATCACTTGAACCCAGGAGATCAAGGCTGTAGTACACTATGATTGCACCCTGTGAAGAGCCACTGCACTCCAGCCCGGGCAACATAGTGAGACCCCATTTTTAAATTAAACAAGTAAAATATATTGATTATCAAATATAAAATAAAAGCGTTCTCTCAGATTGAGACCTTACAAATGAATAGCAAAAATTAGTGCCTCAATGTTGTTCAAACCAGCTAATTAAACATCACAATGGAAAAATCTGTTAAGTATTACATTAAGTAATTAGGATATTTTTATGTTCTTATATAGGTTGAAATTATCAAACCATGAAACTGAATTTTTTCTCCCTTCCCCAAAGACTATAAAAGATTTTAATTAATTAAGCTTTCTGTATTGAGAATTCCCTTGGTTTTAAGAAGCTTTCTATTTTACTGTAACTTTTCTTTTTTTTTTTTTTTTAGGCGGAGTCTCACTTTGTCGCCAGGCTGGAGTGCAGTGGCACAATCTCGGCACGCTGCAGCCTCCGCCTCCTGGGTTCAAGTGATTCTTCTGCCTCAGCCTTCCAAGTAGCTGGGACTACAGGCGCATGCCACCACGCCCAACTAATTTTTGTATTTTTAGTAGAGATGGGGTTTCACCATGTTGGCCAGGATAGTCTTTATCTCTTGACCTTGTGATCTGCCCACCTTGGCCTCCCAAAGTGCTGGGATTACAGGCGTGAGCCACCACACCCAGCTATTTTACTGTAACTTTTCTAAGTGGTCGACAAATAAAGATAGTCTTATGTGTGGCTTGGTAATTTTTGTGGTTAATATATAATATGAAAAAATTATAGGTTCCATGCATATATGATCAGCCATGTCAAAGCAAGTATTGAGTTGTTTGGCATTTCATAGTATGTATAGTTAAAAGTAGATTCTAAAAAAAAAAATGATTAAGGCCGGGCATGGTGGCTCCCAGCACTTTGGGAGGCCGAGGCGGGTGGATCACAAGGTCAAGAGATCGAGACCAGCCTGGCCAACATGGTGAAACCCCGTCTCTACTAAAAATACAAAAATTAGCCAGATGTGGTGACGGGCGCCTGTTGTCCCAGCTACTCAGGAGGCTGAGGCAGGAGAATCGCTTGAACCTGGGAGGTGGAGTTGCAGTGAGCCCAGTTCGCGCCACTGCACTCCAGCCTGGCAACAGAGTGAGACTCCATCTCAAAAAAAAAAGAAAAAGAAGAAGATAAAAAAGAAAGAAAAGGAAAATATATGATTAAAGACAGTATTCTTTAAAAAAAAAATGACATCAATGAGTTTATTTTCTTATTCATTTGTTTTCCACCTCATTACAGAATGGATTTCAAGTGGCAAATTAATTTTTTATAATGGAAGTAATATTTATTCATCAAAAATTAAGTACTTACCATATGCCAAACACTGTGCTAAATGCTACTTATTCAGAGATAAACGTGTTCCTTTCCTCAAGAAGTGTGCAGTTTAGAGGAAAAGTCAGGCAAGTTAACCAGCAAGTACAATACAATGTGAACATGTTATTATAACTCTACTATGTGTGAAGTGATATACTGAGCACCTTACATACTGTTATTCTCTATTTTTCAGATAAGGAAATTAATTCTTAGAGACATTAGGTAACTTGTCCAAGGTCACACAGTAAGTGTTAGAATCAGAATTTGAACTCAGGTGTGTCTGACTCCAAAGCTTGTTATCTTGCTGCCTCTGTACAGTATACTGATTAGAGTTAAGATATAGATGCAGGCTGGGCGCGGTGGCTCACGCCTGTAATCTCAGCACTTTGGGAGGCCAAGGCAGGGGATCACAAGGTCAAGAGATCAAGACCATCCTGGCCAATATGGTGAAACCCCGTCTCTACTAAAAATACAAAAATTAGCCAGGTGTGGTGGCGTGCGCCTGTAGCCCCAGCTACTCAGGAGGCTGAGGCAGGAGAATTGCTTGAACTTGGGAGGCAGAGGTTGCAGTGAGCCAAGATCGTGCTACTGCACTCCAGCCTGGTGACAGAGCAAGACTCCATCTAAAAAAAAAAAAAAGATATAGCAATGCAGAGGATTTTATGGGGACACTGAGACACATTTGCCAAAGTAGTCCCTTGGATTTTGGAAGGGGACACTTAAATTAGGTTTAGAAGACTCAATAAGAATTAGCCAAGAGGAAGAGGGAGCTGAAAAGCATTCCACCAGAGACATTACCATGTGCAAAGGCATGGAGATGAGAAAGCATAGCACATTTGGTACTTGTCTGGCTAACTTTTATTTCTCTTAATAAAGGAGGGTAAACCTGCAAGGAAAACCAGAGAATGACCTGAAAGTCATTCATTCATATATTCAGTTACTACTGGGCACTGTAGACTCTGTATTTGCTGTATTTCTAGGGAGATACTGGAATTTTTAAACTAAAAGTCACAGACATGTCACATATGTTAAACAACATACCAAATAATCAGGAAATAGAAGAGTCTTAAAATCTTCCGCCCTGTAGTTTGTTTTATTTGGCTATTAGAACAGTGTCTTCTAAATTGTAAAATATCTTTCTCTCTCTTTTTTTTTTTTTCCTCTGATCGTTTCTCTCATCATTCTACCTGATGCCAAGCTGTGTGGGGATTTTAGAACTTGAAGACTGCCTAAACTGTTCCCATTTCAACTATGCTTAAATCCTATTTACTTCCTAAAGATTTGTAAAAGGATAAGTATGTTTCTCTTTATCAGTATTCACTGTGTGACTTTATCTTTTAGAGGATAAATGTACTAAAAGTACTAAAACAGATCCTTTCAAGGACATGTCTGGAGAGATAGAAGCATACTGAGTTGCTGAGTAGTATACAAGACAACACAAGACCATGACCTATAAATCAACATGTAAAACTTAGGAGGTAGAGAATAACTTTTCCGTGTTTGAAGGGGTTTGAAGGGGTGATCTTCATGGATACATTTATCATTCAGTGAGATAATTTTTTATTAGTTTAATTTTTCCATCCTTACAGTCTAAAGAGACAGGCTTCAACACTCGTTTCAAATGCTGTATCTTACTAGAAGAATTTCCCTGAGGTCAGGTGGAAGTATCATTCCCTCCCATGAACTACCCCAGTATTGTACCAAAAGACATTTGGTAATTCCTTCCTTTGTATTATAAGTCATTTATATGCATTTCTTATCTCTTTTATTAAATTGTACCTTCCTTGAAGCAGAATTCATGTTTGATCCACAGCACTAAGCCTTGTACATATGAGGCACTGAGTTAATATTTAATGAATTAAAACATAGCACATATATTATAAACTAAATTATTAGGCAGTGTTTCTTAAGTGTTGAACGTGAATTACCTACATCAAAATTATCTCGAGTGTTTTGTTAAAATGCAAATTCCTGTGCTCCTGCCCGCGCCTACTGAATGAGAATTTCTATGGGTTCCGGGAATCTGTTTTGAATAAAAATTGTAGGTAATTGGCTGGGTGCGGTGGCTCATGCCTCTAATCCCAGCACTTTGGGAGGCTGAGACAGGCGGATCAGTTGAGGTCAGGAGTTCCAGACCAGTCTGGCCAACATGGTGAAACCCTGTCTCTACTAAAAATACAAAAATTAGCTGGGTGTGGTGACACACGCCTGTAATCCCAGCTACTCAGGAGGCTGAGGCAGGAGAATCACTTGAACCAGGGAGGCAGATGTTGTAGTGAGCTGAGATCGCGCCATTGCACTCCAGCCTGGGTGACAAGAGGGAAACTCTGTCCCCCCCCCCCAAAAAAAACATTATAGGTAATTATGGTGCATACTAAAGTCTGAGAACCACTGCATTAGGGAGAATGTAAGAATCCAAATTAAAGTTACATTTATTTGAAAGGACAGATGTATATCTTGGTAAAAATTATAAACATTAGTACATGGTGGAGTATAAAATATAAGAAAGTGAATAAATAGATATTTTCAGTGCAAATTTTTCTTTATCACAGGACCAGTGTTCAATATTTTGGAAAGTTCAATCTAAAAAAGCATATTTAGGTATAAATAATTTTAAATATTGGCCATTTTCTGTGAATGCATGTGAAATAAAGCACCATGGTTTTATAATTAAAGACTAAGAAAAGACATATTGGACATCATATCTGCACATCCTTATATTGCTAGATGCAAAGATTGCCTTTTAGGGCATGCTTCTTTATAAAATAGTTTGTAACTAATAGTACTGTCAGAAATACTGTAGTTTAGATAATATTTAACATATTTTGCTCCTTATTTTTCTGTAACAACACATTATATTGTTATGTTTATTTGTAGATTTTCTTATTTGTGTATGTTTTATCTGTGATTTTTTAAAAATGTGAAATTGTTGTTAGAATACCATTTATCTTGGCTTATGCATTATTGAATTGATAAGGACTAAGATAAGCTATAGCAAGCAAGTAATATAAATCTTCATCTGGGTAGTTCTTTTTTTTTTTTGGAGACTGAGTCTTCCTCTGTCTCCAGGCTGGAGTGCAGTGGCGTGATCTCGGCTCACTGCAACCTCTGCCTCCTGGGTTCAAGCGATTCTCCTGCCTCAGCCTCCTGAGTAGCTGGGACTACAGGCACACGCCACCAGGCCCAGCTAATTTTTGTAGTTTTAGTAGAGATGAGGTTTCACCTTGTTGGCCGGGATGCTTGTGATCTCTTGATCACGTGATCCAGCTGCCTCGGCCTCCCAAAGTGCTGGAATTACAGGTGTGATAAAATAGTTTTATAAACCTAAGCTGTATTTATAATGGTAATACAAATAAGAAATGTTTAAAATAATGCTTGTAATGTAGAACACTGGTCCAAGTATTTTACATACATTAATTCATTTAATCCTCATGACAACTAAATAAGATAGACACTGTTATTATCCTTATATTCCAAGTAAGGAAACTGAGGTATAGGTTAAGCGATCTAAGTTTACACAACTGATAAGTAGCTAGGATATGAGCCAGTATAATCTAGCTTCAGAGTCAGCATTCTCAACCGCTCTATAATAATGTTATTATTGTATTTTTAATTAGCAATTTGTTTGATTTTGTCATAATCATTATCAGATCTTCCAGCAGTTACATGGCAGATATTTTCAAGTAAATATTTTAAACAAATTCAGCCTATATCTAAACAATATCTTTTAAAAATTATTTTTAATGCTATTCTTACTTTTACTGATTATATGTAGTAATATTGAGATTTCTTAAGAATAGTTGGGGCCGGGCGCAGTGGCTCACGCCTGTAATCCCAGCACTTTGGGAGGCCGAGGCGGGTGGATCATGAGGTCAGGAGATCAAGACCATCCTGGCTAACAAGGTGAAACCCCGTCTCTACTAAAAATACAAAAAATTAGCCGGGCGCGGTGGCGGGCGCCTGTAGTCCCAGCTACTCGGGAGGCTGAGGCAGGAGAATGGCGTGAACCCGGGAAGCAGAGCTTGCAGTGAGCCGAGATTGCGCCACTGCAGTCCGCAGTCCGGCCTGGGCGACAGAGCGAGACTCCGTCTCAAAAAAAAAAAAAAAAAAAAAAAAAAAAAGAATAGTTGGATTTCAGAGGATTGTTTTAACCTCCCATTTTTGGTGTTTGTGATGGTGGTAGATGGTCATTTAACTTAAAAATAAATAAATAAATAAAAAATAAAGGCCAGACATGGTGGCTCACGCACTTTGGGAGGCCAAGGCTGTGAGGATTGCTTGAGCCCAGGAGTTTGAGACCAGCCTGGGCAACATAGTGAAACCCTGTCTCTACAAAAACCTTTTAAAAATTAGCCAGACATGCTGGTGCGCCTCTGTAGTCCCAGCTACTTAGGAGGCTGAGATAGGAGGATCCCTTGAGCCCAGGAGTTTGTGGTTGCAGTGAGCCATGATCGCACCACTGCACTCCAGCCTGGATGACAGAGGAGACCCTGTCTCCAAAAAAAAGCAGGGAGAGCCTTGATTGACCCAAATGAAAATCTAGTAATTTTAATTTTCAGAAGCTGTTAGAACACATAATGGATTCTTACGACAAAATCTAGATAAATTTGCATACCAATTTTGAAAAATTATATATAAAATATGTTTAGTAATGTACATTTCTTTCTGCTAAAAAGCACTAGTTTTTCTCTACAAAAATGCATTTTTAAATTAATGTCTCTCTGGTACACAGGAATAAAATATTTGTCCTTGATCTGTGTCATTTCCTCATTTTAAATTCACCAAATAGTTTATTTTAGGTGTCATTTATTGCTTTATTTTAATAAATACTGAAAATGATTAACCACATTGTAGAAATACCCAACTTATGAACTCATGAATATTGGGCTATGTTTTAATATGTAAATTATGTTTAAAAATTAATCTGTTTCTTCAAAACATTAACTTGCCTAAGTGGTTTAATTGAATACCATCAGACTCTGTTATAATCAGGACAGCTCAGAAGAAGAGAACTAAATTAGAGAGAAACCCAGAATGGAAAATAAGGGAGAGTTTAATGCTTAGAATAAAGAGTTAGAAAAGAGGAGGTGGGCTATAGGAATCTTTAATAAGAAGATTATAGGGCTGGGTGCAGTGGCTCATGACTGTAATCCCAACACTTTGGAGGATGAAGCAGGAAGATTGCTTGAACCCTGGAGTTTGAGACCAGCCTGGGCAACATAGCAAGTCCCCGGCTTTACAAAAAAAATTAACCAGGCATGGTAGTGCCTGCCTGTACTCCTAGCTACATGGCAGGCTGAGGAAGGAGGATCCCTTAAGCTCTGAACTTGGAGGCTGCAGTGAACCATTCAACCACCATTGAACCCCAGCTTGGGTGACAGAGTGAGACCTTGTCCCCCCACCTCAAAAAAATCATAGATATGCCCAAACATTTTGCTCTTAATAGCATAATTAAGATATTTTTATTTTCAATGCAAATTTGTAATCTTAAATTGAAAAACTTTATGAACATTGAATTATCCGTGGAACTCAAAGGAAAAAGGATCACTGTAATTTTATATTTTACAGGAGAAAAGATTTCTTGAACTTTTTTGCTTTGATCTATATTTTGTCATTTCATTGAGAGTAGAAAAAGAATGCATCACTTTTTATAAACAAAATATTTTTCTTTTCTAAATATGACACCAGTATGAAACTTACCCAAGGTGTTTAAGTGTTTAAAATGTAAACTGAAGATTTGATTGTTATTAAAGTATCATTTTACCTGTTGGCTGAGAGGATTCAGCATAGTGCGAGGGAGTGGGAACAAGTACCTATAAGTATACATAGGGCAATTAATAACTGTTGAAAGAATGATAATATCCTGTTTCTCAAATAAACAGAATTTTACCTTACTACACAAAGAATTTAATTCAATTTAGTCTATGGAGTTTCCTACTAGAATATAAGCTCCAGACTTTCTTTTGCTCACCATCCTATCCTCAGTACCTAGGATACTGAATGCTTAGGACATAGAAGGTTTTCAGAAAGTACTTAATGAATAAAATATATGCTTAACACATTTTTTATTGTGGCAAAATATACATCACTTATTGGTTTGATATTGTTGTTGTTGTTTTGAACCAAGATTTTGCTCCATCGCCCAGGCTGGAGTACGGTGGCATGATCATGGCTCACTGCAGCCTCGGCCTCTGGGTCTCAATCGGTCTTCCCATCTCAGCCTCCTGAGTAGCTAGCTGGGACTACAGGTGTGTGCCAGTACACACAGCTATTTTTTTTTTATTTTTCTGAGATGGAGTCTTGCTCTGTTGCCCAGGCTGGAGTGCAGTGGCCTGATCTCGGCTCCCTGCAAACTCCGCCTGGCAGGTTCAAACAATTATCCTGCCTCAGCCTCCTAAGCAGCTGGAATTACAGGCGTGTGCCACCAACCCTGGCTAATCTTTGTATTTTTAGTAGAGACGGGGTTTCACCATGTTGGCCAGGCTGGTCTTGAACTCCTGACCTCAGGTGATCCACCTGCCTTGGCCTCCCAAAGTGTTGGGATTACAGACATCAGCCACTGTGGCTGGCCATCTTTTTTTTTTTTTTTTTTTTTTTGAGACGGAGTCTTGCTTTGTTTCCCAGCCTGGAGAGTGCAGTGTCATGATCTTGGCTCACTGCAACTTCTGCCTGTCGGGTTCAAGCAGTTCTCGTGCCTCAGCCTCCCAAATAGCTGGGACTACAGGCATGTGCCACCATGCCTCACTAATTTTTATATTCTTTGTAGAGATGGGGTTTCACCACGTTGCCCAGGCTGGTCTCAAACTCCTGGGCTCAAGCAATCTGCCCGCCTCAGCTTCCCAGAGCTGAAATTACAACTCTGATTCTCAGGCTGAGATTACAGGCCTGAGCCACAGCTCCTGGCCCTAATTTATGTTTTACATAGCGTTTTGTTCTGATTAGATACAAGCCATATGCTCATTATAGGAATTTTTGAAACTATGGGGAAAAAGAACAAAACTTACTTGTATTTTGCCACTCCAAAGAGCCATCCTTTAGGAATAGTTTTCTCTATTTCTTTTTTTCTATTCAAATATAACTAAATTGAGATGATACATACATATATATATATATATATATATATATATATATATGTAGTATTGTGCCCTGCTTTTTTCCTTCAACACTTTCAAGTGAGCACTTTTTAAAATCATTAAACGTTCCTTGAAAACATAATGTTGAAATGTTAGTGTGATTTTGCTCAAAATTCACAGTAGGAGATATATTTTATTTTGTGATTAAGGCCACATGTACATATTTAATTGTATCAAAAAATTGTAAAACAGTATTAAGGGTAATGAATTCTGATTTTTTTTTTTTTTTTTGAGTCGGAGTTTTGCTCTTGTTGCCCAAGCTGGAGTGCAATGGTGCGATCTTGGCTCACTGCAACCTCCGCTTCCTGGGTTCAAGCAATTCTCCTGCTCCTCCCGAGTAGCTGGGATTATAGGCATGCACCACCACACCCAGCTAGTTTTTTGTATTTTTAGTAGAAACGGGGTTTCACCATGTTTGCCAGTCTGGTCTCGAACTTCCGACCTCAGGTGATCTGCCCGCCTCAGCCTCCCAAAGTGCTGGGATTATAGACGTGAGCCACCATGCCCAGCCTGCATTCTGATATTATCTGTTGTATTTTATTCTTTAAAATATGCTTGTTCCATCCCTTTGAAGTGATTTTGTATTTCACTAATGGATTGCAGCCTGAAGTTGGAAAAATGTCTCTTGTATGAATATTCTGTAATTCAATTATGACCCTTTTATTGGACAAATTTGGTTCAGATTTTTGCCAGTAGATGTATTTAAAAGTGTATGTGACTGTATTTACAAAAGTAATTAAGGCTGACTGTAATAAATTATTCCCAAAGTGCTAAAATGTAAGTCTTCCTTATCAGTTTGTTGTATATTTTTTCAGATTTTTGTATGCATTCATTCACTCTCTATGTCAATATCTATCTTTACACACTTTTTTTTCCTAAACATAATGTGATTATTCTACTACAACTTTAAATTTTTTAAAAGTGTATCATGGCTGTCTTTTCAGATCAACATGTAAAGATTTACCTCATTCTTTTGTCTGCTGCATAGTGCTCCGTTACAGGTGGATCATAATTTAACTTTCCCATTATTAATGAAGATTGTGATGCTTCCAATTTTTTGTGTTACAAAGAATGCTGCAGTGGCCATTCATATATGTAGATCTTTTTGCATACCTGCGTATATTTTAGTAGAATAGATTTTCCTGGAATTGAGGTTGTTGAAATATAGGGTATGCATGCTTAAAATCTTTTCTTAAATTCTTCAACTTATCCTTCAGAACATTTATATCATTTACCTCCAACTCCAATAGTATATATAAGAAAAAGGCTGGATGCCATGGCTCACGCCTGTAATCCCAGCACTTTGGGAGACCAAGGCAGGTAGATTGCTTGAGCCCAGGAGTTCGAGACCAGCCTGGGCAACATGGTGAAACCCTGTCTCCACAAAAATTAGCCAGGCATGGTGGCACACACCTGTGGTCCTAGCTACTCAGGAGGCTGAGGTGGGAGGATCACCTGAGGCTGGGGAGGTCGAGCAGTAGATACTTTCAATTTTAATTTTTGCCAATCTGATGAGCAAGAAAGATACATTTGATTTGAATGTATTGGCTTGGCATCTTTTCACATGCTTATTGGTGTTTTATATTTCTTCTGTGATTTGCTTGTTTATATCTTTAATGAACTTTTGTATTTTTATTATAGATTTGTGGGAAATCTTTATGTATTATGGATATTAGCCACTTGAGTATCATGTGTTACAAATGGCTTCTCCCAGTCTATAAGATGTCTTAAAACTTTACAAGAGAATCTTTTTCTATATAGAAGTTAAAATTTTTGTACTTGGTCACATTGGCTAATTTTTTTCTTTATGGCTTCTGGGATTTGTATTATGTTTAAAGGGTCTAACTGACCTTGCCTACCTACTGTCTTCTATGTTCCTCTAGATATTTATAGCTTTTTATGTTCATTGGGAATTTTTGTATTGGATACCACCACGTATAAATAGTTCAAATTGATATATCTAATTATTACTTCTGATAAGTAAATAATTCTTTTAATTAGAAAGATTGAAAAGTTTGTGAAAGGAGTTTTAATTTTGTCAAAATGCTTAAATTGAAACCTGGAAGTCTATAATGGTAAATATAGTTGGCTAAGGCATGAATATAAGATTTATAAAAGATTGGTATAATGGTAGATACTTTTTGGATAGGAAAATATTTAAATAAAAGTGCAGATGTCTTTTTTTTTTTTTTTTTTTGAAACGGAGTCTTTCTCTGTTGCCCAGGCTGGAGTGCAGTGTCACGATCTCAGCTCACTGCAACCTCCACCTCCTGGGTTCAAGTGATTCTCCTGCCCCAGCCTCCTGAGTAGCTGGGATTACAGGCATCTGCCACCACACCAGGCTAATTTTTGTATTTCTAGTAGAGACGGGGTTTTGCCACATTGGCCAAGCTGGTCTCCAACTCCTGACCTCAGATGATCCACCCGCCTCAGCCTCCCAAAGTTCTAGGATTATAGTTGTCAGCCACCGTGCCTGGCCCAAAAGTGCAGATTTCTAAGCAGTCTTCATGGCCAACCAAATTCATTTGAATTTAACTATGGGTGTTTCACAAATTCTTGCCTTGCTGACATTTTCGTCTTAGATTGTAAGGGAAAAAATATATTTGTATGAGAAGTCTTGAGGGATATACACCAAATTATTAACAATGATTTTTTTGGGGCCAGGCACGGTGGCTGATGCCTATAATCCCAGCACTTTCGGAGGCTGAGGCAGGCGGATCACCTGAGGTCAGAGTTCCATACCAGCGAAACCCCGTCCCTACTGAAAATACAACATTAGCTGGGCATGGTGGTGCATACCTGTAATCCCAGGTACTCGGGAGGCTGAGGCAGGAGAATCACTTGAACACAGTAGGTAGAGGTTGCAGTGAGCCAAGATCACGCC
Organism: Homo sapiens; assembly: GCF_000001405.40. Lineage (NCBI taxonomy): Eukaryota > Metazoa > Chordata > Mammalia > Primates > Hominidae > Homo > Homo sapiens. Next base: position 58,781,846 of record NC_000017.11, read on the forward strand.
TGTGCACTCCAGCCTGGGCAACAGAGCAAGACTCCGTCTCAAAAGAAAAAAAAAATAAAATAAAATGCAGTGATTTTTTCTTGGGATGGTAAGATTTCAGATTTTTGTAAACTTTTTTACTTATTATGTTTTAAGTTTTTTTTCCAACAAAAAATGTTATTTGTTTAGTAAATATAGAACAGATAAAGGATTAAATGAAGGGTACTGTTGCTCTGCATCTATTTATAGCCAATGAGGAAGAATTGCTTGGTGGGTAGGAATGATAGAAACCTCTGGAGACAAAGTGACCAGATTATTAAAGTTTGTGATAGCTAGGATGGAGAATTCTAGAAGGAGCCACATACACATATTGTCTACATGGTAGGAAGAAGGCTTTAAAAAAATTGAACAAAAAATAAGTAATCATGACCTTATGAGCTAAGACTTGGAAAATTGGGAAACATTAAAACATAATTATATAATTATACAGTTATAAATTATAACAATGAGTGTTTTTTAAAAGGCAAGTGCAACTAAAACTACTGTGACTTCACTTGCAACAATCTTAACTCAGGTTTTTGTTTTTTTTTTTTTTGAGATGGAGTCTTGGTGTGTCACCCAGGATGGAGTGCAGTGGTGTGATCTTGGCTCACTGCAAAGTCTGCCTCCCAGGTTCAAGTGATTTTCCTGCCTCAGCCTCCCAAGTAGCTGGGATTACAGGTGCGTGCCACCACGCCTGGCTAATTTTTTTTTTTTTTGTATTTTTTAATAGAGACGGGGTTTCACCAAGTTGATCAGGCTGGTCTTGAACACCTGACCTCAGGTGATCTGTCCACCTCGGCCTCCCAAAGTGCTGGGATTACAGGCATGAACCACCGTACCTGGCCTTAACTCAGGTTTTATAAAGGATATTTATAAAAGATGAATATAGAAAAGTGACAAACATAAGTGTGGCAGAATAATTAAAATTAAGAATTAACAGATGTGAGGAATATATTAAAGATAATTTTAAAGATTTTAGAATTATATTCAGAAACAGGAATATGGAAAATGTATGCTTTTTTAATACTAACAGCTCCTATTTTGTTTCCATATTTTCCATCAAGGAGAATAATATTTATTCTGTAAGAACAACAACAAATCACTTAGTAAAGTAGAATTAAAGTCCAATATAGGTGAAATTAAGAAAGTATCTTAACTACTCAATATGACTTTGTTTTCTAACCTGAACTAATTATATCTGAGATTGCTATGAACTTGTAGGTAAGAAAGTTCAACTTTGAGGAATTATTGAGAATAGAAAAATGCCAGAGGATTGGAGGTAAGCAATGAGTAAGGACTTTGACAGCATGATGATCACATTCAGAAATGACAAAGCTTGATGGACCTTCATGCAAACAGTAAAAATAATTTGAAAGTCTGTAGCAACAAGGAGTTAACAGATTGGTTTAAATAAGTATAACTAAATATATAATCCTGAATTTGGGTTGGAAAAAACCATTTGAAAGAAGAATTGATGAAGGATAAATAGCCTAATAGGAGCATTTATGACAAAGGGAATTTTATTGTTGATAAACTTAATTGTGAATCAGCCATAAGATTTGCCTGCCAAAATTTAATTACTGTAGTTTTTTGAATAAAGGAGGTTGGTTAGGCCTGGACTTGGCATGTATCCAGATTTAGGTACTACCTTTGAGAAAATTGGCGTATGTCCAAATGACAGCAGTATCAGCCCTTTCTCATGTGGCAAAAGAATTAGACTTAATCTAGCCATAAAAGCAGCTCTGGGACATAAGCCCAAAAGAAGGAAGAATTTTCTAGTGATTAGAGCTGTCTAGAGAATAAACAGGATGCTTCGAGAGGCAGTAGTATATTTGTGTAGTGGTTTTGTTTGTTTTTTTGAGATGGAGTCCCACTCTGTTACCCAGGCTGGAGTGCAATGGCGTGATCTCGGCCCACTGCAACCTCCTACCCCCAGGTTCAAGCGATTCTCTTGCATCAGCCTCCCGAGTAGCTGGGATTACAGGTGACCACCACCACGCCCAGCTACTTTTTTCTGTATTTTTAGTAGAGACAGGGTTTCGACATGCTGGCCAGGCTGGTCTCAAACTCCTGTCCTCAGGTGATCCACCTGCCTCAGCCTCCCAAAGTGTTGGGATTACAGGTGTGAGCCACCGTGCCCGGCCTGTTTTTTTTGTTTTGTTTTGTTTTGTTTTGAGACAGAGTCTCACTCTGTTGCCCAGGCTGAAGTGCAGTGGCTCAGTCTCGGCTCACTGCAACCTCCACCTCCCTGGTTGAAGCAATTCTCCCACCTTAGCCTCCCGAGTAGCTGGGATTACAGGTACGCACCACCACACCCAGCTAATTTTTTGTATTTGTAGTAGAGACGGGTTTCACCATGTTGGCCAGGCTGGTCTCGAACTCCTGACCTCAAGTGTTCTGCCTACCGAGGCCTCTCAAAGTGCTGGGATTACAGGCATGAGCCACCACGTCCGGTCCTTGTATAGTGTCTGAATGAAGCTAGTTTACTGCTTTAGTAAGAATGTTATAGAGTGAATCAAAGTTCAGATGTCTTGAATATTGGTTTGATTTTACATTTTTTCATATGGTTACTGGCCATTTGTATATCTTCTTTGGAGAAATATTCATTCAAATCCTTTACCCTCCTCCCCCCCACCACTTTTTTTTTTTTTTTGAGACGGAGTCTTTATTTTTTTTTGAGACGGAGTCTCACTCTGTCGCCAGGCTGGAGTGCAGTGGCACCATCTTGGCTCACTGCAGTCTCCGCCTCCCGGGTTCAAGCAATGCTCCTGCCTCAGCCTCCTGAGTAGCTGGGATTACAGGCCCGTGCCACCACACCCAGCTAATTTTTGTATTTTTAGTAGAGACGTAGTTTCCCCATGTTGGCCAGGATGGTCTCTATCTCCTGACCTCGTGATCCGCCTGCCTCAGCCTCCCAAAGTGCTGGGATTACAGGCATGAGCCACCATGCCTAGCCTTACCCATTTTTTAAATTGGGTTATTTATCTTTTATTATTTGAATTGTAAGAGTTCTCTATATATTCTGGACAGAAGTCCCTTATCATATATGCTTAGCAAGTATTTTCTCCCATTCTGTGAGTTCTTCACTTTCTTGATGGTATCATTTGCAACCAAAGATTTTCAATTTTGATATAGTCCAATTTATATATTTTTTCTTTTGTCACATGTCCTTTGGTGTTGCCCAATCCAAGGTCATGAAGATTTACTATGTGTTCTCTTAAGAGTTGTATAGTTTTAGCTTTTCATTTAGGTCTAAGATTTATTTTGAGATAATTTGTGTATATAGAGGAGTTGGAGTTCAATTTGATTCTTTTGCAAGTGGACATCTAGTTATCCTAGCACCATATGTTGGAAAAACTTGTTCTTTCCCTCACTGAATTGTCCTGGCACTCGAATTTTTAGAAGAATAATATAACTTTTATTTATTTATTTATTTATTTATTTATTTATTTATTTTGAGACAGAGTCTCACTCTGTTGCCCAGGCAAGAGTGCAGTGGTATAATCATAGTTCACTGCAATCTTGAACTCCCAGGTTCAATTCTTCTGCCTCAGCCTCCCAGAGTAGCTAGATGTACCACACCTGGCTAATTTATATATATATATATATATATATATATATATAGTAGAACCAGGATCTCTTTATGTTGCCCATGCTGGTCTTGAACTCCTGGCCTCTAGTGATTTTCCTGCCTCAGCCTCCCAAAGTGCCGGGATTACAGGCATGAGCCACCTTGCCCAGCCATAACTTTTATTTTTTATAAAAAATATAATAAAAACTATGGAAGATAGGAGAGAAAGTACAGTAACCACGACCCCCCCAGTCTTAGGGGGATGCGTTCCAAGACCCCCAGTGGATGACTGAACTACAGATAGTACCAGACCCAGTTGCTGATTGTATTAATTGAAACACGTTTCAGTTCATGTTTTCCACCCACAAATTTACTGCCTTTTCCATCTTAACTGAGCACTTATCACACACTGTGGCTATAACTTTTGCAGTTTGAGGTGTGACAGGAAAACTAACATGAATCTCTTTTTCCTTCACAATTTCATGGGGTTGGGGGAAGATTCATTCTTACCATAAATCTCAGCAACCTCAGCATATGATTTTTTTCTTTCTTGAAATCAAGAACTTTCACCTTTTCACTTTTTTTTTTTTTTTTTGAGACAGAGTCTCACTCTGTCGCCCAGGCTGGAGTACAGTGGCGCAATCCCGGCTCACTTCAAGCTCCGCCTCCCGGGTTCACGCCATTCTCCTGCCTCAGCCTCCCAAGTAGCTGGGACTACGGGCACCTGCCACCACACCTGGCTAATTTTTTGTATTTTTAGTAGAGACGGGGTTTCACCATGTTAGCCAGGATGGTCTCCGTCTCCTGACCTCGTGATCTGCCCGCCTCGGCCTCCCAAAGTGCTGGGATTACAGGTGTGAGCCATCGGGCCTGGCCACCTTTTCACTTTTAAGGAAGCACTTTATGGCTTCTCTTTAGCATATCTGAATTGCCAGCATCACTACTTTTGCAATTTGGGACCATTATTAAGTAAAATAAGAGTTCCTTGAATACAAACATTGCTATAATGTTACCTGACAGTTGATCTGATAGCCAGCCTGGCTGCTAAATTACTAACAGCTGGTAGCATGCACAGCATAGATACACTGGACAAAGGGATGATTCATGTCCCAGGCAGGACGGAGTGGGATGATGCAAGATTTCATCGGGCTGCTACAGAATGGCGTGCAGTTTAAAACTTATGAATTGTTTATTTGTAGAATTTTCCATTAAATATTTTTGGATTGCAGTTGACCATGGGTAACTAAAACTTCAAAAAGTAAAACCATGAATAAAGAGAGACTACTGTAATGCATAATTCTGCCACCGTTACACAACTTCCATATTATTGTTTTTGTTGTTGCCTAATGTTCATCTGCAGTTTATACATAATTTAATAATTAGTCCCTTATTTTGAATATTTAAGTTTAATATTTATTATTTAAATAACATTGCAATCATAATCTTTGTGCATAAGCTATTAGCTTTCTATTGCTTAATTTTCTTTGACACATTTCTGAAAGGATTTCTTCTAAACATATATTGAAAACCACTAGGGGTTAGTTACATAATTTTGATTTTGAAAATTCTGAAGTAGAGGGTGTTAAATAAATTGGCCCATTTAACATTACAATAGCAGCTGATGCGGACCTCTGGCTGTGGGTCAGGCAATGTGCCAAATAGTTGTGTGCATAATCATATTTAGTTCTTACTCAAATTCTATTAGATAAGGAATTCAAGGCTCAGAAAAGTTTGATAACTTGCCCAAAGTCATATAACTAGTAAATGGCAAAGATGGCATACAGGGCTGTGTGACTCTCAAACCTCAGTGGCTCCCATACTGGACATAAACAGTTATGATGGCAAGATTCCCACAGTAATACATTAGATTAAATATTTTGTACAGAAATTCTCTGAATACACATGACTTAAGTACTAATGCATTATTGGCCCAAATTTTTCTTTTTTTTCTTTTCTTCTTTTTTTTTTAACCCACAGCTAATATGATAGCTTAATATTTGTTTGGTAAAAATGGAAATCTAAAAATGGATTTTTCTCTGGAGATTTAATAATTCGTTATTCTTGGACCCATGGACTAATCATTTTGTATTATTTCCATGTGTGTAGCACTTACCATTCCAAAGAGTCTAGAGAGTATACATAACCATACAGAAGTTGTTTCACTTATGAGTACTTTAGTAAAGAAATGGGGCCAGGCACGGTGGCTCACACCTGTAATCCCAGCACTTTGGGAGGCCGAGGCGGGCGGATCACCAGGTCAGGAGATGAGACCATCCTGGCTAACAGGGTGAAACCCCATCTCTACTAAAAATACAAAAAATTAGCCAGGCGTGGTGGCAGGCGCCTGTAGTCCCAGCTACTCGGGAGGCTGAGGCAGGAGAATGGTGTGAACCTGGGAGGTGGAGCTTGCAGTGAGCCGAGATCGCACCACTGCACTCCAGCCTGGGCAACAGAGTAAGACTCTGTCTAAAAAAAAAAAAAAAAGAAAAGAAAGAAAAAAATGGTTTTGGCCGTGTTCAGAGTTTTCTTTAAAACATGAAAATGCCAGTTCTGTACAAATTCTTGTTCCAAATTTCTATTTTTGCAGTCTTTCAGCACATCAAACTGTATAAACTTTTTTTCTTCTTCCCTGAGATGGAGTCTTACTCTGTCGCCCAAGCTGGAGTGCAGTAGCCCGATCTCAGCTCACTGCAACCTCTGTCTCCTAGGTTCAAGCGATTCTCTTGCCTCAGCCTCCCAAGTAGCTGGGATTACAGGCGCTCGGCACCACACCCAGCTAATTTTTGAACTTTTAGTAGAGACGAGGTTTCACCGTGTTGGCAAGGCTGATCTCGTACTCTTGACCTCAAGTGATCCACCTGCCTCGGCCTCCCAAAGTGCTGGGTCTGTATAAACTCTTTCTTTCCTTGATTTTCATCCAAAGAGTTAGAGTGTATACAGATTAACAAGGTGACTGGAGGTATTTGTATGCCCTTGACAGAAGAGTCACTTCAGTCTGCTACAACGGTACTCTTTCACTACGGGTATAGTTTCACATACTATTGTGAGGGAAGAAGGTACATTTACTTAGCAGAAGCCATCCATTTTATGAAATGCCAATTCCCTGAATTTACTTCTTTTAAACTAGTTTTAGTTGATCAGTTTTCATCTTCTTGGTAACATTTAAAAGAATGTTCAATTTGTTTCTGCTCCAATTATCTGCTGCTGTTTAGGAGGAGGTGGACAGAAAAGAATTTCTCATATTCAAGGATATAATAGCAATGAACGTATTTTTTGTCAGTGCAGAATTTAAAGACTAAGACTTTAAGTCTGATCCTCTTCCTTTTTCTGCCGCCTCAGTCTCTGGCAACAATAGCAGGGAGTTAGGGCAGACAAATTGAACATTCCTTTTCATGCTTTATACAGATTGAAACTGATCAACTAAAGAGTTAAAGAAGTGAATTCAGTGACTTGACCTTTACTTGAAATGATTTTTAATAATTTTAGTCAGTGATCCAGAACTCACCTAAGCAGCCAGATTAGCTGAGTTAATCCTAATAATGAATTGACAGATGCTTCAGTTACACTGCCTTCAGATCCTCAAAATTGAGAATATTCATAATGGCATATCACAAAATGGACTATCAAGCCTAATACATAAAATGTACATCTGTTTTGGACTGAAAGATTGACTAATAAAAGCAATTAAGTGATCTTTTCTCTAGAAGTTTGTTTATACTGACTTCTACACCTCCAGCTCTACACTGTTACCAGAGCTCAAGCCCGTAATTCTAAGAACATAAGAAACATTTTACTTTTCATTTCAGTATATCCAATAAAGATTCTGCCTTGTTCCACATCAAATAGCACCTCTTTAGGTTTCTTCAGGCTCATACCTCATTCTTTTCCATCCCACCCCTATTTAGTTATTCATCTATTTCTGTCACTTTTTCCTTTGAAACATGTCTCAGATTTAGTCTTCATTCTTGCTGCGGCCACCCCAGTTCAGTCTTCATTACTCATTGCCTTCTAACTTTATTTTTCTGATTACATTCTTCTTTCTAGTAGTAGGTTAAATTTACACTGCTTTCATCATGTGTCTCCGTGAGGTAATCCCAGGAGCTCTGCAAAATTCACTAGCTAATCTCTGACTTAACATAGGATGTAGTATCAGAAGAATCAGCTATGATCCACTAGTGCTTTTCTTGCTCACTTGACAGCTGCCTGCTATTTGAACAAAAGGCATCTTTATTTTCATTCTTTCTTAGATGACTCTCCGATGTGATCCTTTGCACATATATATGGATCACATCTGAGAGTCATTTATATATATATATATATATATAAAATGCAAATACCTGCCTATTATTACCTTTTGATGTGACACACAAGAACACTGTTGCCTGTGTCAGACATTCAGCAAGCATTATAGTTTAGTCCCATAATCTCATTTTATCAAGAAGCCTAATTTTGTAGGCTTTGGTTGTCTCATTCTGCCACCAGAAAGTAAATTTCTTGAAGGCAGGCACTATAGAATTTTCATTCTAGCACAATTTTTGACAGTTTTTATGCATTTTTGAAATTTTTATTGAATAAATAAGTTAGTTGAGCAAATATTTATTGCATTTATTGAGGGCTTACTCTGTTCCAGCAACTGTGATGATGTAAGCAGCACTGAAAAGGAGCAGATATGGTTCCTTAGCGTGATCATAGTTCATTACAGCTTCAAACTCCTGGGCTCAAGGGATCCTTCTGCCTCAGCCTCCTGAGTAGCTAGGACTACAGGTGTATGCCACCATGCCTAGCTAATTAAAATTTTTTTTTTTTTGGATAGCCAGGGTCTTACCATGTTGCCCAGGCTGATCTGGAACTTCTGGCCTCAAGCAATCCACCCACTGTGGCCTTTCAAAACTGGTGACATGAGCCACTGTGCCCAGCGCGGCTCTTGTCTTGAGTTTATGATCTAGTGAGAAAGGCAGGTATTAAACAAATACATGGCCAGTTATGATGGTCTATAATGGACATCATCAGTTCCTTCTCTTTGTGTATATGCATGCTATTTTTCATGTCTAGAAATAGAGTCTAATTCCCCTCTCCTTGAATCTGGGCTGGTCAATAGAATGTGGCAGAAATAAACATTTTGGAACTTTGAGGCTAGACCTTAAGGCTGTAAAGCTTGTGTCTGGGTCTCTGGAAATATTTTTCTTGAGATAATCCCTCTTAAAACCCAGTCACTCTGTTGCAAGAAGCTCAAGCCACATGGAGAGGCCTTGTGTAGGTAACGCTGATCAATAGCCCCAGCTGAACTTCAATGGCCAGAATCAACTGGTCCTGTGAGTGACCCATTGTGAACATCCAGTCCAGTCCAGCCTTTAGATGACTTCATGCCCCCTACTGTCTTACTGCATTCATGTGTGAGAAGATCGAGAACTACAGATCTGAGCTTTGTCAATCCACAAAATCTTGAGAGATAATAAATTTTTTTTTTTTTGAGATGGAGTCTCACTCTGTTGCCCAGGCTGGAGTACAGTGGCACCACCACAGCTCACTGCAACCTCCACCTCCTGGGCTCAAGTGATTCTCCTGCCTCAGCCTCCGGAGTAACTGGGACTACAGGTGCCCGCCACCCTGCCCGGCTAATTTTTTTGTATTTTTAGTAGAGATGGGGTTTCACCATGTTGGCCAGGCTGGTCTTGAACTCCTGACCTCAAGTGATCCACCCACCTCAGCCTCCCAAAGTGCAGGGATTACAGGTGTGAGCCACCGTGCCTGGCCTGAGAATGAATTGTTTTAAGCCACTAAATTTGAGTGGTTTATTATGCAGCAGTATAATACATTTTGGTTATCTAACCAGAATGTAAATTATCAGATTATCAGATTATGATAAATGCTATAATGGACATGAACAGGAATAAAAGGAAAACCTAATTTAGATGATTCGGAGATGGCAACATACAATTGTTTAATAATGTTTTGTCTTTCTGCTCAACTCTGCATTTGGTGAGAGCAGATACTGTCCTATTTTTAACTGTGTCCCCAGCACGTGGCATATATGCTCAATATCTTCTGAAGTAATAACGAAGACCTTTTATTAGTGTCTCAGAGAAGTCCGTAACTCCAAAAAGGTTAAGAATTACTTTATTAACAGCAAAACTTTCCTCTTTATCCACTTGTATAGGAATACCACATCCTACCCAAGCACAAAATTCCAGGTTTTCTGGACTGAATACCTACACCCAGGATCGATGTGAATAGGGCAGTATTTTCCTGCCAGAGGTTATAGGTGATGCCTTTGAGTTTTGGGGATTTAATCATAATGGGCTACATCACATGTATGGAGGTTACGCAGGTAATGAGAGGGACTGGGGCCAAGGAGCACACAGATGAGTCTACTTAATGGAAGAAAACTAAGCCTCAGATGAAGTCTGTTATTCTATAAATAGCCTCTGTATTCCTTAACCCTTTTTCCTGTTATTCCTTCCATGAACTTTCTGCTTAATTTCTTTCATTTTAATGTGTTTCAGGGACTGATTCTCCTCTAAGGTTGCACCTAACACTTTTCTTCCTTGCCCATTTCTTCCCTATACACCATTCTTATTCCCATCTTTGTGTCTTTCTTATTATGTGTTTCTCCCATTTTCTAGGGTATTTTTCCTTCTTTCTGCTTATGTAAATTTAATCTTTTGGGAGTATTTTAAGTTTACTTCACTGGAACTTTCCTTGAAGATTCCAAGTTAAATATGCCTCTCCTTCCTGAGCTTCTATTTTACTTATTTGTTCCCAGGACATGACTTTTGTCATATCCTTTTGTATCTTGCCTTATACAATAATAATTATTATAGTAATAATAATTATTACTATATGATATTATATAGTAATATTATATAGTATAATATATTGTAACTAATTATTATTACCACAATAATGATTACTATTATTTTTGAGACAGAGTCTGACTCTGCCACCAAGGCTGGAGTGCAATGGTGTGATCTTGGCTCACTGCAATCAATGCCTCCTGGGGTCAAGCCATCCTCCCACCTCAGCCTCCTGAGTAGCTGGGACTACAGGTGTGCACCACCATGCCCTGCTAATTTTTGTATGGTTTTGTAGAGACAGGGTTTCACCATGTTGCCCAGGCTGGTCTTGAACTTCTGAGCTCAAGTGATCTGACCGCCTTGGGCTCCTAAAGTGCTGAATGCTGGGACTACAAGCGTGAGCCACTGTGCCTGGCTCATATCATAATTATATAATTTTTCAACTCTTTCCTATGTAACATGGCTATAAATACTTGGAACAGTTATTATTTTATTTTATAAGAATTTTACTCTTTTTTTTTTTTTTTTTTTTTTTTTTTTTGAGATGGAGTCTCATTCTGTCACCAGGCTGGAGTGCAGTGGCATGATCTCAGCTCACTGCAACCTCCGCCTCCTGGGTTCAAGCGATTCTCCTGCCTAAGCATCCTGAGTAGCTGGGATTATAGGCACCCGCCACCACACCCAGCTAATTTTTGTATTTTTAGTAGAGACAGGGTTTCACCATGTTGGCCAGATCTCAATCTCTTGGCCTCATGATCCGCCCGCCTTGGCCTCTCAAAGTGCTGGGATTACAGGCATGAGCCATTACGCCCAGCCGAATTTTACTACTTTTTAAGTGGGTGTTTAATAATTATGTTGGCTTGATAGATGCTCTGCTTTTCTTTTTTATTCCATTTGAACTTGACTCTCTAATTCCTCTTGAATTTTCCTGATTTGTTATACTCCCTTCTTCATCTTTTAACCTTGAATCTTTGTTATTTCCTTCTTTGCTGATTCCCATGATCTTTCTGTCTCTACTACATGTATATGTAATATATGCACACAAAGATATATACTACTACATATAATACACTAACATCACATTTTAAAGTAATTATTAATGCCTTTGTAAAATATTTATTATTATTATTATTTTTTTTTTTGAGATGGAGTCTTGCTCTGTCACCCAGGCTGGAGTGCAGTGGCGCGATCTCGGCTCACTGCAAGCTCCGCCTCCCGAGTTCATGCCATTTTCCTGCCTCAGCCTCCTGAGTAGCTGGGACTACAGGCACCCACCACCATGCCTGGCTAATTTTTTTGTATTTTTAGTAGAGATGGGGTTTCACTGTGTTAGCCAGGATGGTCTCGATCTCCTGACCTGGTGATCCGCCTGCCTAGGACTCCCAAAGTGCTGGGATTACAAGCATGAGCCACTGTGCCTGGCCAAAATATTTGTTATTATGTTTATATAGTGATAAAGTTAATCTACATCTGAGATCTGGAATATAAATTTTACATTAAATACAATATTACTTGTTTATATCTGTACAATTCTGTATTTACAAGGTCTCAACATCTATTTTATCCACATCGATAAGTAGAATTTAATACTTCTATATAAACTGTGTATATACCACTTTTATTTTATTTTGCGACAGGGTTTCACTCTGTTGCCCAAGCTGAAGTGCAGCAGCGCAATCTTGGCTCACTGCAACCTCTGTCTCCTGGGTTCAAACGATTTTCGCATCTCAGCCTCCTGAGTAGCTGGGACTACAGGCATGCACCACTGTGGCCTGATCTCAGCTCACTACAACCTCCGCGTCCTGGGTTCAAGCAATTCTCCCTGCCTCAGCCTCCTGAGTAACTGGGATTACAGATGCCTGCCACCACACCTGGCTAATTTTTGTATTTTTTAGTAGAGACAGGGTTTTGCCAAGTTGGCCAGGCTGGGTATAAACTCCTGACTTCAGGTGATCCGCCCACCTCAGCCTCCCAAAGTGCTGGGATTACAGGCAGGAGCCACCATGCCTGGCCAATTTTTAATTTTTTTTTAGAGACAAGGTCTCCCTGTGTTGCCCAGGCTGGTCTCAAACTCCTGGGCTTGAAATCCTCCTGCCTCGGCCTCCCAAAGTGCTGCGATTACAGGTGTGGGCCACCATGCCTGGCCCAATTTATTATTATTTATTTTTTGAAGTATTTTATGTTATTTTTAACTTTTAGCTTCAGGGGTACATGTGCAAGTTTGTTATATAGATAAATTGCGTGTTGTGGGGTTTGGTGTACAGATTATTTCATCACTCAGGTAATAAGCATAGTACCCAATAGGTAGTTTTTCAATCTTCACTCTTCTCCCACTCTTCATCTTCCGGTAGGCCCCAGTGTCTGTTGTTTCCTTCTTTGTGTCCATGTGTACTTGATGTTTAACTCCCACTTATAAGTGAGAACATGCAATGTTTGGTTTTCTGTTCCTGTGTAAGTTCGCTTAGGATAATGGCCTTGAGCTCCATCCATGTTGCTGCAAAGGACATGATCTCATTCTTTTTTATGGCTGCATAGTATTCCATAGTGTATATACACCACATTTTCTTTATCCAGTCTACCATTGATAGGCATTTATGTTGATCCCATGTCTTTGACATTGTGAATAGTGTTGTGATGAACATATATGTACATGTGTCTTTTTTTTTTTTTTTTTTGAGGCAGAGTCTTGCTCTGTCACCCAGACTAGAGTGCAGTGGCATGATCTTGGCTCACTGCAACTTCCGCCTCCCGAGTTCAAGCAATCCTTGTGCCTCAGCCTCCCAAGTAGCTGGGGTTACAGGAGCCCACCCCCATGCCCAGCTAATTTTCTTTGTATCTACAGTAGAGACAGGGTTTCACCGTGTTGGTCAGGCTGGTCTTGAACTCCTGACCTCAAGTGATCTGCCTGCCTTGGCCTCCCAAAGTGCTGAGATTACAGGCATGATCCACCACGCCCAACCTACATGTGTCTTTATGGTAGAATGTTTTATATTTTGGGGGGTATATACTCAATAATGGGATTGCTGGGTCAAATGGTAATTCTGTTTTAAGTTCTTTCAGAAATCACCAAACTGCTTTTCACAATGGGTGAATTCACTTAGATTCCTGCTAGCAGTGTGTAAGTGTTCCCTTTTTGCCACAACCTTGCCAGCATCTGTTATATTTTGACTTTTTAATAATAGCCATTCTGGCTGGGTGTGGGGGCTCATGTCTGTAATCTCAGCACTTTGGGAAGCTGAGGCAGGAGGATCTCTTGAGCCTAGGAGTTTGAGACCAGCCTGGGCAACAAAGTCAGACCCTGTCTCTACAAAAAAATCAAAAAATTAACTGGATGTGGTGGCGCACGCCTGTGGTCCCAGATACTCGGGAGGCTGAGGCAGGAGGATTGCTTAAGCCCAGGAGGTAGAGGTTGCAGTGAACTATGTTTGTGCCACTGCACTGTAGCTTGGGAGACAGAGTGAGACGCTGTTTGAAAACAAAAAACAAAAACAGCTATTCTGACTGGTGTGAGATGGTATCTCATTGGGGTTTTGACTTGCATTTCTCTAATGATTAGTGATGTTGAGTATTTTTTCATATGTTTGCTGGGTACATGTATGTCTTTTTTTGAAGTGTCTGTTCATATCCTTTGCCCACTTTTAAATGTTTTGTTTTTTGCTTGTGAACTTGTTTACGTTTCTTATAGATTTTGGATATTAGACCTTTGTCAGATGCATAGTTTGCAAATATTTTCTCCCGTTCTGTAGTTTGTCTGTTTACTCTGTTGACAGTTTCTTTTGCTGTGAAGAAGCTCTTTAGTTTAGTTAGATCCCTTTTGTCAATTTTTTTTGTTGCAATTGTTTTTGGAGTCTGATACTGTCACCCAGGCTGGAGTGCAGTGGCACAATCATGGCTCACTGCAGCCATGAACTAAGCTAGCCTCTTCCGTTAGCCTCTGGACTGGCTAAGACTACAGATGCATGCCACCATTGCTGGCTAATTCTAAAATTTTTTGTAGAGACAGGGTCTCATTATGGTTCCCCAGGCTAGTCTCGAATTCCTGGCCTCCCATGATCCTCCCTCCTTAGCCTCCCAAAGTGCTAGGATTATAGGTGAGAGCCATCCTGCCCGGCTTGGTTTTTTCCCATGGCACTTTATTTATTTATTTAGAGACAGGGGCTCACTCAGTAGCTGCGACTACAGGCATGTGCCACCAAGCCTGGCTAATTCTTGTATTTTTGTAGAGAGAAGATTTTGCTGTGTTGCCCAGGCTGGTCTCAAACTCCTGGGCTCAAGTGATCTACTTGCCTTGGCCTCCCAAAATGTTAGGATTACAGGCGTGAGCCACTGTGCTTGGCCTCTATGGCACTTTAATTTGACATTGACCTTTATCTTTTAATTAAGTATTATTTACTTTTGTTTTTATTCTCCAGCATTTATATAAAATTTTTGAGGCATATGGAAAAATTGTAGGCATTGAACAGTGAACACCCATATACCCACAACTTTGATTCTACAATTAATGTTTTACTGTATTTGCTTTATCACATCTTCTATATGTTTATACATCATTCTATCCATTTTGTTTTTGGTTGCATTTTAAAGTAAGCTGTGGCCAGCCATGGTGGCTCACACCTGTAATCCTAGCACTTTGGGAGGCTGAGGCGGGTGGATCACCTGAGGTCAGGGGTTTGAGACCAGCCTTGCCAACATGGTGAAACCCCGTCTCTACTAAAAATACAAAAATTAGCTAGGTGTGGTGACGGGTGCCTATAATCCCAGCTGTACTTGGAAGGCTGAAGCAGGAGAATCACTGGAACTCGTGAGGCAGAGGTTGCAGTGAGCTGAGATCACGCCACTTCACTCCAGCCTGGACAGGAGCGAAACTCCATCTCAAAAAATAAATCAATAAAGTAAGTTGCAAAGTTTGCCCCTAAAAAACAAATAATTTACTGTAGCTCAATGTTTGTTTATTTTTTTCAAGTTTCCAACAAGTCATTGATTACTTTTTAAAAAGTAAAATTTATATACAATACAATGCGTAAATCTTAATTGTGCTATTTGATGAATTTTGACAGATGCATGTATCTGCTAACTAATATCCCTATCAGAATTAGAACATTACTGCTATTCCAGAAGGTTTCTTCACACCCTTTCCCAGTCAGTCTTCACCCATGCTGCCCAGAGGAACCATTACTCCTTTTTTCACCATAGATTAATTTTGCCTATTCTAGAATCCCATGTAAACAGAAGCATATAGTAGAGACACTTTTGTGGAAAGCTTCTTTCAGACAGCATGTTTTTTGAGATTCATTCATGTCATTGCATGTATTCAGTTATTTCTTTTTATTGCTGAGTAGTATTTGATTGTGTGAATGTACCACAGTTTTTTCATTTATTCTCCTGTTGATGGACATCTGAGCGGTTTCCATTTTTTTGGCTACTATTAATAAAGCTCCTATGAACATTCTCGTGCAAGTCTTTTTGTGGACATGGCTTGTATTTCTCTAAGGTCCTAGGAATAGAAATGCTGGATCATTAGGTAGGTAGATATACATGTAGTTTTTAAGAAACTACCTGATATTTTCCAAACTTGTTATATCATTTTATGTGGCCACGAAAAATGTATGGGAATTTCAGTTGCTCCATCTCTTCACCAATGTTTGGTGTTATCAGTCTTTTAATTTTTGGCTATTCTCTTGGCAAGTGACACTTGTGTATTGAGGACAAATGTAAAAATAAATAAATAAAACTTGGCTAGTCTCGTGGGCATGTAATAGTATCTTGTACTTTTAATCTGCATTTCCCTGATGACTTATGATTTTGAGGATCTTTTCATGTGCTTATTAGCCATTTATATAACTTCATTTGTAAAGTGTCCAGTTATTTTGCCCATTTTAAAATTGTTTGTATTTTTCCTTACTGAGTTATAGGAGTTCCTAACACATTCTGAATATCAGTCATTGTTGGATATGTGTTTTGCAAATATTTTCTTCTGTGTGAATTACGTTTTTTGTTTGTTTTTTTTTTTTTTTTGAGACGAAGTCTCGTTCTGTTGCCCAGGCTGGAGTGCAGTGGTACAATCTCGGCTTGCTGCAACCTCCACCTCCCGGGTTCAAGCGATTCTCCTGCCTCAGCCTCCTGAGTGGCTGGGATTACAGGCAGGCGCCACCACGCCTAATTTTTTTATTTTTAATAGAGACAGGGTTTCACCATGTTGGTCAGACTGGTCTCGAACTTCTGACCTTGTGATCCACCCGCCTTAGCCTCCCAAAGTGCTGGGATTACAGGCGTGATCCACCGCACACGGCCCTATTTTTTTTTTTTTTTTTTTTTTACGCAATAGTGTCTTCAGTCAGCAGAATTTTAAAAATTTGATGAATATCTATTTTTTTCTTCTATTGTTACTGCTTTGCTGCCCTACTAAACTTTTGCCTATCCCCAAGTTGCAAAGATATTTTCCTGTGTTTTCTGTTTTCTTTTCTTCTTTTTTTTTCTTTTGAGATGGAGTCTCACTCTGTCACCCAAGCTGGAGTTCAGTGGCATGATCTTGGCTCACTGCACCCTCTGCCTCCTGGGTTCAAGTGATACTCATGTCTCAGCCTCCTGAGTAGCTGAGATTACAGATGCATGCCACCATGCTCGGCTAAATTTTGTATTTTTAGTAGAGATGGGGTTTCACTATGTTGGCCAGGCTGGTGTCAAACTTTACTGACCTCAAGTAATCTGCCCGCCTCAGCTCCCAAAGTGTTGGGATTACAGGCGTGAACCACTGTGCCCAGCCCTGTGTTTTCTTATAGAAGTTTTATGTTTAGGTCTCTGATCCATTGCAAATTAATTTTTGTATATAGTGTGAGATAAAGCTTAAGGTTCATTTATTTTCCCATCTAGATATCCAGTTGTTCTGGCGCTATTTGTTGAAAAGACAATTTCCCATTGGATTGCTTTGGTTCATTTGTTGAAAATCAGTTGATAGTGCAAGTGTGGGTCTTTTCAGTGTTCTCTATTTTGTTGATATGCTTGTCTATTTATGACAGAATCATGCTGTCTTAATTAGTGTAATTTCACATTAAGTCTTTTTTTTTTTGAGACAAGGTCTTGTTCTGTCACCCAGGCTGGAGTGCAGTGGCGCCGTCAGGGCTCACTGCAACCTCCACCTCCAGAGCTCAAGCTATACTCTCACCTCGGTCCCCCCTGAGCAGCTGGGACCACAGGCGTGTGCCACCACACTCAGTTACTTTTTTTTTTTTGAAATGGAGTCTTGCTCTGTCACCCAGGCTGGAGTGCAGTGGCACGATCTTGGCTCACTGCAACTTCTGCCTCCTGGGCTCAAGCGATTCTTCTGCCTCAGCCTCCCAAGTAGCTGGGACTACAGGTGTGCACCGCCACGCCTGGCTACATTTTTGTATTTTTTGTAGAGATGGGGTTTCACTGTGTTGGCCAGGCTGGCCTTGAACTCCTCACCTCAGGTGATCTACCCGCCTCAGCCTCCCAAAGTGCTGGGATTACAGGCATGAGCCACTGCACCTTGCCAAATTTTTTGTATTTTGGTAGAGATGGGGTTTCACCATGTTGTTCAGGCTGGTCTCCAACTCCTGAGCTCAAGTGATCTGCTGGCCTTGGCCTCCCAAAGTGCTGGGATTACAGGTGTGAGCTACCATGCCTGGCCTCACATTAAGTCTTGAAATTAGGTAATGTAAATTATCCAACCTTGTTTCTCCAAATTGCTTGGATTTTATAGATCTTTTGCATTTCCATATAAATTTTAAAATTAAGTTTTCTGTTTCTACAACATTCCTGGTAGGAATATGAATGGGATTACATTGACTATGTGTGTAAATCAATTAGCAAAGAAAGTAAATCTTATTGAATCTTTCAATCCATGAACATTATAAATATGTATATATACATATAGATGGATGTTGAACTTTGTCAAATTTTTTTTTTCTGCATCTATTTGGATGACTATATGATTTTTGTCCTTTATCTGTTAATGTGGTCATTACATTAATTGTTTTTTCAAACATTAAACCAACATTGCATTTCTGGAATAAATCTCATTTAGTCATGATGTGTTATCCTTTTTATATACTGCTAGATTCAATTTGGTACTATTTTGTTGTAAATATTTACATCTTTGTTCATGAAGGATATTAGCCTATAATATTTTTCTTTCCTTCTCTCTTCCTTTTTTTCTTTTTGTAATTTCTCCAGCTTTGGTATTGGGTTATTTTGGCCTCAAGAAATATTGAATATTGTCTCTTCTGTTTTCTGAGGTTGTATAAGATGTTATTTCTCTAAGTGTTTGACATAATTCACCAGTAAAACTATCTTGGCATGGGTTTTCTTTGTGGGGAGGTTTTTGATAACAAAGTCAATTTCTCTGATAGACAAGGGGCTGCTGAGATTTTCTCTTTCATCTTATCTAAGTCTTCGTAAATGATGTATTTTAAGGAATTTGTCTATTTCTTCTAATTTGTCAAACATATTGAGATAAAATTGTTTATAATAGTCTTTTATTATCATTTTAAGGTCTGTGGGATCTTAGGTGATATCCTCTTTTATTCCTCACCTGGGTGATGGTCTCTGTTCTTTTTCTTGACCTGTCTAGCTAGAATATTATAAATTGTGTTGACTTTATCAGTTTCACTGATCTTTTCAAAGAACCAACTTTTGGCTTTATTAATTTTTTCTGTTTTTTGCCTGATTTCTACTTCATTGATTGCAATTCTTTATCATTTCTTTCCTTTTATTTACTCTGGGTTTACTCTGCTCTTCTTGATTTTTAATTTAATTCTGCTGGGGTCAGAGAACATACCCTATATTATTTTGATTCTTTTATTTTTATTAAAATTTATTTTATTTCACAATATATTCTATCTTGGTGAACATGCCATGTACACTTGGAAAGAAAGTGTATTCTGGCCTTGCTGGATGTAGTGTTCTATAAATGTTGATTAGGTCATGTTGGTTGTTAGTGTTTTTCAAATCGTATACGTTTTCATTGATATTGTTAAGTGAGAGGAGAGTGTTGAAATCTCCAATTGTGATTGTAATTTAGTCCACTTTTTCCTTTGATTCTGTCAATATGCTTCACATAGTTTGAAACTTGTTTGACAAACATACATATTTATGACTGTTGTTTGTTTGTTCCTTATGAATTAACCATTTTATTTTTAGATAAATGTCCCCCTTTATCTCTGATAATATTGTCTTTTTCCCCTTCAGTCTTTTTTTTTTTTTTTTTTTGAGGTGGAGTCTCTTTCTATTGCCTAGACTGGAATGCAGTGGCACGATCTCGGCTCACTGCAACTTCCGCCTCCCTGGTTCAAGTGATTCTCTTGCCTCAGCCTCCCAAGTACCTGGGACTACAGGCACGTGCCACCAGGCCTGGATAATTTTTTCTATTTTTAGTAGAGACGGGGTTTCACCATGTTAGCCAGGATGGTCTTGATCTCTTGACCTCGTGATCTGTCTGCCTCAACCTCCCAAAGTGTTGGGATTACAGGTTTGAGCCACCACGCTCGGCTCCCCTTCAGTTTTTTTTTAATTTTTATTTTTTTTGAGACAGAGTCTTGCTCTGTTGCCCAGGCTGGAGTGCAGTGGCATGATCTCGGCTCACTGCATTTTCCGCCTTCTGGGTTTAAGCTATTCTTGTGCCTCAGCCTCCTGAGTAACTGGGATTACAGGCACATGCCACCACCTCCAGGTAATTTTTTGTATTTTCAGTAGAGACAGGGTTTCACTATGTTTGCCAGGCTGGTCCTGAACTCCTGATCTCAAGTGATCCACCCACCTCAGCCTCCCAAAGTCCTGGAATTACAGGCGTGAGCCATCATGCTTGGCCTCCCCTTCAGTTTTATTGAGGTGTGATTGACAAACAAAAAATTATTGCCAAGGCCAGTTGTCAAAGAGCTTTCCCCTGTGTTTTCAACTAGGAGTTTTATAGTTTCAGATCTTATGTTTAAGTTTTTCATCCATTTTGAGTAGATTTTTATGTATGGTTTAATAAGGGTCCAACTTCATATTTTTTGAATAGGGATATCCAGTTTTCCTACCACCATTTATTAAAGAAACTATCCTTTCCCTGTTGTATCTTCTTGGTACCTTTGTTGAAGATTTGTTGACCATATAGGTTTGGGTTTCTTTCTGGGCTTTCTATTCTGTTCCATTGGTTTCTATGTCTGTTTTTATGCCAGTGCCATACTGCTTTGATTACTGTAGTTCTATCATATAATTTGGAATCAGGAAGTGTGATGCCTCCAGCTTTGTTCTTCTTTCTCTAGATTGCTTTAGCTACTCGGGATCTTTTGTTGTACTATTAATATACAAATGTTAGGGGTTTTTTTTCTATTTTTTGTGGAAAATACCATTGGAATTTTGATAGAGATTGCATTGAATCTGTAGATTACATTGGATTGTGTAGGTATTTTAACAATATTCTTCCAATCCATGAACACAGGATATCTTTCCATTTATTTGTGTCTTCAATTTTTTAATCAATGTTTTATAGTTTTTCATATTCAGATATTTCACCTCTTTGGTTAAATTTGTTCCTAAAACTATTTTATTACTTTTGATGTTACTGTAAGTGGGATTTTTATCTTCATTGTTTTCATGTAGTTCACTGTTAGTATATAGTAATGCAACTGATTTTTGTGTGTTTTTTTTTATCCTACAAATTTGCAGAATCATTTATTAGTTCTAACAGTTCTTTTGTGGAGTCTTTAGGGTTTCATATATATTAGATCATGCCATCTGCAAACAGAGTCAATTTTACTTCCTCTTTTCTCATCTGGATAGCTTTTATTTCTTTTTCTTGCCTGATTGTTCTAACTAGGACTTCATAGTTCTAGTTTTGTTCTATGTTGAATAGCACTATGTTCTAGTTTTGTACTATGTTGAGTAGAAATGGCAAAACTGAGGACCGTTGTCTTGTTCCTGATCTTAAAGGAAAAGCTTTTAGCTTTTCACCATTAAGTATGATGTTTAGCTGTGGGCTTGTCATATATGGCCTGTATTATACGAAGGTACATTCCTTCAATACCTAATTTGTTGAAAGTTTTTTATCAAAAAATGATGTTAAATTTTGTTGAGTATTTTTCCTGCATCTCTTGAGGTGATCATATGATTTTTATCCATTATTCTGTTATTGTGGTATGTCACATTTATTGATTTGTATATAATGAATAATTCTTGCATCTCAGGGATAAATCGCACCTGATCATGGTGCATAGTCTTTTTAATGTGCTACTGAATTTGGTTTACTGAAATTTTGTTGAGGGTTTTTGCATTTATGTTCATCAGGGATATTGGCACTACTAACATTTCAAGCCAGATAATTCTTGTTTGTTGGAGGCCTTGTAGAATATTTAGCAGCCTACCTGGCCTACACCACCAAATACCAGTAGTACCTTTCCCTACTTCTAACAACCTAAAATGTCTCCAGCCAGATGTCCCCTAAGGGGCAAAATCATTTTCAGTCAGAACCACTGTTTAGCAGTAACCTGTAAGACAAAAGTATACCAAAAAGTAGAAGTAACTTTATGGATTCCTAGATCAGTGTGTTCTGCTATCACTGTCTTCTAGGCTGCCAGGATTTACGCTTTTAATAGTGTAGTCTAGTACTACCTTGCCATTATGTTCAGAAGTAAATGTGAATTTAAGTTGAATAGTAGTGTTTTAAAATATGTAATCCAAATATTCCTAATTTTTTATTTTATTTTGTTTTGTTTTTAGGGACAGTCTTATTCTGTCACCCAGGTTGGAGTGCACTGGCATGATCATAGCTCACTGAGACCTTAAACTCTTAGGCTCAAGCAGTCCTCCTGCCTCAGCCTCTCAAGTAGCTGAGACTACAGGCCTGTGAAGCCATGGCAGCTAATTTTTTAATATTTTGAAGAGACTGGGTCTCACTATGTTGCCCAGGCTGGTCATGAACTCCTGGCCTCAAGCAGTCCTCCTGCCTGAGCTTCCCAAAGTGCTGGGATTACAGGCATGAGCCACCATGCTTGGCCTCCAAATATTAGTTTAAATGAAAGCTGCTTTTTCTATTTAAAATTTTAAAGTGATTGGTTTTGAAAACTTTTTAATGTTTTCATCATTATAGGTGATATCTATCATAAGGTATTTTTGAACCTTGTTTTTATTATACTCATAAAAGTAATACATTAAAACAGATAATGGAATATGCTCTTTTTTTCTTCCTACCAAAACATTATTCTCTAACTAGATTTGTCACCCAGCTTTTAGTGAATTATGAGTTCTCAATATTTTCATACACTTTTGGAAGACATGGAGATAGGGAAGGGGGATGGCAATTCGAGTGCATAAAAATAGTTTTTACTTTACATGTTGTGACTCACTTAAGTTTCATTATTATAATAAATGTTAAAGATATTCCATCTACTTTTTATAGTTTCTGAATCATTTGCTCAGGTATAATAGTTATTTGATATGAATAAATTTGAGAAAATATTATTTAAAATATACTCTGTTACAGAATCTTCCTGCCATTATTTTTTTAAATTAAGTTCATTTTATTTTATTGATATATAACATTTTACTTATTTAATGGGGTACATGTCATATTTTGTTACATAGAATGTGTAATGATCAAGTCAGGGTATTTGGGGTACCCATCTTGAGTATTTATCATTTTTATATGTTGGGAACATTTCAAATTCTCTGTTTTAGCTGCTTTGAAATACATAATACATTGTTGCTAACTATAGTTACCTACTCTGCTATGCCTTCTATCTAACAGTATTTTTGTACCCATTGACCAATCTCTCTTCATCTCTACCTTCCTCCCACCCCCCACCATACCCTGCCCAGCCTCTGGTATCTATCATCCTACTTTCTACCTCCCTGAGATCAACTTTTTAAAATTTTTATTTTTTATATAGTTTTTTTTATTTCAATAGGTTTTGGGGAACAGGTGGTGTTTGGTTACATGAATAAGATCTTTAGTGGTGATTTCTGAGATTTTGGTGCACCAGTCACCCAAGCAGTATACACTATACCCAATGTGTAGTCTTTCTTTTTTCTTTTTTTTGATACAGAGTTTCACTCTCGTTGCCCAGGCTGGAGTGCAATGCCGCGATCTCGGCTCACCTCATCCTCTGCCTCCTGGGTTCAAGTGATTGTCTTGCCTCAACCTCCCGAGTAACTGGGATTACAGGCATGCGCCACCACAGCTGGCTAATTTCGTATTTTTAGTAGAGATGGGGTTTCTCCATGTTGGTCAGGCTGGTCTCAAACTCCTGACCTCAGGTGATCCATCCGCCTTGGCCTCCCAAAGTGCTGGGATTACAGGCGTGAGCCACCGTGCCCGGCCCCAGTGTGTAGTCTTTTATCCCTCACCCCCTATTATTACTGAATGATGCCATTATCATTATATAGATACACAGATTCGCTTCTATATACTACCATTTTTTCCAGATATTTCATAATAATAATATGTGACCTCACTAAAATACCCCTGAATGGAAAGAAAGTCATCATACTAGTAGCATTATAGGAATTAGAAAACAATGTGCGGTTTCATTTTCTGATCATCAAGGATCTGGAAATACTGTTTTTCTGTAATACGAAGAAAGCAAGTATGTTTCTTTGTATCTATGTAAAATCATATCACTTATAGTTAAGAATAGGAAGCCTAAAATGTATGATTTGTTTCAATATGGATCCAGACCAGTTCTGGTAACTTTTTAATAGGAGGTTCAGGCTGTTCTGCTAAAAAAAAAAACAAAAAAAAAAAACAAAAAAAAAACAAAACAAAACAAAACAAAAAAAAAACTATATGTAGCATTTGATACTTAATTGTAGTAAGTACTGTCAATTCTCTCCTCCGTGTCCTGTCTCGTGGCACTTAACTTGACCAATTTATATAAAAAGAAGACTTTCTTCTGAAAGTAGGGAGTATCTCAGTTTTACAAATAAGCAAACAAACATCTGGAATTGAAATAACTTGCTTAAGGTTGTGGAGTTTATAGCAGCAAACCTAGGTCTTTTGACTCCAAAGTCTATGTTTTTTTTTCCTTCTTATCAATGCGAGAGTACAAAGTCTATTATTACCTATCATTTTGCCGAGAAAATTAGTATGATTAGAAGGGTAAGCTATGTGGGAAAGGGATGGATGTAAAAAGTTAGTTGTCGACAGTATAGGGATTGAGTTGAAAGAATAATTAGATCTGTTTTCTAACTAATAAATGGTAAAAAAAAAAATGTGATAGGAAAAAACTTAATGTGTGAGAGTTTCCAGCCTTCTGCTCTTCGTCTATGTGCTAATGATAGTTCTACCTTTACTAATTCAATTTTTTCCTTTTCTCCTGTCTCCAACAAGGGCTCAGCATTTGTCAAACTAGATCTTTGGGGATTTGTAATATAGACTTGACTTGAGAGAGAGGGATGAGGTGGAAGGAATATGAAAGTGGCTGCCACAGGATCACAGGATAACCTAATTATCTTGTTTTGTTTTGTTTTCTTTTTTTTTTTTTTTTTTTGAAATGGAGTCTCCCTCTATTGCCCAGGTTGGAGTGTAGTGGCGCCATCTCGGCTCACTGCAACCTCCACCTCCTGGGTTCAAGCGATTCTCCTGCCTCAGCCTCCAGAGTAGCTGGGACTACAGGTGCGTGCCACCACGCCCTGCTGTGTTTTTTTTTTTGTATTTTTAGTAGATACAGGGTTTTACCATATTGGCCAGGCTGGTCTTGAACTCCTGACCTCGTGATCCACCTGCCTCAGCCCCCCAAAGGCTGGGATTCCAGGTGTGAGCCACCATGCCTGGCCTTGTTTTGTGTTTTCTACTTCATACTCTGTCATGGTTGCATTAAAAAAAATTTTAGTAGAGGTCTTCAAATCTTACAGTGAATGCTGATACCTCCTAATTGTAGCAGCATTAGAAAATGTCTTATGATAATTGTTGAACTTGGATACATGAGATTTAATATGTTATTCTCTTTACTTTTGTGCATATTTGATACTTTCCATAATAAAATGATTTTTTGGATTTTTTAAAAAGAAAATGTTTTAGTGAACATACTTGATTGCTAATTTCTTTCTTTATTCCTGGAATATCAGAACTATATCTTGTATATTACTATTGTGTATTTCAGGGTGCCTAACATAATACTCATTCACTAAATAAACATCTGAGTTGAAATGAATATAATATTTAGTTGCTTAATTTTAAATGTAAGTTATACTTAAGTAGCAGTTAGTATATAAAGTGAAAAATGTGGTTTTTGGTGAATTCTATAAAGGTGAGAAAATGTTCTGGAATTAGATAACGGTGGCGGTTGTGCAACTCTGTGACTATACTAAACACCATTGAATTATATACTTTAAAAAAGTAAGCTGTGTAGTATATGAATGACATATCAATTTTTAAAAAGGCAATGTAAAAAAATACAAAGATAAGTCATAAACTGGGAGAAGATACTTATAACACAAATAACTCATAAAAGAACTCTCACAAATGGATAAGGAAAAGACAGCCCTATAGATAAGCAGACAAATAAAACTAATGGACATTTCACAAAGAGAAAACACGAATAGGCAAGAAACATTTTAAAAGGTACTTAACCTCATTTGAGATAAAGAGATGCAAATTATAACCTCAATGAAATAAGCATTTACACATACCAGACTTACAGAAATTAAAGAATTGGATCATCCCAGGTAGGCAAAATGTAAAGGAACGTGAACCCTCATATACTGCTAGTAAGATTCTTTAACTGGTACAACCACTTTGGAAAGATGTTTTGGTATTACCTGGTAAAACTGAAGTTGCAAATGCCCTTTGACCAAGCAGTTCTACTACTAGCAGTGCGTATGTGTGTTTATATGTGTATGTAATCTGTCCTTTCCCTACTGATTGTTAATATCACATTTATCAAGTTATCATATTTTCATGGGTCTATTTCTAGGCTCTCTAGTATGTTAAATTGGTGATTTGTTTATCCATGCAGCAATTTTATGCTGGCTTATTTACTATAATTTTAAAATAAGTTTTAATGCCTAGTAGGATCATCTTCTTTCAGAATGTTCTTCAGGGATGTTTGGCTATTTCTGGTCATTTGCTCTTCCATATAACCCTTAGGATCAATTTGTCAAGTCTTATGTCTTGTTGGGATTGTTATTGAAATTATATTGAATTACTTTGAATTGATAGGTCATTTTGAAAATAATTTTCTGGACTGTATTTCTCCATTTATTTAGGTCTGTCTTAATGTCTTTAATTTAATTTTACAATTTTCTTTATAAACTTATCATAGTCTTTTGTTATATTTCTTCCTATGTATTTATGTGTACGTGTGTCTGTGTGTTTGTGAGACAGAGAGAGGGAGGGAGGAAAGGGGGAGTGGAAGGAGGAGAGAGAAAAAGAGTATAAAATTAAACATCAACTAAAAAAACAGCTTTATTGAGGTACAATTTACATACCATAAAATTTACTCATTTTATGTGTACAGTTCAGTGATTTTTAGTAAATCTTCAGAGTTGTGCAATGATCACTACAATCTAATTTTAGAACATTTCTGTCACCCTAAAAAGAAAGCTTGTGCCAGTCACTCTTGGCACACTTGTTGGCAGTCACTCCTTGTTCCCATCCCTAGCCCGAGGAAACCACCATGTAGTTTAAAAAAAAAAACTTATTTTAAGCCTTTTTAGTATGAACACTTAAAAATACACAAAGTTGACAAAATAGAACAATGACTCTCAAACAACCAATAAGGACAATCTTCTAACTTCTCACCTGGATTGTTTTAAAACAAGTCTCATTTCTTCTATAAGTATGTCAGTATGTGTCTCCAAGGTATGATGATTTCTTCTTAAATTGAAGTATAATTTTAGTTTCATTATCACACCTAAAAAGATTAACAATTTTTTTTTTAAGAGATAGGGACTTGCTCTGTCACTCAGGCTGTAAGTGCAGTGGTGAGATCATAGCTTACTGCAGCCTTGAATTTCTGGGCTCAAGCCTGCTTCAGCTTCCTGAGTAGCTAGAACTACAGGTGCGAACTACCATATCTAGCTAATTAAAAAAAATTTTTTTAATGGAGAAGGGTCTTACTATATTGCCCAGGCTGGTCTTGAACTCCTGGCCTCAAGCGATCCTCCCACCTTAGCCTCCCAAAGTGTTGGGATTACAAGTGTGAACCACTGTACCTGGCCAAATTAACAAAATTTTTTTTTTGAGATAGGGTCTTACTGTGTTGCCCAGGTGGGAGTGCAGTGGCGCGGCTTAACTGCAGCCTTACCTCCCAGACTCAATCCTCCCACTTCAGCCTCCCAAGGTAGCTAAGACTATAGACATGCTCCACAAGGCTGGGCTAATTTTTGTTTATTTTTTTTGCCCAGGGTCTTACTATGTTTCCCAGACTGGTCTCAAACTCCTGGGCTCAAGCAGCCCTGTAGCTCGGCCTTCCAAAGTGCTGGGATTACAGGCATGAGCCACTGTGCCCAGCCCCCCTCATTTTTTTCATTGCCACTTATCTGTTGAAGAAACCAGATCATTTGTTGGTAGACTTTCTTACATTCTGGACTTGGCTAATTGCATTCTTGTGATATCATGTAATATGCTTTTATATCATATCTTCTGTAAAAAGGTAATTAGTTCTAGAGCAGCACATGCTGTGCCCTTAGAAATACAAATTACAAATGCAAGCCACATAATTTAAAATTTTCTGGTAGCTGCATTAACAAAAGTAAAAAGAAAAAGGTGAAGTTATCTTAATGACACATTTTGTTCATACCAGATATTAAAAATATTATTTTACCACGTAATGTACATAATTATTAGTAAGATATTTTACAGTCTTTTTTTGTACCAAATCTTTGAAATCTGTTGTGTATTTTACATTTGCAACATTTCTCAATTCAAAGTAGCTACATTTCAGGTGCTTAGTAGCTACGTGTGGATAGCACAGATCTAGAGGTCTGATTTTAGGCTTGAGTTTTTGTCAAGAATAATTCATATGTGGTGCTGTGTACTTTTTTGTTTTTTTTTTCTGAGACGGAGTCTCACTCTGTCACCAGGCTGGAGTGCAGTGGTGCGATCTCAGCTCACTGCAACCTCCGCCTCTGGGTTCAAGTGATTCTCCTGCCTCAGCCTCCCGAGTAGCTGGGATTACAGGCACGCGCCACCATGCCCAGCTAATTTTTGTATTTGTAGTAGAGACAGGGTTTCACCATGTTGGTCAGGATGGTCTCAATCTCCTGACCTTGTGATCCACCTGCCTCAGCCTCCCAAAGTGCTGGGATTACAGGCATGAGCCACTGCGCCCGGCCGCTGTGTACTTTACATTGCATTTCAACAGGAAGCAAATAATATATATATATTTTTGTGATGTTAAGATTGGTCCAAAAGTTCAAGTGCCGTCAGCCTAATCATTCAGTACCTGCTGCCCCAGCCTTTCACCTTATGGTTTTAGCTGCCTTTGATGATCTTTGCCTAGATTTATATTTCATTAGTGATTCACAATAGTGACTGTGTAATTCTTTCATTTCTTCTGCATCTAATAGTTGAACTGTTCTATAAAGAAAAATTTTCTCTCATCAGTTGTTCTTCTACTGAAGTATTTTTCTGTCGTAGTTATTCTTTTTATTATGAATTGTTATGGCCCACTATATGGTCGGTTTTCTGTTCTTTTCTTTTTTTTGAGACAGAGCCTTACTCTCTCACCCAGGCTGGAGTACAGTGGCACAATCTTGGCTCTGTGCAACTTCCACCTCCCGGGTTCAAGCGATTCTCCTGCTTCAGCCTCCCGAGTAGGTGGGATTACAGGCACGCGCTACTATGCCTGGAAAATTTTTGTATTTTTGGTAGAGACGGGGTTTCGCCATGTTGACCAGGCTGGTCTCGAATTCCTGACCTCAAGTGATCCACCCGCCTTGGCCTCCCAAAATGCTGGGATTACAGGTGTGAGTCACCTCACCCAGCCTTGTTTTGTGAATTTGGATTGTGCATTTTTATGTTCACTGATACTGTATCTCAAGATGATTTTCATATTTTAGCTAGCATTTTTAGGTGACATGTTGAAAGGTATTCAGGGTAAATTAGTGTTCTATTTATCTGGAATGGACGGTGTTAAATATTAATATTTTTATTTAATTCATTAGGGAAAAATGGGTGAACTAATATATCTGTAATACCATAAAATAGGACTCTGCCTTTTAACGCAGAAAATTTGGAATTTATCCTTTGCACTATTGTCTCAAAAGTGACAATCTTCTTGGCAACCAAATTGCATTACATCTTCAATATCTGTTATTAATTTGTATGCATTGCGCAATCTGAACAGAAGTGGTAGAAAAAAATTGAGACTTTTTTCTTTTGTATTGTTAACTGTTATGTTAAACTGTAGGCATCTATGTGACTGTGAAGTATCTTTTTACCTGTCTCAATAAAATGTTACTAATTATTCTTTAACAGGTACAAAGTGAATTAATTTGTGCTGTTTTTCTTTTTTTTTTGAGACAGAGTCTCACTCAGTCGCCAGGCCGGAATATGGTGGTGCGATCTCAGCCCTCTGCAACCTCCACCTCCCGGGGTCAAGCAATTCTCCTGCCTCAGCCTCCCGAGTAGCTGGGACTATAGGCGTGTGCCACCATGCCCAGATAATTTTTGTATTTTTAGTAGAGACAGGGTTTCACCATGTTGATCAGGATGGTCTCGATCTCTTGACCTCGTGATCCATCCACCTTGGCCTCCCAAAGTGCTGGGATTACAGGTGTGAGACACTGCTCCCGGCCAATTTATGCTGTTTTTCTAATGGTAATTTTGTGTTTGCAGTTCATATCCTTAGCTAGAAAAGAAAAAAAATATATAAGACCTTGCTCATTAAATCCTGAAAGATAAGGAACTAAAAATAAACACAGGACAGATGTCTCAGAATTCCATTTTTTTTTTAATTCTCTAATAAGAATAGGGATTTCTAATTAGCCAGGTGTGGTGGCAGGCGCCTGTAGTCCCAGCTACCAGGGAGGCTGAGGCAGGAGAAAGGCATGAACCTGGGAGGTGGAGCTTGTAACGAGCCCACATTGCGCCACTGAACTCCCACCTGGGCGACAGAGCAAGACTCTGTTTCAAAAAAAAAAAAAAAAAAAAAAAAAAGAATAGGGAGTTCTAATATAGTCTGTTCAACAACTGTATAATAGAATCCATAGCAGGAGATATGTTTGATAGTAGTTCTGTCATAAGAAAATGGTAGGAGATTGAAGTCGTTGCACATCATTTTAGTCCAAATGTCATCTGATCACCTGAGGTGCCTAGAAGTATTTACTTTCTTACATTGTTTGAGGGATATATTTTTGTTTTAACCATGAATAGCACACACTGTTTTATTTTATTTATTTATTTTTTTGAGATGGAGTCATGCTCTGTCGCCCGTGTTGGGGCATGATCTTGGTTCACTGCAACCTCCTCCTCCTGGGTTCAAGCAATTCTCCTGTCTCAGCCTCCTGAGTAGCTGGGATTACAGGCACACACCACCATGCCCAGCTAATTTTTTGTTTTTTGTTTTTGTTTTTTAGTAGAGATCGGGTTTTGCCATGTTGGCCAGGCTGGTCTTGAACTCCTGACCTCAAGTGATCCACCCGCCTCAGCCTCCCAAAGTGCTGGGATTACAGGCATGAGCCACCGTGCCCAGCCACACACTTTTTTATTTGGTAGATTTCCTCAAGTCTTTTCAGAAGCAAGTGAAATACAAATCATGAAAAATGAAAAAGAATATTATTCTTCCTCCCTTCAATCTCTGTGGCTCAGTCTTAAGGCCCAAACAGTGATACATGTTTGTTTTATGGCAGTAGTCATAATAATTTGTGATGTGGCAGTGAGAGATGAGGGAAATATTTTGAATCACTGCCTACAAGATATGATGTTCATTATTGTTCTCAAGTTATTTCATATGTTTATTCTTTCTCCCCTAAAGAAAACCCAGGATCTTTTATGGCAGGCACTGTCTTCTACTTTTATGTATCTCTATCCTCTTTTTGTCAGACTTCAGGCCCATATAAATTTCCAGCTTGTTTAAAACATTTTTGCCTTGGCTACCTTGTACAATGGGATCTTTTTAGCCTCTTTCTTATGAAAACCTCATACCTTGGAATTTCTCTTACTATTGATAGAAAAATTATGCACATGGTAGAGAAAAGCTCAATCTAACTTGTCTTCATAGGACTTCCATATTTAGGGAAAGACCCTAAGATGTCGTGCTGGATCATTTGCTTTTTGATATATCCAGATTGCTCCTTATCCCAATGAAAACAGATAAAGGAGGTTGTACTGTAATTAGCTAATTCTGTAATTCTTGCCAAGATAGTAGGGGTTGTTCATTGTGAACACATTCTGCCACAACAGCTGAGGTAGAACATTGTGTTTATTTGTGAGAGAATTTGAGTATGAACAATTTGGTTTAAAGATTAAATGGGGGAATAAATTATATTGATAAAACTGATGAAATATTTTATTAAAAATTACTAAGTTACACAGAGGAGTTTACATTTAAAGCATTAAATATACTGAACATTGTAGAAATTGAAAATTCTGTCTGTATTTCATTTGGAAGAGTTTCTGGCTTTCCTCTTGCCTTTTTGAGAAGTAGACATATGTACTGGAGGCAACCTAGCTTGGTGTGATGAGCAACAGATTGGAACACAGAGCAGCACTAGGTGTACAGTGTCAGGAAGTCCAACTCAGTGGGTGTTTGTTATGCACAAGGAACTTTGACAGGCATTATTGTGGGAGAGGGTGGTTGAGGTGGATATAAGCATGAATAAGAAATAGTCCCCTAAATAATGTAAAATAATAATGTAATGGAAATGGAATTAGATAAGTAAATAATAGAAAATAGAATGAAACATGTTAAACAGAGTTTCCAATAACATGCTAAAGAAGAACACAGGAAAAAGCAGTGAATATTGATTAGGAAATCAGAGAAGATGTCATTAAGAATATAGCTTCTAAGTTGATTCTAGAAAAAGAGTAGTATTTTGTTAGATGGAAGATGGGAATAGGAGTGTGAAGATCTCTTTTTGGAGGAACTGGTAAATATGGAGGCATGCATTGCCAAGACACCAATTTTATTGAAGGATAAAGGAGAACATAAGGTCAAACTATCAGTGTTTAATATTTACTCTGTAATAATTAACATTTCTGTAATATTTTTATATACACATTTGAGACTTCTAACAACAGCCAAGGGAGCTATGTATTACTACCCCAATATATACATGGTCCTGTGTAATTTAATGGAAGGCTCTGGATTTGAAGGCTAACTTTGTCACTTAAAAGCTATGTGACCTTGAGTATTATTTGATATTACTGAATCTCAGTTTTCTCATCTACCAGATACAGATAATACCTTTTCAGTAAATCACTTCAGGGCTGCTGCATAGACTGTACAGTGCATTATTCCAGGGGTGGTGTTCACACAGACCAGGGGTTGACAATGTTTTTTTTCTGTAAAGAGCCAGATAGAAAATATTTTAGGCTTTGCTGGCCATAAACCATAAGAAAGCTGTCACACCAACTCAACCTTGCTGTTATAGCACAAAAACAGCCATAGGCAATATGTAAACAAATGGGTATAGCTGTATTCTAATAAAACTTCATTTATAAAAATAGATTCTGGGCCAGATTTGGCCCACAGTTTGAAGTTTGCTGACTACATAGGCCAGGATGTGAATGGTGAACCCTTTAGTTGTGCAATTCTGTGATACAGGTTGTTTTAAGGAATAAATTACTTATAGCACAGAAATATTTCTAGCTTAGTACATGTGAATCCTCAACGATAAAAGTCTATATACTTTTCTTTCTTTCCTTTTTAAAGTTATTGCCATTGAATTCTTGGGTAAACCACTTAAACTTTTGCCCTCTATTTACTTCAGAATTCTCAGTAGGGAAATAAAAACTATCTTTTACCAGATTAACTTTAATTAGGTGTATGAGTTAGAGTGATAATAGGTGACTGTTGTTTTGAATTCCTTAAAGTCAATGTTAACTAGAAATTATAAGACATTATTATAGCTGAATGCCATTGTGTTAGCAGTCTTAACTACAACATAACAGGGAACCTGAAGCCTAAACTAATGGCACTATTTGGTGTCTTATGTGATTTGCTACTATTTGTAAACTAAAATTTTTACCTGGAGAATATTTATTGTTTTGGATTTCAGCATAATTAGCATATGGTCCTGATTTTGGTACCCACGACATAGTTTTTGTCAGACTGTCATTGCATCATTCTTGAAATATAGCTAATAATTGAAAAGAAAGAGTATGCGTTCTTTTAGAGATACCTAGAAAGAGTGGGGAGGATGTGAACTTTCTTTTGCTCTTACTTATTATAGCTCTGTTAATGCTGTTCCTTTCAAAGAATATTTTCTAAGGTGTTTTTCCCTCGGTGCTTTGAAAAGTTTTCATATCAGATTATGTAAATCAAATGTCGATTATGTACTAGAGCTGATTTTGACATTGCTTTTGAGTCTTAGTTTAGGAATAACAAACTAATTGCAAGTTTTAGGATATTATATGCTAATCATTATTGTGAGAAGATTATGATGTTGAATTGCCATACATAATTCTGTTTTCCCACTCTTAATGATAAGAGAGATTTTTTATAGTTGTCATTTTAACTGTGGAATAAAGGGTTTCCTATTTTCATATTTGAAAATATTTCCTTCCCCTTACTCCATATAGAACTATCACGTACATTCTACCTGCATTATGATAAAAAATATTGATAAAATAAAAATATTGATACAATAAAAAATTTTAATCATAATGCAGATAGAATGTGTATAATATTTCTTTTTTTTTGTTTTTTTGGAGTCGGAGTCTTGCTCTGTTGCCCAGGCTGGAGTGCAGTAGCATGATCTCAGTTCACTGCAACCTCCGCCTCCTGGGTTCAAGCAGTTCTCCTGCCTCAGCCTCCTGAGTAGCTGGGACTACAGGTGCGTGCCACCACGCCCAGCTAATTTTTGTATTTTTAGTAGAGTTGGGGTTTTACCATATTGGCCAGGCTGGTCTCAAACTCCTGACCTTGTGATCCGCCTGCCTTGGCCTCCCAAAGTGCTGGGATTACAGGTGTGAGCCACTACACCCAGCCTGTATGTAATATTTCTATATGGAGTAAAGAGAAGGAAATACTTTCAAATATGAAAACATAAAATATATATAACATAAAATTTATTATTATAATCATTTTTGAGCATACAATTCAGTGACATTAGGTACACTCACAATGTTGTGTAATCATCACCACCATCCATCTCCAAAACTTTTTCATCAGCCCAAATCAGACTTCATACCCATTAAACAATAACTTTCCATTTCTTCCTTCCCCCATCCCCTGCCATCCCCTAGTAACCTCTATTCTACTTTTCATGTCTATGAATTGCCTATTTTTGGTCTAGGTACTGCATGTAAGTGTAATCATATAATATTTGTCCTTGTGTGCCTGTCTTATTTCACATAGCATAATGTTTTCAAGGTTCATGCATGTTGTAGCATGTATCAGAATATAAATATATATATATATATATATATATATATATATATATATATATATATATATATATTTTTTTTTTTTTTTTTTTGAGACAGGGTCTTACTCTGTCAGCCAGGTTGGAGTGCAGTGGCGCGATCTCAGCTCACCGCAACCTCCACCTCCCAGGCCCGAGTGATCCTCCCACCTCAGCCTCCTGAGTAGCTGGGCCTATGGCGCATGACCACCATGCCTGGCTAATTTTTTTGTATTTCTGGTAGAGGATTTTGCCATGTTGCCCAGGCTGGGCTGAAACCCCTGAGTGGAAGCCATCTGCTTGCCTTGGCCTCCCAAAGTGCTGGGATTATAGGTGCGAGCCACCATGCCTAGCCTCAGAATCTCATTTTTAAATTACTGAATAATTTCAATTGTATGTCTATACCACATTTGATTTATCCATTTATCTGTTGAAGGACACTTGGACATTTTCACCTTTTTGACTATTGTGAATAATGCCGCTGTAGAAATTGGTATACAAAGTATCTGTTGAGTCCCTGCTTACAGTTCTTTTGGGTATATGCCTAGGAGTGGAATTGCCGGATCATATGGTAATTCTATGTCTAATCGTTTGAGGAACTGCCAAACGTTTTCACAGTGGCATGCATTGTGCTTTAACAGATAGTTTGGGAAGCCTTTTTATTACCTTATATTTAAAATGTTTACTGTTTCATTTTAAAATAAGAAAATGTTTTGGAATTTCATAAATTGTTATCATTTGGGGGTAATAACATTTCTATATTTGCCTTTTTAGTACTTTTTAATTTTTCCAAATTTGAAATATTAAATACTGATTTCTTTGACATACATTCACTGAGAAGTTAAAAAGATCCTTGCATTCAGCAAGTGAAACATGCTGTAAATAAATCATGTTACTTCTCTATTAACAGTTAACACTAGGGACTCCCAAGCATTCTGAAACTTGTATGATAACAAAACACTAGATTTTCCTTATGTCCTAGAAAATGCTTGCATTTCTCAAAAAGAATACACTCTAGTTTTTTTTTTTTTGAGACAGAGTCTTGCTCTGTCGCCCAGGCTCGAGTGCAGTGGCACGATCTCCGCTCACTGCAAGCTCCGCCTCCTGAGTTCACGCCATTCTCCTGCCTCAGCCTCCCGAGTAGCTGGGACTACAGGCGTCCGCCACCACGCCCGGTTAATTTTTTGTATTTTTAGTAGAGACGGTGTTTCACCGTGGTCTTGATCTCCTGACCTCGTGATCCACCCGCCTCGGCCTCCCAAAGTGCTGGGATTACAGACGTGAGCCACCGCGCCCGGCCCACTCTAGTTTTTTTCTAAAGTTAAATCTGTACTGTCTCTAGTTCATTATGGGTACCTTACTTGAAAAGTAAACAATATTAAACAGGAAAAAAATGAGACAGTACTTAATAGCAGTTAAGCATTATGGAGTATTTACTGTATGCCAGACCCCATGCTAAGTAAGCACATTAATTTAACCTCACAGCAATGCATACTGGGTGGGAGCTCTCATTGTCTTTATTTAACAAGTACAAAACTTGAGGCACACAACAGAGGTTTAACAGAGAGGTTAAATAAGTTGTCTGTGGTCACACAAGTAACAAGTAGTAGATTTATATTTAATTCAGAACATCTTTATCTACAAGCATATTTTAGGACTACATGTTGGCACTGATGAAAATAATAAATAGATCTTTATCCCTATCTTTTGGAGTTTACAGTAAAGATGAGCCCAAAACACTTAATATTACTGTTGTAAGGGCATAGCTAAAAAATGGTAATTGGACCTTAATTATAGAGATTTGAGGGCTACTTATTCCCATATATAAGCTTTACTTAGTGTAAACTTTTGATATAGACCCCAAGTTCATTATTTGCTTGGTATTTCAGGTACTGGCAACCCATATATGAGCCAATGATAATTAGATCACCTAGATCTTGGTTTAAATTTATTACTGACACCACATCCTTCTCGTTCTTTATTATTTTTGAGTGCTTCTCTACCTCCTTGAAATGCTCTTGCTTTCTGGAAAAATCTCTTTATGTAAACTCCTTAAGGGCAAGAGTCTGTGATAGTGCTTGGTACATAATTAGTACTCAACACGTATTTGCTGAATAGCCAGGTGCAGTGGCACGTGCTGGTAGCTGCAACTAAGTCAGGAAGCTAAGGTGGAAGGATCACCTGAGGTCAGACATTTCAGGCTGCAGTGCTGTATGATAGTGATGTGAATAGCCACTACACTCCAGCCTGGACAACATGGGCTCCGTGGCTAAAATAAGAACAAATTTTGATAAATACATATATTGTTTCTCTTTATAAATCTTTATCAAATAAGATGATGAAATCCAAAATTGTAACTGTTATTATGGTGGTTGATCTCTGCCCCCCAATTTTCCACAGCCGTATTTCTATTTATTTATTTTTTTGGAGACAGTCTCACTCTGTCACCCAGGCTGGAGTGCAGTGGTGCAATCTCGGCTCACTGCAATCTCTGCATCCCATGTTCAAGTGATTCTCCTGCCTAAGCCTCTCGTGTAGCTGGGATTATAGGCACGCGCCACCACGCCAGGCTAATTCTTTTTGTATTTTTAGTAGACACGGGGTTTCGCCATGTAGGCCAGGCTGGTCTTGAACGCCTGACCTCAAGTGATCCACCTGCTTCAGCCTCTCATAATGCTGGGATTACAAGCGTGAGCCACTGTGGCCGGCCCGCCATAGCCATATTTCTAATTACATTTTTTGTTTCTTGAATATACAAGAAGTACTATAACTGTATTAATCTATGCTTGCATTGCTATAAAGAAATACCTGAGACTGGGTAATTTATAAACAAAAGAGGTTTAATTGGCTTACGGTTCTGTAGGCTGTACAGGTAGTATAGTGGCTTCTGCTTCTGGGGAGGCCTCAGGAAATGTACAATCATGGTGGAAGGCAAAGGGGAGTAAGGCTTCTGGCGTGGTGCAAGTAAGAGAGAGGGCAGGAGGGAGGTGCTACATGCTTTTAAAGGACATGTTGGGGCCAGGTGCAGTGGCTCATACCTGTAATCGCAGCACTTTGGGAGACAGAGGTGGGTGGATCACCTGATGTCAGGAGTTTGAGACCAGCCTGGCCAACATGGTGAAACCCTGTCTCTACTAAAACTACAAAAATTATCTGGGTTTGGTGGTGGGCACCCGTAATCCCAGCTACTTGGGAGTCTGAGGCAGGAGAACGGCTTCAATCTGGGAGGCAGAGGTTGCAGTGAGCCGAGATGGCACCACTGCACTCCAGCCTGGGAGACAAAGCCAGACTCCATTTCAAACAAAAAATAAATAAATAAATAAGATAAATAAATAAAGGACATGTCTTAAGCGAGCCCTCACTCACTAGTGTGAGGAGAGAACCAGGGGGATGGTGCTAAACCATTCATAAAAATCCACCCCCATGATCCAGTCACCTCCCACCAGGCCCCACCTCCAACATTGGGGATTACAATTGGACATGAGATTTGGGTGGGGACAGAGTTCCAAACCTATCAATAACAATGATAAACGGCATGAATTTTTATATCAGACAGACCTGGAATTGATCCTGGCTCCACTTACTAATTTTGTGTGACCTTGGGCAAGGTACGAAACCTCTCCAACCTCCAGTTTCTCCTCAGGAAAATGCAGCTGATAATAGTGCTATCTCACAGGATTGCTGCCAGGATTAAAGAAGATAATAATAATACATGTGATGTGCTAAGCCATGTTCAGGACCCATTAATGTACAATGAATTTTTGGTTTTTTGGTTTCAAATTAGTTGAGATTCAACTGTAAAAGACGTGGTTGAAGTCCTAAAGGAGTGTGCTTATTGGACCTACAAATAGGAGATATGTGTATAAATGACTTTAAAACACTGACAGACTATATGAATAAGTTAAAATGAATAAGGTAGAGACTGAATATACATCAATGACTATTATTTCATTATAGGGTCCAAATGGTGCTAGAAGCTCAACAAAATTATTGTCCATGTGCTGTTATCTTATTTAGATATACAAACAATTTAAAATAAATGTATTTAAATTATATCATAAATAAAATAAATTACTTGTGGGAGTGAGTCATAATTAATGATTATAGTAGCAATGGTCCTACTAATTTTAGACAAACAGATTGCTGTGCTATATGAACAACTAACTATGAAGACTAAATAGATACCAAATTCTGTTATAATAAAGTAAAACATAACTTGATCTGAAACATTTAATCATGGGCTTAATTCCAATTATAATGTATGATGTTTAAAGTATAAGTGATAAGTTGTTCACATAAGTGATTATTATTATATATAATTAATATTATAAACCTTCAGCTTAGCTTTGTATTTTTGTTTGTTTGTTTGTTTGTTTGTTTTTGGTTTTTGGAGATGGAGTCTCGCTTTGTCACCCAGGCTGGAGTGCAGTGGTGCAATCTTGGCTCACTGCAAGCTCTGCCTCCCGGGTTCACGCCATTCTCCTGCCTCAGCCTCCTGAGTAGCTGGGACTACAGGCGCCCGCCAACACGCCTGGCTAATTTTTTGTATTTTTAGTAGAGACGGGGTTTCACCGTGTTAGCCAGGATGGTCTCGATCTCCTGACCTTCTGATCCGCCCGTCTCGGCCTCCCAAAGTGCTGGGATTACAGGCGTGAGCCACCGCGCCCGGCCAGCTTTGTATTTTTCTAATTATCTGGAGAGGAGATAGGAGTTTACTAGAAAAAGAAGAAAGTTTTTTCATTTCAATATGAAGATTCCTACATTCAAGCCCCTTTTCCAATAGGCGCCACTCAGAGATCAGAATAATGACACATTCTTTGGTATAGATACACACACTCTGGGTGTTTAAGTTAGCTTACGGCAGGGCAGGAACTTGCCCGATATAATAGAAAGAATTCCTTTGATTGAGAAGCGGATACTGGTTAGCAAGGACCTTGGAAAACTAGTAGAAGAGATGGAAATAGAGTAATAACCGAAGTCTTCTTTAACAATGAAGAAACTTATTTTGAGACTCCAGGGGTTGGAGAAAGGGTTTTCCTGGGCTTTAGAACTCCATTGTTATTTGGTAAAGGCTGGGAGGGGAGTGGGCTGAAAGTATGAAAACTGTCCTTTCCCAAATTTCTCCCCCATCTTGTCTAAAATGACCAATTATTCAACGCTTATGCAGCTTTTAGTATAAACTAGTTTAGTCAACTAGCTTTTCTAATAACTAACTGAGATATATCAAGGTAATGAGATTTTGAAAGGCGATCAAGGAAAAAGCAAAATATCGTTTTAAAGCATAAGTTGTTGATGAACACAAAGCTTTAAGTGGGAGCTGGCAGCTTCAGGAAGGAATCTGGCAGGAAGAAGACCAAGATAGCCCAGAGAGTGATGAGGATTACTAAAACAAGAGATGGAAAGAAGAATGTAGTAAAGGAGTTGAGCAAGTAACAACAGCAAAAAAAGTGAAAAGAGACCAAAGAAAAGGAGGCACTGAAGCATAGCATTGAATGAAGTACATATGCAACTAGGAGCAAGCATTATAAAATATGAGCAGCAGTGTGGGTTGTTTACTTAGAAGTAAAGTTGCTAAGTCTGAATTTATTTTTATTTATTTATTTATTTATTTATTTATTTATTTATTTATTTATTTATTTTTTGACGAGTCCCAAGTATCTTTCTCCAAAACAAGAGGGAATACCAGCTGACTTCTGATTCTGTTATAGGTTAAGCTGATAATTATGGTTAGAACCTCTAGGTGTTTGCTATATTGTTAGCTAGTAGGAAGAATGTTGGAAGATTGGAGCCAGTTTCAATTGCCCATCTGTTCTGGTCTTATACTAGGATTAAGTGTTTACTAAAAATAGAACGGGGTAACATTGCCAAACGTGTAGCCCATAGGCATTTGTAAACTTGCTCTCTTATTAAGATAATTCATGCTTTAAACACTGGTTGGCCATGAATTGAAGATGTAAAGATGAGGATTTAATAGGTAGTTTTTTTCTGGAATAGATGATATGCTTTTTTTCTGTGGGGAAATTCTAATTACAACAAGCATAGGTTTAAGCCTCTGGCTGATAATTAAAGTTATGCTATCAGTCAGGTCTTACCGTACTGCCAGTACTTGCTGTTGGAGAGAGAATAGATTGTAATAGATTCTGTTGTTCAGGGTCTGTGACAACTGAAGCCTGCCAAAGTCAGTTGCGCCATTCTCTCCTCTTTGTCATATGTAAGTGAGGCAGCAAAGTATTGTGAAAAAAATATGTCAAGAGAGCTGACTTATACGATGATTATTGCTCTTCTTGTTTGACCTGGGGCAAGCCCTTCTGAGCATTTTTTTTTTAATTTTCAAAATGAAAATAATACCTATTTTATCCAAGTGGAAGCATTATTGTAGAGTCAGACATTATAGTGTATGTAAGCACTTTTTAAACTATAAAGACAACGTATAAAAATGAGGTTTTCATTTCTATCACCTAAGAATTGTTTCTAGTTTAAGAGAGGCTGAAATGGTCATATTTCTGTCATGTAGGCATTTCTCATAAATTTTTCAAGGAATGGAATGGGCAGGAAAGGAACTATGAAAGTAATGGAAAAGAATCATGTGGGTATTTGCATGAAAGACAGACTTACTTGAAATTCTAGGCACAGGAATGGTTTCTCAGGATTGTGATAACGCTGTTCTCTGAAAGATTTAGGTGAAAAGGCAAAGACCTTATTTATGATTAGATATGTTTTATATCAAAATATGACAGTAATGAATATAGGAGAATGAATCTTATGCATCTATAGTTACTCTTTGAAAATAACATTGCTGGCTGCTATCTGAATCACCTGTTGTTCAGTTATTTTTTTTCCCTTAGGAAATTGTGTTTTGTATATTTTTAAATTATTGTAAAATGTCTGCAAAATTAATCTGCACCACAGGAAAGATAAAAAATAAAGAAAAACATCTGCAAAATTAAGCATTGATTAGATTAAATATGGACGAGGTGCAGAATTTAAATTTATTTATTTATTTATTTTTTGAGACAGAGTCTTGCTCTGTTGCCCAGGCTGGAGTGCAGTGGCTCGATCTCAGCTCACTGCAAGCTCTGCCTCCCAGGTTCACACCATTCTCCTGCCTCAGCCTCCCGAGTAGCTGGAACTACAGGTACCCGCCACCACACCCGGCTAATTTTTTGTATTTTTAGTAGAGACAGGGTTTCACCACGTTAGCCAGGATGATCTCAATCTCCTGACCTCGTGATCTGCCTGCCTCAGCCTCCCAAAGTGCTGGAATTACAGGTGTGAGGCACCGTGCCCGGCCTGCAAAATTTAAATTTAATACAAATTTAATGGACTATCCCCAAATATATGGATGTGTAGAATATTATATATGTTTTTAAAACATGAGTTAGAGAAAGGGTTGGAGAAAGGGTTTGAAAGGAGATGAGCACAAAGATGAATATCTCCAATTCAAGGTAGAAAATGTACATAACAATTATCAGTCAATACATTTATTTATATATAATTTAAAACTTTTTTTCTCATAGAAAAAATCTGTAGGTTGTCCTAAATATAGCAGTCTTAATCTAAATAATCTATTGAACCAATACTTTCTGAGACTTTACATAGGCACAGATCCTATCTGAGAAGCTGCTAATCAACTGCTACACTGCTGCAGGATAAACCTTTTATTTTTATAATTTTGTGTACTCAAAAGCTTATATCAGTGAAGATAGATATTTCTTCAATCTAATTACTATTAGTTATTTTAATGGAATCAATCACTTTGAAAAGAGGATTCAGGTGTAAAAGCTTTATTCTACTTTTATTAATGAATTTAGGTTGCTTTAGCTGCTAATAATGCTGTTGTTTGCTTCTTTCTGTTGTTTTTTTTTTTTTGAGACGGAGTCTCGCTCGTCGCCCAGGCTGGAGTGCAGTGGCGTGATCTCAGCTCACTGCAAGCTCCGTCTCCCGGGTTCACACCATTCTCTGGCCTCAGGCTCCCGAGTAGCTGGGACTACAGGTGCCCGTCACCACGCCTGGCTAATTTTTTGTATTTTTTGTATTTTTTTTTTTTTTTCAGTAGTGACAGAGTTTCACCGTGTTAGCCAGGATGGTCTCAATCTCCTGACCTCGTGATCCGCCCGCCTCGGCCTCCCAAAGTGCTAGGATTACAGGTGTGAGCCACTGCGCCCAGCCTGCTTCTTTGTGTTTTATCTTGCATTGTATTACTGTGGAGAGAAGCAATTCATTTAAAATATCTGGCTGATGCAAAGGCATAAGAAGGACACAATGGACTTTGGAAACTTGGGGGGAAGAGTGGGA
Source organism: Homo sapiens (assembly GCF_000001405.40). Classification (NCBI taxonomy): domain Eukaryota; kingdom Metazoa; phylum Chordata; class Mammalia; order Primates; family Hominidae; genus Homo; species Homo sapiens. The sequence goes on from NC_000017.11 coordinate 58,825,034, forward strand.
GTGGGGCGAGGGATAAAAGACTACAAATATGGAGCAGTGTATACTGCTCGGGTGATGAGTGCATCAAAATCTCCCAAATCACCACTAAAGAACTTACTCATGTAACCAAATACCACCTGTACCTCAATAACTTACAGAAAACTAAAATAAAAAAAAGAAAGGCTTGAACTATTGATTCTCACACACACACTCACACACACACACACACACACACACACACACACACACACAAAAATAAATAGAATGAAATATCTGGCTGAGTGTAGTGGCTCATGCCTGTAATCCCAGCACTTTGGAAGGCTGAGACAGGAGGATCTTTTGAGCCCAGGAGTTTGAGACCAGCCTCGGCAATATTAGTGAGACTGTCTCTACAAAAAATTAAAAACAAACAAAAACTTCTGAATAAAATATCTAAGCGTTTTTCAATTCAGAAAAAACTTAACAGTTTAGAAAGCTTTGTGTTAACATTGGTGTTTTTTTTTTCAGGAAACAAATGAAAACGTATTTTTTTTATTCTCTGTTGTTTTTTGTTGTTGTTGTTGTTGTTTGGAAACAGAGTCTCACTTTGTTGCCCTGGCTGTGGTGCAATCTTGGCTCACTGCAACCTTCACCTCCTGGGTTCAAGCCCAGCCTCAGTCTGATTCTCTAGCCTCAGCCTCCCAAGTAGCTGGGATTACAGGCACCCACCACCATGCTCGGTTAATTTTTGTATTTTAAGTAGAGACTTGGTTTCACCATGTTGGCCAGGCTGGTCTCAAACTCCTGACCTCAAGTGATCCACCCACCATGGCCTCCCAAATTGATGGGATTACAGGCATGAGCCACCGCACGCAGCCCCATTCTCTACCTTATTCTATATAGTTTTACTACATTTTAATATTTTTAGATATAAATGTAGAAATTATAGTTTTAGTTTTAATGGTTCCTGACATTTTTTTTTAAGTTTATTCAGAGCAAATGAAAACTGCTTTTAGGCCAGGCATGGTGGCTTATGCCTGTAATCCCAGCACTTTGGGAGGCTGAGTGAGGCGGATCACCTGAGGTCCGAAGTTCGAGACCAGCCCAGCCAACATGGTGAAACCCCGTCTCTACTAAAAATACAAAAATTAGCTGGATGTGGTGGTGGGCAGCGGGCACCTGTAATCCCAGCTACTTGGGAGGCTGAGGCAGGGAGAATTGCTTGAACCTAGGAGGCAGAGGTTGCAGTGAGCCGAGATGGCTCCACTGCACTCCAGCCTGGCAGCCTGGGCAACAGAGACAGACTCGATCTCAAAAAAAAAAAAAAAAAGAAAAGAAAGAAAGCGGCTTTGATGTTTTATATTATGAAAGAAATTTAGCTGGACAGATCCAGCTGTTGCATTTATAAATAGCTACAGATATCTACAGCAATAAAGGGTTTATTCAGGTTGTTATGGCAACTAAAATTCAGCAGAACTTCAAAGATAAACTATATTGAAGCAAGAGGTACATTAACTGTACATTTAATCAAATTATACAATAAAATTGTTGCTTAATATATCATTTTAGATAGCAAGAAATTAGTTTAACATATCAATGTAACTTACTATTTTTAATGTACAAATATTTTGTTTTTACTCTTTTATTTTTTTTAGATGGAACCTGGCTCTGTCGCCCAGGCTAGAGTGCAGTGCCACGATCTTGGCTCACTGCAACCTCTGCCTCCCAGGTTCAAGCGATTTTTCTGCCTCACCCTCCTTTGTAGCTGGGAATACAGGTGCATGCCACCTCACCTGGCTAATTTTTTTTTTGTATTTTTAGTAGAGACGGGGTTTCACTGTGTTAGCCAGGATGGTCTCGATCCCCTGACCTTGTGATCCGCCCTCCTCAGCCTCCCAAAGTGCTGGGATTACAGGTGTGATGTACAAAAATTTTGTTCCTAATTTATCTGTATGGGTTTTATATACTTTTAAGGAGCTTTACTTATAGGAATGATGGATCATGCTGACCCATTTAAAACTCTCTTTCTCGGTCTTCTTTGTAATAAGTTGCATGCTTATTTAGATCTGCTGGCTAGGGTTGAGGGTACATTTCTGAGTCAGTGGAATATATAAAAGCCTGCATTCAGCTTTAAGTCCATGATCTTTTTTTTTTTTTTTTTTTTGAGACAGAGTCTTGCTCTGTCACCCAGGCTGGAGTGCAATGCCACGATCTTGGTTTACTGCAATCTCCGCCTCCTGGGTTCAAGCGATTCTCCTGCCGCAGCCTCCCAAGTAGCTGTGATTATAGGTGCCCGCCACCATGCCCAGCTAATTTTTTGTATTTTTAGTAGAGACAGGGTTTCGCCATGTTGGCCGGGCTGGTCTCCTGACCTCTGGTGATCACCTGCCTTGGCCTCCCAAAGTGCTGGGATTACAGGCATGAGCCACCACACCAAGTGCTGGGATTACAAGCATGAGCCACTACACCTGGCCAAAATCCATGATCTTATACCAATGTTTTATCCAACTTAACTACCTGGTTATAATCTTTTAAGCCATTTGAATATGTAGATTTATTCAGATATTCTGTTACAGTGGGTCTAGGAGTGGGACATGAGAACCTATAAATTTAAAAAATAATTGGCCAGGGCTGGGCGCGGTGGCTTATGCCTGTAATCCCAGCACTTTGGGAGGCCGAGGAGGGCGGATCACGAGGTCAGGAGATCGAGACCATCCTGGCTAACATGGTGAAACCCTGTCTCTACTAAAAATACAAAAAATTAGCCAGGCGTGGTGGCGCGCGCCTGTAGTCCCAGCTACTTGGGAGGCTGAGGCAGGAGAATGGCGTGAACCCGGGAGGCGGAGCTTGCAGTGAGCCAAGATCGTGCCAGTGCACTCCAACCTGGGCGACAGAGCGAGACTCCATCTCAAAAAAAAAAAATAATAATAATAATAATAATAATTGGCCAGGCAAGGTGGCTCACGCCTGTAACCCCAGCACTTTGGGAGGTTGAGGTGGGCAGATCACCCGAGGTCAGGAGTTCGAGACCAGCTTGGCCAACATGGTGAAACCCCGTGTCTACTAAAAATACAAAAATTAGCCAGGCGTGATGGCAGGTGCCTGTAATCTCAGCTTCTAGGGAGGCTGAGGCAGGAGAATCACTTGAACCTAGGAGGCAGAGATTGCAGTGAGCTGAGATCACGCCACTGTACTCCAGCCTGGGCAATACAGTCTCAATCTCAAATAGTAATAATAATAATTTTTATTTTTATTCAATGTAATATGTGTATAATTTTTAAAAGTGAATAGTGTACTGTAAAGCATATACTAAGAACAGTCTCTTACCCTTTTCTTCTTCATTCTCAAGTCCTCCTTGGAAACAACTATTTTAATTTTCTTTTCTTTCTTTTTCTCTCTCTTCCTCTCTTTTCTCTTTCTATACATTGGAACCACAATGGCAAAGGAAGCAACTATTTTTAATTCTTTTTGTTTGTTTGTTTGTTTTTTTAAGATGGAGTTTCACTCTTGTTTCCCAGGCTGGAGTGCAATGCCGCGATCTCGCCTCACCACAACCTCTGCCTCCTAGGTTCAAGTGATTCTCCTGCCTCAGCCTCCCGAGTAGCTGGGATTACAGGCATGCACCACTACGCCAGGCTAATTTTGTATTTTTAATAGAGACAGGGTTTCTCCATGTTGGTCAGGCTGGTCTCGACCTCCTGACCTCTGGTGATCCTCCTGTCTTGGCCTCCCAAAGTTCTGGGATTACAGGCATGAGCCACTGTGCCTGGCCTATTTTTAGTTCTTTGTTTCTTCTGGGATTTACCTGTCTCTAAAGAATGTTTCATTTGCTGTTTCTTGTTTTTTAAATTATAGACAGTAACTCTTTGTTTTTTATTCTAGAAGATAAAGATTTAACAATTTTATACAACTCCTGCTACCACTTACTTTCCCCCACTAACTCCCAGTATAATCATACCACAACTTCAGGCAAAATAATGTTTACATTGTTTGAATTATGTATATATTGTTTACAACTGAGCCACTATATACTGTGTTTACATTTTCTTTTCTTTTTTCTTTTTTTTTGAGACGGAGTTTCACTCTAGTTGCCCCGGCTGGAGTGCAATGGCGCAATCTCAGCTCACTGCAACCTCCGCCTCCCGGGTTCAAGCGATTCTCCTGCCTCAGTCTCCTGAGTAGCTGGGATTACAGGCATGCGCCACCATGCCTGGCTAATTTTGTATATTCAGTAGAGACGGGGTTTCTCCATGTTGGTCAGGCTGGTCTCAAACTCCCAACCTCAGGTGATCCGTCTGCCTCGGCCTCCCAAACTGCTGAGATTACAGGCGTGAGCCACCGTGCCTGGCCCGTGTTTACGTTTTCTTTATTGTATAACCTTTTGTTTTTCCTGGAGTTAATAATTTACTATTTTTCATTTGTTTAGTTTTCTATGTACCTATTGTCCTTTATTTTCTGAACTCTGCAGTAGAAACATAAAAACCACTATCAGTATAGTTAAACATCCTGGGTAATCATTTTTTATAAGGCTTTCATCTTGGAACTTTGCATCTGCCTGTTCCAGTCCAGACTGTACGTGCTGTATACCTTCTGTACAGCTGACATTCTGGAGCTCTACCATGATCCTCGTGGTTCCTGATGCTTCTTTTTCATCAGAGCCTCAGTTTTGTGGTTTTCATTTCTTTCTGGGTTTCTTTTCTCATTTTGCTGGTGGACATCCTTTACTAGTCTTTTTATAAAAGATTCATGGTTAGAAAGCAGGATTAGTGAGCTTAAAAAAACAAATAAAAGATTCATGGAAGTTAATTTTTTTCAGATATTTCAGTTAATTTTGTTAACCTGAAATATCTTTATTCCACTCCTCCACTTGATTGTTAGCCTAGTTGGGTACAGAATTACAGGTTAAAGGCCAAGCGTGGTGGGTCATGCCTATAATCCCAATACCTTGGGAGGCCAAGGCAGGTGAATTGCTTAAGACCCAGAGTTTGAGGACAGCCTGGTCAACATAGTAAGACCCTGTCTCTAGAAGAAAAATTAGCCAGGCATGGTGGCCCATGCCTGTAGTCCTAGCTACTTGGGAGGCTAAGGTAGGAGGATCACTTGAGCCCAGGAGTTTGAGGCTGCAATGAACTCTGATTGGATCACTGCACTCCAGCCTGGAAATCAGAGCAAGACACTGTCTCTCTAAAAAAACAAAAAACAAAACGAACAACAAAAAAATTGTTAGAAAATTGTTTTCCCACAGAATTTTGAAGGCATTAGTCTGTTGTCCCTCAGCTTTCACTGTTGTTGTTGTTGTTGTTATTATTATTATTATTATTATTATTATTATTTGAGATGGAGTCTCGCTCTGTCATCCAGGCTGTAGCGCAGTGGCGCAGTCTCGGCTCACTGCAAGCTTCGCCTCCCAGGTTCACGCCATTCTCCTGCCTCAGCCTCCCGAGTAGCTGGGACTACAGGCACCCACCACCATGCCCGGCTGATTTTTGTATTTTTAGTAGAGACGGGGTTTCACCATGTTAGCCAGGATGGTCTCAATCTCGTGACCTTGTGATCCGCCCACCTCGGTCTCCCAAAGTGCTGGGATTACAGGTGTGAACCACTGCGCCCAGCCTTCAGTGTTATTATTGAGAAAGATGATAGCATTCTGATTCCTGAACCTATTTGTATGTGGTTTACTTTATTTTTTTTTATTTTTTATTATTATTTTTTGAGACGGAGTCTCACTCTGTTGCCCAGGCTGGAGTGCAGTGGCATGATCTTGGCTCACTGCAACCTCTGCCTCTGGGTTCAAGCAATACTCCTGCCTCAGTCTCCCAAGTACCTAGAACTATAAGCGTGTGCCACCATGCCTGGCTGATTTTTGTATTTTTTGTAGAGGCAGGGTTTCACCATGTTGGCCAGGCTGGTCTCAAACTCTTATCCTCAAGTGATCCACCCGCCTTGGCCTCCCAAAGTGCTTCTATTACAGGCGTGAGCCACCCTACCTGACCTGTATGTGACTTACTTTATCTTTTTTTTTTTTTTCGTTTTTTTGAGATGGAGTCTCACTCTAATCACCCAGGCTGGAGTGCAGTAGCACAATCTCAGCTCACTGCAACCTCCGCCTCCTGGGTTCAAGTGATTCTCCTGCCTCAGCCTCCCAAGTAGCTGGGATTACAGGCACGTGCCACCACACCCAGCTAATTTTTTGTATTTTTAGTAGAGATGGGGTTTCACTGTGTTAGCCAGGATGGTCTTGATTTCCTGACCTTGTAATCGTCCACCTTGGTCTCCCAAAATGCTAGGATTACAGGCGTGAGCCACTGCAGACTTAAAACTTTATCTTAAAGCTTTTAGACTCTTCTCTTTAGCCAGCATTTTGGGAACTGAGTAAGGGAATACACTTGTTTATATGTAACTTTTCACATAGTATTCTTAATTTTAGTAAGGTGATTTACTTCAGTCTCTCAGTATATACCTTGTGTCTTTGAATATTCTGTTTCAATTAATCAGAAAATGAACATTTTCTCTCCTGCCATGTGAGGGAGGTGCACTTGTTTGGTTGCATGGGAGTTTAGAAGAAAACTATCTTAGGTATTTCTTCTGTATAATTTCAATGAATTGCAACGTTTCCAACACTTCTCCTTATACCCGCTGTCTGAGATAGCTAGTATCTCCAGTTCCTTAGATTCCTGGAGTTCTTTGATGAGAACCAGCTAGATTCTTGATGTCATCCCCCTATTGGACAGTTTGGACTCAGCTTTCTCTGTTCTGGTATGTTAAGGTTGCTACTCCTTCATTCCCTTTCTTGCTTTCAAATATTTGTTAATCTTTTTTGTCTACTATCATTTCTTCCATGTCTTTCTGTTATTTTAATTTCACATTTCAGGAGGTTTCTGAGATAAATACATGTGTGCAGTCTGCTATTTTGAATCAGAAGTCCTGAAAGTCCAACATTATTGCCAGTGCTTTTATTGTTTCTGTGATAGGCACTGTGTTCCAAGGCAGCTCATTTCCTCTTTGGTAAGCACTGTTTTTTAGTGGCTGCTTATCTTGGGTGAAAGTCTTTGTCTCTGTAGGACTATTGATCCTAATTCTACACCTTAGAGTATTCCAAATAAATCTGTTGTCTTCCACTTGGTAACCTTTCATAGACTTAAAGACAGTATTAGAACTTTAGTATTTTTTCTTCTCTAGCGTAGAGATAACCTAGTTTCTCTATTTGATCCTCAGAAAATACTGTTTCAAATTTCTTCACTATCCTGGTCACTCACTTCTGAATTAACTGTTCTTAAAGAATGATACCTGGAATTGAGAGCAATACTCCAGGTAGAATCTAACCAGCACAGACTAGAGTAAATTATTATCATTTTCTTTTGAAATATTGTTGTGATAAAAAAAAATAAACCTAGCACTCCTGGTATGTTCTGCAAAGGGAAGAGTTTCTCAGAATTTTATCTGCTTGAAATTAAAGAAAAAATGTAAAGCTTCTACTACTTCTATATATAGAGAGAGAGACCTGAAACATACAATGATTTTGTTTTGTTTTTAATTAGATCAATTGGTGCTCCTTTTTAAAAATAATCTGGAGTGTAGGTTGAGAATTAAGATGTTCTGCATAATAACGTAACATGAAATTTTAAACTTTAATTTTGAAATATTTTTAGAGTCATGTAGAAGTTGCAAAAATAGTACAGAGTTCAGATGTACTCTTCACCCAGCTTCCCCCAAAGACATCTTATATAACCATAGTATAATTATCAAAATCAGAAAACTGACATTGGTACAATACTATTTATTAACTAAACTACTGACCTTATTTGGATTTCACCAGGTTTTTGTTTGTTTGTTTGTTTTTTGAGATGGAGCCTCGCTCTGTTACCAGGCTGGAGTGCAGTGGTGTGGTCTTAGCTCACTGCACCCTCGCCTCCTGGGAACAAGCGATTCTCCTTCCTCAGCCATCTGAGCAGCTGGGATCACAGGCATGCATCACTACTCCTGGCTATGGCTAATTTTTGTATTTTTTTCTTTTAGTAGAGACGGGGTTTCACCATGTTGGTCAGGCTGATCTTGAACTCCCAGCCTCAAGTGATTCACCTGCCTCAGCCTCACAAGATTTCACAGTTATTATATACAATCCTTAAAAAAAAATGTTTGGGGGATGTATGTAGTTCTACAGGATTTTATCACATGTATAAATTCATATGACCATTATCACATTTGGGATATAGAACTCCCAAAGAAACTCCCATGTGCTAGCCGTTTACAGTCACACCCCAATCCTAACCCCTGGCAACCACTGATCTGTTTTCCATTACCATACTTTTGTTACTTTGAGACTGTTATGTAAGTGGAATCATCTAGTATGTGACCTTTTGAAACCCAGTAGTTTTTCAACAGTTACCTCACCGCACCCCCACAGAAGTCTTTAGTTTCTATTGTTGCCGTTTTTATGTCCATGAGTACCCCATGTTTAGCTCCCACTTATAAGTGAGAACATGTGGTATTTGGCTTTCTGTTCTTGCATTAATTCACTTAGGATAAAGGCCTCCAGTTGCACCCGTGTTGCTGCAAAGGACATGATTTTGTTCTTTTTTTATGGCTGGATAGTATTCTGTGGTGTATATGCACCACATTTTCTTTATCCAGACCACATCTGATGGGCATCTAGGTTGATTCCACATCTTTGCTATTGTGAATAGTGCTGCAGTGAACATGCGAGTGCATATGTCTTTTTGATAGAATTACTTGTTTTCTTTTGGGTATATACCCAGTATGGGTAATCGGATTCCTGGGTCAAATGGTAGTTCTGTTTTAAGTTCTTTGAGAAATCTTCAAACTGCTTTCCATAGTGGCTAAGCTAATTTGCATTCTCACCAACAGTGTATAAGTGTTCCCTTTTCTCCACAGCCTTTCCGACATCTGTTGTTTTTTGACTTTATAATAATAGCCATTCTGACATCTGACTGATGTGAGATGGCATCTCATTGTGATTTTGATTTGCATTTCTCTGATGATTAGTGATGTGGAGCATTTTTTCGTGTTCATTGGCCAGATGTATGTCTTCTTTTGCGAAGTGTCTGTGCATGTCTTTCGCCCATTTGGAAGTGTTTTGTGGTTCTTGTAGAGATATTTCCCCTCTTTGCTTAGATGTAGGGTTTTTTGTTTGTTTGTTTATTTGTTTTATTTTTATTTTTTGGTGGGGTGTGGGGTATGGCTATTGTAAATGGGATTGCATTGTTGACTTGTTTGCCCACTTTTTAATTGGACTGCTTACTTATTTACAGTTGAGGTTAGGGATTTCCTTATTGATTCTAGATATAAATTATTTCTCAAATATATGTGATTTGCAAATATTTTCTCCCAATCTGTGGCTTCTTTTCTCATTTTCTTAATATCTTTCACAGAGGAAAAGTTTTAATTATGATGAAGTCTAATTTATTAATTTTTTCCTTTATGGGTTGTACTTTTGGTGTCATATCTAAGAACATTTTCCCTAAATTTAGGTCACACAGAGTTTCTCTTGTTTTTTCCCTAAGAGTCTTATAGTTCAACATCTGATAAAATTATGCATTTGAAGTTTGTTAATTTTGGTATAAATTGTGAGGTTTAGGTCAAGGTCCATTTTGTCTCCTACAGGAGACCAGTTGTCCCATCACCACTTGTTAAAACGACTATCCTTGCTTCATTAAATTGCTTTTATGCCTTTGTCAAAAATTGGTTGTCTGTACAAGTGTGAGTTTATTTTTTTGCTCTTTTTTGTTCTATTGATCTGTGTGTCTGTCTCCCAATACGACCGTTTAACTGTTGTGCCTCTATAGTAAGTCTTTAAAAAGCTAATGTGATTACCCTTATTTTATTCTTTTTTTCAAAATTCTTTTAGCTATTCTAGTTCCTTTGCCTTTCCATATAAATTTTAGAATCAGCTTGTTCATGTATAAAAATCTGTTAGGATTTTTATAGGAATTGCATTAAACCAACTGCAGATCAATTTCGAGAGAATTGATGTCTTTACTCTCTAAAGCCTCCGAATCCATGAGAATGCCACATCTCTCCAGTTATTTAGGTCATTAAAACCTTTTTTTGGCCTGGTGCAGTGACTCATGCCTATAATCCCAGCACTTTGAGAGACTGAGGTGGGAGGATCACTTGAGCACAGGAGTTCGAGACCAGCCTCAGCAACATAGTGAGACCTCATCTCTACAAAAAATAGAAAAATTCGCCAACCATGGTGGCACGTGCCTGTAGTCCCAGCTACTGGGGAGGCTAAGGCGAGGTGATTGATTGAGTCTGGGAGGTCAAGGGTATAGTAAGCCACAATCATTTGTGCCACTGCACTTCAGCCTCGGTGACAGAGCAAGACCCTGTCTCAAATAAAGTAAAATAAAATTCATCAGTGTTTTGTAGTTTTTGGCACACAGATCCTGTGCATGTTTTGTTATATTTCTACCCGAATTTTAATTTTTTTTTAGTGTTATTGTAAATGTTCTGGGAAATTTTATTACCTGTCATATTGTTGGGCCTTCCCACTGTAGCTTTATATTTTATTAAAACATATATTTTTGACTGAGTTCAGTGGCTCGCACCTGTAATCCCAGCATTTAGGAGGTTGAGGTAGGAGGATTGCTTGAGCCCAGGAGTTCAAGACTAGCTCAGGCAATATAGTGAGACCTCTATCTCTACAAAAAATTTTTAAAAATTAGGCAATATAGTGAGACCTCTATCTCTACAAAAAATTTTAAAAAATTAGCCGTGCATGGTGGTGCATGCCTGCAGTCCCAGCTACTCAGGAGGCTGAGGCAGGAGGATTGCTTGAGCCCAGGATTTTGAGGCTGCAGTGAGCTATGATCATGCCACTGCACTCCAGCCTGGGTGACAGAACAAGACCCCGTCTCAAACAAAAAAACAAAACAAAAACAAATGGGGCGCTCGCTTCAGCAGCACATATACTAAAAATGATAGAGAAGATTAGTATGGTCCCTGCACAAGGATCACACTCAAATGTTACATATTATAATTTAAAAAAAATGGGGAAACTGAGACTTAGAACAGTCAAGTAATTAATTGCCTAAGGTTACAAAATTGGTAAACAGTAGAGCTAGGATTCAAACCCAGGTGTGGCTTTAGAATCTCTAACATGATGCTAACCACTATACAATGCTGCCCAGAGCAAAACCATCCTGATATACTCTAACAGCAACTGTTTTTTAAGTTTTGGGTATATATTGTTGCTCAAAAGTGACAAGACTACTAACTTTATCTTTTGTGTTACCCAGATTAAAATTCTTTCAGGAAAAAATGAACTATATATAATATTAAGATTAATGTATTTCATCATCTGCCTTCTTCTTATCTAAATCAAAGAATTCCCAGGGGGCCTGGCATGGTGGCTCACACCTGCACTTTGGGAGGCCAAGGTATGAGGATTTAATGAGCCCAGGAGTTCAAGACCAGCCTGGGCGACAGAGTAAGATCCTGTCTTTACAAAAAAAAAATTTTTTTTTTCTTGAGACGGAGTCTTGCTCTGTCGCCCAGGCTGGGAGTGCAGTGGTGCAATCTTGGCTCACTGCAACCTCTGCCGCCCAGGTTCAAGCGATTCTTTTGCCTCAGCCTCCTGAGTAGCTGGGATTACAGGCACATGCCACCACACCCAGCTAGTTTTTGTATTTTTAGTAGAGACGGGGTTTCACCATATTGGTCAGGCTGGTCTCGAGCTCCTGACCTTGTGATCTGCCTGCCTCGGCCTCCTAAAGTGCCAGGATTATTGGCCGGGCGCGGTGGCTCACGCCTGTAATCCCAGCACTTTGGGAGGCCGAGACGGGCGGATCACGAGGTCAGGAGATCGAGACCATCCTGGCTAACACGGTGAAACCCCGTCTCTACTAAAAATACAAAAATTAGCCGGGCATGGTGGCGCGCGCCTGTAGTCCCAGCTACACGGGAGGCTGAGGCAGGAGAATGGCGTGAACCCGGGAGGCGGAGCTTGCAGTGAGCCGAGATCCCGCCACTGCACTCCAGCCTGGGCGACAGAGCGAAACTCCGTCTCAAAAAAAAAAAAAAAAAAAAGTGCCAGGATTACAAGGCGTGAGCCACCGTGCCCAGCCACAAAAAATTTAAGATCAACTGGGTTTGTTGGCGCATGCCTGTAGTCTTAGCTACTCCAGAGGCTGAGATGGGAGGATCACTTGAGCCCAGGAGCCCAGGAGTTGGAGGTTACAGTGGGCCATGATGGTCCCACTGCACTCCAGCCTGGCTAACAGAGTAAAACCCTGTCTCTTAAAAAAATTAAAAAAAAAAAAAAAAAAAAAAGAATTCCCAGGATATACAACTGTCAGAGAATGAGAATAACACACACACATACACACACACACACACACACACACACACTAAATCTCTCATTATCCTTAATAGTTACAAATTGATTTCATTTTTATTTAAGATTACTCAGAAAAATTTATTGGACTTTTAATTTATGTTAAGAAATTGTTTTAAAAGGCCATCAGAAATTCTATTAAAATCATGAGGCTTTTTTTTTTTTTTTTAAGACAGAGTCTCACACAGTCACCTAGACTAGAGTGCAGTGGTGCAATCTCTGCTCACTGCAACCTCTGCCTCCCAGGTACAAGTGATTCTCCTGCCTCAGCCTCCTGAGTAGCTGGGATTACAGGTGCCCACCACCACTCCCGGCCATTTTTTGTATTTTTAGTAGAGACAGGGTTTCACCGTGTCAGCCAGGATGGTCTCGATCTCCTGACCTCAGGTGATCCACCCGCCTCGGCCTCCTGGAATGTTGGGATTACAGGCATGAGCCACCACAACCAGCCCATGAGGTTTTTATAAATTATATGTGCTACGCATTTGCTAATTTAGACAATGTAGTGTGCTGTTTATAAAAGTTGGCAGCATTTGAGAAGTTAATCTTGACTCTGTCTCATGTCCAGCCAGGGCTGTTAGACTGTCCCAGAGAAGGTGATGATCACTGACAATAACGTGTTGATAAATCTTTGAAGCCTTTCAATTAAGAAAGTCCTCTGGAATGTAAACATAGATGTTATACCTGTCACAAAAACTAACTTAAAATAGATCATACACATAAATGTAAAATGCATAACTTATAAGACTTCTAGAAGATAACATAGGAGAAATCTAGTGACCTTGAGTTTGGCCATGAGTTTTAGATACAACTCAAATAGCATGGAGGAAAAACATTGATAAAATTGACTTTAAACTTGTGTTCTGGGAAAGACACAGTAAAGGGAGTTAAAAGGTAAGTCACAAACTGGGAAAAAATCTTTGCAAAACACATATCTGATAAAGGACTTGTACCCAAAATATACAAAAAACACTTACAATTCAACAATAAGAAAGTGAACAACCCAATTAAAAAGGGAGCAAAAGATCTGAACAGACACCTCAATAAAGAAAATGTAGAGACAGCAAATAAACACTAAAAAGACGCTCATCATTTGTCTTTAGGGAATTGCAGGTTAAAACAATGAGATACCATTAAAGTCTGTTAGAATGGCTAAATTTAAAAACTGAAAAACTGGTGAGGATGAAAAACAAAAGAAACTCTCATCTTTGCTGGTGGAAATGCAAAATGATATAGCCACTTTGGAAAAGAGTTTGGCAGTGGCTTACAAGAAAGATAAACATATTCTTACCATATGATCTAGCAATTAATCGCATTTCTAGGTGCAATAGACATACCCAGTTGAGTTGTAAACTTACGTCCACACAGAAACCTGCAAAGGAATGTTTACAGCAGCTTTATTCATAACTGCCCCCAAACTGGATGCAACAGATTGTCCCTTGATAGGCGAATGGATAACCAAACTATTGTGATACATTCATACAATGGAATGTTATTAAGCGATCAAAAGAAAGGAGATATTAAACCAGGAAAAGACATGGAGAAAATATAGATGCATATTATTAAGTAATTGAAAAACCTATATACTGTAACAATTCCAATTATATAACATTCTGGAGGAGGAAAATTATGGTGGCAGTAAAAAGATCAGTGGTTGTCGGGTTGTGGACAGTAGTGAGGGAGGGATGAATAGGTGAAGCAGAGTGGTATTTTAGGTGGTGAAACTATTCTGTACGCACTGTAATGGTGGGTACATGACATTATGCATTTGTTAAAGTCTGTAGAACTTTACAGCACAAAAAGTTAACCTCAGTGTGTACAAATTTAACAATAGCTTTCACAGGTAGGCATGGTGGCTTCTGCCTGTAATCCCAGCTACTTGGGAGGCTGAGGTAAGAAGATCACTGGAGGCCAAGAGTTCAAGTCCAGCTTGGGACTTGAGTTCAAGTCCAGCAACATGGCAAGACCTTGTCTCTAAAAAAAAAAATTTTTTTAAGGAAAAAATAATATAATTCAGGAGGCCACGGGATTTGGGAAAGAAAGCAGACTGTGACAAGAGCATCTAACTGTATTACAAATATATGAAACAACCTCACCGAAGGGATGGGGAGAAAAGTGCTACCCTAACTTTGAAAATGACTGGAGTCTGTAAAACTAAAGGCCAAAGGAACTGTACAAGAGTACTTACTCAAGTTGATAAAGTTTTTCTGCATGGGTTTATAGGTTAATAAATGCATTGTTGCTATACTTGTATACTAACATTGAACAATAAGAAAATAGATAGCAGATAGTGGGAGCCAGGTTTCTCACTGTTGGAGTGGAAATTTTATGTACACTAACATTGACCAAGAAGAAAATAGATAGCAGATAGTGGGAGCCAGGTTTTTCACTGTTGGAGTGAAAATTTTACAAATCAACAAGGGAGGAAGCTAGAATGACCCATGTGGTAATGGATTAACGTTGAGGATACTAGAACAGCTCATATATAGTTAGATAGTTGCTTGTGGAAATTTTTATAGATGGGTATGTGCACAAGTTAGTATACATACTATAAAGTTTAGAAGTTTACAACACCACCACCACTTCTGACTCCAATTGTAAGTTTAGGGGTCCCCAAGATCACCCTCATGTTGAATAATTCCCTAGAGGTACTCACAGAACTCACTGAAAGCTGCTATATTTACAGTTATGGTTTATTACAATAAAAGGATACATATTAAAACCAGCCAAGGGAAGAAGCACATGGGACAGAGTACAGGAGAATTCCTCATGTGAAGCTTCCAGTTTCTTCTCCTGCTGGACTAATGGACAGTGGTAACTTCCCCCAGCAACAATCTGTGACGACACGCTAGAAGTATTGCCAACCAGGTAAGATCACTCAAGCCTTGGTGTCCAGAGTTTTTGTTGGGGCTTGGTCATATAGACATGATTGACTACTCACATGGCTGTTTTTTGTTACAGATACCACATGGCTCAAAACCTCCACCATTAATTACATTGTTAGCATAGGCTATCTGGCATGGCCTAAAGCTCCCAGGTTAACAAGGACCTACTTTTCAGTCAGGCATTACAGAGGCTTAGAGAATACCTCCCTGGAGCCAAGGGCAAAAGCCAGACCAATTCAGTAGTAACAAGTATACCTAATGCTCAGATCTTGGTTTCTAATATTATTCTTCAGTAAGAGTAACCAGGACTCCTTGGAGAAATGGCTGATTCCAGGGATAGGGTAGAAAATGTACAGAACCAGCCTGGGGCATCTTGTAGAGGCAGAAAGTAAGAAAGTGCTAAAGAAAAAAAAAAGATCACTGTGAGAGGTATGTAAAAGAAGCCAAATGAAAGAGCACCCAATGGGAAAATTTAGAAATATTTGAGCAAAATAAATGAATGAATACCATACTATTGTATTATAACCTAAAGTATAACATAAATATTCATGATTGTGGTGGGTTGCAGCTGATCTGGGCCAGCGTCATCAGTGGTAAAATAATTTGCTGAAACAGCTGTGAGTTAATAATTGTAATAATAAGTAAGTGTATTAGAGAGAAAGTATGTTGCAAGGAAGCATTGGGCAGCACAGCAGAGAAAAAGCTGTCTGCAAAGGGGCAGGGCTGGAGGGAAGTTTTATAGGCTGGACCTGGAGGGACTACATGTAGAACAAGGTATTCGGGAACAGGATATTGTGCAAACGGGATGTTTGTAGTTAGCTGTTTCTCAGAACAATTGTTCTCACTCACCCTGGGGCACCCCCCTTGTTGTTGCTAACTTATCAGGACTCCACAATGAGTTCATACTGATATATAAATAATTGGATAAATTAATAAATGGAAGTGAATAGACAAATCTTTCCATATGGAATAATGCTAATTATATTATCTAGATACTTCATCCTGAGGATGGGAGGTTAATTCTCCACTCCTTAAGTGTGGGCTGTGCATAGTGACTTCCTTCCAGAGTCCCTTATGAAAAGTGGAGAGTGGGAGGAAAGGAATAACTTCATGGGAGAGACGTGACAAACACACCTTCAAGCCAAGTGATTATGGTCAATATAAACAGTCATAAATCATGTTGATATCATATATACCCTCAATATGCTATGATGAAAAATGGCACTTTATCTCTGTGATCTTTGTCACAAAAGTCTGTAACACCAATCTAACCATGAGAAAAACAAATACTTTTTTTTTTTTTTTTTGAGGCGGAGTCTTGCTCTGTCTCCCAGACTGGAGTGCAGTGCAGTGGTGCAATCTTGACTCACTGCAGCCTCCACCTCCCAGGTTCAAGCAATTCTCCTGCCTCAGCCTCCCGAGTAGCTGGGATTACAGGTGCACACCACCGTGACCAGCTAATTTTTGTGGGTTTTTTTGTTTGTTTTTCATTTCGAGACAGAGTCTTACTCTGTTGCCCAGGCTGGAGTGCAGTGGCATGACCTCGGCTCACTGCAACCTCTGCCTCTTGGGTTCAAGCGATTCTCCTGCCTCAGCCTCCTGAGTAGCTAGGACTACAGGTGTGCACCACCACGCCTGGCTAATTTTTGTATTTTTTAGTAAAGATGGGATTTCACCATATTGCCCAGGCTGGTCTTGAACTCCTGACCTCGTGATCCGCCCTCCTTGGCCTCCCAAAGTGCTGAGATTATAGGCATGAGCTGCTGTGCCTGGCCAATTTTTGTATTTTTAATAGAAACGGGGTTTCCCTGTGTTGGGTAGGCTGGTCTCAAACTCCTGACCTTAAGTGATCCACCCACCTTGGCCTCCCAAAGTACTGGGACTACAGGCATGGGAGCCACAGTGCCCAGCCTGAGAAAAACAAATTCTAATAGAGGGCCATCCTGTAGTATACCTGACCAGAACTCTTTAAACTGTCAAGATCCTCAAAAAGAGAAAGTCTGAGAAACAATCACAGCTAAGAGACACCTAAGGAGACGCGACAAGTAAACGTAATATAGTGGCATCCTGAATGGGATCCTGGAACAGAAAAAGGACATTAAGTAAAAACTAAGGAAATCAAACTATGGACCAGTTAATAATAACTTTTCAGTATTCATTCATTAACTGTAATAAGTGAGCCATACTAACATAAGCTGTTAATAATAGGGGAAAATGGAAAATGTGTGTGTATGTTGGGGGGTATATGAAAATGCTACACTATCTACTCAATTTGTAAATCAAAAACTGTTGGCTGGGCGCAGTGGCTCATGCCTGTAATCCCAGCACTTCGGGAGGCCAAGGCGGGTGGATCACTTGAGGTCAAGAGTTTGAGAACAGCCTGATCAACATGGTGAAACCTTGTCTCTACTAAAAATACAAAATTAGCCAGGTGTGGTGGTGCACACCTGTAATCCCAGCACTTTGGGAGGCCAAGGCGGGTGGATCACTTGAGGTCAAGAGTTTGAGAACAGCCTGATCAACATGGTGAAACCTTGTCTCTACTAAAAATACAAAATTAGCCAGGTGTGGTGGTGCACACCTGTAATCCCAGCTACTCGGGAGGATGAGGCAGAAGAATCTCTTGAACCTGGGAGGTGGAGGTTGCAGTGAGCCAAGATCGTGCCATTGCACTCCAGCCTGGGCAACAAGAGCAACATCTCTGTCTCAAAAAAAAAAGTTTAGAATGTTTTGATTTTAAAAAGAATTATAATTTTAAAAAGTGTAGAACAGGCCGGGCGCTGGGTGGCTCATGCCTGTAATCCTAGCACTTTGGGATACCGAGGCAGGCAGATCACGAGGTCAGGAGATCTAGACCATCCTGGCTACATGGCGAAACCTTGTCTCTACTAAAAATACAAAAAAAATTAGTCGGGCATGGTGGCGGCGCCTGTAGTCCCAGGCTGGAGAATGGAGTGAACCTGGGAGGCAGAGAACCTGGGAGGCGTGAACCTGGGAGGCAGGAGAATGGCATGAACCTGAGAGGCGGAGTTTTCAGTGAGCCGTGATTGCACCACGGCACTCCAGCCTGGGCGACAGAGTGAGACTCCCTCTCAAAAAAAAAAAAAAATGAATTAAATAAAAATTAAAATAAAAAACTAGCTGGGCGTGGTGGTGCACATCTGTAGTCCCAGCTATACTTGGAAGGCTGAGGCAGGAGAATTGCTTGAACCCGGGAGGTAGAGGTTGCAGTGAGCGGAGATCGCGCCACTTAGCCTGGGTGACAGAGCAAGATCCTGTCTAAAAAAAATAAAAATAAAACTGTAGAACAAGGCCGGGCACAGTGGCTCACACCTGTAATCCTAGCACTTTGGGAGGCCGAGGCAAGCGGATTGCTTGCGCCCAGGAATTTGAGACAAGCCTGGGCAACATGGTGAAACCCTGTGTCTAAAATATATATGTATGCAAAAATTAGCTGGGCATGGTGGTGTGTGCCCAGAGTCACAACTGCTCAGGAGGCTGAGATGGGAGGATCAACTGAGCCCTGGAGGTTGAGGGTGCACTGAGCCATGACCATGCCAATGCACTCCAGCCTGGGCACAGAGCTAGACCCTGTCTCAAAACAAAACAAAACAAAACATTGTGAAACAATGAAGATTGTAGGGGAAATGGCATATGAAAAAGTGATTTATTATAAATGGGATCCCCTAAGCATACAATGTAAACAAATATCTGACCTTCAAAGGAGGGTGCAGAGTATGCTTTGCAAGTCTTTAGGCAGAGCATTATAGTTTTGTCACATACCTTTCTATACGTCATATGGAGTTAAATACAGAGATACATTATTTTGGGAATTAAATTCTTAAGAATTATAGTACTATTTTTTGAGAAATGTATTTCAACTGTCATTTTACTGAAGGACTGTAGGTCCTGGGATATTAGAGAATTTCACTTATTACAAAGATTAAAAGCAAACATGATTAATATTTACAAATATATTGAATTATTATCTGAATTTATTGTGAAGATTTTCTAATATGATGAGTTGATTTTAAAAGTTACCAATGTTTCTGGTATAAAAAAAATTATAACTAATTGTAATTTATATTTCAAATGGGTATGAAAGTGAATAATAAGGGTAACAATAAAAGGAAGAAAATAAAATTATAATAAAAATGAGAACATAATGCTTACAGATTAAAAAGTGATATAAAGGGATAACTTTTCAGAAGAGATTAAAAACTATCTAGAATAATATAATATACATTGTATGACTGCTGGATTTTATGAGTACATCCTCCAGCCTCTTATTGAGTTTGTAAAGAAATAGTGACTGTTTCCCTCATTAATGGCAAGTGTAAATAGCCGAGGTGGGCATTCAAAGACAGTTTACCATCTCCCCACATGGGGCTTTTGAAGGTTGTCACTAAACTAATTATTTCCATGAAAATGTGTTAATGGAATTTATTTCACTGTTGAGTCTTCTACTTAGAGTCTTTTATAGAGGCAACATATTTTATAAAACTGCATGGAAAAAGATATCAGCAATCAATCTTTAGAGTAGTAGACTTTTGCAAAAACATGATTTCTCTTGTATTTGTACCCTAATAAGAAATCTAGCAGTCTTCTAGCAAAGAACATCACAACATCTTACAGAAAATTTGGTTTGAACTAAGAGACTAAAGAGACATAGAGACCAAATTTTTAAAGTTAAAATATTTCTATCAATAACCTTTTATTCAAGCATTATTGAGTGTTGTTTTCATTAGATAATGGCACTGGCTTCTCATATATATTGCATATAGTATTGCAGTCTGGGAATGGCATAGTCACTTTCCTCCATTATGGTAAGCTTTGCCTGTGTCTGAATGCCCAGCCTTAACAGTGTTGCTAATCACTTATGCGAAATGTGTGACCAAGTCTACATTTGCTGGAAATTTCTGACATTGTAAATATTTGGGTATATTGTTGTAATCATCATTAATTAGTATTTTCAGGAAGGAACCAGGGGTAACATATAGCAACCTAGCAAGTGGATTTACTTTTACAGATTCATTCCTCTACAGTTCTGTTCATGGGTCATGGTTGGTTTTTTTTTTTTTTCAGTTTCTTTTATTGTGGTAAAATACACATAACGAAATGTTCTGTCTTACCCATTTTTAAGTATACAATTTATTGGTATTAAGTATATTAATATTATTGTACAACTATCACCACCATCCATCTCCAGAACTCTTTTCATTTTGCAAAATTGAAACTTTCTATCCATTAAACAGTAACTTCTCATTCCTTCCTCCTCTTAGCCCCTGGCAACCATCATTCTGCTTTTTGACTATGATTTGGACTACAATGAATAACTAATTTAAGTGGAATCATACAGTATTTATCTTTTTGTGACCAATTTATTTCAGTTAACATGATGTCCTCATCAAGGTTCACTCATATTGCAGCATATATTAGAATTTATTTATTTTTGTTTGTTTGTTTTTGAGACAGAGTCTCGCTCTGTCGCTAGGCTGGAGTGCAGTGGCGCGATCTTGGCTCACTGCAACCTCCTCCTCCCACGTTCAAGAGATTCTGCTGCCTCAGCCTCCCAAGTAGCTGGGACTACAGGCGTGCGCCATCACACCCAGCTAATTTTTGTATTTTTAGTAGAGATGGAGTGTCACCATGTTGGCCAGCCTGGTCTCGAACTCCTGACCTCAGGTGATCTGCCGAACTCGGCCTCCCAAAATGTTGGTATTATACGCATGAGCCACCGTGCCCAGCCAAAATTTATTTCCTTTTTAAGGCTGAATAATATTCTGTTGTATATATGTACCACATTTTGCTTATCCATTCATCAGTCAGTTGATACCTGGGTTGCTTCCATGTTTTAGCTACTGTGAATAATGCTGCTATGATTACAAATGTTATGATTATAAATGTATAAGTATCTCTTTGGGACCCAATTCTTTTGAGTATATACCCATAGAATTGCTGGGTCATTTGGTAATTCTATTTTAAACTCTTTGAGGAAACCGTTTTCCACAGTGGTTGTACTATTTTACATTTTCTTTCTTTTTTATTATTATTATACTTTAAATTCTAGGGTACATGTGCACAACATGCAGGTTTGTTACATATGTATATGTGTGCCATGTTGGTGTGCTGCACCCATTAACTCGTCATTTAGCATTAGGTATATCTCCTAATGCTATCCCTCCCCGTTTCCCCCATCCTATGACAGACTCTGGTGTATGATGGTCCCCACCCTGTGTTCAAGTATTCTCATTGTTCAATTCCCATGTATGAGTGAGAACATGTGGTGTTTGGTTTTCTGTCCTTGCAATAGTTTGCTCAGAATGATGGTTTCCAGCTTCATCCATGTCTCTACAAAGGACATGAATGCATCCTTTTTTATGGCTGCATAGTATTCCATGGTGTATATGTGCCACGTTTTCTTAATCCAGTCTACCATTGATGGGCATTTGGGTTGGTTCCAAGTCTTTGCTATTGTGAATAGTGCCACAATAAACATACGTGTGCATGTGTCTTTATAGCAGCATGATTTATAATCCTTTGGGTATATGCCCAGTAATGGAATTGCTGGGTCAGATGGTATTTCTAGTTCTAGATCCTTGAGGAATCATCACAATGTCTTCCACAATGGTTGAACTAGTTTACCTCCCACCAACAGTGTAAAAGTGTTCCTATTTCTCCACATCCTCTCCAGCACCTGTTGTTTCCTGACTTTTTAATGATTGCCATTCTAACTGGTGTGAGATGGTATCTCATTGTGGTTTTGATTTGCATTTCTCTGATGACCAGTGATGTTGAGCATTTTTTCATGTGTCTTTTGGCTGCATAAATGTCTTTTTTTGAGAAGTGTCTGTTCATATCCTTTGCCCACTTTTTGATGGGGTTGTTTGATTTTTTCTTGTAAATTTATTTAAGTTCTTTGTAGATTCTGGATATTAGCCCTTTGTCAGGTGGGTAGATTGTAAAAATTTTCTCCCATTCTGTAGGTTGCCTGTTCACTCAGATGGTAGTTTCTTTTGCTGTGCAGAAGCTCTTTAGTTTAATTAGATCCCATTTTTCAATTTTGGCTTTTGTTGCCATTGCTTTTGGTGTTTTAGTCATGAAGTCCTTGCCCATGCCTATGGCCTGAATGGTATTGCCTAGATTTTCTTCTAGGCTTTTTATGATTTTAGGTCTAACATTTAAGTCTTTAATCCATCTTGAATTCATTTTTGTATAAGGTGTAAGGAAGGGATCCAGTTTCAGCTTTCTACATATGGCTAGCCAGTTTTCCCAGCACCATTTATTAAATAGGGAATCCTTTCCCCATTTCTTGTTTTTGTCAGATTTGTCAGTGATCAGATGGTTATAGATGTGTGGTATTATTTCTGAGGGCTCTATTCTGTTCCATTGGTCTGTATCTCTGTTTTGGTACCAGTACCATGCTGTTTTGGTTACTGTAGCCTTGTAGTATAGTTTGAAGTCAGGTAGCATGATGCCTCCAGCTTTGTTCTTTTGGCTTAGGATTGTCTTGGCAATGCAGGCTCTTTTTTGATTCCATATGAACTTGAAAGTAGTTTTTTCCAATACTGTGAAGAAAGTCATTGGTAGTTTAATGGGGATGGCATTGAATCTATAAATTACCTTGGGCTATATGGCCATTTTCACAATATTGATTCTTCCTGTCCATGAGCATGGAATGTTCTTCCATTTGTTTGTGTCCTCTCTTATTTCATTGAGCAGTGGTTTGTAGTTCTCCTTGAAGAGGTCCTTCACATCCCTTGTAATTGGATTTCCAGGTTTTTTATTCTCTTTGAAGCAATCGTGAATGGGAGTTCACTCATGATTTGGCTCTCTGTTTGTCTGTTATTGGTGTATAGGAATGCTTGTTGTGATTTTTGCACATTGATTTTGTATCCTGAGACTTTGCTGAAGTTGCATATCAGCTTAAGGAGATTTGGGGCTGAGACGGTGGGGTTTTCTAAATATACAATCATGTCATCTGCAAACAGGGACAATTTGACTTCCTCTTTTCCTAATTGAATACGCTTTATTTCCTTCTCCTGCCTGATTACCCTGGCCAGAACTTCTAACACTATGTTGAATAGGAGTGGTGAGAGAGGGCATCCCTGTCTTGTGCCGGCTTTCAAAGGGAATTCCTCCAGTTTTTGCCCATTAGTATGATATTGGCTGTGGGTTTGTCATAAATAGCTCTTATTATTTTTAGATACATCCCATCAATACCTAGTTTATTGAGAGTTTTTAGCATGAAGGGCTGTTGAATTTTGTTGAAGGCTTTTTCTGCATCTATTGAGATAATCATGTGGTTTTTGTCTTTGGTTCTGTTTATGTGATGGATTATGTTTATTGATTTGCTCATGTTGAACCAGCCTTGCATCCCATGGACAAAGCCAACTTAATCATGGTGGATAAGCTTTTTGATGTGCTGCTGGATTCGGTTTGCCAGTATTTTATTGAGGATTTTTGCATTGATGTTCATCAGGGATATTGGTCTAAAATTCTCTTCTTTTGTTGTGTCTCTGCCAGGCTTTGCTATCAGGACGATGTTGGCCTCATAAAATGAATTAGGGAGGATTCCCTCTTTTTCTATTGATTGGAATAGTTTCAGAAGGAATGGTACCAGCTCCTCTTTGTAGCTCTGGTAGAATTCAGCTGTGAATCCATCTGGTCCTGGACTTTTTTTGGTTGGTAGGCTATTAATTATTGCCTCAATTTCAGAACCTGTTATTGGTCTATTCAGAGATTCAACTTCTTCCTGGTTTAGTCTTGGGAGGGTGTATGTGTCCAGGAATTTATCCATTTCTTCTAGATTTTCTACTTTATTTGTGTAGAGGTGTTTATAGTATTCTCTGATGGTAGTTTGTATTTCTGTGGGATTGGTGGTGATATCCCCTTTATTATTTTTTATTGCATCTATTTGATTCTTCTCTCTTTTCTTCATTAGTCTTGCTAGCAGTCTATCAATTTTGTTGATCTTTTCAAAAAACCAGCTCCTGGATTCATCGATTTTTTTGAAGGGTGTTTTGTGTCTCTATCTCCTTCAATTCTGCTCTGATCTTAGTTATTTCTTGCCTTCTGCTAGCTTTTGAATGTGTTTGCTCTTGCTTCTCTAGTTCTTTTAATTGTGATGTTAGGGTGTCAATTTTAGATCTTTCCTGCTTTCTCTTGTGGGCATTTAGTGCTATAAATTTCCCTCTATACACTGCTTTAAATGTGTCCCAGAGATTCTGGTATGTTGTGTGTTTGTTCTCATTGGTTTCAAAGAACACCTTTATTTCTGCCTTCATTTCATTATGTACCCAGTAGTCATTCAGGATCAGGTTGTTCAGTTTCCATGTAGTTGAGCGGTTTTCAGTGAGTTTCTTAATCCTGAGTTCTAGTTTGATTGCATTGTGGTCTGAGAGACAGTTTGTTATAATTTCTCTTCTTTTACATTTGCTGAGGAGTGCTTTACTTCCAACTATGTGGTCAATTTTGGAATAAGTGTGATGTGGTGCTGAGAACAATGTATATTCTGTTGATTTGGGGTGGAGAGTTCTGCAGATGTCTATTAGGTCTGCAGATGTCTATTAGGTGCAGAGCTGAGTTCAATTCCTGGATATCCTTGTTAATTTCCTGTCTTGTTGATCTGTCTAATGTTGACAGTGGGGTGTTAAAGTCTCTCATTATTGTGTGGGAGTCTAAGTCTCTTTGTAGGTCTCTAAGAACTTGCTTTATGAATCTGGGTGCTTCTGTATTGGGTGCATATATATTTAGGATAGTTAGCTCTTCTTGTTGAATTGATCCCTTTACCATTATGTAATGGCCTTCTTTGTCTCTTTTGATCTTTGTTGGTTTAAAGTCTGTTATATCAGAGACTAGGATTGCAACCCCTGCTTTTTTTTTTCCATTTGCTTGGTAGATCTTCCTCCATCCCTTTATTTTGAGCCTATGTGTGTCTCTGCATGTGAGATGGGTCTCCTGAATACAGCACACTGATGGGTCTTGACTCTTTATCCAATTTGGCAGTCTGTGTCTTTTAATTGGAGCATTTAGCCCATTTACATTTAAGGTTAATATTGTTATGTGTGAATTTGATCCTGTCATTATGATATTAGCTGGTTATTTTGCTGGTTAGTTGATGCAGTTTCTTCCTCGCATCGATGGTCTTTACAATTTGGCATGTTTTTGCAGTGGCTGGTACTGGTTGTTCCCTTCCAAGTTTAGTGCTTCCTTCAGGAGCTCTTGTAAGGCAGGCCTGGTGGTGACAAAATCTCTCAGCATTTGTTTGTCTGTAAAGGATTTTATTTCTCCTTCACTTATGAAGCTTAGTTTGGCTGGATATGAAATTCTGGGTTGAAAATTCTTTTCTGTAAGAATGTTGAATATTGGCCCCCACTCTCTTCTGGCTTGTAGAGTTTCTGCCAAGAGATCCGCTATTAGTCTGATGGGCTTCCCTTTGTGAGTAACCCAACCTTTCTCTCTGGCTGCCCTTAACATTTTTTCCTTCATTTCAACTTTGGTGAATCTGACAATTATGTGTCTTGGAGTTGCTCTTCTCAAGGAGTATCTTTGTGATGTTCTCTGTATTTCCTGAATTTGAATGTTGGCCTGCCTTGCTACGTTGGGGAAGTTCTCCTGGATAATATCCTGAAGAGTGTTTTCCAACTTGGTTCCATTCTCCCCGTCACTTTCAGGTACACCAGTCAGACAGAGATTTGGTCTTTTCACGTAGTCCCATATTTCTTGGAGGCTTTGTTCATTTCTTTTTACTTTTTTCTCTAAACTTCTCTTCTGGCTTCATTTCATTCATTTGATCTTCAGTCACTGATACCCTTTCTTCCACTTGATCAAATCGGCTACCGAAGCTTGTGCATGCATCACGTAGTTCTCGTGCCATGGTTTTCAGCTCCATCAGGTCATTTAAGGGCTTCTCTACAATGTTTATTCTAGTTAGCCGTTCATCTAATCTTTTTTCAAGGTTTTTAGCTTCCTGGAGATGGGTTCGAACACCCTCCTGTAGCTCGGAGAAGTTTGTTATTACCGATCGTCTGAAGCCTTCTCTCAACTCATCAAAGTCATTCTCCGTCCAGCTTTGTTCTGTTGCTGACGAGGAGCTGTGTTCCTTTGGAGGAGAAGAGGCACTCTGATTTTTAGAATTTTCAGCTTTTCTGCTCTGGTTTGTCCCCATCTTTGTGGTTTTTTCTACCTTTGGTCTTTGATGATGGTGATGTACAGATGGGGTTTTGGTGTAGATGTCCTTTGTGTTTGTTAGTTTTCCTTCTAACAGTCAGGACCCTCAGCTGCAGGTCTGTTGGAGTTTGCTGGAGGTCCACTCCAGACACTGTTTGCCTGGGTATCACCAGCAGATGCTGCAGAACAGCAAATATTGCAGAATGGCAGATATTGCTGCCTGATCCTTCCTCTGGAAGTTTCGTCTCAGAGGGGCACCTGGCTGTATGAGATGTCAGTTGGCCCCTACTGGGAGATGTCTCCCAGTTAGGCTACTCCTGGGTCAGGGACCCACTTGAGGAGGCAATATGTCCTTTCTCAGATCTCAAATTCCATGCTGGGAGAACCACTACTCTCTTCAAAGCTGTCAGACAGGGATGTTTAAGTCTCCGAAGTTTCTGCTGCCTTTTGTTCAGCTATGCCCTGCTCCCAGAGGTGGAGTCTACAGAGGCAGGCAGGCCTCCTTCGGCTGCGGTGGGCTCCACCCAGTTCAAGCTTCCCAGCCACTTTGTTTACCTACTCAAGCCTCAGCAATGGTGGTTGCCCCTTCCTCAGCCTAGCTGCTGCCTTGCAGTTCGATCTCAGACTGCTGTGCCAGCAGTGAACGAGACTCTGTGGGTGTGGGACCCTCCAAGCCAGGCATGGGATATAATCTCCTGGTGTGCTGTTTGCTAAGGCCATTGGAAAAGTGCAGTATTAGGGTGGGAGTGACCTGATTTTCCAGGTACCATCTGTCACGGCTTCCCTTTGCTAGGAAAGGGAATTCCTCGACCCCTTGCGCTTCCCGGGTGAAGCACTGCCCCACCCTGCTCCGTGGGCTGCACCCACTGTCTGACAAGCCCCAGTGAGATGAACCCAGTACCTCAGTTGGAAATGCAGAAATCACCCGTCTTCTGTGTTGCTCATGCTGGGAGCTGCAGACTGGAGCTGTTCTTATTTGGCCATCTTGGAACCCTTATTTTACATTTTCAACAGTGCACAGGGTTCTGATTTCTCCACATCCTTATCAATGATTGTTGTTTTCTGTTTTTCTGATAGTAGCCATCCTAATTAGTATGTACCTCATTATAATTTTGATTTGTGTTTTCCTAATGATTAGTGATACTGAACTTTTTTTTTTAAATGTGCTTTATGACCATTTATGTATCTTCTTTTTTTGTTTTTTTTTGTTTTTTTTTTTGAGATGGAGTCTCACTCTGTCACCAGGCTGGAGTGCAGTGGCGTGATCTCGGCTCACTGCAACTTCCACCTCCTGGGTTCAAGTGATTCTCCTGGCTCGGCCTCCCGAGTAGCTGGGACTACAGGTGCACACCACCACATCCAGCTAATTTTTATATTTTTATTAGAGACGGGGTTTCACCGTGTTGGCCAGGATGGTCTCGATCTCTTGACCTCGTGATTCGCCTACCTTGGCCTTCCAAAGTGCTGGGATTACAGGTGTGAGCCACCACGCCTGGTCTACCATTTGTATATCTTCTTTGGAGAAATGTCTATTCAAGTCATTTGCCCACTTTTTAATTGGGTGGTTTGGTTTTTATATTGTTGAGTTCTGTATTAACTCCTTGTCAGATATATGATTTGCAAATATGTTCTCTCATTCTGTGGGTTGTCTTTCTACTCTGTTGATAGTGTCTTTTGATGCACAACATTTTTAAATTTTCATAAAGTCCAGTTTGTCTATTTTGTTGTTGTTGCCTGTATCTTTGATGTCATATCTAAGAAAGCATTGCTACATCTAAGGTTGTGCTTTCTTCTTTCTTGCCTTATGTTTTTTAAAATAATAATTTTATAGTATTAGGTCTTATATTTAGGTCATGGAGCCATTTGGGGTTAATTTTAGTATATAGTATGAGGTAAGGTCCAATTTCATTCTTTTGCTTGTGGATATCCAGTTTTTCCAGATCCATTTGTTGAAAAGGCTGTATTTTTCTCCACTGGATGGTCTTGACACCCTTGTCAAAAATCACTTTACCATATATGCAAGGATGCATTTCTGGACTCCCTATTGTATTTAGTTGTTCTACATATGTGTCTGTCTTTATGTCAGTACTATTCTGCCTTGATTACTGTAGCTTTGTAGTAACTTTTGAAATCAGAAAGTGTGGCTGGGCTTGGTGGCTCATGCCTGTAATCCCAGCACTGTGGGAGGCTGGGATGGGTGGATCACCTGAGGTCAGAGGTTTAAGACCAGCCTGGCCAACATGGTGAAATGCCATCTCTACTGAAAATACAAAAATTAGTTGGGTATGATGGCACACGTCTGTAATCCCAGCTATTCCTCAGGAGACTGAGGCATGAGAATCGCTTGAACCCGGGAGACAGAGGTTGCAGTGAGCCGAAATTGCACCACTGCACTCCAGCCTGGACGACAGAGTGAGACTCTGTCCCAAAAAAAGAAAAGAAAGTGTGAAGTGTGAATCCTCCAGCATTGTTTTTCCTTTTCAGGATTATTTTGGCTATTTGGAGTCCCTTGAAATTCCATATAAATATTAGGATGAGTTTGTCTTTTTCTACAAAAACCGTTATTTGGATATTGATAGAGATTGCATTAAATCAGAGGATCACTGAATAATATTGACATCTGAACAATATTAACCCCTTCAGTTCATGAACATGGAATGTCTTTTTTTAATGTCCTCTTTAATTTCTTTCAAAAATATTTAGTGGTTTTCATTGTATTGCTTCTTTGGTTCATACCTAAGTATTTTATTCTTTTTGGTGCTACTATAAATAGAATTGTTTTCTTAATTTCCTTGTCAGATTGTTCACATTTAGTGAATAGATGCAACTGATTTTTGTGTGTTGACTTTGTATCCTGCCATTTTGATGAATTTATTAGTTCTAATAGGTGTGTGTGTATGTGTGTGTTTGTAATCTTTAGGGTTTTCTACATATAGGATCACGTTATCTGTAAAGAGATAATTTTACTTTTTCCTTGCCAATTTGGATGGCTTTTACTTCTTTTTCTTGCCTAATTTCTCTGACTAGTACTTCTAGCACTCTGTAGAATAGAAGTAGACAAGCAGGCAACCTTGCCTTGTTCCTGATCTTAGAGGAAAAGCTTTTCGTCTTTTCATCATTGAATATAGTGCTTTTTGTGGGTTTTTCATATATGACTTTTATTACAGTGAGGTAGTTTCCTTCTATTCTTAGTTTTTTTAGTGTTTTTATCATTAAAGTTTTTTTGAATTTTGTCAAACATCAATTGAGATGATCATGTGGGTTTTTTCCTTCATTTTGTTAATGTGGTATATTACATTGTTTGATTTTTCATGTGTTGAGGCATCCTTACAGTTCCGGAATAAATCCCATTCAGTCATGGTGTATAATTATTTTAATATGCTGCTGAATTCTGTTTCTAGTATTTTGTCTCATGGTCATGATTTTCAACCAAGTGAGATAAATTATTTAAAATGATAAAACTTGAGGTCACAGGGCAAACTGCTGCTCCCAAAATTGGAGATACTGACAGGTGAAAATAGAGAATCACAGCTTAGTAGAGCAGAAACCCACAAGTAGCAACCTCTGCAGGTACCAGTATCAGAGTAGGGAAATCTGAATTGTAATTGATGTATTCCTGGAAACTCAAGTGTGGACAACTCTGAGAGTTAACCCAGTCATATGGGTGCCCCGACACTTTTGTGAGTTTTACCTCCAAGAGCTCTATCAAATTCTCACAGTGAATATGCGAGAAAAATCCCCCTGTGCTTCTGGAAGGGAAAGGGGAAAAGGAACCATGTGGAACTACACCAGAACACTTTGCTCTTCTTAACAAGGTCTCCCCTAAGGAGAAATTAGTTAACTAAATAGGATCTAACCTGCTAGGGTTTTGTTAGAGCCTAACTGACCTGGGATAAGCTGCATACCCACCTCCAGCCCACTCTATACATCCT
Source organism: Homo sapiens (assembly GCF_000001405.40). Classification (NCBI taxonomy): domain Eukaryota; kingdom Metazoa; phylum Chordata; class Mammalia; order Primates; family Hominidae; genus Homo; species Homo sapiens. Next base: position 58,855,336 of record NC_000017.11, read on the forward strand.
TCCCCAACTAAGGGGTAAGGAGTGGGGTAGACTGAGAAGCAACATGAAGTTCACAGTGTGGAGGTACAGGCTCACTGAAAGATAGAAACCTAATCATAGGACTGTAGAATGCTTCCCCTTCCTCCACATCTTACTACCACGTTACTAAAGGCCTAGTTATAGCAATTCCTTTTACCCAGTACATCGTGCCTGGCTATTAAGAAAAATTACAAGACATGCTAAAAGGCAAAAACACAGTTTGAAGAGATAGAGGAAGTATCATAACTAGATATGGCAGGGATGTTGGAATTATCAGACCAGAAATTTTGCAGCGAGTTTTAGGACCTACTTATAAGTTAGGACCTTAAAGATAAATTTTTTAAATATATAGGGAAATTTCAATTATAGATGAATTTTAGTTCATAATAGTAACAAACCATCCTACGTTTCTCAGCTTGTGAAGCAAATTATCTGCAGTACTACTGAGTCCTTTAGAGTTAATCTTTTTGGTTACCAATTCTTGCTTGATGGACATTAGTACCAGCCCAGTGAATCTTCCCCTGTGGTGCGGTATAAATTATTTTAGACAATACAGACTAGATGTTTATTGCTATACAGATTTATCAAAGAAATATGTAGAAGATACATAGGGAAAATTGTTATGAATAGCATACTGAATAAACAAATAGCCAAAATAAGTTTACTTAATATGGTCATGGAAATTGATCTTTGGTATTTCCAGTGAAATCAAACTTTTGAAGTATATCTTATCTGTGAAACTTGTATGTATTCAGCTATTGCATTATCTAAAAGCTTATTCCATTTAAGTGGTAATTGTGAAATTTTTTTTGTTTTGCTAATAATTCTCTGGAAAATATTAATCTTGAGTTCTGTATTCTAATGTTTAGTAATATGTGTTCATTTTATTTTATTTTATTTTTTGAGATGGAGTTTTGCTATTGTTGCCGAGGCTGTAATGCAATGGCGCGATCTCTGCTCACTGCAGCCCCCACCTCCCGGATTCAAGCGATCTCCTGCCTCAGCCTCCCTAGTAGCTGGGATTACAGGCCTGCGCCACCATGCCTGGCTAATTTTGTATTTTTAGTAGAGACAGGATTTCTCCATGTTGGTCAGGCTGGTCATGATATATGTTCATTTTATGATGTCTTCCAACAATTAAGAGAAAATGCACTACCTGAATGGTAATTGTTATGGGCTGAATTGTCTCCACCAAATTCATATGTTGAGGTTTTAACCCCCAGCACCTCAGAATGATATAGGGCCCTTAAGGAGGTAATTAATGTTAAATGAAGTCCTTAAAGTGAGTCTTAATCCATTAGGATTGGTCTCATTATAAGAAGAAAAGATTAGGGCACAAATAGAGAAAAAGACCATGTGAAGACAGAGGGAAAAGATATCCATTTATAAGCCAAACAGAGAGGCTTCAATAAATCAACCCTGATGACATCTAGATCTGGAATTTCTCATCTCCAGAACTGTGAGAAAATTTTCTGTTGTTTAAGTCACCCAGTCTGTGGTACTTTGTTATTGCAGCCCTAGCAAACTAATACAGTCATGATAGTAATTTTCCCCCTAGGGAAATTTTCTTCTCTATATGGAAGTTTTTTTAAGATTAAAAATTTGGAAATAATTTTAAATTTACAGAAAAGTTGCAACAATAGTCCAGAGAACACCCTTATACTCTTTACTCAGTTTAACCTATTTTTTGCCCCATTTGCTTTATACTTCGTCTCTCTACTTATTCATGTATATTTGAACCATTTGAAAATAAGTTAAATACACTATGCCCTGTTATCCCTAAATACTTCACTACACACTTCCTAAAAATAGGGACATGCTTTTACATAACCACAGTACATTTATTAATTTCAGAAAATGTAACATTGATAAAGTACTTTAATCTGTTGTCCACATTGAATGGAAGATTTTTTTTTTTACTTTGAATCACTGAGGTTGTTTTTGTTTTATTTTGGTTTTGCTACAATAACAGTGGTTTTTGTTTGTTTCTTTGTTTTAATTTGTTTTCCTGGGGCATAATGGCTCAGTGGCAGTACTATGTCGGTAGCAGTTTTAATCAGACTGAGTTTAAATTCTACCTCTACTTGCTTAGTTGACTGATCTTGGGAAAAATTATTTAACCTCTCTGTGCTTCAGTTTCTCTATCTGTAAGGTTAATAGGGTTACTGAGAGAATTAAATGAAAAAATATGTAACAGCTTTTAGTAAAGTACATGCCATATAGTAAGGATTTTTATTATCTATCCAAATCATTTTTTAAGCAGTAATTTTTCCTATAGGCTTAACAAAGAAATGTTGCTTCTTTCTTTTGCGGTCAGAAAACAATACCTAAAGTTCTACTTTGAAGCTCTCTGGTAAAACTTCCTGGAACAGCACACAACAGACGATTTTAAAAAGATAAATAAATTAGAGATGATGTCAGCAGATCATTCAATTCTCTAGCCACCTATGGTTTAAAAAAATTAATTCATAAAACTTCCATTATTTTAATAATTTCAGGAAGCTACTCTATCGTAGCAGATAATATAGGTAAAATTCCGTCCAATGTGTTTACTGTAAACTGCTACTCCCTACATATTATGCTTTGTTCATCTAACAAATATTTTGAAAGTTTTTTCATTCTTTTCTCAGGCATATAAACAATGTCACCCAAAGAATTAAGAATGTTTTGGAGTTTTTTCACTTCCATAAAAAACGTCATTGTTACCAAATTCAACAGATGTGATTGAGAATATAATGCTCTTGATTCCTCCTTAACCTTCCTTATAAAGCCAATGTTTTTAGAGTATTTTGCAGAATCCTAATTTTTTTGTACTTTTTATTTTAGTTTAGCTTTTTAATCAACACATAATTGTCCATATTTATGGGGTACATAGTGATGTTTTGATACATATAATGTATAGTGATCTTATCAGGGTAATTAGTGTATCATTTCAAATGTTTATCATTTCTTTGTGTTGGAAACATTCAGTATCCTCCTTCTAGTTATTTGAAACTATATGTTATTGTTAACTATAGTCATCCTGCAGTGATACAGAACAGTAGAACTTACTCCTTCTATATAGCTGTAATTTAGTATCCTTTAACAAATCTCTCTCTATCCCTTTCTTTCTCCTACCCTTCTCAGCCTCTAATATTTTCTGTTCCACTTTTTACTTCCATGAGATCAATTTTTTTTTTTTTAGCCTCCAAATATGAGTGAGTATATGCGGTGTTTAACTTTCTGTTCCTGGCTTACTTCATATAACATAATGTCTTCCATTTCCACCCATGTTGCCAAGAATGACAGGATTTTATTCTTTTTCAGGCTGAATAGTATCTCATTGTGTACATATACCACATTTTCTTTATCTATTATCTATTGTTGGACACAACAACATATGTTGGTTATTATGTATTTCCATATGTTGGCTATTGTGAATAGTGCTGGAATGAACATGGGGGTACAGATATCTCTGACATACTGATTTCCTTTCCTTTGGATAAATGCCCAATAGTGTGATTGCTGGATCATATGGTAGTTCTATTTGTAGCTTTTTGAGGAACCTCCATATTGTTCTCCAGATTGGCTGAAAAGCCATTACATTTTTAATTTGCATTAGTTATGTCATTGTCAACCTTAAATAATGCGATTCAGAAAGTGTGATTAAGTATAGCGTTTATTCAAGTGCGAAACTTGAGGATAGCCACATGGGAAACACAGACTTCAAAGAAATCGGGTTAGTGTTCCAAAGTGGGAAAGTTGAGGTTTCACTTATATAGGCAGTTAACAGGGTTGCAACATGTTTCATACAGGGTCAGTACCTATGTTATGGCAATTTGATTGGTTACAGTTTGCTACGTTTCAAGGAAGATCAGTTCTACATTCTGTGAGAAGGGGTGATGATCTGAGGGGATCTTCTCTCTGGTGCCACAAGACCTTTCCTGATCATTTACAGGAAAAAACAGAAGATGCAGCTGCATGCTACATGACTCAGGCCACATAGCCACCGTCCTTTCAAGGCTCAAAATAATTTAAAGTTACAACAGCTTTAAGTTTAAATTATTTGCATTTTCCCCTTTTTATCAAGATCGTTTGAAGAAACCATCATAGGTGAACTCAAATGGTTTTGGCTTCTTTTATTTTCAGGAGCTCAGTCTTCCATTGCTAGGAAGGCTTATTACTAGAGAGTCATGTCCCATGGCAAGGAGAATTTGTCAGACTGTAAAGCAAATAGAGTATAGGCCACATTTAGAGGAAGGAGGTGACTTTGTGACTCAAGTCAGGCTACATAGCTGCATCTTCAGTTAAAGTATTTCATTGAGCAACCATTATTTTAGTCTTTTCAGTTGTGTGTTGACTCCATTACAAACAAATGCCAAAGTAGCAGTAAGACAAAAACAGGACAAAACACAACAAATAATTCCTAGAATAAGTAACAGCTTCCACCACCATGTTTCCCAAGATCTAAACCAGCTGCCTGGCCAATTGTTCAGAGAGGTGTTGGATCTCAAAGGTTGGTTATTTGGGTTTTCATATCAGCCGTTAATTTAGTGATGTTACCTGATTCATCTGGGATATAGACATAAGACTCAATTTTTATGATAGCTCAGGTTTCCCCTTGGGCTGCAGTATGTCTAAAGCCATATGGTTCTGCAATACAGCTTTTCTCATAGGACCAACTTCATTGTTCAATAATGAGATTCTTATGTGGCTGTCATTTAGGGCCTTTTGGTGTGTGTAATTGGTTAGGGTCTCTACATGCCAAATGACATCCTCAATACCCAGTTGTGGCAGAAAGATGGAAACTAAATGATCTTAACAGTGGAATTCAGAACAAACCCAAAGAGATTGTAAATAGGAAGATTTGCAGGCTTTGAAAGGGTATGAAGTATTAGACCTTGTGCCCAGGCATAACTCAAAGAATACTGTCCTAACCATCCTGGGAGTAACCATGGCCATGGATTGGTGTCACACAGCCAATATAGTCCATTTGGAGCTAGCCAGTAAATACACAATGCCCATTCAGTGGCATGCCAGTCAGTTTTTTGTAATATAATGGTGTGCATACAGTATTCCTTAGTTTTCCATCCCTTATTTCTAATGGCAAAGGTGGTTTCATTATTGGGCCATGTATCTTCAGTTTGCTCCTTTTGTTCTCAGCATAGAGGAGAAAGCTGATGAAGCTGACCAAAAGAGGGGGTTATGCCAGATAAAACAGTCCCAAATTTGTGTTATACCATCCCCAATTCAAGTTGTCTCATTTTTCAGTTGACAACTTGATTTCAGTTGGGGCAGTACTAGCATTAAAGCTAACATACTCGCTTTAGGCCGGGTGCGCTGGCTCATGCCTGTAATCCCAGCACTTTGGGAGGCCGAGGCGGGCAGACCGCCTGAGGTCAGGAATTCGCGACCAGTTTGACCAACATGGTGGAACCCTGTCTCTACTAAAAATACAAAAATTAGCCGGGCATGGTGCACATGTAATCCCAGCTACTCCCAGCTGAGGCAGGGGAATTGCTTGAACCAGGGAGGTGGAGGTTGCAGTGAGCCAAGATCACGCCACTGCACTCCAGCCTGGGCGACAGAGTGAGACTCCGTCTTAAAAAAAAAGAAAAAAAAAGCTAACATACTGGTTTCATCTACTGAAAAATCTCTTCCCATGCCCCTTGCTTTATAAAGTGTTATCAATAGGCCAGTATTATATGTTATCCTTAGTCATACTAAGTGTTAAACACCAATGATTGTTTTTGAGAAGCACGGATATATTTCTGGTCTTCTATTCAGTCTTGTCCTTGGAAAGGCAATACCCACCATGGTGGGTCAGATCCACTGGAAAGGGGCATGAGGCTACATATCCAACAGATGTTTTCCTGTAATTTATCAGCATTGTCTTGAGCCCATTGCAAGAAGATGTTTGCTTCATAGACAAGAGCTGGTGATAGCAACAACAAAACATAAGAACAAGGGATGAAAATAAATTTAGTGGGAACTTGCAAAGGATGACCTTCTCCATCTATTATAATTATTAATATTAAGAGTTCATTTAGATACAGGCCTGGTTCAGTGTCTTGGGAAAGCTGACTACCTCAGATGCTGTCTTTTTCTTCTTCTTGTTGGCTCTGGAGAATTTCAATTTTAGATCACTGGCTTGAGATGAAGTCCAGATTGGCAAAGTGACTTTCTTTAAATGGGTGACGGATATCCAAGAATTGATTCCTTTTAGTTTAGCAGCACAAGAGTCAGTTAGATGCACTTGATAAGGTTATTTCACCTTCGTTGGAGGGAGTCCTTTAAAAGATGCTGTTTCTGGCTGGGCACGGTGGCTCACGCTGGTAATCCCAGCACTTGGGGAGGCTGAGGTGGGTGGATCACTTAAGCCCAGGAGTTTGAGACCAGCCTGGGCAACATGGCGAAACCTCATCTCTATGAAAAATACAAAAAATTAGCCAGGAATGGTGGCGTGTGCCTGTAGTCCCAGCTACTTTTAGGGGGCTGAGGCAGGAGAATCACTTGAACTCAGGAGGTTGAGGCTGTAGTGAGCCTAGATTGCACCACTGCACTCCAGCCTGGATGACAAAGTGAGATACTTTAAAAAAAAAATACATAAATAAATAAAAGCTGCTGTTTCCAATAGACAAAGACTCCTGGTTGAAGTCCTTGGTCCTTGGGTTCTTTGTCTTCTAGGAGCTTACAGTGGAAACACTCTTTTACTCAATTACAGTTTTTAATTAGCTGCCTTACAAGGCCATTACAATAATACAACATATATCCTTTTAATACAATAGATTCACAGTTTCCTGGAGACAGTTTCATAGGTCTGCCTGTTTCAAACAGAGACAGCCAGTATTTATCAAAAAGGATTGATCTTAGGCTAAGCAAAACCAGTGGAAGGGCTTTTGGCAAAGGAATTTTAAGAGCCTCAGTTAATTTTGCCAATTTAGTTTTGATTATTCTGTTTGTGTGTTCCACTAACCCAGATTACTGGGGAGCAATATGCATAATGGAAATGTTGGAAAATAGGTTAGATTTTATATATTGACTGGATTATTTGTCTGGTAAGATGAGTACCCCTGTTGCTATGAAGTTCTAGAGGAACTCCCCAATTTGAAATAATTTTCCCTAAGAATTTTACTTACTGCTAATGCTGTTGCTCTTCTGGATAGAAATGCTTCTATCCTATGAGAAAATGTATAATTCATTACTAGAATATACTTGTATCCTTGTGATGGTGGTAGCTGAATAAAATATAATTGTCCTACCTTGAAGGGGCTTTCAGGTAGAGGAAAATGACCTTGATTGCTATGTAAAGGTTTCCCTGGATTATATTTTGGGCAGATGTGTCAATGATTGTATATCTATATACCAATCCACAGTTGGGGAAGGCCTCCAATAATACTGTTTTCCCCAAGTAATCATTTTATTAGGGCCCCAATGAGTTAAATCATGTACATAAGTTCAGAAAGTTGACTGTAATTTGGTTGGAAGTATGGGTCGATCATTTGGTCCCTACCATAGCCCAGTCTTGGAGGAGTATGTTTTCCCTTTTGTTTCCCAATTTTCTTGTTCTTTTTTGGAGCTTTATGTTGAGCTAATTTTATGTCAAAATCAAATGCTTTCTTAAAAGCTAAAAAGGGGTTGATTTGCTTATTCAAATACACTTAGAGCAGCCCTTTTTACTATATTATCTGCTAAATGATGTACTTTGCTTTGTGGAATGTCTGACTTTGAATGGCTTCAGATCTTGATAATGGCTAATGATTTGGGAAATAATATGGCTTCTAATAATTCTGAAGCATGGTGTCCATTTTTAATGGACTGATCAGAAGAGGTTAAAAATCCTCTTTGTTTTCTGGGCATGGTGGCTCACGCCTGTAATCCCAACACTTTGGGAGGCCGAGGCAGTGAAACACAAGAGTTCCCTTGACCCCTTTGTGAGACTCATGAAGGGGTGGCTTGCTTTCTTAGCGTGCAGCTCTGAGCCCTTCATGGGAGTGGGAGCATGCAGGTGAGCAGTTGCAGGAGCCAGGGCAAACAAATGCTGGAACGAGCCGGCCACTTCTCTCCAGTGGGAGCAGGTCCTGTGCAGGCCCCACAGCAGGATCCAAGTGTGTTACAATGCTCTTTTAGCTCTGCCATCTGGAGGGAGTGCCGGCTACCCCTAGAGCCCCAGAGGGCATATCACTAGCTCAGTGGGCTTTTTGCCTCATTGTGAGGGGCAGCTGCCCTCTGCCAGTGAGGGCAAAGGGCCAGTGTGACAGCCTTTTTGGGTTCCTGCACCCAGTGGTCCTGAAATCTTGTCCAATGCCCAAGAGGAATGAGGTCACACAGACTTGAAGGATGGTGAATGCAGAGATTTTATTGAGCAATGGAAGTGGCTCTTAGTGTGCTGGGGTGCTGGAAAGGGGATGGAGTGGGAAAGTGGTCTTCCCCTGGAGTTCAGGTGTCCCAACCGAACACCTCTCCGACCATCCCCAGCTGAACTCCTCTCTGACTGTAGTCTCTGATGTTCAGCTACTTCTTCTACTCTGAATGTTCAGGTGCTTCTCTCTTCTGTGTGTCCACTGAGTTTGGGGTCTGGGGTTCTTATGGGCACAGGATAGGGGGTGTGGTGGGCTAAAAGAGAACATTTAGGTGGGGAAATGGGGATGTGAAGTTCTCATTTAGGGCTGCAGGTCCAGGCTTGAGGGTGGAACCTTTGCCAGGGACCCCGCCCTTCTATCTAGTATTTCCCTGCCTTCTGTCCATATCAACAGGAGGATCACTTGAGCCCAGGAGTTCAAGACCAGTCTGGGCAACATAGTGAGACCCTGTCTCAAAAAAAAAAAATTCTCTTTGTTTCCATACCACTCCAAAGTCATGAGCTACTCTGACAGCATATCTGCTGCCTGTATAAATATTAGCAGTTATTTCTTTTGTCCACGACAAGTTCTAACTAATGCTATTAACTCTGCTTGTTGAGCTGAGGTTGCTTTTGGAAGACGAGAACTTTCTGTTTCCTCAGTTAAGATACTGTAGCATAATCTGGTCCGGTGCGGTGGCTCATGCCTGTAATCCCATCAGTTTGGGAGGCTGAGGTGGGTGGATCACCTGAGGTCAGGAGTTCGAGACCAGCCTGGCCAACATGGTGAAACCTGTCTGTAATAAAAATACAAAAATTAGCCAGGTGTGGTGGCTTGCGCCTGTAAGTCCAGCTTCTCAGAAGCCTGAGGCAGGAGAATTGCTTGAACCTGGCAGATGGAGGTTGCAGTGAGCTGAGATTGTGCCACTGCACTCCAGCCTGGGCGACAGAGCGAGACTCCATCTCAAAGAAAAAAAATGATGGCTGGGCGCAGTGGCTCACGCCTGTAATCCCAGCACTTTGAGAGGCAGAGGTGGGTGGATCAGGAGGTCAGGTGTTCAAGACCAGCCTGACCAACATGGTGAAACCCCATCTGTACTGAAAATACAAAAATTAGCCGGGTGTGGTGGCAGGCGCCTGTAGTCCCAGCTACTAGGGAGGCTGAGGCAGGATAATTGCTTGAACTCGGGAGGCGGAGGTTGCAGTGGGCCAAGACTGTACCACTGCACTCCAGCCTGAGTGACAGAGCAAAACTCCATCTCGAAAAACAACAACAAAAAAGATAATCTAGCATGATCTGCAAAATAAATTCCAGATTCATCCTTCAAGTAAGATCCATCTGTAAATCAAACAACATCAGTGTTTAGTGAAGGGAATTTCTTGCAGGTCCATCCTATGAGGGAGAAGTTGGTCAGTTAAGATTATGCAATCCTGGGCCAGGTGCCGTGGCTCACGCCTGTAATCCCAGCACTTTGGGAGGCCGAGGCAGATGGATCACGAGGTCAGAGATCGAGACCATCCTGGCCAACGTGGTGAAACCCAGTCTCTACTAAAAATACAAAAATTAGCTGGGCGTGGTGGCAGGCGCCTGTAGTCCCAGCTACTTGGGAAGCTGAGGCAGGAGAATTGCTTGAACCAGGGAGGCGGAGGTTGCAGTGAGCAAGATCGTGCCACTGCACTCCAGCCTGGTGACAGAGTGAGACTCTGTCTCCAAAACAAAAACAAAAACAAAAAAGATTATGCAATCCTGGGCCAGCCATGGTGGCTCATGCCTGTAATCCCAGCACTTGGGGAGGCAGAGGTGAGGCGGGAAGATCATTTGAGCCCAGAGTTTCAGACCAGCCTGGGCAACATGGCGAAACCCGTCTCTACAAAAATTCACCAGGTATGATGGTGCACACTTGTAGTTCGATTTACTCAGAAGGCTGAGGCAGGAGGATTGCTTAAGCCTGGAAGGTTGAGGCTGCAGTGAGCCATGATTGCAGCCACTGCTCTCCAGACTGGGTGACAGAAGGAGACCCTGTCTCAAAAAACAAACAAACAAACAAAAGTTTCTTTGTCAGTTTTCAAATAGTTTATCTCCCCTTTTTAGACTATCAGTCTCTTGATTAGCTATTCTATTGTGGTAAATAGTTGTTAGCTAGACAACAGCAAATCTGCACTTTCAAAGGCATGATTGTTAGGTGAAAATTTACATCCCTAGGCACAGAATTTAGATCTAAACAGCATTATTTGCTGAGACAAAGAAGGCCATAGGTAAAGGGCCACCAGACAAGACAAGATTGCCAGGTAGTTTTAAACAGAGGTAAGATTTCTTATGTAAACTTTAAGCCAGTGTCTTCCCCATCATATTTCTTGTGGTTTAGATGCAGAGAGGGAGATTTTCTTTATAAATGCAGATCTCTTTCACAAAGAGTGTCTAAATAGCCAGCTAAATGCCAGAAAGTTGTATTTTGGAGACCAATCTAGTTAGATAGGCAGCCTTTTCAAGTTAGCTTTTTTCTTGATTAGATTACTAACTTCAGGGTGGAGCCCTTGGATGAATAGGTCAAAGAAAGCATGCAGTTTATAGGACATATATTTAAATATGTGAAAATTAGACACAGCTGGAAGGCAGAACACGTAGATTCCCTCAAATCAAGGAGCTCATTTTTACATTGAATCCTAGGTCTTCAAAACTAGGGAAATGCCACAGGATTGGACAGTGCAATGCTTCTACAGTGCCCCTTGCTGCAAGGACGTTCCCCCAAGACTGGTGGGTAACCCAACATTAATCAGCTACTCTGTGATCAGCCCATCCTCCATGGGAGTCTTACGCCTTAGCGGCAACTGTTTCCATAGACCCTAAGGGTCAAAACCACTCTTTTCTTATCTATATGCAGGAAGAAATGAGTAGTCTCCTACAGTAATAACCACTCATTGTAAATGCTGTCATTGTAAATGCTGTCAACTACCTCCATAGCTGCAGTCCTCACCAGAGACTTTCAGCTATTGCACACTCAAAGGTCATGTTCTCTCATAGTACAAAATAATCCCTGGTATCCCCAAAAGCCAAAGAGATAAGGGAGAGAGAGCAGATCTTTAGACCTGAGAAAAACCTTCCATAGGTTTTGGGACTCCACAAAGAAAGCAAAAGATCCCAAAAGGTGGGTGTTCAGTACCTTTTTCTATGTTCCTTAAGGGGTCTCAGGACCACTAGAAGTCTCCTCTAGATTTCTTCATTTGATATCAAAGATGACAAAAGGAAGGAGGAACAGAAGTAGAAGGAAATGGATAAATAAATCTTAGAGGAGCCAAATTGGGGGGATTTTATTTTTTCTTTTTTGAGATGGAGTCTCATTCTGTCACCCAGGCTGGAGTGCAGTGGTATGATCTCGGCTCACTGCAACCTCCATCTCCTGGGCTCAAGCAGTTCTCCTGCCTCAGCCCCCTGAGTAGCTGGGATTACAGGCATGTGCCGCCACACCCAGCTAATGTTTGTATTTTTAGTAGAGAAGGGGTTTCACCATGTTGGTCAGGCGGTCTCGAACTCCTGACCTCATGATCTGCCTGCCTTGGCCTCCCAAAGTGCTGGGATTACAGGCATGAGCCATCGCGCCCTGCCTGGATTTTAAGCTTTTCAAAACGCAAAAATCATGTTACTCAAAATTGTTACTACCAGATGTTGAAGAATAGCTATATTATTAATTGCTATTAGATTCTGTACAAATTTCTAACCTCTACCATTAGATTTTCTTATGGGAAGGATTAGAGTGTTACAGGGGCTTGTACAAGGAATAATCAAGCCTCTTTTTATAGAATCCAAAACTACAGCTCTTACTCCCTCCAAGGCCTTCAATCTTAGAGGGTATTGCTTAAGGTTTGGGACAGGTTTTGATGGATCTATCTGGATTTTGACTGGAGGAGCTAAGATAATTTTCCTCATATCAGTGGAGAATTTTGACTACAGCTAATTAGGCACTACTTTTAAGAGCGCTTCTAGTTCTTTATTATTTAACAATTCAGTATCCTCTATGGCAATATAAATTGCAATTAAAAGGATCAGATTTGGAAAAATTTTTGTATCTCACAATTTTGTTTTACCTTCTAATTCTAAATACACTTCCCCCTTTTGAGAAGAGTATGGCTATTATATAATTTAAAACATTTCTCCTTATCAAATGCATGGGGGCTGAGGGAACTAAGAGGAAAACATGTGTTCCCTCTAGGGAACCTAACTGAAAAACTATAGGTTGAGATTGATATGCTGTTATAGGAGTATTTGTTACACCCACCATCTGTAATGGTTTTTGACTCCAAGGAATAAGACTCTGTAAGAAGGTGGGATTTATTATTGATAATGCAGCTCTGGTGTCATTAAGAGCTTGTGTTTGGGGCCAGGCGCAGTGGTTCATGTCTATAATCCCAGCACTTTGGGATGCCAAGATGGGTCGACTGCTTGAGTTCAAGAGTTTAAGACCAGCCTGGGCAGCAAGGCAAAACCCTGTCTCTACAAAACATACAAAAATCAGCCAGCCATGGTGGTGCACACCTGCAGTCCCAGCAACTCAGGAGGCTCAGGCTTGAGTTAGGGAGGCAGAGGTTGCAGTGAGCCAAGATTGCACTACTGCAATTCAGCCTGGGTGACAGAATGAGACCCTGTCTCAATACAAAACAAAAACAAAAACAACGTAGGCCCTCGCTAACAATATTTTTCAAAAAAAAATTTTTTTTAATTTTTAAAGAGCTTGGTTTGTTTTCCATTTAAAGTTATTTCAGTTACTCCTAAGGTATTAGTGAGAAGAGGGAAGTTCCCTCTTTTGATTTCCTCAGGGCACTCCTATTCTTCCTTTTCTTTGGACTGTTTTCATTCTTTCCATTTTAATTTTCTACAATCCTTTTTGAAATGTCCAGGCTTTTTTTTTTTTTTTGCAGTCATTGCAATGCAGGAGATTGGGTCAGTTTTGGAGTTTAAAAAGGCTTTTTAGGGGTTTTAATTGGTTGGACAATTGTTTTAATTGTAAACTCATAACCTTATTTGGTTTTCTTCCCTGTTTAACTTCTCTTTCCTTTTCTTCCTTGGTTAGGGTATGGGACCTAGGTCCCATAGGGTATGGGTACGTTCAGCAAAATAAACTAGATAATGAGTTTGAGGATAACTAACTGGTGCATTGTTTCTTTATTATAATTGCTAATTCTTAATCTAATCCATTTATAAAGTTTAAGTTACAAGGCCAGGCACTATGGCTCACATCTGTAATCCCAGCACTTTGGGAGGCCAAGGTGGGCAGATCACCTGAGGTCAAGAGTTTAAGACCAGCCTGGCCAACACAGCAAAACCTTGTCTTTACTAAAAATACAAAAAAAATTAGCCAGGCATGGTGGCGTGTACCTGTAGTCCCAGCTACTCAGGAGGCTGAAGCATGAGAATCACTTGAACCCGGGAGGCAGAGATTGTGGTGAGCCAAGATTGTGCCATTGCACACCAGCCTGGGTGACAGAGTGGGACTCCGTCTCAACAACAAAAGTTTAAGTTATAGGAAGTATCATTTTGGTGGTTAGTATAACTTTATTCTGATAGGCCTGAATATTTTTTAATGTTTTTTCCCCAAATCTTTCATAGTGTGACATCAAAGGCTTGATATAGTTTGGATATTTGTCCTGTCCGAATTTCATGTTGAAATTTGATCCCCAGCGTTGGAGGGACCTAGTGGGAGATGTTTGGCTCATGGGGGCAGATCATTTGTGAGTGGCTTGGTGCCATCCTCACAGTAATGAATGAGTTCTCATTCTATTGGTTCCCATGAGAGCTGATTGTTAAAAAGAGCCTGGCACCTCCCCTCAATTTCTTCCTCTCTTGCCATGTGATCTCTGCACACCAGCTCCCCTTCTCCTTCTGCCATGGGTGGAAGCAGCTGGAGGCCTTCACCAGAGGCAAATGCTGGCACCATGCTTCTTCTTGTACAGTCTTCAGAATTGTGAACCAAATAAACCTCTTTTCTTATAAATTACCCAGTCTCAGGTATTCCTTTATAGCAACACAAAGACAGACTAAGACAAGGCTCATGAAAATTTTGTTGATGTTGTATTTTGTTCCAATCAACCACTTTTTGAAAAACTAAGGGGATAGCATCTAGTAAAGCTTTGGCAGTGTTGCAGGCCCATTCACAATCTGCTTCAGAACATTTATGGAAGTTCTCTGAAGAATTTCTCTAATGTGCCTTTGCTATCCTATTTGGCTTTATCAAAGATGAACGAATTGATATAAGTCAGAGAATCTGGGATTGAAAGTTTGAATGTTTAATTCAAATTCTCTAGCAAATCCAATAGAATCCTGAAGAGGATTAGGAAATTATTTAATTATGCCTTTAAGTTCTACCTTTGAGCATGGTTGATAAATCAAGCAGGTTCTCTTCTACTAGACACACAGGGTATTCCCTAAATGGAGCCAGTACAGCATCTGGAGGAGGAGGAGGAGGAAGGGAAGGTAGTCTGATAGACAAGGAAGTTCTGACAATGAGGGACAAAGAGAAGAAGGAGCTGAAGGAGAAGAAGAAATGTCAGGGTTTTTCAATTCAAAATTATTTTAGACAATTTTTTCATTTCCTCTTTCAAAGAAATGGCTTTATCAGAAAGCTTCTAAGTACCATTGAAAATAGCTCTCCCAGTTATTTTGTTTTATTTTAGAGCCAGCTTTTATTTTGGATTCAGGGGGTACCTGTGTATGTTTGTTATATGGGTATATTGTGTGATGCTGAGGTTTGTGGGTACAAAGGATCCCATTACCCAGGTAGTGAGCATAGTACCCAATATGTAGTTTTTTAGCCCTTGCCCACCCCCAAGTAGTTCCCAGTGTTAATTTTCCTTCTGTTATGTCCATGTGTACCGATGCTTAGCTCCCACTTATAAGTGAGAACATGCAGTATTTGGTTTTCTGTTCCTGTGTTAATTCACTTAGGATAATGAGAGCTGGATTTTTAAAAATTGAGTATGCAGAGAAACTAGTTTAGGTATTTCAAAGGTACCCCCATTTTGGCCACTGTAATTTGGGGTCATTGCAAATTATGCATGACTAATTTTCTAAATATTTACATGAAGATGTGCCGTAAGTATTAAACATGAATCCAGCTTACGTTTCTAGTGGTGGATCTCTTCTTCAGGAGGAATACTTGGTTTTAGATGCATGATTACCCAGACTTTAGATTTTCCTCTTGAATGACCAAACAACTTAGATAGGAGATATTTTGGATTAAGTGTGCCGCCTGTGGGAATAGCCCCTCAAGGTGTCACCCTTGTGTTGGTTTTTCCCTTTTATGTGTCTTGGTGATCCCAAGAGGCTTGGGTGCTTAAGGCAGTAGGTGATCAGCTGTTATGTGTGTTCATTTAACTTTATGGTTTTTGTTTGTTTGTTTTGCTCTGTCACCCAGGCTAGAGTGCAGTGGTGTGATTACAGCTCACTGCAGCCTCGAATTCCTGGTCTCAAGTGATCCTCCCTTATTTCAGCCTCCCAAGTAGCTGGGACTACAGGTGCACACCACCACATCTGGCTAATTTCTTATATATTTTTTGTAGAGATGGAGTCTCACTGTGTTGCCCAGGTTAGTCCTAAACTCCTGGGTTCAAGTGATCCTTCTGCCTTGGCCTCCCAAAGTGCTGGGATTATAGGCATTGAGCCTCCGTGCCTGGCTCTGTATGCTCTTCTTAAGGGTTTTCCTGTAAGACTGTTTCATGTCATGAACAATGAGCTCCAACACTCCCACAAAGACCTCGGTAGCCTAAGGTGCCTTTCAGTTGGCAAGAACAGTGTCTCTCATCTTTGGGACTTATTTTGTCCTCATAAAGAGCCTTTTGTAGTTTTAATTACTCAAGAAGAAACTTTAGGCCAGGCACAGTGGCTCACACCTGTAATCTCAGCACTTTGGGAGGCTGAGATGGGTGGATTGCTTGAGCCTAGGAGTTTGAGATCAGACTGGACAATATGGCAAAACTCCGTCTCTACAAACAATACAAAAAATTAGCCAGGTGTGGGGACGCACACCTGTAGTTCCACCTATTTGGGAGACTGAGGTGAGTGAATCATTTGGACCTCGGAAGTTGAGGCTTCAGTGAGCCATGATCATCGATACTGCACTCCAGCCTGGGCAACAAAGGGAGACCCTGTCTCAAAAAAAAAAAAAAAGAAGAAGAAGAAGAATATTTATATTTGTCAGTTGTCAGTTGAACTGAGCTTCAGAATCTGGTTAGTTTTAAAGATTACAAATTTTGCTTAAGTCACAAAGATTCATTTCCTCTTTTCAAAGATAAACTGTTTTCTCCCTGACCAAAGTTTCAAATGAGATAAAAAGTTATAGAAATGCTAATGAGGCTGGGCGTGGTGGCTCACGCCTGTAATCCCAGCACTTTGGGAGGCTGAGGCAGGCAGATCACCTGAGGTCAGGAGTTTGAGACCAGCCTGGCCAACACAGTGAAACCCTGTCTCTACTAAAAATACAAAATTAGCTGGGCATGGTGGCACGCACCTGTAATCCCAGCTACTCCAGAGGCTGAGACAGGAGAATTGCTTGAACCCAGGAGGCGGAGGTTGCAGTGAGCCGAGATTGCACCACTGCACTCCAGCCTGGGCCATAAAGTGAGAGGCTGTCTCAAAAAATAAGTAAAAGGAAAATAAATAAATAACAAAATAATGTTTAAACCTCTACCAAGCTGGGAGGTTCAGACCCTGAGAGATGCCTTACTAGATATTTCCATTAACTTCAGCAAGATTGGGTGAATGAAAGTAATTTGTGTTGGTAGCAGCGTTCCAGTTGTCAGCAAAGTGACAGATATCACTGGAGGTCTGCTTTGAGTCCCTTCATGGTGACCAAAATGTCAACCTTAAATAATGAGATTCAGAAAATATGATAAAATATAGGGTTTATTTAAACACAAAGTATGATCTGATCACTGTCCATTTGTTTTTGTGGGCTGGTTGCTGAAGGGTCAGAGTTCTGTCTTCATGTATAGTCTGGTCATTGTCCATTTGTATATCCTCCAGTCCCTTGCTACTAAAAACAAAAATGACAGCCACCTGGGAAACACAGACCCCAAACACGTGGGAGCAAGTGTTCCAAAGTGGGGAAGTTGAGTTTCCATTTATATAGGCAGTTAACAGGGTTGTAACATTTTTCCATACAAGGTCAGTCCATATGTTATATGTTATAGTTTGTTACATTTCAAGGAAGTGATTGGTTACAGTTTGTTACATTTCAAGGAAGACTGCCTTAACATTCAGTGATCGGGGTGATAATTTGAAGAGATCTTGAGCTACAAGGCTTTTCCTAGTCATTTACAGTAAAAGCAGAACTTGCAGCGGCATGCTACTGGCTCAGGTCATAGAACCACATTCCTCTCAAGGCTCAAAATTATCTAAAATTCTGCCAGCTTTAAATTTGAATTACTCAGTTTCACACCATCATAGGCCTAAGCTCACATTTTATTCAAAACAACTTCAATGTAGTATAGATAAATTTTCATAACTCTTTGTAAGTTGATATGATTTATCTCTTTAATATTAACGAAATTTAGGAATTACCTTCTGATGTTTGCTGCATATATATGCACAGATTGATGGCAAATATTTTATTGCACTATTTAGTTCTGTATTATACTATCAACATTACTGTTTTTCTAAAATAAAGCAGAATCTTTTCTTTGTTTTAAAATGATCTCAGTTCCCAAGGAAGAAACTACACCAATTTGAGTCTGAAATATCAAACATTGAAGAATACAAAATTTATTTTCTAAGCAGTGAAAAACCATGTATCTAATGAAGCAAGTTGGTTCAGATGGTGTAGCTGGCAAACAGGACAAGAGCTACGTAGAGGTAGCAAGACTGAAACTTGATCTTGGTTGGAATGGAACAAAATGCTCATAGTATTATTATTATTATTATTATTATTATTATTATTATTATTATTTTCGAGTCAGGGTCTCACTTTGTCACCCAGGCTGGAGTGCAGTGGCACAATCATAGCTCACTGCAGCCTTGATCTCCCAGGCTCAAGTGATCCTCCTGCCTCAGCACCCCCAAGTAGCTGGGACTACAGGTCCGCACTACCATGCCCAGCTAATTTTTTTTTTTTTTTTTGTAGAGATGGGATTTTGCCATGATGGCCAGGCTGGTCTTGAACTCTGAGCTTAAGTGATCTGCCCACCTTAGCCCCCCAAAGGGCTAAGATTATAGGAGTGAACCACCGTGCCCGGCCTAGTGTTAATTTTCTTTTTGCATGATTTTTACACTACTATGAAAATAAGCAAAGTCCACCCAAATGAGAACCAACAGAATTCATTTATTGAAATCTTGCTATAACAAGGAAGTCAGCCAACATCGCTTTCGTTGGGCAGACTCAAAAACGAGTAGGCAAGTTTTATAGTGAAAAAAATACGTTAAGGTATGATCTAATTGGAGGTTGTTGGCATGGAGAAGTTGAAGGCCAGCTATCTAAAAGCAGAGCATCTTAGGGAATTAATTCAGGAAACATAGTTGGCTTTCTGTGGTTGGCCTTGAGTTGAAATCATGCAGGGGTTGGGGCACAAAAATAGAGAAGCTGGTAGTCATTGATCAAATCCTCGCTGTCCTGGGGTGATTGCTGCCAAGATTGTAATTTGGATTTGCAGGCTGGTTGCTGAAGAGATTGTAGGTCAGAGTTCTATCTTCATGTATGGTCTGGTCATTGTCCATTTATATATCTTCTAATCTCTCACTACTGAAGAACAAATAAAAATGATTTGTGTTTTATAATTTTATGGAAGAATATATTCATGTAGCTTTGAGAGATTTGAAGATTCTAATAGTTACAGAAATCTTCCCAGATGAAAATTATATTTTATGTCTGAGAATATAAGATGAATTATGTTTATACTGTAAGATATCTTTGCAAAGTTCTTGTTACAGTAGAAGTAGATTCTGGACCTCAAAGATATATCAGTTACAATAATAATATGTACTTATGGGGTCTTTTGAGAAATTATAACCTGGTTTGTACTACCTCAGAAAGATTGAGCATTTTCTCCATGACTTATTGGATAATTGGGACTTTTAAAGATGTAAGAAAGAAAGTTACTGGTATATCACCACTGGAAACTCCTCACATTGCAATTTTCTATAGAGGAAATTTGTTGGCTGTGATGAATATTATATTTAAGTTTCTACAGTTTTTTAAATTAAATTTTTATTTTGAGAAATTTTCAAACAGAAATATTTTATATAAAAATTATACAGCATCAATAGATAAAGCTGAAGTATCCTTTATCCTCTCCCCTCCTGCCCCATTTTCTGTCCCCTTTCTTCCTGTAAGAGGCAACCTCTCATGAATTTGGTGTGTGTCCTTTTAACTCATAAAATCATTATTTCTAAAAACAATGTAATTGCCCTTACTTGGCTAATTATAAACACAAATATGGAAGTTTTGAAAGACTTACTTTCTAGATTCTTTTAGATTAGTAAATTATTATAATAAGCCTGAAAAACAGAACATTATTCACCAAGTAATTCAACCAAGTAACATATATTCTGTGTTAAATAGCATATTGTCTTTGTATTGGTATTAATGTATCTAATTAGTGGCAGGCATCTAGGTCTCTCAAGGAAGGAAGAAGGAGAATTTGGGGAAAAGAACCAATGAAAGAAAGCACAGATTGACACTTTGAGAAATGTGTAAAAAATGAGTCAGAGGTTTTTCTCTTGATCTTGGCTGAAAGTATAGCTAGGTCTCAAGTTTGCTTTGATCTTTTTTTGCCTGGCCCTTACAGAAGCAATGCTTTTTCTTTGTTTCAAAATGAATGGGCAAATATATATACTATACTTGTCAATCTCAGTGTTTTAAGTATTGCCAATTTGACACCAATGTGGCAGAACCAAGTTCAATTTGTTAAGAGTTTAATTTATTCTCCAAATATAAGTTGCTTCTGTTTTATAAATACCTACATAAAAAGCTTAAGTCCCAGCAATAATTTAATAAAATCCTATGCATCTTGTTTTAAATACTCCTGTGATTCACAGACAATCACAGTTGACTGAACAAAAACCTATATTTAGTAACTATTTGAAAGGTACTGTAATTAAGTCTGTTTTAGTTCTAATCATTACTAACACCGTGGATAATGCAGGAAAGGGGGAAAACACAGCTCATCAAAGAAGAGACCCATGAGATGGATATAGCTAGTTTAATCATAGTAAAAAAATCCCAAGGATGTTGACACATCTGTACTATCATTAATGAGAGATATAGTACAAAGACTTCATCTGAAAAGGATGACTTCATGGAGTATCAATGACTTTACATCTCTTCAAAGGATAAAAAGGGTTTATGTTTTTCTGGTGCCTGAATGTTTTAACTTGTTACATTGACTGCATGATGAGTACTATGGTTTGTGATTTAAATGTATTATGAACATAATTTTTTCTTTGCATCTAAAATTTTGTTTTTGGCTTAAGGAAGAACCCAAAATGCTATTCATTCACTGGTAGTATATCTGTGATTTGTAGCATGTTCTATAAAATTTCATCTCCAAGGATAAAAATTTTCTTATATTTGTACATAAATAAAACTTTTGTGAGCTTGATTAATTTTTAAAGGAGTTATACTTTTGTTATCCTTAACTTTTAAATTGGAGTATTTTCTTTGTATTAATAGGCAGAAGACTATAGCCTTAATTTTATCAGTAGGTTAGGAAGCATTTTCCTATATTTAATCTCTATATTGCTTTCAGTTTTTGGCTTTCTTGAGGATAAACAAAATGTCAATTACTAGGGAATTCTACAATCTGAGAGTGATAATTTGAAATCTGTTATAATGACATAAAGATTTATTTTTTGATATTTTTATAGGAAATGGAAATACTGGCAAACTAAAAATATTTGTTTATGGCTACTTGTTATTTCTAATCCTCTTCCTAAAATGTAAGGAATTAAAACTTGAAAATTTATTTATGGAATGGTAAATTAGAAACTGATAGTAAATCAGAAGACTGACGATAATTAAAACATTATAATATTGGGAAAGTAGCTAAAGAAGACCTTGGAAAATTATTATTAGATGTCTTCAGGAAGTGGCTGTAAAAAATATACCTGTCAGTTGACAAATGTGCATTTTATTTTATTTTTTTTTTGAGACGGAGTCTGGCCCTGTCCGCCAGGCTGGAGTGCAGTGGCGCGATCTCGGCTCACTGCAAGCTCCGCCTCCCGGTTTGGGGCCATTCTCCTGCCTCAGCCTCCCGAGTAGCTGGGACTACAGGCACCCGCCACCACGCCCAGCTAATTTTTTGTATTTTCAGTAGAGACAAGGTTTCACCGTGTTAGCCAGGATGGTTTCAATCTGCTGACCTCGTGATCCGCCCGCCTCGGCCTCCCAAAGTGCTGGGATTACAGGCGTGAGCCACCGCGCCTGGCCAAATGCGCATGTTAAATTAAATAGTTAACTTATTATTTCTAAAATCTATGGCGTTTGAATTTAAGATGACGTTTCAAATAGACATAAAATGTTTTGCTTTAAGATTTTACAATATAATACAACTATTTGCATAGCCAACATAGGTAGCCTTGGTACCTCATTAGGTAAAGTGGAGTTTTTTCCTCATTGTTAATGAAAAGGATAAGGTTCCCTAAAAGAGAGCAAAAAGGAAAATAAGATATTGCTTTTAAAATTCTCTTCTTTAATTCCTGTTTTTCAGAGGATAGCTGGCTCACATATTATGTTTCTAAATTTATCAGTTCCCCGCCAATGAGACAAATACATCTTTACAAAGATTTATAGATTGCTAGGAGTTTTCTGGTCCATATTTACAAAAAACCCTCAATTTCTAAACAAATTATATTCTAAAAGTTTGTTTTAAAATGTATTTTAGAATTTTTGATATATTTTTTCCATAGAAAGAGTTATAAATGGTAGGTTCCTAGGCCAGTCCACAGAAGTATTTTTAATCCATAAAGTAGTGAGGAATAAAGATTTGTTTTAAATATTTTTATATTGAATTTAATGCTGGCAATTTAAGGAAAGCAGTTAGTGTGAATCACAGGATTGGGAAACTTGTATGGAAATTCTAAAAAGGACTTATGGATACATTAAAATTGGCTTCAGAAACTATTTCTAATTTTTTGTCTAAACTCCCCACTATCTTTTGCAAATGCACTACTATTCTTGGGATTAATAGCTCACAAATGGAACAATGAGAGAAATTTTCTTTGAGTGGTTAGGTGTAGCTGAAAGAGGGATTATGGTAAGAGGATCCATAAATAATAAAAATTTGATATGTGATTTATATCTCAGTGAAGCTGTTCTTTAAAAAGTAAAAAAAAAAAATTATGGTTCTGTTTAAAAAGAAAAAAGTGAAAAATAAAAATAAGAAAATAAAAGCGTGAAAGAGGAAATAACTTCTTGTGACTAAACTTCCAAATAACAAAAGAAAGAGTGGCTTTACATTACTTAGTTGTTTGTATTTGTTATGATAAATGTCAAGTAAGCCATTAATTTTTACTAAATTCAGTAAAAAACCTTAATCTGACAGCTAGGGAAAGAAACAAATGGCAAATATAGAGTAGATGATCTTTTTTTTGTTTTTTCTTTTTATGAGATGAAGTTTCGTTCTTGTTGCCCAAGCTGGAGTGCAGTGGCGCCATCTCGGTTCACTGCAACCTCCACCTCCCGGGTTCAAGGGATTCTCCTGCCTCAGCCTCCCGAGTAGCTGGGATTACAGGCACGTGCCACCACACCTGGCTAATTTTTTGTATTTTTAGTAGAAATGGGGTTTCACTATGTTAGCCAGGCTGGTCTTGAACTCCTGACCTCAGGTGATCCGCCCACCTTGGCCTCCCAAAGTGCTGGGATTACAGGCGTGAGCCACCACGCCTAGCCAGAATAGATGATCATTTAAAAGCTAAGAATATTTTATGAATTGGAGGATTCGTTTAGAGTATTATAAAATATAGCCTACAAAATTCTGAAGAAAACTAACTTTTGCTGGCCAGGCGTGGTGGCTCACACCTGTAATCCCAGCACTTTGGGAGGCTGAGGTGGGCAGATCACCTGAGGTAGGGAGTTTGAGACCAGCCTGACCAATATGGAGAAACCTAGTCTCTACTAAAAATACAAGATTAGCTGGGCGTGGTGGTGCATTGCCTGTAGTCCCAGCTACTCAGGAGGCTGAGGCAGGAGAATCGCTTGAACCTGGGAGGCGGACACTCCAGCCTGGGCAACAAGAGCGAAACTGCATCTCTAAAAAAAAAAAAGAAAAAAAGAAAACTAACTTTTGCTCTTCTAAAAGAGATGCCAAACTTAAATGATTTTATTTTCCTCACCTTGCCATTTATTTTTCCTCCTTTTGTCATTCAGGACTTTTGCTAGAGATGACAGTAGGATGTCTTTGCAATAATCCAGACACTGGAATTTGGCAGTTAGGAGGCATTTTAGTCTTTAGACTACTCAGTTTACTCTATATTGACTAGAATTTTTAGTGAAGGATCTTAATCTCATAGTCTATGTCACAAAATGTACATCACAGCGTTTTTTCACAGAATTAGGAACACATACATTATTTTTAATAACTTTGAAGCAAAAGGCTACTTGGAGTGCATTATCTCCACATACTATATATAATATTTATAATATTTTATATATATAAAAGACATGGTCTCACTATGTTTCCAGGTTGAACTTGATCAAACTCCTGGACTCAAGCAATCCTGCTACCTCAGCTTCTACGGGTGTGTACCACTGTGCTTGGCCAATTGTTTACTCTGTATTTTTCACCATGAAGTTAAAACCTAAAATTAGGATATCATTTAGGAAAAAAAGATTAGGTGCTGAGATTAACTTTTTTTTTTTTTTTTTTTTTTTTTTGAGACAGAGTCTCGCTCTGTCGCCCAGGCTGGAGTGCGGTGATGCTTGTCGGCTCACTGCAAGCTCCGCCTCCCGGGTTCACGCCATTCTCCTGCCTCCGCCTCCTGAGTAGCCGGGACTACAGGCGCCCACCACCACGCCTGGCTAATTTTTTTGTATTTTTAGTAGAGACGGGGTTTCACCATGTTAGCCAGGATGGTCTCAATCTCCTGACCTCGTGATCCACCCGCCTCGGCCTCCCAAAGTGGTGGGATTACAGGCGTGAGCCACCGTGCCCGGCGAGATTAACTTTTAAAATATTTGGGCTTCAACTTTATTCCCACACACATTTCCAGAACCCTTGGGCTTTGGAGGAGTGGCAAAACTCCACTTCCATCCTCTTAGGGTCCCAGCTGGGTCTGAGAATTAAATTGACATAAGACATTAACAGGAGAAAAACATACAAATGTATTTAATACAAATTTCACACGGCATGGGAGCCCTCGTAAGGAACTGAAGACCCAAAGAAGCAGTTACAGTCAATCACTGGTATACTGAATTGGACAAAAAAGTAGCTGTGAAAAAGCAGCTAAATTGTGTGGGGAGGCTTAAAAGATAACAGTTATTTTAACAAGGTCTGTACAGAATTCCTTTGGTCTCAACTTCATCCTTGAGGATAAGGATGTTTTATTCCTTTTGGTATAGGGAGGGTGTCTTTCACATGGGAATTTCATCTCCTGCTTTTAAGAAACAGAAAAGAGGCTAGAAGGATCTTTTTGCACCTGCTGCTTTTCAAGTGCCTTTAATTCAAAATAGTCAATATGTCAGAGTGGTATATTTTTAACTCCTTCAGCTTAAATGGAAGATTCATGTTTTCTTGAAAGGATTAGGAATATGAAGTTTCCTGCAGAATTTTACACCAAAGATGTATAAACATAAGAACTTTACCAGAATAGGGCAGTGAGAGTCTGAAACAATCTTTCAGGGAAAATCTGACGATATCTCCTGAACATGTATGTAATCTTTTGGCTAGACTCACAGACTTCCTAAAAAGTATGATGGTAAGGAGAAAAATTTTTCTTCTGATTCTGTTGTGAAAGAGTTTGTTTGTTTGTTTGTTTGTTTGTTTTCTTTTGAGACAGGATCTTACTCTGTCGCCCAGGCTGGAGTGCAGTGACACGATCTCGGCTCACTGCAGCCTCGACATCCAGGGCTAAAGTGATCATCCCACCTCAGTCTCCTGGGTAGCTGGGACCATGGGCACATGCCACCACTGCTAGCTAATTTTTTTTGGTATATTTTGTAGAGATGGGGTTTTGCCGTATTGCCCAGGCTGGTCTCAAACTCCTGAGCTCAAGCAATTTTTTTTTAAACTGGTGATGGTTCACAACTTGTGATACCTAAGTTTGTGTATATATCAATAATATATATAAACAACATGCAATATTCATTTCCTGTATATTTTATTCTATGTTAAGTTTTTTGGAGGTAACTTTGTCTACTCAGCAAGTAGAATGTTACGCAGCAAGTAAAGTCATTATTGTTTTGTTTAGTCTTGCTTTGTTTTTGCAATCCTAATTAAGGATAATATTCACTTCCCATCCAGAGAGTATACCAATCCTTTTTATTCTGCTTTTCACTTTCCCGTTTCCTTCTTTTTCTTTCTCTTTTAAAACTTACACAAATGTCATACATGAAAACACTGCCATTGCAAAAACTTCCAGAAATAGAAATACAGAAGGCTGGGCGCAGTGGCTCATCCCTGTAATCGCAGCACTTTGGAGGCTGAGGCAGGTGGATCGCCTTGAGCCCAGGAGTTTGAGACCAGTCCAGGCAACATGGCAAAATCTTGTCTCTTTAAAAAATACAAAAATTGGCCGGGCGTGGTGGCTCACGCCTGTAATCCCAGCACTTTAGAAGGCCGAGGTGAGTGGATCACAAGGTCAGGAGTTCAAGACCAGCCTGGCTAAGATGGTGAAACCCTGTCTCTACTAAAAATACAAAAAATTAGCCGGGTGTGGTGGCGAGTGCCTGTAATCCCAGCTACTTGGGAGGCTGAGGCAGAAAATTGCCTGAACCCGGGAGGTGGAGGTTGCAGTGAGCCAAGATCGTGCCACTGCACTCCAGCCTGGTGACAGAGTGAGATTCCATCTCAAAAAAACAAAAAACAAAAAACAAAACATAAAAATTAGCCAGGCATGATAGTGTGCACCTGTAGTCTCAGCTACTCAGGAGGCTGAGGTGGGAGGATGGCTTGAGCCCAGAGACGGAGGTTACATTGAGCCGAGATTGTGCCACTGCATTCCAGCCTGGGCGACAGAGCCAGACCTTGTCTCAAAAAAGAAAAGGAAAGAAAAGAAAAGAAATACAGGCCAGGCATGGTGGCTCATGCTTGTAATCCCAGCACTTTGGAATACTGAGGCAGTTGGATGACTTGAGCCCCAGGAGTTTGAGACCAGCCTGGGCAACATGGTGAAACCCTGTCTCTACAAAAAAAAAAAAAAAAAAAAAAAAATTAGCCGGGCTTGGTGGCCTGTGCCTGTAGTCCCAGCTATTTGGGAGGCTGAGGTGGAAGTATCACCTGATCCCAGGGAGGTTGAGGCTGCAGTGAGCCATTATCATGTCACTGCACTATGGCCAGGGTGACACAGTGAGACCCAGTCTCAAAGCAAAAAAAAGAAAAGAAAGAAGTACAATAAAAAGCAGTGTTACCTTTTTCCTTTCCTCTTCTATCTTATTCCCCTCTCCAGAAATCACTACTTTGATGTTTCATTCAAAATCTTTTTCTGTTTATTTACATACTATTTCTATATAAAGAAACATGGTTTGCAGGGAATTTTCCTCCTTTTATATAAGTAGGGTCATACTGTCTATATTTTTAGCAACTTGCATTTTTTTTTTGAGACGGAGTTTTGCTCTTGTCACCCAGGCTGGAGTGCAATGGTGCCATCCCGGCTCACTGCAACGTCTGCTTCCTTGGTTCAAACGATTCTTCTGCCTCAGCCTCTCGAGTAGCTGGGATTACAAGTGCGTGCCACCACGCCTGGCTAATTTTTGTATTTTTAGTAGAGACAGGGTTTCACCATGTTGGCCAGGCTGGTCTCAAACTCCTGACCTCAAGTGATCCGCTCACCTCAGCCTCCCAAAGTGCTGGGATTACAGGTGTGAGCCACCGAGCCTGGCCTGCATTGTTTTTCAGTTAATGAAATGTAGAGGTCTTTCCGTAGCAATACTACTATTTAACTACAATAACCACTTCATAATGTTCCACAGAGGTTTATTTAACCATACTGAACTGATGGGCAGTTAAGGTTTTATGTCTGTCATCAAAATTCTCAGATTTTCTCCTCTCCTATTTTTTCTGTTTTTCTGTTTTATTCTGTTCTGTCTGAGATTTCCTCAACTTTGTCCTTCTCTTAAGGTTTTCATTTTTGTTATTACTTTCTTTTTTTTTTTTTTTTTTTTGAGATGGAGTTTTGCTCTTGTCACCCAGGCTGGAGTGCAGTGGTGTGATCTCGGCTCACTGCAACCTCCACCTCACGGGTTCAAGCAATTCTTCTGCCTCAGCCTCCCAAACTAGCTGGGATTACAGGCGCCTGCCACCACGCCCAGCTAATTTTTTTGTGTTTTTAGTTGAGACGGAGTTTCACCATGTTGGCCAGGGCTGGTCTTGAACTCCTGACCTCAGGTGATCCACCTGCCTTGGCCTCCCAAAGTGCTGGATTACAGGTGTGAGCCACCGCGCCCGGCCTGTTATTACATTTTTAATTTATGTAAGTTTTTCTGTGTGTGCTGAATGTTTTTTAAAAGTTTTGTTTGTTACAGTTATCTCTTGGAAATAATTTTTTTCCTAATGTTTTCTTCTGCTGGCATAGTTTCTTTCTACCAGATTGCTTTCTTTTCTTTTGTTAATTTTAGTCTCTATTTTCCAAATACAGGCTTTCTTTAGGTATCTAGTAATTCTTCGCTGCCTGTTCTTTTTTTTTTTTTTTTTTGAGACGGAGTCTCGCTCTGTCGCCCAGGCTGGAGTGCAGTGGCGCGATCTCGGCTCACTGCAAGCTCCGCCTCCCGGGTTCACGCCATTCTCCTGCCTCAGCCTCCCGCGTAGCTGGGACTACAGGCGCCCGCCACCACGCCCGGCTAATTTTTTTGTGTTTTTTAGTAGAGACGGGGTTTCACTGTGTTAGCCAGGATGGTCTCGATCTCCTGACCTCGTGATCCGCCCGCCTCGGCCTCCCAAAGTGCTGGGATTACAGGCGTGAGCCACCGCGCCCGGCCCGCTGCCTGTTCTTAAATAAGAATAGGTGAATAAAAGCCAATTGGGAAGCCTAAGTACATGGGATGGGGCTTGTAGATTTTCAGTTTTACTGTAGGATGACCTGGTTGGAAGACATTTGTTAGGGAACCTTCTGACTTCAACCCAAATTTACCAAAAAAAAATAAAAATAAAAAATTCTAATCTACTGGGCTCAATCGAATCGGGGAAGAGGGCTTCTGATCTTAGAATTCAGCATTCATCTGTGCATAGGGTCACTTAGTCTCCTTGTTTTTCAGAATGATACCTGCGTCCTCTACTGTACCTGGTGTCCTCTAATCTCCAGAGAATAAGCTGCAGACTTCTGCCATGATTGAGTTATTAGGGAGAGATGGTCACCTGGAGATGTGGAATGGAGGAAGGAAATCTAAGGATCTAACAGCTTCTTAAATATCTTTCATCCAATTTTTCTTATTTTATCCATTCCACTCCCAACTTACCCCCAGTTCCACAGGTCCATAGTCTTGCCAATTCTTATGCCTTTAGAAAATTCTGTGGTATATATTGCTTTCCTCACTGCCAGTTTAGGACTTGGCTCATTCAGCTTTCCTCACTGCCAGTTTAGGACTTGGCTCTCTTTGGTCGGCTAAGTCAGTTACCACTCTGTCATCTACTTTCTGATTTACAAAAATCTGTTGCTTTTTTTCTTCTTCTCTTTTCCTCCTTATCCTTTGGGATTATGTATTTTAAAATTTGCCTTAATTTTTGTCTTAGTAGGGTTTCTGAAAGGAGTACATTGAATATTAATATTAGATCTGCCCTCTTATCCTGGGAGTCTCTTATGTTATTTCTTTGATAGAGAGACTGCAGTACATAGTAGTTGAGAGTGTGAGTTATAGCACCAGACTGCTTGGGTTTGAACTCTGAGTCTGCCACTTACTAGCTATTAGATTAATCTCTACATTCCTATTTTCCTCATCTGTAACATGGGGGATAATACTTCCTTTGTAGGGTGACCAGAGAATTAATTAATTAGTTAATTAAAATTAACTTATGTAAAGGACTTAGAGCAATGCCTTGCACATAGTATACCCTTAATGAATATTCATTATCAATATTATCTTCCCTCTCTTTTCTCTGTCTTATTTTCCTAGAACTCCTGTTAGTAAAATATTAATCTCCTTAGATTTATCCTTGAAGTATCTTATTTTTCTTTCATACTTTTCATCTCATGTGTAGTTATACTTTCCTGGGAATTCTTGTAACCTCTGCTTAATGTCTTATTTTAACAATCTTATTTTATTTATTTTTTTGAGATGGAGTCTTGCTCTTTTGCCCAGGCCGGAGTGCAGTGGCGTGATCTCGGCTCACTGCAACCTCTGGCTCCCAGGTTCAAGTGATTCTCTTGCCTCAGCCTCCTGAGTAGCTGGGATTAAAGGCACTTGCCACCACGCCTGGCTAATTTTTGTATTTTTAGTACAGGTGGGGTTTCACCATGTTGGCCAGGCTGGTCTCAAACTCCTGACCTCAGGTGATCTGCCCGCCTTGCCCTCCCAAAGTGTTGGGATTACAGGCATGAGCCACCGTGCCCAGCCAACAATCTTATTTTAAATATCAAACAGTTCTTTTGACATCTGATTTTAATCTTTCATGTTAAGGGATTTTCTCACATGTCCGATGACCTTTGGTAGTTTGTGCATATTTATTTTAAATTGATTAAAAGCTCTTTAGGAATAAAACTAATTGTGGAGTAAGTAAGGAATAAGCCTTACTTTTGGGTGTTAGGATGGACATAATTATTATTATGAAGAGGATCTTTTCTCTCAGATTGTGCAATGCCTCCAAAAAGACTTTCAATTTCTCGCCTGGGCAATAAAGTGGAAGTGTTTCGGGTCAGTGGTGGGGTGGAGTGGGAGAGTGGGTAGGGGAATTAAGTCCCACCCTTTGGTATTTCAAGAAATCCATTTGTTTTCTATCTATCTGTCCTACGTCTACTCTATTTTGCCTAGTGTCCTCATGTCTGGAATACCCCTCTTCAATTTCTCAAGAGGATACACTGCCATTCTCCAACCAAGTCAGGGGTGTATACACTTAGCTGCTAGCATTCTACACATGGGAGTAGGGAGGAGAATCAACTGTTCACATACACAGACTTTTATCCTGGTTTTTCACTTTGTGCTTCCTCACTACCCACTGGGTACTTCCAAGGTCAGAGGTTTTCCCAGATTCTTTGGGGGTGAATTGGCTTTCTTCTCACCAATGTCCCCCTTTGTAATTTCCTGAGATTATAGCTTCCTCCACTATAACAAGTCAGATACCACTCCTCCATTTGTTCTCCCTTTTCTAAAAATATGTTATCCACTGTAAAACATGCTATGTACTCCCTCTTCTATTTGATTGTCCTTGAGGATTTAAACCTTTTAAATTATGTTGCCATCATTTTATTAGGGGAGCAGAGAAATACATATGCTTGATCTTCCTTTTCTTTTTGACAGAAGTCATCAGATGAATGTTATTTTAAAATATTATTGCATTTAACTATACTATTTAATTATATAATGAGCTGGCATTCCCTAGTACACCTGGAAAAAGTAGTCCAGATTTGTTCATATAGATGTAGAGTTTGGCTGCCATGACCACACCCTCCTCTTTATAACAAGCAAGTGGTAGTGAACAAACTCAGGTCACAGGATCCAATGGAAAGAGTTTGAATTCCCATAGCCGGGGCAGGTTCCTTTACCTATGGTTAATGTTCTAGAGCTTGACTTTCCCCATCTCTGCTAGAAACAGACTTTACTCAGCCACAATTCCATTTTCTTTTATTTCCCCTTTTGCCTTTACTAGCTTGAATTACTGGCATTAACTGAGGATTCTTCTTCTCTGACATACAAGAAAGATAAGGTCCATTTGGTACACTCTGAACATCCATACAGTGGAATACTACTAAGCAATTAAAAAGAACAAATGATGCATGCTTTAACATCTGTGAACTTCAGAAACATTACGCTAAGTGAAAGAGCCACATGCAAAAGATTACATATGAAAGGTTGAGAAAGAGCATATCTATGGAGATAGAAAGCAAGTTAGTAGTTGCCTGAGGCTGGGATGCCTAGTGGTGGGGAGACTGTGCATGTGTAGGGGCAAAGAGCATATGGGAACTCTCTGTACTTCTTCAGTTTTGCTGTGAACCTAAAACTGCTCTTAAAAAGTCTATTAAAAATATATTTTAAAATGTCCTCAAATAGGAATTACACTTTAAATTATAAAAATGTTAGCACTGCATATATAAAGCTCTGTGCATCCTAGGTAGCAAATTTAAACAAAATTACTATAGCATTTAATTATTAATTTATTGGGATTTAGGTTTATTGACCTCATACCTCATAAGTGAGGCCTTCTTCTTTTTTTTTTTTTTTTTTTTGAGATGTAGTCTCACTGTGTCGCCCAGGCTGGAGTGCAGTGGTGCAATCTTGGCTCACTGCAACCTCCACCTCCTGGGTTCAAGTGATTCTCCTGCCTCAGCCTCCTGAGTAGCTGAGATTACAGGCATGCGCCACCATGCCCAGCTAATTTTTTTGTATTTTTAGTAGAGACGGGGTTTCTCCATGTTGGTCAGGCTGGTCTTGAACTCCCGACCTCAGGTGATCTGCCCGTCTCGGCCTCCCAATGTGCTGAGATTACAGGCGTGAGCCACTGCACCTGGCCCCGATTTTTATTCTTAAAAGTAAAGAACTGAAATAAGTGAATGCATGAATGATATGGCTATCTGGGTGAAAAGCTTTCTAGGCAGAGGAATCAATAAGTATAGAGACAGTTAGGTAAGAGAATGCTCAGCAGGTTTGAGGAATGACAGAGAGATTTGTGTGACTTGGAACAAAAGTGAAAGAATAGTATTACAAAACAAAATCAGAGAGCTGGCAGTGTATTAGATCAAGTAGGGTCTTGTAAGCCATGGTCAGGATTTTGAATTTTTCCCTGAGTGAGATGGGAAGGCTGAGCAGAGGAAGGACATGATCTGATTTGCATTTTTAATGGATCATTCTGGGTGCTGTGTGGAGACTAGAGTAGGAGGAAAGAATGTAGAAAAGGGGAAAGAATTAGTAGTAGTTGTCCAGGTGAGAAATAATGATAGCTTAGATCAGGGAAGTAGTCTTGAGGCAGTAATAAGTGGTCAGGTTCTGGATATATTTTGAGAGAAGAAGCAATAGGACTTGTTTATGTGGTGTACGTGAAGGGAAGAATCAAGGAAGCATAAATTCAATGATTTTGACTAGAGCAACTGGAAGAATGGAATTGCCCCTTACTAAGATGGAGAAGAGCAAGCTTAAAGGGAAAAATCAAGAGATTGGTTTTAGACACTTAAGATTACCTGTTCAAGTGGAAATATTGAGCATGTATGGTTAGATGTAAGAACCTGAAGTTCAGAAGAGAGGTATGACTGGAAGATACAAATTTAAGCATTGGCTGTAAGTAAATGGTATCCATGGAACTGGCTTTACAATTACGCACTATACATACAATGAAAACTTCGTCTGTTTTTTTTTTCTTTTTCCTTGCATTATGGAATATTGATGTCTTGTTCCCTTTTGGACTCTTCTCTCTTTTTTTTTTTTTTTTTTTTGAGACAGAGTCTTGTTCTGTCATCCAGGCTAGAGTGCAGAGGCTCAATCTTGGCTCACTGCAACCTCCACCTCCTGATTCAAGTGATTCTCCTGCCTCAGCCTCCCGAGTAGCTGGGATTACAGGTGCCCACCACTGCGCCTGGCTAATTTTTGTATTTTTAGTAGAGACGGGGTTTCTTCATCTTGGCCAGGCTGGTCTCAAACTCCTGACCTTTCTACTTGCCTTGGCCTCCCAAAGTGCTGGGATTACAGGCGTGAGCCACCACACCCGGCCAGGACTCTTCTCTTTAAACAATGATTTTTCACCCTCATTTATTTCCTGTTTTAAAATAGAATTTGAAATCAGCAGAAAACTTTTGGCATTGTCAACCTCATCAGTTTCTGCAAATTATCTTCCAAAACTACAAATGGATATTTAAAATTCATAATATGTAGCTCTTAATTATTAGATAGTTGAATGTCATTTAAGAGGTGCAGGCCATTCAGCAAGAGATAGAAAAAGTGTCATTATGAATTTAAAATTTAACATTTTAGACAGGTATGGATTTATGGCATCATTCTCAATCATGACTTCAGGGTCTATGTGTTCTCTTAGGTTCATTTCTTTAATTTTCTCTATTTTAATGTAAAGGAAATGTGAAAATTTGAATTACATTCTTCAAAGTTATTAGAATCATTATAACAGGAAGTGTTAATGTTAAAAAGTCTTTATCAAGACCTAATATTAAATTATATAACTTGCTTGTTCTACTTTTCTATAAAGGTTAACCTTATACCAACTTAACTGCTTAAGGATATTACCTGCTTCTTTTTCATTATAATGAGCAAATCTGTGTGTGGGAGTTCATACAGTATTTGTTCATTGGAATCACTTTCAGAAAATGACAGTTCAGTTCTGTTAATTGATTGAAGAAAGCTTTTTAAAAATCATTTTAGGCCAGGTGCGGTGGCTCACACCTGTAATCCCAGCACTTTGGGAGGCTGAGGCAGGCGAATCACGAGGTCAGGAGTTCAAGACCAGCTTGGCCAACATGGTGAAACCCCATCTCTACTAAAAATACAAAAAATAACTGGGCGTGGTGGCACATGCTTGTAATCCCAGCTACTTGGGAGGGTGAGGCAGGAGAATCGCTTGAACCCAGGAGGCGGAGGTTGCAGTGAGCCGAGACCGTGCCACTGCACTGCAGCCTGGCAATAGATCGAGACTCCGTCTCAAGAAAAAAAAAAATTATTTTAGATTTTTTTCTACTGCAGTTTTTACCATACTGCTTTTGACACTATCCACAATTATACTTAGTAGAAATGCTAAATTGGTAAAATTATGCCACATCTCCTTCTGTAAATTTCTACTCTACTCTTATGTGGTTGCAAGTACATAGCTATCTTTATGTGAGATATTACTGCCCTTGCTAGAAACCTCAAAATACCTCATAATACCAAGCTTATTTTTAAAGTGATGGTTTTAAAGGCTATGCATAATAAGCTTCAGTTGTCTTCAGTATAGTTGATTATTCATTACTTATTCAGCATGAGGTAATATGCTATGTGTATCTAATCAAAGTAATCAGTGGTTTCTATAAATAAATTGTAGTCGAAGAAGCATGTTAATTAGTAAATAAACACACAGTTGCTTCTCAATTTACATTAGTTATGTTCCGTAAAGTTACCACAAACACTGAATCAGTGAATATAGAAGCATTGCTCCTAGAGGAAATAGAGGGTTAGGTTCCTGTGAGCCTCTGTTCATGACATTTTTATCAACCAGTCAATACAACCTTGTTTTATATGTGTTTCTGCTTAAAGATACCGTATTAAATATATATTGTTGATTCATTAACACTGAACTCAAGGCCAAGAGTTAAGATTATTTAACACAACTATTTTTTTCATAAGGCACCTCATAACCTTCTTATGTGTCAGAACACTAGATAGCATATCAGCATTATGCATGGGGAACGTTGTAAACAGCAAGGTTATCAGCACAAAGCATAAAAATGCGAAAAACATAGCGTGAAAGAGACTGAGAAAAGGACGCTGTGAGAGCTAAAACAAGAAGGCAAAACAAACATTACTTTGACCTGAGCTGGGAATGTGTGCTTCAGGTAACTCAAATTTTTACCACTCTGTACATGTCCATGAATGACTGTGAAAGTATTGACTTAGGGGTTACAAATAAATTTTAGTGACTATGTGGATTTGCAAATACAGACCCTGCATATAATGAGGATCAACTGTATGTATGTGTGTATATAAACATACACACATATATATATATACATGAATGTTTTTTCATTCCTGCCTGGAATGCATTTTAATCTCTTTTCTATCTGTTGTATTCTCACTATTCAGCTCCCAGCTTGGATGTTATCCTATCTCAGAAACCTTTCCCAGCTCTCTTAAATACTCATTGAGTATGATCTCATATCCCTGTGTACATGCCTTGTATAATATTTTTCACATTTTGTGTTAATTCTTTACCAGGATTCTTTAAACTGTGAGCTCCATAATGGCAAGGACCTTTTCTCATTTACCTCTGTATTCTTAGTACTTAACACAGGGACTAACACACAGTTGAAATTAAATAATTTTTTTTTCTTTTTTTTTGAGACGGAATTTTGCTCTTGTTACCCAGGCTGCAGTGCAATGGCGTAATCTCAGCTCACTGCAACCTCTGCCTCACAGGTTCAAGTGATTCTCCTGCATCAGCCTCCCAAGTAGCTGGGATTACATGTACCACCACGCCCAGCTAATTTTGTATTTTTAGTAAAGATGGGGTTTCTCCATGTTGGTCAGGGTGGTCTCAAACCCCCGACCTCAGGTGATCTGCCTGCCTTGGCCTCCCAAAGTTTTGGGATTACAGGCATGAGCCACTCGCACCTGGTGAAATTAAATAAATTTTAAATGAATGAATCAATAAGCCTCTCTGCAAATGGATTTATTATTATTATTATTATTTTGAGATGGAGTCTTGCTCTGTTGCCCAGGCTGGAGTGCAGTGATGCAGTCTCGGCTCACTGCAACTTCCACCTCCCGGGTTCAAGCAGTTCTCCTGCCTCAGCCTCCTGAGTAGCTGGGGTTACAGGTGCATGCCACCATGCCCAGCTAATTTTTGTATTTTTTTAGTAGAGACGGGGTTTCACCATATTGGCCAGGCTGGTCTCGAACTCCTGACCTTGTCACCCACCCATCTCAACTGCCCAAAGTGTTGGGATTACAGGCATGAGCCAACGCGCCTGGCTGGATATATATCATTTTAATGAGTCTATCTTAATTCAAAATTGCAGACTATAGGAAATGGAAATGTTACACATTTTATACCAGTAAATATCTCATGATCTCTATTTTTGTTGGTTCTTTTTCCTTTGGATGAAGCTGCTCTATTTGGAAAGGAACATATAATGAACCATATAATCAGTTTTTCTATTATGTTTTACATTTTTTTCTTTTTCTTTTTTTTTTTTTTTTTTTTTGAGACAGAGTCTTGCTCTGTCACCCAGGCTGGAGGGCAGTGGCGTGATCTCAGTTCACTGCAACCTGCACCTCCCCGGTTCAAATGATTTTCATGTCTCAGCCACCCAAATAGCTGGAATCACAGGCATGCGCCACCATGCATGGCTAATTTTTGTATTTTTAGTAGAGACAGCATTTTGCCATGTTGGCCAGGCTGGTCTCAAACTCCTGGACTCAAGTGATCTGCCTGCCTTGGCCTCCCAAAGTGCTGGGATTACAGGTGTGAGCCACCGTGCATGGCCATGTTTTACATCTTTCTATAAAACAAAGACTTAGCACAGAAATGCACTAGGCTCTGTACCAAACTATACAGATTCTAAACTGCAGAGGAGAAAATTTATACTTAGGTAAAAATTAGGATACATGCTTGTGTTACATTTTAATTTTGAAATATTTCAAGGCCGGCATGGTGGCTCATGCCTATAATCCTAGCAATTTGGGAGGCTGAAGCAGGAGGATTGCTTGAGGCCATGAGTTTGAGACCAGCTGGGCAAACATAGCAAGACCCCCATCTCTACAAAAAATTTAAAGTAGCTAGGAATGTTGGTGCATGCCTATATTCCCAGCTACTCAGGAGGCTGAGGCAACAGGATTGCCTGAGCCCAATAATTGGAGGTTGCAGTAAGCCACGATCACACCACTGCACTCCAGCCTGGGTGACAGAGCAAGAGAAACCCTGTCTCAAAAAAATAATAATAATAAAATGATAAAATAATAAATAAATTTCTGCGCTGCAGAGGACACTGTCAGGAAACTGAGAAGGCAAGCTACAGACTGGGAGAAAATATTTGCAAAAGACATATCTGATAAAAGCATGTTAGCCAAAATATACAAAGAACTCTTAAAACAATAAGAAAATGGACAACCCAATTTAAACATGGGCAAAAGACCTGAACACACACTTTACCAAAGAAGTACAGACACTTTACCAAAACAAATTTTTATATGGCAAATAAACATATGAAAAAATGCTCAACATCGATATGTGTTAGCAAATTGAAACAATAATGAGATAACACTACACACCTATTAGAATGATAAAAATCCAAAACCTTGACAACACCAAATGCTGACAAGGATGCGGAGCAACAAAAACTCTCATTCATTGCTGGTTGGAAGACAAAATGGTACAGCCACTTTGGAAGAAGTTTGGCAATTTCTCACAAAATGAAATGTACTCTTACCATATGATCCAGCAATCATATTCATTGGTTTTTACCCAAATGATTTAAAAACTTATGCCCGCAAAAAATACTGCACAGAAGTGCTTATAGCAACTTTATTCATAATTATCACAACTTGGAAGCAACCAAGATGTCCTTTAGTAGGTGAATGGATAAACAAACGGTGGTGCATCCAGACAATGGAATATTATTTAGCACTGAAAAGAAATGAGTCATCGAGCCATGAAAGACATGGAGTAAGCTTAAATGCATATTACTTAGTGAAAGAAGCCAATTTGAAAAGGATGCCTATTGTATGATTGCAACTATATAACATACTGGAAAAAGACAAAACTGTGGAGACAACAAACAGATCAGTGGTTTTCAAGTATTGAGGAGAGGGATGAGTTGGCAGAACCCAGAGGATTTTTAGGGCATTGAAGCTATTCTGTAGAATGCTATAAAGATGGATATATGTTATTATACATTTATCAAAACCCACAGAACATTCATCAAGAGTGAACCTTAGTGTAAACTATGGACTTTGGGTAATAATGATGTGGAATTTGGGTCAATGTGTGTTCATTGATTATAACAAATGTACCACTCTGTTATGGGCTGTCGATAGGGAGGGAGGCTGGTGGGTGTGTGGGCACAGGGATTATATGGGAACTCTCTGTACTTTATGCTTAATTTTGCTGTGAACCTAAGACTGCTCTTAAAGTCTGTTTTTGGCCAGGCATGATGGCTCATGCCTATAATCCCAGCACTTTGGGAGGCTGAGGTGGAAGAACTCCTGAAGCCAGGAGTTCAAGACCAGCTTGGGCAACATAGTGAAATCCTGTTTCTGCAAAAATAATTTTAAAAATTAGCTGGATGTGGTGGCAAACACCTGTAGTCCCAGCTATTTGGGAGGCTGAAGTGGTAGGATCCCTTGAGCTCAAGAGTTCAAGTTGCAGTGAACCATGATCACACCACTGCACTCCAACTTGGGCAACAGATCAAGACCCTGTCTCAAAAAAAACAAACCAGAAAAACCACCAAAAAACAAAAATAAAGTCTATGTATTTATTTATTTATTTTGAGACAGAGTCTCGCTCTGTCGCTCAGGCTGGAGTACAGTGGTGCAATCTCAGCTCCCTGCAACCTCCAGCTCCTGGGTTCAAGCAATTCTCGTGCCGCAGCCTCCCAAGTAGCTGGGATTAACAGGTTTGCACCACCAGACCTGGCTAATTTTAATGAAGTCTATTTTTTAAAAAATTGATTCAAGAGGCAAATTTAATAAAATTAGTGATTATTACCATTTTATCAAGAATATTCTTAACATTCTTAAGTGAAGCTGGATTTAAAGCATTTTTTTTCTGCAAGTGAATGATAGTAAAACATGCCATGACTGCTAGTATAGTTTGGTGACACTGCATGGATTTGGATTTGTGTTCAGGTGCCAGCAGTTTTACCCATAATTGATTTTGCACCATCAGTGAAAATGTCACCACAATAACTTCTTAGTATTATTATGAAAATAGTTCTGACTATTTTCAAGAAGGATCTTAGGGACCCATAGGGCTCCCTTCAGGAGCTTCATTGATCTTTCCCATGTATATTTTCCATATACACACACACATACATATACACACAAACACACATACACACATTATTTAAATATATTAAACCATTATAATTGTTTAATGTTTTTTTAATAATATACTCCTTATTCTTTTTACAACTTATATTTTTTGTATTTGAAATTTATTTGAAATTTATTCGAGTTGATGTATTTAGCTCTAGATCATTCATTTCAACTGTTCTGGAGTAAAACATTGTTTGATAATACAGACATTCCTCATTTTATTGTGCTTTGCTTTATTGCTCTTCACAGATGCTACATTTTTTCACAGATTCAAGGTCTGTGGCAACTCTATGTTCAACAAG
This sequence comes from Homo sapiens, assembly GCF_000001405.40. Classification (NCBI taxonomy): domain Eukaryota; kingdom Metazoa; phylum Chordata; class Mammalia; order Primates; family Hominidae; genus Homo; species Homo sapiens. The sequence goes on from NC_000017.11 coordinate 58,894,989, forward strand.
TCCGTTGGCACCACTTTTTCAACAGCGTGTGATCACTTCATGTCTCTGTCACATTTTGGTAATTCTTGCAATATCCCAAACTTCTTATTATTATTATATCTGTTATGGCCATCTGTAGTCGGTGATCTTTGATGTTATTATTGTAATTTTGGGGGGTGGCACCACAAACTGCACCCATATAAGACAGCGAACTTAATAAATATTGTGTGTTCTGACTGTTTCACCAACTGGCTGTTTCCCCATCCCTCTCTCCCCTTTCCTTGGGTTTCTCTGTTCCCTGAGACACAACACTATTGAAATTAGGCCAGTTAATAACCCTACAATGGGCTAAACGTTCAAGTGAAAGGAAAAGTCACGTCTCTCACTTTAATTCAAAAGCTAGAAATGATTAAGTTTAGTGAGGAAAACATGTCAAAATCCAAAACAGGCCAAATGCTAGGGCTCTTGCACTAAAGTTACCTGAGTTGTGAATGCAAAGGAAAAGTTCTTGAAAAAAATTACTCCAGTGAGCTCATGAATGATAAGAAAGTGAAACAGGCCCTGTGTGATGGCTCATGCCTGTAATTCCAAAACTTTGGGAGGCTGAAGTGGGAAGATCACTTGAGCCCAGGAGTTTGTGACCAGTGCTGGCAACAGTGAGACCCCCATCTCTACAAAAAATAAAAATAAAAAAATAGATGAGCATGGTAACACATACCTGTACTCTCAGCTACTCGGGAGGCTTAGGTGGGGGTACTGCTTGAGCTGGGAGATCAAGACTAAAGCGAACCATAGCGACACGACTGCACTTCAGCCTGGGTGACAGAGCGAGACCGTGTCTCAAAAAAGAAAAGGAGGCCGGGCGCAGTGGCTCACGCCTGTAATCCCAGCACTTTGGGAGGCTGAGGTGGGCATATCACGAGGTCAGGAGATCGAGACCATCCTAGCTAACACGGTTAAACCCCGTCTCTGCTAAACATACAAAAAAAAAAAAAAAATTAGCTGGGTGTGGTGGCAGGTACCTGTAGTCCCAGCTACTTGGGAGGCTGAGGCAGAAGAATGGCATGAACCTGGGAGGCGGAGCTTGCAGTGAGCCGAGATCACACCACTGCACTCCAGCCTGGGTGACAGAGCAAGACTCTGTCTCAAAAAAAAAAGAAAAAGAAAAAGAAAAAGCGAAACAGCCTTATTGATGATATAGAGAAAGTTTTAGTGGTCTGAAGAGAAGATTGAACCAGAAGCAAAATTCCCTTAAGCCAAAGCCTAATCCAGAGCAAGGCCCTAACTCTCTTCAATTGTACAAAGTATGAGAGAGGTCAGAAGCTTGAGAAGTCTGGCTGGGCATGGTGGCTCATGCTTGTAATCCCAACACTTTGGGAGGCTGAGGTGGGTGGATCACCTGAGGTCAGGAGTTCAAGACCTGCCTGACCAATATGGTAAAACCCCGTCTCTACTGAAAATACAAAAATTAGCCGGGCATGGTGGTGCATGCCTGTAGTCCCAGCTACTCGGGAGGCTGAGGCAGGAGAATTGCTTGGACTTGGGAGGTGGAGGTTGCAGTGAGCCAAGAATGCACCACTGCACTCCAGCCTGGGCAACAGAGCTAGACTCCATCTCAAATAAATAAATAAAATAAAAAGAAGTTGCAGAAGTCTGAAGCTAGCAGAGGTTGGTACATGAGGTTTAAGGAAAGAAGCCAGCTCCGTAACTTAAAAGTGCACAGTGAAGCAGCAAGTGCTGAGGTAGACCCTGCAGCATTATCCAAAAGATCTAGCTAAGATCATTTATGAAGGTGGCTACACTAGACAACAGACTTTCAATGTAGACAAAACAGCCTTCTATTGAAAGAAGATGCTATCTGGGACTTTCATAACTACAGAGGATAAGTCAATGCTTGGCTTCAAAGCTTCAAAGGACAGGCTGACTCTCTTGTCAGGGGCTAATGCAGCTGGTAACTTTAAATTGAAGTCCATCCTCATTTAACACTCTGAAATTCCTAGGGCCCTTAAGAATTATGCTAAATCTACTCTGCTTGTGCTCTGTAAATGGAACTGAAAGGCCTGGATGACAGCACATCTGTTTATAGCATGTTTTACTGAATATTTTAAGCCCACTGTTGAGACCTACTGCTCAGAAAAAAAGATTCCTTTGAAAATGCTACTGCCGGCCGGGCGCGGTGGCTCACGCCTGTAATCCCAACACTTTGGGAGGCTGAGGCTGGTGGATCACGAGGTCAGGAGATCGAGACCATCCTGGCTAACATGGTGAAACCCCGTATTTACTAAAAATACAAAAAATTAGCCGGGCATGGTGGTGGGCGCCTGTAGTCCCAGCTACTTGGGAGGCTGAGGCAGGAGAATGGCGTGAACCTGGGAGGCAGAGCTTGCAATGAGCCGAGATTGCGCCACTGCACTCCAGCCTGGGCGACAGAGCGAGACTCCATCTAAAAAAAAAAAAAGAAAAAAGAAAATGCTACTGCCAATTGGTAATGCAATGCACCTGGTCACCCAAGAGCTCTGATGGAGATGTACAAGGAAATTAATGTTTTCATGTTTATTAACACAACATCCCCATTCTGCAGACCATGGATCAAAGAGTAATTTTGACATTTAAGTCATGTTTTAAGAGAAACATTTTATAAGGTATATTTGCCTTAGTGATTCCTCTAATGGATATAGGCAAATACGTTGAAAACTTTCTGGAAAGGATTCACCATTCTAGATGTCATTAAGTACATTTGTGCTTTGCCACTGCTGAATCAGTGGCTCAGCTATGTGCAAGATTAGGCTTCATCTGTAACCCACCACCGTGGCTGAGGAAGCCATTGCTGCTGAAGGTGTAATGGATGTTAAGAATACTTTATAAGGTTGAGGACAGTGGCTCATACCTGTAATCCCAGCATTTTGGGAGGTTGAGGCAGGAAGATCATTTGAGCCCAGGAGTTCAAGACCAGCCCGGGCAACATAGCAAGACCTTGTCTCTACAGAAAATTAAAAAATTAGCGAGGTGTCGGCTGGGCACGGTGGCTCATGCCTGTAATTCCAGCACTTTAGGAGGCCGAGGCAGGTGGATCATGAGGTCAGGAGTTTGAGACCAGCATGGTGAAACTCCGTCTCTACTAAAAAAATAAAAAGATTAACCAGGTGTGGTGGTATGCACCTGAAATCCCAGCTACTCAGGAGGCTGAGGCAGGAGAATCACTTGAACCTGGGAGGCAGAGGTTGCAGTGAGCTGAGATTGTGCCACTGCACTCCAGCCTGGGGGTGACAGAGGGAGACTGCGTCTCAAAAAAAAAAAAAAAACTATCTACAAAGAATCTACAAAGAACTTAAACAAATTTACAAGAAAAAATCAAACAACCCCGTCAAAAAGTAGGCAAAGTATGTGAACAGACAGTTTTCAAAAGAAGACATTTATGCAGCCAACAGACACATGAAAAAATGCTCATCATCACTGGCCATCAGAGAAATGCAAATCAAAACCACAATGAGATACCATCTCACACCAATTAGAATGGCGATCATTAAAAAGTCAGGAAACAACAGGTGCTGGAGAGGATGTGGAGAAATAGGAATGCTTTTACACTGTTGGTGGGAGTGTAAACTAGTTCAATCATTGTGGAAGACAGTGTGACGATTCCTCAAGGATCTAGAACTAGAAATACCATTTGACCCAGCAATCCCATTACTGGGCATATACCCAAAGGATTATAAATCATACTACTATAAAGACACATGCACACATATGTTTATTGCGGCACTATTCACAATAGCAAAGACTTGGAACCAACCCAAATGTACATCAATGATAGACTGGATTAAGAAAACATGGCACATATACACCATGGAATACTGTGCAGCCATAAAAAGGATGCGTTCATGTCCTTTGTAGCGACATGGATGAAGCCGGAAACCATCATTCTGAGCAAACTATCACAAGGACAGAAAACCAAACACTGCATGTTCTCACTCATAGGTGGGAATTGAGCAATGAGAACACTTGGACACAGGGCGAGGAACATCACACACTGGGGCCTGTCGTGGGGTGGGGGGATGGGGGAGGGATAGCATTAGGAGAAATACCTAATGTAAATGATGAGTTGATGGATGCAGCACACCAACACAGCACATGTATACATATATAACAAACCTGCACGTTGTGCACATGTACCCCAGAACTTAAAGTATAATATATAAAAAAAAGAAAAACAAAAAAGAATGAAAAAAAAATTAGCGAGGTGTCATGGTGTTCCAGCTACTCAGGAGGCTGAGGTGGGAGGATTACTTGAGCCCAGGAGTTTGAAGCTGCAGTGAACTATGATTGTGCCATTACACCCCAGCCTGGTGACAGAGCCTGTCTCCAAAAAAAACAAAAAAACAAAAAACAAACAGTTTCCTAAGAGGCGCTGAAGACCTCCCTCAAGCATGATGACCTATTACATGGAATTTGCAAAGCTGCCAAAACCTTAGATAAGGCTTTGTGTGCTTGCATCCATGTGTGATGAGCCTGTGTATGTCACGTTGGTGGAGGCCCTTAGTGCTTAACACCGTATCACCCTAATTAAGGTTGACCAGAAAGTAGGCGAATGGGTAGGCTTCTGTAAAATTGACAGAGGGGGGAAAACCCTGTAAAGTGGTTGGTTGCAGTTGTGTGGTAGGTAAGGACTATGGCAAAGAATCTCAAGCCAAAGATGTCATCGAAGAGTACTTCAAATGCAAGAAATGAACCAATAAAACTACAGCTCATGCTCCTCGAGGAAAAAAAAGAAAATTCGTGATTCATGAGAGGAGGTCAAAATATCAACATTAACAGAAGTTTGGAAGAAGTTGATTCCAACTCTCATGGATGACTTTGAGGGGTTCAAGACATTATTGGAGGAAGTAACTGCAGATTTGGTGGAAATAGCAAGATAACTAAAAGAGAGAGAATTAATAGTTCTACCCTAAACAGAATGCAGTGGTGGGCACCTGTAGTCCCACCTACACAGGAGGCTGAGGTAGGAGGATCACTTGAGGCCAGGAGTTCAAGACCAACCTGGGCAACATAGTGAGATACAGTCTCAAAAAAAAAAAAAAAGTGAAGAGGAGTTGCTTCTTATGGATGAGCAAAGAAAGTGGTTTCTTAACATGGAATCTACTCATGGTGTAGATGATGTGAACATTGTTGAAGTAATAACAAAGGATTTAGAATATCACATAAAGTTAGTTGATAAAGCAGTGGCAGGATTTGAGAGGATTAACTCCAATTTTGAAAGAAGTTCTACTGTGGGCAAAATGTTGTCAACCAGCGCTGTATGCTACAGAGAAATCTTTTGTGAAAGGAAGAGTCAATAGATGTGGCAAACTTCATTGTTGTCTTATTTTAAGAAATTACCGCAGTCACTCCAACCTTCAGCAACCACCACCTTGATCAGTCAGCAGCCATCAACGTGGAAGCAAGACCTTCCACCAGCAAAAAGCTTATCACGCTCTGAAGGCTCAGATGATTGTGAGCATTTTTTAGCCATAAAGTATTTTTAAATTAAGTTATGTACATTTTTTAGACATCATGCTATTGTACACTTAATAGACTACAGTATAATGTAAACATAGCTTTTATATGCCCTGGGAAACAAAAAATTTTGTACAGCTCACTTTATTGCAATATTTTTATTTTGCAATAAAGCAATATTTGCTTTATTGTGGTAACCTGGAGCTGAACCCACACTAGCTTTGAGGTATGCCTGTACTATAGTTTCTTTAACCTGTTCCCTTACTGATGTCATTTTGTTCCAGTTTGGAGCTATTACAAACAACGTTGCAATGAGTACTCTTGTTAATGTTTTCTTATGCATATGTGTAAATTTTCTCTAGTTATGCTTGGGAGTGGATTGATGGATCTAGGTTATGCTCATCTTGAACTTTATTCTATAGGGTATACAATGTGCCAGACATTATTCTAAGCACACAATATAAATATAAATATGTACCTTACAACTATCCTTTGAGATAAATATTATTTTCCCTATTTTACAGATTGGGAAACTAAGACACAGAGAGATTAAGTGACCCACCCAAATCACATAGCTAGTAAGTAGCAGATCCAAGCAATTTCCAAAATCCAGGCTTTTACCACCACATCATGCCACAGCATGATGCTTTACACTTTGGGAATGAATGCATGTATTTTCCTGCGGTATGCTTATCTAATCTCTTCAATTCTTGGTTCTTTTTCAAAGTTTGATGTGGTTAAATCAAGGAGGAAAATATTCACTAGAAATATTATCATCATAAAAAATGTGAATATGATCAACGTGAGCCACCACCTTGACTTTGATCAATAGTCAGGAAACTAAACTATCAATGTTCTTCCCCTTTTGAAGAAATTATATTGCATTTTTTGATCACATAACTACTGAGGGTTTTCTATTAAAAAATAAAAAATGGGCTGTGTGCGGTGGCTCACGCCTGTAATCCCAGCACTTTTGGAGGCCGAGGCAGGCAGATCACCTGAGGTCAGGAGTTCGAGACCAGCCTGGCCAATATAGTGAAACCTCATGTATGTCTAATAAAAATACAAAAATTAGCCGGGCATGGTGGTCTGCGCCTGTAGTCCCAACTACTCGGGGGGCTGAGACTGGATCACTTTAACCTGGGAGGCCGAGGTTGCAGTGAGCCAAGATTGCCCCGCTGCACTCCAGCCTGGACAACAGAGCAAGACCCTGTCTCAAAAAATAATAATAAAATAAGGCCAGACGCGGTGGCTCACACCTATAATCCCAGCACTTTGGGAGGCTGAGGTGGGTGGATCACCTGAGGTAGGGAGTTCAAGACCAGCCTGACCAACATAGAGATACCGTGTCTCTACTAAAAATACAAAATTAGCCAGGCGTAGTGGTACATGCCTGTAATCCCAGCTACTCGGGAGGCTGAGGCATGAGAATTGCTTGAACCCATGATGCGGAGGTTGCAGTGAGCCAAGATTGTGCCATTGCACTCCAGCCTGGGCAACAAGAGTGAAACTCCTCTCAAAAATAAATAAATAAATAAAATATTAAAAATGAATCTAAAATATAATTATTTTATAATAGCTAAAACTTCCTGTTCTGGAATGTAGCTTAATATTTCAGACTACTGATTGTATCATACATTAGTAATAAAGATTAAAACAATGTTCTAAATTATGGAAAATGAGGTAAAGGAGAAAAAATTAAAAAAAATAGACCTGTATACAGAGTTATAGAAGTAAGCTGTTATTTCTGTGCATAGTTTAATGCTGGTTGGAAATTTCAGACTGCTACAAGAGTGTAAGAATTTTTTTCAATCTTACTGCTAAGTTAGGGTTGCAGTCAAATTAATTTAAAGTTTGTTATAGATCTTCGTGGGGGAAAAAATGAAGGAAGATAAATGTTTGTGTTTTTTTTTTCCTTCTGTAAGTTCTTCAGCTAAACCAGCTATGCTGCATTGTATGGGTGGATTTAGGATGCTGGGGATCCCTCACCATTTTTTTAAAAAATAAAATACACCCATTAAGTATCATTTATTTAGTCTAGCATGTGGGATGTGAAGCATTTCCCACAGAAGTCATTTGTCTCTGTCTGTGGATAGGCCTTCCTAGGGAACACTTAATGAGATTGCTTTTTCTCCTGACTCCTTTAATGTTTTGTTTGCAGTTCCTAAATCCAAATTATAAATTTATCTTGCAGTATTATACTTTCTATGATGATGAACTTCTTACTGACAGTAACAATCAACTGCCATCATTGTTTTGCTTCCAAAGAAAAACAGTCTTTCAAAATGCAGACATTTTAATCATTCAGATATAGGGGTTGTGAAACACAAAAATATAAATAATGAACAATGGAAAATATTTATTAAAGTATATTAGAAATGTATAGATCCATATTGTCATGTTTAGTTGGATAACATCAGAAATTTGTATGGGCAAGATATATAAAATTATTTTATTTCCTATAAATTAAATTAAATCTGACTTTGAATTGCCCAACCTGGTAAAATATAGATTCATATCAGTCATTATGGGAACACATAGAAAAGAATATGTCTTTCTTCCTTTCCTTCCTTGGTCCTCTCCAACCCAAGAGTAGCGCAAAAACCTAAGAATCTTTTAGGAAAAAAGAAAACAAATAGGAGATGGGCCCACTTGTCTGCAGTTATCACCATCATGGACTGATACCCTTATTGAATAAGTTCTGCTTCAAGTCCGATGACATTATTGCTTTTCTGGTCAAGCTTGGACATGAGAGTCTCTCTTGATTGTGAACCCCCAGTAACTACAGTCCAGCCTCCCAAGGTACTCCATCCAGCCATTCTTCTTTGAGGTCTTGCCATTTCCTTGGAGAACAGCCAGGAAGTAGGATTCAGGTCACAACTATCCCTGGTGTTGCTGAACATTTTTCCAATTTGGGCAAGCTGGGTTTAGCAGGCTATTTCCCAGTCTCCCTTACAGTTCTCAAAGCTTTTGCCTTTATCTCAAGCTTCCAGAAAATGAAAGTTTGAAGGCAGATTATCTACAAATAACTTCTGCTTTCCAGTCTGTAACTCAGATCTTCTGTAAATAATGGAACCTGAAGACCTGGTTACCTGTTTAAATGAGGAAAGGGAAAAAGAAGTGGAGAACAAATGAAAATTAAAATCTTATATTGTCCTGCCACACTGACATGCACACCCACAGACATAAACGTACCACTTTTCTGCCTAATCCCAGCTTCTGGGTTGTTCAGTTTTTATTGAGTTCTTAGAAGGAAGAGGGCCTAGAAAATTATAGATTAATCTGTATTTGTGAATAATTGAGAACTCACTAATAAAATGGGCACCTTGGATATTATGTTTACTTCTTGTTGTAAAAAACAGAGTAAAGCTTTGTTACCTAGGGTTCTCCCCTCTTCCCCTGCCAATTATTAGAAAAGTAATCTAATATTTTCCAAATAAATATATAATTGTGGAGGACTTTCAATAGACACTAAAGAATAGCAAAGTAACGCAGATCTATAATGAAACCAGATCTGATAGTGTTATTACTTTTACTTGAATTTGAAATAATTTCAAAAAGAGCCAGAAATTATTATTGAGATCTATACTATTCTGAAAGCTGAGATAGAGAAGAAAGTTGAATACATGTCCACTACCCTCTTGCAGATAGTGAAAAATGTGTGAATAAATTTATAATTATGACATAATAAATAAAAAAGGTACTATGAAAGTATAGAAGTTGAAGAAAAGAAGTTGAAGTCTTTCTTATATAATATTTTGCTTAGCAGGGTTGGCATGTACTATCATCTTTATTTGCCAGATGAAGAAATTTGAGTTGAAAGAGGTTAAGTATCTTGCTCAGTTACACAGAATAAGTGGTATAGTAGTACATTCTTAATGTATAAGTGATCAGAGGCTGGGGAAATGATTTCTAACAAGGGTAATAATTTTTATAATACTGCCTGATATTTTTACACTTTGAATCTGATTTATAAGATTGTCTTTCTACCTACTTGATTCTGCAAAGAATTTGAAAGTTCTTCTCATAGGCGAATGACTATCCTTGTCTTAAATTATCTGCTTATCTAGAAGATATCTGCAAAATAACTTGCTGGGATTTTGGTTGGGGTTGTGTTGAATTTATAGATCAAATGGGAATAACTGGCATCTTGACAATATTGAGTCTCCCAATCCATGAATATGAAATATTTCTCCATTAATTTAGTTCTTTGATTTCTTTCAACAGAGTTTTGTAGTTTTCCTTATATTAGATCTCATACATATTTTGTTAGATTTATACCTACATGTTTCATTTTGGGGGGTGCTAATGTAAATGGTGTTGTAGTTTTAATTTCACATTCCCCACTTATTCATTGCTGGTGACCAACATGGAGAAACCCCATCTCTACTAAAAATACAAAAAAAAAAAAAAAAATCAGCCGGATGTGGTGGTGTATGCCTGTAATCCCAGCTACTTGGGGAGGCTGAGGCAGGAGAATCGCTTGAACCCAGAAGGCGGAGGTTTTGGTGAGCCGAGGTCGTGCCATTGCACTCCAGCCTGGGCAACAAGAGTGAAACTCCATCTCAAAAAACAAACAAACAAACAACAAAAAACAACAAACAATTTCTCCTATAGTTTTGTATAATTCCTTGTTGGTTCTAGGGGTTTTTTGACTCTTTCAGATTTTCTACATAGTTATGTTAGTTTTCTACATGTTACAGTTTTATTTCTTCCTTCCTAATCAGTATACCTTTTAATTCTTTTTCTTGTCTTATTGCATTAACTAGGACTTCAAGTACAATGTTGAAAAAGAGTAGTGAGAGGGAACATCCTTGCCTTGTTCCTGATCTTAGTAGGAAAGCTTCTAGTTGTTTACCATTAAGTGTGAAGCTAGCTGTAAGTCTTTTATAGATATTCTTTATTAAGTTAAAGAAGTTGCCCTCTATTTCTGGTTAACTGAGAGTTTTTATCATTAATGCGTGTTGAATTTTATCAAGTGCTTTTTCTGCATCTTTTGATATGATCATGTAATTTTTCTTTTTTAGCCTTTTGATATGATAGATTACATTAATTGATTTTTAATGATCATCAGATGCATCAATTTTGCATATCTGAGATAAATCCCACTTTTTTGTAATGTATAAATCTTTTTATACATTGTTGGATTTGGTTTGCTAATATTTAGATGAAGATTATTGCCCCTTTGTTCCTGAAGATATTGGTCTGTAGTTTTTTTTTCTTGTAACATCTTTGTTGGGCATTAAAGTAATGGTAGTCTCATAGAATGAGTTAAGTTAGCCACTGCACCCAGCCTATTTCCCTTTTTTAATTTTTAATTTTTGTGGGTTAATAGGTGCACTAATTAATTAATAGGTGTATTAATTTTTATTAATAGAATGAGTAATGGTAGTCTCAGAGAATGACTTCTATCTTCTGAAAGAGACTGTAGAGAAATAGTATAATTTATGCCTTAAATATTTGGTAGAATTCTCCAGTGAACCTATCTGGTTTTGGTGCTTTGTATTTTGAAAGGTTATTAATTATTGATTCAATTTCTGTAATCAATTTAGACCTATTCAGATAGTTTAATTCTTGGCAGATTGAGTCTTGCAAGGAATTGATTCATTTCATCTAAGTTATCAAATTTGTATCAATTAATTTGTATCAAATTAAAAATCAATTAATGTAATGCATAGAGTTCTTCATAGTATTACTTTTATTATCCTTTCAATGTCCATGGGATCTATAGTGATGTCCCATCTTTCATTCCTGACATTAGTAACTTGCATCCTCTCCTTTTTTCTTAGTTAGCCTGGCTAGAGGCTTATCGATTTTATTGACTCTTTCAAAGAACCAGCTTTTAGTTCCATTGATTTTCTCTATTGATTTCCTATTTTCAATTTCATTGATTTCTGCTCTAATTTTTATTATTTCCTTCACCCAGGCTGGAGTGCAGTGGCACTGCCAGGGCTCACTGCAGCTTCAATCTCCCAGGCTCAAGTGATCCTCCCACCTCAACCTCCCGAGTACCTGGGACTACAGGCGTGTGCCACCTGTCCAGCTAATTTTTGTATTTTTTGTATAGACAGGGTTTTGCCATGTTGGCCACTCTGGTCTTAAACTCCTGGGCTCAAGTGATCTGTCCACCTCAGCCTCTCAAAGTGCTGGGATTACAGGTATGAGCCACTGTGCCCAACCCATTTCCCTTTTTTAATTTTTAATTTTTATGGGTACATAGTAGGTATATTAATTTTTATTATTTATTTCCTTCTGCTTTCTTTGGATTTAATTTGCTCTTCTTTTTCCAGTTTCCTAATGTGGAAACTTAAATTATTTATTTTAAATTTTTTTTCTAATATATGCACTTAATGTTACCAATTTCCCTTTAAGCACTGCTTTCACTGTATTCCACAGATTTTAATAAGCTGTGCTTTCATTTTCATTTAGTTCAAAATATTTTAAATTTCTCTTGAAAATTTTTCTTTGATTCATGTGTTATTTAGAAGTGAATTGTTGGCCAGGCCCAGGGGCTTACGCCTGTAATCCCGGCACTTTGAGAGACTGAGGCAAGTGGATCACGAGGTCAGGAGATCGAGACCATCCTGGCTAACACAGTGAAACCCCGTGTCTACTAAAAATACACACACAAAAAAAAATTTAGTCGAGCGTGGTGGCACATGCCTGAAGTCTCAGCTACTTGGGAGGCTGAGGCAGGAGAATCGCTTGAACCCAGGAGGCGAAGGCTGCAGTGAGCCAGGATCGCGCCACCGTACTCCAGACTGGGAGACACGATGAGACTCCATCTAAAAAAAAAAAAGAAAGAAGTGAATTGTTTTATCTCCACATATTTGGGGATTTTCCAATTATCTTTATGATACTCATTTCTAGTTTAATTCTGCTGTGATCTGAATAAGACATTGTATAATTTTTATTCATTTAAATTTCTTAATGCATGTTTTATGGCCCAGAATGTGGTCTATCTGGATGAATGTTCCCTATGAGTTTGAGAAGAATGTGTATTCTGCTGTTGGATGAAGTAGTCTGTAGATGTAAATTATATTCAGTTGATGGATGGTGTTGTTGAGTTCAACTATGTCCTTACTAATTTTCTGCCTGCTGCATTTTGTCCATTTCTGAGAGAGGGATGTTGAAGTCTCCAACTATAGTAGTGGATTCATCTCTTTGTCCTTGTTGTTCTACCAGTTTTTGCCTCACGTATTTTGATGCACTCTTACTAGAAACACACACTTAAAGGATTATCATATTTTCTTGGGGAATTGACTCCTTTATCATTATGTAATGCCCTTCTTCAGCCCTGATAACATTCCTTGCTTTGAAATCTACTCTGTCTGAAATTAAGTATCTACTTCTGCTTTCTTTTGATTAGTGTTATCATGGTATTTTTCTCTATTTTCTTTCATCTATATGTGTCTTTATATTTAAAGTGGATTTCTTGTAGACAACATATAGTTGGGTCTTGTTTTTTTAATCCATTCTGACAATCATTTAATTTGTGCATTTAGACTATTAATGTTCAAAGTGATTATTGATATACTTGGATTATTTACCATATTTGTTACTGTTTTCTATTTGCTGCCTTGTTCTTTGTTTCTATTTTTGTCTTCTACTCTTTTTCTGCTTTTTTTTTTTAATTTTTTTTGAGACAGAGTCTCACTCTGTCATCCAGGCTGGAGTGCAGTGGCACGATCTCAGCTCACTGCAACCTCTACTTCCCAGATTCAAGCAATTCTCCTGCCTCAGCCTCCCGAGTAGCTGGGATTATAGGCACCCACCCACCACGCCTGGCTAATTTGGTATTTTAGTAGAGATAGGGTTTCATCATGTTGGCCAGATTGATCTCAAACTCCTCACCTTGTGATCTGCCCACCTTGGCCTCCCAAAGTGCTGGGATTACAGGCATGAGCCACCCGGCCTGTTGTTTTAATTTAATATTTTATGCTTCAGTTTCCTCTTTTTTAGCATATAAATTATGCTTCTTTTTATACTTTTTTTTTTTAAGGCGGGGTTTTGCTCTTGTTGCCCAAGCAGGAGTGCAATCGCATGATCTCGGCTCACTGCAAACTCTGTGTCCTGGGTTCAAGCAATTCTCCTGCCTCAGCCTTCTGAATAGCTGGGATTATAGACGCCCACCACCATGCCCAGCTAATTTTTGTATTTTTAGTAGAGATGGGGTTTCGCCATGTTGGCCAGGCTGGTCTTGAACTCCTGACCTCAGGTGATCCGCCCACCTTGGCCTTTCAAGGTGCTGTGATTACAGGCATGAGCCACCGTGCCGAGCCACTTTTTATACTTCTTTTAGTGGTTGCTCTGGAGTTTGCCATATACAGTTATAAGTAATTAAAGCCCACTTTCAAATAACACTACACCATTTCACTGATAGTGTGAGTGTATTATAATAATAAAATAATCCTAACTCCTACCTCCCATCCCTTGTATCATTGCTGTTATTTATTTTACCTATATATAAACATATTCTTAAGCATATGGATATATATACACACATAAGATACATACATATGCATAATCAAATGTATTGTTGCCATTATTATGAACAATCTGTTAGGTCAATTAAGAATAAGAAAAATACAAGGTTTAATTTTTATCATCACTTATTTCTTCTTTTGTGCCCTTTTTTTTTATGTGCATCTAAGTTTCTGACCTATATCAATTCTTTCTTTCCAAAGAATTTCTTTTAATATTTCTTGCAAGGCAGGTCTACTAGGAACAAATTTCCTCAGTTTTTTTGTTTGTCTGAGAAAGTCTTTATTTCTCCTTCACTCCCCACTGCCGCTCACCACCCCGCCAACCCCACACTGAGACAGGTTCTCACTCCATCACTCAGGCTGGAATGCAATGGCATGATCATAGTTCACCATAACCTGAACTCCTGGGCTCAAGCAATCCTCCTGCCTCAGCCTCCTTAGTAGCTAGGACTACAGGTACACACCGTCACACCTGGATATCTTTGTTTCCTTTTTGTAGAGACAGGCTCTTGCTATGTTGCCCTGTCTGGTCTTGAACTCCTGGCCTCAACTGATCCCCCCATAGCACTGGGATGACAGGTGTGAGCCACCATGGCTGACCTCTCCTTTGCTTTTGAAGGAATATTGCAGGGTACAGAATTCTAGGTGGGTGGTTTTTTTCTCTCAACCCTTTTTTCACTCTGTTCTCTTCTTGCTTGCATGGTTTCTGAGGAAAAGATAGATACAATTCTTCTCTTTGCTCCTCTGTAAGTAAGGTGTTTTATTTTTCTGGCTTCTTTCAAGATTTCATTCTTTATCCTTGATTTTCTATAGTTTAAAATGATATTCCTAGGTACAGGGTTTTTGTTTTTGTTTTTTGACATTTATTCTTCTTGGTGTTCTCTGAGATTTCTGGGTCTGTGATTTGGTGCCAAGACATTACCTTGGGGAAATTCTTAGTCATTTTTCTTTCTTTCTTTCTTTCTTTCTTTTTTCTTTTTCTTTTTTTTTTTTTTTTTTTTGAGACTGGAGTGCAGTGGTGCTATCTTGGCTCACTGCAAACTCCACCTCCTGGATTCAAGTGATTCTCCTGCCTCAGCCTCCCAACTAGCTGGGATTATAGGTGCCCGCCACCACACCCAGATAATTTTTGTATTTTTGGTAGAGAAGGGGTTTTGCCATGTTGGCCAGGCTGGTCTTGAACTCCTGACCTCAGGTGATCCACCCGCCTCGTTGCCCCACAGTTCTTGAGTATTCTGTTCTGTTTTTTTCAGTCCTTATTTGCTTTTCAGTTTTGGAGGTTTCTATTGTATATCCTCAAGCTTAGAAATTCTTTCCTAAGCCAAGTCCAGGCTACTAATAAGCCCATCAAAAGCTTTCTTCATTTCTTTTACAGTGTTTTTTATCTCTAGCATTCATTTTGGCTCTTTCTTTAGATTTCCACCTCTCTGCTTATACCGCCCATCTCTTTTTGCATGTTGTCTACGTTATCCATTAGAGCCCTTAGCATATTAATCATAGTTGTTTTAAATTCCTGGTATGATAATCCCAACCTCTCCACCATATCTAGTTCTGATACTTGTTCTGTCTTTTCAAAATTTTTTTTGCTTTTAGTATGTCTTGTAATTTTTTCTTAATAGCCAGACATGATGTATAGGGTAAAAGGAACTGCTATAAATAGCCCTTTAGTAATGTGGTGATAAGGTATGTAGTTAGGGGAAACTAGTCCTGTAATTAGACTTCATTCTTTTAGTGAGGCTGTACTTATGGACTGTGAGCTTCACATATTGTTCTCAGGGTTGGTTTTGTTTTTTCCTCCACCTTAGGTGGGACAAGAAGGCTAGAGTGAGCTGGAGATGGGTATTGCCCTTCCCCTAGGTCAGTTAGGCTCTGATAAACCCCATCACATTAGACTCTGGTTAGCTAGTTTCTTCTGAAAGAAGACCTTATTAAGAAGAAGAGGGTGCTCTGCCGCATTTCAACATGGTTCCTTTTCCCCTCCTCTTGCCAGATTCATGAGGGGATTTTTTTCTGATACTCACTGTGATGACCTGGTAGAGCTCCTGGAGGTGAAACTCACAAAAGTGTGGGGAGCCCCTCTGACTGGGTCTTCCTGGAGTTTTTGACTATCAGACTTCTACACCTAGTCTCCAGCAGTTTGTCAATTACAGTTCAGGTTTTCTTACCCTGGAATTGGTTCCTATGGAGGTGTCTGATGGGTATGTTTTATAATTCTCTGTATACACCTGTCCAATTTTAGGAGCAACTGTGACCTCACTTCTCTTAAGAATCTAAGAAGTATTGTTGGTTTTGCAGTTTGCTTAGCTTTTTACTTGTTGTTAGGTTGGAGTGGCCACTTCCAAGCTTCTTACAAGTGGAACCAAAGCTGGAAGTCTTCCCTCTATTGTTAAAATAATTCTCTTCAAATTTTTTTCTCTTTATTTTAATTGTAACACAGGAATAGGGGATAACATTTAACCACCATTTGTGTACTACAGAATAGTCAGGGCCATACTAAAGATTGGAGTAGGCCTTAGGACCAGATGAAATAAGCATCTGGTTATTTCATGATTTCATCATGATTTCAAAGGGTCAGTTGAAGGCTTTTCAGGTGCATTTAAAAGTATCTCTACTGGTTAATAAGAATAATATCTAAAATTGTAACACTAGAGGTTTATTTCTTTGGTTTATTGTTCTTGTTAAAATGCAGATAACCCTGAAGCGTTTTTCTTTTGTACGTTTTTAATATAAAGTCATTCATTCATTCAACAAATACTTATTGAATGCCTACTGTATACTAGGTGCTGTTCTGGGTGCTGAAGATAAATAAGTGAACATTATTGATTGAGTCCTTGTGGAGGGCAAGAGTGAGATAGACATTCATTCACAAATAAATAATAAGAAAGATGTTAAGAAGGTACTTTTTTTAAGAGAGTGAGTGTTAGAAACAAGAGCTCAGAGTCGCAAGGAAAACAAGCACTCAAACCATTTCTCAGCAAGGCAAATTTACTTGTGCAGAAGGGTGCCGCTTGCACTTCTGGCCTCTGCGAGAGCACACCAAACAAAGGAGAGAAGGATTTTTTATCCCTAACGCAGTCCCTATCCCTGTGTCCTTCCCCTATTGGCTAGGGTTGAACTGTACAATCTAAGCTGACCCTGGTTGGCTAAGACTTAAACTTTTCCAATTAGGGTAAACACACGATTTGCAAGGGAGGGAGGGGGTAGGAGTGGTCCCGCTGCTATAGCACAAGGTATGTTCGGATATGTCTGGGCAAGTCAGGGCACAACAAGAGCGGGAGGGCTGCTTGCAGGCTAGAAACAAGATAGTACAAAGAAGTGAGGCCTCCAAACCAAGGACAAGGACATTACACAATTAAACCCTTTGAAGAAGAATTCACTATCTCTGGCAGTGAGTAAGAAAATCCTCTCTAATGTTACATTTAAGCAGAGACTTGAAGGAAGTGAGGATATGAACCATACGACTGTCTGAAGAACATTTGTTCCAGGCAGAGAAAATGATGCAAAGTGCAAAGGGCCTGAAGTAAGTGCATAATTGGTATGTTTGAGGAATAACAAGGAGGCCAGTGTGACTGGAGTGGATTGAGGAAAGAGTAGAATTGTAGGAGATGGTCAGTGTGACACTGTGATTTATAATAAGAAATAATACATTTGGTCTTCCTCACCATTTCCTGACATACAGCTTCTAAAACTCTTAGAACCTCCGAAATGATGTGTCTTTTTGTATGATAATGAGACGAATGATGGCTGGTGGCTCCTAGTTAGCCTCAGGATGGGGGTGCTGGTTGCCAGGAGAATGGACCATGTGATTAAAAGATTGAAACTTTCAGTCATACTTCCTTCAACCCCTACATCCAGGAAAGGGAGAGGAGCTGAAGGTTGAGTTGGTAACCAGTGGCTAGTGATTTAATCAATCATGCCTATATAATGAAGCCTTTGTAAAAACCCAGAAAGGACTGGGTTCAAAGAGCTTCTTGTGCTGAGGAGGGTAGCACACCTTTAACTCCACAGGGACAGAAGCTCCTGTGCTTGGGACCATTCCAAATATCACCCTAAGTGTCTCTTCATCTGGCTGTTCATTTGTATCCTTTAAAATATCATTTGAAATAAATTGGCAACAGTAAGTAAAGTTTTGCCTGAGTTCTGTAAGCTACTCTAGCAAATAAATTGGACCTGAAGAGGGAGTCATGAGAACCCCTAATTTATAGTGAGTTGGTCATTCTACATATCTCCAAGTAGATAGAGTCAGAAATGATTGAATTATAGGGCATTCAGTTGGTGTCTGCTGGAGAATTGCTTGATGTGTGGGGAAAACCCCCACAACATCTTATGTCAGAAATAATGTGTTGAGTGTTGAGAGTAGGAAAAGTGTTTGATTTTTCCCATGTCCTACAGTTAGCAAGGTAATAAGTGAGTTTATAAGGATCTAGGCTTGAGCAGACTTAAAAAAAAAACTTTTTAATTTTGGATAATTTTAGATGTACAGGAAAGCTGCTAAGATAATATGATAATTACCCAATGGGTTCTTCTTGCCCACTGCACAGAGAGAGCTGATTTACTGAGACAGCAGTATTGCAATAGCGAAGTAGTGTAATAAACGTAGAGCCAGCTGAGCAGAAGACAGGAGTTTATTACTCAAGTCACTCCCCCTGAAAAATTCAGAGATTAGGGTTTTTAAAGGATAATTTGGCAGCAGGGGGCTAGGGGACTGCTGACTGGTTGAGTTGGGGATGAACTCATAGGGAATCTAAGTTGTCTTCTTACTGTCTTCACTTCCTGGGTAGGATTGCAAGACCAGCTGAGCCAGCTTTACCTGTCTGGGTGGCACCAGCTGGTCCATCAAAATAGAGAGTCTGAAAAATACCCCAAACATGAATCTTAGGTTTTATAATAGTGATGTTATTCATAGGAGCAACTGAAGAGGTTACAAATCTTGTGACCTCTGGCTACATGGCTTCTGAACCACAGTTCTAACCTCCTGGCTAATTTGTTAGTTTTACAAAGGCAGTTTTGTTTCCTGAGCAAGGAGAGTGTTATCATCTTTGTTTTAAAGTTAAATTAAATTCCTCCTATAGTTCCTCCTATAGTTCATTCCGCCCAGGAATGAACAAGGACAGCTTGGAGGTTAAAAGCAAGATGGAGTCAGTTAGGTTAGATTTCTTTCACCATCATAATTTTTCCATGTCAAATTTTTCTCACTGTTATAATTTATGCAAAGGTAGTTTCAATATTACCATCTACCTCTTACCATTTCCCCTAATTTTAACATCTTACATTATCATGGTGTGTTTGACAAAACTAAGAAGCCAACCAGCATTTGTTCATTACTGTTAACTACATTCCAGACTTACCTTGTATTTCATCAGCTTTTCCACTAATGTCCTTTTTCTGTTCTAGGATCCAATCCAGGATACTACATTGCATCACGTTTATTTATTCTTTTGCAGTCTGTGACAGTTGCTCAATCCTTCCTTCTTTTCTATGAGCATAACAGTCTTAAGGAGCTCCAACTGGATGCTTTATAGGATGTTTTTCAATTTGGGCTTATCTCATAATGTTTTCCAAAAGACTAGACTGGGGTTATGGGCTTCTGGAAAGAATACCACAGAGGTAATATACCCTTCTCCAGGAGGTAGTGTTAACCCCCATCCCCAGTCTTGAGTGTGGGCTGACTCACTTTCTAAAAAAGAATATGGAGAAAGCTGACAAATGCTACCTTAACCAAGTGATCAAAGTTAATATCACCACCAGTGATATTATGTTGATATGATGTGGTGAGTCCAGCAAATTTTGATGTAGAGATAACATGTGAATAGGACCTGATTTTAGAGACATCTTTGCCCACTTTACAATTTTCCATAGACTAAACTCATTAAAAAGTACACATAATCTATAGCAAAGTTATTTTAAGTCGAGATTTTTGACATTTCTCCTTATCTTCCATAATTATTTATTACTTAGTACCCAGGATTGTTATTTTCATTTTGTAGTGTCCATATGGGGGAGAGGAAAAGAGAGAGAGGAAGAGAGAAGGAAGGGGCAGACTTTGGTTGTTTTGCTGCTTTTGTAATAATCCACAAATACATCCTATCAGTGGTTGTAATTGTTACCGGAAAGGGGTCCCAGTGCAGACCCCAAGAGAGGGTTCTTGGATTTTGTGCAAGAATTCAGGGCAAGTCCACAGTGCAAAGAGAAAGCAAGTTTATTAAGAAAGTAAAGGAATAAAAGAATGACTACCCCATAGACAGAGCAGCCTTGAGGGCTGCTGGTTGTCCATTTTTATGGTTATTTCTTGATTATATGCTAAACAAGGGGTGGATTATTCATGCCTCCCCTTTTTAGATCCTATAGGATAACTTTCTCATGTTGCCATGGCATTTGTAAACTGTCATGGCACTGGTGGGAATGTGGCAATGAGGATGACCAGAGGTCGCTCTGGTTGCAATCTTGGTTTTGGTGGGTTTTAGCCACCTTCTTTACTGCGTCCTGTTTTATCAGCAAGGTCTTCAAGACCTGTGTCTTGTGCCGACCTCCTCTCTCATCCTATGGCTTAGAATGCCTAACTGTCTGAGAATGCAGCCCAGTAGGTCTCAGCTTTATTTTACCCAACCCCTATTCAAGATGGAGTTGCTCTGGTTCAAATGCCTCTGACACAATGACCAAAGACTATATTGAATCATGTATGGTCAGTAGATTGTTAGTTTGTAAAAGCCCTGAATTTTACATCTTTATAATTCCCATTCAACTCAGAGCTGGCTATATTAAGTGCCATTTTTATAGCCAAATAGTTTTATTTTTGTTGCATATTTAAGGGATTTTTCAAATGTTTTTCTCTATTAAAATGCATTGTAGCTTACCTACTTTGCAATGTGGAATGGAATTAATGCTGAATTAGTAGATAGAAAATTTGTGTTCTAGGTCCCACCCCATTACTTCCTAAATATAACTAGGGCTAATTCACTTAACTCAATTTTCTCATCTATAAAATGGGTACAATCATACTTCATCTTTACCTATGTCTACTATTCAGCATGCATTCTTAGAGTTTTTCCATTTAAATTGTGTTGTGGTTTTTCTTATTTGTTTGAGACAGGGTTTCTCGTTATGTTGCCCAGTCTAGACTCAAACTCCTGCTCTCAAGTGATCCTCTCACCTCAGCCTCCCAAGTAGCTGGGACTACAGACACATTCCACTGCATTTAAATAGATTTTAAAGGCCATTAAATAATTTGGAAAAAAATAATTTCAAGCATAGCATTCCTAACAAGTAAGCTGCTATTAGCTGCTCCTTACAGGTTGTTGTAAAGTTTAAAAGACAGCGTGTACATAAAGACAATGTCTAGCACATAATAAATTTTGAATAAATAGAAAGTAATAGGATAGAGGTAGAATTTTCTATTGTCCTGTTTCCCTGATCCCATTTAAGTAAATATTTAATTAATTCTTGTACATTCTCCACAGGCCTTTGCTTATGAATTCCTGTCAGTAAGAAATTATAGCTTAAGGATGAGCTTGCTGTCATTTAAAAAAAGAAAGTATAGCCCCGCACAGTGGCTCACACCTATAATCCCAGCTACTCAGGAGGCTGAGGCTGGAGGATTGCTTGAGCCCAAGAGGTTGAGGCTGCAGTGAGCCATGATCACATCACTCCACTCCAGCCTGAGTGACAGAGCGAGACCCTATCTCAAAAAAGAAAGAAATTATGACAGAAGCTAACTAATCAGATGTTAGGGATATTATAGAGAGAATCCCTACCTGTAAATTGAAAGTTGGCCAGATGACTTCTGTGGTTCCTTCCAATTCTATGATTTTGCTTTAATACATATAGTACCTATCTCTCAGGGTTTAACTGAGAGCTTTAAGGGCTGAGATAGTATATGGGAAAACCATTTGTAAACATAAAGTACTATACAAATATGTGGTATTATTATATAAGACTAGTAAACTAGTCAACAGAGATTCCCTCAGTAACTGTAAGAACTATCTGTGGTGGGGCACGGTGGCTCACACCTGTAATCCCAGCACTTTGGGAGGCCAAGGCAGGTGGATTGCTTGAGGCCAGGAGTGTGAGACCAGCCGAGCCAACATGGTGAAACCCCGTCTCTACTAAAAATACAAAAATTATCCGGGCGTGGTTGTTCATGCCTGTAATCCCAACTACTCGGGAGGCTGAGGCATGATAATCACTTGAACCTGGGAGGCAGAGGTTGCAGTGAGCCGAGATTGCACCACTGCACTCCAGCCTGGGGAACAGAGCGAGACTCTGTCTCAAAAAAAAGAAAAAAAAAAAAAACTATCTGTATTCATTGAAAATTAAAAGATACACATAATGTATTGAGGTGTTTTTTGTTTTTTGTTTTGGTGAGGCCTAGAATTTATTATATTATAATCGTTGCCATTGTTTGTTATCTATTTATGTTTGTTTTCTTAGCTAAGAGGATTGTAGCACTTTTTTATGTAGCATACATTCTCCTATTTCTTCCATTACATTTACTCTGTGACAGTTTTTCCTAAGGCAATGCCCAGATGTGTTGTGGTTAAGGTTATAATTCAGCATTTCTATCAAGGAGACATCTTTCTGAAAACTATTTGGAAATAGACAGTAGCTCTCTGCAATCAAATTCACTCAGCTTGATGCCACTACTCTTGGTTTAACTTAAGCAGCACAGAACCAATTTTATGGTGAATTCAGAAGAGAAGCTATTGCTGGAAAATAAAATGACTTTGAGCCCTTCTATAGTATTTATCTACTGCCAACTATTTCTTCTCCTCATTATTAGAATAGTACATACTTTGTACTGTTGTGATTCTTCTGTGTAGAAAAAAGTTTTATAACTCATTTTGTTTTTTTTAGTTTTGTCATTTTTCATTTACTGACCAGATCAGATCTTTTCAAAGTCAAACTATAATTTTATTCTTTAGTTCCCTATGGAGTAGCATTTAAAGAAAATCATGGTAAATTACTCTATTCTTAGTTGGAATTTTATTTTACAGCTATGAATAAAAGCATTTTCCTAGATATTTTCCATAGAATTCCTGAAAATAGTTTCTCAGATCTTTCTCAGTATTAAAAGTCAGGCTGAGATTCTCATTTTGTCCCTAGTTGCTGTAATTTTGTTACTTCCCCCATCAGCATTCCCATTTCTTTTAATTTTTAAAATTCTTTTGGTTTATTTTCTGAGTTTAACAGTGGGGAATCCATTTGACTGTGCTCACAGCAGGTAGTAAGTACTATGGTAGACACTGGATTGGTTTCTTTGGATGGTTAAAAGAATAAGAGGGTAATTAAGCTTTTCTGAAGCTGCCAACTGTATTGGAGGTTTGGTGTACATTTAAGGCTTATTTAAAAATAGTTCCTTCAGAAACTGAACATTTAACCAGTAGAATTCCTAAGGGCATATCGTTTTTATCAGGTAGCGATTACTTAGATTACTAGAATTTGTGTCAAATAGATTTCCTCTTTCATATAAGACTAAGTCTAATGCTGTACTATCTCATTCTGACTTGTAATGTTAATTTATGATCTTTAGTAGGGTGCTTTTTACCTACCATAAACTCCCAAATATAGCTTTTTAAAATAATGTGTGCTTTAAAAATACATGCATCTTGTAATCCTAGCACTTTGGGAGGCTGAGGCTGGTGGATTGCCTGAGCTCAGGAGTTCCAGACCAGCCTGGGCAACACGGTGAAACCCCATCTCTACTAAAATACAAAAAATTCGCCGGGCATGGTGGCATGCACTTGTAGTCCCAGCTACTCGGGAGGCTGAGGCAGGAGAATTGCTTGAACCCTGGAGGCAGAGGTTGCAGTGAGCCGAGATCACACCACTGCACTCCAGCCTCGGTGACAAAGGGAGACTCCGTCTCAAAAAAAAAAAAAAAAAAAAAAAAAGCTTCTAAAAAACTGAATAGAAACGTTTATTCAGTTACTTTTAAAGATGCAGAATTAGCCAAAGCTTTGCTTCTTGAACTCAAAATCTAAATCTAGATAAAATGCAGAAAAGGGATTGCTTTTATGAGCTACAGTTATGAGGTCTAAAATTTTATCTACATAAGCTGGGATGTTGACATGTTTAAAACCCCAAACATTCTGTACTGAACCATAAATGGAAGCAGAGCTATAGTCTCCAGAGTTGTAATTTTCCCAGTGGTTTGATTCAGAGTACTTTGAAAAGGTAATTTAAATTTAAATTTGAAAGGGAGAAATGCCTAAAGGTTTTATGGCTCTCAGAAGATAATGGATAGGAATAGTCATTGTATGTGAGAGAAGGAAGAAAACCATAAGAGAAATGTGGCATTTAGAAACATGTACTAAACCTGGTGGAAGAATAGAAATTGATAGATGGAAAGAGGTGATGTAGGGAAAATATACAGTCATTGAACTTGAGAGTTCTTGAATAGTTAACATTCAGCTTTCATTCTATTCATTTAATAAATATTTACTGAGTACCTTCTGTGTGCTTTTTGGCACCGTGGTTTTAAGCAGATAAGTGTCAATGACATAACTAATTTTAAACTTTCTGTTTTGAAACCATTTTAGATTTACAGCGAGTTGAAAAGATAGAGGCTGGGCACGGTGGCTCACACCTGTAATCCCAGCACTTTGGGAGGCCGAGATGGGAGGATCACCTGAGATCGGGAGTTTGAGACCAGCCTGACCAACATGGAGAAACCCTGTCTCTACTAAAAACACAAAAAATTAGCTGGGCGTGGTGGTGCATGCCTGTAATTCCAGCTACCCAGGAGGCTGAGGCAGGAGAATCACTTGAACCAGGGAGGGGGAGGTTGCAGTGAGCCGAGATCACACCATTGCACTCCAGCCTGAACGACAAGAATGAAACTCTGTCTCAAAAGAAAAAAGGAAAAAAAAAGATAGAGAGTTCTTTCTCCCAGGTGCTACATGATTGTGGTACATTACTCAAAACTAAGAATTTACCATTGGCACTGACAGTTTTAAAGGACATATCTTATCTGGCACTTGCTGGCAGAATAAACTATGGGGTCAGGGGAGGGCAGGGTAGAAGCAGGGAGATCAGTTAGTAGTTGATGACATTAATCCAGGGGAAGCATAGTAATGATGGTTTAGACTAGGTGTTTATCTATAAAAGTGGTAACAGGTAGTCGGATTTTGAAAATAGAACCAAGAAGATTTGCTGATGGATTGGATTTGGGATGTGAGATAAACAGAGGAATCAAAATGACTCTAAGATTTTTGGAAAGGAGTCATTTCTAAAAATGGAAAATGAGTTTTAGCACTAAACTTACTGTCCTTCCTTCCACACCAACCTTACTGCCTTTCTCTCCACAACTCTTTAAAAGTTTTAGTTATTTCATTATCTACACAGACAATCCTCCAATGCTCAGATATCTCTGTTTCTTGACCTCCTCACCTCCAGTGATCTTGTCTTCCACCTCAATTTAGTCACCTGCTCATAAGATCATCCTCTAGGCTATGTCGTTACTAATAACTAAACCTTCATTTTAAGCATTCTACTCTCCTCCCACAACTCCTGTCTTTCCAGCCCTCTCCCTGTAGTATATGGACTTCAACAATTTTAACTCCAACAGGACCTTGGATCCATTTTCTCTATGATCTTCACTACCCTCCTTCCTTGGCCCATTATTAAAATGAGGCAAATGGAAAACTAGAGTTACTATTTGTTGAAATAAGGAAGTTTATAGGAGAAATGGGTTTGATGAAAAGGAGGTTGAGAATTAGGATTTTGTTTTAGGACAAATAAGTTTAATAAGTTTGAAATGAGCATTAGATATCCAAGAGCAGGTACTTGAATATAAGAGCCTAGTGTTCGAATGAGAGGTTTGGACCAGAAACATACAATGGGAGTCATCAGCATATAGATAATACATAAAGATATGAGACATGATAAAATCTATTAAATGGATAGAGATAGAGAAGAGGTCAAGGACTGAACCCTGGGCATTACCATTTTTAGAGATCAGGAAAAGAGAAACCAGTGAACAAGATCAAAAGAAGCATCTAATGAAGTAGAAAGAGAACCAAGAGAAGTGGTGACCTAAAAGTGAAACAAAAAGGTTTCAAGGTGGAGAAAAATGATCATTTCTGTCATATACTGCTGATAGTCCAAATAAAATGAAGATGAGAATTGACAGTTGGATTTGGCAACATGGAAGCCATTGTGACTTTAATAAGAGCAGTTTCAGAAAAGCACTGAGAATTAGAGCCTGAATGGAATGAGTTTAAGAGACAATGGGAATAAAGAAGGTAGAGACAGCAAGTACAGATTGCTCTTTCATGTTTGATTGTAAAGGGCAGCAGAGAAATGGGACTTTGACTGAGGAGGTGAAATGTTGGTCAAGAAACCTGTATTTTAACATTGGAAACATTGTATGCTGATGGAAATGACTAGTAGAGAGGGGTAATTGATAATGTAAGAGAAAGACAGTTACAGGTTGGTGAGAGGGGATAGAATCCAGTAGATGTGGCTAGGTGCAGTGGCTCATGTCTGTAGTCCTAGCACTTTGGGAGGCTGAGGTGGGTGGATCACTTGACCCCAGGAATTTGAGACCAGGCTAGGCAGCATAGTGAGACTCCATCTCTACAAACAAACAAACAAACAAACAAAAAACAACATCTGGGTGCCTGTGAGGTAGGAGGATCGCTTGAACCTGCCTGGTTGAGGCTGCAGTGAGCCGTGATCGTGCCACTGCACTCCAGGCTTGGGTGACAGAGTGAGACTCTATCTCAAAAAAAAAAAAAAAAAATTCAGTGAATCAGTAGAAGAGATGGCCTTAGATAGGATTATGGACAGTTTTACCATTGTGTAGGAAGAAAGAGTGTGGCCGGGCACGGTGGTTCATGCCTGTAATCCCAGCACTTTGGGAGGCCGAGGTGGGTGGATTGTCTGAGGTCAGGAGTTGAAGACCAGGCTGGCTAACATGGTAAAACCCCATCTCTACTAAAAATAAAAAATTAGCCGGGTGTGGTGGCACGCACCTGTAATCCCAGCTACTCGGGAGGCTGAGGCAGGAGAATTGCTTGAACCCGGGAGGCAGAGGTTGCAGTGAGCCGAGATTGCACCACTGCACTCCAGCCTGGGCAACAGAGCGAGACTCCATCTCAAAAAGAAAAAAAAAAGAAAAAAAAAAAGTGTATGGGTACAGATGCACATATTTTAGTATATATTTAGTATGATGAGAGCTTACGTGAGTTATAATTTCTATTTTTTTCAATGAGGAGAGGGAGGGAGAAGAGTTGATTTTTTTTTTTTTAATATAGTAAGGTAAGTAACACTAAAGGCTCATTTAACGTTAGTAGTAATGAATTAAAGGAAGCCAAGTCATTATGTTTGAGTTTTACTTTGGTCACATTCAGCTGTCTGAATGCTGCAGTGGCACGATCATAGCTCACTGCAACCTCGAACTCCTGGGCTCAAGGGATCCTCCCACCTCAGCCTCCCATATAGCTAGGATTACAGGTGTGTGCCACCACATCTGGCTAATTTTTGTATTTTTTTGTAGAGATGGGATATTGCTATGTTGCTGAGACTGGTCTTGAACTCCTGGCTTCAAGCAATCCTCCTACTTCAGTCTCCTAAAGTGTTGGGATTGCAGATGTGAGCCATTGAGCCCAGCCTCTTACCTTATTCTTTTTAATGGCTGCATTGTATTCCATTGTATTTCACCTGTGCCCTATTGAGAATTTTTTTTTATTATTATTTCTAGGTTTTCACTGTAGTGAACATCTTTAAATATATGTCTTGAAGTACTTTTTTTTTTTTTTTTGAGATGGAGTCTCACTCTGTTGCCCAGGCTGGAGTGCAGTGGTGCGATCTCGGCTCACTGCAACCTCTGCCTCCCGGGTTCAAGTGATTATCCTGCCTCAGCCTCCTGAGTAGCTAGGACTACAGGTGCATACCACCACACTCAGCTAATTTTTGTATTTTTAGAAGAGACGGGGTTTCACCATATTGGCCAAGATGGTCTTGATCTCCTGACCTAGTGATTGAAGTACTTTTACAGCTATATAAATAGAATAAATTTCTAATGTTAGGTTGAAATAAATGTGAATTTTGAAAAATATTAGGGCCAGGTGTGATAGCTTATGCTTGTAATTCCAAGACTTTGGGATGCCAAGACAGCTGGATCACTTGAGGCCTGGAGTTTGAGACCAGCCTGGCCAACATGGCAAAACCCATCTCTACTAAAAATACAAAAATTAGCTGGGCATGGTGGTGCACACCTGTAGGCCCAGCTACTCATGAGGCTGAGATGGAAGGATCACTTGAGCCCAGGAGGCAGAGGTTGCAGTGAGCCGAGATTGCACCACTATACTCCTATCTGGGTGACAGAGTGAGACCCTATCTCAAAAAAAAAAAAAAAAAAGAAAGAAAGAAAAGAAAATATTAGGTGGATAAATGATGTGGTGGCACCACTTATTATCCCAAAGCTTTGGGAGGCAGAAGCTGGAGGATCACTTGAGGCCAGGAGTTTGAGACCAACCTAGGCAACATAGTGGGATCCCATTCCTAAAAAAAAGTCATTTGGGCTGGGCATAGTGGCTCACGCCTGTAATCCCAGCACTTTGGGAGGCCAAGGTGGACAGATCACCTAAGGTCAGGAGTTCAAGACCAGCCTGGCCAACATGGTGAAACCCCGTCTCTACTAAAAATAAAAAATTAGCCAGGTGTGGTGGCATGTGCCTCCCGAGTACCAGCTACTCGGGAGGTTGAGGCAGGAGAATCGCTTGAACCTGGGAGGCGGAGGTTGCAGTGAGCTGAGATCGCACTACTGCACTCCAGCCTGGGTGACAGAGTAAGACTTCGTCTCAAAAAAAAAAAAAAAAAAGTCATTTGGACATGGTGGCTTGCACCATAATCCCAGCTACTCAGGAGGCTGAGGAGGGAGGATTGTTTGAGCCCAGGAATTCGAGGTTGCAGTGAGCTATGCTTGCATCACTTTACTCCAGCCTGGGCAACAGAGAAAGACCCCCTCTTTTTTTTTTTTTTTTTTTTTTTTGAGACAGAATCTCGCTCTTGTCGCCCAGGCTGGAGTGCAGTGGCGTGATCTTGGCTCACTGCAACCTCCACCTCCTGGGTTCAAGCAATTCTCTTGCCTCAGCCTCCCAAGTAGCTGGGATTACAGGTGTGCACCACCATGCCTGGCTAATTTTTGTATTTTTTAGTAGAGACAGGGTTTCGTCATGTTGGCCAGGCTGATCTCGAACTCCTGACCTCAAGTGATCTGCCTGCCTCGGCCTCCCAAAGTGCTGGCATTACAGGTGTGAGCCACTGTGCCTGGCCGAGACCCCATCTTTTAAAAAAAGAAAAAAAGGAAGGAAGGAAGGGAGGGAGGGAGGGAGGAACAAAGGGAAGGAGGGAGGGAAGAATGGAAGGAAAGGTGGAAGGAAAAATTAGGTATACCAAATTTTTCTTTAAAATTATTTATTTGTCTGAGTGCTGTGGCTCTACAGAAAATTAAAAATTTAGCTGGGTGTGGTGGCACATGCCTGTAGCTCCAGCTGCTCAAGAGGCTGAGGTGAGAGGATTGCTTGAGCCCAGGAGTTCAAGGTTACAGTCAGCTATGATCACACCACTGCACTCTAACCTGGGCAACAGAGTTTAGTCCAATAGCATGAGTTTCTTTTTCTTTTTCTTTTTTACTTTAAGTTTCGGGATACAAGTGCAGAACATGTAGGTTTGTTACATAGGCATACATGTGCTGTGGTGGTTTGCTGCACCTATCAACCCCTCATCTAGGTTTTAAGCCCCACATGCATTAGCTATTTTTCCTAATGCTTTCCTTCCCCTTGCCCCCCACCCCCCAACTGGCCCCGGTGTGTGCTATTCCCCTCCCTGTGTCCATGTGTTCTCCTTGTTCAACTCCCACTTATGAGTGAGAACATGCAGTATTTGGTTTTCTGTTACTGTGTTAGTTTGCTGAGGATGATGGTGTCCAGCTTCATCCATGTCCCTGCAAAGAACATGATCTCATTCCTTTTTATGGTTGCATAGTATTCCATGGTGTATATGTACCACATTTTCTTCATTTAGTCTATCATTTTGGGGCATTTGGGTTGGTTCCATGTCTTTGCTATTGTAAATAGTGCCACAATAAACATATGTGTGCATGTGTCTTTATAATAGAATTATTTATATTCCTTTGGGTATATACCCAATAATGGAATTGCTGGGTCAAATGGTATTTCTGGTTCTAGATCCTTGAGGAATCGCTACACTGTCCTCCACAATGGGTGAACTAATTTACACTCCCACCAACAGTGTAAAAGCATTCCTATTTCTCCACAGCCTTGCCAGCATCTATTGTTTCTTGACTTTTTAATAATTGCCATTCTGACTGGTGTGAGATGGTATCTCATTGTGGTTTTTTTTTGCGTTTCTCTAATCATTAGTGATATTGAGCCCTTTTTTCATACCTTTTTTGGCCGCATAAATGTCTTCCTTTGAGAAGTGTTTGTTCATATCCTTTGCCCAATTTTTGAAGGGGCTGTTTTTTTATTTCTTTTTTGTTTGTTTGTTTTTGAGAGGGAGTCTCGCTCTGTCACCCAGGCTGGAGTGCAGTGCTGTGATCTCGGCTCACTGCAAGGTCCGCCTCCTGGGTTCATGCCATTCTCCTGCCTCAGCCTCCCGAGTAGCTGGGACTACAGGCGCCTACCACCATGCCCAGCTAATTTTTTGTATTTTTAGTAGAGACAGGGTTTCACTGTGTTAGCCAGGATGGTCTCGATCTCCTGACCTCATGATCCGCCTGCCTCAGCCTCCCAAAGTACTGGGATTACAGGCGTGGGGCTGTTTTTTTCTTGTAAATTTGTTTAAGTTCTTTGTTGATTCTGGATATTGGACCTTTGTCAGATGGGTACATTGCAAAAATTTTCTCCCGTTCTGTAGGTATAGCATGGGTTTCAGAGTTTTGAGGGAGAAAGGAGGGACACTGATCTGTAGGTGGCAATAAGGAGCAAGTCCCTAAAAAAATACATATATATAAATGATTTCATTAACTTACATTCTCATCAACAGTGTATGGATGTCCTAGTTTCTCTATACTGTTCCTCCTCCCCTCCTCCAACTGGGAATTGTGTGTTAATGTTAAGTGGTTTGTGTTAAGCTAAATTGCAAAGTATTGGCTGGGTGCGATGGCTCATGCCTGTAATCCCAGCACTTTGGGAGGCTGAGATGGGCGGATCACTTGAGGTCAAGTGTTTGAGACCAGCCTGGCCAACGTGGTGAAACCCTGTCTCTACTAAAAATACAAAAATTAGCTGGGCGTGGTGGCACGTGCCTGTAGTCCCAGCTACTCGGGAGGCTGAGGCAGGAGAATCCAGGAGGTGGAGTCTGCAGTAAGCCGAGGTTGCACCATTGCACTCTAGCCTGGGTGACAGAGTGAGACTCTTGTCTAAATTAAAAAAAAAAAAAAAGGCAAAGTATTCTAATTGGTTGATTGGTTGTCTCTGATGAATAGCACTGAAAGAGGAAGGAAGGGTACTATTGCTTTTCATTATAACTCCCTTTATATTTTTTAATTTTTAATTATGTGCTGGTTATATGAATCATTTAAAATATGTGTGTGCGTGTGTGTGTATGTGTTATAGTGTGTATATGTAAAGAAGCATAGTCAAATATGATACCCTTAGCATCCATAGCCAATTAATTGTGCTGTGCTGCCAGATTATTTTCCATGTGTGTGTTCATTTCCTAATAAACTTTGCCATTTCTATTTAATTGAAGAGTAGCTTGAAATTTTAAGAGAAGCTGATTTTTTTTTAAATTACTATTTGTATGGCATTTTTGGAAACTGGATTGTCTTCAGTGTAATATAACAAAACCAATTAGCTATTGGGGCTAATATAAAACTGCAGCAGTATCTACAACTTCAGATTTAAGATGTTTGCATTAATTAAAGCAACCTAATTTTTCTAACTGAATGGACTATAATATGTAAATGTTATATAACTCAAATATATAAAATAAATGTGCACCTAAAAACAAGTTCTTATAGCATGAAAATTAAACTCTTGATTTTAAAAATATTGACTAACATTGAATTCAGACTTTGTGTTATTTTAACTCACAATTTATTTTTTTAAATCTGATAGAAATTTGTCAGAACATATGGACTTGTAATATCTTTGCTTTAAAATATATTCATTTTTATACTTTAGAGATATATTACTTACTGACTTTTAAACTTTTTTTTTTTTTTTTTTTTTTGAGGCAGAATCTCGCTCTGTCGCCCAGGCTGGAGTGCAGTGGCTCGGTCTCGGCTCACTGCAAGCTCCACCTCCTGGGTTCACGCCATTCTCCTGCCTCAGCCTCCCGAGTAGCTGGGGCTGCAGGTGTCTGCCACCATGCCCGGCTAATTTTTTTTGTATTTTTTTTAGTAGAGAGGGGATTTCACCGTGTCAGTCAGGATGGTCTCCATCTCCTGCCTCATGATCTGCCCGCCTTGGCCTCCCAAAGTGCTGGGATTACAGGCATGAGCCACCGCACCCAGCCGACTTTTAAACTTTTTAACTAGCGATATAATATTTTCAGTCTTTTGGCCTTCTGCAGCTACCTTTCCAAAAAAATTGTGGAATCTTAGTTAAGTGTTTCGGTTGCAGTTTCCTTTACTGTTACCAGTTACCCAAAATAGATATATCAATCAGGGGCCTTTGTTACTGTAGCAGTGTTACCTCAAATAAATTCATTTAAGGCCAGGGGTGTTGGCTCACTCCTGTAATCCCAGTATTTTGGGAAGCTGAGGCAGGTGGATTGCTTGAGCCCAGTTCAAGACCAGCTTGGGCAACAAAGTGAGAACCTGTCTCCACAAAACATTTTAAAAATTAAAAAATTAGCCAGGCGGCCGGGCCCGGTGGCTCATGCCTGTAATCCCAGCACTTTGGGAGGCTGAGGCAGGCGGATCATCTGAGGTCAGGAGTTCGAGACCAGCCTGGCCAAGATGGTGAAACCCTCTCTCTGTTAAAACATACAAAAATGAGCTGGGCGTGATGGTGGGTGCCTGTAGTCCCAGCTACTCAGGAGGTTGAGGCAGGAAAATCACTTGAACCTGGGAGGCAGAGGTTGCAGCGAGCCAGGATCACACCACTGCACTCCAGCCTGGGCAACAGAGCAAGACTCCATCTCAATTAAAAAAAAAAAAATTAACCAGGCATGGTGGTGCTTACCATGGTCTGTGATCTCAGCTACACGAGAGGCTGAGGCAGGAGGATCACTTGAGCCTACAAGGTTGAGACTGCAGTGAGCTGTGTTTGCACCACTGCACTCTAGGATGGGTGACAGAGCAAGACCCTGTTTCCAAAAGAAAAAAAGAAGATTCGCTTTATCTGGCAGATACAACCAGAAACAAAAAAGCCTCTCACTATGGAAAAATGTACTAATCTAGCATTCTTATACTATTGTCAGGACTACTTGATATTTGAAAGAAATTATTATATCTATTATATATTATATTACTATTATGTTATCTGAACTCTTAGAGAAGGTATTTGGTTACTAACTAAAATCACAACAAGATACTATTATACACCCATCAGAATTGCTAAAATTAAAAAGACTGACACCACCAAATACTGGTGAAGATGTGGAACAACCAAAACTCTATACATTGTCAATGGGCTTGTAAAAAGGATATAACCACTTTGGAAAAAGGGCTGGCTGTTTTGTGTAAAACTAAACATGTACCTTCCCTGTGACCCAGCAATTTCATTTCTTGGTATTTGCCCAAGAAAAATGAAAACATATATCTACGAAATTACTCACACACGAATTTTTTTTTTTTTTTTTGAGACAGAGTTTTGCTCTTGTTGCCCGGGCTGGAGTACAGTGACGCGATCTCAGCTCACTGCAACCTTCGCCTCCCGGGTTCAAGTGATTCTCCTGCCTCAGCCTCCTGAGTAGCTGGGATTAAAGGCGCCCACCACCACGCCCGGCTAATATTTTGTATTTTTAGTAGAGACGAGGTTTCATCATGTTGGCCAGGCTGGTCTTGAACTCCTGACCTCAGGTGATCCACCCGCCTCGGCCTCCCAAAGTGCAGGGATTACAGGCGTGAGCCACTGCGCCCGGCCGAACACATGAATTTTAATATAGCTTTATTCATCATGGCCCCAAAGTGGATACAGCCCACGTATTCATCAATAGAAGAATAAATAAACTGCAGTATGTTAATAAACTGGAAAACTAATCAACAATAAAAAGTAATTATTATTGATATACAATAATATGATGAATCTCAAAAATATTTTGCTGAGTAAAAGAAGCCTTACATAAAAGAAAACAGGCTATATGAATCCATTCATACGAAGTTCAAGAAGAGACACATTAATCTATGATGAAAAAATGAGAACAGTAGGAGATTGAGAGTGAGGATTGACTGGAAAGGAGGAGGATGGAACTTTCTGGAGTAATTATGATGTCCTATATCTTGGTAGGGTTTTGAGTTACATAGGTAAATGCATTTGCCAAAATTCAATGCATGTATATAGAATATGTGTTTTATTATATGTAAATTTTACTAAAGCCTGTACAAAATTTTGAATTCTAGTTAACAATATGCATATTTGCAGGGGGAAATGTACTGATATCTGTAGGGTGCTTTAATATGCATGAGAAATAAGATGCACTGATGGATTGATCAATAGATAGCAAAATATTAATGGTAGAATCTAAGTAGTGGGTATATGAATGTTTACTGTAAAATCATTTTCATTTTTCTGTACATTTGAACATTTGTATAATAGAATACTGAGAAGTAGAAAAAAAGCATTCGATACTCTCAGAAACAATTTTTTTCCTTATGTATTCCATGAAGAGAAGCAGAGTCAGCAATAACCCCTGAAAGTTAAGTTGCTTGCTTATTATGTTTCTGGCTGGATATAAGTTTTCACAGAACCAATAGAGATACAACTGGGTTTCTTTATGTTATCATGTTATTTTGTTTTACATACATATTTGGGAAGTTAGCTTGTTTATTCTCAACTCATCATTTAAAATTCTGTTAGCTTTGGAAGGTCGTAAAAATGAGATACACTGTCATTATTTTCAATATCAGAAATTCTTCCTGCTATCTCTGTTTTGAAAATTTACTTGTTTTGTTTACGGTCATACTACCCTGAACGTGCCTGATCTCGCCTGAAAATTTACTTGTTCTATCACAATTTATAAGAATCAAGTATCTGGGCTGGGCGCGGTGGCTCATGTCTGTAATCCTAGCACTTTGGGAGGCTGAGGCAAGTGGATCACTTAAGTCCAGGAGTTCAAGACCAGCCTGGGCAACATGGGAAAACCCCACCTCTACAATAAATTAAATGTATATACACACACACACACACACACACACACACACACACAGACACACACACACATATACATACAAAAAATTAGCTGGATGTGGTTGCACACGCCTGTAGTCCTAGCTACTCTGGAGGCTGAGGCAGGAGGATCACTTGAGCCCAGGAGGTCAAGTCTGTAGTGATCTGTAATTGTACCACTGCTCTCCATATTGGGAGACAGAGTGAGACCCTGTCTCAAAAAAAGAAAAGAAAAACTGAATAATAAAAAACAGATCTGATGAAAGTTGTAATAAAATACATTGCCGTGAATAACATAAAAACTTAATCTTATAAACACTTTGATTAAACTAGAACACAAAGTAGAGATAGGTCAAGGAAGATTTGGTGCAGAAGATAAAGCCTTAGGTAACAGAGCTTAGGAAATAAGTAAACGAAAAAAATTGTCAGTGAAATAATGGACATATTGGAAGTGCAAAAGGAGAATACACACTTCTGGAAAACATAGTAAGGGACATGGGAAGCTAGAGAAAAAAATGAGCAAAATGAAATGGAAATTAACCAAGTGTTTAAAAGGAATAGAGAGCCAATGTAAGATGTAGAACATGGATAAAGTAGAATAATTGTCTCTGAAGAATAAAGCTCAATAGAAAATAATATTTAAAGATTTTTTAAAGGAAACTATTCAGAAACAAATGCAGACTTGAGGCCAGGTGTGGTGGCTTAAGCCTGTAATCCCAGCACTTTGGGAGGCTGAGGTGGGTGGATCACCTGAGGTCAGGAGTTCAGGACCAGCCTGGCCAACATAGTGAAACCCCATCTCTACTAAAAATACAAAAATTAAAAAAAAAAAAAAAAAAAAGAAAGAAAGAAAGAAAAAAGCCGGGCGCGGTGGCTCACATCTGTAATCCCAGCACTTTAGGAGGCCAAGACGGGCGGATCACCTGAGGTCGGGAGTTCGAGACCAGCCTGACCAACATGGAGAAACCCCATCTCTACTAAAAATACAAAATTAACCAGGCATGGTGGTGCATGCCTGTAATCCCAGCTACTTGGGAGGATGAGGCAGGAGAATCGCTTGAACCCGGGAGGCGGAGGTTGCGGTGAGCTGAGATCATGCCATTGCACTCCAACCTGAGCGACAAGAGTGAAACTACATCACAAAAAAAGGAAGGAAGGAAGGGAGGGAGGGAGGGAGAGAAGGAGGGAGGAAGGGAGGAAGGAAAGGAGGAAGGAAGAAAGGAAGTCAGGTAGACTTGAATCTATAGATTGAGAGAGTACATCATGAGCCAGGGAAAATGTACATAGAACAATTATAATAAGGCACAACCTAGTCATGTTATTGGACTCCAAAAATTAAAGAATGATTCCAGAAAAAAAGAAAAAAACATATGAGAGGGAGAAAGATTTGGACTTACTTCAGAATTCTCCTCAGTATATTTCAGTGCCAGAAGACTGTAGGCTTTATAGACTTTATCTATAGTCCTCAAGAAAATAATGTGTGATCCAAGGTTTTATATCTAGCTTACCTGTTATTTAGGTAAAAAGGCAACAGATGTTTTTGAACATTCAAGAACTCAGAAAATATAATTTCCCTGATGCCTGTACTGTGCCCAGCCAGCCAAACAAGTGATAAAGAAAATGTCACAAAAGACCTTATGTGAGCATGCAATCCATAAGATTCATGTGGGGCTTACTATTCCAGAAGAGAATTTACATGTTATAAACTCTGACAGTGTAGGTATTAAATGACCCCAAAGAATTGGGAGGGCTGGGTGTGGTAGCTCATGCCTGTAATTTCAGCATTTTGGGAGGCCACAGCAGGAAGATTACTTGAGGCCAGTAGTTTGAGACCAGCCTGGGCAACAAAGCAAGACCCTGTCTTTTTTCAGAAATAAATAAAAATAAAGGATTGGAAGGATAAGGGTGAGAGATAGTAGGAAGTGCTAAAACTAGCAGGAGGGCCGTGCGCGGTGGCTCACGCCTGTAATCCCAGCACTTTGAGAGGCCGAGGTGGATGAATCACTTGAGGTCAGGAGTTCGAGACCAGCCTGGCCAACATAGTGAAACCTCGTCTCTACTAAAAATACAAAAATTAGCCGGGGATGGTGGTGCACACCTGTAATCCCAGCTACTCAGGAGGCTGAGGCAGGAGAATCACTTGAACTCGGGAGGTGGAGGTTGCAGTGAGCCAAGATCACATCACTGCACTCCAGCCTAGGCAACAGAGCAAGACGCTGTCTCAAAAACAAACAAACCACTAGCAGGAGGATGTACTCCAGTAAAATCTAAGAACTAATTTATTAACATAAATTATAAAAACAAACAAACAAACAAACATGGGATCTGGGAACAGGTGATCCAGCACAGAAGGGCTCCGTAAGGAAGTTCCAGGATATCATTTTTATACCAGGCCTAGGCCAGGGAGTTTTCTAGAAAAAAATAAGGACTGGTTTATATGAGCATATGAAAAATATTATTATTGAATGGCATGCCACGATGTTGGAGCTTTTGGAAAAAGAATACTGATAGGTATGTTGGAAACAAAGCAAATGAAAAAAATAAAGCAGTTAACAACTCCAGGAAAAACAAAATACAGTCAGGCACCCCACAACAACATTTTAGTCAATAACAGGCCATATATACAATGGTAGTCCCATAAAATTGTAATAGAGCTGCCCTGCTCTATATAGATGTACCGTTTTTATGTTATACCATATTTTTACTGTACTTTTTCTATGTTTAGTTACACAAATACTTACACTGTGTTAAAACTGCCTACAGTGCTCAGTACAGTAACACACTGTGCACTATTGTCTCTAGGAACAATAGGCTGTACCCTATAGCCTACGTGTGTAGTAGACTATACCATCTGGGTTTATATGAGTATGCTCTATGATGTTTGCACAATGACAACATCGCCTAATGATGCTCTTCTCAGAACGTATCCCCATTAAGTGACACATGACTGTAATTGTGCAAGAAAAGGAGTTCTTGTATAATTAGTCTGCTGTTCAGCAGTTCACACTATTTGTATGGCTATAATAATATTTTAAAACTCACTGATTTAACCAAATATTGGGAGAATTGAGGGAGAGGAGAGTTGTGTATGTGAGAACAATTACTAAAACTTCATGTTGGTGAAATGATACTGTTAATATTGATAAAGCAAGAAATCGGAAACAACTAAGATGCCTTCTACCATGGGGGGAAGATAATAAATCTGATATTTAATATTGATAAATTAAGAAATATCAATATAAACATTTTATTTAGAAAGATGGAAACAGGCTGGGTGTAGTGGATCACACCTGTAATCCCAGCATTTTGGGAGGCCAAGGTGGGTGGATCACCTGAGATCAGGAGTTGGAGACCAGCCTGGCCAACATGGTGAAACTCCATCTCTACTAACAATACAAAAATTAGCTGGGCATGGTGGCGGGCGCCAGTAATCCTAGCTACTCAGGAGGCTGAGGCAGGAGAATCGCTTGAACCTGGAAAGTGGAGGTTTCAGTGAGCCGAGATCGCACCATTGCACTCCAGCCTGGAAGACGAGTGAAACCCTATCTCAAAAGAAAAAAAAAAAAAAAGGCTGGGCGCAGTGGCTCACGCCTGTAATCCCAATGCTTTGGGAGGCCAAGGCGGGTGGATCATGAGGTCAGGAGTTCAAGACCAGCCTGGCCAAGATGCTGAAACTCCATCTCTAGTAAATATACAAAAATTAGCTGGATGTGGCGGCACGCGCCTGTAATCCCAGCTACTTCGGAGGCTGACGCAGGAGAATCAAGTGCAACCAGAGGTTGCAGTGAGCCAAGATCAAGCCACTGCACTCCAGCCTGGGCAACAGAGCAAGACTTCGTATCAAAAAAAAAAAAAAAAAAAAAAGAGAGATGGAAACAGGGAGAATGACTAGAAGAGTTGAAGTTGATAGCCTCTGCAGCTTAGAGAAGAATGGGGAAGCGTCTTTCATTATAAGTCTTGTAATAGTACAATTTGACTTTTTAAAGGAGGTGACTACAATATTTTGACAAAAATAAAAATAATTTAACCAATAAGGGATTATTTCTCTGTGTGTAGTGTGCACAAAAAGTTATGTAAAGCTATTTACTGAAGCATTATTTATTTGGTATTAATTACAAATTATATCCTGTAGGTAACAACTCAAGATTATGTTACATGGTACACTGTTTTGTAAATATATTTATTTTCTACTCTTAAGGAACATTCATTCTAAGGAGTTAGGGAATGGCTTAAACATATATAAATCAGAAAAATAGTAGTTTACCCATTCAGCAAATATGTATTGAGCACTGTGTGCCAGGCACTGATCTGGGCACTAGACATCAAAAAGAGACAAAAGCATCTGCAGTCTAGTGGAGGAGCAATGGAGACATAAACAGTAAACATAATAAAAATGGTGTGGCCGGGCACAATGGCTCAGCCTATAATCCCAGCACTTTTGGTGGCCAAGGCGGGTGGATCGCTTGAGGTCAGGAGTTTGAGACCAGCCTGGCCAACATGGTGAAACCCCATGTCTACTAAAAATACAAAAATTAGCTGGGCATGGTGGTGGGCACCTGTAATCCCAGCTACTCAGGAGGCTGAGGCAGGAGAATCGCTTGAACCCAGGAGACAGAGGTTGCAGTGAGCCGAGATCATGCCATTGCACTCCAGCCTGGGCGACAGAGCGAGACTCCGTCTCAAAAAAAAAAAGAAAATAAAATAATTTTAAAAATGGCTAGACTGGGCCGGGCGCGGTGGCTCACGCCTGTAATCCCAGCACTTTGGGAGGCTGAGACGGGCAGATCACAAGGTCAGGAGTTCAAGACCAGCCTGGCCAACACAGTGAAACCCCGTCTCTACTAAAAATGCAAAAATTAGCTGGGCGCAGTGGCGGGTGCCTGTAATCCCAGCTACTCAGGAGGCTGAGGCAGGAGAATCGCTTGAACCCGAGAGACGGAGGTTGCAGTGAGCTGAGATAATGCCACGCACTCCAGCCTGGGCGACAGAACTAGACTCCATTTCAAAAAAAAAAAAAATGGCTAGGCTGTATTAGAAGTTGATAATGTCTATGCAAAAAGAAAAAGACATACGGCATAAGAGGATTCGGAAGTGCAAGGAGAAGAGGAGGAACTATCAAAGGAGACTGAGAAGACAGAACCCTGGGAGTATATAGGAGAATGTGACGTTACAGAAGCTTAGAGAATAAAGATCATGTCAAGGTAGACGACATGATCAGTAGCCAAATGCTCCTGAATGAAGTGGACCTGAGAATAGACTATTGGATTTAGCAAAAGGAAGGTCACTTATGTGATGTTGACAAGAGCTGTTTCAGTAAAGATGTGCTATCTAATTTCTTCTCGTCATGGAGAAAGGATGACAAGAAAGATAGTTACCACTAAGCCCTCTTATTTTTGTGATCTTATAGCAGTAGTCATAGTTTGATCTTTGGTAAATTTGTAACATCTAGATTGCTATTCACAGAAGACTTAGGATAACTTTGGTTTTGCTTGGATGTGAACCTGATCAGTGTGAGCAAATGGTTGGTAAGATTATACTGTTAGCAGCAGTAGGGAATGAGATTTCTTTTTTTTTTAAATTTTATTATTATTATACTTTAAGTTTTAGGGTACATGTGCACAATGTGCAGGTTAGTTACATATGTATACATGTGCCATGCTGGTGTGCTGCACCCATTAACTCGTCATTTAGCATTAGGTATATCTCCTAATGCTATCTCTCCCCCCTCCCGCCACCCCACAACAGTCCTCAGAGTGTGATGTTCCCTGGGAATGAGATTTCTGTTGTGAACCCCAAACCCAGAACTGCAGGAACTAGTCCTTTGGTAGATTACATTATTTAGTTGTAGAAAAACTAATGAAGAGAATCGGTGGTGTGTGGGCATTGCAATCAGTTGACTCCACGTGGCATTCCTAGAGGTTGCTATAGAAAGAAAGAAAATAGCTTAAATTCAGCCCCAATTTTAATTCCATATAGTCCACTAAGAAAAAGAATACTAAGTCAGGTGGAGAACTTGCCTTCATTATTTTTAGCTTAATGTGTTATTCTAGATTTAGAATACCTATGATTAACTGGGATGAGGGGATGATCAGAAATTCAATATTTAACTGCTGTCATCCTAGCAAGGGCATACTGAGTAGATAGCATCATCATAATATGTGGGCTGAGATGAGGCTGCTCCAGACGAGTCTCTCTCCAAGTTAATTGATGGAAACTTCCCACCTTCAAGAATTTTTATTACCTTAGCAATGCTATGCCAAGACTGTTGAAACACAGCTGTGGGTGCTGTGCAGACGCCCACATTGCCAATGTCAGGAAGGATGTACTTTTAAACCTCTAATTTATCTAATAATGTCGTTAGTGATTTGTGTAGGTTTGGCATTGTGATGAAAATGCTTCCTGGCTTGGTTTATAACAAGAATTCAGTTTGCAGTCTTAAAATGTA
Organism: Homo sapiens; assembly: GCF_000001405.40. Taxonomy (NCBI): domain Eukaryota; kingdom Metazoa; phylum Chordata; class Mammalia; order Primates; family Hominidae; genus Homo; species Homo sapiens. The sequence continues at coordinate 58,936,691 of NC_000017.11, forward strand.
TATTGTCTTAATATGCATGTGGAATATACTAACAAGTCAATACAAAAAGATCTGAATAAAATACTATCCTGTCCATCTAAAGGAACTTATTATCAACCCATGGTATTTGAAAATGAATGCAAATTAAATGTTTTTATTCAGTAATAATCTATTTATCTGTTGTGGTTCCTGCTTTATAACAAGATGGCAATATTCAGTGCTGAAAGAGAGCCAGCTTTCATATTCAATCCAATCTGACTCCTTTCCTATTCTCTAATGGAAAATACGAATTGATTGGATTGATGTCAGCCTATATAGTGGAGATGGAATAATAAGCTCTTGTAAGGCCGGGCGCGGTGGCTCACGCCTGTAATCCCAGCACTTTGGGAGGCCGAGGTGGGCGGATCATGAGGTCAGGAGATCGAGACCACGGTGAAACCTCGTCTCTAATAAAAATACAAAAAAAAAAAATAAAATAAGCTCTTGTAAATAAATATTTTAAAAGAGGTAGGAAACAGTACTTTCTTGTTTCAAATATAAAATTTTATAGTAACAATATTGTTTTATATGACATTTATCATGTAGGCCTGTCTCTTTTTTTTTTTTTTTTTTGAGATGGAGTCTCACTCTGTTGCCCAGGCTGGAGTGCAGTGGTGCCATCTCGGCTCACTGCAACCTCCACCTCCCCAGTTCAAGCGATTCTCCTGCCTCAGCCTCCCCAGTAGCTGGGATTACAGGTGCCCGCCACCACGCCCATCTAATTTTTGTATTTTTAGTAGAGACGGGGTTTCACCACCTTGGCCAGGCTGGTCTCAAACTCCTGACCTCGTGATCCACCCGCCTCGGCCTCCCAAAGTGCTGGGATTACAGTCGTGAGCCACATACCTGGCCAGTATTATTTGTTTTCTTAAAGAGACATGCCTACGGCCGGGTGTGGTGGCTCACGCCTGTAATCCCAGCACTTTGGGAGGCCGAAGTGGGTGGATAACAAGGTTAGGAGCTCGAGACCATCCTGGCCAAGGTGGTGAAACCCCGTCTCTACTAATAGTAAACTACAAAAATTAGCTGGGCATGGTGGCAGGCACCTCTAATCCCAGCTACTCAGGAGGCTGAGGCAGGAGAATTGCTTGAACCCGGGAGGTGGAGGTTACAGTGAGCCAAAATGGTGCCACTGCGCTCCAGCCTGGGCAACAGAGTGAGACTCCATCTCAAAAAAAAAAAAAAAAGAAAGAAAGAAAAGAAAGAAAGAAAACAAATAATACAAAATGTGAAGGATTCTTTCCTAACTAATGGATTCACTGCAAGGATTGATTGCATTTATCAAAATAAATATACATTTAATGTTTCAGAATACACCCACAGCATAAAGCAGAATATTCCTAATTATTTATAGAAGGAATATATAGCATTTGTTTCTACCCCACTGGACTATGTGAAAACCTTTGGATCTGAAGTGTGTTTACACTTTTAAGCTGCCTTTGTCCCATCTTTGAAATTAAAAAACCTTATTTGGAATAGAATTATAGAAGTAGAATTTTAGGCCTAGAATTGACTTTAGAGTTATTTTATTCTAACTTAATTTTCTAGTTGAGGAAATTGAAATCCAGGGACTTTAAGCACCTTTTCTAAGGTTACCCAGCTATAACTAGAACCCACCTTTCTAACTCCTTATATTTCTGCTCTAATTTCTTGTCTCCAACAAGTTAGTCAAATAGTAATTAAATGGTAAGTTGGCAGAAGTTTTAGGTCTCTCTCGTGTGTGTGTAACTATGTATTTTCAGGCTCCAAAGTCAATAGTGGTCTGTAATTATTCTTCATATATATATGTTTTTATCTTTGTCATTACATGGAGAAATCAGTGTTTAAATTATAAGTTAAAGTGATTTCTGAGTATCTGAGGTATCTATGAATACATAAATAATAGTCTTTAATATCTACATATAGGTAACAAGGACCCATATATAATTAAGTCCTGCAAGCACTATAGGTGAAGGAAATGCTAAGGATTCTCCTATGACTGGGCCCCATTATGAAATTTAAAGAAATCAGTACTTATCTAGAGCATAAGAAATGAACATGCTCAGTACTCATAGGCTGTCTATGCTGATACACTAATTCTTTTTTTTTTTTTTTTTTTTTGAGGAGTTTCGCTCTTGTTGCCTAGGCTGGAGTGCAATGGCGCGATCTTGACTCACTGCAACCTCCACCTCCTGGATTCAAGCGATTCTTCTGCCTCAGCCGCCAGAGTAGCTGGGATTACAAGTGCCCACCACCACGCCCAGCTAATTTTTTGTATTTAGTAAAGAGGGGGTTTCACCATGTTGGTCAGGCTGGTCTCGAACTCCGGACCTCAGGTAATCCACCCACCTCAGCCTCCCAAAGTGCTGGGATTACAGGTGTGCACCACCACGCCTGGCCCACTAATTCCGATAATGACTTGGATAGTTCCCATAATGATTTAACATCTGTCTCCTGCTTCAACCCTGTCCCCAGACACTAAAACAAACTAAAATAATTTGTGTAAGTAAAGTACTGACCTATTGAAGGTTATTAGAATGCAGTTACATTTTTATAATTCAAAATCTTCCACCAAGCATGTTTTCAGCTGTGGCTATTTTTGAAATAGAATTGAGGAAGCAAGATAAATATTTGGAGGATAAAGATGATGCTAGCCAATATGAGCTGCAGGAAAGAACAGTCAGAACATTCATGACTATAAGTTTTGTGGGGGTTTTATGTGTGTTTGTAGAACACTTACTGTTAGCTTAAAGCAAGCAAGACCCCATGCTTTGTTTACAAAGCTCAATTTATGAAGTTTAAGTAGAGCCTGGATTTTTGTTTTACAATTCATAACATCAAGAAAGTCAGTATACACAGAAATTCATATATGTATTCATGAACATAAATAGCCTTAATGAAGTGGAACGTGTTACTTATGTGACTAAACTTAAAAATTAAAACTAAATGGGCCCCTAATTAATGATTTTCAACATTGTTTAAAAAATATTTATGTATATAATTTTTATATGCCTTAGACATAAAATAGGCAAAGATTTTATTTCCGTCTATGAATATATAAAATTAGTACTTTGATACCTAAAACAAACAAGAAAACATCAAATTGGTATGTATGGAAAAACTTTCCTTTTGTTCTCAGGATGTGAATTGCTTGAAGATAAAAATGGAAAGCACTTCAAAATATCTGTTTATATACATAAAAAGAAAAGCATTATTCTTGGACTATATTTGAGAGTCCTAACAAGATTAATTTGACTTGGACACAGAGTCCCCCAAAATGATACTGCAAATATTAAAGGATTTCTAATCATATTGCAGTTCAGCAGTGTTCTCAACACAATGACATTTATAAACCTAGTACTCCAAACTGCTATGAGTATTGGCTCTCTTTTGATATTTGCTATGCTTATTACATTTGCCGAACTTTAAAACTTTCTGTATCAGGATCTTTCAAGTATTTTAAGAGAAATGATGAAAGAAAGCAGCTTGCTATGTTATTATCATGTTAGTCACTCCTAGTGATTCTCTTCAAATGACAAGCATTAGTGATAAGCTTTTATTTGAGGTGTATCAAATATTCTCTGATGTGACTGCTCTAAAATATATTTGCAATTCTGATTTTTCAGAAATAATCACTTCCAACTCAAAGTCAAAACCATAAGAAGTTATTCATGCTAAGTGTTACAGCTTTCTGACATGTAGGAATAACTGATGTGGGTGAAGCATCTAGCTTAATGTTTTATATCTAGCTATTAGTCAGCTAATCCTCCTCCCTACTTCACTGAAAATATTTTCATTCTGTCTGACAAAAGGTAAAAAAATTATATTAACTGTGACTAAAAATGTATTGCAGATGACACATTAATGAGACTAATGGTTCTTGCCTTATTCTCTAAAGTTTTCATTTCTTACATTTGTTGAACCTACATCCAGATAGTTTAATAATTACACAGAAGATATCCTTTTCTTTTGGAACTCTAATGGAACAAGATTACAATAAAGGTTTTCAGATCATTTTTGTTTTTTGGGTTTTTTTTTGAGACAGCCTCACTCCATTACCCCACCCAGGCTGGAGTGCAGTGGTGTGATCGGGACTCACTGCAACCTGCACCTCCCAGGTTCAAGCAATTCTCATGCTTCAGCCTCCCACGTAGCTGGGGTTACAGGTGTATGCCACCATGCGTGGCTAATTTTTGTATTTTTAGTAGAGACAGGGTTTTGCCACATTGGCCAGGCTGGTCTCAAACTCCTGACCTCAGGTGATCCACCCACCTCAGCCTCCCAAAGTGTTGGGATTACAGGCGTGTGCCACCACACCCGGCCCAGATCATTTTTAATGTAAATTTAAAAAACAACCCAGTAAATTCCATAACTATATACTAAAAATTCATATAGGTAAAACATTTGGAATGTGTCCAGTTAATCAGAGTAAGACATGACAGAAAGGTAAAGATAAGCGATTTTTACAGAGATTAGGTCTGTGAAGAAACATTTTGACTCATCAAAATTCAGTTAATTTCCATAGCATGGAAGGAGACATGGTAACATTGTTTATAAAGCATTTGGATTTTAAAGGGATCCCATCAATTTATTTAATAATTGTTAAAGGGTAGTAGCTTTTAAATTTTTTTCATCATAATTCAGTATATACTTACCTACATATATATGTGAAACAATGCTTTACCTCATGCACCTTATTCTATTTCCTTTAAAAAATGCTGGTCATGCTGGGTGCAGTGGCTCACGCCTGTAATCCCAGCACTTTGGGAGGCTGAGGTTGGCGGGTCATGAGGTCAAGAGATCGAGACCATCCTGGCCAACATGGTGAAACCCCATCTCTACTAAAAATACAAAAATTAGCTGGGTGTGTTGGTGTGCACCTGTAGTCCCAGCTACTCGGGAGGCTGAGGCAGGAGAATTGCTTGAACCTGGGAGGCAGAGGTTGCAGTGAGCCGAGATCATGTCACTGCACTCCAGCCTGGTGACAGAGCAAGACTCCATCTCAAAAAAAAAAAAAAAAAAAATGCTGGTCATAGGCCGGGCATGGTGGCTCACACCTGTAATCCCAGCACTTTGGGAGGCCGAGGCGGGCAGATCACCTGAGGTCAGGAGTTCGAGTCCAGCCTGGCCAACATAGTGAAACCCCATCTCTACTAAAAATACAAAAATTAGCTGGGCGTGGTGGCAGGCACCTGTAATCCCAGCTACTCGGGGGAGTGAGGCAGGAGAATCGCTTGAACCTGGGAGGTGGAGGTTGCAGTGAGCCAAGATCGCGCCATTGCACTCCAGCCTGGGGGACAAGACCGAGACTTCGTCTCAAAAAAAAAAAAAAAAAATGCTGGTCATAATTCATACATTAATTTCATTACCCACTAATGGATCATAAACTGCAATTTGAAAAATACTGATGAATAATAGCTGGGTGCAGTGGCTCACACCTGTAATCCCAGTACTTTGGGAGGCTGAGGCGGGAAGATCGCTTGAGAGTAGGAGTTCGAGACTAGCCTGGGCAACATAGTGAGACTATGTCTCTAAAAAACAAAAAACGGGGCATGGGTCATGGTGGCTTGCACCTGTAGTCGTAGCTCCACAGGAGGCTGAGGTGGGAGGATTGCTTGAGCCCAGGAGTTTGAGGCTGCAGTGAGGTATGACTGCATCACTACACTCCAGTCTGGGCAACACAGCAAGGCTCTGTCTCAAAAAAGAAAAAGAAATATTGATGAATAATAAAATAATTTTCTAATTTTTTTTCCTTGAAGACATAGAATGTAAGCATTGCCATTTTATATGTTCCTGAACCACTCACTTATTTGGACTCATCTAGACCTTGTTATCAAAAATTGCATCAGCTCACAAATCTTGTACACAAGCATCCTGCTCTCAGACGACAACATTCTGCCCTAGATTTTGTGCCCAAGTACTCCCACCTACAATTCTTTAATTACATTTAGACCACACTGATTTACAACTCAAGTCTGTTCTTTAAGATTTGTGGGGGTAGGGGGAGGGATAGCATTGGGAGATATACCTAATGCTAGATGACAAGTTAGTGGGTGCAGCGCATCAGCATGGCACATGTATACATATGTAACTAACCTGCACATTGTGCACATGTACCCTAAAACTTAAAGTATAATAATAAAAAAAAAGAAAAAAAAAAGATTTGAGTATCTTAAAAAGATACTCAATTCTGCCTGATGCAGTGGCTCTCTGTAATCCCAGTTACTCAGGAGGTTGAGGTGGGAGGATCCCTTGAGCCCAGGAGTTCAAGGCTGCAGTGAGCTATGATTGTGCCACTGCACTCCAGCCTGGAAAACAGAGTAACACTCTGTCTCTAAAAACAAGTAAAAATTTTTTTTAAAGATAGCAATCTCTAGCCAAAGATGATTGAATAAAATAAAAAGTGAATTAAAAAAAAAAGATAACAAATCTGCAGGGGGCGGAAATTGCAGTGAGCCAAGATCGTGCCACTGTGCTCCAGCCTGGGTGATAGAGTGAGACCCTATCTCAAAAAATAAAAATTCCAAATCTCCATTTCTCTTCTTCGCTTTATAGTACTACCTTGCAAAACCCCAAATCCTTCTTGTCAGAGACATTTCTCTAAAACTTAAATAAAAAACAAAACAACAAAAAAAACACACAAATAAAACAAAAACCAAAAATGAACCTCGAATAAACCGCCAATCTTGTGACACTTGATGAACTAAATGGTTCTTTCTACCTACGCATGTGCCAACATAGATGAAAAAGTCATGCCATCAGAAAAACTGGTTTCATTTAAAAATTATCTCAAACTTCCCACAGTCTCTTAGCACTGTGTGACAGTCCTACTACTCTCTGATATGACGATTTCATATCTGCTCTGACTTCATCCCTCCTCCTTCCTTTCTACCCTCATGACCTAGTTTGTGATTTAACCTAGTGGCTCTCAAAATGTGGTTCCCAGACCCGCAGCATGAGTTCATATTTAACTTGTTAAATATGAAGATTCACAGGCCTCACATCAGGCTTATTGAGTCAGAAACTCTGTGGATGGGGCCCAGCAATCTGTGTGCTAAGAAGCCCTGCAGGTGATTCTGATGCGTGAGAAAGTTTTGAAAATGAATCTTGCCTCATACTTCATTGAGAAGCCCTTCTTTAGAATGTAAGCTCTAAGAGGGCAGGGGTTTTTTCTTTTTTGTTTATATATACCCTGAGCACTAGAACAGTGCCTGGTACATAGTAGGCCTCAATAAATATTTGTTGTCTCAAATCATTAAATGGGAATACCCGTCGTTTCCTACTAACATCTAAAAACATACCTGCATCTGTACTGATTTTCTTCTTTTTCCAACTAAGGAAATGTGCCTCATCCTACAGTCAGATTCTACACCATTCTAAAACAACAACAGACTTTCCCTTTCCCCTATCCCCTATCAGTTACTGCCCCATATCTCTGTTTCCCCTCTGTGCCAAACCTCCCTGCCCCCTACTCAGTAATTAACCCATTCTAGCCTGATTTTCACTTCCACTATTCAGTAGTTCTTGACAAAGTCAGTAGTTTTTTTATTATCTTTATTGAGATATAATTCGCATAATATAAAATTTACCCATTTAAAGTTTACAACTAACTGATCACAACCAGTCATAGGTTTCTTTGTTCCTTCTCTACTCCCACTGCTTCACATGACTTGCCTTTTTAAAAAAGTGTACAATTCAAGGATTTTAATACAGTCACAGTTGTTCAACCGTCACCCTAAGTTCCAGAAAATTTTCATCACCCCAGAAAGAAACCCCCTACCTATTAGCAGTCACTCCTCATTCCCACCACCCCTCCAGCCCTAAGCTACCACTACTCTCTGCTTCTATAAATTTCCTATTCTGGGCTTTTCATATAATTATTATTATAGAATTATAAATTCTACAATAAGTGGTCTTTGTGACTGGCTTCTGTTGCTATCCATAATGTTTTCAAGGTTCATCCACACTGTAGCATGTATAAGTGCTTCATTCTTTTTTATGGCTAATATTCCAGTGTATGAATATATTGCATTTTATTTATCCATCAAGTGATGGACACTTGGTTGTTTTTACTATTTGGCGATTATAAACAATGCTGCTGTGCACATTAATGTATGAGTTTTTTGTGAATATATGTTTTTATTTCTCATGCATGTATACCTAGGAGTGGAATTGCTGGGCTGGCCATATGGTAACTTTATGTTTAAAATGTTAAGGAAGTGCCAAAGCAGCTGTACCACTTTACATCTCCACTAGGAATGTATGAGAGTTCCATTTATCCATATAGTTGCCAACACCTGTTATTACTAATTGTCTTTTTTGTTATAGCTATTTTATTATAGCTATCCTAGTGGATGTGAAATGGTTTCTCATTGTGGTTTTGATTAGCATTTCCCTAATGACTAATGATGTTAAAAGGGGAAGAAAAAAACCTGTTTTTCTGTACAGTCACACACTTCTTTTTTTTTTTTTTTCGAGACTGAGTCTCACTCTGTCATACAGACTGGAGTGCAGTGGCATGATCTCTGCTTACTGCAACCTCCACCTCCTGGGTTCAAGCGATTCTCCTGCCTCAGCCTCCCGAGTAGCTGGGATTACAGGCATGCCACCACACTCAGCTAACTTATGTATTTTTAGTAGAGACGGGGTTTCATCATGTTGGCCAGGCTGGTCTCGAACTCCTGACCTCAGGTGATCGTCCCGCCTTGGCCTCCCAAAGTGTTGGGATTACAGGCGTGAGCCACCTTGCCCAGCCTCACACACTTCTGACACTAAAAGTGTGTGGGGTTTTCCCACCAACCAATTCTCCATTTCTCCCTGGACATCAATTAGGTGTCTTACAATTTAACTCAATTCTGACACTAATTGCCTGGAGTTACAACAGATCCCACAGGATAACGGGCTCAGTCCTGCAAGATGCCCCACCTCAGATGCCAGTTAAAAGTCTGGACCTCCCAAACTTCTGACCAACTGGTTATAAATCAAGGTTTCCTACAACCTTCTCCGAAGTTAAATAATTTGCTATAATGTCTTACAAAATTCAGGGAAACATTCACTTATGTTTACTGGTTTGTGAAAGGATATTATAAAGGATATAAATGAACAGCCAGATAAAGAGAGATATACAGGGTGAGGTCCTGAAGGGGAAGGGTCTCAAACATAATAGGTTCTGTTGGAGGTGGGGTATGCCACCCTTCTAGCACATAGTTATGTTCATCAAACCAGAAGCTCCCAAAATCCCATCTTTTAAGGATTTGCATGGAGGCTTCATCACGTAGGCATGTTCAAATAATTATTAAGTCAATCTCCCATCTCTCTCCCTTCCCTAGAAAATGGGAATAGGGTTGAATATTCCAGGCCTCTTATTATGGGTTGATCTTTCTGATGCCCAGTTGCCATCCTGAAGCTATCCAGTAGCCCACCAAGAACTGCTTCATAAGACCAAAAGGCACTCATAGACTATACAGGAAATTCCAAGGGATTTAGAAGCTCTATGTCAGAAACCAGGTTCAAAGACTAAATATTAGAAGATGCTTCCAGTACCCCGTCACTCAGGAAATAAAAAGGGTTTTAGGGGCTCTGTGTCAGGAACCAAGGCGGAGGACAAATATTTATTTCCAATTATGTCACAGATGTTGCACATCTTTTCATGTGCTTATTGCCCATTTGTATATCTTCTTTGGAAAAAAGCCTTTGGGTTGTCTTTTTATTATTGAAATATAAGGATTCGTTACATATTTGGGATACCAGTCTCATTAGATATATGATTTGCAATTTTTTGTTTTGTTTTGAGACAGGGTCTCTCTGTCTCTCGGGCTGGAATATAACGATGATTATGGCTCACTGCAGCCTTGGACTCTGGGCTTAAAGCGATCTTCCTGCCTCAGCCTCCCAATTAGCTGGGACTACAGGTGTGCCCACCATACCCAGCTATTTTGTTGTTGTTTGTTTTGAGACAGGGTCTTGTTAAGTTGCCCAGGCTGATCTCAAACTCCTGGCCCCAACCTTACCCCCTTGCAAAGTACCAAAATTACAGACATAAGCCACTATGCCTGGCAGATTTGCAAATATTTTCTACCAGTCTATGGGTTGTCTTTTCACTTTACTGATTTGTGATACAAAAGTTTTAAATTTTGATGTAGTCCAATTTAATATTTTTTTTCTTTTCTGCTTGTGCTTTTGGTGTCAGAGCTAAGAAAACCATTGCCTAATCCAAGGTCATGAAGATTTACTCTTTTAGGAGTTTTCTTTTAGGAGTTTTATGAGTTTTAGCTTTACATTTAGGTCTGTGATGCATTTGGCATTAATTTTTGTATATGGTGTAAGGAAGGGGTCCAACTTGATTATTTTGCATGTGGATATCCAATTTTTCCAGCACCATTTGACCATTTTGTTAAACAGAAAGTTATTTTCCTTTTTCCTGTTTTTTTTTTTTTTTTTTTTTTTTTTTTAGACAGTCTTGCTCTGTTGCCCAGGCTTGAGTGTGATCTGCCCACCTCGGTCTCCCAAAGTGTTGGGATTACAAGTGTGAGCCACACTCCTGGCCTTTTTTTTTTTTTTTTTTTTTTTGAGACAGTCTTGCTTTATCACCCAGGCTGGAGTGCAGTGACGTGATCTCAGCTCACTGCAACCTCTGCCTCTTGGGTTCAGGCGATTCTCATGCCTCAGCCACCCAAGTAGCTGGGATTATAGGCGTGCACCACCACACCCAGCTAGTTTTTGTATTTTTGGTAGAGACAGGGTTTCACCATGTTAGCCAGGCTGGTCTTGAATTCCTGGTCTCAGGTGATCCACCCACCTTGGCCTCCCAAGGGGCTGGGATTACGGGTACGAGACACTGCACCTGGCCTTTTTTTTTTTTTTTTCACTTATTTGACCTCTCAGCAATTGACAGAGTTCACTGCTCCCTCCTTCAAATACTCTCTACTATCTCGGTTCTCCTTTTACAGATTTTGCCATTTCTCTTTAGTCTTCATAGGTCCCTTGTCTTCTACTAAGCTTCTAAATATTGGGTTTTCAGTTATTGTCACTGTATTGCAAATTACCACAAAACTTAGTGGCATAAAACAATTATTTATTATGCTCACAATGTCTTTCAGTCAGAAATTAAAACTGGGTAAAGCAAGGTCACCTTATCTCTGTTCCAACTGGGGTCTCTGTTGGAAGACTCAGGCTGGGGGACTGGAATCATCTGAAGGCTTGTGAACTTACATGTCAAGCAATTGATAATGGCTACTGCCTGGGAGACCTCAGGCTACATCCACATGAGCCTGTTCATGTGGTTTCTCCACATGGCTAGTTTGGGCTTCCTCATGGCTTGATGGCTTGGCTGAGTATGAAGAGCAAGTATCCAGAGGGAGACAGAGGAAGAAAGAAGAGGAAGCCGGGGGAAGCCACGTGGCCTTTTATGAACAAACTTCAAAAGTCACACAGTATCACTTTTGCTACATTTTTTTCATCCGAGTAGTCACCACACCTCACCCATGTTTAGATTAGGAAGGGAAACAGACTCTATTTTTTTATGGGGAATGGCAAAGTTCTAAAATAGCATGCGGGACCAGGAATGCTGTTGCGGCCTTTTTAAAAATAATCTGCCACAGTCTTTTCTGGCCACACAATTCACATCCTTCCCATGTGCTAAATGCACTCACCCAACATCCCCTAAGATTTCCCAAAGTCTAATCCCATTATGGTATTAGGCTGAAGCTTGAGGTCCAAGATTTCATTGAGGCCAAGACCATGGCAGATAAGATTTCTTATCTGGCAAGTAAGGTTTCTTCCTTTAAAAAAAAATTCTCCAATGAGAGTTTAATTTTTATGTTTATCAAAGTGTATACTATATTAGATCATTTGTGTACCAGTAGTTACACTGATAAGGCAATGAAAAAGAAAATGTTTAACGCTGGAGCCTTATGGTCACAGAAAGTTTTTAAAAATTTAATTTCAATTTTCATACATATTTTTACTGCAGAGACATATTATATACTGCTTTGGCTGAGTCCCATAGGTTTTGGTATGTTGTGTTTCTGTTTTCATTTGTTTCAAGGAATTAGTCAATTTCCTTCTTAATTTCTTTCTTCACCCATTGGTTGTTTAGGAGCATGTTGTGTAATTTCCATGTATTTGTGTAATTTTGAATGTTTCACTTGTTATTGGTTTCTAGTTTTATTCCATAGTCAGATAAGATACTTGATATGACTTCAATTAAAAAAATTTTTTTAGCCTTGTTCTGTGTCCTAACATGTAGTCAATTCTGGAGAATGTTCCATTTGCTAATAAAAAGAATGCATATTCTGCAGCTGTTGGGTGAAATGTTCTGTAAATGTCTGTTAGAGCTATGCTATGGTTTATCTGATGTTTCCTTGTTGATTTTCTGCCTAGATGATTTCTGCAATGCTGAGTTGGGTGTTGAAGTCCCCAGCTGTTATTGTATTGGCATCTGTCTCTTCCTTTAGATCTAATAGTATTTTCTTTATGAATCTGGGTGTGCTGGTCTTAGGTGCATGTATATTTACAATTGTTATAGCTTCTTGAATTGTTTCCTTAATTACTATATAATGTCCTTCTTTGTCTCTTTTTATAGCTTTCGACTTAAAGTCTGTTTTAGCTGATATAAATATAGCTTTTCCTGCTTGCTTTTGGTTTCCATTTGCGTGGAATATCTCTTTCCATCCCTTCACTTTCAGTCTGTGTATATCCTTATAGATGAGGTGAGTTTCTTGTAGACAGCATATAGTTGGGTCTTGTTTTTGTTTTTGTTTGTTTGCTTTGTTGTTGTTGTTTAAATTCATTCAGCCAGTTTCTTTTAATTGGGAATTTTAACCATTTTACATTCAAGATTATTATTAATAGATGAGGACTTACTCCAGACATTTATTGACTGTTTTCTGAGTATTTTGTGTAACCTTTGTTCCTTCCCCTCCTATTATTTATTTTTGTGGTTGGGTTGTTTTCTGTAGTGATAAGATTATTTATTCCTTTCTCTTTCTTCTTTCTCTGTTGGCTCTCCTGGTGAATTTTATAATTTCACATATCTTCATGAGGGCAGTTATCATCTTTTTATTTCCAGATGTAAGACGCCCTTGAACATTTCTCTTGGACTAGACTAGTGGTGATGAATTCTCTTATTTTTTGCTTGTCCAGGAAAGATTTTATTTCTCCTTCATTTTTGAAGAATAGCTTTCCTGGGTATAATATTCTTGGCTAGCTGAGTTTTTTTTCTTTCTGTACTTTGACTATATCATCCCTTTCTCTCCTGGCCTGTGAAGTTTCTGCTGAGAAAGCTGCTGCTAGTCTAATGGAGATTCCCTTATATATGACTTGATGCTTTTCTTTTGAAAAGGAATTCTCTTTTAGAATTATTTCTTTGTCTTTACCTTTTGACAATTTGACAGCTGGGTGTGGTGGCTCATGCCTGTATTCCCAGCACTTTGGAAGGCCAAGGCAGGTGGATCACCTGAAGTTGAGAGTTTGAGACCAGCCTGACCAACATGGTGAAACCCTGTCTCTACTAAAAATACAAAAATTAGCTGGGCATGATGGCGGGTGCCTGTAATCCAAGCTACTCAGGAGGCTGAGGCAGGAGAATTGCTTGAACCCAGGAGACAGGTTGCAGTGAGCCGAAAATTGCACCATTGCACTCCAGCCTGGGCTACAAGAATGAAACTCTGTCTCAAAAAAAAAATTATTTTTTGACTATAATGTGCCTTAGAGAAGACTTGTTTGGGTTGAATCTATGTGGGAACTTTCCAGCTTCCTGGATCTGAATATCTGTGTCTCTCCCAAGACCTACGAAGTTTTCAGTTATTATGTCATTAAGTATATTTTCTACACCATCTCTCTTTTCTTCTCCTTCTGGAATGCCCATAATGCAATTATTTGTTTGCTTAATGGTGTCCCATAAATCCTATATGCTGTTTTCATTCTTTTTTCTTTTCTTTCTTTTTTTTTCTGCCTGAGTTTTTTCAAAAGACCTGTCTTCAAGTTCAAAAATTTTTTCTTCTGTTTGGTCTAGTCTGCTGTTGAAGCTCTTTATTGTATTTTTTATTTCATTCATTGAATTCTTCAGCTCTAAGATTCCTGTTTGGTTCTTTTTTTTTTTTTTTTTTTGAGACGGAGTCTTGCTCTGTCACCCAGGCTGGAGTGCAGCGGCGTGATCTCTGCTCACTGCAAGCTCCGCCTCCTGGGTTCACGCCATTCTCCTGCCTCAGCCTCCCCAGTAGCTGGGACTACAGGCGCCCGCCACCATGCCTGGCTAATTTTTTGTATTTTTAGTAGAGACGGGGTTTCACTGTGTTAGCCAGGATGGTCTCGATCTCCTGACCTCGTGATCTGCCCGCCTCGGCCTCCCAAAGTGCTGGGATTACAGGCGTGAGCCACCACACCTGGCCGGTTCTTTTTTAATGATATCTCTTTGTTGAATTTCTCTGATTTTTGTTAACTGTTCTATATGTATTCTCTTGTATCTCATTGCGTTTCCTTAACATGATTATTTTGAGCCACATGTGATGGCTCATGCCTATAGTCCTGGCTCCTTGGGAGGCTGCAGCAGGAGGATTGCCTGAGTCCAGGAGTTCTGGCCTATAGTGCATTATGCTAATCTGGTGTCTACACTAAGTTTGGCATCAATATGGTGACCTTCTGGGAGCAGAGAACCATCAGGTTGCTTAGGGAGGGATGAACCAGCTCAGGTCAGAAATAGAGCAGGTCAGCCAGGTGTGGTGGCTCACACCTATAATTTCAGCAATTTGGGAGACTGAGATGGGTGAATTGCTTGAGCTTAGGAGTTCGAGACCAGTCTGGGCAACATGGTGAAACCTCGTCTCTACAAAAAATACAAAAATTAGGCTGGTGGCTCATGCCTGTAGTTCCAGCTACTTGCGGGGGCTGAGGTGGGAGGATTGCTTAAGCCCAGGAGGTGGAGGTTGCAGTGAGCCAAGATTGTACCACTGCATTCCAGCCTGGGCAACAGAGTGAGACTCTCTTTAAAAAAAAAAAAAAAAAGAAAGAAAAATAAATGGAGCAGATCAAAACACATATGCCAATTAACAGTAGGATGCCTATGAATAGCCACTGCACTCCAGCCTATGCAGTATCGTGAGACCTTCATCTCAAATTTTTAAGAAAAGATTATTATTTTGAATTCTTTTTCTGGCATTTTATATATTCCTTACGATTGGGGTTTGTTCCTGGAAAATTATTGTGTGCATTTGGAGGAGTCATGTTTCCTCAATTTTTCACATTTGATGTGTCCCTATGTTGATTTCTACACATCTGGTGGAACAGTCACCTCTTCCAATCTTATGGAGTAGTTTTCATAGGGAAAGATTTAGTCATGTGGATGGGTCTTGGGGCATCAGTTGGATGGCTGCATTGGCTATGGTTCTAGGTGGACACAGTGTTGTAGTTTCTTTTGCTGTAATCTGCACTAGTGATGTTTGTGAGTATCCCAATGGCCTAGGCTGTTAGAGTTTATGGCAGAAGTCATGTAGCTTTACTGGGGTTGGGACCATTGGACTATTTCTTAGGTCAGGGACATGTGCATGCACATCATGGGTTGACCAGCTTGGGGTCTAGCTTGCTGAGGCTGTGGCCATGGACTGTTACTCTGGCTGGGGGCACATGTGCATGGCTGCCCAGCTTGGAGGTATGACAGCCTGGGGTGGGACCTCCAGGCTGTTCCTCTTCTGGGTGCAGGCACACAGTTTCTTGGCCAGCATGGGGTCATATCCACTGGAAGAAGACCTGCCAGCCTGTTTCTCAGGCCCTGGGCATGGGCAGGCCTAGGGTCATGGCCTCCAGGAATGGGCCTGTGAGGCTGTTTATCAGGCCACAGGCATGGGAATGTTACTGCTTGGGGGTGTGCCTGCTGGCAGTGGCTCACAGAGCTGCTTCTCAGGCCCAGGACACAGGCACATGGCTGCTTGGATGGCCCAGGGGGATATCTGCCAAGGGCAGCCCGTGGGGCTGGAGTACTAGTTTCTTTGTTTTCTTTTTGTTTGTTTGTTTTGAGACAGAGTCTTGCACTCTGGGCTGGAGTGCAGTGGCATGATCTCAGCTCACTGCAACCTCCACCTCCTGGATTCAAGCGATTCTTCTGCCTCAGCCTCCCTAGTAGCTGAGATTACAGGTTCCCGCCACCACACCCAGCTAATTTTTTTGTATTTTTAGTAGAGACAGGGTTTCACCATGTAGGCCAGGCTGGTCTCAAACTCCTGACCTTGTGATCTGCCCACCTCAGCCTCCCAAAGTGCTGGGATTACAGGCATGAGCCACCACCCCCGACCTGGAGTACTAGTTTCTTAATGACAGCTCCTTAACTATTGTTCCACTTGACTGAAAACCTATGAGCTAAAAAGGCCATTTATCTACTCCCTTTCCCGCTGTAACCCAATATACCCAATATGGTGTGGCATAGGATAATCTTCTCGTTCCCAGAGGGGGAAACCAGGAGGCACATAGAGATCACTGATCTAGAGCAATTCTCTTTTTATGTTTTCTCCCTATATGCTTATCTTAGTCTGCTTTGAATTGCTATAAAGGAATACCTGAAGCTGGGTAAATTATAATGAAAAGAGGTTTATTTGGCTCACAGTTCTGCAGGCTATACAAGAAGCATGGCACCAGCATCTGCTTCTGGTGAGGGCTTAAGAAGCTTCCACTCATTACAGAAGGCAAAAGGGAGCCCTCATGTGGAGATCACATGTTGGGAAATGAGAGAGAAAGGGGAGGAGGTGCCCAGCTCTTTTTAATTTAATAATCAGATCTCACAGGAACTAATGGCACAAAAATTAACTCATTACCACAAGGACTACACCAAGCCATTCATGAGGGACCTGCTTCCATGACCCAAACCAGGCCCCACCTTGAACATCGGGGATCAGATTTCAACATGAAATTTGAAATATCCAAACTATATCAGTGGTCTTTTCCATTTCCGTAGCTTTAAATATCATCCATACATTTGCAACTTCCAAATTTCCTAACATCTCAAATGCCAGACTAGAATATCCAGGTAACCATTTGACACGTTGACTAGGACATCTCAGATATTTCCATCTTTTTTTTTTTTTTTTTGAGACAGAGTTTTCACTCTTGTTGCCCAGGCTAGAGTGCAATGGCACGATCTCGGCTCACCGCAACCTCCGCCTCCTGGGTTCAAGTGATTCTCTTGCCTCAGCCTTCCGAGCAGCTGGGATTACAGGCGTGTACCACCACGCCCAGCTAATTTTTGTATTTAGTAGAGACGGGGTTTCACCATGTTGGCCAGGCAAGTCTTGAACTCCTGATCTCATGATCCACCCGCCTTGGCCTCCCAAAGTGTTGGGATTGCAGGCATGAGCCACCATGCCCAGCCAATATTTCCATCTTAACATGTTAAAATGAATTCTTGATTTCTACTTTACCCCACTTCCTTCACAAACTTGTTATTTTCCTGGTTTCCCCATCTTGGCAGGTGATTCTACTATTCACCTAGTTGCTCAGACCAAAACCCAGGACTCAGACTTCTTTACTTTCTCTCCCTCTCTCACCTCTACATCCAATCATCAACAAGTTCTATATTTTTTTCTCACTCTTTTTCTTCTCATCTGGGTTATAACAACTTCCTTATTGGTTACCCTCCTTCATTCTTGCTCCCTTCTAATTTCCTTTGATATAGCAGTCAAAGCAATAATTTAATTCATATGTCTGACGATGGCACTGTCTTGGTCATAATCTTCTGTGAATTCTTATTACCCTTTGAAAAGAATAGAAATTCCTTACCATCACCTAAAAGGCCCATGTATCTGGTCTTTGTCTGTTCCTCTGACTTTATTCTGTGCCACTTTCCCCTCACCCACTATGATTCACTTCCTCTGGGTTTCTTTCAGTTCCTTAGATATAACAAGCTCTCAAAAGGTTCTGTATTGGCCAGGCGCAGTGGCTCACACCTGTAATCCCAGCACTTTGGGAGACTGAGGCAGATGGATCACCTGAGGTCAGGAGTTTGAGATCAGCCTGGCCAACATAGTAAAACCCCATCTCTACTAAACATACAAAAATTAGCCAGGCATGGTGACATACACCTGTAGTCCCAACTACTCAGGAGGCTGAGGCATGAGAAAATAGTTTGAACCTGGGAGGCAGAGATTGCAATGAGCCAAGATTGCACCACTGCACTCCAGTCTAGGCAACAGAGCAAGAGTCTCTCTCAAAAAAAAAAAAAAAAAAAAGGTTCTATATAAATTTTATTCCCTCTGCCTGGAGTATTCTCTCCTAACTTCCCACTACGACATAACTGAGTCTTTTTCATCCTTTAAGGTATGGCATTCCTGACCATTCTATCTAAGTTCATACCCCTCTTTATTATTCTCTGTCATTGTATCCTGTTTGTTTCCTCTATAAAACTTATCCTGGTCTTGGTGCAGTGGCTCATGCCTGTAATCCCAGCACTTTGGGAGGCCAAGGTGGGCGGATCACCTGAGGTTGGGAGTTCAAGACCAGCCTGACCAACATGGAGAAACCCCGTCTCTACTAAAAATACAAAAATTAGCTGGGCATGGTGGCACATGCCTGTAGTCCCAGCTGCTTGAAAGGCTGAGGCAGGAGAATCGCTTGAACCCGGGAGGCAGAGGTTGCGGTGAGCCCAAATCACGCCATTGCACTCCAGCCTGGGCGACAGAGCAAAACTCCATCTAAAAAACAAACAACAAACAGAAACAAACTTATCCTGCTTTTAAGTTATATCCTATTAGTTTGTCATCTGTCTGTAGCTCCTTTAGGTAAGGAGCCATGTCTGTGTTATGCATCAATATATATCCAGTGCCCAGAGTGCCTACTCAATAAATATTTATTGAATATTGTTTAAAGGTATAATTTTGTTTTGAGACAATGTTATAATTAATATGTAATTATTATAACGTTAAATGTATTACTTTCTAATTCTTTTGCTGAAAATGGCCTTTTATCTTTTTTCTTGCAGTAATTGCCCTTCCTTTTTGGCTGCTGCTTTAGCCAGAGCCACATCAGATGAAGTCCTTCAGAGTGATCTTTCTGCACATTATATCCCAAAGGAAACGGATGGCACAGAAGGGACTGTGGGTGAGTACCTTTCTACATTATTTGTTTAAAAATACTAGAATCTTCTATATGTAGTGGTCCACAGAAAATATCTGCAAAATACTAAATCTAATTACATTTACCTGCTGGTTGTTTATGTAGTGGTAGCAGGGGAGAAAAAATGCAACTTTTTTCAAATAAATCAATAAAAGGAAGGGAAGAAGAGAAAAATACATGTGTATTTTGAAAAAGGTAGAGTAGTATTTAGAAGGTAACTGGAGCAACAGGAGATTGTCATAAGTGATACCTACATGAATGGAAAGATTAAAGTGAGGAATGTGAAGATATTACAAAAAAGATGAGTGGGTGAGGGAGAATTCGAGCAAAACCTATTTGAAATGTTTAGCTTACCTTTAAAAATCCAAGTTAGGCCAGGCGCAGTGGCTCACACCCGTAATCCCAGCGTGAGAGGCTGAGGTGGGCAGATCACCTGAGGTCAGGAGTTTGAGACCAGCCTGGCCAACATGGTGAAACCCCATCTCTACTAAAAAGAATACAAAAATTAGCCGGTGTAGTGGTGCACACCTGTGGTCCTAGCTATTCGGGAGGCTGAGGCAAGTGAATTGGTTGAACCCAGGAGGTGGAGGTTACAGTGAGCCGAGATCACGCCACTGCACTCCAGCCTGGGAGAAAGAGTGAAACTCTGTCTCAAAAAAAAACAAAAAACAAAAAACAAAAAAAAAAACCTTAACTTTGTATCAAGTTAAAAGATACAAAAATTCAAGAAATCAGTTGTAACACAACTTCTCACTAATTATATTAAATTTTATATCTACCAGTAAATAGAGCTCTTTATGATAGATATGCAAATGTGATTTAATTGCATAGGTCATTGTACATTTTTTTCCAGATAAATTATGAGGCTCTATTTCTTAATGAAGTCATGTTTATTAATGTCTTAGGCTTATACATATTTGACAGGATCAAAGAAAATATTTTTATAAAAATTAGAGAATTACTACTCAAAATTGTTAAGAAATTTTAATATTTCATACGGTTTGTTCTATTTAAAGCATTTGCCTTTAATCATGGTATATATGGAGCAAAGCATATGTTAATGAATCTGAGTAGCTAGATTGAAGAGAATGTGAGGCAAATATAAAAGTAAACATTTCTGTTCTTCCTTTATCTCTGTAGATTGTTTGTGACAGAAAATCGGCAAGGAAGGAATTACTCTTCTTGTTTTTACTGACAGTAACTGATTCACCTAGAACCAAATTGTTCCAGAGTCAAGTTGGATAGAATTCTTGCTATAAAGCATTGGTTTTTCCTCTGCTACTGATGCATAGAGTAAAAGCCTTATAATGAAAAGATAGATTAAATTCTGCTTCACTCCAGCCAGGGTAATGGCTGATTCAACTCCAGCTCAGAACAATGACATTAATGACTGATGAGTAATTTACAGCTGTGAGGGGGTGGACTGCTACTTTGGACAGTTTTTTGCATCCCTTTATTATTTTATTTTTCCATTTCAAGCAGCAATTATTTATATACTGATGTCTTACGCTACTCCCTGCAGAAGGAGAATACTTAATCTAGAAAGATTGCAGTGTTGCCCTACATGCCTACTTTGGAAGAATTTTTTGATCCCTTTAAGATAGCAAAAGTGAAATGAAGTGTTTTCTTTTGGTGGATATAATTGGTTATTCTGATTTTTTATTTTTCCAAGAGATTACCTAATAATGTCTCCATACGACTGCTGTGATTCAGACTGATCTACTATTATTCTAAACTATTTGGAAATCTTGTATTTATTTAACCCCAATCACTTAGTGTGAACTGCACCACAGAGAATCTCTATGGGGCATATTGTGTTTATCCATACATCAGAGTAGGAAATGAGCATACTGAATAAGACCTGCTGTCACTGGCTTAAAGTCCTCACTGAAGTGCCTTTTGTCTCTCCTCTTGGTTGTTTCCAAAAACAGTCTTAAAAAAAAAAATCCTTAAATTTCTTTTCATGTTTACATTATCCCTAACAGAATGTTTGCTAAGTGACCTTGGATATCTCACTTGGTACACATTTAGTTTGGTAGATACAACTTTTGTCCAGACAACCTAAAACCAATTTGAGGGCCAGCTGTTGGTGACTCATGCCTGTAATGCCAGTGCTTTGGGAGGCCAAGGCAGGAGGATCACTTGAGGCCAGGAGTTTGAGACCAGCCTGGGCAATATAGTGAGGCACTGTTTCTACAAAAAATTTAAAAATTAGCTGGGCATGGTGGCATGCACCCGTAGCCCCAGCCACTTGGGAGGCTGAGGTAGGAGAATCACTTGAGCCCAGGAGTTCAAGGTTACAGTGAGCTGTGTACTACAACCCGGTCAACAGAGCGAGACCCTGTCTCAAACAATGACAACAACAACCCAAAAAACCAATTTGAAATATCACAGTGTAAAAATTATTATTTTTATTTTTATTTTTATTTATTTTTTTTTTTAGAGAGAGAAAGGGTCTCCCTCTGTTACCCAGGCTGGAGGGCTGTGGGATGATCACAGTTCACTGAAGCCTCTACCTCCTAGGCTCAAGCAATCCTCACACCTCAGCCTCATGAGTAGCTGGGACTACAGGCATGCATCACCATGCTCGGCTAATGTTTGTATTTTTTGTAGAGACAGGGTCTCGCTATGTTGCCTAGGCTGGTCTTGAACTCCTGGGCTCAAGTGATCCTCCTGCCTTGGCCTCCTAAAAGTGCTGGGTTTATGGTCGTGAGCCACTAAGCCCAGCCTACTGTAAAAATTAAAAACAAGAAGGGAAAATGATCACTAATACAGAGGAAATTTAAAAATAATAAAAAGTTTTTGTAAATAAATTTGAAAACCTGGATGTCTTCTAGAAAAAAAAAATAAATTAACAAAGTTTACCTAAGAAGAAAGAGATTGAGAAAATTATCGAGGGACAGTCCTCACAAAAGGCCATGGAGTAGGTGACTCTACAAGTGAGGTGAACATTTTCAAATGCAAAGGCAGATAATTCCAATGGTTTTTTTTTTATTATATAGTTATTTATTTATTATTTTTTGAGCAGAGTCTCGCTCTTCCTTCAAGAATCTTCCTCCCAAAATGCTGGGATTACAGGCATGAGCCACTGTGCCCAGCCCCAATCCCTTTTAAAATGAATGCTCCAACTGCACGGAAAAAGAAGGAAAATTTGCATAACATAACACTGATACCAGAACCTACCCAAGACTAAAAAAGGAAATGAGAGACGAGTCTTAGTTGTCAACATAAAAAAATCTTAAGTAGGCCTGGTGTGGTGGCTACGTCTGTAATCCCAGCACTTTGGGAGGCCGAGGCAGGCAGATCACCTGAGGTTGGGAGTTCGAGACCAGCCTGGCCAACATAGTGAAACCCCATCTCTACTAAAAATACAAAAATTAGCCGGGTGTGGTGGCGTACACCTGTAGTCCCAGCTACTTGGGAGGCTGAGGCAGGAGAATCACTTGAACCTAGGAGGCGGAGGTTGCAGTGAGCCGAGATTGCGCCATTGCACCCCAGCCTGGGCAACAAGAGTGAGACTCCGTCTCAAAAAAAAAAAAAAAAAAAACGACTCATGCCTGTAATCCCAGCACTTTGGGAGGCTGAGGCGGGCGGATACCGAGGTCAGGAGATCGAGACCATCCTGGCTAACACGGTGAAACCCCGTCTCTACTAAAAATACAAAAAATTAGCTGGGCATGGTGGCGGGCGCCTGTAGTCCCAGCTACTCAGGAGGCTGAGACAGGAGAATGGAGTGAACCTGGGAGGTGGAGCTTGCAGTGAGCTGAGATCACGCCACTGTACTCTAGCCTGGGTGACAGAGTGAGACTCTGTCTCAAAAAAAAAAAAAAGGCCTTGACCTCCCAAAGTGCTGGGATTACAGGCGTGAGCCACTGCACCCAGCCTAAAAAAAAAAAAAAAAAATCTTAAGTAAAATATTTGTATATTGAGTACAGCAGTTAATTCATTCACTGAATATTTTATTGAGGGCCTACTATATATGCTACTATATATGTATAATACTAGGGAAACAGCAGTGAACAAAACTTCAAGAACAAAATATTGGGAAGTCTATAGCACAACTTTTATATTAATGGGGGAAAATAAAAATAAACAGTAATCTCTAAAGAAGCCAAAAGAAACATTTGATAAAATTTAATATCATTCCTAAATTTTAAAATATTCTTTATAAAGTAGGCCTAGATGGATATATCTTGGACGTCACATTTATGCTTAATGTATATTCTGGAATTTGTCAGTTGTACATGATTACAAACACAGCTTTAGTTGTCTTCAGCAAAACAGAATGTATTGACTACCTTCCAGGATAAGGGATACACAGGTAGATTCAAGGCATCAAGTGATCTCAACAGAACCTGGCATTTCTCCAGCTCTCAGCTGTACTTTCTTTCACTTTGATTTTGTTTTCAGGCTCCATGAGGTGGCAGTATGACTTGCTAGGAACCCAGGTCTTCATCTCTCCAAACTCAAGTTGAGCAGGAAAACAAGAGTAGATTTTCTCAGTTGTTTTTACAGAAGCCACAGGATTTACTCTAATTGGTCCAACTTGGATGGTTTCCCATTCCTGAACTAATCACTTTTGGCCAAAGGAATGGGGTTGTCTAACTGGCTAAACCTGAATCACAGGGTTTCAGAGTAAAGAAAGAAGGAAATGTTATTGGAAGAAAAAGCAATGTTTGCTAGTTTTAAATAACAATTAAAGCAAAGTTCTGGCCAGCACGGTGGCTCATGCCTGTAATCCCAGCACTTTGGGAGGCCAAGGAGGGTACATCACTTGAGGTCAGGAGCTCGAGACCAGTCTGGCCAACATGGTGAAATTCCGTCTCTACTAAAAATACAAAAATTAGCTTGATGTGGTGGTGGACGCCTGTAATCCCAGCTACTCGGGAGGCTGAGGCAGGAGAATTGAGGAGGCGGAGGTTCCAGTGAGCTGAGATCACGCCACTGCACTCCAACCTGGACTACAGAGCAAGACTCTGTCTCAAAAAAAAAAAAAAAAGAAAAATAATTATAATAAAGCAAAGTCTGATTAAAAATGGCAAATAAATAACCAGGAATAAAGTGATTAAGAAATATGAAGGACTTATTAAAACTCTATTGAGCAACATAAAAAGGATTTAAATTTAAAAAACAATATAATTTTTTCCTGGAAAAGACTCAATATGAAACGATATATATTTTTTCCAAATCTATAAATTTAATGTGATCCCAAACACAATAGCAACAGGTTTTTCTGCCCAAACTTGTCAAAATGTTTAGAAAGTTCATCTGGAAAAATAAACATAAAACTACCCAAGTGACATCCTTTAAAATTAAGAGTAATAGGTAGGAAAACTAGACCTCCCGATATTAAAACATTTTAAAGTTATGGTAACTTAAAGAGAATGGTAGCATTATAGAAATAGATGCTGAGATGAGTGAAGCAGAACACAATCAAGAAGCATATAAATGTTTAATATTTTAATGGTTATTTAATTTATATAACAGTTTACATATTTATTTTTTCAACAAGCATCTAATGTAGACCCTGCTATCTGCTAGGTACTATACTATGGCTTGTCAAGGGCAATTAAGACAGTCTGTATCTGCAGTCTAATTTGGAGATGAAGAACATGGACTTTTGAGTCAGACAGACCTAGGATTGAGAATGATGTTACCTATTTGTGAAATGTTCTAGAGGCATAGAATGTAGCAAATACTCAGTAAATGTTATTTATTATTACCAAAAGTGGTTAAGAGCTTTAATAGACAGCGTGAACAAAGTATAATGGGAACACAGGGGAAGGAGCAACTGGGAGTGGTATGAACAGATCTAGTGATTTACCAATGTTAGAGGAAACTGATATTACTTCCTCTAACCAAGTTAATCTGTCTATACCAGCTCTGTCCAATAGACAGTGCAATGATGGAAATGCTCCCTACCTGTGTTGCCCTATGTGGGAGCCACTAGCCACATGTGGTTATCGAGCAATTGAAATAGAGCTAATGTGACCGAAAAACTGAATTTTAAATTTTATTTAATTTTAACTTACTTTTTTAGAGATGGGGTCTTGCTATGTTGGCCAGGCTGGAGTGCAGTGGCTATTCACAGGAGCTATCATATCATACTATAGCCTCAAACTCCTGGGCTCAAGCAATTCTCCCACCTCAGCCTCCCAAGTAGCTGGAGCTGTTGGCACATTGGGACCACTGCACCCTACTGATTAATTTAAATAACCATGGCCGGGCGTGGTGGCTCACATCTGTAATCCCAGCACTTTGGGAGGCCAAGGCGAGTGGATCACCTGAGGTCAGGATTTCGAGACCAGCCTGACTAACATGGAGAAACCCCGTCTCTACTAAAAATACAAAATTAGCTGGGCATGGTGGTGCATACCTGTAATCCCAGCTACTCGGGAGGCTGAGGCAGGAGAATTCCTTGAACCTGGGAGGCGGAGGTTGTGGTGAGCCGAGATTGTGCCATTGCACTCCAGCCTGGACAACAAGAGTGAAACTCCATCTCAAAAAAAAAAAAAAAGAAAAATGTAACCACATGTAGTTAGTAGCTACTGTACTTGACAATGCAGATCTACATAAGAGTAATATACAAGCCAAAGAATGATATAATAGTTTATATTATTATCTGGGAACTATCCTGATAGTTAATATGTTATTCGTTTCACCCTACTCCATTCTCCCTCAAAGTTTCTAAATTCACTTGATTGTTTTGTAATCCTGTTATGGCTATGTCAGATGAGGACACATCCATCTCAGGGTCTGCATTTGGGGGCCTATACTGCTGCAGAGACCAGATAGGTTGCAGTGATACAAGCAGGTAATTGCTGGCTGGAAGAAATAGTCTCTGGCAGCTAGTGCTTAAATAAAAATTGGAGTTGCTCAAAACAATCAAAATGTTGGATTGTCTATTGGCCTCAGTTTCCTTCTTCTATATACCTCCACAGGCTGTCTTTGCTCTTTGTCTTTTCTCTTTTAAATTCACCCTTGGTTTTCAGTTACATAAAAATGCTAACAGTAGGGACAGGCATGGCAGCTCATGCCTGTAATCCCAGTACTTTGGGAGGCTGAGGTGGGAGGATCACTTGAGGCCAGGAGTTTGAGATGAGCCTGAGCAATATAGTGAGACCCCATCTTAACAACAAAAAAAATTTTTTTTTAAATTACCCAGGTGTGGTGGCATGCACCTGTGATCCCAGCTACTTGAGAGGCTGAAGCAGAAGGATTGCTTGACCCCAGGAATTTGAGGCTGCAGTGAGTTGTGATTACATCACCCCACTCTAGCCTGGGCAACAGAGAGAGACCCTCTTATTTAAAGAAAAAAAAAGCTGGGCATGGTGGCTCATGCCTGTAATCCCAGCACTCTGGGAGGCCGAGGTGGGTGGATCACCTGAGGTCAGGAGTTCGAGACCAGCCTGGCCAACATGGTGAAACCCCGTCTCTACTAAACATACAACAAAATTAGCTGAGTGTGGTGGCGGGTGCCTGTAATCCCAGCTACTCGGGAGGCTGAGGTAGGAGAATCGCTTGAACCAGAGAGGCAGAGGTTGCAGGGAGCTGAGAATGCACCATTGCACTCCAGCCTGGGCGACAAGAGTGAAACTCTGTCTCAAAAAAAAAAAAAAAACTTGGCCGGGCACAGTGGCTCACGCCTGTAATCCTAGCACTTTGGGAGGCCGAGGCGGGTGGATCACGAGGTCAGGAGTTCGAGGCCAGCCATTTGGAGACCATCCTGGCCAACATGGTGAAATGCCATCTCTACTAAAAATGTGAGAAAAAAAAATTAGCTGGGCGTGGTGGCAGGCGCCTGTAGTCCCAGCTACTCGGGAGGCTGAGGCAGGAGAATGGTGTGAACCCAGGAGGCGAAGCTTACAGTGAGCCCAGATGGTGCCACTGCACTCCAGCCTGGGCGATGGAGCAAGCCTCCATCTCAAAAAAATAAAAAATAAAAAATAAATAAAAATTAGCCAGGGGTATTAGCAGGCACCTGTAATCCCAGCTACTCAGAAGGCTGAGGCAGGAGAATGGCTTGAGCCCAGGAAGTGGAGGTTGCAGTGAGCCAAGATTGCACCACTGCTCTCCAGCCTGGACCACAGAGCAAGACTCTCTCAGAAAAAATAAAAAATAAAAATAAAGAAGACAAAACCACAAGACAGGATTTACCACCCTGTGCTATGTTAATGAGGAAAAAAAGGACAAAACCTTGAGGTCAGCTTTTTTAATATAGCCATTTAAAAAATAATTTTGAATACGAAAAGAGGTAAACGTAGTCACAGATTAAGGCAAAGACAGGACTGAGAATCAAGTTGGGAGTCCACGTCCCAGGCTGTTCTAGAACATATAGTCTCTCTCTTCTTTGGGATTTGTATTCTAGATTGGAGGAGGCACGTGTAGCCATTGCCATCTGTCACTTATTTTCTCAGGCTGTCAAGCTATGTCTGATTTAGTTAAGTAAAAAGAAAATTTAAGTTCATTTTTTTTTTTCACCTGAGATGTAGGAGGAACTTCTAAAATACTGGCCTGAGAAAACCTAATCTCTCTTTGGTTATTTCAGTAGCTCAGCTTAAGTGGAGGGCAACTTGAGTGGAGGGTTCAATGATAGGAAATACAATCTCTTCAGTATCATTCAGTGTTGCTTAAAAGGCTTACACATGTGTCCATCTACTGAGGGTACATGTCTGCCTCAGAAGTCAGCTCGCCAATTCTACCCAATAGGTGAAGCGGTAGACATAGGTGAAGCGGTAGACATAGGTGAAGTGGTAGACATAGGTGAAGCGGTAGGTTTAGGGTCAAGAGACCTGTTAGTATTGCTCCTCTGGCTGCTCTCTGTCTTTTTCTATCTAGGATCACACGCATAGACAGAACTTAAGTAATTTTTCCTTAGAGTAGTATTAAAGTTTTAACTCATTTGCTAACCTATTGGCTAAACTGTTTAAACTATGGCCTAAAACTTTAATAAACAAATAATATCAAACAGAAAAAACAGGCCGGGTGCGGTGGCTCACGCCTATAATCCCAGCACTTTGGGAGGCCAAGGTGGGTGGATCACCTGAGGTCAGGAGTTCAAGACCAGCCTGGCCAACATGGTGAAACCCTGTCTCTACTAAAAATACAAAAAATTAGCCAGGCATGATGGCGGGCACCTGTAATCCCAGCCACTTGGGAGGCTGAGGCAGGAGAATCACTTGAACCCAGGAGGCGGAGGTTGCAGTGAGCCAAGATCACGCCATTGCACTCCAGCCTGGGCAACAAAAGCGAAACTCCGTCTTAATTAAAAAAAAAAAAAAGTATATATATACACACACACACACACAATTCAGTTACAAATGATGATCATTTATAGGAGAAAAAAGGGAATTGGATGTAAAGGAAGAAGTCAGGGAGAAAGAGGACAAAGACAAATGGTAAGCAACGTAAACCCTTCTTATTTCTGTAGTTTGTGGGCTGTTTTCGTAGGCCTTCCATATTCCAATAAACACTGTATTTATCCAGCTAATTGGACTACGGAAGCAGTGTTAATCACTGCTTATTTTTCTAAGCATAGGAGGCTTGGCTCTCCTGGTGATAACCATACCAGACAACCAAAAAGAAACCGGTGCTGGGAACTAGGGAGCAGTGTGGTGAGAGCATTTCTCCAGCTGGAAGAAATCAAGCCAGGAATAGGTCCAGCCCTGGCCAAAGGTTTTCTCCTCATGACATAAGAATATTTAGTGGCAGCTGCAGGCTGATGATTTTCCACTAGATAGGTTGTGATTTTCTCTCTTCAGAAGCAGCATTTCATTTTTCTTGAGAAGGATGAATTTCTTCTATGAAGGAGGAACTTGACTAAGGTGACCTACTTCTGTCTTTACCAAGCAGAGAAGTGAAAAGCAGTTTTACAAGGCTCTTCATTGGGGGTTTCTGTGTTTCTTTCACAGAGATTGAGACAGTGAAATTGGCCCGTTCTGTCTTCAGCAAACTACACGAGATTTGCTGCAGCTGGGTGAAAGACTTCCCCCTCCGCAGGAGACCCCAGCTTTATTATGAGACATCAATCCATGCCATCAAAAACATGCGCAGGAAAATGGAGGACAAACATGTCTGCATTCCTGACTTTAATATGCTCTTCAACCTAGAGGTAAAGGGCACTTTCGGAGAGTCAGTGAGATTTTAAAGACAAAACAAACACCTTCATGGTCCTGTTAGAAAAGGAAAACTTCTGTTATATTTCTAATTGTATCTCTGGTAGATTAGAGTAGGGCTAAGTGCAAAGTGGCACAAATTTGCAACAGAAAAGGAACTATTTTACGTTCTTTTGAATAGGTAATGCATTCACATGGTTCAAAATTGGGAAAATAAAAATGTCTCTTATCCTTGCCTCCCAGGTACTCAGTTCCCTTCCATGGAGGCAAGGTAGTCTTTTGTGTCACCTTCCAGAGCTATTCTATAAACATATAAGCAAAAAAGAAAATGATTAGGCTGGGTGTGGTAGCTCACGCCTGTAATCCTAGCACTTTGGGAGGCTGATACGGGAGGATTGCTTGAGACCAGGAGTTTGAGACCAGCCTGGGTGACAGACATAGTGAGACTGTCTCTTAAAAAAAAAAAAGAAAGAAAAGAAAAAACAATTAAAAAAAATTATATCTCAATAAAGCAGTTTTGTAAAAAAAAAAAAAAAAAAAAAAACCCAAACTATTTCTATAGTATAATCAAATGGTGTATTAAGTTCTCACATTACTATGTTGCTGAAGCAACACAAACACAAAAGGAAGATTTAAGACTGACGCAGTTTATTTCATGTGATTTTCTTTTTAAAATCTTGGTCTCTGAGATAGGAAAGTAGCTGGAATTATATTTCATAAATCTCTGTATCTGACAAATTGGATCTATATGAGCCTTGGCAGCTTAATAACTATTTTCTTGTTATCTTTCTTTTCTTTTTCTATTAAATGTATTATGTTAATGCAAACAAGTAGGTTTGTTTTCTTTGCCTGTCACTTGCCTCTTTTCTTCACTCAAGTCCATAACTTAAAAATTACAATGTAGTAATTTATACAAAGCACAATATTTCCTCTGTTTAGCAGCTAAATTTACATTTTAGCTGTCAAGGTCTAATCAGCAATGATGGCAGGTTGGTAATTGGTGTTTATGTTATAAAGATAGATCAGCTGATGTCTTTGTTTCTAGTACCATGGCCATGCAAATGTAACCCAGAAGGATTGTGTGATAAACAATCCTTATATCACTATACCTACTTGAAGATTATACTCATATTTGGGGCATTGTTGTTGTTCGTTGACTTCCTTGGTTTCTGTTTTGCCTCCTAATTTCAAAATTAGCCCAAAGGACTTAACTCAGAAAGGAGAACCTTGCTATAGTGAAATAGATTTTAAGAGCAATATGGCAACACATATGTAGAACCTAATAAATTTTCACACTCTTTGATCTGGTCATTTCACTTTTAATTCTTTATTATAAGAAAATAGAAATGCAGAAAAGTCTTAGGCATGTGTTTTGTTTGACATAAATGTTTTTACAACATTGTTTATAATAAATTGAAAATTATCTAAATCATGAAAGGGAATGATAACTATGATATGCTCATATAAGATGCATATTTTAAGCCATTTAAAACAATGTCTTTAAATAAATCTTAGTGCGATGAGGAAATGCCAATAATAAAAATGACGAAAAGTAGGCTATAAAATGTCATGCACATTCTGATCCTAATTTCATTTATATATATGTGTATATATATATATATAGAGAGAGAGAGAGAGAGAGAGGGAGGGAGGACTGGTTATCTGTGTATGGTGGAATTATTAGTGATATTTCCTTTGTTATTAGTCTAAATTATCATACATTATTATAATAGGGAAAACATCAGTGAATGTTTTGTGTTTTTTTAAAAAGAAGCTATCCTTTTTTTATTTTTTTAAGAAATCCACTTAGCTTCCTTTTGTTTCTTGTGGTGCTATTTCGAGTTGTTTAAAAATGAGTACTGCTTTAGTAGGGATAGAAATTCTACCTGTCAGCATTCTTTATTTCTTTTTTTTTTTTTTTGAAACGGAGTCTCGCTCGCTCTGTCTCCAGGCTGGAGTGAAGTGGCGCGATCTCGACTCACTGCAACCTCCGCTTCCCGGGTTCAAGAGATTCTTCTGCCTCAGCCTCCCGAGTAGCTGGGAGTACAGGCGCGTGCCACCACACCCAGCTAATTTTTGTATTTTTAGTAGAGACAGGGTTTCACCATGTTGGCCAGGATGGTCTTGATCTCTTGACCTTGTGATCTGCCCGCCTTGGCCTCTCAAAGTGCTGGAATTACAGGTGTGAGCCACCGCACCCGGCCAGGATTATTTCTAGAGAGTTGTTTAATCCGTCCTTCATGTCATTAAAGTTGCTGAAAGAACTAGTTGTAATGTGTGTGTTAGACAAAGGTTTCATAACATTTTGGTTATTATTCTATGGACATTTATATTTGATACTTTTGTGAATGTAATATACCCTTTTAAAAGTAACTTTTTCAGCCAGGTGCAGTGGCTCTTGCCTGTAATCCCAGCTACTTGGGAGGCTGAGGCGGGATGATCCTTTGAGCCCAGGAATTCGAAGTTACAATGATCTGTGATCATGCCACTGTACCCTAGCCTGGGTGTCAAAGTGAGACGCTGACTCCAAAAATAAATAAATAAAAAGAACTTTTTCAAAGTACAGATATACTTGTTATTTTAGTAGCCCTTCCAAATCCCCATGAGACAGCAACTCGTCCCTGCCTAACAGATGAGAAAACTACATGATTTGCTTAAGAATCAATGACAGGCCTGGACTC
Source organism: Homo sapiens (assembly GCF_000001405.40). Classification (NCBI taxonomy): domain Eukaryota; kingdom Metazoa; phylum Chordata; class Mammalia; order Primates; family Hominidae; genus Homo; species Homo sapiens. The sequence goes on from NC_000017.11 coordinate 58,968,579, forward strand.
CTCTAAGGCTCTTAGAACAGAAAAAGAAGTCAAAAGACTTGCAAATGAAAATTATTACATACTGTTGCCTGAAGGGAGCTCAGGACTCAGTGCGAGTTCAGTGCGTCACAGATCTCCTAAGTGAGACAGATCTGAGATTTAAACACTTGAGCAGATGATAAAGCAGCAAACTGCTTAATGGTTGATGTGGAATCTTATGATTAGGCTTTTGTCAAGACAAAGCACAGGGTTGGAAGATCCTCCTCTGGCAGTTTACTTTGCAAGGAAATGTGAAACTAAAATCTTAGATCATGGGGTGAGGCAAAGTGGTCAGCCGCACAGGGCATTTGAGCATCTGATGTGGTTCAAGTTTGGTAAACTAGTTTAGAGATGCTGTGCTATTTGTGGTGAGAATGCAGTGTGACTGGGAATGATTTATGAAGAAGGTATTATAGTTTAGAAGTATGTTTATGCTTTCATATCTTTATATATTTTAAACTTGATTTAATTGGCCTTGTGTTGGAAGACCAGTTATTTTCTATTGTTCTCAGGTTCTAATTTTGCTATTAAAGTACTTTCATTTTGAAAAAAATCACTCAATCTGGAGCTGCTTTTGTTCAATTCCTTCTCATACCCTCCCTATCCCCCCTCCCCCAACTTGTAACAGCAATTTTGAAGCAAATGTACGTGGGTGGTTTCCATGGTACAAGACAACAACTTTCACAGAGAGAGGGCACTTCAGCTTGAGCTAATTGGGCATGACATGTTCCAGTGTTCTGGTGTGTAAACACAGATACCCTAATATTGCAGGTATTTCAGCAGTTGATCAGGCATGTTAGAGAAGGAAAACATTTAGTCTCATTATTCTGAATGACAAATGCAGTGGAGGAGAAAGGATGGGCAACAATGATGCCAGGAGATTGGTTCATTTGAATCATGCTATACCCAACTCCCATAACTGTTCTGTGTTTCTGTTGACAGGACCAGGAAGAACAAGCTTACTTTGCAGTGTTTGATGGCCATGGGGGAGTAGATGCTGCTATTTATGCCTCCATTCACCTCCACGTTAACTTAGTCCGCCAGGAGATGTTCCCCCATGATCCTGCTGAGGCCCTGTGCAGGGCCTTCCGGGTCACTGATGAGCGGTTTGTGCAGAAAGCAGCCAGGGAGGTATGCCCCTTTCTCATAAGTTCCAGCTAGAAATGTACTAGCTGAGCTCAATTTGGTCTGTGTGGTTAAAGGGCTATTTAGATTTTCTCTTTCTGGGCAGACATTATCCAAACTGTATTCTTGACTCACAGTATTGGATTCTGTTGTAGTTCCAATTCCCTCCTCAGGAAGAGTTTCAGGGGGTACAATGAGGTACTGTATAGAAAATCTCAAGCTGTAATTTTCTGGATTCATTTCTGTAATAACTGCTGGATTTGGCAGGTGAGTTTCATCTTTCTTTTATTCACCATTGCCTGTCAGGTTCACACCAGGACCATCTCTCTAAGCAGACTCTTGCTGACAAGATCTGGATATGGTGAATAAAACAATGGTCTAAAAAAGAAACAGAAACTGGGATTACTTCCATACATTTGGTTCTAAATGGGTAGGCAGTGTTTTGCTGTGTATCTCTTGAGGGAAAATTCGCTTGGAGAGGGTGAATCCTTAAATGATCCTTGAGCTGATTTTTCTCTTAATAGGGAGAAAAGAAGAGCTCATGTCCTACATTGCGAAGGTTAATCAGACCTAAGTTTTTTTTACTTTGAATAAATGGCAAGGGCTCTATATTAAGGTCTAAAAGTAAAAAAATTAATCTAATTATCGTTCTGGGTATTGGTACATAATTAACTACAGTGTTCTATATTGGATTTTTAACTGGGGACGAATAAAAGAATTTTTAATTTTTAAAAATAATTACAGAAGTAGATACAGACAAAAAATAAGACTCCTGCCCTGTGACTTAAACATTAACTCTTTTTAAAATGGGCTTGGAGAGATCAGGGTAATCATTTAATCCATTTTTTGATAGCATAGTTATGCTACAAGCAATAATGGGGCTTAGAATTAATGAAACAATAACTCAGACCTATTTGGTATTAAGAAAGAGAATTATTCTTCATCTCTCCCCTCCCCTAAGTTTGGATTAATATGCAAATCCAACAGTAACCAGTAGAGTCCACACAAAGAGGTGGGTCTGGAGAATAAAGCCACTCTTGACCTCAGAGCTCCAGTCTCTTGAGGACCTGCATTCTGCTTGGCTCTGCCTCTCTTGAAGCTGTGGGCTTTTATCATCTGAGTCGAGGACAAGGGCCGGCCCCTGAGAGGTGACCCGTAATCATCAATGTGAAACAAAGAGATTCACTCTGTCTTCTTCATCCTCTATTCTATTCTTTTTTTCCTCTGTCTTCTCAAAATTATGTGTTGTTGTTGTTGTTGTTGTTTTCTGACCATGTTTACCTCATTTGTTTTGTCAGTGACCCTGGTGTCTCTCAGTTCTGCCAATAGTTCTGAATAATTTAGGTTTGTCTCAGCGCCCCTTTTCTCCTTCTTATGCTTCCATGTGCTGCTAACTGCTGGGAAGAAAACAGCTATTCCTGTTATGAAGCAGCCCTGCCTCCTGTTCTCTCCAGGGCATATGCACTGAAGTGTGTTTATCATGTGTTCTAGGGGGCTGAGTTTTTGAACATTCTGTGTGGGAAGACATTTTATTGGTGGGTGAGGATTTATAACAAACTTTCCCTATATAGGGAAAACGAGAAGTTGTTTTTCTCATTGGATACAAGAGACCTTTTACCACCCCTGACGCATTGGTTCTAATTTAGGCCAGGTCCTTAGTAACAGAAAGTCATGCTCATTTGGTGGTGACTCATGTCAAATGGGGATGTCATTTTCGTATAGTAGGACCAAGAGCTTTAAGTACAGTCGTAGCTACTGCAGTGAAATTCCAGGCTGTTAGTTCTTTATGCAATGTTCCAAAAGCAAAGACCCCTAAAAATACTGTAGGAAGGATATTTTTTTAAAGGTATAAGCATCTTAGTACTCCAGGGAACGTAAGCTGTCTCTTGGCCCCTTAGCTTAATTTCCAGAGATTAGAGCATCTGTTGTGTACCAATCAGATGTTTTATATATCATTTTATACAGCTAGGACTCTCCCACTGAACAAATACGATGTCAGTAATGAAATGGAGAGCAGAATATAGAAATTTTTACTCTGAGGATTGGTATAGAGGATTTAGTGCTTGACTGGGAGGAAAAAGAATTTCAATTCTGTCTTATATACTAATAGTTACCTGCCCTTGGGCAAGTCACATAACCTGCCATAGTTTTCTTATCTATATTTAAAGTGGAATTAATAATCATCCTCGCCCTGCATATCACAGATCAGGTGGACTTATGTGTGTATATACACATAAATACATACATGCATATACAAATGCATTGAGACAATGAATTATTATATATGTGTGAAATTCCATTATTAATAGTATAGCTCCCAGCTGAAAAGCTTAATTATAAATTGCTTCTCAATAAGAATGTAGTATCTATTTCTTTTCACTGAGTCTAGTTTTATTTAAACTGTTTTCAGAGCTTAAGATGTGGGACCACAGGAGTGGTGACTTTCATCAGAGGCAACATGCTACATGTGGCCTGGGTGGGTGATTCCCAGGTTATGCTTGTGAGAAAGGGCCAAGCTGTTGAACTAATGAAGCCACACAAACCAGACAGAGAGGTAAGTATGGTCTGTTTTAATAGAGCCCATGCTCTAGTTATTAGTTTAGATTTTCTAGTTATTGATTAGGATTCACTTACTTTTTTTTTTTTTGAGATGGAGTTTCACTCTGTTGCCCAGGCTGGAGTGCAATGGTGTGATCTTGGCTCACTGCAACCTCCGCCTCCTGGGTTCAAGCGATTCTCCTGCCTCAGCCTCCCGAGTAGCTGGGATTACAGGCATGTGCCACCACGCCCAGCTAATTTTTGTATTTTTAGTAGAGACGGGGTTTCACCATGTTGGCCAGGCTGGTCTTGAACTCCTGACTTCAGGTGATCTGCCTGCTTCGGCCTCCCAAAGTACTGGGATTATAGGCGTGAGCCACCGCGCCCGGCCAGGATTCACTTAATTATTACAATTATTGCTATCACATCAGCAACTGTGCCCACCCTCCAATGGAGAAACAAAGAGAACCTTTTCATGAGCTGATGAGTATTATATCTGTTGTTTACTGTTAAAGTAAATGAATAAATCCTGAATCCAGTTATTTGCTTCTTTTTATTGCATTGCTGTTTAGGATGAAAAGCAGAGAATTGAGGCCCTTGGAGGTTGCGTAGTCTGGTTTGGTGCCTGGAGGGTGAATGGAAGTCTGTCGGTTTCCAGAGCTATTGGTAGGAAAAACAAATTTTTGTTTCTCCAAACTGTCCTCTTCTAGCTCATTCTCCTGTATCAACTCTGATACAGGGAACCTGAGATGATAATTTATGTTACCAGAATGCTTATTATTCTTTAAAATAATAATTGGATAACGTCTCTTTTAATTGTTTGATTTAGTTAAACCTGTACATTTATATACTTAAATTCCATTATTGAAAGAGAACTGCCAGGCTCAGTGGCTCATGCCTGTAATCCCAACACTTTGGGAGGCCGAGGCGGGTGTATCACGAGGTCAGGAGTTCAAGACCAGCCTGGCCAACATAGTGAAACCCCATCTCTATTAAAAATACAAAAAATTAGCCAGGCGTGGTGGCGGGCGCCTGTAATCCCAGCTACTTGGGAGGCTGAGGCAGGAATATTGCTTGAACCTGGGAAGCAGAGGTTGCAGCTAGTGGAGATCGCGCCATTGCACGCCAGCCTGGGTGACAGTGTGAGACTGTCTCAAAAAAAAAAAAAAAGAGAACCATATCAAGAAATGCAGAATTTTCTAGTTTCTATACATTTAAAATTTTATGGAAGCCTTTAATCAGTACCCAAATCTGCTTCAAACCACAGTGGTTGGGACAGGCACAGTGGCTCACGCCTGTAATCCCAGCACTTTGGGAGGCTGAAGAGGGTTTGAGCCCAGGAGTTAAAGACCAGCCTGGGCAACATAGTAAGACTTCATCTCTTAAAAAAACAAAAAACAAAAAAAACAAAGGCCGGGCGCAGTGGGTCACGCCTGTATTCCCAGCACTTTGGGAGGCTGAGGTGGGCAGATCATGAGGTCAGGAGATGGAGACCATCCTGGCTAACACGATGAATCCCCGTCTCTACTAAAAATATAAAAAATTAGCTGGGTGTTGTGGCACACGTCTGTAGTCCCAGCTACTTGGGAGGTTGAGGCAGGAGAATCACTTGAATCTGGGAGGCGGAGGTTGCAGTGAGTCGAGATCGCGCCACTGCGCTCCAGGCTGGGCGACAGAGCGAGACTCCATCTCAAAAAAAAAAAAAAAAAAAAAAAAAAAAATTGCTGGGCGTAGTGGCTTGTGCCTGTAGTCCTAGTACACAGGAGGCTGAGGCGGAAGGATTGCTTGAGTCCAGGAGTTTGAGGCTGCAGTGAGCCAAGATTGTGCCACTGCACTCCAGCCTGGGCCAAGGGAGTGAGATCCTGTCTTAAAACAAAAACAAAAAATCATAGTGTTTCTCATTTCATTGCATTTTGGGTCAAATCAGTATTTTTCAGAGAATGGAAGCCTTTCTCCGTATTTTATCCACATTCATTTTGTTTATGCCTCTAAATTATTTCCATGAATTTTAAAATGACATAAATAACAGAATAAGTTGATAGGAAAAGCATTGTGCTTTTTATATGAAAACTACTTTCTGTATGTGGAATACAGTCACCTGTCAGATAACCCTGGAGTTTCAAAGAACCCTATATCCCTGGGACTTAAATTTTTCAAAAGAAGGGAAAGTCAATGAAACTCGGTCTAAAACGTAGAGATTAAACAGCTAAGTTGGCTGGACAAAATACAAGGGTATAAGTTCAAAGAATTAAGCTATTTCTGTCTTTGTCTCACTTTGGGCCCTGGGTTTATTATTTTAGGCTTCATGGCTTAGCTTCACTTCCTGTTTTTTTAAAAAAGAATAAATCAATATGTATATCTATATGGGTGATATGTACATTACATGTATACTGCAGTTTTTAATCTCTGCTTCCCTAAAGAAATGAAGTAATTAGACATGGTTGGAATTCACATCTAGTCTCAAAATTTAGTTAAAAATTACCAAAAATTCCAGAACATGAAGAAAATCTGAAAGGATTTAGCTTTCACCACTGATTTGAGTTCCTCCCACTCTTTGGGAAGGTGCTAGCAAGCTGTGAAGTGGCCCAAATATGAGTAGAAAGCTGAAAGAGAAATAGCTAAAAGAGTCTACAAATACCTCCTGAAAAATTGAGATTTGGCTTGACCTTAGACTGGAGGGAATTATTAGGAACTCTAGAATAAGGCCAAAAAGGGGAAATGTCTCATTTCTAAAATATACCCTTATATGGAATTATTATTATTATTATTGGTGGGGAAAAGTCTTTATCATGCACATTGTAGGTTTAGCAGGACCCACTACCCATCAAATGCTACCCTTGACTGAAAATCACCGAACCAGAGGACTATACTATCTGTGGAACCAATTTACGTTAATGATCATTATATGAGTGCTTGAGTGGCCAGTGAATTAGGTTTACAACTCAAACCAAACACCTATTTCTCCTGATCTGACCTTTGTCAGAGGATTGAGGATCATCTTTAATACTTGTTACAGAACTAACTTAATAGAGAATACCAGCTTCTTCTTCTAAAAGGGAAAACCAAAGCAGGGAAGAATGTCCCTTAATAAGTGACAATCTCAGAGAAAAGGCTGGGTATGGCAGCCAGCACTGTGGAAGGCCAAGGAGGGAGGAATGCCTGAGCCCAGGATTTTGAGACCAACCTGGGCAACATAGTGATACCTCATCTCTATTTTAATAATAAAAAATAAACAATCTAAGAGTGGATAAGGGAGACTTCATACATAGAGTGACTTTTGAGTTGAATGTGGAGGATAATGTGCTGGGAAGGAAATCCCTACACAGGTAGAGGGAAATATAAATACACAGGGGTTTGAAAAGGCATGGCATGTTTTAGGAAAAGCAACAAGTCCAGGAGGTTAGAGCAGAGATGGGAGTGGTAGATTAGCAGTGTTGGTGCCAGATTGCAAAGGGCCTTATGTGCGAGGCTAAGTAGTCTGGACTTTACCAGGTGAATACGCAGAGGGGCCACAGGGTCAGCTTTGTATTTATAAAGATATTTGTATGGAAGCTGGGCTAGAGTAGAAAGAGCCTGGCTGGGAGACATTCATACAGTTTGTTACAGAGATGAGGAGAGCTAAAAAGGAATATGGAGGAGGGTATCAACTGATGAGATGGATTGGTTGGTGGGAAAACCTACTAATCAACAAACAATCTGGCACTGGAAATAGGCAGTAACATAAAGGAGCAAGTGTAGATTTAGTTTCTTGGGCAGTTTGATGGTGAAGGGGAGAAAGGAAATAGTGTGGTGGCTTAAGGCAAAAGCTGATTCAGGAAAGGGTTCCTTTTTATTGTTTCTATTTTTAGGACGAGGAGATTTTAGATTTGAGCATGTTTGTAGGACAAGGAAGAGAGCAAGTAGAGGAGAAATTGAAGACGAGAGAGTAGAGAAGCCAGAGCAGCACAGGCTCACTGTTAGGATGGGAAAAGGACACTGCTTACCCTGAGAAAATGGTAGCTGATATGGGAGAATCTCTACAGATTAAACAGTGCATGTGTGGCAAGGGTGGGAGGGGAATTGAGAAAATTCAAGCCTGATCAACTTGTCTTTGAAGTAGGAAATTAGGCCATTTACCAAAATCCAGTAGCTTAAGTGGATGAGGGAGTTGAAGAATTTGAGAAAGAATTGGAAACCACATGGAATAAAATGGGGGGCTGCAAAAGGACAAGAAAAAGGACTCCTGGGCAGAGTTCAGCTCTACTCAGGAAAGAAATGATACTTATAAAAATGAAAAGGTTTTCAACAGTTTCTCCCCATGAGCCCTTCAGATTTATGATCCAAAGTTGACAGAGGCATGATATGTTTCCTAACATATGGAGAGAAGAGGTTGAAGACAAAAGGATGTTGCCATTTCTACGATGAAATGGATATTCATGCCCTCCTACCAAATTTGGGGGCGAAATGTCATGAATTTGACACCCAACAGTAGAGCAGGTGAAAAGCCAGAACTTTGGCAGCATTTTCTCTGTACAAATCTTTGTATGTTCTGTTCCAAACTAACAGTTGCAGCAGTCTTTTAATTGAAGCACTAAAACAAGATTTTTGGGAACAGTGTGACTCAGATCACATTTATTTTTAGAGGCGGAATTCAAAAAATAATAATGATGATAATCATATAGTCAGGTAGAATAGGGGATGGGAACTTTAGTAAATTGGTGAAGGACACTGAATCCCATATTGGATTTTATTTATTATTTATTTTTAAATATCTTTTAAATTTTTGCATTTTCTGCTTAAATAGATTGAGTTTTAATGAGCTCTAACAGGCTATGGAGGCACCTTAGCATATAAGTGAAGTTGATTAAATCAAAAGCATGCTTGGGAAAGATGGTTTTGACTCCTGTAAGAAATAATGAATGAGGGCTGGGCGCGGTGGCTCACACCTAGAATCCCAGCACTTTGAGAAGCCCAGGTGGGTAGATCACAAGGTCAGGAGTTCAAGACCAGCCTGACCAACATGGTGAAACCCTGTCTCTACTAAAAACACAAAAATTAGCTGGGTATTGTGGTGCGTGCCTGTAATCCCAGCTACTTGGGAGGCTGAGGCAGGAGAATTGCTTGAATCCGGGAGGTGGAGGTTGCAATGAGCTGAGATCACACCACTGCACTCCAGTCTGGGCCACAGTGAGACTCTGTCTCAAAAAAAAAAAAAAAAGAAATAATGAATGAATGAATGGAGAAGAGCCTAGATATGAGTAAGATGAGAGGTTGTGTTTGTGAATGGAAGGAGTGAAATGAACATTTATAATGTCGAAGACTAATTTCTTACCTAATAGATATACTAACTCAGGTAATTATATTAATTATTTGTTGCTCTGTGTATCTAATCATGCAACCTGCTAGATAGGGCATGTGCCCACATTGGTTCTAGCAGAGTTATCCATAGGGTTCCTAATGAGCTTTCTAGCCTATTTGAGGATTAAACAGGGATGTTAAATGTTGGAAAGAAACTTTTTTTTGAGACAGAGTCTCCCTCTGTCATCCAGGCTGGAGTGCAGTGGCGCAATCTGGGCTCACTGCAACCTCTGCCTCCTGGGTTCAAACAATTCTCCTGCCTCAGCCTCTTGAGTAGCTGGGACTTTGCATGCATGCCACCAGGCCCGGCTAATTTTTGTATTTTTAGTAGAGACAAGGTTTCACCATGATGGCCAGGCTGGCTTCGTACTCCCGACCTCAAGTATCCTCCCGCCTTGGCCTCCCAAAGTGCTGGGATTACAGGCATGCGCCTGGCCAACTTTCTTGTGTCAAAGAGAACCTATAACAGATACTAGAAATAATGAATATATAGTCAGATTACTCAAGTGAGTTTATCTTCATTTTAATATTCCCTGAGTCAAAAAGTTCGGTTTTAGTGCAATGGAAAGGATAGTAATTGATGAGAGTTGTGTAGGTGACAAGTAGAAGAGCTAGGATTTGGACCCAGGCAGTCTGACACTAGTGCTGGTGTCCTTAACCACTAAGCAATATGCCACTGCTATACAGTAAAGCCCTTTGTAAATATCTGGAGTTTATTTCTTGTTTTTATAATACTATGTAATGATGATTTATGATACCCTACTCTAGGAATTATTGCTCAGTACCCTGTGTGTGGTTTTGTTTTTATTTTTTTGTAAAGAAGTGAATGAGAGGCCAGATGCGGTGGCTCATGCCTGTTATCCCAGCACTTTGGGAGGCCGACACAGGCAGATTATCAGAGGTCAGGAGTTCGACGCCAGCCTGGCCAATATGGTGAAACCCCGTCTCTAATAAAAATATAAAAATTAGCCAGGTGTGGTGGCGTACGCCTGTAATCCCAGCTACTCCGGAGGCGGAGGCAGGAGAATTGCTGGAACCTGGGAGGCAGAGGCTGCAGTGACCCGAGATTGTGCCACTGCACTCCAGCCTGGGCGACAAAAAATAAAAATAAAAATAAAAAAGTGAATTGAGAGTCCCTTGTTGTAGTCATAAGCTATTTGGTTACCTCATAGGCTAAGGACCCTTTTGCTGCACTCTCACAAGGTACCTAAAGGAATGTAATCAATGTAAACAATGAATGGATTTGGAAGTGCTCTGGATCTGAAAGCCCTAAATGATCAATTATCTCAGTAGTCTGGTGATAGAAACCTAGTTTAGTGTGGTCCCAAGGTCTGCAGTCTCGCTCCTACCCCAAGCACCCTACTCTCCAACTGTACATTACTCCCTAACAGTTGCCTCTGCCTTTGCTTATCCTGTTCCCTCAATTGAGGCAACTTCTCTGCCTGGTGATAACTAACTTACCCTTCAGGACCAGCTCAGATGTCATTCTGTGAGAGGACGAAGCTAAGCAAGAAAAGGAAGAGAGAAAGGCCCAGAAAGACCTTGGGTTCTCACAGTTGTTAATGAGTGGGGAAATGCACAATAACAATAAAGACAGAAGTGGGGCGATGAGCAGAGCCATATGAAGAATATGGCAGTCTCTAAATATAAGAGAAAAATGGCCATACATTTTGTCTGTTCTCTAGAAGTTACAGGTAAAGCACCACTAAAAAATAGAAAGCCAAGTGGGTTGGGAATCAAGAAAACTGCATTCAGCTCCCATGTGTGAGGCCTTGGGTCAGCCACATAACTCCTCCTGGCTTAAGGGAGTTAGACTTGATTTATAAAATCTCGTGTAACTCAAACCTTCCTTCGTGCTCGCAGCATGAAGCTATTTATTGATTTCTAAACAAGAATAGAACAAAAATTATTTAATGAAGAGAATGATCAGAGCTTTGGTTTGCTTCTTTCAATGTGGGCTTGTTTTCAAATTTCAATTAAATCAAAACCACCTGCAAAAGAACAGATCTACTGAATCAACCATGTCTTCCTACACAGTGTACTGAATTTTTCAGTACAGCAACAAACTTTTAGATCTGACATTGTTGTTACACTCAGCTAAGCCTAAATCATAGCCAGAGGTGCAGATTCAGAGTCTAAGCTAGGTAAGGACTTATGCCCAGTAACTAGCAATTATTTAACTGGGAGTAAGGAGTAAGCAGATCTGATTACCAGAGAATTTAAGTATTTTGTCAAAAACTATTTTATAAATTCTTTCCAGTCAAGTCAGTTCACAATCCAGTAAGCTGTGATCAGAGTCATGGCATTGGTCATAAACGTTCTTAGCATGCAAGGTAAAACAAATGCTAATGATGCCCCTACACTCTGCTTCCCGCAGGAGATGCTGAACATAAGCCATATATCTGTGGGGATGCAGATTCTGCCTCCACTGTTCTGGATGGGACCGAAGACTACCTCATTCTGGCCTGTGATGGCTTCTATGACACCGTGAACCCTGATGAGGCAGTGAAAGTTGTGTCCGACCACCTGAAAGAGAATAATGGAGACAGCAGCATGGTTGCCCACAAATTAGTGGCATCAGCTCGTGATGCTGGGTCAAGTGATAACATCACGGTTATTGTGGTATTCCTGAGGGACATGAACAAAGCTGTAAATGTTAGTGAGGAATCAGATTGGACAGAGAACTCTTTTCAAGGAGGGCAAGAAGATGGTGGGGATGATAAGGAGAATCATGGAGAGTGCAAACGCCCTTGGCCTCAGCACCAGTGCTCAGCACCAGCCGACCTAGGCTATGATGGGCGTGTGGATTCATTCACTGATAGAACTAGCCTGAGCCCAGGGTCCCAAATCAACGTGCTGGAAGACCCAGGCTACCTAGATCTCACACAAATAGAAGCAAGCAAACCTCACAGTGCCCAGTTTTTGCTACCAGTTGAGATGTTTGGTCCTGGTGCACCAAAGAAAGCAAATCTTATTAATGAGTTAATGATGGAGAAAAAATCAGTTCAGTCATCATTGCCTGAATGGAGTGGTGCTGGAGAGTTTCCCACTGCTTTCAATTTGGGTTCAACAGGGGAGCAGATATACAGAATGCAGAGCTTGTCTCCTGTCTGTTCAGGGTTGGAAAATGAACAGTTCAAATCCCCGGGAAACAGAGTTTCTAGATTGTCTCATTTACGCCACCACTACTCAAAGAAGTGGCACAGATTCAGGTTTAATCCAAAGTTTTATTCATTTCTCTCTGCTCAAGAGCCTTCCCACAAAATAGGCACTAGCCTGTCCTCACTTACTGGAAGTGGGAAGAGAAATAGGATAAGAAGTTCTCTGCCATGGAGGCAAAATAGTTGGAAAGGGTACAGTGAAAACATGAGGAAGCTCAGAAAGACTCATGATATTCCATGCCCAGATCTTCCTTGGAGCTATAAAATAGAATAATTTTTCTTTCAAGTAGGTTAGCTAGCTCTCCCCCAATAAAAATACCACTATCAGAGTAGAAACAAGGTAGACATTTCTAAAACATATGTGCTTCATTATGAATCCATGGATGGCTCAATTCTTAAATGTAAATAGATCTCTAGGAAACTCAAAGTACAGTGTTTTCAATCTAAAAAGAAGTATTGGCAGTTTCACTTGCAAAATTACACAGCTGGTCCCTGTGATGTGTCTCGACACCAATACACAACCCCCTTCCCACCATCCTTCATGTCACTAGATACACAACCCCCTTCCCACCATCCCTTCAGTCACTAGTGGAAGCTTTCAAGTTAGTTATTTCAGTCAGGATATACAGTGTTGAAATCTCAATGCAGTTGAAATCTGGTCTGATGTGCCTAATTTATCTGTGGAAAATTTAATGCTGAATTACATTTGGTTGGGAAATGTCCCTCAAAATCCTGGGCACTATGAAGGAACCCCCTGCCCCCTCACCTTTTTGGGTAGGTAAAAGACTAAAAGCCATATGGATTTTAACTGATAACAATGAAAGTGGTAAATCAGTGTAAAAGTGTCATATTCTCAGACTTGTGAGGCGGTTTATAGTCAGAAAGATTTACGGATTTTTTTCCTGTAACATAAAAGATTGTGAACTTTTTTTAATTAAAAAATATTTCCTAGGGCTGTAGTTATTTGGGAGTTTCATAACCTGTTATGGTGCTTTTGGTGGAAATTTTTATTATTTAGCATTTTAGGAGACCGCTGTCAACTGGTTTTAATCTATGATGCTAATGTGTTTTCCACTGTACCCTCATCTCAGGAATAAAACTGCTTTAACGGAGATGATGTCAGGTACAAATACACTATAGAGTCAAAATACCATTTACAAAGAAAATCAAAAGCATTTCTATATTTTGTCTTTTTTTAGTTCAGACAGCAAAGGCATGTACTACTATAAAATACAAAGTGATTTTAGAGAATGAAAAATGCTACTTTTATCTTCTCTAAAATTATTTCCCCCAAGGTAGTGAAGTAATTGGAATGAAGGAGGCTGAAAGTATTGTCTAAAGTGAGCCCAGAGGCCACTGAGAATGCAGATTACTGACAGCCAGGTCTGTTTAGTTGTAATTGGAAGACACATGAGTGTCCTGCTTACATGTAGCTTCAGACTGCAGAGACAGGACGTGTGCTTTTCATTTCAATATTTAGTTATATTTGATATTTTGAAACTGTCTGCTTTTTGCTATTTCTGCAGTTTCAAGTTAGTTAGAAGCATGTTGTCAACTAAAGACAACAAACTATCAGATTCATTCATTCAGTGAAGCAGCCTCTGATTCTCTAAGAGTCACGAATGTCTTAGTGTTACCCTCCCCTAGTCAACAGCAGACCAGCCTGGCCAATGCCTATGGGTGGCCCCTCTGGAGTGCTCACTAACAAGGGTGAGTGCTCTCGCTAAGAAGTGTCCCCCGCCTAATCATGTGTTTATAGGATAGTACACGTTCCCCAGGCCCATAACAGAGGACTAAAATCTCTGAATTTTAAAGACACAGATGACTGGCATATTTTGGATACCAGTATAGCTATATCAAATAGACAAAAACAGCTTCACTTTAGCAATGATCAGATTGTTAATCTACAGATTTTATTTTTTAAAATTTGGATGTAAGTAGAGACTTTCAGTATTTGTTTTCTCTTGATTTTGAAGTCATTTCTTCTTCTCACGTCTGTGACAAATGGTTGAAAAGGAGTCAACATGGCCCCAACTATAGTGCCGGAACCTTTTCATCATTCTGAGGCTTTGCCCCACACATGGTCCTCACTCATATCTGTCACCTTCTGAAGCCTAGATCTTGTTAACCCATCAGGTGCAGTGTCAGTTTCAAATCAAATTATCTAAGAAAACAAGAAAACAAAGGCAGCAGACTATTGGTACACATTATAGTCCAAAGTGCTTAGCGAAGTAAAAAAAAAAGCTTTTTAAAATTTCTATTGTTGTCTATTGGTAATGTTTTTGATCAGAATAAAGAGGGTAAAGGGAAAAAGTTACTACACATGCTAGGCTTTCTCAGTGGGGAAAAAAATGGCTGGATAGAACTGGGACAAACACAGACCCATCTTTAGGGGTCTGGATTTTGTAGGTCCGACTACACAGCAGTGTTAACTCATTTCTCATGCCATTAGCTCTCTACAAAATAAAGCAAAGTAGTTCTAGTGTGGTCGTTATAAACCAATATTGTGAAAAATAGCAACTATTCATTTGTTCACAACATGCGTATTTATAGAGTAGTTAGGTACCATTTGTAAGGTAAATCCTTTAAAATTCTATAATACATACTAAAATAGTGGTTATTGGTCTGATATATGCTGCTCTTGGTTCTATAAACTAGATAAAAGCAGTGCTTTGTGAAATGCAGTGTTCTCTCTTAACGCCACTGGTGATAGGAAGTAGTTCCCTTCAGTTCAAATCCTGTGCCCTTATTTGCTGCTTGCTGACGTAAGCAATAAGTAACCCTCTAACTAATGGTATCTACATATTTCTGTAACTTGTATTTAATGATGGTGTACCTGGTGATTGTAAAAATATTAGACAGATATAAAAGTATCTATATAATATCTATAAACTGTTAATGCTGAGGTATAGTCTGTGAATTATGTGTTTTGTATTTTTATTCATTGTGTAATTTAGTGGTGGTGAAAGTTCTACACTCAATCCTTAAAGAGTGGCAGTATCCCTTTTTCAATTTAACATGGTCTGCATCAATCTGTTTGCCTGCTAAACAAGTTAGAATAGGAAATAGTAAAATAAATCCAAACAAGAGTGTAATATTGGTTAGGGAAACAAACTTCAGGTCACCAACTGAAGTCATTACAAACTCCTTGTACATTCACTGTGAGTTTCAAAGGGAGTCAGTCCCTAATTTACAGGTTTCCTTTGTTCACTTTCTAGATGTGTACTTTTGAGGGACATGAGGTTAGGC
The DNA here is from genome assembly GCF_000001405.40 of Homo sapiens. Taxonomy (NCBI): domain Eukaryota; kingdom Metazoa; phylum Chordata; class Mammalia; order Primates; family Hominidae; genus Homo; species Homo sapiens. The sequence continues at coordinate 58,984,007 of NC_000017.11, forward strand.
AACATTACAGCAACACACACTGGGGCTATTAATCCCATTTAGGTCTGTACTAAAGAGGATGGGTAGAAACACATATGTATATACCTTTTCTTTACCTAGAAGTGCCATCCATTGTCCTTGAATTATTATGATTAAAGTTACTGTTGCATTTAGGAGGCTCCTTGAAAGTAACACCTTTTCCAAGGACAATGGCAACAATGTCAATGTCAACACTGAGTCTAATTTTGACCACATTTATAGTGGTATAGTGTCAATACTGCATTTTCATGACAACCACACTCCACTGTTGAAACACTGTGCCAGTGAGAAGTGCAACATCCAGTGGGCAGATGAAAATGATGCATGGCCAAGTTCAGTGTTTACAGATAAAACTGCTGTGGTTCAAGTGCTTCCTTCCCCATCAAATCCTTGATAAGGCTTTGTGGGAAAATGATCTAAATTATTGTTTTAATTTTTAAACCTAATTTATTCACTCAGTGAACATTCTTACCTAAGCAAGGCTATAAAAGGGAATACTACAGTTTTGTCCACACTTTAATTTGAGACCATTTTTCTTTGAATCGTAAGTTAGCAAAAGAAATTTTTTTCACCTTTGAAAATCACGTGATGTTAAAGGACAAATGCCCACTCTTCTATTCTGATCTGCAAATAGCTTAAATGTCTCTTGCAAAACAAAGTAAGATACCACCAGTATTACAACACAATGATTTTCCAGACAAATGGTATGGTGTTGAAAAATAACTGTTACTTCTTAAAGCAGCATTTTATCTTCTATTTTGAAGACTATTTATTGTAATAATTAGAAAACATGAAATAGGGAACTCCAGACTGACACAGCAGTTGTTTTTGAAAAGGAAATAAACTTTGATGAATTAGATAATCCAGATACATCATTGTAAACTCTTACTCTAGGTGCTCTTTGGTGAGAGACAGGCTTTGTTCTCTTGTTCATAACATTTCTCTGCAAAGAATTCTCTATGGAGTGAAGCGAATGAAGTGAATAATTTCTTACCAAATAAATTTATCAATTTACAAATCTGCTCTACATCTCACTTTTGAGTTCAGTTGTAGTCATGAGTGATCCTTCATATTTTATTAAAAGTGTTCATTCAGGTAAGGTGTATGTTGAAATTTTGCCAATTATCTTAATAAAACCTGGCAATTTAAAAACCACTAGTCATTTGTCTTTTTATTTAAAGGAAAGGTAAGTTATTTACTGTTTAAATTTGTGCAGATTTCTTCAGAACTGGAAAATAAAATCCTGAGATGGACGTTAAGTTTGGAAGCTTGGAACATTTAAAAAGAAGATTTGCTAAATGCTGCTGTAACATTATTTTACCCCAGAAGAGAGGTATTTAGCCTTATACATGTTCTCTTCATTAGCTGAACTGCGAGGAGAGGGAGTGGTGTTATAATCCTAAAAGAAAAGAGGAACCCGACCTGCCAAGGACTAAGCGGTGGTCATCAAATCTCCCAACTACTTCATTCTTAGAACTCTGCATCTAACCAAGCTTTCCCCTTTCGCTTAGCCTCTTTGAGTTTCAAGCTAGAAGAAAGTAAGGAAATCATCAGATGAGCTGTGGTGGAAAGCCTCCCAAGGACTGCTGATAAGTGAGTAAAAGGAGACAGAGACAAAAAGGACAATGTGGGGGAGGGAAGTCACTTACGACACCTGCATCTGAAGGGAGGGAACTGACCTTCCAAACGAGTCAACCTTGTCAATACACTGCACTGTTCTCCTGCCTACCAGTAAAGAAGGCCTTTACAATTAATTTTACATAGTTTCAAAAATCTTCAACTCCTAATTCCCTAAATTCATTCAGTCCTTGGCATGACTTTATATAGAACCAAATGAACAATTGAGAAAAAAAAGGTGAAGTTTTGAAAGAAGGACATATTTGAAGGGGTTTACTGAAGCAGGGAATGACAGAAAAGGAACATTTTGATTAGTAAGTGTTACACTTGAAAAAATTCCCTAAAATATAGTATTACTTAGATCAAAAGGAACACCTCTTTCTGAAGGAGCAGCACACAGCAAGACAGAAGGGAACCACTAGGTACAGTAAAATCATTTGAACATCATAGAAATTTACCCAAGTTACCAAATTATCAGAAACAACTGTCTGTACTGACAAGCTGCATAACTGAGCATTCCCCCCCACACCCGCCCCCTGTTGCTGTCAGTGTGCATCATTTCCTTTCCTTCTTTTGAGATGGAGTTTCATTCTGTCACCCAGGCCGGAGTGCAGTGACGTGATCTTGGCTCACCACAACCTCTGCCTCCCAGGTTCAAGCGATTTTCCTGCCTCAATCTCCCAAGTAGCTGGGATTACAGGCGCCCGCCACCACACCCAGCTCATTTTATTATTATTAGTGGAGGTGGGGTTTCACCATGTTGGCCAGGCTGGTCTCGAACTCCTGACCTCAGATGATCCACCCTCCCACCTCGGCCTCCCTAAGTGCATCATTTTCTTTTTGATTGCAAGTTTCCATCTGTCTTTTTTTTTTTTTTTTTTCTTTTTTGAGACAAGAGTCCTGCTGTGTCACCCTGGCTGGAGTGCAGTGGTGCAATCTCGGCTCACTGCAACCTCTGCCTCCCAGGTTCAAGCAATTCTTGTGCCTCAGCCTCCCAGGATGCTGGGATTACAGGCGTCGGCCACCACGCCTGGCTTTTGTGTTTTTAGTAGAGACGGGGTTTTGCCATGTTGGCCAGACTGGTCTTGAACACCTGACCTCAAGTGATCTGCCTGCCTTGGCCTCCCCAAGTGCTGGGATTTACAGGTGTGAGACACCACGCCCAGCCCCATCTGTCATCTTAACAGCAATTAGTAAAGAACACTTTTTCTATTGTGCTTTAGGGAACCTCCTTTTGCTTGGCCTAGGAATAACCTTATGGAAGATCCCTTACTTACATTTAAAACAAGTCACATTCTTTTCTGAGAGCCCCAACTGTTGAATATGTTTAGTAAGAAGCGCTCTTCCCTGGGCAGTTGGTTGAGCCTGCCTCTTATGCTGAGCTGTAGGATGCTGCCCCAGTCACGCAACCTCCAGATGAAGTGTGTCCTCTCCTCATTGTGCAAACAAGGGCCCTCACACACAGGTTCTATTTGATTTTTATAATCTTGCTTTAGGACCAGGGAAACAAATGTGAAAAACTGTCAAGAATGATACACATTTGGGGAAACCATTTTCCAAATGAGTAACTGGAGTTTAACTAAAGATGATGAAAAAGTTGTCCCTGCTAGTCATTACATTGAGTAGTATGACAGCTACAGGATTAGGGGTGGCCAATTAAGCCAAATCGAGTTGCTACGGGTTCACTAGGTCAAATGAAACCCAGTGGGAGGTGAGCCTATGCAGCAGCCTTTCCCAAATGCACACCAGGAGACACTGACTGACCTGAAGGTCTCGGGCAAGGACTCTGGCCCGCAGGGTCTGCAGAGCAGGAATGGAAGGGAGACTCCCGGTCAACATGCCAGCCAGAGAAAAGGATTTTAGAAAGAGAGCAGCCCGTACTACTGATGTCCCAAACTACACTGTGGCTAATCTTACCATTTGCTCTTAAGCATCCCTAAGCAGAGTTCTAAAACTTCTATAAATCTAGACTATGAAGGCATGTATTGGTAGATGTGAGAATGAGAGGTAGAATGAGGAGAAATCTAAAAATATTACCACATAAAAATTCAAATGAATATGCAAAAAAGAAAATAGCTCTTGGGGTTTTCTATTTCCCAAATTTTTCTAATCTTATCACCTTTATAATTCAAACATTTAAAAAACTAGATAAAAAAATTAAAAATGGCTCATTTTCTGAATTCTGGTTTTAGGATTAATTACACTCATGTTTTACATTCAATAAAATGTGTGTTTTACATATATACATTTTTAAATCACAGCACTTCCAGCTTCCACTCCGGGATGTAGGGGTAGAAGGAGCATTTCTTCTACTCTTACAATGCAAACGAGCCAGATGAACTATAAATTAGGACATTTTTTCGAATCCATTGGAAAGCTGAGGTTGCAGAGTAACCAAGTGGCACCAAATGGAGAGGGGCAGTTGCCTGCAAGGGGAGAGAAGACATTAGCACTAGTTTCGTAGGGTCGTTGTAAACAGACACTGGAAAGAATAGGCTAGCTAAAAGTGATGATTGGTGAAGGCAGAATATGGGCTGCAGGAGTGTTAAGACCCGGGGGCCTGCAGAAACTAGGGGAGTCGCCCTATCTTGCAGGCTTTTTCTTTACAATCTCTACCAGGGGCTCAGAAAATACTGTAAAGAGCCCTAAGAAGTGTCGGCTGTGACACACACCCAGGGGAGTATACAGCGGCCTTGGGCATGGGTAAAGGAACTTACCATACCCTTTCTCTCATCTCACAGAACAAAAGCACCCTATGAGGGAAAAGGAGCACAAATACTGTTGCCGTCTGGACACTGGTGAAAAGTCACTGCAGCAGAGAGAAGGGACTATGGAAGAAAAGCCCCATCCCAGAGGAGGGGGCAGAAATATCACTGGGCCCACAATTAGCTGGGAAGGGGCAAGTAAACAGAGACCCTCCCAAACCTAGGGACACAGTGCCTAAAACTGCAACCTAATCCAAGAACGCCAGCCCCTCCCCAGCCCCCGTTACACTTCAAGAAACAGCAGAGTATTTCCAGGAGGAGGACAGCAGAGCAACGGAAGCAGAGAGAGAGACCCTCTTGGAGACCCAGCACAAAGCTTCTGAGCCTGGAAACTCAGGGTCAGAAACACAGTGCTCTGGTATCCAACACCAATCAGAAATACAAGGTATCATCACAGGAACTCGAGACCACTAAGGATAATCATAGCAAATCCAATCTTGAACCAAGCACAACTCCTAACTACTATTAGATTGGCATAAAAGTAATTTTGGTTCTTGCCATTAAAAAATGCGAAAACCACAATTACTTTTCCACCAGCCATAATATATTAATTCAACCTCTGCCAACAAAGGTCTTAGCAGCAGGAAAGGCCTCCTTACTTTCAGGTGTAAAAACTATTCACCAAAGTATCTTGTCCTATGTGAGATGTGTTGCTATTAACAAAATATATAGAGTCATATGAAAAGCCAAGAAGAAAACATTCTGAAGATATGAAACATTCATCAGAACCAGAGTCAGATAACAGAGATTTTGGAAATGAGAGAGAATTTTAAATAATTATTGTTTTGAGAGGCCAAGGTGGGAGGATTGCCTGAGGTCATGAGTTCGAGACCAGCCTGGTCAACATGGCGAAACCCCGTCTCTACTAAAAATACAAAAATCAGCCAGGCGTGGTGGTGCACACCTGTAGTCCCAGCTACTCAGGAGGCTGAGGCAGGAGAATCGCTTGAACCTTGGAGGTGGAGGTTGCAGTGAGCTGAGATTGCACCACTGCACTCCAGCCTGGGTGACAGAGCGAGACTCTCTCAAAAAAATAAAAAAAATAAAATTATGTTTACTATGTCAAGAAAAATGGTGGATACTATGCAAGATCATATGGGTGATTACAGCAAATCGATGGAACCTATAATTAAATATTAATAGAAATGTAAGACATGAAAAATGCCAAAACAGAGATGATGAATGCCTTCAGTTGGCTAATCAGTAGGCTCTAAACTGCTGAAAAGAAAATCAGTACATCTTGAAGATAAGTTAAAAAAATTACCTTAACTGAAACACAACAGAAAAAAATGAAGGGAAAACAAAATCAACCCAGAACGTAATATACAAAAGCTGTGGGACAGTATCTGTGTAAAATATGCACAACTAGAATCCTAGAAGGAGAAGAGAAAGATAATGGGCAGAAGAAATATTCGAAGAGATAATGGCTTAGAGTTTTCCAAAACTAATGACAGACACAAAACCACAGATAAAAGAAACTCAGAGAACATCAAGCAAAGCTAGGTGAGGTGGGTCACACCTGTAACCCCAGCACTTTGGTTGGCTGAGGTGGGAGGATAGCTTAAACTTAGGAGTTCAAGACCAGCCTGGGCAATGCAGTGAGACCCCCTCTGAAAAAAAAAAATTAGCTGGACATGGTGTGTGGCTTGTAGTCCCAGCTACTCAGGAGGCTGAGGTGGGAGGATTGCTTGAGCCCAGGAGGGTTGAGGCTGCAGTAAGCTGTGATCATGCCACTGCTCTCCAGCCTGGGTGACAAAGCAAGACCTTGTCTCAAAAAAAAAAAAAAAAAAAAAAAAAAAAAAGGCTAGGCATGGTAGCTCACACCTATAATCCCAGCACTTTAGGAGGCCGAGGCAAGCAGATCACTTGAGGCCAGGAGCTTGAAACCAGCCTGGAAAACATGGAGAAACCCTATCTCTACTAAAAACACAAAAATTAGCTAAGCATGGTGGTGCACGCCTGTAATCCCAGCTACTAGGGAGGCTGAGACACAAGAATCGTGTGAACCTTGGAGATGGAGGTTGTAGTGAGCTGAGATCGAGCCACTGCACTCCAGCCCAGGTGACAGAGTGGGACTCTGTCTCAAAAGAAAAAAAAAAATCAAGGCTGGGCCCAGTGGCTCATGCCTGTAATCCCAGCACTTTGGGAGGCTGAGGCAGGTGGATCACAAGGTCAGGAGTTCAAGACCAGCCTGACCAACCTGGTGAAACCCTGTCTCTACTAAAAATACAAAAATTAGCTGGGTGTGGTGGTGCGCACCTGTAATCCCAGCTACTCAGGAGGGTGAGGCAGGAGAATCACTTGAACCCGGGAGGCAGAGGTTGCAGTGAGTCGAGATCATGCCACTGCACTCCAGCCTGGGCAACAGAGTGAAACTCTGTCTCAAAAAAAAAAAAAAGAAAGAAAGGAAAAAGAAAAAAAAAAATCAGAGCACACCAAGCAAGGTAAATACCAACCACACCACACCTAAGAAAAAGAAGTTTCCTGGCCAGGCACGGTGGCTCACGGCTATAATCCCAGCACTTTGGGAGGCTGAGGTGGGCAGATCACCAGGTCAGGAGTTCAAGACCAGCCTGGCTAACATGGTGAAACCCCATTTCTACTAAAAATAAAAAAAAATGAGCTAGGTGTGGTGGCGCACGCCTGTAATCCCAGCTACTCAGGAGGCTGAGGCAGAAGAATCATTTAAACCCAGGAGGCGGAGGTTGCAGTGAGCTGAGATCGCAGTATTGCACTCCAGCCTGGGCAACAAGAGTGAAACTCTGTCTCAAAAAAAAAAAAAAAAAAGAAAAAAGTTTCCTCCTAGTTGGTTACACTGGTGAATTCTACTAAACAGTTAAAGAATAAGGCCAGGCAGGGTGGCTCATGCCTGTAATCCCAGCAATTTGGGAGGCGAAGGTGGGTGGATCACATGAGGTCAGGAGTTTGAGACCAGCCTGGCCAACATGGTAAAACCTTGTCTCTACTAAAAATACAAAAATTAGCTGCGCGTGGTGGCAGGTGCCTGTAATCCCAGCTACTCGGAAGGCTGAGACAGGAGAATCGCTTCAACCTGGGAGGTGGAGGTTCCAGTGAGCCGAGATAAAAAAAAAGTAATAATAAATAAATACCACCAATTCTACACCCTCTTTTCCAGAAAATAGAACACTCATTTTATGAGGTCAGCATTACTCTGACACCAAATCAGATGACGACAGAAAATTTCAGACCAGGATCGCTCTGAATATAGATGGAAAAGTTCTGGCAAAATATTAGCAAAACAAATACCATTACACACCTATTAGAATGGCTAAAAAATGGCTGGTTAGCTCAGTTGGTTAGAAGAAAAACCAAAAAGAATGGCTAAAAAACTTCTGGCAGTGCCAAATATTTGTGAGATGCCACTGGAACTCTCATGTGCTACTGATGGGAATGCAGAATGGTATGTCACTGTGGAGGTTGGGCAGCGTCTCAGTAAAGACTCTACTTACCATATGACTCAGTGCAATGAGTGCTGACACCAACCACCCGGAGTTAGGTCAAACTGTACAGGTTATGGGCAAAGTCTTCCACAAGACTGCCCTCATTCCAGACACAAGCTCCAAGTTCCGGGATCCTGAGGCCACCCTCACTTCTGATCAGCTGATTACAAATTTGGGCGTATTTGCTATCCTACTCATGTTTAATAATTGACTAGAACAACTCACAGAACTCAGAAATGCACTTATGATCAGAGTTTCATTATGACAAAAGGTTACAAATAAAGCCAGCTAAAGGGAGAGATACATAGGGTGAGGCCTGGGAGAGGCCCAAATGTGAAGGCCCCTTGACTTCAGGACAACTTACTCTCCAGGCACACTGATATATATATATATAAATATAAATATATATATATTTATATTTATATATATTTATATATATATAAATACATATGTAAATATATATATATATATATATAAATACAGAGTACTGTCAACCAGGGAAACTCACTCAAGCTTTAGTGTCCAGTTTTGAGACGGAGTTTCACTCTTTTTGCCCAGGCTGGAGTGCGATGGCACAATCTTGGTTCACGGCAACCTCCACCTCCCGGGTTCAAGTGATTCTTCTGCCTCAGTCTCCCAAGTAGTTGGGATTACAGGCATGCGCCACCACGCCTGGCTAGTTTTGTATTTTTAGTAAAGATAGGGTTTCTCCATGTTGGTCAGGCTGGTCTCGAACTCCCGACCTCAGGTAATCTGCCTTCCTCGGCCTCCCAAAGTGCTGGGATTACAGGCGTGAGCCACTGTGCCCGGCAGGTGTCCAGATTTTTTACTGGAACTTCCTTATGTAGGCATAACAATCATTGGCAATGAGTTGAACTGGGCTATCACATGGTTCAGAGCTCCAACTGTCTAATGACACCCACAGCATTTCTGGTGTAGCCAGCCCCGATCCTGAGTCATCTCATTAGCATACACTAGCAAGGCCCACCATAAATAACTCCTAACACTTGAGGAATGCCAAGGATTTAGAGGGCACTTCCCAGGAACTAGGACAAAGGCCAGACAAATTCTCTATTGCACACCCAGCAATCCTGTCCCTAGGCATATATGGTTTGGCTGTGTCCCCACCCAAATCTCATCTTGAATTCCCACATATCATGGGAGGGACCCAGTGGGAGGTAATTGAATCATGGGGGCAAGACTTTCCTGTGCTGTTTTTGTAATACTGAATAAGCCTCATGAGATCTGATGGTTTTATAAGGGGGAGTTTCCCTGCACAAGCTCTCGTCTGCCACCACATGAGATGTGCCTTTTACCTTTTGCCATGATTGTGAGGCCTCCCCAGCCACGTGGAACTGTAAGTCCAATAAACCTCTTTCTTTTGTAAAATGCCCAGTCTCGGGTATATCTTTATCAGCAGCATGAAAACAGACTAATACAGCATGTAACACTCTAGAGAATAAAAGCTTACACTCACACAAAAATCTGTACCCAAACGTTTACAAGAGTCTAATCACCCTAAACTAGAAATAACCCAAATGGGCAAATGAATGAACAGTGGTATATCCACACAGTGGACTACTACTGCTCAGCAATAAAAAAGAAGGAGGTGCTGATTCACACAAGATGAGTGAAACTTAACTGCACTTTGCGAAGCGAGAGGTCAAACTGTGATCCCGTTTACATGACTCTGGAAAAGCAAAAACTAAAAGGGCAGAGAACAGATCAGATCAGATCAGATCAGCGGTAGCCAGGAGCTGTGGGGAAGGGGGGTGGTTACCTATAAAGGGCCAGCACAGGGGAATCTTGGGGGTGACTGAAATGTTCTGTATAGTATTGTGGTGGCGGATACAAGACATTTGTTGAAACCCACAGAACTGTATGCCAGAAAGACTGAATTTTAATGTATGTAAATTTACAAATTAACCAGGATATGTGGGGGAGGACAGAATGTAGACCATAACAGATGAACCTGTTACACCAACGAAGCACAAAATCACAATGAAGGGATTTTGTGAAAGAACAGAACTAATGTAATTTTGAACCTAAATATCTTTGAAAAAAATGTTATGACACAATACTGAAAAGCTAAAGACTAAAAGAACTGTATACAAGCACTGTATTTTAGGTGGTAAATCTGTTTTTTGTAGGGCATAGCCTGGAATCCACAGGAGGCCAACGGTTCTGAAGCTACTTGTATATTAGGGTTGAACAAGTACATACATATATTGTAGCTAATGAGAGCTAGGCTTCTGTCAGAGAAAGGCATTATAAATAAGAGGGAAGGCCAGAATGAGGCCTCTGGAGCTGAACTGTTACCAATATAGACTCACAGTCATAGTGACACACACACACAGATATGTACAGAAATACACATAAATGTGTGTATTTGCATGAGTTAACTATACAGTCAGCCCTCTATTATCTTTGGTTTCTGCATCCATGGAGTCAACCAACAATAGACAGAATTTATTTTTAAAAAATAATAAAAAAAATAGCACAATAATTTACATAGCATTTACATTGTATTAGGTATTACAGGTAATCCAGAGATGATTTAAAGTATCTGGGAGATCAGGCGTGGTGGCTCACACCTGTAGTCCCAGCTACCTGAGAGGCTGAGGTGGGAGGATTGCTTGAGCCTAAGACTTCATAGCTGCAGTAAGCTATGCACAGCTGCACCCTAGCCTGGGCAACAGAATGAGACCGTCTCAAAACCCAAAACAAAGTATCCAGGAGGATGTGCACAGGTTATATGCAAACACTATACCGTTTTATATAGGGGACTTGAGCATCTGTGGACTTTGGTATCCACAGGGAGTCTTGGAACCAATCCCTCACAGATGCTAAGGAACAGCTGTCTATATACATTTTCTTTCTTTCTTTTTTTTTTTTTTTGAGACAGAGTTTCGCTCTTGTTGCCCAGGCTGGAGTGCAAATGGCACGATCTCGGCTCACTGCAACCTCCGCCTCACGGGTTTAAGCGATTCTCCTGCCTCAGCCTCCTGAGTAGCTGGGATTACAGGCATGCGCCATCACAGCCAGCTAATTTTGTATTTTTAGTACAGATGGGGTTTCTCCATGTTGGTCAGGTTGGTCTCGAACTCCCGACCTCAGGTGATCCACCTGCCTCAGCCTCCCAAAGTACTGGGATTACAGGCATGAGCCACTGTGCCCGGCCATACATTTTCTTTTTTTTGAGACAGTGTCTCACTCTGTCACGCAGGCTGAAGTGCAGTAGCACGATTTTGGCTCACTGCAACCTCTACCTCCCAAGCTCAAGTGATCCTCCCACCTCAGCCTCCCAAGTAGCCGGGACCACAGGTGTGCACCACCACACCCAGCCAATTTACATTTTCTATCTATCCATTGAGTGGGACTAGAAGCAGTGACAGTCTAATAATAATAAATATGTGGCATCCAAATCTTTGTTTCTAGATAGCATTCTCCAATAAAAAGAACCATGGTTCCTTAGGAAGTGGTTAATTCCATGGCTGGGGTAGGCATCTTGTGATGTCAGAAAGCAAAGAAATGCTTAAAAAAAAAAAAAAAGAAGAATGAGACATATGAAAAGGGCACAGGAGCCAATCTGGAAGAGTTTCCAATGGCTAAAATTAGAACAAGCCAAGCTACAAAATATTAACAGTATTGAGTCATAACTCAAAAATAAATATCCATCATATATAGATATATAAAGTAGCTGATATAAATAAGTAGCTGAAATTACAAAAATGGGGAAGAAGGGACTTTTCCTCACAGCATTCTAACAAAAAACATAGAAGAAATTAGTGAATTAGAAAAGTACCATTAAAACATTACAGTAATAATTCCCATAGGCAAGATCGACTACTAGGTGCTAAAATTCGTAAGCAAGAGTTTTGGCTGGGCGCAGTGGCACATGCCTCTATCGCAGCACTTTTGGAGGCTGAGACGGGAGGGTCACTTGAACCCAAGAACTCAAGAACTCCATCTCTATAAAAAATACAAAAATTATCCCAGTGTGACTGCGCATGCCTGTAGTCCCAGCTACTTAGGAGGCTGAAGTGGGAGGATCGCTTAAGCCCAGGGGGTTGAGGCTGTATGAGCCAACATCGCACCACTACAGCATGGGTAACAAAGCCAGACCCTGTCTTCCAAAAAAAAATAATAATAATAATTAATAGAAACAAGGTATCTGCATAGTTTCAAAGTATCTGCCCCAAATATTTAGTAATTACAAAGGGGGAAAACGTAAATCTATAGTAGGAAATCCTCACAGACACCATCTTAACCAAGTAATCTCAAGGTTAAGTTCACCAATAAAAAAGTATCAACATCAGGGCTGGGCGGGCACAGTGGCTCATGCTTCTAATCCAGCACTTTGGGAGGCCGAGGCGGGTGGATCACTTGATGTCAGAGTTCGAGACCAGCCTAGCCAACATGGTGAAACCCCATCTCTACTAAAATACAAAAATTAGCCGGGCGTGGTGGTGCATGCCTGTAATCCCAGCTATTTGGGAGGCTGAAGCAGGAGAATGGCTTGAATCAGGGAGGCAGAGGTTGCAGTCAGCTGAGATCATGCCACTGCACTCCAGCCTGGCCGACAGAGTGAGAACCTGTCTCAAAAAAAAAAAAAAAAAAATCAGTATCAGGCCAGCATCGCACCTGCAATCTAGCCTGCAATCAACCTACCACTTTGGGAGGCTGAGGCAGGGGGATCACTTTGAGCTCAGGAGTTGGAGGCCAGCCTGGAGTGAAACCCCATCTCCACAAAAAATAGAAAAATTAGCCAGGTGTGTTGGTGGACACCTACTCAGGAGGCTTAGGTGGGAGGATCACTTGAGCCTGGGAAGCAGAGGCTGCAGTGAGCCAAGCTGGTGCCACTGCATTCTAGCCTGAGCAACAGAGTGAGACTCCATCAAAAAAAAAAAAAAAGTATATATATATGTGTGTGTGTGTGTGTGTGTGTGTGTGTATGTATGTATATATATGTATATTTATATATCAACATCATATCCCCCCTGATGTGATGCACTAAGGGCCTTCCCAATAATGCATAACCTCAATTTAATATAGGAAAGCATCTGTCAAACCCAAATAAGAAGAACATTTAATAAAATAACACATCCTCTTCAAAAATATCAAGGTCATGAAAGCAAGGAAAGGCGGAAGAGCTGTCATATACTGAAGGATCCTGAGGAAACATGGTAACAAAATACAATGTGGGATCCTAGACCGGATCCTAGAACAGAAAAAGAACATTTGTGAAATAACTGGTGCGATCTGAACAAATTCTGTAGTTTGGTAAACAATATTGCAACCAGGATTAACTTCTTAGTTTTGATCACTGTTCTGTGATTATGTAAGGCATTAACAAAAGGAGAAGCTGGGCAGAGGGTATACGGAAACTCTTGCACAATTTTTTCAACTCTTTTGCAAACCTGAAATTATCTCAAAATTAAAAGCTAAAAAAAAAGAATAATCTTTAGGTTTTAAATTATTAGGTATCAGAATGTTGGGTCTGCTGCAAGTGAGATAAAGTGGAAAAGGCACTAGACCAGCAGTTCACCCCATCCCTGCCAGTGGTTTTGAACCTGAAGAGAATCATACAACCTCCCTGAACCTAAGGCTCCATGGCCAAACAGGTTTGATACACAACTCATCTACCTCAAAGGTTACTTAAAGATCAATGACACAAGTAGTTAAAGTTGTCCAGAAAGGACACGTTCACAGACAACACAAGCATTAATGTATCTCTAGCCCTAAGAAAACTCTATTCAGGAGAGATTTTCCAGGAATGAACTTGAGATAAAATACTAAATACAGAAGCAAGGTAACAGCAGACTGTTCTTCAGCAAAAAAGGAAAGGTTACAAAAATAAAAATAAAAAAACATGCTGAGGGCTCTATCAGGGTACAGAAAGAGCAAGAAAGTAGGACAAGCAGAGAGTGGAGCAACTGGTTCTTCTCCTGTGCCTCTTCCTTCCCTCTCTGCTACCTAAAATTTAGCATAGCAGACTACATCAAGGAAGAGGGAAAACAGCGGTGTTCCCGACATCACCAAGGAACTCAGAGCAGCTTTAGTATATAAGGTGGCTTGGAAACGAGGGGGAAACTACTTTCCTGTCCTAAAAGCAAACAGGTCTGAACTAAAAGCTATCATCTCTGAAGAAATCTTTTGGCCTTTCAGGTTTATTCTAATTTTAGAATGACTGGGATCGATGCTAGGCATCACTCCTCGCCATTAGACTAAACACAAACTAATCAAATGTTTGGATCTTCTCTACACTACTAATGAGGCAATGAGTAGAAAAGAAGGGGTTTCTGGTCCCAATTTAATAAACAGCAGAGGCATATTTTCTCAAGTTGATTTTATTAACAAAAAGTGCAAACTATTTTGAACAAAAGTAAACTATGAGTCACAGCATTCAGCAAGACATCAGACACGGAAGAGTGAACAATATTCACTAAGTAAAATACAGCAGATGAGATGTCTCTCACATGTATATTTAATTATTCATGCTTTTTCAATAGTCTCTTAGTCAACTTTCAGTGTAATTTCCACAAATATATAGCAGCTCAAACACAAATGCAGGAGCACAATGGCAAAGTTTGGCAACTGTTTTGGGCTAATTATGAGTATGAAAGAAAACCTTATATCACAGTTTCACGTTCATGTAAGCCACTGTGCAACATGAATGAATCTTTAAATGTGTTGACACTGAAATCAATGTACAACTAATGAAAATAAAGAAGAAAAGGGGGCTTTAAAATATTTGTTGCACTACAGTCGTATAGTAAGAGGCAGAAAAAAATGAAAGAATTTTAAATAATCTTACACGTGTCTACAGGGCCAGGAACGTAATGAATCCATGTTAACTTAATTTCATTTAAAATTACATTTGTAGAAGTCACACAACAGAAAGATACCATGCGGTTGAACAGTGTGCCTGTACTTGAACAAGTGAGAGAAGATACATACTCCAAAAAGGAGATTCAGTCTAGTGTTACTTCAGTTATTCACATAGTGTCTACAGGGCAGAATCTCTTCCAAAGCAATTTTCTGTTCACTAATCTACAGGCACTAATGGAACTGTAATTAAAACCCCAAATATAAAGATGATTATTTAAACACAACTAAGCTCTAGCCAAAGACAGTAGAGCACCAATGCCGGGCGGGTTACTGACGGCATGCAGGGCCTGGAGGTACATTTTCTGGCAGTTAACCAGCCTTCTGCTGTAGTAGACAAACTGCCTTTTGTGAATGTACAAATTTGCTAAATTAATAGAGAACTACATTGTTATTTCCTTACATTACAAAGAACTCTTCCCATACTGTTTTTCCCATGTACTACTGCTGTCTTAGACTAAACTGTGCCACCTTCCAACAGTTTCCAAATTACTATTTCAGGTCGAGATAATGAAGAAATAAGACCAAATCTGATTATCTGACTGATGACAAATTTGAGCACCAACTACAGCAAAATTCAGGGTCAAGGTAGCTTGCAAGTCAGTTCTCTTGATTTGGCAATTACCTTCCACTATTTTCATCTGTATTGAAGCTGAGATCTTCAGGGCCTATTTGTTCACCATCAGGAAAACTGGAATGTGTATCTATGATTAAAAAATAAATAAAAAATTTAAAATTTAAAAGCATATAACAAGGGCAGTATTTTCCTTCCCAAGTCTTTAAATAATCTTACCAAATGTGTTATTTAAGTGATAAAGATGTGCTGGGTTGTGAACAAATCTCTGTCTTCAGAGAATTTGTGATCTGAGTCAGGTATAAGCAAACACAAAGGAAAAATAAAGGAGAAAAAAACAAAATGTGTAATAGACACCCACAATTAAAAGATGACAGGAATTGTCTCATTTTGTCCTCCTGGGGACAATCTGGGGACAGCTTAAAAAGGGAACAAGAAGCAATGGTGTATATTCTCAAGATTCAAGACCTTATAAACATAAAACATATTTCAAAGCCAATTAAACTACGCATTCAAGTATCACTACAAAAACCCACCAGCACTCCAAATAACTTGCACAAAATTTGGATGCTTATTTTAGAAGCAGAGGAAGTTACTAAAGATGCCTTAATACTTACAAATCATCAAATGCTTGGTTCTGTATTGAAAAAGATACCAGAGCACCAGGAAAATATGCAAAATATAAAGCAGAAAATGGCATAGGCTTAACAATGTTGTCACTCCAGGATATCTTGCAGAGGAATGTTCAGATTGATTATTAAGGCCTCTGGGTAACTTTAAATGTGTATTTCTCTAACTTGACAGTATATCCTTTTACTGATTAATCTGTATTCCAGAAAACTGCTTGACAGCAGAATACTTATGGTATATCCACATGATAGAATATTAGGTTGCCATAAAAAATGAAGTTTATGAAATTTTAAATAACATACAAATATATTTAAGTGAAAAAAGCAGAATAAAAAACTATTTATAAAATATTTAGGTAGGGCTGGCATGGTAGCTCACACCTGTAACCCCAGTACTTTGGGAGGCCAAGGTGGGCAGATCACCTGAGGTCAGGAGTTCGAGACCAGGCTGGCCAACATGGTGAAACCCTGTCTCTACTAAAAATTACAAAAACTAGCTGGATGTGGTGGCACATGCCTGTAGTCCCAGCTATTCAGGAGGCTGAGGTGGGAGAATTGCTTGAACCCAGGAGGCAGAAGTTGCAGTGAGCTGAGATTGTGCCACTGCACTTCAGCTTGGGAGACAGAGCAAGACTCTGTCTAAAAAAAAAAGAAGAAGAAATGCAATGCAAATAAGACAGAAGAAAACAAGGGAAAATATTAATAGTAGGTTTCTCTTGTTTTTTTCCTAATAACTTTTTTGGGGGTAGGAGGGAATAAAAATTATTTCATAATCTGCATGTATTTCTAAGTTATTTTTATTTTAAAAGGTTAAAGTTATCTTACAGTAGGCTAGAAAAGGAAAAAAAACCCAAACATCTGAAATCTCCCCAGGGATTGGCAATCATTTCCTATGAAGGGTAAATATTTAGGCATTGTAGGCCACAAATGGACTCTCTTGAAAATTCTTCTTTGGGCTGGGCACGGTGGCTCACGCCTGTAATACCAGGACTTTGGGAGGCCAAGGCAGGTGGATCACGAGGTCAAGAGTTCGAGACCAGCCTGGCCAACATGGTGAAACTCCATCTCTACTAAAAATACAAAAACATTAGCCAGGCGTGGTGGTGTATACCTGTAATCCCAGCTACTCAGGAGGCTGAGGCAGGAGAATCGCTTGAACCCAGGAGGCGGAGGTTGCAGTGAGCCAAGATCACGCCACAGCACTCCATCCTGGGTGACAGAACAAGACTCCATCTCGGGGCAAAAAAAAAAAAAAAGAAAAAAAAAACCCACAAAGAAAATTCTTCTTTGTTTCTTTTGCTTGGTTTTTAAAGACTCTTTACAAAGTAAAAACCATTCTCAGGTCACAGACTATACAAAAGCAGGTTGTGGACCCCGTCTCTGCCCAGTAAGTAGCACTCATTAGGTGCAACCAAGCCAAATATTACTGGCTGTGTTTTTTTAGTACTCACCATAATAGTTAACCAAAGAATGTTGTCTCACAAATGACAATAATTAAAAAAAAAAAAAAAGAAGTAGAAGCAGAAGAAGCAAAAGCAGTAGAGCGGAAAAAGTAGAAGTAGCAGCAGCAGAAGAAGAAGAAAGAGAAGCGGCAGCGGTGGTTTTAGTAATCTGTGTAAAATGACATCATGTGCTGCACCTTCATCCGGGGGCTGTGTCATGACCATGAAGGAGTCGTGAAACCCGCCCACACTGGTATGCTCTTCCTGCTCCTCATTCTCAGTGTCACATTCAATGTCACTGTCGCTACTCATTCCTGGCAGGAAGGAAGGAGAACATGTTTCTGAAAAGAAACCACTGTAAGTAAAAGGAAACAGAAATCTCCGTATCTGCTAAACTGAGATTCCTATTGAATTTTACATGGAATGCCAAGAATTCAACAAACTAAACACTAACAAAACAAAGACAAAAGTAACCGCACAAACCTCGATTCTCTTTAGCTATTTAGAGTGGTTTTATTTCTGTTCTCAAAGTTTAAAATTGCCCTTTCCATAGTACCTGAAAGTTATTATTTGAAACCAGCATTAATTTTATTATACTGATAATACTTTTTTCCAAATCAAACACTGTTTTTTTTTCAGTCACAAGAGATAACAGGAACTCTTTTAATCCTGATTCATTATAGACATAATTATATTCCCTAGCCTAAAACATAAATATAAATGTGTTATACAAATCCACATGGTGTATGAATATTAGAAATTCTGGCAATTCTAATAATAGTTTGTATTCTAATTGGGCATCTAATTTTTTTGTGTATGTCGGTTGATTTGTATTTATTTTTATTTTTTGAGAGACAGGGTCTCGCTCTGTCACCCTAGGCTGGGCTGCAGTGGCCTGATCATAGCTCACTGCAGCCTCAAACTCCTAAGCTCAAGGGATACTTCCGCCTTAGCCTCCCAAGTAGATAGGTCCACAGGTACATGACACCATGCCCTGCTAATTTAAAAATTTTTTGGAGGGACAGGGTCTTGCTATAATATGTTGCCCAGGCTGGTCTTGAAATCCTGGGCTTGAGAAGAGATCCTCCCACTTTAGCCTCTTACAGTGCTGGGATTACAGGTCACTGTGCCTGGCCACATCAGTTGATTTTTAAAAGAATAATTCTATAAAAAGTATTTGTTTCAGCAAGATAGCAATCAAGAAAACCTGAAAATCTTTCTGCTACAAATCCTTACAAATAGCAAGATAAAATATAAATGTAAAACATTATTTTAATGAACAAGCACATTAAAAGGCAGAAAGGAAATCCACAGTGTCAGAAACAAAGAAAGATAAGGAACTTTCATTAGTGGGTCAGGGACCACAGTTGCCCTGGAGAGCTTCCTGTGAGGATTTTTAAACACTGCCTTGGGATAGAAAAATGAACCCCCCACAGAAAGGGAATTAAAAGTGAGACTAAAACTCCACCCCCTGCATAATGTTAAAATTTTTGTTTGTTTTCTTGAGACAGGGTCTCACTCTGTTACCCAGGCTGGAGTACAGTGGTGCAATCATGGCTTACCACAGCCTTGACCTCCCAGGGCTCAGATGATCCTCCCACCTCAGCCTCCCAACAGGCCTGTGCCATCACACCTGGCTAATTTTTGTAATTTGTTAGTAGACATGGGATTTCGCCATGTTGCCCAGACTGGTCTTCAACTCCTGAGCTGAAGTGATTCACCCGCTTTGGCCTCCTAAAGTGGTGGCATTACAGGCATGAGCCACCATGCCTGGCCAATGCTAAAATTCCTATTGAAAGAACAGACTAGAAAAATGTCTGCCTACTGGCATAGGAAAACAGCAAGGAATTTTGTCTGTTTCTACTGGGCTCTGAAGAGGGGGAAAAAAGTCTTACCTCAAAATTCAAAGTAAGATTTATGTGCCTAATTTCGGTTTGGGATTTAAGGTTGAGGTTCAAATTTTAAGAAATTAACATAAAAATTGTTCAGGAGCTAGTGTTATTTGAATAAAGCAAAAGTAAAATCCTCTCTGGAAGGAAGGTTCTAGGTACAATGGAGCAAGCACATTCCACTCTATCTTTTCCACTGAAAGTAGCAATAAAACCTGGAGAGATGGGTAGTGTAGTTATTTAAGGATATTCATAGTTATTTACTTTGAAAAGTAAATAGAAACAGGCATACTGATGAAGACTGAATTTGAATGACAGCAAAACTGGCAGATTAAAACAAGACCCAGAGTCTTATTAAAAAAAAAAAAAAAAACCTAATGAAAATGTTCAGGATACAACCCCAAATTATTCAGCATATGAAAAACCAGGAAAGACAACCAACAAACATCAATGATGAGATGACACAGATGTCTGGAATTATTTAAGGGCTTTAAAGCTAGATAAAATGCTCATCAGCCAGGCCTGGTGGCACATGCCTGTAGTCCCAGCTACTTGAAAGGCTGAGGCAGGAGGATCGCTTGAGCCCAGGAGTTTGGGACTAGCCTGGGCAACTTAGCAAAGCCCCATCTCTATAAAAAAAAAAAAAAAAAAAAAAAATTTAAAAATTAGCCAGGCACACATTGGTGTGCACCTGTAATTGTCCTAGCTACTAGGGAGGCTGAGGAGGGAGGCCCACTTGAGCCCAGGAGTTCAAGCCTGCAGTGAGCTATGATTGTACCACTGTACTCCAGCCTAGGTAACAGAACACAAGACCCTGAGGGACAGAGGAAGGAAGGAAGAATTAAGAATGAAGGGGATAAAGGGACTGGTCTAAATTGTGTCAAATAGAATGCCATAGAGATAGCAAAAATAACAAAGGAGAGACAATAGATAAAAGGAAAAAAGTTGAAAATTTTGTAGAATTATAAAAAACATTCTGAATTAAATACAAATAAAACATATCAAAATTTGTGGGATGTGACTATAGCAGTGCTTAAAAGGAAAGGTATGACATTATTTATATTAGAAGAGAAAATATCTCAAATCAATAATCTAAACTACTACTTTAAGAAACTAGAAAAAGGAAATTAAACTCAAAGCAAGTAAAAGGAAGGAAATAATAAAAAACATAATAAAATCAGCAGAAAAACAAAAAAACCACAATGAAACAAAATGGTGTTTCTTTGAAAAGATCGATAAAGTTAAAAAAGCCTCTAGGTAGATTCACTAACAAAAAGAGAGCAAACAAAATTTCCAATATCAGGAATGAAAGAGGACATCAACTACAGGTTCTATAAACAGTAAAATATAATAAAATGCTATCAGTAACTGTATGCTCATGAAACCAAAAACAGATGAAATGAGCAAATTCTTTCCTAGGTACAAACTACCAAAGGTTACTCAAGGAAAAATCGATGGGTATTTTAACTCTTAAAGAAATAAAATCTGCTCTAGTTTAAAAAGCTTCCAACAAAGGCAACTGTGGCCCCACATGGCTTCAGTGGTACACTCTTCCTTTTCTCTTTTTAAGAAGAGTTTGGTTAGCATTATTTCAGCCTTAAATATTTAGAAATCGTCTCCATCTTCAGCAAAACAAAAAAACAAAAAAACAAACTTTCCTGTTCTAAAAGAGTGAAGAGTTTACAACAATTTTATGAAGTAGGGGAAAAAGAAAAAGAGCAGAGACGGTTAAAGAGGCCAAAACTAGCTAGTTCTGTGAAGCACCACCTCCACCTTGTGGCCCTTCATGGAACTGTTGCTGAAAACACTAAAACACACTGAGTTGAACTTCAAGGCACAAATTTGACCTCTTATTAGTAGTGTTTCTGAATTCCCGACAAATACCAACCTTCAGGATTCAAAAACAATGAATTGGAATTCTCTGGAATTCCCCAAATCTACATTATTCTTTTAAAAAAGTTATTAAATACATTTTTCAAACTCTATTCATTACATGTGTATCTTTTTTTTTTGAGACGGCGTCTCACTCTGTCACCCAGGTTGGCGTGCCACTGCGTGATCTCAGCCTACTGCAACCTCCACCTCCCAGGTTCAAGCAATTCTCCTGTCTCAGCCTCCCAAGTAGCTGGGATTACAGGCATGTGCCACCACACCCAGCTAATTTTTTTGTATTTTTAGTAGAGATGTGTTTCACCATACTGGCCAAGCTGGTCTCGAACTCCTGACCTTGTGATCTACCCGCTTCGGCCTCCCAAAGTGCTGGGATTATAGGTGTGAGCCACCGCATCCAGCCTACATGTGTATCTTTAAAACAAATCATTTAATTAGTATTTGTAAGAGCTGAGGCCTATAGTGAATATTCAAATGCTAGACTGCATGTGGGTATTACTGGGTAGTATGTGAATAATGTCACGTTTAGAACTCAGCAAGGTTTACAGTACTATGCAGAATCACATGTTAATAAAAATGCCAATATAAGGATTTTGCTTCAAAATCTTTCTTGGAACACCAATCAATTTTTATTAAGTATACCATGTGTAAACTCATTATTATTTACTTAGCAGCAGACAGGGCCATGAACACACATAAAACGGCGATATTTATAATGAGGACTGATTTGTAATCACTTCTTTCCAAGGAGCTCCTGTTGACCTTAACCTTTGATTCCAGGTATCAGTATTTCCAGTTTTTACTTTCAACTTGCCCTAAGTAGATTCCTTCAAATCAGTAATGTTTCTGTGTTGTTAAAATTAATTCTAATAAGACAATTAGAATAATGTTTTCCATTTATTAAACTTCTTGACTAATTTTTTTCAGAATTCAAAAAAAACACACATTTCCCAAGAAATGCTAGGAAGAAATTCCTGCATGAAAACGCCTGGTCTTTTATCAAGCACTAAGATCTGGAAGTTTCCTACCTTTGTGAATGTAAAGAAAAAGACAAATGGCTGGACGTCAATGATAGCAATTACAAGATACTATTAATTGTAAGGAGCTTCAGAGATTGTTAACGCAAAAGAAATCTGCATCTTATTACTCTGTCAATCATCTACCATATTTTTTGAGCACCTACTATGTATGTGCTCAGTAAAGCTAACTTGAGTTATAACTCCCTTAAATCAAGTTGCTCGAATTTCAGATGCTATGGAAAATACATTAACCACCTGGTACAGATGACACTTTATATTCTAGTCACCAACAATTTATCTGCCTTTCTCCTTTCGAAGAGGACCCTGATATTGTTCAGGTATTTTCCCTTACCACATATCCATGTGGAACGAGTTGGTGAGGGAGACCAACTAACTGGACTTGGCTGGCTGGGTGCGCGGTGGCTCATGCCTATAATCCCAGCACTTTGGGTGGCCAAGGCAGGCAGATTGCCCGAGGTCAGGAGTTCGAGACCAGCCTGGCTAACATGGCAAAACCCCGTCTCTACTAAAAATACAAAAATTAGCCGGGCATGGCAGCAGATGCCTGTAATCCCAGCTACTTGGGAGGCTGAGGCAGGAGAATCGCTTGAACCTGGGAGGTGGAGGTAACAGTGAGTCAAGATTGCACCACTGCACTCCAGCCTGGGCGACAGAGCAACACTCTGTCTCCAAAAAATAAATAAATAAATAAATAAATAACTGGACTTGGCCACTTTCCTTGACAGTGGCTGACGAGATAGAAGAGGAAGTTGTTGAGGTGCTTAGAGAAAGGTTGTTGCTGGAGATATATAGAATAAATCAATCCTCTTCCACTCCCAGAATGCTGTTCTGACTCTGATGTCTAGAACTGCAGCAAACATCTTACCGCCCTGAGAAGAGCTAAGCCTCTCACTCAGAATAGCAGGGCAAAAGATAAAACAACCCCACCCCCACCCTCCAACACACACACACACACACACACACACACACACACACACACACACACACTAAAACCACCCCACCCCCACCCACCCACACACACACACACGTTCCTGATGACACTGAGCAGCTGAATTTTCTAATCCTGAAAACTGCTCTACCACAGGTGTACCTTCTTATTGAGAGATTTGTTAATGTAAAAGAGTTAATTTTCCTTTTTGTTCAAGTCAGTTAATTTTTCGATGAATTTTGTTAAAGGCATCTTAATAATTACCCTAAATGATCAGCAATGGCAGGCCATCAGGCTTTGTATTCCTCTTAAAGAGGCCACCAGCAAGGTTTTTAACAGGCATGCCAAGGCTTTTCCCCAGATGGTGTTTTGAGTACCCCTGATTTAACTGAAGGGGGTATGTGCTACTTCAGCAAGAAGTCAGAGAGCAAAGCCTTTAGTTTTACAAAGAACAAGAAATAAACTGGCCTACCTACAGTTGTGCAGGTCATCAATTGAAAGAAAAAATAAGTCAACCTTTTCAGCATCAGATCATTAAACCAGCGACTAATACAACCAAAGGTTGTCCCATATGGTTCCAGTAAAAAGGAAAAGGCCTATTTATGTTCATATCTAAGAAAAAAGTTATTTTTAAACTGATGCTTAAGAGCAATTAAGAGACACTTTAGTAGTCCCAAATTCCCAGCCAGTACCACAAACAACGCCTTAAAGTCCTCCAGACAACCTTCTCTTTGAGAAAGAGAGAGAACCCCACAGTGATATGACACCGAATGTCTTCTTTTTGTATTCAGCTAAAATAAAGAGTCTTGTTTTTCCTAAGCATGGATACAAGACAAATCCATTCAACTGTCTACTAAGGCTTATAGGTATATAAGGGTTTCCTGAGAACTTGCTCTTGCTGATGATAGAATAATACTGGCAACAGTGAGCAAGGCCGCACTCTCCTCGAGAAACAAAGCTGATTACAGGAGGCACAGGGCTTCCTTTGTCTCCTGTACTACCTTCTCTCAGCCTCATCAGTTAGTCTCCTTCTCACAGTCTATCCTGGGACTCTGGAGGTAAACAAGCTGTTCAGATACCAACAAATTACAAGGGTGTACTTCTGTGTCCCTGTTGATTTGCACATTCACAGCAATTTTTCTTATTGAGTTCTAGGTGCTATTTATAGCACAACACCCCACATATAAAGATAAAATGTGTTACTGAATAACACTGACCATTTAACTCTAAATCCTACATGAATAACTCCATTCTTTCAAAGACTTGGAAAATGTACCGATCTTCACTATGGCCAAGCAAATGCCTTTCTTCAGTTTAGGACAAGCTGTCAATTAGCTTTAAATAAGAAATGAAACTGGTGTCAAAAAGTTCCAGTGTTTTCTGTGCTGACCAGCCATTTTATATATAAAAATTAGTGCTGAGATAATGTAAATTGATAAATTGGAGGCTGAAATTAAGTCCAAATCGGGCGGCCGGGTGTGGTGGCTCATGTCTGTAACCCAGCACTTTGGGAAGCTGAGGCAGAAGGATCATTTGAGCCCAGGAGTTTAAGACCAGTCTGAGCATACAGCAAGACCAAGTCTCTATAAAAAATTAAAAATAAAGAAGTCCAAATCATTTCACCTAACCATGCTTCTTACCAATTTTCCTGCCTCTAGTTCCACATATGCTATTCCCACCCCCAAATCCATTCTCCAGAATGCAGCTAGAGTAGAAATGTTAAAGTGTCACTTCTAACTTAGATCCTATTCAAATGACAAAGTTCAAATTCTAGCTGGGACATTCCACGTAACTCTTCATGATCTGGCCTCTGGTCTGTCTCCCTTCTGGCCTTTCACCAGTCTTCATCTGGCTAACTCCTACTCATCCCTTAGGATGATCTTTCCAAGGGTGGATTAGGGACTAGGTTAGCAGAGAGAGGCGACAGTTAAGAGCACTGGCTCTAGGTTCAAATTCTAGCTCTTCCAAGTTCTTTTTTTTCTTTTCTTCTTTTTTTTGAGACAGAGTCTCGCTCTGTCACCCAGGCTGGAGTGCAATGGCCACAATCTCAGCTCATTGCAACCTCTGCCTCCTTGGTTCAAGTGATTCTCCTGCCTCAGCCTCTCGAGTAGCTGGGATTATAGGAGTGTGCCACCATGCCTGGCTGATTTTTCTATTTTTAGTAGAGATGGGGTTTCACCATGTTGGCCAGGCTGGTCTCAAACTCCTGACCTCAGGTGATCTGCCCACCTCGGCCTTCCCAAAGTGCTGGGATTACAGGCATTAGCCAACATGCCCAACCTTCCAATTTCTTTTCTTTTTTTTTTTTTTTTTTTGAGACGAAGTTTCACTCTTGTTGCCCAGGCTGGAGCGCAATGGTGCGATCTCAGCTCACTGTAACCTCCGCCTCCCGGGTTCAAGCGATTCTCCTGCCTCAGCCTCCCAAGTAGATGGGATTACAGGTGCCCGCCACCACACTCAGCTAATTTTTGTATATTTAGTAAAGATGGGGTTTCACCATGTTGACCAGGCTGGTCTTGAACTTCTGAACTCAGGTGATCCACCCTCCTTGGCCTCCCAAAGTGTTGGGACTACAGGCATGAGCCACTGCGCCCGGCCCTGGCCTTCCAATTTCTAACCCTGTGACTTTGGGTAAGGTAAATTACATCTCCAGGCCTCAGCTTACTCACCTGTAAAACTAGGTTAACAAAAGCAACTACCATGTAGAGTTATTCTGAGAATAACAGAATACTGGTAAAGTCTTTAACACAGTAAGAACTTAGTATTACTATTATTTTTATTACGTATCTCATTTTTGAGCTGCCTATAAACCTTATCACAGCACTCATCGTCCTATATTACAACTGGCTATTAGTCTCCCCTGACACCTAACAATTGGTTTTCAACTGCTCTCCTTGCCGCCCTCCTACCAATACCACCACACATACCTAGCATACCTGAGAGCTACAACTTATTTCTATTAATAACTGTGGCCCACTCTGGCAAGTGATTCTCAAGGAGTGGTCACCTCTGGTTGAGAATTATTTAGTTCAACTATTGGTTCTTGACTGGGGATGATTTTGCCTCCCAGGAAACATGTGGCAATGACTAGAGACATTTTTGGTTGTTGTAACCGGAGGGAAACACTACTGGTATCTAGTGGTTAACAGCTGAGGATGCTGCTAAACATTCCACAGTGCAGAGAACAGTCCCTGTAAAATAAAGAATTATGTGGCCTAAATGGCAATGGTGCAAAGGTGGAGAAAGTCTGAACTAGATAGTAAGTTCAGGAATTTTATCACTGGCATCAAATGCAACATCCGGTAAATTAGAAGCATTTCATAAATGTTGCATGAAAAAAATGAGCTTGTTATTACTGTCATTTGAGATAGAGTCTCACTCTGTCGTCCAGGCTGGAGTGCAGTGGCGTGATCTCAGCTCACTGCAACCTCTGCCTCCCAGTTCAAGCAATTCTCCTGCCTCAGCCTCCCAAGTAGCTGGGATTACAGGTGTCTGCTACCACATCTGGCTAATATTTCTATATTTAGTAGAGATGAGGTGTCACTATGTTTGCCAGGCTGGTCTCGAACTCCTGACTTCAAGTGATCCGCCTGCCTCAGCCTCCCAAAGTACTGGGATTACAGGCATGAGCCACTGCGCTTGGTGGAAGAAAAATGAGCTTGTAATTCCAGCATATTCTGTAGTAATTTAAGCTACTACAATCCAGTATGTATGGAGACACATAGAAAGTAACTATTCCCCGGCCGGCCTTGGTGGCTCACGCCTGTAATCCTAGCACTTTGGGAGGCTGAGGCGAGTGGTTCACGAGGTCAGGAGTTCAAGACCAGCCTGGCCAACACAGTGAAATCCCGTCTCTTACTAAAAATACAAAAATTAGCCAGGTGTGTTGGCAAGCGCCTGTAATCCCAGCTATGCAGAGGCTGAGGCAGGAGAATCGCTTGAACCCGGGAGTTGGAGGCTGCAGTGAGCCAAGACTGTGCCACTGCACTCCAGACTGGGCAACAGAGCTAGACTCCGTCTCGGGGAAAAAAAAAAAACAACAGAAAAAGAAAGTATTCCCCACAGGCCCATTCTATAAAGATCTTCAATCATAATATTTCTTTCTTGATGTTTTAACAATAAACACATCATTTACAAAAATCTTTTCTATTTAATCTCTTCTACTGAAATAATGCTGCCCATCACAGAAGCACCAATTAAGAAAACCAAAATATTTAGTGTTCTTTAACTGAGAAACCTGAAAATGCCACCACCTACACACCCTCTTCTTAGGGCAGCTGAGTAGATGCTGGCACCTGTATGTATGCTTTGAGCTACAATTCATCAATCATTGAAATTCAAATGAGTGCAGAGGTGGAAGGTGGTGGAGTTTCACTAAGAAATGAAAAAATTACAAGGCCAAATATCATTAAGAGAGTTGACATTCTTTTCTACCAATTTATAAAGGACACAGCAAGGGCAATACACATAGCCTTGTTCTAAGCACCTCTGTTGCCCCAAATTGCAAAATGTCTTCTATGCTTTTAGATAAACAATAATGAACTTGGAAGAACATGCAAAAGAAACACTAGAAAGTACAGCTGAGAACAAGCTGAAGTCAGTCATCATACAGGATTTAAAAAATGGTCAAAACTTGGAATGCTTCTTTAAGAAGAATAAAGCAATCTACAGACACTAATTAAGACTGACTTTAAAAAATACTTAACATTTACTATTCTAATTAGTTGTTCTAGGGCATATCTTCCCCATTAGATTGTGAACATATCTAATTCAACTTTGTATTAATAAATCTAGCAAAAATTCGATGCCTGGTATGTAGGTGCCTTAACATATTTATTGACCGAACAGATGAACTATATGCAGATTTTTTCCCCATACAAATGCCTGTTCTAGTAAGGCCTGTCCTTTTATATAGTAACTTACCCATTTTGCCTTCCTCTGTATTTGGTATCTTAGCAAATCAAATTCAGTGGCACAAGGAATGTTGTGTTCAGATCAAGCATGTCGAATAGCAGATCTCAGTAACATTTCCATTAAACCAACCACTCCCTATCCCTATCACTACCACCAGCAGCAGCAGCACCACCACCACCACCACCACCACCACCACCCACCACCCACCACCAAAAAAGGGACAGAATTCTCATTTCCTGCTTACTTATAAGTTTATCATTCCTTACCTTCTTCAGGGGCAGCTGAAGCTCCTTCAGGTAGTACAGGCTGTAACTCTCCAGTTTCAGAATTATTTTCCAAATCAGTCATCTGCAGTCCTTCCAGATGACCTCCTTTAGCATTAGCCCTCAAAGAAGAAAACAACTTGATATTTCTCTATAACTAGTGACACAATAATCTATATTTTCTTTTTGAACTGAGCACCAAACTAAGTAGGGTACGTGCTCTGGTGCTTAATACTAAATTTCAAATTTTATCTGAAAATATTTCACTAAGGTCCTGGCACAGTGGCTTATGCCTGTAATCCCAGCACTTTGGGAGGCCAAGGTGGGTGGATCACCTGAGGTAGGAGTTCAAGACCAGCCTGGCCAAGATGGTGAAACCCCATCTCCACTAAAAATACAAAAATTAGCCAGATATGGTGGTGGGCGCCTGTAATCCCAGCTACTCGGGAGGCTGAGGCAGAGAATTTCTTGAACCCGGGACGTGGAGGTTGCAGTGAGCCGAGGTTGCACCATTGCACTCCAGCCTGGGCAACAGAGTGAGACTCTGTCTCAAAAAAAAAAAAAATTTTTTTTTCACTAAATATTCACAAAAAAATGTTATGAAATGGTGGATTACATCAATGTTGGTATCCTGGTTGTGATATTGTACTACAGTTTTGCAAAATGTTATCATTAGGGGAGAAAAATACACAGGATCTCTCTGCATTATTTCTTACAACTGAATGTGAACCTATAATTAGCTCAATAAAATTTTAACTTATAAATACCAATAGAAGTTTTAAATAATATGTTCTAATAGGGAAAGACTTTTGAGATATATTATTATTGCTATTATTTGAGATAGAGTCTCACTCTGTCACCCAGGCTAGAGTGCAGTGATGTGATCTCAGCTCACTGCAACCGCTGCCTCCTGGGCTCAAGCGATTCTCCTGCCTCAGCCTCCCAAGTAGCTGGGATTACAGGTGTCCAGCACCACGCCCGGCAATTTTTGTACTTTGTTTTTAGTAGAGACAGTGTTTCACCATGATGGCCAGGCTGGCTCGAACTCCTGATCTCAAGTGATCTGCCCACCTCAGCTTCCCAAAGTGCTGGGGTTACAGGTGTGAGCCACCGTGCCTGGCCTGAGAGATATTATTGAATGAGAAAATAAAGTACATCTTCTGTATTAAAAAAGCTACATAGTCACAGTTCCTTAAATATACACAAAAACTGAGAAGACACAGCACACATGAAAAATTAATAACAGCATGAATATGTGTGGGCAGGGGGTTGGAAAACTAGGTCATGGGAGTTAAGGATGGGAAATTTTTCACTTATTCTTTTCTCCTTTCATTTTGAAACACTTATCATTAGTATTTAATATTTATTTTTATTTAAAAAATAAACAGAGGCAAGGTCTTGCTATGTTGCCTAGGGTGTTCTCAAACTCCTGGGCTCAGGCCATCTTCCCACCTCAGCCTCCAAAAGTGCTGGGATTACAGGTGTGTGCCACTGTGCCCAGCCTTTCATTAGTATTTAAACTTTTTGCTTACACTACTTTAAATCAGGCAGGAAAAAAAAAGACATGAGCTGGACAGCACCTACATGAACCAGGCTGGCAGATAAAATCAACTGCAAAATGAGGATCAAGCTGCACACACTTGCACAGGATTTTACACTCTAGAAAAAAAAAAACTAAGTTCATGTATATTTAATTGTGGTGACTAAAGGCAGATAAAAATATCTCCATAGCAAATAAAATATAAGAGCTAGTTGCACTTTAATTTGAAGAAATGTATAAAACATCAGGTTAGGTAGTACGTAGGGAAGACAAGATAATCTCCAGTGATTTTAACACCTTTCTACTACTGAAACTTGAGCCAGAAAGCTAAACCACCAGCTGATCTTGTAGTTTTGGTAATGAGCCAGACCTTGACTATATAAAATTAAGTAAACTTAAAGGGTGTTAATCTTTCTCCAATTTAGGTAAAATTCTTTTCAGGGTCTCCAAAATAGAACTATTTCATTGTTTAAATTTAGAAATAGGTTTAATATCCATAAAATAGATAAGCAGATGGATATTAATGGCTAATCATCTGCCACATCCATAGCCAATATCCATAATCACTCTATCTTTTGAATAGATGGAAGTTTAATTGCCATGCCGGGGATTTGAGTTTATGTCTCCTAGGGGAGAGATAAACGTGTTAACTACTATATATCTTTTTGGGAAATTCCAACTATAAGTTTTGAGGATACTTTGATAACAGGAGAGAAGAAAGATGAGATAAAAGCAGAAAAGCAGTGTTAAAGTTGCTGTAAGTGCTTTGTTTCATACAAAATATATATAAATGCCTGTGACACATAATATAGCCCAACACTAACATCTTTGACAAGTGTAGGATAGACTGAAAAAAAAAAAAAAGGCTGACCGCCCCCCTACCGCCAACACATACAAATTTACAAGGCAGAGTTCAGATAAGGTTACGTATCATTGTGAAAATGAGCTCTAACATATTTAAACTAAACTTCCGGTACTATTTCATCCCATTAAAAAAAGTACTATCTCTTGAGACCATGGTGAAACCCCATCTCTACTAAAAATACCAAAAAAAAAAAAAAATCAGCTGGGCGTGGTGGTGGGCGCCTGTAGTCCTGGCTACTTGGAGAGGCTGAGGTAGGAGAATGGCATGAACCTGGGAGGCGGAGCGTGCAGTGAGCTGAGATCATGCCACTGCACTCCAGCCTGGGCAACAGAGCGAGACTCCATCTCAAAAAAAAAAAAAGTACTATCTCATCCCATTAAAAAAAAAAAAGTAAAATCTCTGATACTTTAAAAAAGTTAAAATTTAGGCCAGGTGCAGTGGCTCACGCCTGTAATCCCAACACTCTGGGAGGCTGAGGTGGGCGTATCACTTGAGGTCTCAGGAGTTCAAGACCAGCCTGGCCAACATGGCAAAACCTCGTCTCTACTAAAAATACAAAAATTAGCAGGGTGTGGTGGCGGGCACCTGTAATCCCAGCTACTTGGGAGGCTGAGGCAGGAGAATCACTTAAACCGGGGAGGCAGAGGTTGCAGAGAGCTGAGATCACGCCACTGCACTCCAGCCTGGGTGACAGAGCGAGGCTCTGTTAAAAAAAATAAAAAAAATTAAAAAAGTTAAAATTTAGTGCAATAAATGTATTTTCTGTCCACTAAAAAATTAACAAGGTAGAAATTAATTTGTTCATCATGATGCATACTTAAAGTTCCAAACAAAGCTATTAGCTATTATACCATTACATATACAAAACAACTTAATTTACCCCAAGGTGACCATTTTCCTCCTTTTCTCAACCGCAGGCAAGCCACTGAAAACTGCAACCACAACAGCATCTGAATCCAAAGCTTTACACTGCCGGTCTTCAGTTTTTGGCAGAATATCACCGATACTGCCATGTATCAAGGCTCGGGGAGAACTGTGCCTGCTCCCAGACTGAGAGCTTCCTGGGGAGCCTTCAAAAAAAGGAAGATGGAATACAAAAATTAGCTGGGCATGGTGGTGTGCGCCTGTAATCCCAGCTACTTGGGAGGTTGAAACACAAGGATCACTTGAACCTGGGAGGCGGAGGTTGCAGTGAGCTGAGATTGTGCTACACTCCAGCCTGGACAACAGAGCAAGACTCTGTCTCCAAAAAATAAAATAAAATAAAATAAAAGGAGGGATAATCAGAAAAAAGGCAAATAAACATGAAAGGTCTCTCTCAGTTACATTAGAAAATCTCACTATATATATCATTTTAAAACTACATAAAAACTTCAAAAATAGGCCAGGTGTGGTGGCTCATGCCTGTAATCCTGGCACTCTGGGAGGCTAAGGCGGATGGATCACCTGAGGTCAGGAGTTCAAGACCAGCCTGGCCAATGTGGTGAAACCCCATCTCTACTACAAATACAAAAATTAGCCAGGCGTGGTGGCGTGCACTTGTAGTCCCAGTTACTCAGGAGACTGAGGCAGGAGAATCACTTGAACACGGCGGGCGGAGGTTGCGGTGAGCCGAGATCGCACCATTGCACTCCAGCCTGGGCAACTAGAGGAAAAAACTCCATCTCAAAAAAAAAAAAAAAAAAACTTCAAAAATAATTTTGAAACATATCCCTTGTTTTTTATGCCAAGCATCTAAAATTAAGGAGTCCAGGCCAAGTGTTGTGGCTCACACCTGTAATTTTACACTTTGGGAGGCTGAGACAGGAAGATTGTTTGAGCCCAAAAGTTCAAGACCAGCCTGGACAATGTAGCAAAACCCTGTCTCGGCAAAAAAAAAAAAAAAAAAAAAAAAAAAAAAAGCCAGGTATGGCTGCATGTGTCTGTGTCTGTGGTCCCAGCTACTTGGGAGGCTGAGGTGGAAGGATCACTTTTGTCTGGGAGGTCAAGGCTACAGTGAGCTATGATTGCACCACTGCATCCCTAGCCTGGAAAACAGAGCAAGACTCTGTCTCAGGAAAACAACAAAAATAAAGAATAAATAAAATTAAGGTGTTTAGAATACATAGTCTAATGGCTGTATTTTGTTAAGGGTCTGTTCTGTTGAGATCAAGAAACTTTCCAGCCAGGTGTGGTGGGGCTCATTCCTGTAATCCGAGCACTTTGGGAGGTTGAGGCAGGCGGATTGCTTGAGCTCAGGAGTTTAAGACCAGCCTGGGCAACCTGTCTCTACAAAAAATACAAAAATTAGCTAGGCGTAGTGGTGCACACCTGTAGTCCCAGCTACTTGGTGGGGCTGAGGCAGGAGGATCTCTTAAACCACCGGTCGAGGCCACGGTGAGCCAAGATCGCACCACTGCACTCCAGCCTGGGTGACAAAGTGAGACCCTGTTTCAAAAAAAGAAACTTTCAAATCCAACTTTAGCATTTTTGGTGCCCTTCAAGATCTAAAGCTCCACGATAACATCAATTTCAGGTAATAAATATTTACCCCACTAAAAGTACATTCTGAATCCCTCAAATTTACCTTCAGACAGAGTCTGACAGTCTCCCTTTGAACGACTATTTTCTCCAGGGTCCACTGCTCTTCGAAGTGATAGACTACCTGCTACACTGGATCGAGCTGGCTTGGGCGAATTACTCTTCTTATTTGTGGCTGCAAAGACATTTAAGAACACCTCTGAATAGGCTACTACAGCACAAAACTCACTATTTAGTCTGTCAGAAAAAGTTTTAATCTTACCTTGCATGGAAGCTGTTCTCTCTACTGTCTAAAAATAAACAACATTCTGTAGCCCCAATTGGTTTAGACTTTTGTCATAAAACATTCCCATCTTGTTGCTTGTAGAGCAGAATCTTTTTTTTTTTTCCCCCAGATGGAGTCTTGCTCTTGTTGCCCAGGCTGGAGTGCAATGGAGCGATCTTGGCTCACTACAACCTCCACCTCCTGGGTTCAAGCAATTCTCCTGCCTCAGCCTCCCGAGTAGCTCAGATTACAGGCACTCGCCACCATGCCCAGCTAATTTTTGTATTTTTAGTAGAGACGGGGTTTTGTCATGTTGGCCAGGCTGGGTCTCGAACACCTGAACTCAGGTGATCCACCTGCCGCGGCCTCCCAAAATGCTGGGATTACAGGCATGGGCCACCGCACACCGCCCGTAAAATCTTAACTTAAAAGATTATCTGTGAGCTCCTTAAGAAAAATCATACAAATTTCAATGCAGTTAAACTATTAACAAATATATAACCCGTCAAACATTTGGAAATTATAAAGTATTATTGGATTAAAAAGAAAAATCAATGCTGAGTTAGAAACAAATTACAATTATGGTACTTGAAATCAAAATGTCTGTGGCCAAACCAGTAGTGAAAAGAAAATGTACGGCCTTAAAATGAATTAATTAGGGAAAAAAGGGACTATATGACCTAATATGCATAGATTCAAAAGCTAGGAAGACAATAAAAATAAGCAAGCAAGAATGCTATTGCCAGAAGGCAGGGCCCTGCCCTTGAATTCAGCCTGCAGAACTGTGAGTTAAATAAATCTCTTTTAAAAATACATTTTAAAAAAAGAATAAAAATAAAATTGTAAAAAACAATAAAAATAAAAAATTCATTAATAGGTAATAAACAGGTTTAGCATGGTTGCAGGATATAAGACAAAATAACTTATTGTATTTCTCTGCACTAGCAGACAATGTGAGAATGAAGTTAAGAAAACAATTTCATTTTTAATAGCATAAAATACAATTAAAATACTTAGGAATTTATTTAACAAAAGAAATGTGAGACTTGTCCACTGAAAACTACCACACATTCTTGAAAGAAAATAGAGACAACAGCAAAGACATCCTGTGTTCATCACTGATTAGAATACTTAATACTGTTAACAAAGCAATATTCTTAAAATTGATCTACCGATTCAACACAATTTCTAAAATAATAGTAGCTGTGTTTTTTTTTTTTTGCAGAAATTGACAAGCTAATCCTAAAATCCATTTGAAAATGTAAGAGACCCACAATACCCAAAACAATCTTAAATGGAACACTCACTTCTGATTTCAAAAGTTACTATAACTAAGTAATCAAGACTATGTGGTACTGCCATATACACATATATATCATCAAAACAGAATTGAGAGTCTAGAAACAAACCCTTATATTTATGGTCCACTGATTTTTGACAAGGATGCCAAGACAATGCAATGGGCAAGGAAAAAAAGAGGGACAATAAGTGTTGCCAACGGTATGGAAAACCTGGAGCCCTCATATACTGCTGCTGGGAATATAAAATGATGCAGCTACTTTGGAAAATAGTCTGGCACTGGTAGTTCCTCAAAAAGTTAAACACAGTTGCCATGTAACCCATTAATTCCACTTCTAAGCATATACTCAAACAAAACCATATGTCCAAACAAAAACTTGTACATGAACGTTCATAGCAGCACTACTGATAATAGCCAAAAAGTAAAAACAACCCAAATATCCATCAACTAATGAGTGGATAAACAGTATGTAGTACAGCCATACAATAAAATATCATGCAGACATAAAAAGGAATATATGCCACAACATGAATGAACCTTGAAAGGGCTGTGTTAAGTGAAATAAGCCAGACATAGAAGACCTCATATGGTATGAGTCTATATAAAAAGTCCAGGCTGGGCGCAGTGGCTCACATCTGTAATCCCAGCACTTTGGGAGGCTGAGGTGGGTGGCGCATGAGGTCAAGAGATTGAGACCAACCTGGCCAACATGGTGAAACCTCGTCTCTACTAAAAATACAAAAGTTAGCTGGGCATGGTGGCGCACACCTGTAGTCCCAGCTACTTGGGAGGCTGAGGCAGGAGAATGGCGTGAACCCGGGAAGCGGAGCTTGCAGTGAGCCGAGATTGTGCCACTACGCTCCAGCCTGGGTAACAGGGAGAGACTCCGTCTCAAAAAAAAAAAAGTCCAGAAGAAGAAAAATCCATAGGGAAAAAGTAGATTAGTGGTTACCAGAAGATAGTAGAAGGGGAAGATGGGGAACGACTTTTAATGGGTTTGGAGTTCTAGGGAGAGGGTTAATGAAAATGTTCTTAGACTTAGATAAATGTTCTAGACTTACGAAAAATGATGACCAATTTCTCCACTAAAAGGATAAATGAATTATTGGTTAAGGAAAAAAGAATGCATTAACAGTCTGGGTGCGGTGGCTCATGCCAGTAATCCCAGCACTTCAGGAGGCCAAAGTGGGTGGATTACCTGAGGTCAGGAGTTCGAGACCAGCCTGGCCAGCATGGTGAAACCCCATCTCTACTAAAAATACAAAAATTAGCCCGGTGTGGTGGCACACACCTGTAATCCCAGCTACTCAGGAGGCTGAGGTAGGAGAAGTGCTTGAGCCCAAGAGACGGAGGTTGCAGTGAGCCAAGATCACGCCACTGCACTCCAGCCTGGTGGACAGAGCGAGACTCTGTCTCAAAAAAAAAAAAAAAAAAAAAAAAAAAAAAGCATTAACAAAGACAAAAGCAGAAATATAATGAAATGGTAAAAGACAATGGATGAAATAAATCTAAGAACTTGGTCTTTGAGGAGATGAACAAAATTAGCAAATCCCTTGAGCAGGTCAAATCAAAGGAGAAAAAAAAACAGAAGTAAGCAATAAAATAAGTGAAAAAGAAGTTAACAACCCATATGCACAAGAAGTTTTAAAAATTTAAGAAAATAGAATAAATGACTGTATATCAATAAATTTAAAGACCCAAATATAATTAGTTTTTCTTGGAAAACTATAGTAACTGACTTAAGTAGCAGCAGAAGTATGAGAAAACTACATCTGACAAGAGATTAATGACCAGGATCTCAAACAACTCTATAGGAAAAAATTCAATAATCTGATTAAAAATGGGTAAAAATCTGAATAGATATTTCTTAAAAGACGACACACAAATAGCAAACAGGCATATGAAAAAGTGCTCAACATCACTGATCATCAGAGAAATGCAAATCAAAACTACAATAAGATACCATCTCATCCCAGTTAAAATGGCTTTTATCCAAAACACAGGCAATAACAAATGCTGGTGAAGATGTAGAGAAAAGGCAACTCTCATACACCATTGGTGGGAATGTAAGTTAGTAAAACCACTACGGAAAACAGTTTGGAGGTTCCTCAGAAAAACTAAAAATAGATCTACCATATGATCCAGCAATCCCACTGCTGGTTATATACCCAAAAGAAAGCAAATTAGTATGTCAAAGAGGTATCTGCATTCCCATGTTTACTACAGCATTATTCACAATAACCATGGTTTGGAAGCAACCTAAGATCCACAGACAAATGGATAAAGAAAATGTTAGGTTGGGCGTGGTAGCTCACGCCCGTAATCTCAGCACTTTGTAAGCCCGACTCAAGTGGATCATTTGAGGTCAGGAGTTTGAGACCAGCCTGACCAACAAGGTGAAACCCCATCTCTACTAAAAAATACAAAAAAATTAGCTGGGCGTGGTGGCGCATGCCTGTAGTCGCAGCTAGCTGGGAGGCCGAGGCAGGAGAATGACTTGAATCCAGGAGGCAGAGGTTGCAGTGAGCCGAGATTGCACCACTGCACTCCAGCCTGGGCAACAGAGTGAGACTCTATCTCAAAAAACAAAAAAAAAATGTGGTACATATACACATGGAATACTATTCAGCCATAAAAAAGGAATGAGATCCTGTCATTTGCAACAACATGGGTGGAACTGGAGATCGTTATGTTAAGTGAAATACATCAGGCACAGAAAGACAAACTTCACACATTCTCACTTATTTGTGGGGGCTAAAAATTAAAACAACTGAACTCAAGATAATACAGCAATGGTTACCAGAGGCTAGGGAGTGTAGTGGGTGGCTGGGGGGATGGTTAATGGGTACAAAAATATAGTTAGATAGAATGAATAAGATCTAGTATTCGTTAGTACAACAGTGACTACAGTCTACAATAATTTATTGTACTTCTGAAAATAACTAAAAGAGTACAATTGGATTGTTTTAACACAAAGGATAAATGCTTGAGATGATGGATACTCCATTTACCCTGATGTGATTATTATGCATTGTAAGCGTGTATCAAAATATCTCATATATCCTATAAATATATATACCTACAATGTACCCACAAAAATTAAAAATTAAAAAAATTAAAAATATGAGGAAACCAACAAATCCAACAGAAATTAAAAAGGCTGTTAAAGTTCTAACTCTGAGTTACTATACTAGTTTTATGAATGCTTTTTATTAGACATAAAGTTTAATACAGCATAGGAGCAAATAACATATAGTTAAAATAATTTTATAGCATAGAAAAGGACAAAAACATCTGAATTTAATCTGTAAAACAAGCACAGAATTAGAACTAAAGTGGGTTAAGGATAGTGTAATGAAATAGATCGATTTCACTTATGACTATGTAGTCAAGGATCCTAAGTAAAATATTAGCAAACTGAATACAGCAGTGTTTTTTTAAAAAAAGTATAGGCCCAAACTAAATAGGATGCATTCCAGTATTTCCAGAATGGTCAACATTAGAAAAATAATATAATTTACTTTATGATAACAAAGTAATGGAACAAAATAGTAAATCATTTTGACAAATGTCAAAACATCATTTGATATAATTCTACACAGCTTCAGTTTAAAAAGAAAAGAAATTCTCGTAGTAAGAAAAGAGGCAGTTTGGTATTAGGGTGAAGGGCATAGGCTCTGAAGTTCAAGTTTTTGGCTTTGCCAATTACCAATGTGAAACTAGCAACATTATTCAATGCCTGCTGCCTTGGTTTCCTCATCTGTAAATCTGGAATGAAATTGACTTACCTTACCTCTTAGACTTCTTGTTAAGATTAAGTGAGTCAATGCATGTGACTTAGAATAGTTAGAATAATGTCTGGCACACAGTTAACACTTAGTAAATGTTAGCCATTATTGGTATTGTTGTTACTAAACAGGTTTAGTAACCTTTAGTTACTAAATTTCTTTAGTAAGAAATACAGATGTACAATAAAAATATGAAAAGATATTCGGCCTCACCTGCTATTCAAGGAAATGGTATATTAAACCAAATGGTATATTAAAACCAAAAGTACAGCTTTTTGGGTGAACTTTCTCAAAAAGCCTTTGTTACATATTTTGCAGATACAGTTGACGCTTGAACAGCACAGGCTTGTTGTACTGTACAGGTCCACTTAATATTCGAATTTTTTTCAACCAGAGAAAGATTGAATATATTACTATACTATACTATAGAATCTATTACTATAAATAGAAGGATGTACCTTTTAACTTTTTTATTTATTTATTTATTTATTTTTGAGACAGTCTCACTTGTCACCTAGGCTGGAGTGTGGTGGCGCAATCTTGGCTCACTGCAACCTCCACCTCCTGGGTTCAAGCGATTCTAGTGGCTTGGCCTCCTGAGTAGCTGGGATTACAGGCATATGCCATCATGCCCAGGTAATTTTTTTGTATTTTTAGTAGACATGGGGTTTCTCCATGTTGGCCAGGCTGGTCTCGAACTCCTGGCCTCAAGTAATCTGCACGACTTGGCCTCCCAAAGTGCTGGGATTACAGGCGTGAGCCATTGCACACAGCTTTTTTAACTTGATAGAAACAGGCCTGTAATCTTTGGGAGGCCAAGACAGGCAGATCACGAGGTCAGGAGATCAAGACCATCCTGGCTAACATGGTGAAACCCCGTCTCTACTAAAAAATACAAAAAAATTAGCCAGGCGTGGTGGCAGGCACCTGTAGTCCCAGCTACTCGGGAGGCTGAGGCTGGAGAATAGCATGAACCCAGGAGGCGGAGCTTGCAGTAAGCCGAGATAGAGCTACTGTACCCTAGCCTGGGTGACAGAGCAAGACTCTGTCTCAAAAAAAAGAAACACAAAAACAAAAAAGTACCTATTGAAACATACAGCAAACCTCAAATTTAATGAGAAAAAAACTAAAGGAATTCCTAAATAAAGTTGAAAAATTATAAAAATCCTACCACTGTTACTAAGAAACTGTTGAGGTACCTGCCTAGACAATGCAATACAAAAAGTAAGCAGAAAATGAATAAACAAATTATGATTATCTGCTGATGATATAAATACTTAGAAAATCAAAATAACTAATTGAAAAACTGTTAATAAAACAAATTCACCAGGCCAGGTGTGGTGGCTCACGCTTGTAATCCCAGCACTTTGGGAGGCCGAGGTGGGTGGATCACCTGAGGTCAGGAGTTCAAGACCAGCCTGACGAATATGATGAAACCCCGTCTCTACTAAAAATACAAAAACTAGCCGGGCGTGGTGGCATGTGCCTCTAATCCCAGCTACTTGGGAGGCTGACAAAGAAGAATCACTTGAACCCAGGAGGGGGAGGTTGCAGTGAGCCGAGATCGCCCCATCGCACTCCAGGCTGGGCAACAAGAGTGAAATTCCGTATCAAAAAAAAAAAAAAAAAAAAAAAAATTGCCACATTGGTTGAATACAGAATAAACATAAAAATCAATATTTTTGTCTTTTATGTCAGTAACAATTAGAAAATACTATCAGAGAAAAAGAGATTCCACTCACAACAGCTACCTAAGATATAATACATTGAGAAATGAATTTAACAAGACATATATAGAACTTATATGGAAAAAACTGAGAGTTCTAAAAAAGGATATGAATATAACAGATGACCTGAATAAATGGAGAGAAGTACCACATTCCTAGACATGAATGTTTGATGCTGAAAAGATCTCAATTGCCCAAATTAGTCTCTCTTTTTTTAAGAGAGAGAGAGAGACTGTTGCCCAGATTGGAGTGCAGTGGCACGATCACGGCTCACTGCACCTCAAATTCCTGACCTCAAGTAATCCTCCCACCTCAGCCTCCCAAGTAGCTGGGGTTACAGGTACATACCACCATGACTGGCTTATCAAAAAAATTTATTTTTGTAGAGATTAAGGTCTTGCCATATGATGTTGAACTCCTGGGCTCAAGAAGCCATCCTCCCTCATCAGCATCCCAAAATGCTGGGATTAACAGGCAGGAGCCATGGTGCCCAGCACCCCTAAACTAGTCTTTAAATGTAAAGCAATTCCAGTCAAAATACTTTGGAGGAGGATTAAAAGTGCAAGAACCACCAATAACATTTTGAAAACCAAGAACAGAATAAACATATCCTATCATAGTATTACAAACTATAAAACTACAGTAGTTAAAAAAAGTGTTAGTCTGGTAGAGGACATGACAAATACTGGGTTAAACAATACCAAATTGCGTTTTTGTATGTCCAAAACTTGAGTACTGGCAATTTCAGTTGTTTCGACCTCTATGAGTTCAAAAACAGAACCATGTTTGGGAATCTGGTCTATAATAAAGGATGGATTTCATATTGCATCATATTTCAAAAAACATGTTTCATTCATTTGGGGAAAAACATCATTCCATTTACCTCACACAGCATCATATAAAATTAACTTTATATGAATTAATGACCTATATGTAAAAAAGTTAGAAAACAAAAAGTACCAGAAGAAATTAAGGGTTATTTTTATTAACCTGGGAGTTAAAAAGCCTTCCAAATAAAAATAAGACCCATGAATATTATTGCCATGAATATTATTATTAATTATAATATTATTAATATTCATGTCATGAATGTTAATTATATTATTAATATTCATGGATGAATATTATTAATACAGTTGTCTAAGATAAAATTTTAAAACTCTGTGATTAGCAGGAAAAAAAGGTGGCAATGGGGAAGAGACAGTTGTCCCTTGGTATATGTGGGGGTTGGTTCCAGGACCCCTGCGTATACTAAAATCCTCGACTGAAGTCCCACCGTAAGACCTGCAGAACCCACCTATACGAAAGTTGGCCCTCCTATATGCAGGTTTGGCATCACCCGAATACTGTATTTTCAATCTTTCTCTGGTTGAAAAAAATTCGAATATTAAGTGGACCTGTACAGTACAACAAGCCTGTGCTGTTCAAGGGTCAACTGTATCTGCAAAATATGTAACAAAGGCTTTTTGAGAAAGTCCACCCAAAAAGCTGTACTTTTGGTTTTAATATACCATTTGGTTTAATATACCATTTCCTTGAATAGCAGGTGAGGCCGAATATCTTTTCATATTTTTATTGTACATCTGTATTTCTTATGTTAATGGCCTATTCATAACCTTTATTCATTCTACTAAATTGTCTTCCTTATATTAAGAGAATTCTATATATTTTGCTATTATCTCCTCACCAACCCATCTTTATTGGATTATTCACATCACTATCAAACATTAATACAGCCAATTTTAATAAACAACACACACAAAGAGAACCCAGAAACAAACCCTCGTCTATATGGTCAAATGATTTCAACAATGGTGCTAAAACCATTCAATGAGGAAAGAAAAGTCTTTTCAACAAATAGTGCTGGGAAAACTGGATATCCATGGGCAAGCAAGTCAGACCCTTCCCTGACACCATAAACAAAATTTAATTCTTAATGGATGAAAGACTAAAAGTAAGACTAAAAGCAAGAACTAAAACTCTTGGAAGAAAACAGGAGAAAGCTTCATGACACTGGATTAGGCAATGTTTTCTTGGCTATGACACCAAAAGCACAGGGAACAAAAGGAAAAACACATAAAATGGGCTTCTTCAAATTAAAAACTTCAAATGTTAAATGACACAATCCACAGAGGGAAAAGGCAACCCACACACTGGGAGAAAACATCTGCAAATCATATATGTGATAAAAGATAAATATTTAAAATATATACAGAACTCCTAAAAGTCAACTACAAATAAACAACCCAACCCAATTTTAAAATGGATTTAATTCACAGATGAAAGACATTGGAGAGGACACAAAAAAGGACACCCCTGCCAACAAGAAACTATTGACCCCGCACCTCCTCCAGCTTCTACCCACTTCATTGTGAAACTTCTTTTAAAGAAGTTGTGCATTTGTGCTCTGGTCCCTGACCTCATTCACT
Organism: Homo sapiens; assembly: GCF_000001405.40. Taxonomy (NCBI): domain Eukaryota; kingdom Metazoa; phylum Chordata; class Mammalia; order Primates; family Hominidae; genus Homo; species Homo sapiens. The sequence goes on from NC_000017.11 coordinate 59,026,759, forward strand.
CTTCTGCTACACTACTCCATGGGAATAGTTCTTAAAAAGGCCACTTGGCCTCTTGCCTTGACACTTCTCAGTGATACTTAACACACTTAACACAGGGGTAACCACTCTACTTCTTGAGATGCATTATTTTTGATTTTTGAGATATTATCCCTTCTAGTTTTTCTCCTACCTTAATGATTGCTCTTTCAATTTCCTTTGCTGGCCTCTCCTATTTATCAGATCTTTAAATGTTTAAGTGCCACAGAGTCAAAAATTTTGCTTCTCCATTGAAACTCCCTCCAAACTTGACCCTATTCAGTCTTCTGGATTTAAATAATATAAAATACTATTGACTCCCAACTGTTTATATCCAGCATTGACCTCTCTCTGAGTTTCAAAGTTGTGTACCATTCACGTGTCTATGACATTTTACTAGGATATCTAGCAGGTGTCTCAAATTAAACATGTTTAAAAAAGAATACCCAACTTTCTGCCCTTACCTCCTCCCAAGCCCCATAACCTGCTTCTTATCTGATTTGCTTCTCAATAAATGATACCACTGCCTATTAAGTTGCTTAGGCCAAAACTTAATCATAATTCTTAGTTTCTTTCTAAATAGAACTTTCCTAAAATTCTATTTAGGCTTTTTCAACTATGGTTCTGAGAAAGAACTCAGCCCTGCTGATCTAAGACTGGATTAACTTCCCTCCTATGCATCTAGAATAGAATAGCACATCCTTAAGAGAACTAAGAAAGATGGGAACCTCAGTCAAGAAAGGCTGCTAGACTGTGAACAAGCCCCTCTATCCATTATTGTAACTCCAGAAAATGCCATCATATTTCACACAAGATAATGTAATAGGCTGTTACTGGTCTCACAATTCCTGTCCTCAACCCTTTTCAGACCCTTCTCCACACAACAAGCAAAGTCATCTTTGTAAAGTGTAAATCAGATTATAAACACCCCTTATTTTTATTCTCTAGAGGCTTCCTCCTTACATCATAATAAAACTCGAACTCCTTTTTGAGGTTTTGCAAGACTCTCCCTGATCTAAATTCTGCCTACCTCTCTCTGACTTCGTCTCCTGCTAGTCTCCTCTCTCTGCTTTCTTTGCCATACTGGTCTTCCTTCAATCCTTCAAATACGCAAAATAAATCCTGTGTCAGTGACTTTGCAGTTTCTGTTCTGTTTACCCAGAACACTGCTTGCCCTAGATCTATAAATAGCTGCCACCTTCCTAAACTTCAGGTCTCAGGTCAAGTGCTGCCTCCTCACAGAGACTTTCTCTGACTACCCCAATAGAACATGTCTCATCTGCTCCTCCCATCCCACTCCTCGGTTGTTTCCTTCACAGCACCTTTTACCCACTGAAATGATCTTTACTTACTTGTCTACACTTTTTAATGTCTGATTCCCACTACTAGAATACAAGATCTATGATGTTAAGAATTTTGTCTTGTTTATTGCCAAATACAGAGTAAGCAATCAAGAAATGTTAGTTCTATTATATAGTAAAAATATACGGAATCAATTTTGGATGAAGAAAAAAGTCACATGTAATTTGTAGTCTTAACTCACTGGAAGAGTGGTATTTAAATATTATTCTTTTGAAAAAACCAGTCATCTAGTTTCCCAAATAACGTGTGGAGAAATGACACTGGGAACATATTACTTACAGTTTCGTATGTAACAATTGGCAACTGATGACTTTGCCAGGAGTTCCATTCCCAAATCCTGCAATCTGCCAGAGTTTTCAGTTCCACATGCAGCCAGAGCTGCCTGGTCAGCAGAAAAAAGGCTTGTCTGCATGTCTCCAGAAGCAGCACTGCTGCTTTTTATTTCTGAAAGTGTATTCTTTACATCAGTTTTCATACATCGAACTTCGGCCATTTGAGTTTTGAGTCTTTTTAGCATCTTTAAATCAGAGGGCACTCGCCACATTGCCTGTTGCTTCCTTTGGTCTTTATCTTTTCGAGAATATGATGCTTCAGAGAAATTGACAAGTCATGTTAACATAAACGTTAATATTAATGAAATCATTTGTACCATGAATATATGCAAATTTGATGTGTAAAATAAGCTAGCGTGCTTTACGTGGTATCAACAATAAAACATGCACTAAATTCCATTAATGAAAATAAAGATAAAGAATCCTACCTTATTCACACCTTCAGAGTTAGAATCTGAGTCACATCATACTCAAGTTCGAATTACACATTTAATTCTAAAAGTTTAAAAGCTGCCCTACTGCCTTGTGCTTTCTTCTTTAAACTTCTCCACTTTTCTGAAACTTTCTACAGAGCTTTTATTATGTTTATAATTGAAAAAAAAGACAAAGAAAAATCTAGAAACCAAATACTTTGTCAAATCTGCCATATATAACATTATATTAAAAATACATATTTCTGGCCAGGTGCAGTGGCTTATGCCTGTAATCCCAGCACTTCAGGAGGCTGAGGTGAGAGAATCGCTTGAGGCCAGAAGTTCAAGATCAGCCAGGGGAGCATAGTGACACCCTATCTGTACAAAAAAAAATTTTTTTATTAGAACTTCCATTTCTGATAATTTTCTCAGAACTGTCAGCTTTCTGAAATACGGTTTGAATCTAACCACTTCTAAAATAAAACAATAGCTCTCCATGCCTAGTATGAATAAATTCCTCCGGCTAGCATGCAAGTCCTTTCATAGAATGGACCCAACATGACTCTAGTTCTACTTACCACTATATGTACCTTAAAATCTGGTTCAACTAGATTACCTGATACCTTTTACAGTACTCCTTTACATGGTTAAGAACATGAAGTTAATCTGACAAATGTTCACTAAATATGTGTTAAATAAATACACAGAAAAAAATAAACATCAAAGCCCAAGCAGGCCACGTGCAGTGGCTCACGCCTATAATCCCAGCACACTTTGGGAGGCCGAGGCAGGTGGATCACTTGAGCTCAGGAGTTTTGAGACAAACCTGGCCAACATGGTGAAACCTGTCTCTACAAAAAATTGTAGAGCACTCCAGCCTGGGCAACAGAGTGAGACTCTGTCTCAAAAACAAACAAACAATCAATCAAACAAAAAATGACCCAAGCAAGCCTTTTCAATAAAAAGAAAGTCATATATTTCTGCACACTAGCTTTTATTAACATCCCTTCACTGAAAGGTATTTTCATTTGGCTTCCATGAGTATTTTTTCTCCTTTCTAAAAGCTCTTTATCTGGCTCATCTTCCTGACACTCAGTAAAAACAGATATTCATCAGGATTATGTTCCTGGCTCTCTTCTTTTAAAATATTCTTAAAACTCCTTTGCAATCTCACACCCTTGGTTTTAATTATCCAGTATCACCTCCAGAAAAATAACTGTCTGTATTCCAGTTCATTTTTTTTTTTCATGGAGTTTCACTCGTTGCCCAGGCTGGAGTGCAATGGCACGATCTCGGCTCACTGCAACCTCCGACTCCCAGGTTTAAGCCATTCTCCTGCCTCAGCTTCCCAGGTAGCTGGGATTACAGGCACCTGCCACAATGGCCGGCTAATTTTTTGTATTTTTAGTAGAGACAGGGTTTCACCATGTTGGCTAGGCTGGTCTCGAACTCCTGACCTCAGGTGATCCACCCGCCTCAGCCTCCCCAAGTGTTGAGATTACAGGCGTGAGCCACTGCGCCCAGCCCCAGTTCTTAATTTTTAGCTGTCTACTGGTCCTTTCTAATTTGATGTCACACTGTTATGCCCAACTCAAGATGTTTAAATCCAAAACTTGCTTTTTCTTTCTACTATTTTCCCCGCCCTCATTATTGCCAGCATTTTATCACCTAAATTTGAAATTCAGATCATCTCATTTGTATTGTTTTTACACAGAAAACTAGTTTTACACAGAAATCTTACTATTTAGTTTGCATTTTTCCCAATGATACTGATTATTTTCAAAAACACGATTTTACTTGTCTATAAAATATACCATTGCATGGTTACACTGTAATTTATTCAGCTATAACTGTATTGTTGAATATTTTTAAACATCTGCTTGTTTTCTCTTTGGAATATACTCCTCAAAGTGAAATTACAAGTTTAAAGGATATAGATATTTTTAAACTACTACAAAATTGTCCTTCAAAAAGGTTAAACCAACTTACATATCTACCTACAGAATCAGAACCTGTCTGTTTCACTGGGCCTTTGCAAACAACACTTAACATTTAAGTAAAACTTTATATAAAGCATACTTGGCGCACACATAAAAGGCAACTGTTTCATAACCTGAAGATAGTCTTTTAAGCTGAGGATCCAGACTTTCAGGAAGTATATCTGGCTCTTAGGAAAGAAGAAGCCTAAATAATCTGGGCTCCATGTCCCTACACCAGTAGAAGAGCTCTATTTCTCTGTTATTTACACAGAGGTTCTGCCTTGGACTTTGATTGAAAAATGAGTTATCTTGCCTTAAAACTACATCAAAATCAGAGTTCTAAATCATTGATTTGATGTATATAATACTATTGTTTAAGAAGGTAGAAAAATATTTGGCATATATTTTTGAATATACTGACTATACTTTAGAAAGCATTCCAACAAAAATGGTTTTTAAAATGTAGCTTTTAAAGGCAAATACTTAGTTGTCCAAAATGACTCTATCCCCGAGAGTTTAAAAAAGCCCATATTTGACTATACAAATCTCCATTTTATTATAGTAACACAAATGTAATTTCTATTTAACAAATAACCTTTGCACAGAAAACAGTGCTGCCAACTGGCATACATTTTTAAGCTACTGAACATCAAAGAATGAGTAAGTCACCTTTTTCTACGTTCAATTTAGATATAGTTCCACTTGGAAGTAAGGGAATTCATGAAGCCTGACCAAAAAAAGTCCATTCATAAAGAAGATAACCGTATTTCATATGGATCAAACTGTCAGGCAAAATCTGAGTAGCAAGTCACAAAAAACCTTCTTGCAGGCATTTTTACTTTGTTTTTGCACAAATCACCTTTGAACGGTAATTTAAAAACTAATTTGGTTGACATAAATGTCATTTTTATGGTATACAATGAAAAACACAGAAATACACCATGTTCCACACATAGCTGAAATACTTAAATGAAAATCCAAGAGTTCTTTTAGAGAACCACAGAAAAAAAGGAAATTATCATTGTTATTATTTTACCTGTGGGCTGCAGAAGTGAAGCAGGTGGGCGAGGCTGTAAGCCCCACAAATTTTCTATACTGCTCCGGTCCTTAAGGTCCAACAAATGTATTAAAATTAATGGATCAATGTCTAGTAAACTACTGGTAGCAGCGGAGCATAAATGTGTTCTTCTTGATATTCTACTACTGGAACCCACATAACCATGGCTACTACCTGCAAAAGAGGCGTAGAAAATGATATATATATGCACAAACTTAGCTATACTTAAATGAAAAAATGAACTGGTTAACATTATATGAATACTTGTCTATGGACCTATCTCTTAGGAGTTCAGGTTCATGATAAGAAGCAGAAAGAAGGAACCAGGGCCGGGCGCGGTGGCTCACGCCTGTAATCCCAGCACTTTGGGAGGCCGAGGCGGGTGGATCATGAGGTCAGGAGATCGAGACCATCCTGGCTAACAAGGTGAAACCCCGTCTCTACTAAAAATACAAAAAATTAGCCGGGCGCGGTGGCGGGCGCCTGTAGTCCCAGCTACTCGGGAGGCTGAGGCAGGAGAATGGCGTGAACCCGGGAAGCGGAGCTTGCAGTGAGCCGAGATTGCGCCACTGCAGTCCGCAGTCCGGCCTGGGCGACAGAGCGAGACTCCGTCTCAAAAAAAAAAAAAAAAAAAAAAGAAAGAAGGAACCAGACAGTTGTACATTAGCACAGTGATTGAGTGGTGGCCTCATTAGTACTTAGAATTCAGAAGCAAGCCTCAACCCCATCCTGAGCCCTAGAAAAAAACAGATGACAATGTGTACGATGTGCACAATTGGGGGGATGAGAGGTAAGGGTAAGGAGAAGGAGATTATATCCCATGACCACCTGGTTTTAGATAAAAGAAGACAAATTCCCATAGTATAACAGATTACAAAGAATTAGACACCAAAATAGAAATCTCCCCCAAGTCTCTGGACAGTAAAATGTATAGGTCATGACAGTTTGGTAGACTTTTTCTACTTTGATTAAATAATGGGGTACAATTTGAAGTTTTTGGACTGTCATGTTAATGACTGATGCACATTACAGACATCTGTAGGCAGATATTATGCCTATACCCCTATATTGGACTATGCTCTTTAAGCCAAGAAAAGCATCTGACTTTTCTCTAGCACCTAGTATAATGCATAACAAATACCAGATATGGAAATGTTGCTTAAAACTGACCTTCTTCAATAAAGCTGTTTAAATATATTTTAAAGAGATAGAACATTTTAAAACAATGCTACACGCAGGAAAGTAGATAATATAAAATATTAAAAAGTCAGGTTCCAACTACCCATGAGTATTTCAGAGAGATCCAGCAGGATATAACTTAGGAGGAAAGTTCCATTGTTCAGAAGCTTCAAGCCAATTAATAATTTATGCTTTTCACATCCTCATGTTCTCACTGTCTCCCACTTCTGCCTCCTCTTCTAAGGATTATTATCTCACTGACAGTTTTTCTTCCCAGCCTCTGTATTACTGCAATTCCTATTAAATAACAGAAAACGATTTCCCCTTCACATTGAAAACTGTTCTTTGTTGTGTTTTGAGACACAGTCTCACTGTTGCCCAGGCTGGAGTGCAGCGGCCCGATCTCCACTCACGGCAACCTCCGCCTCCTGGGTTCAAGCGATTCTCCTGCCTCAGCCTCCCGTAGTGGGGACTACAGGCATGCACCACCACACCTGTATTTTCAGTAGATACGGGGTTTCACCGTGTTAGGATGGTCTGGATCTCCTAACCTAGTGATCCGCCCGCCTCAGCCTCCCAAAGTGCTGGGATTACAGGTGTGAGCCACCGCACCCAGCTGAAAACTGTTTTTACCTCTTTTCTTTTACTAAGGAATTCCCAAATTGGGTTGTATGTCAGTCAGCTGAAGGAGTTTTTAAAATTACATCCTAGATACACTGAACAAGAATACTGGGGTGAGAAGCTGGGTGCAGTGGCTCACGCCTGTTATCCCAGCACTTTGGGAGGCCAAGGTGTGCAGATCACCTGAGGTCAAGAGTTAGAGACCAGCCTTGCCAACATGGTGAAACCAAAATACAAAAGAATAGCCAGGTGTGGTGGCAGGCACCTGTAATCCCAGCTACTCGGGAGGCTGAGGCAGGAGAATTGCTTGAACCTGGGAGGCAGAGGTTACAGTGAGCCAAGATCACACCACTGCACTCTAGTCTGGTTGACAGAGTGAGACTCCATCTCAAAAAAAAAAAAAGGATACGGAGGTGAGATCCAGGACTTTTTCCCAAAAAGCTACTCAGATCGTTCTTATGTATAGTTAAGTCCAGTAGCCCAGTGAATGGAATCTATTGCCCTAATATCTGATTCTCCTTTAAAAATGTAAGTTGCTCATTCTTCCATGTTAAAGGCACTTACAGTAGAGAAAGCGGTGTCTCCTGTTTCTCACTGCTTTTTCAGGCCATTATTCTCACTACTGAACAAAAACTGCTTTTTTTTTTAATGTGGGTATGACCTTTGGCTACTCCCCTTTCAAATGTTCCCAGCTTTCTTTTCTTTTTTGTTTTTTTGAGACGGAGTCTTGCCTCCCAGGTTCAAGCAATTCTCCTGCCTCAGCCTCCCTAGTAGCTGGGATTACAGGCATGCAGCACCATGCCTGGCTAATTTTGTATTTTTAGTAGAGACGGGGTTTCTCCATGTTGGTTAGGCTGGCCTTAGAACTCCCGACCTCAGGTGATTGGCCCGCCTCAGCCTCCGAAAGTGCTGGGATTACAGGCAGGAGCCATGGTGCCCGGCCTATGTTCCCACCTTTCTACCCACTATCACATTTCCCCACAGGCATCAAAGACTTTGGGTTGGCACTGATTTCAGTTTCTCTCTTTCCAAGCTATTCTGTGTGTCTCATATATAAATGTACATCCCAATGAATGCTCACAAAGTGATCACACCCAGATGAAGAAATATATTATCAGTACCCCAGAACCCCCTCCTATGCCTCCTAAAATTGCTCACTACTCCTACTCTACAAAAATAACCTTCATCCTAACTTAAATTACAGATGGGTTTTGCCTGTTTTGTATTTGTATAAAAGTAGTAACAGAGTATGCTCTTATGCTCTTCTTCTTTGGTCAACATTATTCATGAGATTCATCTATATGGCTGTATATAGAAGTATCTTATTCATTTTCTTTTTAAATATTTTTCTTTTTTTCTTTGAGACAAAGTCTTGCTTTGTCACCCAGGCTGGAGTACAGTGGCACAATCTTGGCTCACCGCAACTTCCACCTCCCAGTTTCAAATGATTCTTGTGCCTCAGCCTCCCGAGTAGCTGGGGTTACAAGCGTGCGCCATTGCACCAAGCTAATTTTTTCTACTTTCAGTAGAAATGAGGTTTCGCCATGTTGGCCAGGCTGGTCTTGAACTCCTGGCCTCAAGTGATCCACATGCCTCAGCCTCCCAAAGTGCTGGGATTAGAGACATGAGCCACTGCCTCATTTTCATTATTATTGTGCAGCATCCATTTATGAATATATCCAATTTATTTCTTTATTCTATTGGAAAACAATTTGGGTTGCTTCTAGCTTTTGGCTATTAAGAATAAAGCTATACAGCCAGGCGCGGTGGTTCACGCCTGTAATCCCAGCACTTTCAGAGGCCGAGGCAGGTGGATTACGAGGTCAGGAGTTCAAGACCAGCCTGGCCACAATGGTGAAACCGTCTCTACTAAAAATACAAAAATTAGCTGGCCGTGGTGGAGGGCACCTGTAATCCCAGCTACTCGGGAGGCTGAGGCAGAATTGCTTGAACCCAGGAGGCAGAGGTTGCAGTGAGCTGAGATCGTGCCACTGCATTCCAGCTTGGGCAACAGAGCGAGATTCAAAAAAACAAAAAAACAAAAAACCAAAAAAACAAAAAAACAACAAAAACCATGCTTCTGAAGTTCACATAGAAAAAAAACCTCATAAAAAGACAGACGGATCGGTGACAGGTTCTTCTCCATTTGTGCCAAGCCATATGGATCTTGCTAAAATGTCACACTTATATACTTGAGTTCATTACAGCATACTGCCTGTATGCATTATCATGACACTCAAGGCCCTATTATAGTCTAGTCTCAAACTACCTTTCCAGAATATTCTACATTTTCACATCCTTCACTTTGTTACAAATTACATACCGATATTTACCATCACAAAATCTTGTAATGATCAGTGCTGGATTTTCATTTAAAAATTATGCTCATTCATTCTTCTAACATCTGTGGTCCAGGTGCAATAGCTCACGCCTATAATCCCAACACTTTGGGAGGCTGAGGCAGGAGGACTAATTGAGGCCAGGAGTTGGAGACCAGCCAGGGCAAGAGAGCAAGACTCCGTCTCTATAAAAAATTAGTTGGGCGTGGTAGCATCTGCAGACGTCTTCTTATGAGAACTGCTTTTAGTTTATTCAGTTATTTGAAGTTAAATGAAAGACAATTTATGTTAAAAAAAATTTGTGCTAAAAAGGTTTTAAGTATCATTCTAATCCAGATTATTGGCTCATTGAATCCAGTGAGTAGGAAAAATCTAGTTTGTATTTGCTGGGGGTGTGTGTGTGTGTGTGTGTGTGTGTGTGTGTGTGTGCACGCGTGTGTTTTAAGAGACAGGGTCTTGCTCTGTCACCCAGGCTGGAGTACGGTGGCAGAATCATGGCTCACTGTACCCTCGAACTCCTAGGCTCAAGTGATCCTACGGCCACAGTCTCCCAAGTAGCCAGGACTACAGCCAGTTGAGTCAATAAATATTTCTTGTTTCAAGCTATCTCCTTATTTAATATGGTCTATAAAATAAGATTATTAAGTAAACATTTAACTTTATACCTAGCTTTTATATAAGCCCAATCATCCCCTTTTTAACGCATAACTTAACATCGTAATTCTTTAGATCACATAACTCTTTAGACAATTGTGTAGTTCTAAAACATTAACCAGGCCAGGTGTGGTAGCTCACATCTGTAATCCCAGCACTTTGGGAGGCTGAGGCGGGTGGATCACTTGAGGTCAGGAGTTTGAGAGCAGCCTGGCCAGCATGGTGAAACCCCATCTCTACTAAAAATACAAAAAAGTTAGCTTGGAATGGTGGTGCATGCCTGTAGTCCCAACTACCTGGGAGGCTGAGGTAAGAGAATGGCTTGAACCCGGGAGGCAGAGGTTGCAGTGAGCCGAGATCGTGCCATTGCACTCCAGCCTGGGCAATACAGCAAGGCTCCATCTCAAAAAACAAAACAAAACAAAACAAAAACAAAAAACACATAAACCATTCGAGGCTTGAAATGGACCTTCATAATAAGCATATTAAAAAAAAGCATTTCCACACTCTGCCCAGTGTCACCCCGATCTAGCTTTTTCATTGCCTTGGTTTAAAAAGCTTTTTATTGGCCAGGTGCAGTGGATCACACCTGTAATCCCAGTACTTTGGGAGGCCAAGGAGGGCAGATCACAAGATCAGGAGATCGAGACCATCCTGGCTAACACGGTGAAACCCCATCTCTACTAAAAATACAAAAAATCAGCCGGGCGTGGTGGCGGGCGCCTGTAGTCCCAGCTATTCGGGAGGCTGAAGCAGGAGAATGGGGTGAACCTGGGAGGCGGAGCTTGCAGTGAGCCAAGATCATGCCACTGCACTCCAGCCCGGGCAACAGAGCAAGACTCTGTCTCAAAAAAAAAAAAAAAAAAAAAAAAAAAAAAAAGGCTTTTTTAATTTTTTTATTTTAGTATAGTTTTAGGTTTACAGGAAAGGTAAAAATACAGAGAGTTCCTGTACAACCCAGATCCAATTTCCCCAATGTTAATACCTTTCATTACTATGGTATATTTGTCACAACTAATGAACCAATACTGATATATTATTAACTAAATCCTATACTTTATTGAGATTTTAGTAGTTTTCCCCTAATGTTCTTTTTCTGTTCCAGAGTCTCACCTAGAGTACTGAAATACATTTAGTTGCTCCTGTCTTTTTAGACTCTTCTGGTCTATGACAGTCTCTCAGACTTTCCTTATGTCTGAAAGTATGTCAAATATTTTGTAGAATGTTCCTCAATTAAGGGTATGATTTTTTCCCTCATGATTAGATTGTGTTTGTGGGTTTTTAGGGGGAAGATACTACAGATATAAAGTACCATTGTCAACATATCAACATGACTTATCACTTACAATACTGTCAACATGCTATCAACATGACCTATCACTTACAATACTAAATTTAATCACCTGGGTAGGTAATGTTTGCCAAGTTTCTCTACTTCAAAGTTGTTTCCCCCTTTTGAAACTGTACTATTCAGAAGCAAGTAACTAAGCACAGCCTACATTTAAGGGGTAGAAGTTATATTTCATCTCCTTGAGAAGGGAGTATTTAAATGATTTGGAATTCTTTTGTATGTACATTGTCATATTCTAGCTAATTGTTCATAAATATACTCACCCTTAGGTTATAAATTACTTAGTGTTGTATGTTCCAGGTAGGCATGATATTTAACAAATTTCTGCCAAATACATAAATTTCCCAAAGCATATAATAAAAATAAACTGGTTCATTATTATGTCTTCAACATCTAGAATACAGTGCCTGGATTATTACAGAATATTCAGAATTATAACATAGGCTCCATAAGAACAGGGATATCTTGTTATTCAATATTGTATCTCTAGATAGTAAAACTGTACACAGCTCAAGTGCTCAGTAAATATTTGATGAATATATAATTCAAAAATGTAAACTCTTCTTTACCCTAAGTGTATATAAATGTTATATACAAGAATCTCTCTACCACACAGTTTAAGAGAGGAAAGAATGGACCTAACTAAAAGAAAACACACAAGGCTGAAAAGTTAGTCAGTCAGTAAGACCTAATGCCATACCAGACAAGGATTAAGTCACACGCTCCCTATACTTAAAGAATAAACTACATTCTAACTGCAACAGAATTTCTTCTTTTTTCTAGAAGCTAAGCAAGCACTGGCCTCAAGATAAGCAATATTGAAACAATTGCAGCTTACTGACTGCCAGATGCTGACTGACTCACTCCCTGTTCCACAGCCGTAACTACAGCTTTGACTGGACAAGAGACTGATTTCAGTAACTTTCTCCTGATAGGAGTCGCCAACCATGGACTGGTTCTGGCCCGTATACAGAGGCTGAGCATTGAGTGCCTTCGTGTCCTTGGCTTTACCTTTTGACAACAGGGCCTAATTGTAATGCATTTAAATTGTTCAGTCCCCACTCCAAAGTAAACATGAAATGCATGTAACATGCATGTTTGTCTACTATGCATGCGTGTGTTTCCCTTTTCATGATGTTCACAGCTCCTCCTATAGCCTGCTGAATCGATTTAGTTGTACTTGGCCAACTTATTCAGCATCAATTCCTATGTTACCCTTCCCTCCTGCAAAGTGCCTGCTTTTAGTCTTTGCCAGAGGCCACACTTCCCAGCCTGTCAGGATGGCCAGTCTTTTTTTTTTTTTTGAGATGGAGTCTCGCTCTGTCACCCAGGTTGGAGTGCGGTGGCGCAATCTCAGCTCACTGCAAGCTCCGCCTCCCAGGTTCACGACATTCTCCTGCCTCAGCCTCCCGAGTAGCTGGGACTACAGGCGCCTGCCATCACACCTGGCTAATTTTTGTATTTTTAGTAGAGAGGGGGTTCCATCATGTTAGCCAGGATGGTCTCAATCTGCTGACATCGTGATCCACCCACCTCGGCCTCCCAACGTGCTGGGATTACAGGTGTGAGCCACCACACCCGGCCCAGGATGGCCAGTCTTTATAAGAATTAAAGCTCTTCTCTCCAAATTGGTAGATCTTGTGATTCTTTGAAGTTCCTCCTGACTAAAGAATGATACAGAGGAATGACAGAAATAAGGCTAAGGAAACAAACAGGAATCCAGACACAAAGGAATTTATGTGCCATGTTAACAAGTTTGGACTTTATCCTATAATAAATATAATCCTTAAAGAGTTTTTAAGTAGAGAAATAACATGATTAGATATTATTTTTCATTATTTTTATTTCTATTTTTGACACAGGGTCTCACTCTGTTGCCCAGGCTGGAGTACAGTGGTGCTATCTCAGCTTACTGCAGGCTCCGCTTCCTGGGCTCAGGTGATCCTCCCACCTCAGCTTCCCAAATAGCTGGGACCACAGGCAGCAATTTAGCCACCACATCTGGCTAATTTTTTTGTATTTTTTTGTAGAGACAAGGTTTCACCACGTTGCCCAGGCTGGTCTCAAACTCCTGGACTCAAGCGATGCACCCACATCAGCCTCCCAAAGTGCTGAGATTACAGGCGTGAGTCACCAAGACTGGTAGAGAAGTAACATGATTAGATATTAATCAGAAAGAAAAAAACACCCTCATTCTGAATCCATGCTGTAAAAATACAATGGAGGGGAACAATAATAAATACAAGGAACCCAGGTGAAAGACAGAGGCCTAGACTAGAAATGGCAAAGGAGTGGGAGTACCAAATGAATTTATGCACGATTTAGGACACAGAACCAACAGATCTTGGTAATACACTAAAGGTAAAGTTTTAGGGAGAGGAAGAAGTAAAGAATGTATAGCATTATCAGTCACGGTGGCTACTGCTGACAGGCAGGCTGGCAGATGAAAAGACAGTAATTTGTGTTTGGGAAGTGCTGAATCACACACCAAGACATGGGTTTGGAAACTATGGAAAGACAAAGGCTAAAGAAAGAACTTGAAAAGTAATCAGCATATAGACAGTAACTGAAATACAGGTGTGGATAAGATTACCCAGGATTAAAGTCAGGAGTAGAAAGAATATAGAGCTTAGGTTGGAGTTGAAATGGTGAGGACTAGTATTTAAGAAATCTTTAGTTATCCCAGCATATTAAGAATATGCCAGGCCGGGCGCGGTGGCTCACGCCTGTAATCCCAGCACTTTGGGAGGCCGAGGCGGGTGGATCATGAGGTCAGGAGATCAAGACCATCCTGGCTAACAAGGTGAAACCCCGTCTCTACTAAAAATACAAAAAATTAGCCGGGCGCGGTGGCGGGCGCCTGTAGTCCCAGCTACTCGGGAGGCTGAGGCAGGAGAATGGCGTGAACCCGGGAAGCGGAGCTTGCAGTGAGCCGAGATTGCGCCACTGCAGTCCGCAGTCCGACCTGGGCGACAGAGCGAGACTCCGTCTCAAAAAAAAAAAAAGAATATGCCAGTGTTCATACTGAGGAGAACATGGGTAAAACAGAAACAGTAGAAAGCTAACTTTTAATTACTCTAACCAAGATTCACTACTTAATTAAATAGATCCGAGAACACACAAAAAAGTACTCATTATATAAGTCAGTTCTTCCCAGGAGAAGCAGTGTTTTAGTTTGGGAGAAAAATGCTGGGTCCACAAACCCAGGACAATCTGGGGTTCTAGTCTGGTTGTACTAACAACCAGCTATATGACCAGGTAACTGAAAACTATAAAATGAGCTCTTTAAGATCCTTCGTAAGTCTAAGAGTCAATGATTCCACTGAGATCATTCTATAGTCTAGCAAGATATACAAATAAGACTTTATATCAGAAAGAATAGTATAAAATATGAGCATGGGATACAAACAAATCTGGGGATTCAATTACTCTCATTTACTAAATTGTTAAAAGTTGGCAAGTTGCTTTAATTTCTCTATGCATCAGTGAATGTATCACACAGAATTTTATTAATATAAGGTACTTAAAGTGCTTCTCACAGTGCCTGGTACATAAAACATTTTTCAAATGTTAGCTATTGTTTTAAATATCTTTAGTAATAAACTCTAAAAAATCCATATTATAAGATATACCACTTCCAACACCATGAACCATGTACAAGCAGTGGCTACCACCTATTTAAAATATAATACAGTCAGAGAAGAGCAGAGAGAAAACAGAATGGCTTGGAGGCAGTGGAGTGACCTCATTACCTGCGGGTCCTGCAGCAGCTGCATCTTCCATGAGTTCTCCCTCTTCTAATTCCATGTTGTTATATTCCACATCATTTTCTCCAGACCTAAGAATATACAAAATCCATCATTTATATAGAGTGATACAATAAACGTTGTTTTTCACACCTCAATAAATTTTATGATATGCAGATTTTTCTGTGAAATAAGATATTTCTAAATACAAAAAGGAGAAAGATTTTTGTCATTTTCCAAATTTAAGTAGCGTTAATGTTATTGTTTAAACAACCTTTAAAAAATATCGGCCGGGCGCGGTGGCTCATGCCTGTAATCCCAGCACTTTGGGAGGCTGAGGCAGGCGGATCACGAGGTCAGGAGATCGAGACCATCCTGGCTAACACGGTGAAACCCTGTCTCTACTAAAAATACAAAAAATTAGCTGGGTGTGGTGGCAGGCACCTGTAGTCCCAGCTACTCAGGAGGCTGAATCAGGAGAATGGCGTGAACCCAGGAGGCAAGCTTGCAGTGAGCCAAGATTGCACAACTGCACTCCAGCCTGGGCGACAGAGCGAGACTCCATCTCAAAAAAAAAAAAAAAATCAGCCAGTTCTTCTTAGAAAGCTAAGAAAAAAAGGAATTTAAAAAAAAAAAAAAAAAAATATATATATATATATATATATATATCTCAAGGCCGGGCGCAGTGACTCACGCCTGAAATCCCAGAACTTTGGGAGGCTAAGGTGGGAGGATCACCTGAGGTCAGGATTTCGAGACCAGCCTGGCCAACATGGCAAAACCCTGTCTCTCCTAAAAATACAAAAATTAGCTGGGCGTTGTGGTGGGGACCTGTAATCCCAGCTCCTCGGGAGGCTGAGGCAGCAGAATCGGTTGAACCCGGGAGGTGGAGGTTGTAGTGAGCCAAGATTGCACTACTGCACTTCAGCCTGGACGACAGAGCGAGACTCTGTCTCAAGGAGGACAGGACAGGACAGGAAAGGAAAGGAAAGGAAGATTAAAAAAAAAGAACTGTGTCAGGCAAAAAAATAGAAATAAATGAAACACTAAAAAATCTAAGAACCACTATTAGAAGAGATTAATCTCTCCTATTTAATTAGTGTTAGAAACACTAATAAATACAAGAACCACTGTTAGAAGAAATTACAGCTTCAGAGAACTGGTAGCTTAATGGCAATAAGCTTAAAACACTACATGTAGTGTTAGGCTTAAAACACTACATTTTAACATCCAAAAAAAGCCCAAATTACTGTATATGACTAAATACCATTTTTCAAAAATAATATTTCAGCAAAGAGGGTATTACTTCCTACTCGGCCATACAAAGTCTCTCATGTTAAAAAACAATCACTATTACTTTATTTTAAACAACATACTACTTGAAACAGTACCAGTCAATGACAGTCTTGGGTATTTAAGGAAATCTCAAGATAAGCACCCAGCTTGACAATGTAAGGAGCTCTGTAGGTCTGCTCTTTAGTCAAACTGGTGACAATTATTTTAAAAACAACCACTTAACGACTCTGGAAATGGTCCCAAGGGCATACAGCAAATGAAGAAACATCTACTCAAAAAAATCTATAAAAACTGGGTAAGACAAGTGGGCATCTGCAGTATTTGAACCAAGATCACTCCACTTCCTAACTTGGTGTTACAGAAATTCCACTCCAGACTGGTGCAGTGAAGAACACAGGCCTCCCACTTCCCGAACTTCCAAGAGGAGGGCTATATTCCTGGGAGTGGCAAGGTATCAGCATCTCTCATTCTGCCCCCAGCTACCTATTGCTGATGCTATAGTACAGGCACACACGGCCAAGAGGTGGAGACTCCCTTCTGCTGAGACCCACTTGTGGACTAGATGCTCTACCTGGATGCAGCATGATGAGAATACTGGGGCCCAGATCATCCCTGCCCCAGCTTATTCATAAGGTGGAGGTCCCAAGCCTGAAAAGGAAAGAACTAAGGCTACTGTCCCCAACATCCAGTTAGCTCAGCTTCTAAAGTAAGAGAGGTACACCTTTATCCTTACTCCAACTTCAAAGCTTTGGCTCAGAGATTTTGCCTATGGGGAGAAGCAGAGACACATACAACACTCAGAGAAACATACAACACTATTAAGAGCATCAACGAAATATAGTTGGCCTTCTTTATCTGTGGGCTCTGCATCTGTGCATTCAACCAACTGTGGATCAAAAATATTTTTTAAGCCCTGGTGTGGTGGTTCATGCCTGTAATCCCAGCACTTTGGGAAGCCGAGGCTGGAGGGACTTCTTGAGCCTAGGAGCTCCGGGCCAGCCTAGAACATAGTAAGGCAACATAGTGAGACCCTGTCTCTACAAAATATTAAAAAATTAGCCAGGTGTGTTGGCATGCACCTGTAGTCCTAGCTACTTGGAAAACTGAGGTGGGAGGATCACTTGAGCCCAGGAGGTCGAGGTTGCAGTGAGCTGTGATCACGCGACCACTGCACTCCAGCTTGGGTGACAGGGCAAGACCCCGTCTCAAAAAATAAAGCCGGCCGGGTGCTGTGGCTCACCTGAGGCCAGGAGTTCAAAACCAGCCTGGTCAACATTGCAAAACCCTGTCTCTACTAAAACTACAAAAAATTAGTCGGGCGTAGTGGCAGGCGTGTATAATCCCAGCTACTCAGGAGGCTGAGGCAGGGGAACTGCTTGAACCCAGGAGACGGAGGCTGCAGTGAGCTGAGATTGTGCCACTGCACTCCAGCCTGGGCGACAAGAGCGAAACTCCGTCTCAAAAAAAAATAAATAAAACAAAACAAAATAAAGTCATGCGCAGACATTTTCCCCTTGTCATTATTCTGTATACAATAGAGTATAACAACTACTTACATAGCATTTGCATTGTATTAGGTATTATAAGTAATCTAGAGATGATTTAAAAGTATAGGGGAGGATGTGCATAGGTTATATGCAACTACTCTGCCATTTTATATAAGATACTTGAGCATCCTCAGATTTTAGTATCCAAGGGCGGGGTCCTAGAACCAATACCGCAAGGATACTGAGGGACAACTGTACTAGCAAACAGAATGCAGTAACATATAAAAAGAATCATGAGCCGAGTGTGATGATGCACACCAGTAGTCCTAGCTACTATGGAGGCTGAGGCAGGTGGATCACTTGAGGCCAGAGTTGAAGGTTACAGGGAGCTATAATCATGCCACCATACTCCAGCCTGGCCACAAAGCCAGATTCTCTTAGGAAAAAAAAAAAATTGCTGGGTGCCGTGGCTCATGCCTGTAATCCCAGCACTTTGGGAGGCCGAGGCAGGCAGATCACAAGGTCAGGAGATTGAGATCATCCTGGCTAACACGGTGAAACCCCATCTCTATTAAAAATACAAAACAAAATTAGCCGGGCAAGGTGGTGGGCACCTGTAGTCCCAGCTACTTGGGAGACTGAGGCAGGAGAATGGTGTGAATCCAGAAGGCGGAGCTTGCAGTGAGCGGATATTGCGCCACTGCACTCCAGCCTGGGGGACAGAGCGAGACTCCGTTTCAAATAAAAAAAAAAGAAAAAAAAAATTACGGCTGGGCGAAGTGGATCACACCTGTAATTCCAGCACTTTGGGAGGCCAAGACGGGTGGATCACGAGGTCAGGTGTTTGAGACCAGCCTGGCCAACGCAGTGAAACCTCGTCTCTACTAAAAATACAAAAAATTAGCTGGGTGTGGTGGTGGGTGCCTGTAATCCCAGCTACTTGGGAGGCTGAGGCAGGAGAATCGCCTGAACCCGGGAGGCGGAGGTTGCAGTGAGCCGAGATCATGCCACTGCACTTAAGCCCGGGTGACAGTGCGAAACTCCGTCACAAAAAAAAAAAAAAGAAAAAAGAAAAAAAATTACACACTATGACCAAGTGGGATGTGTCCCAGGAATGCAAGCTTGGTTTAAAAATCCAAAAATCGCCAGGCACAGTGGCTCACACCTGTAATCCTAGCACTTTGGGAGGCTGAAGTGGGCAGATCACCTGAAGTCAGGAGTTCAAGACCAGCCTGGCCAACATGGTGAAACCCCGTCTCCACTAAAAATACAAAAAAATAGCCAGGCGTGGTGGTGCACGCCTGTAATCCTTGCTACTCGGGAGGCTGAGGTGGAAGGATCACTTGAACCCAGGAGATGGAGGTTGCAGTGAGCCAAGATCGTGACACTGCATGCCAGCCTGGGTGACAGAGCAAGACTCCATCTCAAAAAAAAAAAATTATCCACATTAATGAAATTCATTAGTTCATCAATTAACAGGGCAGAAGGAAAAGCTCTTCCTTAAATTGCAACTAATGAATGAGTAAGAAATAATGGAATTAGAAAAACACCACTTGGCAATCAACACAGTAACCTTTTTCAGGCAACACTCATCAAAGGGTGTCAAAATTCATAGGAAAAAGTAGGATGAAAAATAGGATATTTACAGTCCCATACATAAGATACTTATTAATTATAAAGGAAAAAGTACAAATTTTGGAGTGAAGAAACCTGGCGGATGCTACCTCAACTAAGTGATCAAAATTAACCACAAGTAATGGGACATACTGACATCATGCTCCACTCTGTATGACGCAGTGAAAAGGATACATTATCATTTCCGTAGTATCCCTGCCAAAAGTGTGTAACCTCTATCTAATCATGAGGAAACTTCAGACTAATCCAAACTGAGGGACTTTCTACAAAATAAACTATTCTGTATTTCTCAGAAAGTATTAGTCATGAAAAACAGTTTTTTTTTTTTTTTGAGACAGAGTCTCAACTGTCGCCCAGGCTGGAGTGCCGTGGCGTGATCTTAGCTCACTGCAAGCTCCGCCTCCCGGGTTCACCCCATTCTCCTGCCTCAGCCTACCAAGTAGCTGGGACTACAGGCGCCTGCCACCACACCTGGCTAATTTCTTTTTTGTATTTTTAGTAGAGACGGGGTTTCACCGTGTTAGCCAGGATGGTCTGGATCTCCTGACCTCGTGATCCACCCGCCTCAGCCTCCCAGAGTGCTGGGATTACAGGCGTGAGCCACCGTGCCCAGCCGAAAAACAAATTTTTAAAAAAGTAACCCAGATTGGCCAGGTGCGGTGGCTCACGCCTGTAATCCCAACACTTTGGGAGGCCGAGGTGGACGGATCATGAGGTCAGGAGATCAAGACCAACCTGGCTAACACGGTGAAACCCCGTCTCTACTAAAAATACAAAAAATTAGCTGGGCGAGGTGGCGGGCGCCTGTAGTTCTAGCTGCTCGGGAGGCTGAGGCAGGAGAATGGCGTAATCCGGAAGGTGGAGCTTGCAGTGAGCTGAGATCATGCCACTGCACTCCAGCCTGGGCGACAGAGCGAGACTCCGTCTCAAAAAAAAAGGAAAAAAAAAAAAGTAACCCAGATTGAAGATAACTAAATCGATTTAACAATTAAATGCAACATGATCCTGACAAAGGACATTACTGGCAAATTTTTAGAAGGTTACAGTATTACATCAATGTTAATTTCCAGATTTTGATAACTATTCTATAGTTATGTAAGAATATCCTTGTTTTTAGAAAAGTACACAATGAGAAGTATATTCGATCTCAAGTGTTTCAGAAAAAATTATATACAGAGAAATATAAAGCAAAATATTCATAGGGAATGAATCTGTGTGAAGGAAACATGAAATTCTGAACTTTTCTTAAGTATAAAATAATTTCAAAATTCAAATTTAAAAGTTAAAACACAAACAAAAATTATTGGCTAAGAGCCCAGAGATTAGAGAGAGAAAACTGACTATTGATTCAATCTTTCAAAAAAGTGCTGAATATCCCTACATTTAAGTGTGAGTTAGTTAATATGCTTCTAATAATTACCACTTAAATGCTTTACAGTAGTAAAGTGGGAAACTCACATAGTTTCTTCATCAATATCATTTTCTTCTGTATTACTTGTTGCTGTGGAACTAGCAGAGGAACTGCTGCCATCGAGCTGATTTACTTCATCCTCATAAACAAGATCCAGATCCAGATCTCCATCTGAAAGCTCGTGCTAGATCAATGCCAAGAAAACAAGACGTCTATTCCAAATGTTTCTACTCAGTTGATCACCCCATCCAGCCCATAAACCAAGCACCAAAGAATAATACAGTTTTCAAAAATCTATTTTCTGCTCCTGTGCCTCAGCTGCTGAGCCCTGTAGAGAAAAATCACACAACCACACTGACTGATATCATTTTACTAACTTATGCGTGCCGCCTTCAGCTGGGCCCTCAGTGTGACTGGAATCCTTCACATATTCCACATCAGCTTCCTCACAGAGTAACGTTTCAAACCATCACTCCTCAATTCTACCTAATTTTACCATTATCAAGGTCATTAATTAACACTGTCACCTATCTGCACAGAAAAAAAATACCCACTATTAAGCAAAAACTTCCCCAACTTTTCAGCTGCCTTACCTGCAAACTCCACCCTTCCTTTAACTCAGTTTATCAAAGGTTAACTGCTTCACCTGACTGCTCCATTCCAAACCCTATTATCTCTAGTTTATCAAAGCACTTAATCTGTGCATTCTCTCGACCCACTGGGTCCTTCATTTTAACTTAAAACTGAAGTCTCTCATCTTAAAAATTACTACAAAAAAACCAACTGTCTATGCATCCCTTCTTATGTAAAAATATCAACTACTTCTTGAACTCTTATTCTGGATTCTGACTGTTGTTTAGCTGGGATAGAACCTGGCTAGCTACCGAATCCTAAATCAGTCTACCTACGTAAGTAATGATAAGGCATGTACTAGTTTCAGTGAATGAAAATAGAACACCTTTTTTTTTTCTTT
Source organism: Homo sapiens (assembly GCF_000001405.40). Lineage (NCBI taxonomy): Eukaryota > Metazoa > Chordata > Mammalia > Primates > Hominidae > Homo > Homo sapiens. The sequence goes on from NC_000017.11 coordinate 59,048,609, forward strand.
TTCTTTGAGACAGAGTCTTGCTCTGTCTCCCAGGCTGGAGTGCAGTGGCACAATCTTGGCTCACTGCAACCTCCGCCTCCTAGGTTCAAGTGATTCTCCTACCTCAGCCTCCCAAGTAGCTGGGATTACAGGCAAGCACCACCACACCCAGCTAATTTTTGTATTTTTCGTAGAGACAGGGTTTGGCCATGTTGGCCAGGATAGTCTCGAACTCCTGACCTCATGTGATCCACCCACCTTGGCCTCCCAAAGTGCTGGGATTACAGGTGTGAGCCACCGCACCCGGCCAGAACACATTTTTAAAATCCACAATGTATGGTAGTTTAGGTTTTAAAATGTGTATCACGGTTTGTTTTATACAATGTATTGTTTTTTTCACAACCTTGAAATGCTTTGATTCAACAACTTCTGACTTATTAACATTTACATAAGGGCATACATACATTACTAATGGAAATCAATGGACAATATTTTTAGCCTACTGTTTTAGCACATAATATGTTAAAAGCCATGATGCTACTGTTTTTTTTTAATCAAACACAAAAATCTAAAACTGGCCTCATTATTACATGATAATCTTCATTCTGAATCTTCTCCTCATCTTCTTCATCCTCTTTGGCCTCTCTTACAGAAGCTGTAGTAGGACCACCTTCGAGAAGCATGTCAGAGCATGCAGACTTCTTAGCTCGTGTCTCCAGAGCATCATCATTTTGGGGGCTAAGATGGTTATCTGGTGGTGACAAATCTCTTGACTTCTGAGTTCGAGACAGCTCAATAGTAAGTCTCTTTTAAAACAAGAAAAGCACAAATATTAGCCACAGCTCACTGGCACAGTAAAAGATGTCTCAAGTGAAAAAAAAATGCATCCAGATGTTTCTAAAACCATTGCTTTATTTATTTTTTGAGAATGGTCTCACTCTGTTGCCCAGGCTGAAGTGCAGTGGTGCCATCATAGCTCACTGCAAGCCTTGAACTACTGGGCTCAAACGATCCTACTGCCTCAGCCTCTCAAGTGGCTGGGACTGGAGGTGTGTGCCACCATGCTTGGCTAATTTCATTTTTATTTATTTTTAGAGACGGTATCTTGCTATGTTGCTCAAGCTGGTTTTGAACCCCTGGGCTCAAATGTTCCTCTGGCCTCGGCCTCCCAACATGCTGGGATTACAGGAATGAGCCACCTCACTTGGCACCATTTCTTAAACCATTTCTCTGAATCCCTACTGCCTTTTATTTATAAAAAAAAATTGATGACAAAGATAAACTGCCCCATTTATGCTCATCCTCCTTCTTTCATATCCAGCCTAAGCTAAACATACAATTAGCAAACAGTATAGTGAATACAGGCAGTTTTAAATAGCACATTTAACATGAAAATCTCTGAAAGCATGTATTTATTCACATTTTCCTCCCTGACCTATTAACGACTCTCAGCACTCCAAACCTCCTGCCACACCCTAACTTCCTAAGGGAAATGAAACATTCCTTAGTTTACCACTGTAAAATAAAAATTCATCAATTAATCTTCCCCAGTGCTCATTCAACAATAGTAAGAGTTCAAGATGGGACAACTTTTAATTGTGCTATAGCCTAGAATCCTCTAAATCCAAGATAACTTGTGGAAGAGAAACTAAGTCACTGACAGAAACACAAACAGCTTACCTCAAACTACAGCCACACTGTTCAAAACAACTTTATGCAATGATGGAAATGCTCTAGATTTGCAGTAACCAATGCAAGCACTTGAAATGTGGCTACTGCAACTAAGGAACTAAATTTTTAATTTTAATTAAGCTAAATTTACAGACCAGGCACAGTGGCTCACACCTGTAATCCCAGCACTTTGGGAGGCCAAGGCAGGCAGACTGCTTGAGCCCAGGAGTTCAAGACCAGCTTGGGCAACATGGAGAAACCCATCTCCACAAAAACAAAAACTAGCCATGACACATGCTCGTAGTCCCAGCTACCTGGGAGGCTAAGGTGGGAAGATCACCCGAGCTTGGGAAGTTGAAGCTGCAGTTAGTGGAAATTGTGCCTGGCAACAAGAGTGAGTCCGACCTGTCTCCAAAATAAAAAAAAATAAAAATAAAGTGGCAGGGCGTGGTGGCTCATGCCTGTAATCCCAGCACTTTGGGAGGCCGAGGTGGGCAGATCACGAGGTCAGGACATCGAGACCATCCTGGCTAACACTGTGAAACCCTGTCTCTACTAAAAATACAAAAAAATTAGCCCGGTGTGGTGGCAGGCGCCTGTAGTCCCAGCTACTCAGGAGGCTGAGGCAGGAGAATGGCGTGAACCCAGGAGGCGGAGCTTGCAGTGAGCCGAGATTGCACCACTGCACTCCAGCCTGGGCAACAGAGCGAGACTCCTTCTCAAAAAAAATAAATAAATAAAGTAAAATAAAAATTTACATGGCCGTATGTGGCTAGTGTCTACTAAACTGGACACTGCAGAACTGGTAAGGATGGGGAACAAGATAACTAGATTTTTTTTCTAATTACAAATTACAAAATTACAAATAGCAATAAAATATATAAAATCTAATTACAAATATAACAAGCCAAAAGGACAATAGGAAACACCAAAACAGAAATAGATATTTTCTTACCTCTTTAAGGTTGTTTATTTGTTGGATATAACTAGTCTGTGCAGCTTCCAACTGAGTAATGTACCAATGCTGGTCCCGGGATTTTTGAAAGAAAGTTGGTGAACGTACCTGAAACCTTAAAAGAATTGTGCCACATTAAAAAAAAAATTCAAATAGTAAAACATTATCAGTCTAGCACTGAATTCTGCAATTTGGGTTAACTTGATTATAAGGCCAAAATTCACATAAACTTAGAGCTGCTAGTATTTGTTGTTTATAGATGTAGTCCACAGATTATGACACAAGGTTCTGAAAAGCCAGTTGTCCTCAAACTACCTTTCTAAAGAAATAACATTGTACATTGTAGTTAAGCTTCCCAAACTAACCTACTCAGGCATATTTATTATAATAATGTAACTAAAATACAATGATGATCATGAGTTGGGAAGAAGAGAGCCATATACTATGCAGTTTCCTCCTATAAGGAGGAAGATAACTCTTATCCCTTTCTTCCCTAAATGAGGCCCCAGCAAAATACAAAGTTTTTTTTTTTTTTGAGACGGAGTCTCGCTCTGTCGCCCAGGCTGGAGTGCAGTGGCGGGATCTCGGCTCACTGCAAGCTCCACCTCCCGGGTTCACGCCATTCTCCTGCCTCAGCCTCCCAAGTAGCTGGGACTACAGGCGCCCGCCACTACGCCCGGCTAATTTTTTGTAGCAAAATACAAAGTTTTAAGTGCTGCTCTTTATATTTCTCTATTCCATCTCACGTTCCCGTATTTCCTGCCCCTCAGAAAAAAAATCACTTCCTGGCTCAACCACCCAGGATTGCTTTACTATCCCCCAAGGAGTTACATGCTCTAAATAAACTATATCCTGAACCCTTCAAGATAGCAATCAAAACTGCCCTTATTACAATATGGCATTATTTCAGCTTAGGTTAGGAAAAAAAGTACTGCACCTACATAAAATCGTATTAATATATAAATGACAGAATCTTAATCTATCCAGAGTTGTTTTAATTAAAAAAAAAAAAAAAACTATTACTAAAGCAAACAAACCTCTACCTTTGTTACATAGCCTAACGTGACTATATTTAAGGTGAAAAAATTGCAGTGCATGTGTGAAGGTGTTTTTGAAGAAAGGAAAAACCACAAGGCAAGACTAATTTGGACATCTACATCTCTCTCATTCCTTCCAGCCCTTTTACCCGGCTACACAATGTTAGCTGTTCATTTTTTTCTAGGATTTTACACCTTATTGTAAGAACCTACTGACCATTTAACAGTTATCTGGCAGTAGATATCTAGTTTTAGTGAAGAATACTAATGCAAGAAAGGACAGAACATAAACACTGACTATAAAACAACAGTCCTATTTAATGTTGGGATAGTCTTTATAGGTCAGAAGTTTTTGGGCATCATTATATGTTATAACTGGATGATCAAAATGAGAACTTGAGTATTAAAAAAAGAGAGAGATTGGCCGGGCACAGTGGCTCACACCTGTAATCTTAGCACTTTGGGAGGCCGAGGTGGGCAGATCACCTAAGGTCAGGAGTTCGAGACCAGCGTGGCCAACATGGTGAAACCCCGTCTCTACTAAAAGTACAAAAATTAGCCGGGTATGGTGGCGGGCGCCTGTAATCCCAGCTACTCAGGAGGCTGAGGCAGGAGAATCGCTTGAATCTGGGAGGCAAAGGTGGCAGTGAGCCGAGATCGCACCACTGCACTCCAGCCTGGGCAACAGAGCGAAACTCTGTCTCAAAAAATCAAATCAAATCAAATCAAATCAAATCAAATCAAATCAAATCAAGAGATTAAATTACGTTCTGAACGGAACTGAGTAGAGATGATTCACTCAACTGAGCAGAGACGATTCACAGTCTAGGAAGTACCCACTGGTAAGACATTAAAGTAAGACCGTCTAAACACTATTATTTTCTTTGAATGATTTAAACCACTGGTTAACTCTGCACATTAGTTCTAATATTTTGCCATTAAAACAAAACCAAGCAGCAGGTAAAATTTCTTAACTTTCTGTTTTAATGAAAGAATGAAACATACATTCATAGTTATAGAAAAGCCTTAAATAACTTTCTAATAAATACATACAAAATTCCACCAGAATCTTGAAATAAAAGGTTTAAAGTTTGAGCAATGTCTCATTAATAGGATAATGTGAAGCCCCCTATCCACAAACTTCATAGCAATTTACTTACGGTGCTACTATAGCATTATTTTATAATAAGAGAGTAGTAAATTCTGTTTTTATCTGCCAATTTCATCTTGAGTTCCCTGTGGACAAAAACCATGTCTATATTTTTCTTATTAGCAACTCAGTGTCAGGCATATGGTATAGACTCAATGTTGCTTAAAAAAAATGATGTCATAACAGGAATTTGTTTCTGTACTAATAAGTAACGCTAATAAGGATGAAATCAAGGCTATAAGAAAATGGGTCTTTTATAGGTTGGTAAAATTGATGTTTGAATAATTTTGTAATTCTCTCTATGGCTGAAGCATGAAATAGCAATAAATTATTTCTCTTGGTGAATAGTTAAACCCCAAAAGTCTGAAAAGCTATACGAAGAAAACTAAAATAATCCCTCCCCTCAAAAAACATGATTCCAGGCACCGTGGCATGCACCTGTAATCCTACCTACTTGGGAAGTTGAGACAGGAGGATCACTTGAGCCCGAGAATTCTAGACTAGACTGGGCAATATAGCAAGACACTGACTCTAAACAAAACAAAACAATAACAAAAACATATCTTTTTCCCTACACTGAAAATCATATCCCTTGTTAAACTTCTTTATACTTCCAGAAAAGCTACGGAAAACACATAAGAGTAAATGCTGATATGATAGCAACTCATCTGTCCAGTATGCTCAAGAACAAAGAGCTCCGAATAAGGGAAATTCAGGAGTACATTAAATCACTCTCAAGAAAAAAATGTTTAAAATTGTTGTGATGAGAACTTTTTAAACTGTTAAATACTCTGAAACTTCTCAGTTCAGAACATATTTTAATCTTTTTTAAATATTCAAGTTCTTATTTTGATCATCAAATTATAACATCATGTAATGATACCCAAAAACCTTTTTTTGTTTGTTTTTTGTTTTTTTAAGATGGAGTTTCACTCTTGTCGCCCAGGCTGGAGTGCACTGGTGAAATCTCGGCTCACTGCAACATCTGCCTCCCGGACTCAAGCGATTCAACTGCCTCAGCTTCCCAAGTAGCTGGGATTACAAGTGCCTGCCACCATGCCCAGCTAATTTTTGTATTTTTAGTAGAGACAGGGTTTCACCATGTTGCCCAGGCTGATCTTGAACTCCTGACCTCAGGTGATCCACCCACCTCAGCCTCCCAAAGTGCTGGGATTACAGGCGTGAGCCACGGCACCCAGCCAATGCCCAAAAACTTCTGACCTGTAAAGACTACCCCACGTTAAACAGGGCTGTTGTTTTTATTTACTTTATTATTATTTTTGAGATAGGGTCTTGCTATGTCGCCCAGGCTGGGGTGCAGTGGCATAATCTCGGTTCACTGCAACCTCCACCTGCCGGATTCAAGCGATTCTCCTGCCTTGGCCTCCTGAGTAGCTGGGATTACAGGCGCGTGCCACCACAGCCCGGCTAATTTTTGTATTTTTAGTAGAGATAGGATTTCACCATATTGGCCAGGCTGCTCTCAAACTCCTGAGCCCAAGTGATCTGCCTGCCTCAGCCTCCCAAAGTGCTGGGATTACAGGCGTGAGCCACCACACCTGGCTAAATAGGGCTGTTGTTTGAGTCAGTATTTACGTTCTATCCTTTCTTGTAAATACTACACCAACAATCAACAATAAAAATTGATGGTTTTGGCCAGACGTGGTGGCTCATGCCTATAATCCCAGCACTATGGGAGGCCGAAGTGGGTGGATCACCTGAGGTCGGGAGTTAGAAACCAGCCTGATCAACACGGAGAAACCCCATCTCTACTAAAAGTACAAAATTAGCCAGGCATGGTGGCGCGTGCCTGCAATCCCATCTACTCGGGAGGCTGAGGCAGGAGAATCGCTTGAACCTGGGAGGCAAAGGTTGCAGGGAGCCAAGATCGCGCCATTGCGCTCCAGCCTGGGCAACTAGAAACTCTGTCTCAAAAAAAAAAAAAAAAAAAAAAAAAAATTGATGGTTTTCGCAAATACCACATGTTCTCACTTATTATTTAAGAGCTAAATGGGCCGGGCGCAGTGGCTCAGGCCTGTAATCCCAGCACTTTGGAGGCTGAGGCAGGAGGCTCAAGAGGTCAGGAGATCGAGACCATCCTGGCTAACACGGTGGAACCCCATCTCTACTAAAAATACAAAAACAAAATTAGCCAGATGCAGTGGCAGGCACCTGTAGTCCCAGCTACTTGGGAGGCTGAGGCAGGAGAATGGTGTGAACCCGGGAGGCAGAGCTTGCAGTGAGCCGATATGTCGCCTCTGGGCGACAGAGGGAGACTCCATCTCAAAAAAAAAAAAAAAAAAAAAAAAGCTAAATGATGAGAACTCAAGGATATAACGAGGGGTAACAACAACAGACACTGGGGCCTACTTGAGGGTGGAGGGTGGGAGGAGGGAGAGGATAAGAAAAAATAACTATTGGGTACTAGGCTTAGTATCTGGGTGATGAAATAATCCGTACACCAAATCACCATGATGTGAGTTTACCTGTATAACAAACCTACACATGTACCCCTGAACCTAAAATAAAAGTTTAAGAAAAAAGTAGAAAATTGCTGGTTTTCGTCAACTTTCATCTTGACTCTTCTACTTTTAATTTGCTGTTATTGACAAAGAACTGATAGTTGCTTTATAAAATTAAGTTGTAAAACCAGTCACTCAAATATAATATGCACTGTGAAGTGAAAAAAATCAGCACTTTATCCCTCACTATTCTTAGATTTCCAAATGGTGAGGTCACTAGAAGTTCAACAGACAAATGGAACATTACTATACTTACTGGAAGTTGTAGTTTCCCACCCACCCCCTTTTTTTTTTCTTTTTAAAAAGATGGGGGGTCTCATAATGTTTCCTAAGCTGGTCTCAAACTCCTGGGCCCAAGCCGTCCTCCCATCTTAGCCTCCATAGTAGATGGAAACACCGGCGCACCACTGCACCCAGCTTATCTTTAATGGAATTGCTAACTAGATGTCAAAAAAAGTTTGACTTTTTGACTACAAATTTTTGATTATTATCCACTTAAATAAAACAGTTAAGAAAGTGATAAGGGGCCGGGCACGGTGGCTCACGCCTGTAATCCCAGCACTTTGGGAGGCCGAGGCGGGCGGATCACGAGGTCAGGAGATCGAGACCATCCTGGCTAAAACAGTGAAACCCCGTCTCTACTAAAAATAGTAAAAAATTAGCCAGGCGTGGTGGCGGGCGCCTGTAGTCCCAGCTACTCGGGAGGCTGAGGCAGGAGAATGGCGTGAACCCGGGAGGCGGAGCTTGTAGTGAGCCGAGATCGCGCCAGGGCGACAGAGCGAGACTATGTCTCCAAAAAAAAAAAAAAAAAAAAAAAAAAAAAAAGGTGATAAGGTTATAGTTAGTATGAATTTCAATATTCATCTTTGTTAACCAAATGATCTTTGAAATATAGTTCTGATGATATTATTTCCCCACAATAAAAACCACAACATCAAATTTTTCCTGTTACCTTAAAATCACTGTATCATTTTGTGGATTCAAGTATCCTTCATTTGCGAGTAAGTCCAAACGGAAAAATCTATTATAGCCCCAGCATTCTCCAACTTCAAAGTCAGATGCAAATTCTCGAATGATATTTTTTGTAGGATCATTACAGGACTGGTGAACCATCTCTACACGATATTCATATCTAAAATTGAAAAACAGACCATTACTATACAGTTAGTAAAGTAAGAATAAAAAACAAACTCATCTAAACATTAAGGTCACTAAGTAATTACCTGAGAAGAAACCTTATTGATATACGCAGTTACATTTCTTTTATCATTTATAAAAACAGCAGTATTTTGGGGTTTTTTTATTTATTTAAGATGGAGTTTCACTCTTGTTGCCCAGGCTGGAGTGCAATGGTGCAATTTCAGCTCACTGCATCCTCTGACTCCAGGTTCAAGTGATTCTCCTGCCTCGGCCTACAGAGTAGCTGAGATTACAGGCGTGTACCATGCTTAGCTAATTTTGTATTTTTAGTGGAGACGGGGGTTCATGTTGGCCAGGCTGGTCTTGAACTCCTGACCTCAGGTGATCCACCCACCTTGGCCTCCCAGTGTGCTGGGATTGCAGGCGTGAGCCACCACACCCGGCCAGAAAAAGAGCAGTATTTTTTTGTTTGCTTTTTTGAGATAGAGTCTCACTCTGTAGCCCAGGCTAGAGGGCAGTGGCGGGGTCTCAGCTCACTGCAACCTCTGCCCCCCAGTTCAAGTGATTCTGCTGCCTCAGCCTCCCAAGTAGCTGAGATTACAAGTGCACACCACCATGCCCAGCTAATTTTTTGTATTTTTAGTAGAGACAGGGTTTCATAATGTTGGACAGGCTAGTATCAAACTCTTGACCTCAGATGATCCACCCTCCTTGACCTCCCAAAGGGCTGGGATTACGGGTGTGAGCCACTGCGCCCAGCCAAAACAGCAGTATTTTGAACGAACCACCAAAACATGAATGGCAATAGGTCCTTTTTTCCTCGTAAAGATGTTTACCGATATATCAGGTATAAAACAACACCTCAAAAAATAAATAAATTTTGAATAAACAAGTAATTCAAAGTTGCTTTTGTTTTACTAATGCAATATTTTTTCCATATATTCACTACATATGTTTCCTCATAAATATTGTTATTTCTATTATCCTTTGAGGTTTATCACCTTGCAATTTTAAAATATAAATTTTGAAATACTCTACTGTATTTTGCCAGTACAAGTGATAAGAAAGCAAATTATTGTGTATTCAGAAAATCAAAGGCTATAAAATTTCCTAATAGAAAATAAGTATGCAGCCATAAAAAAGAACGAGATTATGTTTTTTGTGCAACATGGATGGATGGAGCTGGAGGCTATTATCCTCAGCAAACTAACACAGGAACAGAAAACCAAATACCACGTGTTCTCACTTATATTGTGGGAGCTAAATGATGAGAACTTATGAACACAAAGAAGGAAACAACAGACACTGGGGTATGCTTGAGGGCAGAGGGTGGGAAAAAGGAGAGGAGCAGAAAAGATAACTATTGGGTACTGGGCTTAATTCCTGGGTGATGAAATAATCTGTACAATGAACCCCCATGACATGAGTTTACCTATGTAACAAACCTTCATACGTAACACCAAACCTAAAATAAAAGTTAAAAAGAAAAGAAAAAGGAAAAAGAAAATAAGTAAGCTGGACACAGTGGCTAACACCTGTAATCCCAGCACTTTAAGAGACCGAGGTGGGCAGATCGCCTGAGCCCAGGAGTCTGAGACCAGCCTGGGCAACATGGCGAAACCCCGTCTCCATAAAAACAAAAAACAAAAAAATTAGCTGGGTACGGTAGTGCATTCCTGTAGTCCCAGCTACTTGGGAGACTGAGGCAGGAGGATCACCTGGGCCCAGGAGGTTGAGGCTGCAGTGAGCCATAATTGTGCCACTGTGCTCCAGCCTCAGTGACACAGCAAGACCCTGTCTCAAAAAGAAAAGAAGTATACATTGGGAAAGCCAATATATTCTAATTTATATATCCAATCTTGTAAAATTTTCAGGTTTACAAAAAGACAAAGAAGATAGCCTATAAACTTTTGTGCATTAATGCACATTATCAAGAAAATGAAAAGAAAACCTACCAAATGGGAGAAACTATTTGCAAATCATATGTCTGATAAAGGTTTAGTATCCAAAATATATAAAGAATTCTTGACCGGGCACAGTGGCACACACCTGTAATCCCAGCATTTTGGGAGGCTGAGGTGGGCGGATCACCTGAGGATACGAGTTCAAGACCAGCCTGGCCAATATGGTGAAACCCCGTTTCTACTAAAAATACAAAAATTGGCTGGGCGTGGTGGTGCATGCCTGTAATCCCAGCTATTTTGGGAGGCTGAGGCAGGAGAATTGCTTGAACCTGGGAGGCAGAGGTTGCAGTGAGCTGAGATCATGCCACTGTACTCCAAGCTGGGTGATAAAGTGAGACTCAAAATACATTAAGTAAATAAATAAATTGAGACAGGGTCTCACTCTGTCATTCAGGCTGGAGTGCAGTGGTGCGGACACAGCTCATTGCAGCCTCGACTTCCTGGGCTCAAGCAATCCTCCTGCCTCAGCCTCCTGAGTAGCTGAGACGTATGCAGGGTCTCACCATATTGCCCAGGCTGGTCTCAAATTCCTGGTCTCAAGCAATCCTCCTGCCTTGGCCTCCCAAAGTGCTGGGATTACAGGTATGGGCCAGCCAGTCTGGCATATTAACCTTTGACTGAACACAAGACACTGTAAATTTTACTCTGTTGGATGTTAGATACTTCAGCAACCTTATAAATTTTCTTGAGCTTCCTTCTGGGATGCAGTTAAGTTACTTGAAAACAATTTGATCCTTTCAGGTCTCACTTTTGTTAGGTGGGTCCAGAGCAGTGTTCAGTCTAGGGCTAATTTCTGCTATCGAGACAAAAACTTCCTTAGTGTTATACCCAATCAGTGACCCATGAATTATAAATTTCTCCACCGTGGCAGGTTGCAATAGACACAGTTCCTGGCCCCGTGTGAACACCAGTCACTCACTATTCCCTCTAATCCTGTCAAGGAGTTCTTTCCCCAATCTCAGGTAGTTTCCTCAGACATATGCCCTGATAAGTACTCTGCTGAATACTCAAGGGGAACCCATTACGGATCTCTAGACTTCAGTCTCTGCAGCTTTCTCCTCTCTGGTATTTTGTCCAATGCGCTCTAGCTGTATTGTCCTTTCTAGACTCTCAGCACTATCCCCTCAACTAAGTCTGCCAGATTCTCCCTCAGTCCCAGCTCCTCCCTGTGTTGCAGCCTGAAAACTCTCTCAAGGCTGTAAGCTGGAGAAATTGTAGAGTTAGTTTGTGTTTCTCATCTCTCAGGGACTACTTTCATTTGTTACCACCATGTCCAGTGTCTAGAAAATGTTGTTTCATGAGGTCTTTTTTTTTTTTTGGTTGTTGCAGGAAAATGGGTAGATCTCATCCCTCTTGCTTCATGTTAGCTGAAAGCAGACATTCCATACTAAACTAACAGATTTCATGTAACAGAGTTAAAAAAAAAAATCATTAATATGATTCCAGATCCCACATTGTAAATAACATTTAACAACCTACCACTTGTTCAGTTTGGATGTAATATCAAAGAAGATCCACAATTATCTAAAACCACTTTAAAAAATATTCCTCCTTGTCAAAAAGTACATTTGTGGTTCTCAGGGACTGAGGGAAACGGGGAATGGGAAGTGACTGCTAAGGAGTACAGGGATTCCTTGTGGAGTAAATAGAATGTTATAAAATTAGATGTTGGTGATGGTTGTAGAACTCTGCAGACAGATTTCATACATGTATTTCAATCAAAATGATATTTTAAAAAAATTGAATATAAAAGCAGACATGAGAATCCAGTAGTCTTCTTCTAAGCCAGATAGTAAAGAGATTTCTAAAAACGCAAAGCAATACAAGTTTTCTTAAAAATATTTTGTTTTTAGAAAAATACCATCCTATGATGCCAAGAACATATTATTCTACATCTTAACAGACATACCAATACAGTAATTAACAAAAATAAAAATTAACAAAAATTGCTAGGGGGAAGGTATGTAAATGCACATTAAGGTTGTTATTTAATTACACTTCTTACTTAGAAGTTTCAGGCAAGCCAGCTGAGAGCTCCAGAAACACAGATAAGTAGTAACCTCGCACAACTCCATTTCCATCCTAAAAGAAGAATAATCAGTTTGAGTGTAAAAAAATTAAGCCACAATAAAACAAAATGCAGATAATATCTGATATCTAGATTGAGAAGTACTTCTAAGCCTCAAAGCAATGGAAGAAATAATTAAAAACACCAATAGATTTGAGTTCTTAACAACTTTAAACTTTTGTGCATTAAAAAAAAAGTGAAACTATTAAGGCACAAAAATGAAGGGAAATATCAACAACCACAACAAAGGTTAAGAGTTTTAACATATATAGAACTCTTACAAATCAACCTTAATAAAAAAACAAGACCCTAATGGGAAAAATAATTTCATTAGAAATGAGTGAAGCAAAAAAAAATTTTAAACCAAAAATTAATTTTTAAGACCAACATACAAAAAGGTAATACCCTATGCTGAAAGTAATTAAATATAATTTCTATATGATTTTAATATTAGAATTCCATATAAGATTCTGTCTAGAGATTGAGAAGTTGTTTAAATCTCTACTATAGATTTTATTTTTATAAAGATAATTACTCCCTCCCTTTTTGTTTAATTTGGCAAGACTCTTTTAAAAAAAGAGAATTACTTCCTATGTATTTCCCTAGTACTTCAGGTGTCTATGTTTTAAAAGAATCACATTTATTATAACTACTTGTTTAAACATCTGTTCCCCCAACGAGACAATGAAGGCTGACAACAGAGATCCTTATACATCTCCAGTGTCTACTGGGATATGACTACAGAGAGGTACAAGTACTATTAACCCCTTCATTTTTAGTCTACTTTGCTTGAAAGGACCTGAGGCAACTTTTGAGGTTCGACATGATAATCACTCAGTAGATATCAATGAATAAATGACTCATCAGCTAGGTGAATAAAGCCAGACATAAAAGATGATATATTATTGTGTAATGCCATTATACAAAACTTTTCTAAAAAAAAAAAAATAATCTGAAACTACATATTGAAAGACTTCAATGTGTAACTGAGAATACTAACCCAGGAGGGCTAAAATGTGTAATAGTAAATTACTGGACTCAAAAAGATTATTTAGCATCTAGGCAATATCACCAAACATCTTTAAAGGTAAAGAAAATTAGTTTATTATCAGACTTTTCCTAAAGAAAATGGAATTGCATATTGAAGATACCCAATGAAAGAAAATATGAGCCAAGGATTTTATATCCAGCAATACTAGCCTTAGAATATAAAAGGCAAAAACTGTTTTCAACATATGAGAACTCAGGGAACATTGTTTCCAATAGGCCTTCCAGCAGAATGTATTAGAGAACAAGGTGTGGACAAACAAACAGTTGTCTAATATGGGGGAAGAAGGGGAACAGGGAATGCGGACAGCATATGTAACAAAAAAAAGAAGAGTTAACAGTTCTCAGTAATCAAATTAGTATACTACAGAACTCTGAAAGAAAGACCTTGGTTTCAAAATTTATTAGAAATATGAAAAACTTACTGGGTAAACTTTTAACCTCCAGCAAAGTCCTGAAACTTGAAGAGGTGGACTGTAAACAGGATCTGCTCTCTGACGCAAAGTGCTAACGAAAAAGAAAACCAACCAAATCCCAAGATCAAAACTGTTGTGAAATGGCAACAGGCAAAAAGAAAGACCAACCAGTTTCTTTGTTACATACTTGAAATCCTAGACAAATAACAAGGTGACTGAACAGGTCAAAATTCCACTGTAAAAGTTTAGATATGCTTACATCCTGAAATAAAGAAAATTTAAAGATACTGAAATATTCAGCAATATCTTTTAAGTTTCAGGGGAAAAAAAACCCTCAAAATTGTGACATTTAAGGGAAAAGGAATGTATCACCAAGTCTCCCAAAATTAATTAATGCTTCAACAAGCAGTCTTCACCATTAAAAATAAAACAAAACCCAGAATGTTTCTTCCTCGCTTCTCTGCAGTATAATCATCTTTTAATATTGAAGAACAAGAGTACACTAAACCTTAATACGTGTGGGAAAAACCTCAAAGAGACTATGTTTTAGCCACAAAAGTAACCCTAAGAAAAGACAAATTAAATGGGAAGAGGGATAAATTCTGTGTGGCTTTTTTTTTTTTTGAGATAGAGTTTTTTCAGACAGAGTTTTACTCTTGTTGCCCAGGCTGGAGCGCAGTGGCACGATCTCAGCTCACTGCAACCTCCACCTCCCGGTTTCAGGCAATTCTCCTGCCTCAGCCTCCCAAGTAGCTGGGATTACAGGCGCCCACCACCACGCCCAGCTAATTTTTGTATTTTTAGTAGAGACGGGGTTTACCATGTTGGCCAGGCTGGTCTTGAACTCCTGACCTCGATGATCCACCCGCCTTGGCCTCCCAAAGTGCTGGGATTACAAGCTTAAGCCACCATGCCCTGCCCAGTGTGGCCTTATTTTGATGGCCTTTGCCTATTATTTGGAGTTTCTCTCCTGAAGACCTTATAGTCCTTGTTTCCACTTCCATGCTGCCCTCAAAGACAAATTGCTAAGAACCTTTGCATGTTACGATCTTCACTTCTGATCTTAAGAGAAAAAGTAGTAAAAGCTAACAAAATTAACATACAACTGACAAAGCCTACACATTTCTTACAATAATGGCCCCTTATCCACAATTCTTCACTTTGAGCTGAGATAAATGGATCTCAATGGATTTCTTCCCAGCACTTTTATTTCTGAGGATAGGTAAGAGGGGGCTCATCAACCTCTAACTGTCCAGCCCCCCACCTTAGTCAAAGCTAAGTGATCTCTCTTATTTAAAATGGTTCCTCACTTTGGGCAGGGCACCGTGGCTAATGCCTATAATTCCAGCACTTTGGGAGGCTGAGGTGGGAGAATTACTGGAGCCCAGGAGTTTGAGACCAGCCTAGGAAACACAGTGAGACCCCATCTGTGTGGTGGCACACGCTTGTAGTCCCAGTTACTTGGGAGGCTGAGGTGGGAGGATTGCTGCAGCCCAGGAGGTTGAGGCTGCAGTGAGCAATGATCACGCCACTGCACTCCAGCCTGGGTGACAGAGCAAAACCCAGTCTCAAAATAAAAAGAAAAGGTTCCTTTTCCCAGACTAGAGAAGCAGTCAGTCTAAAGATACAATATAATCCAGCACAAATTATCTCTACATTTCTAATAGGAAACTTATTCTTCTAAGACTTCTAAAGTGAGTGACACAGTTCACTAGATTACTGTCTTACCAAAGAATACCTTTCTGGCTCTTCCTTATATACACATACAAAAAAACCAGAATTGTCAAAAACTCTTACCTGAAATTCTCTAAAACAAAAGTAGCTGAATCGTAAGATGGCACTAATTCACTAAAAAAAAAAAGGCAAAAAAAATTATTTAGCTTACATGTTTAAAATTCCATTTGCCTAAAAAAGCCAAGTCCCTCACTAGTATCTTAAAAACTTTATTAAACTAAAATCTAAGAAATATTTTTAAATCTTTATTGAACATAACATTAAATCAAATGAATTCATAAAACCATCAAGTTTGCAATTAAATTGGAGATACAAATACTTTATAAAAGTTTTTTGGCTGGGTGAGGTGGCTCACCCCTATAATCCCAGCACTCTGGGAGGCCAAGGTGGGTGGATCATCTGAGGTCGGGAGCTCAAGACCAGCATGGCCAACATGGTAAAACCCCATCTCTGTTAAAAATACACAAAAATTACCCAGATGTGGTGGTGTGCACCTGCAATCCCAGCTACTTGGGAGGCTGAGGCACGAGAATCACTTGAACCCTAGAGGTGGAGGTTGCGGTGATTCGAGATTGCACTACCACACATCTCTATTAAAAATACGCAAAAATTACCCAAATGTGGTGGTGTGCGCCTGCAATCCCAGCTACTTGGGAGGCTGAGGCACGAGAATCGCTTGAACCCCAGATGCGGAGGTTGCGGTGAATCAAGATTGCACTACCACACTCCAGCGAGGGCGACAGAGCCAGACTCTGTCTCAGTCAACCAATAAATCAATAAATAAATACTTTATAAAAGCTTTTTTTCCTAAAAGAAAAAAAGGCAACACATTATATAATTATTAAACTAAGTACAAGAAATACACTTTAAAAAGTACTCATGGAAATGGGAAAAAGAAACTGACGCTTAGGGTGTGAATCTGAATTATGAAACAGATATAAAACATCCTTTAAAAAATGAAACAACAGTCAGTGATAACACAATTAATCCCCAAACTTCCTACTCTGGAATGGATTATGGGAAATATTAACAGACCTCAAATACTTTGAAACTATTTACTAGCAAATAAATCTACACATTTTTATAGGATGAATACCTCATCACCTAAGGGGCAACTGTGATGGACTAGCACACTCACACTTTCTTGGCAAGTCAAAACTACTTCAAGCAACTTTAGTCCCATCCAATCTTCTTCAGAGAGAACTGTATTATAATCACAGAATGGACTAAAAGTCACTTTGCTGCTAACTACCTTTAATCATGTGGATGGTTTGTACACTTTCATTAGAACACCTCAAAACTCATTAAAACACTATACTATGAAAAAGACTATCATACGATGTTTTAATAGTGTTATAAATTTGATATATAAAATTACAAATTTCCCAAAACAATAAACTGCAAACCATTTCACCACATCTTCAGATATATTTTCTAAAGTTCAATTCATCATAATTTTGGTTATTATCAAAACAAGATAAAATATACATCTATAGCACTGCCACACTATGATAGTGTCTAAAGAAATTAGTGGCTTGCAATACAATATAGACAAATAATTCTTTATTTCAATGTAAGTACGTATAGCTAAATAGGTCACGTCTTTTACACAGTAAGCAGATGTACTTTGCCCTGTGATTAACTGTATAGCTACTATCCAAATTGACTATGTCAAGAATTCCTATGATATCCCTAGTCAGTTGTTATCCTTCTTAGAAGACTCACATTCCTCATCCCCATATCCTTTTGCCTGGTTAACCCTTACTATTTCTTCAGATAACAGATTAGAAGTCACATACTCTTGGAGGTTTGCTCTAAGGTCTTCCCATTATATGATCTCCTAGCACTCAACATACACAAACTCCAATTAGCAGGACCAATGCAATTAGTGCCTAGGAAGCCTTTCTGGAACCATAAACCTAGTAAGAGCTCTAAGGGAGTCTTCCCAGTATAGCCTTCAAATTTGACATGTTTTTGAAATTTTGTGCAACTTTCAATCAGGTCTCTCATCAAGTACAGAATATCCTCCACAACATGCAAAGACTTTAATCAATCCCCAGTTGCCTGCTAATCTGCATATTATTTCTTCTGCCATGTCCAGTGTAATTTATTTCCTGTGTTGTTGTTACTGTTATTTCTGCTCTAAGTCCAGACTATCATTATCATATTTTATTGGCCATTAAGGGTCAAAAGACTTCAGCAGAACCCAAATTAAACAACAAGAGATGCCATTTTCAACTCAGAATGGTGAAGTAGAAAGCTTCCAGGCTAAAGAGCATAGGTTACTAACACTCATGAACCAAGAGAGTACAGTCCAGTTTACCCTAGTCTCACTTGCTAGGAGAAAATGACCACATTCAGAGCACAGAAAACAGGTACTGTGATATACTTTTACATATGTACATTCTCCTAGGGAAAATTTTTTGGACACAAATAGTATAATGACAAATTAGTGGTATGGGGCAGCATTAAACAGGATACTTACTTCCCCTATCACCAGTTACCACATTAATTTTATTACTGTTCCAATAACCTGTTTTTCTAAATCATAATTATAAACCCAAAGAGCTCTGTATTATGCTTAATGCTAGCACTTAACACATGCCTAAAATATAGCTGGCATATATTCACTGAATGAATGTTTATAAATACTTGCTGGCAGATTCGTAGAGTTGGAAATATTTGCTCAAAAATTTCTTTTGCGAAAGAAATTACTTTGCTTTTTAAATTTAAATTTTATTTATTTATTTATTTATTTATTTTTTTGAGACGCAGTCTCGCTCTGTCACACAGGCTGGAGTGCAGTGGCGCGATCTCGGCTCACTGATTTTGCATTCTTTATATGTATATACAAAGCTATTGCTACTGCTAGGCCATCTAATTCCACCACCACATCTCCATATTATGCTCATTCATTTAGAGATTATCTTCAATCATACTGATGTTATCATTCTGTGTCTGCAGATGAGGCACTGCTTTATCTTTTCATAGTTTTAAAATTTTCTCCTCCTCTCTTAGAAGTGTAGACTGCTCTGGTTATGATGACTGGATTCATCTCATGATGGTGTCAGTGAATCTTTGTCTTCACAGAATATGGGAAACTACCCTCAAACCATCTCTAGCCCAGGAATCTGGAAGTCACTGATCTGCAAATCTTCAGACCAGTAACCTCATCATAACTTCATCAACAAAGGGAAAAAAGGGAGAACCACAAGTATCCATTTGTTTCTTAAGGAAATAAACTGCTGAGCTATATAAAAACTGGTTCTCCTTATCAACTTGACTATTTCTCCCTGAAACATAAAACTCTCTATGAACTGACAGCTATACTATTGTATCTTTTATTTTTTCTTTTCTGCCTCAGCCTCCGGAGTAGCTGGGATTATAGGCATGCACCACCACACCCGGCTAATTTTGTATTTTTAGTAGAGATGGGGTTTCTCCATGTTGGTCAGACTGCTCTGGAACTCCTGACTTCAGGTGATCCGCCCGCCTCGGCCTCCCAAGGTGCTGGGGTTACAGGCATGAGCCACCGCGCCCAGCCCACAGTAAAATATTTAGTTCCTCTTCTCCCATGCAGCACCTACAACAATACTGGGCACATAGTCTTTAATAAATAACACTTCACTGATTTAGTGACCTTTTCTTCTCCATTGTGGCTCCATCACCAATTACTAACTGATAGAACTAAAGGCAATAGAAACACCACTGCTTTGCATATCTAAAGTTTCATGTGTAACTTAATGTCACGAATGCTGATCTTTCTTATTTGGCCCTCTTTTCCTGTATGTTGCAACTAATAAAACAGGTTTCTAATAAGAATTAAATTAAAAGCCAAAGTTTCCAATAAGGTAGTGAGCATTACTGGAGAAAGAGAGAAGGCCCTGAAAGTGATTAATTAACAGACTAGCGAGCATTGTTGCCTGCCTGATGAGCTGCTGAAAGTGGTATAAGAATGGGAATTTACATACATCAATGGTTCCCAAACTTTAGTGCAGTATTATTACTTAGAGTGCTCAAGACGCATTTCTGAATACCACCTCTAAAGATTCTGGGGACATTGGCCTGGGAATTTGCATTTCAGACAAATGCCACACATAGCCCTGACTTAGGTCATCCATGCACCACACTTTGAATTGAAAAATACTAATTTTTATATATGACCCTTAGGTCAAAATCTGTTTCATTCCACAGGGGATGAAATGGTTCAGAAAACAAATCTTCAAAACTGAAATAGCTGACCACAGTATCAATGAAGCAGCCTAGGGATTTTGGTGAACATTCTTCAACCAAATCTACTTAATGACAGCAAATACATAGTCCTTTTAATAATATTCAGTGCTGTCATTCAGAAATGAGATTTAAACAAAAAAGTCAGTGCTTTAAAAAGATATGAATATTTTATGAGGTTGTTAATCAAAAAGAAAGGAAGACTTCTACTGGTCAATGAGAACCACTGGAGTTCTAGCTGTCAGAAAAACTTTGCCCTTCTGTTTATAGGACTGTGGCATCTATAACGAGTAAGAAGGGCTTATAACAGTGATTCTCAGTCAGGGGTGATTTTGTCCCCAAGGACATTTGGCAATGTCTGGAAATATTTTTGTCACAACTGCAAGGTGGTGGGGTGGGGAGTGCTACTGGGATACTGCTAAACATCTTATAAAACACAGGAAAGCTCACCCCACCCCACAAATAATTATTCTGCTTAAAATGTCAACAATGCCAAGATTGAAAAGCCCTGGCTTATATGATATACTCTAGTACAATGAATGCGGCCAGGCATGGTGGCTCACACCTATAATCCCAGCACTTTGGGAGGTCGAGGCAGGCAAATCACTTGAGGTGAGGAGTTTGAGACCAGCCTGGCCAACATGGAGAAACCCCGTCTCTACTAAAAATACAAAACTTAGCTGGGCGTGGTGGTGCATGCCTATATTCCCAGCTACCCAGGAGGCTGAGGTGTGAGAATTGCTTGAATCCGGGAGGTGGAGGTTGCAGTGAGCCGAGATCACGCCACTGCATTCCAGCCTGGGTGACAGAGTGAGATGGAGTATAATAATAAATAAATAAAATAATAAATTAAAAAAATAAAAAATAAAATAGTACAATGAATGCTCTGTGGTCATCAGAGGCATCACATATTAGAGGAAAAAGAAAAGGCAGCTCAACATATAAACATTTTTATAACAAAGACTGTTTTCTAAATGTGCCACAGCCCTCACCATGGTAGGAAAACTTGATAGTATTCCATAAGTCATCTCTCTAAGATAAAGTCTGTCACACCAAAATGTTTATCTGAAGCAGTGGCTTCACCCCTCATCATAGAATAAGCTAAGGAGATTTTAAAAGAACAAACTGAAAATGTCCATCTGAACCCTATGTCACAGGCTGAATTGTGTCTCCCCAAATTCCCATGTTAAAGCCCTAACCCCCAATGTGACTGTATCTATAGCCAGGGCCTTTAGGAAGATAATTAAGGCTAAATGAGTTGATAATGGTGGGTCTAATACAATAAGGCTTGTGTCCTCATAAAAAGAGAAAGAGACACCAGAGACTGATCTCTCTCCAAGCAAGAACAGAGAAAAGGTCAGGTGAAGACACAGAAAGAAGGCAGCTGTCTGCAAGCTGAGGCAAAAAAGTGAATTTTCTGACACCCTGATCTTGGAATTCTTGTTTCTCGAACTGTGAGAAAATACATTTCTGTTGTTTAAAGGCACCCAGTATATGGTATTTTGTTATAGCAGCCCAAGTAGACTAATACACACCCAAAGATTTTCTTTCAAATGGCCTGGGGTATGGTATGACCCAGCACTGATTAATTTTCAGCCAAATCCCAAGTGATTCCAACATCTAGTCAGAAACCACCAGTCTAACACCACAGAATGATTACAAACATGCTTGAAGGAATATGCTGTTCAGAAAAATTCTAAGGTTTAGCCCAAGATGAAAACTAGGATACTTTTTGCCATAATTATTTCCTCTCTCTATCTTTTAGTATCCGGAGATAACATGGCGTCACCTTCAAATTCTTTTGGCATTTCATCAGTTTCTGAGTTTTGTGTTAGGAGATATAGTTCAATTCAAAAGGTACACTGATGAAGCTAATGTAATCAATTATTTTTTTCTATACTACGGAAGATGGAGCTCTTGGAAAAAAAAATGATTTCTAGTTCATTGTCATTTTCTCTTAAGAGTCAAAAGTATCAGTCTGTGAGACTTTTCAGGAGAACTAGATTTGTATGTATACAACAGAGCTTGCCAGACCACTCCATTATAAACAAGACCTTAAAAAGCTATGGAGTGGCCAAGTGTGGTGGCTCATGTCTATGATCCCTAGTAATTTGGGGGGTCAAGGTGGGAAAATCACTTGAGTCCAGGAGTTTGAGACCAGCCTGGGCAACAAGTGAGACCCTATCTATAAAAGAAAAGAGAGAGAGAGATGGCATTAAAAAAAAAAACATTCTTTTGAAACAAGTATATGCATTTCCACATAAATTTCAAATGAAAATGAAATTAAAAACTGTGTCATACCTGGTAAAGTCTGGTGGAACAGGAGTGGTAACAAAAGATGCCATGGGCTTCCGATGAACTTGCTGAAACATCATAAGGATCTCTGAGCTCTTAGATATCAACTCACTCTTACTACAAGACCGCAACTGTGTGAGGAAAAAAATTATCTGAACAAACAAAATTACTATTCACTGCCACCTCAAAATTCTTAAGAAATTACAAATTATTCTGATTATAAACTGAAAAAAATGATAAAAATAACTCAAAGTGAGCTTGAGAATTAAGAATGTACAAAGAATCTAGGTTTATTTCTATAATATTCTAACAGTAAAGTCAATGAATAAGTATACTTAATACTAATGCATTTTTCTCTCCTTACATTTTAGGATAAATGAGGTTTTAAGCAAGTACAAATATACTTTCAGGCTGGTACAGTGAAGTTCTTATGAATGTATTAATGAACAAACCGGTAAGTTGAAAGCTTTTTTTTTTTTTTTTTTTTGAGACAGAGTCTTGCTCTGTTGCCCAGGCTGGAGTGCAATGGCGCGATCTCGGCTCACTGCAACCTCCGCCTCCTGGGTTCAAGCGATTCTCCTGCCTCAGCCTCCTGAATAGCTGGGATTACAGGTGGGTGCCACCATACCCAGGTAATTTTTGTATTTTTTAGTAGAGACAGGGTTTCTCCATGTTGGTCACACTGGTCTTGAACTCCTGACCTCATGATCCACCTGCCTCGGCCTCCCCAAGTGCTGGGATTACATGCGTGAGCCACCGTGCCCGACCAAGGTGAAAGCTTTTAAAAGCAATTTCTCAGATTGTATTCTAGGTGACAGAATACAAAACGTACACACATACACCCGTGTGTACACACACACACACGCACTATCTGATACTAATTTGGGAAACACTATTTTGGGAAAAAGTAACAAATCTAACTTCAGTAACATAACCATGGTAGATAAAAGATAAGACTACTAATTTTTTCTTCAAAAAAACCAGTTTGAAGTAACTCCCAATTCTGCCACTGACTAATTACATAACTCTGAGTCTGTTTACATACAAAACTAAAATAGTAATATCCACCACTGCTTACTTCGTGAAGTTTGTTATAAGGATTATGAAGCTATAGTGAAAAAGCTTTGTAAACTATCTGTTATGTGCTGAATTTTGTGCCCCTTTCCTCCATAATTTATATACTGCAGGCTCAACCTCCAGTACCTCAGTCTATCTGGAGATAATCTTTAAAGAGGTGATTATGTTAAAATGAGGCCACTGGGGTAGGGCCTTAATCTAACATGACTGGTGTCCTTATTAAGAGGAAGAGACTCTAGGGCTGCACAACCACACAGAAAAGTCCATGTGAGGACACAGTAAGAAGGCAGTCATCTACAGGCCAAGGAGAGAGACCTCAGAAGAAACGAAACCTGCCAACACCTGAATCTTAGACTTCCAGCCCCTAGAATACTGAGAAAACAAATTTCTATTGTTTAAGTCTCACAGTCATTGGTATTTTGTTATGACAGGCCTAGCAAGCTAATATACTATCAAATGCCATATGAATGATATTCATAAACCCACCTACAGGTGAGTTTATATCTTTTAAATAACAGTTGCTTAAGGCTCACCAAAAATAACATATCATATGGCTGGGCACAATAGCTCACACCTGTAATCCCAGGACTTTGGGAGGCTGAGGCGGGTGGATCACTTAGGGTGAGGAGTTCAAGACCTCATGACCTGGCTAGTTCAAGGCCTGGCCAACATGGTGAAACCCCATCTCTACTAAAAATATAACAATTAGCTGGGCGTGGTGGCACGTGCCTGTAGTCCCAGCTACTCAGGAGGCTGAGGCACAAGAATTGCTTGAACCCAGGAGGCGGAGGTTACAGTGAGCCAAGATCACGCCACTGCACTCCAGCGTGGGCGACAAGGCAAGACTCTGTCTCAAAAAAAAAAAAAAGTATCATATATCATATGATATATATCAAAGTTTATAGTCTTGGGTTACCAAGAATAATGATATCATGTTTGAGCTACTGCATCAACCAATGACATAATGGTAAGTGGTAACAGCAGAAAACAACAAACAGCTGCATATTTTGTCATTCATATTATTATGTGTCAGGCATTGCCCAAGGCATTACGGTTTTTTGAACAATTTATATAAAATGATCTAAAGTTATTTGAACTGTTTGCTTAAGATTTTTAAGGTATGCTAAAAATCACTGTGTATATGTACATACATACACACATAATACAAAAAAATTTAACTTATATTAATTGAATGCTTACTGTGTATATCCTTCCTTGACACCATTTCTTCCAAAAGCAACTTGCTCCCTTCAACAGAAGTTTATTATCACTATACATGTGTTTCCACAATTACTATGTGTGTACATACATCCATAAACAATGTTCTGAATGTTTTCAAACTTTACATAAACACTATCAGGCTATATCACCATGTAGCCTACATTTTTCAGTTAATATTATTTACTTTTTTTTTTTTTGAGACAGGGTCTCGCTCTGTCGCCCAGGCTGGAGTGCAGTGGCACGATCTCGGCTCACCGCAGCCTCTGCCTCCCGGGTTCAAGCAATTTTCATGCCTTAGCCTCCCGAGTGGCTGGGACTCCAAGCATGTGCCACCTCGCCCAGCTAAGTTTTGTATTTTTAGTAGAGACGGGGTTTCACCATGTTGCCCAGGCTGGTCTTGAACTCACTCAAGTGATCTGCCCACCTTGGCCTCTGAAAGTACTGAGATCACAGGCATGAGCCACCACGCCCGGCCTATTTCTTTACTTTTTTAAACAGATGGGTCTTGCTATACTTCCCAGGCGAGCGCCGTGGCTATTCACAGGTACAATCATAGCACACTGAAGCCTTGAATTCCTGGGCTGAGGCAATCCTTCCACCTCAGCTTCCTGAGTAGCTGGGACTACAGGTGTACACCCCATCTCAATACTGTTTTGTTAAAAACTAAGACAATGGCCTAGGCCTACACATGGTCAGGATCATCAATATCACCACCTTCCACCTCCACATCTTGTCCCATTGAAAGGTCTTCACGGGTACTAGCACATATGGATCTACAATGCTAACAATGCCTTCTTCTGGAATATAGTCAACGTTTTTTTAAAAAGTAGGAGTAAACTCTAGAATATATTCTAGAATAATGAATGGTATGGTATAGTAAATACATAAACCAGTAACACAGTTGTTTATTATGCTTATCAAGTATTATATACCATACATAATAATGTGTTATATTTTTATACAACTAGCAGTGCAGTATGTGTGTTTACACTAGCATCACAATAAACACATGATTAATGCTTTGTGCTACTACATTACAATGGCTATGATGTCATTAGACATCACTACTAGGCAACAGAAGTATTTCAGCTCCATTTTAATCTTGTGGGACCACTGTCACATATGCAGTCTGTCATTGACCAAAAGGTCATAATTTGACACATGTTTGTATATGGGAGATGTGTATAGGTTATATGAGAATACTATGCCATTTTATATAAGGGACTTGAGTATCTGCGGATTTTGGTATCCATTAAGGTCCTGGGGCCAATGCCCTACAGATATATATGTGTGTATGTAAAAAGAAAAGGAAAAAAGAATGGGGATAATGAAGAAAAATAAGAGTATTTAGTAAATATTTATGTGCTGAATCCTACAAGCCAAATTGTCAATCAAGTACAAAGATAAAATAAAAATATTTTCAGACAATGCAGTCAAGAAAAATGTGTTCTGACTACCCTTCCTGGAAAGCTACTGAGGGAAGTGTGATGTTAAAACAAAACAAGTAAACCAAGAAAGTGGAAACCATAGGAATCAGGAAACATGAGATTCAATACAAGAAAGATGTGAAGGGAATTCCCAGAATGATTAAGATAAAAATCTCAGGAGACAGCTGTGTATAAGGCATAGAGAGAAATTACAAAAAGCAAATTCCAGACAAGTGAATGTATCAGATATTTATGCAACACTACATATTTTATTTACTCATTTACTATATGCTTCATATTCACCCACCCTAATCTAAAATATAAACTCTATGAGGACAGAATTTTACCATTTTGTTCACTGCTGTATCACCAATATCTACAATGATGCCTGCTATCTATTTAGGACTTAATATTTCCTCAATAAATAAAAATGCTAAATTTTAGAGTAATAATCGCTACATGTAAAGTAACTGGCAATAATATCTCAAAGCCACCACTTAAGTCACAGTGTGGGGAGATTTTAACCTCTTATACATTCAGATTTCTATGGAAATAGTTCTGTTCTTACAAAGCAGAATGTAGTTCTAATGCAGTTCCCAAACATGAAGAAAAAACTTGGCAAGAATCAGCTGATTCCTAATTTCATAAAAATCTCCATTATAACACAAAAGATCAACAGATCTTTTGATCTCATACAGATAATCTCTGTCAAAAAAAAAACGTTTATAATATACAGAGAAGGCCGGGCACGGTGGCTCACGCCTGTAATCCCAGCAGCTTGGGAGGCTGAGGCGGGCAGATCACCAGGTCAGGAGATCGAGACCATCCCAGCTAACATGGTGAAACCCCGTCTCTACTGAAAATACAAAAAAATTAGCCGGGCGTAGTGGTGGGCGCCTGTAGTCCCAGCTACTCAGGAGGCTGAGGCAGGAGAATGGTGTGAACCCAGGAGGCGGAGTTTACAGTGAGCCGAGATCGCGCCACTGCACTCCAGCCTGGGCGACAGAGAGAGACTCCATCTCAAAAAAAAAAAAAAAAAAAAACAACTACAGTATACAGAGAAAAAAGGATAAAGACTATTTCATTACATTTAATATTTCATCACCTGGTGCTCCACCTCCTGAAGTAAGGATTCCAAAAGCTCTGTTTCTTGGGTTAGAGATGTCTTCTGACCTGATGAAAAATAGTGAATCATCAACACTTGGGTTCATTATTGGTTTAAGAATGAAATTAACTTCCAATGAACATATTTAATAACAAGAAATACACTTCAAGTAAGCAAAAATTCTTCATTACAGCTACCCTAAAAATTCTCATTCAACTTTAAGAGGCTGAATATTATAGTAGCCTTGAAAATGGAACTTCAGAACCAATTCTAATTAGTTTTAGACAAGATACCACTGAGATCAAATTCATCTAAGAAACGAAATGTGCAATGACAATATACTTTAAGCAAAAAATTTACTTTTCTAGATTTTCATATTCCCTTGGGAAGAAGCAATAACATGAATTTCATTCAATCAGCTATTCTGAAATCATTTTTCACCAAATTTAACTGTGGCTTAAAAGAGAATACAAAGTGGGCCAGATTTTTAGGTTAAATGTCAGCAAAAGGTCTGTCCTGTGAATATACAAGGACCTGTTTAAAAAAAAAAATGCCCACAGAGGTGAACAGTCTCAAAAAGTTGGAGACAGAAAAGGATAAACAAATTATTACTGGCCGGGGCCATGGCTCATGCCTGTAATCCCAGCACTTTGGGAGGCCAAAGCAAGAGGATAACTTGAGCCTAGGTATTTGAGACCAGCCTAGGCAACATGGTGAGACCCAGTCTCTACAAAAAAGTAAAAAATTAGCCAGGAGTGGTGGTGCATGCCTGCAGCCCAATTTACTCAAGAGGCTGAGGCATGAGGATCACTTCAGCCCAAGCGGTCAAGGCTGCATGCAGTCATGCAATGAGCCTTGATTGCACCACTGCAGTCCTTCCTGGGCAACAGAGTGAGACCCTGTCTCAAATTACAAACAAAAAAATTATAATTACAGAAATTATCCTTATAGAAAAGGAAGAAAGTGCTTTATATGTTTTGAAACAAAAAGAAGATAGGTATGCTTACCAAATCAGGCCATTTTCTTTGTAAACCCAAAATTTGAAAAACTGGAAGTACATCCATGAGGACAGCAAAAGTTTTATCAATCTGTAGTGTTATTTGATAAGGAAAAACATTTAATAGGTAGAACTTTTATTTATTTTATTTATTTATTTTTTGAGATGGGGTTTCACTCTTGTTGCCCAGGCTAGAATGCAATGGCACGAACTCAGCTCACCGCAACCTTTGCCTCTTGGGTTCAAGTGATTCTCCTGCCTCAGTCTCCTGAGTAGCTGAGATTACAGGCATGTGCCACCATGCCCGGTTAATTTTGTATTTTTAGTAGAGATGGGGTTTCTCCATGTTGGTCAGGCTGGTCTCAAACTCCCAACCTCAGATGATCCACCCGCCTCGGCCTCCCAAAGTGCTGGGATTACAGGCATGAGCCAAGGCGCCCGGCCTTTATTTATTTTTATTTATTTTTTTGAGACAGGGTCTCATTCTGTTGCCCAGGCTGGAGTATAGTGGCGTGATCTCGGCTCACTGCAACCTCCACCTCTCAGGCTCAAGCGATCCTCCCACCTCAGCCTCCTGAGTAGCTGGGACTACAGGAACACACTATCACACCTGGCTAATTTTTCTTTTTTTTTTTTTTTTGGTAGAGATGGGGTTTCACCACATTGCCCAGGCTGGGCTTAAGAGATCCACCTGCCTCAGCCTAGAACTTTTATTTTTGAAACAAAACTCAGAATTTCTAGGTTGCAAAAAGAGTTAAAATAAAGTATTAGCTAGAATCTAATATTATCAGACATAATTTCTACTATAACCACATCCCACAATCCTAAAACATTAGCCTATGGACAACATTACAATACATAATTAAACTTAAAAATGAGTGGCAGAGGCCGGGGGTGGTGGCTCACGTCTGTAATCCTAGCACTTTGGGAGGCCAAGGCAGACAGATCACAAGGTCAGGAGTTTGAGACCAGCCTGGCCAATATGGTAAAACCCTGTCTCTACTAAAAATACAAAAATTAGCAGGGCGTGGTGGCACGTGCCTGTAGTCCCAGCTACTTGGGAGGCTGAGATAGAAGAATCTCTTGAACCTGGGAAGCAGAGGTTGCAGTGAGCCAAGATCACGCCACTGCACTCCAGCCTGGGCAACAGAACGAGACTCCATCTCAAAAAAAAAAAAAAAAAAAAATTAGTGGCAGAGGTCAGGTGTGGTGGCTCACGCCTGTTATCCCAGCACTTCGGGAGGCGGAGGTGGGTGGATCACCTGAGGTCAGGAGCTCAAGACTAGCCTGGCCAACATGGCGAAACCCCATCTCTACTAAAAATACAAAAAATTAGCTGGGGGTGGTGGCACGTGCCTGTAGTCCCAGCTACTCAGGAGGCTGAGGCAGGAGAATTGCTTGAACCCAGGAGGCGGAGGGTGCAATGAGCCGAGATAGTGCCACTGCACTCCAGCCTGAATGACAGAGCGAGACTCCATCTCAAATAATAATAATAATAATAATAAATTAGTGGCAGATATTATGGTATGAATTAAAAATCTGAGGCTTATAAGACTATTCTAAAGATAAACTAACCCTGAAAATATCCTTTTCCCCACCTCTTATCCTTAGAAAGAATCCTATTTAATCATAAAAGCTACCTTGGAAATCACAAATTATAATTTTTCATAATGAAAAATAATTTGAAAGCCACAAAAGCAGGGCAAGTTCAGTTATTAGAAAGGGAAGTTATTTCACAGTTATACAGGTAGTAAAATTAATAAACTTAAGAGATCTGTACTGTGGTATTATTTGACTTTTAGTTGATTCAATTAAATAAATGAAGCAATGAACAAACTCACTCAAGAAAAACAAGACCACATGCAAATGTTTATTTGGCTACGACTGAAGATCACATCAACAGTCAAGATCCCCTCAATTTTAAAGTCCTAATACGTATCAACATCCAGTACTCTACATGGCTTAATGAACTTAAAGAGATCTCAAATATTATCTAGAGTTCTGAAAAACTAAGATCACCTATATGTATGACTGCAACTGAGGATCTAAGAACAATTACGATTTTCATTTACATGAAATATATAAGTGGCATTGTGACCAGTACAATCAATACCTACAGGTTTTGTCTAATTGCTCCACTGGGTGGATGAACTGTGCTTTCCAATCTAACTACTAGAAGAATGATTGTTTAAGACTATTTGCTACTTGGTCTGTGGGAAAAAAACTAAAAATCAGATATTAAATAGTATAGGATTATAATAGAAAAGCAATTCATGAAATGATATACAAATATACAAACTCAAAGATATTTGCATCTCATTTTTAAAAAGTTAAAAATAAAATGGATAAAATCATTATTTTGGATGACACAAAGACATGGCTAAAATCTTGGAGAATCAAGATAGCCAAAAAAAAAAAAAAAATTCTTTGTTCACACCTTATTTAAAGTATATATATTTCACTTTGGACTATGATAAAAAATGCAAAGCTGGTTTTTAGTCAGCAAAACACTGGAAGGACTAAGATCACCAAAACAAATCAAACAAAACAAACCATAGCATTGGATTAAATTCTTACTTAAAATTTAAGTTCAATACCAGGCTCCACAATCAAAGAAGAATGAAGGAATCTTCGAAAAGCAAAAAGGTCAGCAATAAATATAATTAAGCATATGTAAAATGAACCCTACTAGAAATCAAAAGCTGAGACTTTAAATCTCTAAGAAAATGCTGGCAGGGGATGACGCCGATGTTTACAAATGTCAGTTTCTTCATCCCCAATGAAAATGGATGGAAAGGATATGGAACATTAGTAGAAGGAATTCTGTTAGATTTGGAGAAAAAGCTACCTAACAATGATGCCCACTGGCCATTAGGATTTTCATCCAAATGGCTATGAAAACTTGGATTTTCATCCAAATGGCTATGAAAATTTTTCTCTCCTATCATTTCTAAATACAAGTCTAACATTTATCTGTCTAAATTGTAACAACATGGAGTTGCCTAAAATCTCAAGATTCCTTCCTAGGATGATCACCCTTATTCTTCAAAGACTGAATCTCAAAGAAGCTGAAAGCACCAGGTACCCCAGCAGCATACATAAACACTTACCCATCAGTGTTATAAGCTTATTCTTCAGCTGTGTGTCTAACCGTGCAATCATCATCTCCACTGCATTCCTAATTTCCCGAACACGCTCATCTTTTGCATTTCTTACAGCTTCTACATTCCTTTCCTAGAAGATAAAGAGGTAAGAATAATTTTAATTGGGTAAATTTTAAAAACAGAAGCACCACATTATAATATTGCCAAGAATAGATAATATGAAAAAGGTAGTTAGAGGAAGGTCAAATGGAAATGACCCAACTTGCTTATATTTCAAAATGGCAGACATGCAATCAAAAACACAAATTTTCTGCATAAAGAATGTTATAAATGATCACTTGGTTCTTGATTCCTAAAGAGGTAAAACAAAGAAGACATCTGCTTTTAATTTAGGATATGGTCCACAAACTTCATTTTAAGTTAGGAAATGGTCCATAAACCTCATTTATGACTGTCATTCTAACAACTTGAAACAAAATGTATTCTAAAAACATGCTTAGTATTTCATTCTTGGGGGCTTATCACATTTTTTCACAGAAATAACATTATAAATAGCTCACTAAAGCTGTTTGACCTAAACAATATCTAAACAGTAATGTTAAATATTGCACTTTCAAGTCTGTGGAGTTCTAAATCAGGACATCACAAATAGTTCATTGCTTAGTAAAAGAAACTCACCCAAAAGCTGGGGATCCAAAGAGTGTATAACTTAATGAATGACTGTAAAAGTCAATACTGATTCTGTTTAGAAGTAAATTATTGGGGCCAGGCACAGTGGCTTACACCTGTAATCTTAGCACTTTGGGAGGCCAAGGCAGGTGGATCACGACGTCAGGAGTTTGAAACCAGCCTGGCCAATATGGTGAAACCCTGTCTCTACTAAAAATACAAAAATTAGCTGGGCGTGGTGGTGGGCACCTGTAATCCCAGCTACTTGGGAGGGTGAGGCAAAAGAATCACTTGAGCCCGGGAGGTGGAGGTTGTAGTGAGCTGAGATCGCGCCATTACACTCCAGCCTGGGCGACAAGAGTGAAACTCCATCTCAAAAAAAAGAAAAAATAAGTTAATTATTGACTCTGTAACAAACAGACTTTTTAAATTCACTGATTTTCTAATTCTGCATAAGTGGTAATTCTCTGACTCCAACTGCTTCCTTACAAGCCAGGGGCTTTGTATGCAAATTTCTCAGATACTCTGAAATTTATGGAATTTGACTATAGGTACAGCCTATCAAATTTGCAAATCTTGAAAACCTTGATTTCAACATCTGATTAACTTATATTATATAAATATATTATTATATATTACAGATTAAAAACAAAATAATTATATTTTAGTAGTAGTCTTACCACTTCTTGAACTAAGCTGATCAGTTCCATGAGACGCCGACGAAGTTTGGCTACCTCTTCATTCACTTTAGTGACGTGTTGCTCATAAATTTCTGCCAAAGGTTTAAAGGTATGTCCGCCATGCTATTTAAATTAGAGTAGCTTTAGAACACTTTCACATATCTCATCTGCATTTACATTCCTTTGTAACACTCTATGGACACTAATAAACTGGTAAATCTCTCAAATGAACTTTACCTTATTAGCTAATTTAATTTTGTTGAAGCAGGCCAGTGCCCGCTTAAAATCACTTGGTCCAAGTAGGAACTCTTTCAAGATTATAAATAAAGGGCTTTAGCAAAATATTCATTTAACTAGAAATTAACTTATTAAAAAGAACCAAGATCTTTAACCACAGCCCAAATCATCTGCCACAACCTTATCAGTCAGTCACTCTTCTCTAAGGCAAACTAGTCTTCTTCCATGTCCTCAAACTTCTTTCCACCAGGACTTTACAAAAATTACTCCCTCTTATTAAAAAATAATTATTAGCCAGGGGTGGTGGCTCATGCCTCTAATCCCAGTACTTTGGGACGCTGAGGAGGGCAGATCACTTGAACTGAGGAATTCATGACTGGCCTGGCCAACACGGCAAAAACACGTCTCTACTAAAATACAAAATGTAGCCACGCATGTTGGCGCACACCTGTAATCCCAGCTACTCAAGAGGCTGAGACATGAGAATTGCTTGAACCCGGGAGGCAGAGCTTACAGTGAGCTGTGATCGGGCCACTGTACTCCAGCCTGGGTGACAGAGACTCTGTCCCCCCCAAAAAATAATAATTTTTTAATAATAAAAACCAAAAAAAAAAAAAAATAAAAAAAAAAAAATAATAATAATAATAATAATAATGCTGGGCATGGTGGCTCACGCCTGTAATCCTAGCACTGTGGGAGGCTGAGGCGGGTGGATCACCTGAGGTCAGGAGTTCGAGACCAGCCTGGCCAACATGGTGAAACCCCATCTCTACTAAAAAACACAAAAATTAGCTGGGCGTGGTGGCATGCGCCTGTAATCCCAGCTACTCAGGAGGCTGAGGCTGGAGAACCACTTGAAGCCGGGAGGCGGAGGTTGGAGTGAGCTGAGATCACCCCACTGCACTCCAGCCTGGGTGACAGAGTGAGACTCTGTCTCAAAAAAACAAAACAAAACAAATAATAATAATAATTCTCCATCTTCCCTCTCCCATCTTGGTTTGTCTTAATCCTACTCATCCTTTGCACTTAGCTCAGATTTACAGGATCAGCTGCTATAGTTATGCATCCTCATCAGCTCTCTGTATTTATTCCTATAATTTATCAAGCCAATTGAGTATGTAATTGTTTGATATGTTCATCACCAAATCCCTAGTCTTTACCACAGCTGAATGAATTAGAAAGACACTTGAAGAAAAAGCCCAGGATACAAAATTAACAAAAGCAATGAACCCATTTTCCATCCCACAGAGTTACTACAGAGACAGAAGACTGATACAAGTTAGCCTCACAAATCCAGTTGCATTCAGCTCAAAGAACAATTTTTATAGCTAACTACCTAAAAATAATTTTGATTTGTAACCAGAATTATTAAATTTTAATATAAGAAACCTCCTATAAGTTCTTACTAGAATTGTCTTATTTAGCCAAAGTATCCCATTATTGTCTCCAAAAAAGATGTAGATTTTTACATGTTCACTTTAAGTATAGAAAAAAACATTTCTACTGTCTCTTACAAAACCTATGTATTTAAAGTATTAAATGTGAGAACTTAATTTTTTCTAGTTAGCACATTAATATTCAAATTCTAGCAGAAAGCTCTGAATTGAGCTCTACTCAACCAATCTGGCCTGCCACTCTCTCCGTAAAACATACTGACTGATGCCCACAGAATGATCAATTCTTATAGCAACTCTAGATACCTACCCACTTCCATTTCACCCATAACTTATTTTTCCTAAGAATCTATTGTGTTTATTCTCAACCTATTTATGCCAATTGTACTTATTATTGTAAGGAGATCATTTAATTAAGTATTCAGAGGCTGGGCGCGGTGGCTTACCCCTGTAATCCCAGCACTTTGGGAGGCCAAGTCAGGTGGATCACCTGAGGTCAGCAGTTCAAGACCAGCCTGACCAACATGGAGAAACCCCGTCTCTACTAAAAATACAAAATTAGCCAGGCGTGGTGGTGGCACATGCCTGTAATCCTAGCTACTAGGGAGGCTGAGGCAGGAGAATCACTTGAACCCGGGAGGCGGAGGTTGCAGTGAGCCGAGATCCCACCATTGCACTCCAGCCTGGGCAACAAGAGCGAAATTCTCAAAAAAAAAAAAAAAGTATTCAGTAAACAACAGAACACGACTTTAAAATAAAAAAGCTGCTTCTAAGAAAGCTAACTTCAATGCTTCAGGCTCAATAATGGTAGACTGTCTTTAAAAACTGCTCTTGAATTCAATTGGAAAAAATAATCTAAAAAATAAAAAATAATTATAAGATCTAGATAGGCGTACTCATGTTGTTTCACAAGTGTCTAAGTTCGTGCTCCATTTTAAAGGAACTAAAATTGGAAATGTTGGCCAGTACATCTGATCAACTGACCTTTAATGAAAAAAGTGACCTAGATCCTACAACGAAAAGATCTGCAAATGAATAGAGGATATGTTTTATAGGTGTTACAGATTAAAATATTTACATAAGGGGTCCATCAAACCACACAAACAAGATTCTTCTGGAATAAAAGTACAATACCTTTAATAAAGCGTATAGAAAGCAGATGCATTTTAACTTTCATTCTACGAGAGCATAATGACACTATTTTCTATCTGAATAAGTATTTCAGTGCCTTCTAGCCTCTAACTTAAAAAAAATACTGAATTTGTTCTGCTCACCATTCCTCCCCAAAGTGCACACTGATGGCAGATACACTTCTTACAAGTCCAGCAAAATACACTAAGTTTTTCATGGTGATTTTCACATCTATACATTATGAAAAGAAAATGAAGTTATAAATTAAATTGGAACATAATCACCTCCACAAATTCTTAAGCTTGGGCAAACAGGTCAGTTTTAAATGATTATATCTCAAGAAACACAGTATAAAATGTACTCCATGGCTTCTGAAAAGGAAGCTAAAGAAGTTTATGCGGACAATTTTTTGTAAAGTACTGTTTTCATTGATC
Source organism: Homo sapiens (assembly GCF_000001405.40). Classification (NCBI taxonomy): domain Eukaryota; kingdom Metazoa; phylum Chordata; class Mammalia; order Primates; family Hominidae; genus Homo; species Homo sapiens. The sequence continues at coordinate 59,084,293 of NC_000017.11, forward strand.
TGGACTTTATAATCACATGCGAAATACAGATTTGCTTCTTAAAAACATAACACATATTGCATCATTTCCACACAGCACTACAGATGATATATTCTATTGTACTACTACATTTTGGGCATGTGCTTAATAATCATATTGATTATGCATCTATACCTACATGAGCATGCACAAGTACTTTTCCTACATGTGGTCAACGATAACAATAATCAAGACACATGATTAACTGCACGATTTAATACTAGACCCTCATGGAAAATGAACAACTCAATTTTAAATGTTCTTTTAAACTGGATATTCACATGAAAAACAATAAAGTTAGACTCTGTTATGGATTAACTATGTCCCCCCTCAAATTCATAGGTTAAAGCCTTAACCCCCAGTGTGAATGTATTTGCAGACAGAGCCTTTAAGGAGGTAATTAAGGTTAAGTAAGGATCACAAGGGCAGGACCCAAATCCAACAGGACTGGTGTCCTCTATAAAGAGGAGGAGACACCAGGCATGCACGTGCACATAGCAAAGATCATGTGAGGACAGAGCTAGGTGGTGGCCATCTATAAGTCAAGGAGAAAGGGAGGCCTCACTAGAAACCAACACTGCTAGCATTTAATCTTGGACTTAACACCTATCAGAACTGTGAGAAAATAAATTTCTATTGTTTAAGCTACTCAGTTAGCAGTATTGTTATGAAAGACCTAGCAGACTAATACAGACCCTCACTTTATACCATATACACAAATAAACTACAGGCCGGGTGCAGCGGTGGCTCATGCCCGCAATCCCAGCACTTTAGGAGGCCAAGGCGGGTGGAACACTTGAAGCCAGGAGTTTGAGACTGGCCTGGCCAATATAGTGAAACTCCTTCTCTACTAGAAATACAAAAAATTAGCTGGGCGTGGTGGTGCACTCCTACAACCCCAGCTACTCAGAAGGCTGAGGCATGAGAATCGCTTGAACCCGGGAGGCAGAGGTTGCAGTGAGCTGATAATCACACCACTGCACTCCAGCCTGTGCAACAGAGCAAGACTCTGCCTCAAAAAAAAAAGAAAAGAATGAAGGTTTAACATCCAGAATATATAAATAACACCTGTAACTCAACAAATAAACTTTAAAAACTCTAATTTAAAAATGAGCAAAAGATCTCCAGTAAGCATATGAAAAGATGCTCATTACTACTAATCACTAGAGAAATGTGAATCCTAACCTCATACCATATTAGGATGGTTGCTATCAAAAAAACAAAAAAGAGCAAGTGTTGGCCAGGATGTGGAGAAACTGGAACCCTTGTGCACTACTGGTGGGACTGTAAAATGGTACAGTCACTATGGAAAACAGTATGGAGATTCCTCAAAAACTTAAATTAAAAATAGAATTACCACATGATCTAGCAATTCTACTTCTGATTACATAACCAAAAGAACTGAAAGCAGAGTCTCAAAGACATGAACATCCATAGTCATAGCAGCATTATTCACTACAGCCAAAAGGTGGAAGCGACACCAATTTTCACTGAGAGATGAATGGACAAAAAAAATGTGACATATACATACAATATAATATTATTAACCCTTAAAAAGGTGGGAAATTCTGACACATGGATGAACCTTGAGGACATTATGCTAAGTAAAATAAACCAGTTACAAAAAGAGAGGTACTGTATGGTTCCACTTATATGCAGTATCTAGAGTACTCAAACAGATAGAAACAGAAAGTACAATGGTGGCTGCCAGGGGCTGGTGCGAAGAAGGAATGGGGAGTTGTTTAATGGGTACAGTTTCAGATTTGCAAGTTTAAAAAGTTCTGGAGATTGGCTGAACATGTGAACATGCTTAACATAACTGAACTGTACATTAAAAAATGATTAAGATGGTAAATTTTATGTATATTTTACCATAATTAAAATGTTTTAAGTATTCTCTTGTTTATAAAGTAGACATACTCTTGCAATTTTTTTTTTTTTTTTTGAGACGGAGTCTAGCTCTGTCATCCAGGCTGGAATGAAGTGGCGCGATCTTGGCCCACTACAACCTCCACCTTCTAGGTTCAAGCAATTCTTGCTGCCTCAGCCTCCCAAGTAGCTGGGATTACAGGCACATGCCACCACGCCCAGCTAATTTTTGTATTTTTAATACAGACAGGGTTTCACCATGTTGGCCAGGCTGGTCTCGAACTCCTGACCTTAGGTGATCCACCCACCCCGGCCTCCCAAAGTGCTGGGATTACAAGCATGAGCCACTGTGCCTGGCCCACTCTTGCATTTTTCAAAAAGCATTTCATTGATGAAGGACACTGAGCTTAGAGAAAATACTTACATAAGTTTATATTTTATATTTCTAATTCATAAGTAATCAGAATATAAAATGGGAAATGAATAAGAGTTAGAATACATCAGGTACTGTTTGGAAGCTCATTTAGCAAGACTTCCAAAAGACCAAATTTATAATATAGCTTTTACAATATAGAAAATTTGCCAAAACTCCTCTTAATTAACAGCCTGTATTCACTTGCAGCAAGGGGAGGCCAGTAGGCATCAAACAGCAAGTAAGAAAGACTAGCAGGTTAGCAAATTGTAGCAGTCTATTCCTTTTGAGAGGCTCTAATAGAAGAGGCCCAAAAAGAGGTAAAAGGTCTTTCCAAACAGTAATACCCACCACTTCAGAGGAAAAACACCTAAGTGTTCACCAAAGAAATGTGCCATTGTATAGAAAAGAAATTAAATAATTATTTTTGGTGAGACCTCTACAATGCTACAAGTGACAGAATTCCTTAAAAGTCCAGTTAAACTTGAATAGCAGGTTTTTGGTTTTGTTTTTGTTTTTTTGGGAGATGGAGTCTCGCTCGTTACCCAGGCTGGAATGCAATGGCACGATCTCGGCTCACTGCAACTTACGCCTCCTGGGCTCAAGCGATTCTCCTGCCTCAGCCCCCCAAGTAGCTGGGATTATAGGCGTCCACCACGACGCCCAGCTAATTTTTGTATTTTTAGTAGAGACAGGGTTCTCCATGTTGGCCAGGCTGGTCTTGAACTCCTGACCTCAGGTAATCCACCCACCTCGGCTTCCCAAAGTGCTGAGATTATAGGCATGAGCCACCACACCCGCCCGAATAGTAGGTTTTAATTCTGATTATGCATTAATGTGTTATACTACCATAATTAAGCCTCTTTCTTTTTTTTTTTTTTTTTCTTTTTTTAAGAGATGGGTTCTTGCTATGTTACCTAAGCCATCCTCTGGGCTCAAGAGATCCTCCTGCCTGAGCCTCCCAAGTATCTGGGACTACAGATGCACACCACCACACCCTGTTCTCTTATTTCTATGGTTCTATTTCCTCAGTATAATGAAGAAACAGATAAATTTTTTTCTAATGACCTGTGAGGTTTCAACCTCTTGCTTTACCATGTTGTGACTCTACAGAAAGTGACAAGGCTTTATTTCTAAACATTCAGGGGTCCTGGAATCTCACCTAATTCAAGTTATTTTATTATTGCTGGACAGTGAAGCCTTACAATTAACCATGTTGTAGCTTCTTCATCTATAAAAACCAATCACTGCCACATCACTCTTTCCTTTCTTTACCTGCTCCCCATAACAACTCTCCAGATATGTTCAAAATTCTTCAATCATGGAACATAAGACCATTTATTCATTCTTGTCCCTTAAATGACTTAACACTGTATTATCACTGTGTCCCCATTAAACAGTTAACAGAAATCATGTCTCATTTACCTTTGTATGCCTATCATCTAGCAAAGTACTTTCTGTGTGGGGGGAGGGGAGGGCGAGAGGTATCTGTGTATACATGGCATGAAATAACTGTTGTTAAATAAACACAATAAGAATATGTTACTTAACAGTAACAGCGCATGACTGAAAGAATTAAAAACAAGAAATATAACACTACTTATTCATAAATAACTAAAAGGCAACTACCAATATAGTGTCATTAAACAATACAAAGGCAAAATCCATTCAATATTGAACAAAGAAATTGAGGACATACTTGTCCTTTTCATTTTCTTCATGTTTGGTGAGACTGCAGAGTTGAAGAGTATCAAGCTGTTGTGTTACTTCTTCTGCCCAACGACAATTTACTAGTTCTCGTAGCTGGAGTGGAGCACTGGGGAGAAAATCCATACACATACACTAATTCAGGAATTTGAGATTATTTTATAAAATAAATACGTTTCTCAAAATAGAGAGCACAATAATACTCATACCATAACACTATTTTTTTTTTTTAAGAGATGAGTCTCACTCTATGACCCAGGGTGGAATGCAGCGGCATGCATGATCATGGTTCACTGTAGCCTTGACCTCCTAGGCTCAAGCGATCCTCCTGCCTCAGCCTCCTGAGTGGCTGGGACTACAGCAGCACACCATCAAACCCAGCTAATTTTAAAATTTTTTGTAGAGACGGGAATCTTGCTATATTTCCCAGGCTGGTCTTGAACTCCTGGCCTCCAGTGATCCTCCCAAAGTACTAGGATTACAGGTATGAGCCACTACCTGGCCCCATAATACTATTAAAACTAAAAAAATAAAAAATAAAAAAAAAGACAATGAAAAATATTATCTGTGACTTATTTTCACCACATTAACACGTCATTTATGAAAAGAAACAAAAAGCTAAACAAAAACATATGATTCAGAATATGGACTGAATTCTCAACTTCTGAGTCTAAAGCTGTACTGTTGGCGTAGTGGCTCGCGCCTGTAATCCCAGCACTTTGGGAGGCTGAGGCAGGTAGATTGCTTGAGCCCAGGTGTTCGAGACCAGCCTGGGCAACATGATGAAACCCTGTCTCTATAAAAAATTAGCCAAGTGCAATGGCATGTGCCTACAGTCCCAGCTACCCATGAAGCTGAGGTAGGAGGACCACATGAGCCAGGGAGATTGAGGCTGCAGTGAGCCAAGATCATGCCTCTGCACTCCAGCCTGGGGAACAGAGTGAGAGCCTGTCTCAAAAACAAAACAAAACAAAACACAAATCCACAGCTGTGCTGTCCAAAACGATAGCCACTAGCCACATGTGACTCTTTTAAGTTAAAATTAAATAAAAATAAAATTTTGGCCAGGTGCAGTGGCTCACACCTGTAATCCCAGCAGTTTGGGAGGCCACAGCGGGTGGATCACAAGGTCAGGAGATCAAGACCATCCTGGCCAACATGGTGAAACGCTGTCTCTACTAAAAATACAAAAATTAGCTGGGCGTGGTGGCACGTGCCTGTAATCCCAGCTACTTGGGAGGATGAGGCAGGAGAATCACTTGAACCAGGGAGTCAGAGGTTGCAGTGAGCCAAGATTGCGCCACTGCACCCCAGCCTGGCGAAAGAGTGAGACTCCATCTCAAAAATAAATAAATAAGTAAAATTTCATCATATAGCCACACTAGACACATTTCAAGTGATCGACAGCCACACACAACTAGTGGCTACCATACTGGACAGTGTAGACATAGAACACTTTCATCATTATAAAAAGTTCTACTTGATAATGCTGGTCTTATAAGATAATGTAAGAAAGGTGGGACGAGGCACAGTGGTTCACGCTGCAATCCTAGCACTTCGGGAGGTCAAGGTGGTAGGATCCCTTGAGCCCAGGAAGTCGAGACCAGTTTGGCCAACACAGTGACATCTCATCTCTACAAAAAATAAACAAAATTAGCTGGCATGGTAGCACACACCAGTGGTCCCAGTTAGGAAGGAGGTTGAGGTAGGAGGATCACCTGAGCCCAGGAGGTCGAGGCTGCAGTGAGCTGAAATCACGCCATTGCACTCCGGCCTGGACGACAGAGCGAGACTCTGTCTCAAAAAAATAAAAAGAAAAGTGAATACAAAAAGAAAAATGGTTAACAGATGGCACTCCAGCATTATTTTTTGAAACCAAAAGTAGAGATAACCTAAATGTCTCTCAATATGGGCATAAATAAATCAAGGTATAGTCATAAAACTGATTATCAGTCACTTTTTTAAAAAATGACTTATGTATACATACAATCAAGAAAAGATATCTACCATATTTTACATGAAAAAGCAAACTGCAAAACAATATTATATCATTGGTACATTTTAAGAAAAAGCATATGGGAATCACATACGCATATATATATATAAATATAGGCACAATCATACTGGATTAGGGCATTACAAAATACATGCACAAAAAACAGTCTAGAAGAATAGATACCAAACCCAACAATTTCTTCTGAAAGTATTATTAAGTGAGAAGACAGGGTAGGGAGTATCAGAATCAGAAGGCTTTTTATTTTATTTTATATTTATCTCTACCATCTGGATTTTTTTGTTTGTTTTTTGTTTTTATTTTTTTGAGACAGACTCTCGCTCTGTGGCCCAGGCTGGAGTGCAGTGGCGTGACCTTGGCTCAAGTGCAGCAGTACGATCTCAGCTCACTCCAACCTCCACCTCCTAGGTTCAAGCAATTCTCATGCTTCAGCCTCCTGAGTAGCTGGGACTATAGTCGCGCGCCACCACGCCCAGCTAATTTTTGTATTTTTAGTAGAGACAAGGTTTCACTATGTTGGCCAGGCTGGTGTCGAATTCCCGACCTCAGGTGATCCAGCCGCCTTGGCCTCCCAAAGTGCTGGGATTACAGGTATGAGCGAGCCACTGTGCCCGGCCAAGCTATCTGGATTTTTTTAACCAGAAAACATTAAAATTTTTTGCTTAATTATAAAAGATAAATTATGCCCTAACTATCTGGATTTTTTAACCAGAAACATTAAAAATTTGTTGCTTAATTATAAAAGGTAAATTAAGAAGTTATACAATGATTTTCTGAGAGGCAGAGTACAACATAGTAAACGTAATTTTAAGTCACATGAATTAGTCCCTGCATTTCTTTTTCTAGTCAAATTGCTTATTTCTACTCAACTATCTTCACGAAGAAGAGAAATGGGCAGACTGCAGGAAAACTGCCTTTATGAATCCCAAGGCACATTCTGATCTTACTATTTTCAAAATTCACAAATAATCGTAAGGAAACACTTACCGGCAATGAGGACATTGAGCTCTCTGCTCTGTCAGCCAGCGCTAAGGGGGCAAAAGATTAGATATCGATTAGAAAACATCATTACTATATATATATATTACTTAATATTTTATATTTATATATAATATATATAATATTCTTAATATATATAATATATAAATATATAATATTCATAATATATAATATATAATATATTATTATATAACATATCATATATATATAATGTATAATGTATAATAATGTATAATATATTATACATTATATATATAATATATATAATGTATAATATATTATACATTATATATATAATATATATATAATGTATAATAATGTATAATATATTATATAATATTTATATATATAAAATACTACAAATCTAATGGGTTTAACTCTCTAGTGCTTAGTTTTAGAGATACTTATAAAAGTAACAGGCAATCTACTGTTTCCCTCACTGTCATCCTCATAGGGATAAACTTTTGAAGGGACAAAACTCAACACAAAATAGCTGTTAAAAGGCTACTCTCACACAGGAAAAGCAATGATTTCAGGACTAACTGATTCTCACAGGGAACGTCTATATAATCTTATTATTGTCTTATAATAATGGCACTGTCTCCTTTGCACTCAAAAATAAACCACAGTGATGATTTATTTCTATCTAGTTTACTACTAAATTTATTTTTTGAAAAGCTAATTCGAAAAAAAAAAGGAAGCTAATTCTGAGTTACATACATTATAGACATGTAAATTAAACCGAAAAAAATGAATAAGCAATACAGCACAACTTTTAAGTCTTAAAACAGTTTCACAGGGCTGGGCACGGTGTCTCACGCCTGTAATCCCAGCAATTTGGGAGGCCAAGGTGGGCAGATCACCTGAGGTCAGCTGATGGAGACCAGCCTGGCCAACATGGTGAAACCCCGTCTCTACTAAAAACACAAAAATTAGCCAGGCATGGTGATGGTGGCAGGCGCCCATAATCCCAGCTACTCGGGAGGCTGAGGCAGGAGAATTGCTTGAACCAAGGAGGCAGAGGTTGCAGTGAGCCGAGATCCTGCCACTGCACTCTAGCCTGGGCAACAGAGCAAGACTCTGTCTCAAAAAAAAAAAAACAAAAAAAACGGTTTCATAGTTCAGTAATTGAAGCTTCTAGATATCTTGGTTTCCTCATAATTATAAAAAGGTTTTAGAAGAGAATAATGTCTCTACTAAACCAAAAATTATATTAATAATTTATTAGGAAACTGAGAGCAATGTTATACCACATATAAAGGAGATGTTAAGATTTTCTGACTAGTTTTCAGGAAACAACAGGTTTATAATAAAAAAAACTTTATGTTTTAATTGTCTGATAAATAGGTTCAGAGGTAAATAACTATGATCCTACACCAACGTACTCCCAATATCTGTTATTTGTTTATCTCTTTCTACTTTTTAAAATGAACATGAGCTTTAACTTGATGCCAAATAATTAACTTAGAAATAAAATTCCCAAGGAAACCTTAAAGGACAGTAAAAGACTTAAAATGATAGCAAGCAAGGTACTTCAGAGCAAAGAAAATAAAGCTGAAAGAAAAAGCATACAGAGCACGCCTGTAATCCCAGCACTTTGGGAGGCTGAGGCGGGTGGATCACGAGGTCAGGAGTTCGAGACCAGCCTGGCCAACATAGTGAAATCCCGTCTCTACTAAAAATACAAATTGAGCCAGGTGTGGTGGCATGAGCATGTAGTCCCAGCTACTCAGGAGGCTGAGGCAGGAGAACTGCTTGAACCCAGGAGGTGGAGGCTGCAGGGAGCCGAGACAGCGCCACGGCACTACAGCCTGTGTAACAGAGCATGATTCTGTCTCAAAAAATAAAATAAAAATAAAATAAAAAGCCTATGGAAAAGGATTCCTCCATTCTTAATAACCTTGAACATTATTATTACCTTGGTCCCTAGGCAAAAACGAAATTTGGGTCAGGTTTCTTCCCCTGAAACAATGGCATGACCATGCCACTCTTCTGTTAAAGTCACAGCTCCTCTCCAGAACTGGTCTCATGAACTCCTCTCCAGAACTGGCCCTATAACCCAGCAAGGTAATGTCTTTACATGTTTCCTCTCTCTGCCTAAGATATTCTTCAAAACCTTTCTTCATCTGGGTTACTCCTACTCATTGTTTAGATTTCAGTTCATAAGTTGCTTTCTCCAAAAAGCTTTCCCTGACACTCTGCAGACTATTTTAGATACAATTGCCATGCTCTACCACAGCAACCTACACTTCCCCCTTCAGATACTTTATTACGACGACTTATTTGTTGGTCTCCTTTGCCCTGCTAGACTATAAAACTTATAAAGACTGGGACTATGATAGGGAGTAACCAGATCGTATTTTAAATGTCTCCCTCCCTCCCAGTCAAAACAGGCTTACTGCTGCACTATATAACACTGTCGATATATCTGTGCATTTGCTTATATGGTCCCTCCCTCCATATCCCGTCTCATAGAAATGTCACTGGATCATGTCCATAAAATTTCCTGCCTTTCCCAGGCTATAGTGAGTTTTACATTCTCTGAATATTTGTGGTATTTTTATCTTGTATTCCACAATCTAATTTATTTATTTATTTTTTGAGACAGAGTCTCACTCCCTCCCCCAGGCTTGAGTGCAGTGGTGCAATCTCAACTCACTGCAACCTCTGCCTCCCGGGTTCAAGCAATTCTCATGCCTCAGCCTCTCAAGCAGCTGGGATTACAGGCATGCGACGCCACACCCAGATGGTTTTCGTATTTTTATTAGAGATGGGGTTTTCCCACGTTGGCCAGGCTAGTCTCCAACTCTGACCTCAAGTGATCTGCCCGCCTGGGCCTCCCAAAGTGCTGGGATTACAGGCATACAGGCATGAAATTGCTCAGCCTCCACAATCTAATTTAATTACAAAATAAATATGACAATGTTAATACTTTGAGAAAAGCAATGTTTCTCTCAAACCAAAACCAAAGAACCAGTGGTACAATATTAATGCATAATATTAAACAAATATCTTTAGAGCATTCCCCCTCATTCAATTAAAAAATCATAAACATAAAATAAAATTAAAATTAAAAATTATTTTCTCTCCTTCATTAAACTGGAAGAATCACAAGCTTTAGAAAGTATTCAGATCTGTGTCTGATTCCCAGCTCTGGCACTTATGGACCACATGACATTGGACAAGTGACTGAGCTCGTCTCCTCATATGCAACAAGAGAATCAACATATCTACCCTGCAAAACCGCTCTAAGGGTTAGAGAGAAGCTGTTAGCAATATATACTAAGTATCTAAGATAATCTTAAAAAAAAAACAAACTGGCTGCTAACATTTATAGTTCAATTACTACTGGATGTGAGGAAAAAGGAAGATTAAGGTGAGCTAGGTTTTTGGATAAAAAACTGGGTTCCTGACTGGAAAAGAAACAGATTTGGCATGGTGAAAAACAAAAACAAAAACAAAAACAAAACAAAAAAAAACCTCTTATAGAGACGATATATTTCAGATGCATACTACAAGTCCAAATGAAGGTAGTTAGATACTGGAGGCAGAGAAAAGGCCAGGACTGAAAAGATAAAGTTGGGAAGTTTAAGTCTAGAGGTAGTGTTAAAAGTCATGGACCAGTCGGGTGTGGTGGCTCACACCTTTAATCCCAGCACTTTGGCAGGCCAAGGTGGGAGGATTGCTTAAGGCCAGGAGCTCCAGATCAGCCTGGGTCACATAGCAAGATACCATCTCTACAATAAATTTAAAAATTAGCCGGGCATGGTGGACACGCCTGTAGTCCCAGCTACTCCTCAGGAGGCTGAGGTGGGAGGATCAACTGAGTCCAGAGGTCAGGGCTGCAGTGAGCCATGATCATGCCACTGTCTCTAGCCTGGATGACAGAGCAAGACTCGGTCTCTTAAAAAAAAAAAATCCATAGACCATGAAGTTACTAGGAAGATGGTATAGCTATTATGGCAAAGATACCAAAGATAACGTTTCAAGAAAAACAGATGAAGTAATTTATGCTGAATGCTCCGAGAAGGAAAGATAAGGCCAACAAAAGGTTCATTGGATTTAGCAAAACTGAGTCTACACTTTGCAGGAGCTATGTGAGTAGTGTGGAGGGAGCTAAAGCCAAGTTAGAATGGGTTGAAGGGTAAGTAGATGGCAAGGTTGCAGGGAAATGGAGTGGAAAACACTCTTTTAAATACTTTTAGCTATAAGAGAAAACAGGCAGTAAATAGGAAATTTGTTAACAAAGGACTTTTATTCCCAAACAGCTCAAAATTGCAAGGAAACTAGGAGGCCGATCATAGAGGATCTTAGATGCCTTGTGAAAGCATACAAAATTTCTTACATCCCCTAATGTACTGTTTGAGGCAAACTATATATACATACAAAAACATGCTAAATACTTTCTGGGGTTGTTTTTGTTTTTGAGACAAGTCTCACTCTGTCACTCAGGCAGGAGAGCAGTGGCCCAAACACAGCTCACTGCAGCCTCAACCTCTTCATCTCAAGAGGTCCTCCCACCTGACCCTCTGAAGTAGCTGAGGCTACAGGTGTGCCCACCACATCCAGCTAATTTTTTAATTTTTTTTGCAGAGATGGGATCTTGCCATGTTGCTCAGCCTGGTCTTGAAGTCCTGGGCTCAAACAATCCTCCATCTTTGGGCCTCCCAACGTGCTGGGACTACAGGCATGAGCCACTGTGCCCAGACTAAAATAGTTTCTTACAAACATCTATACCACTAAACTATAACAAAAGTCCACTTCTTATGGTATGTCTACCAAAGAAAGGGAAAAGCTGTCCTTTTGTTCATTTCCAAAAACCTGTAAGAATGAGTAATTATCATAAAGATTGTATATATTAATTATCTAGCATACAGAACTAAATAAGCCAGATGGTAAATAAAATTACTGTTAGTGTAACAGGAGACCAAAAAAAGAGAGTTTAAAAAAAAAACATCAGCCGGGCACAGTGGCTCACGCCTGTAATCTCAATACTTTGGGAGGCCGAGGTGGGTGGATCACCTGGAGTCAGGAGTTCGAGACCAGCCTGGCCAACATGGTGAAACCCCGCCTCTACTAAAAATATAAAAATTAGCCAGGCATGGTGGTGGGTGCCTGTAATCCCAGCTACTCGGGAGGCTGAGGCAGGAGAATCGCTTGAACCCAGGAGGCAGAGGTTGCAATGAGCCAAGATCGTGCCACTGCACTACAGCCTGGGTGACAGTGAGACTCTGTCTCAAAAAAAAAAAAACAAAAAAAAAAAAACCAACTTTGTAACAGAAAACAAGGTCTTTAAGAAACATTAATTACAGCAATTATTAAAAATCTTAGATCATGGGCTCATGATTGATTAAATACTATTTCCAATGCCTAATCCTGCATTTGAAATTAATTAAAAATATAAGTATTTATTAAATTCCTTCCATTTCTTCAGAATATAATCAGAGATATCATTATTGACATGTACTGTGCATCCTCATTCATAATGCTATATGAAAAATTTTAATGTATATGTGGTCTGGGAGTTTAAGATATTTACTAGAGAAATTGTGCTAGGGAAATCCTCAACAAAATCCCAATAAAACTAATTCAACAGACTATTTAAAAAATTATACACTGTGGCCAAGTGGGATTTATTCCTAGAATAGAAAGATGATTCAACTACAAAAATCATTCAATGTAATAAACCACTTCATGGAAAACCCCCACTATGATCATCTCAATTGATGCAGAAAAGGCATCTGACAAAATCCAATATCCTTTCATGATAAAAATACTCAATAGAAATAGAAGGGAACTTCCTCAACTTGATAAAGGCCATATATAAAAACTCATAAAAATCATAGTCAACGATTCAAAGGCTAAAAACTCTTCCCCTTAAGATCAGGAAAAATTCCCCTTAAGATCAGGAAAAAGACAAGGATGCCAGCTTTTACCATTTCTATTTGACATAATACAGGTACTAAAAATTCCAGCCAGAGTACTTAGGCAAGATAAAGAAATAAAAAGTATCCTAATTAAAAAAGAAGTGAAATTATCTTTTTGCAGATGACATGATCTTATCTGTAAAAATCCCTAAAGAGTCCACAAAATATTGTTAAAGCTAATAAACACAACAGTTACAGGAGACAAACACACAAAAAACACTGGCATTTCTATAAGCTTGCAATGAACAATCTAAAAACGAAATTAAGAAAATAACACATTTGCAACAGCATCAAAAGGAATAAAATGCTTAGGGAAAAAAAAAACCAAGAATTTGAAAGACATACATGGAGGCTGAGTGTGGTGGCTCACACCTATAATCCCAGCATTGGGAGGCCAAGACAAGAGGGTCTCTTGAACCCAGGAAGTTGAGGCTGCAGTGAGCCATGATCGCATCACTGCACTCCAGCCTGGGTGACAGTGAGATCCTGTCTCAAAACAATAAAAAACAAAAAGAAAGACTTATACGTGCAAAACTACAATACACTGCTCAAAGAAGTTAAAGAAGTCCTAAATAAATGGAAAGACACCCATGTTCAAGGATCATAAGATTTAATATTGTTAAGACAGCAATATTACTCAAAGGCATGTACAGAATCAATGTAATCCCTACTAAAACTCCAATGGTACTTTTTATATTGGTAGAAAACTGCATTTAAAATTCACATGGAATCTCAAGGGATGCCAAATAGTCAAAACTATCTTGAAAAAGTTGGAGGACTCACACTTCCTAATTTCAAAACTTACTACAAAGCTACAGTAATCAAAACAGTGTGGTACTACCATAAGAACAGAAATAGAGACTAATAGAACAGAATAGAGAGGTAGAAATAAACAAAAATATTTTATGATTCCATTTATATGATGTACTTAGAATAGTCAATGTAAAGACAGAAGGTAGAATAGTGGTTAACAGGGGCTAGGGGGAAGAGAATAATGAGAATTTATTGTTTATCAAGTACAGAGTTTCAGTTTGGGATGATGAAAAAGTACTAAAGGTGGATAGTGGTGATGGCTGCACAACAATGTGAATGTACTTAATGCCGCTAAACAGTACACTTAAAAATACAGTTAAAATTGCAAATTTGGCTGGGCCAAGTGGCTCACATCTGTAATCCTAGCACTTGGGAGGCCAAGGCAGGCAGATCACTTGAGCCCAGGAGTTTGAGGCCAGCTTTGGCAACAAAGTAAAACCCTGTCTCTACAAAAAATAAAAAAATTAGCCAGGCACGATGGCACACACTTGTGGTCCCAGCTACTCAAGAGTGTGAAGCAGGCCAACTGCTTGAGCCCAAGAGATTGAGGCTGCAGTGAGCCATGATTGTGTCACTGTGCTCCAACGTGGGCAACAGAGTGAGACACTGTCTCATTTAAAAAAAAAAAAAAAAAAAGGCTAATTTTACATTAGGTATATTTTACCACAATTAAAAAAAAATTAACAGAATACCATATGACCCAGCAATTTCACTTCTAGATATATATTCAAAAGAAATGAAAGCAGGAACTCAAACAGATAATTGTTAACAACAGAACTATTAACAATATCCAATATCCAAAAAGTGAAAACAACCCAAGTGTCCATCAAGAGATAAAAATGGATAAATAGGCTAGGCGCGGTGGCTCAACGCCTGTAATCCCAGCACTTTGGGAGGCCAAGGAGGGTGGATCACCAGGTCAAGAGATCGACACCATCCTGGCCAACATGGTGAAACCCCATCTCTACTAAAAATACAAAAATTAGCTGGGTGTACTGGCGCACACCTGTAGTCCCAGCTACTCGGGAGGCTGAGGCAGCAGACTCGCTTGAACCTCGGAGGTGGAGGGTGTGGTGAGCCGAGATCGCACGATTGCACTCCAGCCTGGCGACAGAGCGAGGCTCTGTCTCAAAAAACAAAAAAACTTAAGAAAAAGGATAAACAAAAAGTGGTATATAGCCATGTGTCACATAAAGATGTTTCGGTAAATGATGGACCGCATATACTACAGTAGTCTCGTAAGATTAGAATGGAGCTGCCCTACATAGGTGTACCATTTTTTATCTTTTATACTGTATTTTTAATATACCTTTTCTATGTTTACTTATGTTTATTTTCTTTTTTCTTTTTTTTTAATGGGTACAGACTTTCTGTTTGGGGTGATGAAAGATTTTGGAAATAGTGATATGGTTGTATAACATTATGAATGTAATTAAAGACACCGAACTGTACCCTTAAATATGGGTAAAATGGAAAATTTTGTTATATTTATTTTAGCACAAAATGGGGGGCACTGAACAGACCCCTTACCAAAGACAACATATGGATGGTAAATAACTCCTGGAAAAGATGCTAACATCATTACTCAACAGAGAAACGCTAACTAAAACAAGGAGATACCTGTAAGAATGGCTACACGTCCCTGAGAATGGCTAAAATTCACAAAACCGAACACACCAACTGTTAGCATTAATGTGGAGGAATTGGAACTCTCATAAACTTCTGGTGAGAATGTAAAATTATAAAACTATTTCCTTTTTTTTCTTTTTGAGACAGAGTTTCGCTCTTGTTGCCCAGGCTGGAGTGCAATGGTGCGATCTCGGCTCACCACAACCTCCGCCTTCTGGATTCAAGTGATTCTCCTGCCTCAGGCTCCCAAGGAGCTGGGATTACAGACATGTACCACCAGGCCTGGCTAATTTTGTATTTTTGGTAGAGACAGAGTTCTCCATGTTGGTCAAGCTGGTCTCGAACTCCCGAATTCAGGTGATCCATCCACTTCGGCCTCCCAATCCTTTTTTTAATTTAACCTTCATCCCTCTCCTCCTCTCCCTCTTTTGAAGTCCCCAGTGTCTAGCATTTCCCCCTTTATGTCCATGTATGCTCATTGTTTAGCTCCCAGATACAAGTATTTTAGAAAATAGCTTGGCAATTTTCAAAATGTTAAACACACATCTACCACATAATCTCTATCCGTTCCATTACTAATTATTTACCCAAGAGAAAAGAAAGCTTCTTGTACACGAATGTTCGCAGCAATTTTCACTGTAATAGCAAAAACTGTAAACATGCCATATGCCCATCAACAGGTGAATGCATAAACAAATTGTGGTAAATACATACAATGGAATACTACTTAGCAATAAAAAGGAATACTACTGATACATACAGTATTTTTGCTGAGTGAAAAAAAGCCAGATCCGTAAGAGTACATATTGTATGATTTTCATTTGTATAAAATTCCAAAACATGCAAACTTATCTTTTTTCTCTTTTTCCATCCCCCTTATCTCTGAAGCAAACTTATCTATCGTGACAGAAAGCAGATCAATGGTTGCCTGGGGACAAGGCAAGTAGAGGGAGGAATTACCAAGAGGCACAAGGAAACTTTTGGGGATGACAGATATATTCACTAACTTGGATGCAATGATTGTCTCACAAGAATACATATATGTCAAAACTGTACACTTGGCCAGGCTCAGTGACTCACATCTGTAATCCTAGCACTTTGGGAGGCTGAGGTGGGTGGATCACCTGAGGTCAGGAGTTTGAGACCAACCTGACCAACATGGTGAAACCCTGTTTCTACTAAAAATACAAAATTAGTCAAGCGTGGTGATGCATGCCTATAATCCCAGCTACTTGGGAGGCTGAGGCAGGAGAATCACTCGAACCCAGGAGATGGAGGTTGCAGTGAGCGGAGATCGCGTCATTGCACTCCAGGCTGGGCAACAAGAGCAAAACGCCGTCTCAAAAAAAAAAAAAAAAGAACAAAACAAACAAAAAAACTGTACACTTTAAATATGTGTAGTTTACTGCATGTCAGTTATACCTAATAAAAAATGACTGGCTTGAAAACAAGTAGGCAAGCAATCAATATTTGCTGAATGAATGAACAAATGATTAGTGCATTCAGGAACCAAGACAGCCCTAGAAAGAAAGGTCAGAACCAGATCTGGATGGTCTGAACACAAGGCTAACATTCTTGGATTTTATCCTTTACATAATACATTTCTGAGGCTTCTGGGGAAAAGAAAGAGATATCAGTGAAAAATATTAATATAGTAGCAGGACAGAAAATGGACTGGAGATAAGAAAAGACTCAAACCTGAGAGATCAGACAGAAAGTAATTAAATAATCTAAGCATGAGGTAACCAATGTTCATACTTCTCTATTAGCATGGTAATGATAAAAACAGAAGGGTAAGACAAATATAAGTGAAACAGGGAGATAATAACTAATTGCACTTAAAAATCATTGGTATAGGCCAGAGGCAGCGGCTCATGCCTGTAATCCCAGCACTTTGGGAGGCCAAGGAGGGAAGATCAGTTGAGGTCAGGAGTTTGAGACCAGCCTGGGCAACATAGTGAAACCCCATCTCTACAAAAAAAAAAAAAAAAAAAAAAATATATATATATATATATACACACACACACACACACACACACACATATATACATATACATGTTTATATATATACATATATACACACACATATATACATATATATATACAAAAATAGCCGGGCATCATGGAGTGCGCTGATACTCCCAGCAACTTGAGAGGCTGAGGCAGGAAAATCTCTTGAACCTGGGAGGCGGAGGTCGTAGTGACCCAAGATCACGCCACTGCACTTTAGCCTGGGCAACAGAGCAAGAATCCATCTCAAAAAAAAATAAAAAATAAAAAATAAAAAAATCATTGGTATAAAGTTTCCAGTTTGAGTGACTAGCAGAACAGAACAAAAAGAATGAACTTAGAATCGGTTTGAGAAAATAATATGAATAATCTGATCTTGAACAAAGTTCAAGATGCTAGAAGGACAAGACATCCAAAAGTCAGTGCTGAAGGAATAGATTTAGGAGCCATACACACAGAGATGATAGCTAAAGCTGCTAAAGTAAATCAAATTTCCCAAAGTAGGTGAATACTCCCAGAAACCTCAGAGTAGAGAACGACAGCAACAAGATCTTAGGAAATTAAGAAATAAATGCATTTAAGGGGCAGGAGGAAGAAGATGTAACAATGAAAAAATACAGAATCAATGAGGCATAAGGTAACAACCAGAGACCATAAGCACATGGGACCTTCATCAAAAGAAATGCGCCCAGATCCAGATTCTACCACTTAATTAACTATAACGGAGTCCAATTACTTAATTTATCTAGCATCAGTTTCACTGTTTATTAAAACATGGGTAAGTGTTAATGTGTATTAGTTGCTATTTTAACAATAAAATAACACCTTACAAACAAGTAGATATAGTATTTCATAATTTCTGAATTACTCCTTAGGTTATCTCATTTAATGCCATAACCACCCTGTAAAGCAAATCATATCTGAATTCTACAGCTGAAGAAAGAAGGCCAAGAAAGAGTGAATCTCTTAGTTTTAGAAGTATGAGAACTAACATCATATTTAACTGGGTCTTCTGCGCATGGTACAGTGACAAAGAACAGGCTATAGAGTTCTTGAACTTAATGGGTTCAAATCCAGTACCATCAATTGTGAGCTGTGTGACTAGAAAAAAATTATTTAAGTGTTACGGATAATACTCTTGACAAAGGCATATGTATCTTCCTTAGGCAAGAATAAGGAAACAGAAATTTTTTTTTTTTTTGAGACGAAGTCTCGCTCTGTCGCCAGGCTGGAGTGCAGTGGCACCATCTCTGCTCACTGCAACCTCTGCCTCCCGGGTTCAAGTGATTCTCCTGTCTCAGCCTCTCGAGTAGCTGGGACTACAGGAGCATGCCACCATGCCTGGCTAATTTTTGTATTTTTAGCAGAGACAGGGTTTCACCATATTGGTCAGGATGGTCTCGAACTCCTGACCTCAGGTGATCCACACACCTCAGCCTCCCAAAATGCCGGGATTACAGGCGTGAGCTACCTACTGCGCCCAGCTGAAACAGAAAGTTTGAGGTGAAGAGCATGTGACCTCTTTGATTTTCTCAGGAAAATAAATAATTGAAGGGGAATGTGAACAAGGCAGTTTTCAACTATGCTCTGTAGATGTGCTATTGGACTCTCGCATACACAACCAAAATCTTGGACTTCCTCATTTTGTTATTTTGTTTTTTGTTTTTTTGAGACAGAGTCTCGCTCTGTCACCCAGGCTGGAGTGCACTGGCATGATCTCGGCTCACTGCAACCTCCGCCTCCTGGGTTCAAGCGATTCTCCTGCCTCAGCCTCCTGAGTAGCTGGGATTACAGGCACACACCACCATGCCCAGCTAATTTTTGTATTTTTAGTAGAGATGGGGTTTCACCATGTTGGTCAGGCTGTTCTCGAACTCCTGACACCATGATCCACCCGCCTCGGCCTCCCAAAGTGCTGGGATTACAGGCCTGGGCCACCGCGCTCAGGCCAACATTCAAGTTTTTTTTTTTTTTTTGAGACGGAGTCTCACTCTGTCGCCAGGCTGGAGTGCAGTGGCGCTCTCTCGGCTCACTGCAACCTCTGCCCTCCCGGGTTCAAACAATTCTCCTGCCTCAGCCTCCCAAGTAGCTGGGACACAGGTACATGCCACCATGCCCAGCTAATTTTTGTATTTTTAGTAGAGACAGGGTTTCACCATGTTGGCCAGGATGGTCTCGATCTCTTGACCTCGTGATCCACCTACCTCGGCCTCCCAAAGCACCAACACTCAAGTTTTAAAGCCACTAGATTATATTCATCTCTAGAGTGTCTTGTAATTGTAAGATTAAACACTTTTTCTCTATCTTACTCACCAAACACATATAAACCAGTCCTCTTCTGAGCCCCACAGCACTTCTTTAGTGCCTCCTTATGATACCGCACATTCTTCAAAATAAACATTCTAAACTCCATTCCCTCAATTAGATTTAAGCTCCTTCAAGGCAGGCAATTTGTCATTTATCTTAGTATTCCTCAACCCCAAGCACAGTGCAAGCAAGCACTTTAGGGCAAAAAATGTAAAATAAAAAGATAAGGGAAATGGTTAATCCTTACAATATATACTATATATACTAACTGCATGTAAAAAGAAATACAACTTACCCTAATACAGCTGAAACAACACAGTTTGGAGCAATGAGGACACAGGCGTGCATCCCGCAATTTCTCCATACAAATGAAACATCGGAAAACCTCAGCAATGCTCTGAAAACAGTAAAAGATGTAAGGTCCACCAGTTTAGGCTACTGAATCAAGAGTAAAAGGCAAGCTCAAAACAACTTGACATTTACATTTATTTTGGGCTGATCTCTCAATTTTAACTATTCCATATCAGGATTTGGTTGGTCAAGATACAGAGTACCTCAAAACATCTGGAAAATGTACTCCCGTTTGGTTTCACGATGATTCTATTCTAAGGAAAATATAGGAAATGCAAACACAGACATGCAGAAAAATTTTCACTAAAGCAGTAATTATAATGGCAAGAATCTAGGTACAGCCCAAATGTCCAAATATTAAGTAAATTATGGCAGTTACACATAGATTACAGTCACCAGAAATACTTCTTCATCTAATGATATAGAAAAATGCATATAATGTATAACAGCAGGGAAAAAAGGCCCAGGCATGATGGTTCATTACTGTAATCCTAGCACTTTGGGAGGCTGAGGCAGGTGGATCACTCGAGGTCGGGAGTTCGAGACCAACCTGGCCAAAATGGTTAAACCCCGTCTCTACTAAAAATACAAAAATTAGCCAGGCGTGGTGGTGTGCACCTGTAATCCCAGCTACACAGGAGGCTAAGGCAGAAGAATTGCTTGAACCTAGGAGGCGGAGGTTGCAGTGAGCCAAGAGGGTGCCACTGCACTCTAGCCTGGGTGACAGAGTGAGATTCTGTCTCAAAAAAAAAAAAAAAGAAAAAAGGAAAAAAGGCAGACTATATGACTGAATACACAACATGAACTTTTAACTTTTTCTGCAATTTCCCCAAAAGGTATAAACTGATTTTATAATTTAGAGGAAAAAGAAGTTTAAAAAGACACATCCTAAAGGCAGTGTACTGTGACCCAGAAAAAAATGAATTCAGAATCCAGAAATCTGAATTGCTGCCCTGATGTTACAACAGACTAGCTACTTATTTGAACCTGAGATTCTGCCCCAATTGAAAATGTTGACGGTAGTTCAAAGCGATCTTGGGAACAACAACAACAAAAATATGTAAATACAAGAAACAGTATTATGTTTGCAAGCCTCAATTTAATCAATTTAGGAAGTAACTGAAAAGTTTTTAACAAGAAAAAGGATACAATTAAACGTATACTTATTGTATTGTATACTTTGTTTTTATATTACTGACATTTACTTTCACTCCATTCTAGAATTAAACCCTCCTAAAACCAAGATAAGTTTACAAAACCTTTATAATACTTTATATGAGGAATTAAGGAGAAAATTACTCATTAATCTCATCATGACTCTGTAGGGCCAGAAAGAACCTGGGAGATGCAGATTCTGTAACCTGCAACGGGGTGGACAATAAGACTACTGAATGACTAGTTTCAAGTGGAATATCCATAACATAGTTACCCCTTACTAAAAAGCAAGGATTTCCTATTTCAGTATCTGAAAGGTTCAAAATTTGATAATGATTACACAATTATGTTCAATAAACAATCTTTTAAAATATATTCCTAGCCTTTACTTACATATCCTACATATCCCAACTATTTTAACTCACAGCTTACAAGAATCAGTTATAAAAAGAAGAGTTTGTTCTGGAAACTACACATGAGATAATATATGCTGATTCAATCTAGGAAGGAAGGGCAGAAGCCTGCAAAATGTGCCACTGAGAGGGAAAGATGACTATCCATTTGGAAGGAGATTTAGATCAGCTCAAGAACTCGCAAGGACTGGTGGCGAGTGGCAGGGTACATCCATCTGATGAATCTGCAGTTTTGGTCGGAAAAGGATGCTGTTTGCAAACACCCGGTGGGGATGAGTACCTGTGCCAAGACATCCTTGAAAACTCCAGGATACGCACCACCTGACTGCGGAACAGTGAGCACAAGACACCCGGAGCGCTGCAGAATGGGCACGGCATCCTTGGTACCGGGCCAGCCCTCTCCACAGCGGCAGGGGCGGGGTAGGGGTGCCCTACTGGAGGGAGGACATGGGCACGACTCCCCGAATAAAAACCGCTCATCGGGTGGGGGCGGGGACTAACCACCACCCTCACAACCCCCTCACCTCCACGCTCTGTTCATCCATTGCCTCCGGCTCTCGGCGGGGCCGCTGGCGACCCGCAGGCTCCGCAGTCTGACCTCTTAGGCGCCGGCCCGAGGTCGCCAGATCAAATCGCCGATAAAAGCCCGGCGCCCACGTCAGGGGGCTCTGACAACCGCCCCACCTGCGCGCCCCATCTCTTCAGGTCCAGCGCCGCCTACCCCCATTTCGCCATTTTTACCGGCGCGCCCGCCCCGAGGCGCAGAAGTAGGGCGAACGGTGGCCGCAGCTCCTTTCTCCCGGCTCAGCCGCCGGCCAGCAGCCGCGCCGGAACCTCGGCCCACGTGACGCGGGCGCGCGCCTATGGAACTGACGGTGGAGTTCAGCGAAGAAGGTGCCGCAGAGAATTCGCAAACACCAACCGTAACCAGAGCAGCTGGGGGCGCGGCGGCGAGAGAAGCTGCGAAGCGCATGCGCGCAGGACGCTGTGGGAGGGGAAAGGAGGGGAGGAGCGTGGAGCGATCGCCTAGTTCCCGCGTTGCGGGGCGCATACGAGACTTGGCGACTCGCTGCCTCAGGGTTGCGTGCCTCCGGCCCTAGCCTGCGCAGGCGGCCTGAGCTTGGGGCTCTGCTACGCCACCCACGCCCACCTTGGCGGAGGGCGGGGCCCCACGGCTCTCAAACTTGCGCGCCAAAGACGGAGCCACCTGGCGTACTGGTGGAAAGCGCAGACTTCAGAGCCACACCCGTAGTTAAGTATTCGGACTCTGAGATTCCAGGGTGGGGCCCAGGCCATCCGCGTTTTCACCCAGCATCGTGTGATTCGGCAGCAGGTGGTCTGTGGCCCGCACTTTGAGAAACCCTGGTGCAGAAGGTTCATGGTTAGTGGTTCTCTCTGGAAGGAACAGTCTAAGGTTTGTAGGACTTGCGTTCCACCTACCAAAGCTAATCGAGTTAGAAGGCTCCAAACTGAGGTGTCATTTCTCATTACGGTGGTGAGAGGACGGGACCACACACTGTGAAGTCTTCGTTCCCACATCCCACACTTCATTCTTGCCGCCTAAGTTGTCGCCGTGGGACTATTGAAAGGGTATCAGCGATATTCATCTTTCCTATAAATGGGATCTGCTTTCTACAGTTTCCTGCCAGATGTGTAAAGATTGCAAGAATTGAAGGTTTGTGAGACAAAGAGGGCATATCAAATTCGTAATTTGAATTTAATTTTTCCTGTATTTATTGCAAACAACTAATTATACTTAACCGACCTAGAGTGCACATGTAGAGAATCACTAATAATCTAGAAATAAGTTCTTGAATATCAGGCATTTAGGCTTATAGGTGGTGGGTAGCAACAATTTTTTTTAACTACTTGGGTCATGAACAAGATATAATTTAGAAAGATTAATCTGAGACTGAAAAATTCTTTCAGTAAGAATTATTTGTGGTCTTTGACCTACATGGAGCTATTTTTACGAAAATGGCCTCAGTTGTACATTTTTAAATGGTTGATGGTTAATATTATGAGAATTTTACTTAAAAGAATTATTTATAGAATGCAGTGCTAGGCCTGGCGTGGTGGCTCACACCTGTAATCCCAGCACTTTGGGAGGCCGAGGCTGGCGAATCACCTGAGGTCGGGAGTTCGAGACCAGCCTGACCAACATGGAGAAACCCCGTCTCTACTAAAAATACAAAATTAGCCGGGCGTGGTGGCGCATGCCTGTAATCCCAGCTACTGGGGAGGCTGAGGCAGAAGAATCGCTCGAACCCAGGAGGCGGAGGTTGCGGTGAGCCGAGATCGCGCCATTGCACTCCAACCTGGGCAACAAGAGTGAAACTCCGTCTCAAAAAAAAAAAAAAAAAAAATGCAATGCTGTACTTGGGATTCAGAGTAATGAGAAGTGGCCCTTGCTCTCAAGGAGCAGTACAGAAGACAAATAAGACAAATTGCAATACTTACATGATAAATAGTTAAGATTCTTGTATGTTTGCCGAAGAACCTAAGAATGTCGAAGGACTTATTGCACCAATTCATAATAGCGAACAATTAGAAACCTGTACAGCTGATTAGAGGCCGTTGGTTGCAAGCAAAAAGGATAACTTGAGCAAAATAAATAATTTAGTTGGCAAGATGCTAAACTCACATCGTTTGCCAAGCCCTGGGGTTTGAGAGCCAACGGTCTGCTCCATCAGAATCCCTTAAAGGCTGACCTTGCTGCCCTCCCCACAAGAAAAATCTCCTAACTTCATACATATCCTTAAATAACTTGCTGTTATACAACTTACTTGTTATATTATTTGTATAACTTGCTGTTATAGAGCTTAAATGTCTATCACTAAGGAACTGATAAAAATGACTATATATCTAGCTGGGCATGGTGGTGCACACCTGTGGTCCCAGCTACTCTGGAGGCTGAGATGGAAGGATCACTTGAGCCCAGGAATTTGAGGCTGCAGTGATCCAAGATCACACCACTGCACTCCAGCCTGGGCAACACAGCCAGATCCTGTCTAAAATTAAAAAAAAAAAAAAAGTATGGTATAGCCATATAATGGATTACAGCTGTTAAAAAGAAGGGTGGATGTGTGACATAACAAAAATATATTAGAATTGAAGACCGGGCACAGTGGCTCATGTATCCCAGGACTTTGGGAAGCTGAGGCTGGCAGATCTCTTGAGCCCAGGAGTTGGAGACCAGCCTGGGCAACATAATGAAACCAAGTCCTACAAAATATACAAAAATTAGCAGGGGTTGGTGGCATGCATCTGTGGTCCCAGCTACTTGGGAGGCTGAGGCAAGAGGATTGCTTGAGCCCTGGAGGCTGCAGTGAGCCATGATAGCAACACTGCATTCTACCCTGGGTGACAGAGCGAGACCCTCTCTCAAATAAAATAATGAAATGAAAAAAAATCTAAGTACAGCAGCAGTACAAGGCATAGTATCAACCTACTTTTGTTGAAAAAAATTTTTTTTAGTTTGTATACATGTAGAAATGCCTGAAGCAATTATTTGCAGATTACCTCTAGATAATTTATATGCCTGTTTTGTTGTTGTTTTTTTTTTGTTTTTTTGGGTTTTTGTTTTTTTTTTTTTTGAGACAGAGTCTCACTCTGTCGCCAGGCCGGAGTGCAGTGGCGCAATCTCAGCTCACTGCAACCTCCGCCTCCTGGGTTCAAGCGATTCCCCTGCCTCAGCCTCCCGAGTAGCTGGGACTACAGGCACGTGCCACCACACCCAGCTAATTTTTGTAATTTTAGTAGAGACAGGGTTTCACCATGTTGGCCAGGATGGTCTCCATCTTTTGACCTTGTGATCTGCCCGACTCGACCTCCCAAAGTGCTGGGATTACAGGCGTGAGCCACCATGCCCGGCCATGCCTGTGATTTTTAAATTCTTAAACATGTATTATTTATAACTTAAGACATAAAGACACTATAGTCACATAGGAGAAAACAATTATAATCCAAATGAGAAACAAAAGATCTAAATTAAGGAGGTGTGAAGATAATGTAGAGGTTGTATACTATGACCATTTTAGAAAGAGGATTGTAGGTTTTATTGACTAAGAAGATAAAGGGATGCAAATTAGTTATACAGGTTTTAATTCCAGACAACAGAATAGTGGCTATTAACAATAAAATCAGTAAGTATTCTGGACATGTTTAACTTGAATATTCAGGTAGGGGATTTTATTGGAAATACGGATCTAGAGCTAGTGGAAGAAGTTATATTTAGGAGTCATCCACAAAGAGGCTTGAGAAACAAATGAAAATGTATTGAGAAGTGCATAGAGAACAATGTTAAGGGGGCTGTGGGGAAAAAACAACATTTGGAAGATAACTGAAGGAAATCATAGAGGAAAAATAGTACAATCTAATTTTTCTCCCTAACTGAAAGCAAAACCACTTTTAATACTAAGAATTTATTATGATCTCTCCATGATACTACCGTTTTTTCAATCCCAACAATCATCATCACATCCCAGAGCCATCTCATGACAAGAGCTTTCTAAATACTAATTGCCTGAACACTGAAGAAAATTAATATCTGATACTAAGGTGTAACTTATTTCTCTGTAATTAAAAAAAAGGGGGCCAGGCACGGTAGCTCATGCCTGTAATCCCAGCACTTTGGGAGGCCGAGGTGGGTGGATCACCATCAGGAGTTAAAGACCAGCCTGGTCAAGATGGTGAAGCCCCATCTCTACTAAAAATACAAAAAAATAGCCGGGCGTGGTGGCGGGCGCCTGTAATCCCAGCTACTCGGGAGGGTGGGGCAGAGAACTGCTTGAACCTGGGAGGTGGAGGTTGCAGTGAGCTGAGAGCGTACCACTGCATTCCAGCCTGGGCAACAGAGTGAGACTCCGTCTCAAAAAAAAAAAAAAAAAAAAAAAGGCTTTCTGTTCTTGAAATATTCAAACTAGACAGGACAATTTTAACTGAAGCTGTTCTCACAACCCTGTTTTTCAGCTATTATAAGTTTGTTAATGGACAAACATGTTCATAACTGAAATTTTAAAATTACATAAAAGTATAATTCTATAACCTGCAGAACTAACATTTGATGCATTTTTCCTAGTCCTTTCAATGCTTAGTTTTTATTACATGTATGTAATATCACTTATTGAAGGCTTACTAAATACTGAACCCTGTATTAAAACACTTTCCTGTCTTGTCCTTCCAAACATCCTGACACTCAAAAGTTAAGTGATCTGCACAGGGTCATAGCTAGAATTTAAAAGCTGCTACTTACATCTCAGATATGACTCCAAAGCCCAATCTTCACTACAAAACTGCAATACCTGCTTTCCCTCTCCCCCACTTAGCATAGTTTCAGCATTTCCCAGAACATTAACAGTAATAATTTATTGGCAACTTGACCTCTTATTGTATACATACAGCATGATTTATTTTCCTATTCACCTAGTACTAGCCAAATGTGTATGTATATTGCTATTATAAACAACCCTGTGATTAACATCTTTCTATCAAGATCTGCCTCTACTTTGAACAGTTTCCTTATTGCCAATAGTTATTTTAAAATAAATAGTTATTTTAAAGGGAAATTGACACATACATATAACACACTCACGCAAAACTGGCAAGTAGCAGATAAGTGCTCTTCTAATTTCAGTTTCCTAGCTTTCATGTAGAATGAACAATTATAGTAATAAAGGCTGAAGGAAAACAAAGATATTATTGAGATACAACAGGGACAGTCTAAAACAGCATCAGAAAGCAAGTTCATGCTGTTCAACATTAGCAGGCAAGGGAAATAGGGAAAGAAATACGCAAACGTGGCTATCACAGAAAAGCCAGCTTATTACTTTAGGTTCTGTGGGAGACTACAGGTCACATAAAAGCAGTCTCAACAATAATGTGACCACATGTGCAATCAACATTTACAAAATGAAATTATATATCATGTATAACACAAATGTTTTGCCTATACTTTAATTTACAAAGCCACATACCGAATGACTGAAATGTACATAAACATTCTTTTATGATAGACCAGAACATCTATATTATCATGACTTAGAAAAAGAAAACAGATGCAAAATAGTGTTGAGAATTTCTGGCCTGAAATTACAAGACTAAGTGTGTGTGTGCATGCGTGTGTACATATATTTAAATCGTTTTATTCTCATTTGATCCTTTTGGCTGAACTTTATTCATATATTATCTGCCCTTCTTCTTATAATCTCTCTCATGAAAGATATCATTATCCAGTCATTGAAGCCAAACCCCCTTCACCAGCCCCCAATCTCTAGACATCAAGGGTTAACAAGACATCTTCCTAAATTTCTCCGGAATTAAGCTCTTCTCTGTTAGAATTTCCTTTCCAAGTCCATTTCTTCATAAATCTGGCATGTGAAA
This sequence comes from Homo sapiens, assembly GCF_000001405.40. Classification (NCBI taxonomy): domain Eukaryota; kingdom Metazoa; phylum Chordata; class Mammalia; order Primates; family Hominidae; genus Homo; species Homo sapiens. The sequence continues at coordinate 59,112,298 of NC_000017.11, forward strand.
TTTGAATTGCTCTGCCGCAGTTTTCTCTTCTTTAGTCAGTGGTGACAGCTAGAAAATAAATGATAAAATCTTTATTTCAAAAACTTTCAAAGACTTAAATCAGTTTAGTTAACTTCTGCATTGTCACACCAATAAATGTTTCCCTAAGCTTATACTATGTATGTAATCACAGATTTAGAAAGGCAAGGGAAAAAACAGATACTTGGCTATTTATATACAAGGTCCTATGATGTTTGAGCTTCTAAAGAACTTGCAATTAAGTTGAAGAAACAAGACCAAGAAATCAAACAATTTAAGGATTATAGCAGAACCAAAGAAGTCATGTTTGGATGCCATATTCTAAAAGTACAGTCAACCCTCAGTATCTGTGGGAGATTGATTCCAGGATAACAAAATCCACAGATGCTCAAGTCCCTTATATAAAACTGCGTAGTATTTGCATAGAAACTATACATATCCTCCTGTATACTTTAAATCATCTCTAGATTACTTATATACCTAATACAATGTAAATGCTATGTACATAATTGTTACACTGTATTGTGGAAGGAATAAATGATAAGGAAAAAAGTCTACAGATGTTCAGTACAGATACAACCATCTAATTTTTTTCCAAAATTTTTGTTTTCTATTTTTGAAACGGGGTCACTCTGTCGCCCAGGCTGGAGTGCAGTGGCACAATCATGGCTCCCTGCAGCCTCAACCTCCCATCTCAAGCAATCCTCCCACCTCAGCCTCCCGAGTAGCTAATTTTTAACTAATTAGTACACTAATTTTTAGCTGGGCATGGTGGCGCACACCTGTGGTCCCAGCTGCTCGGGAGGCTGTGGTGGGAGGATCACTTGAGCCTGGGAGGTCGAGACTGCAGTCAGCCCTGATGGTGCTACTGCACTCTAGCCTGGGCAGCAGAGCAAGACCTCATCTTAAGAAAAGAAAAAAGAGGCCGGACGCGGTGGCTCATGCCTTCTAATCCCAGCGCTTCGGGAGGCTGAGGCGGGTGGATCACTTGAGGTCAGGAGTTTGAGACCAGCCTGACCAACATGGTGAAACCCCATCTCTACTAAAAAACACAAAAATTAGCCAGGCATGGTGGTATGCACCTGTAATCCCAGCTACTCAGGAGGCTGAGTTGGGAGAATCCCTCGAACCTGGGAGGCGGAGGCTGCAGTGACCCAAGATCGCACCACTGAACTCCATCCAGCCTGGGTGACAGAGCAAGACTAAATCACACAAAAAAAGAAAGAGGCCGGGCACAGTGGCTCATGCCTGTAATCCCAGCACTTTAGGAGGCTGAGGTGGGTGGATCACCTGAGGTCAGGAGTTTGAGACCAGCCTGACCAACATGGTGGAACCTCATCTCTACTAAAAATACAAAAAAATTAGCTGGGCATGGTGGCAGGCACCTGTAATCCTAGCTACTCGGGAGGTTGAGGCAGGAGAATTGCTTGAACCCGGGAGGTGGAGGTTACAGTGAGCCAAGATTACGCCATTGCACTCCAGCCTGGGCGACAAGAGTGAAACTCTGTCTCAAAAAAAAAAAAAAGATAAAGGAAAATGTATTATCATTCCACAATAACTTCAGAAAAAGGAAAGACTTCTGGGCTGACTTATTTAGCAACTGAACAATGTAAGGACTCCATTTTTTCCATCTCACAGCTCTAATATCCTGGATAGTGCCTTTACCCTCAAGCTGACAGCAAATGGCTTTAACGGTGCTAGGTATCACAACTCTACACAATGTCCAGAAGAAGAAAAGAAGCTTTCTCTTCTCAGGGTTCTCTCAGCAGTGAGTAAAGTCTTCCTAGTAACCTACTTCCAGACTATCCTTACTCACATGTCATTTGGGTTACAAACCCATTCCTCAACCACTGTTAGTTAAAAAATAAAGTCCATTCCCTATGCCAATCAGATGCACCCCTGGAGCTGAGGATGGGGCCAGATTCATCTCAGGCACATCGCTATGAGGGACAACACACATCTCAAGAAAGTCAGTATAGTCATGTGTCACTTAATGACAGGAATACGTTCTGAGAAATGCATCGTTAGGCAGTTTCATCGTGTGAACATCACAGACTGTACTTACACAAACAGGGATTGTATATATACACTCAGGCTATATGGTATAGCCTACTGCTCCTGGGCTACAAATCTGTACAGCATGTTACTGTACTGAATACCGTAGGCAGTGGTAACACATGGTATTTTTATATCTAAACATCTGAACATAAGAGTACAGTAAAAATACGCTATTATAATCTTCTGGGACCACTGTCATATATATTTGGTCCATTGTTGACCAAAACGTCATTATGCACTGCATGTCTATATTCTGGTAGGCAGGAAAGGATAACAGATACTGAGAAAGAAAAATGGCCAATAGCATCCACCAAAAGCAGGTAGCAGCAAAAGAAGGGAGGCTGAAGGGAAGTTGTAAGGGACTTTCACAGAGCACCAACAAACAGGCTGGCTGAAACAAAGGGTTATGTGGGGAATTAATAGGAGGTACAACCTGAAGAATCAAGTAGTTACAATTCTGCCAACTATATAGGTCATCTCTAGAGAGACTGCCAAATCTGGAACACCCCAGACCTACAGAATCAGAATCTCTAGGGCAGCACTGTCCAATAAAACTTTCCATGATGCTGGAAATATTCTTTATCAGCACTGTCCAATCAGTAGGTGAAGAAGTTAATGTTCATCTTTCATTTAACTACCTTAAATGTAAATTTCTTTTCTTCTTTTTTTCGTTCTTTCTTCCTTTTTTTTTTTTTTTTTAATTTTGAAATGGAGTTACACTCTTGTTGCCCAGGCTGGAGCGCAATCTCAGCTCACTGCAACCTCCGCCTCCCAGGTTCAGGAGATTCTCCTGCCTCAGCCTCCCGAGTAGCTGGGATTACAGGTGCCCGCCACCATGCCTGGCTAATTTTTTGTATTTCTTTAGTAGAGACGGGGGTTTCACCGTGTTGGCCAGGCTGGTCTGGAACTACTGACCTCAGGTGATCCACCTGTCTCGGCCTCCCAAAGTGCTGGGATTACAGGCGTGAGCCACCATGCCCAGTCTAAATTTAAATTTATATAGCCACATTACGTTATGTAAATAGGACAGCCCAAATCTAGAACAGCCACAGAACCTATATGATTCTGATATGCAGCTGGTTCCACTGATCAACATTTGCCCAACATGTTCACAAGGATAAACTGAAAAACAATCATACGTCTTACTACAACCCAGTTACAGGATTTCCTTCTTCTACCTCAAAAAAAGGAAATGTTATTCTGACAAGACTTTGCTTTTTCGTTTTGTTTTTGTTTTAGAGACAGAGTCTCGTTCCATCGCCCAGGCTGGAGCGCAGTGGTGCGGTCATAGCTCACTGCAACCTCTAACTCCTGGGCTCGAGCAATCGTCCCACCTCAGCCTCCCAAGTAGCTGCGACTACAGGTGCACACTGCCATACCCAGCTATGAGACTAATGAATCCACATTGCCCCTTGTGATCACTACAAAAGCTTTCAGACCATCTGTTTAATAAATTCTCAAAGAATTTTTCCAGGAATTAAAGTCAAGTTAACCAGTCTAAAGTTTGTAGAAATTTTTCTTCTTTATCACACATATTTTGGAAGATCATAGAATACCACATATTCTACTTTTAATGCCTTTTTAATTTTCTATTTATTATTATATATGTTTTGGGCGTTTGTTTTGCTATTTTTTGTTTGGGTGTAAGTTTAGTCCCTTTTTTCTTTTGATGAGATCACCTTTATAATTGAACATATTTAAACCTCAGTTTAAATATGAGGGCACGGAGGCTCACACCTATAATCCCAGCACTTTGAGAGGCCAAGACAGGTGGATCACTTGCAGTCAGGAGTTCGAGACCAGCCTGGCCAACTTGGTGAAACCCCATCTCTACTAAAAATACAAAAAAATTAGCTGGGCGTGGTGGCGCATGCCTGTAGTCCCAGCTACTTGGGAGGCTGAGGCAGGAGAATTGCTTGAATCCAGGAGGCGGAAGTTGCTGTGAGCCAAGATTGTGCCACTGCACCCCAGCCTCGGCGACAGAGGGAGACTCCGTCTCAAAAAACAAACAAACAAAAAAATTAAATAAATAAATAAACTTCAGTGTCTTTTGTCTTTTTTTTTCTTCTTTTGTCAATGTCTTAACATCCCCTAAGAAAGATTATGAAATTAGTATGTATTCCCTTTCTCCTACCTCCTTTTCTGTTCTGTATTTATTATTTAGTATTATCAATTCAGGTGTTCTTTTTAACTATTACAAATTCAAATACATTTTCTACCCTTCCAAATGAAAAACCACTCTTTGATAAAGATTATAGCAAGATAATACCTGAACAGATATACATTCTGTTATCTATAAACATAGCACTATTGGTTCCAATGAGACTTTATCCTTTTCTTGTCCTTCTTGTTCCCCAGATAATTTTAAAGCCCCTTTAAAATAACCTTTTGGTTATTTTAGAAAATTTCAGAGGCCTTAGCTCTATCTGCCTTTGGCTTTTTTTTTTTTTTTTTTTTTTTTTTGAGACAGAGTCTCGCTCTGTTGCCAGGCTGAAGTGCAGTGGCAAGATTTTGGCTCACTGCAACCTCCGCCTCCCAGGTTCAAGCGATTCCCGTCTCAGCCTCCCGAGTAGCTGGTACTACAGGCGTGCAACACCATGCCCAGCTAATGTTTTGTTATTTTAGTAGAGATGGGGTTTCACCATGTCAGCCAGGATGGTCTCGATCTCCTGGCCTCGTAATCCTCCCTCCTCGGCCTCCCAAAGTGCTGGGATTACAGGTGTGAGCCACCGCACCCGGCCTCTTTGGCTTTCCTAACTAATTTCACAGGTTTGTCCCTGTGACCTTTTAATATTTGAAATTTATTTACAAATTGTACCTTGCAAGTCCTTTAAACTCTGGGCTCATATAACTGTTTTTGGTTATCAGCTCTACAGATGTCATTCCCATTCACATTTGGATCATAAAAATTTATCAATATAATGGTTTGTTTATTAAGCTACCCTTTTAAACATCTCTCAGAAGATTAAGTTTCATATCTGTATTCCCTCTGAACTTTCTACTACTATCTCATTTTTATTTTAGTTTATTTTAAAATTTTTGGGGGACAGTCTCACCCTGTCACCCAGGCTGGAATTCAGTGGTGCAATCATAGCTCACTGCAGCCTCAAACTTCTGGGGTCAAAGGATCCTTCTGCCCCAAATAGTTGGAACTACCAGCATGCACTCCCATGCCCAGTAAATTTAAAATATTTTTTTCTTCTTCTTTTTCTTTTTTTTCTTTTTTTTTTTGGTAGAGATAGGTTCTCACTATGTTGTCCAGGCTAATCTCAAACTCCTGGCCTCAACTGATCCTCCTGCCTTGGCCTCCCAAAGTGCCAAGATTATAGGCATGAGCCACTGTGCCCAGCATACTACCTCATTTTTAAAGCAGTAGGTACAAGACTCACTATATCCAACATTTCCCAATTTGGTCATCATTGATTCTAAAATATGACCACCTCTTTCAAGTTTTATAACTTTTAAATCATTCTTCTTGTTTGCCATAACTTGATCCAAAGTAAAAGCTCCCTTAGTTTTCAGCCTTTGACATAAGTATTGTTCATTTCAGGTATTTCTTCAACTGAAGACCTTTACAGATACTCAGATGACTGAAATCCTCTTATCACTGGCTGGACATGGTGGCTCACGCCTGTAATCCCAGCACTTTGGGAGGCTGAGGCAGATTCATCATCTGAGGTCAGGAGTTCGAGACCACCCTGGCCAACATGGTGAAACCCTGTGTCTACTAAAACCACAAAAAATTAGCTGGGCATTGTGGCAGGCGCTTGTAATCCCAGCTATTCCGGAGGCTGAGGCAGGAGAATCACTTGAACCCAGGAGGTGGAGGTTGCAGTGAGCCGAGATGGTGCCATTGCACTCCAGCCTGGGCAGCAAGAGTGAAACTCCATCTCAAAAAAGAAAAAAAATCCTCTATTACTATATAACTACTTTTATGTACCAATTTGTAGTCTCAAAAATATACCATCAATTTATTATATCCAGTGGGGGAAATTTGTAAATATTCAAAATACCATTTTTCCCTTTGCCCTCTCACCCAAGTTTATTCTGTGCTTCAATAAATTTATGGTTCTATACAGATATGTTGTCATGTACATCTGGAACTATACTTAATCAGCTATTTGTTTTCCAAGAACAAGGTTATGTGCTCTATTGTCAGGCACATATAATGAAGAATGTGTGATTTGAGATGATTTATAAAAGCTTATCATATACATACTTTTTTTTGCATTTAATTTACTAGCATGTGACACAACCCTGTTTTAAATTCTGTCTCCCCATTACCTCTATTCCCTGTTCAATTGCCCTTCCTTCCTCCATCATTCATCTCCTTGTGATATAACAGATACATCTAAGGTATCATTTTATCGTTCTAAGCAGATATTATTCTATTTTTTCCCCTCCATTTGCAATATAAAGTATTCTTGATCAAACTGACCTGGGTAATTAACCTTTCTGATTTACTCTAGCTACAAGCCCATAATTCAAAGTATCTTAAGCCAAAATTTAGTGTAGAGTTGGCAAATAAATATCACATATGCAGCCCTTCCTCCTTCCCATGCTCGTGGCAGACTACGCTATTTTCTGCCATGTCCAGACACAGCTCCTTGATACAGCACTCTAAGCCACCCTTTTCTAGACATCTCAGTCTCACTAGTACTTACAGGAACCAGCTAAGCTGCTAGATTTTATAAGTATTACCAAGTTTTCTGCCATGGTTACATAATTCAAGACAGCACAATTCTTTATTAACCATGTCAAGTCCAAATGCTTATTTTTAAATAAACAGAAATAAGAGCTATTATACTTCAGGGTATCAGGAAAATCTTTCAATAGTTCAAACTGACTGCTGAGTTTCAAAATTTAAGTTACATCAGGTTTATTTTTCAAAGCAACACTCAGAGCTAAAGCTAAACAAATCTAACCTGTCAACTGAAAGCATTACCTCCAGGTCTGTTTGCTTCTGTAGTTTTTGTATCATATTCATAGTCTTTTTCACAGTAGCACAAATGCGGCTCTTACTCTCTTTCTGCTCAACAGCAACTGGTTTAAAGCGGGCATACAAAGTTTGATATCGAGACTTTATCACTGACAATTCCTTTAAGAGTGTAACTGGATTTTTCTATGTCAGGAAAAAAGTGAACATGTATTAAATTATGAAAGATTAAACTTTTTAAGAATTAAAATACTGTATACATACAACACATTCTACCATCCATTTAATTGAACACTGTTGAGTATTTAATTATGCAGCCACATGACATCAGATGGGAGGTGGGGAAGAGAGAAAAGTATAAGACCTAGATCCTATTCTCAAGGAATTTATAGCCTAGGTACAGAAATAACCCACCAAAAAAATTAGCAATATTAAACAGCAAATAAGGGTCACCTTAGATATATAACATTTGATGGATAGTTCACAATAATAAATTATACAATATTTCTAAAATACAATTCTAAATGCTATTCAGAAGAAGATAAAAGGCACTATTAGTATTTGTTCTTAAAGAATAAGAACTTGAAACTACTTATAAAAATCTTTTTTTTTTTTTTGAGATGGAGTCTCACTCTGTTGCCCAGGCTGGAGTGCAGTGGCGCAATCTCAGCTCACTGCAAGCTTCACCTCCCAGGTTCATGCCATTCTCCTGCCTCAGCCTCCGGAGTAGCTGGGACTACAGGCGCCCGCCACCACGCCCAGCTAATTTTTTGTATTTTTAGTAGAGAAGGGGTTTCACCGTGTTAGCAAGGATGGTCTCAATCTCCTGACCTTGTGATCCGCCCGCCTCAACCTCCCAAAGTGCTGGGATTACAGGTGTGAGCCACTGCGCCCGGCCAAAATTCGTAAACATACTATCATGGGGATAAAGTATGTATAAATATCAATTTACTTATATACACACAAAATATAAAATTCATGCCAACCCAACTGTATTTATAAACTATGCTGGTTTTCCAGATTTATTTTGTAATATACATTACCACTATTCCATAAAAGACATTTCAATTGGACCCCTTCTGCCACTTGGTAATTCTTTTCTTTAATTTTTTTTTTAAATAGATACAGGAATCTCACTGTGTTGCCCAGGCTGGTCTTAAACTCCTGGCCTCAAGTGATCCTCCTGCATCAGCCTCCCAAAGTGCTAGAATTACAGGTGTGAGCCACTGTATCCTGCCAGATTTCTTTTTTTATGATTAGGTAAGATTCATATATTTTCAGGCCCCACCAAGTGACAGCACAATTAATAAAAAGATCTATACCATAACTGTAAATTTTCGCAGGATAGAAAAAATATTCTGAAACTTCCAGGTGATAGGTAAGGGACTGGGGTAGGCTGAGGAGGAAAGCACAGACAAAGGATCAGGAATGAGAATGGCATCCATTTTTCAACAGCAACAATAGAAGCTAGAAAACCACGAAGTAATGATGTTAAAATTAAGAGAAAATCTCCAATCTAGAATCCTATATTCAACCAAACCACTCATCAAACAAAGGGTTAGGCCGGGCGCAGTGGCTCACGCCTGTAATCCCAGCACTTTGGGAGGCCGAGGCGGGCAGATCATGAGGTCAGGAAATCGAGACCATCCTGGCTAACACGGTGAAACCCCGTCTCTACGAAAAATACAAAAAATTAGCTGGGCATTGTGGCGGGCACCTGTAGTCCCAGCTACTCAAGAGGCTGAGGCAGGAGAATCGCTTGAACCCGGGAGGCAGAGGTTGCTGTGAGCCGAGATCGTGCCACTGCACTCCAGCCTGGGCGACTGAGGGAGACTCCGTCTCAAAAAAAAAAAAAAAAGAAAAAGGGTTAAAGGGTACAATAAAGACTTTTTCAAACATTCAGCATCTCAAAAAGTTAACTTTCTGTGTAATCTTCCTCAGGAAGCGTCTAAATGATATACTTCCAGATCAAAGAAATAAACCACCAAAGAGTGAAACATATGATACAACACAGGAATAAAACAAAGGGAAGTACCAAAATAATGGTAAAGAAATCCCAGAAATGCCGGGCGCAGTGGCTCATGACTGTAATCTCAACACTTTGGGAAGCCGAGACGGGTGGATCACCTGAGGTCAGGAGTTCGAGACCAGCCTGGCCAACATAGCGAAACCCCGTCTCTACTAAAAATACAAAAATTAGCCGGGCATTGTGGTGGGCGCCTGTAGTCCTTGCCTCAGTAGGCTGAGGCAGGAGAATCACTTGAGCCTGGGAGGCAGAGGTGGCAGTGAGCCAAGATGGCACCATTGCATTCCAGCCTGGGTGACAAGAGCAAAACTCCCTCTCAAAAAAAAAAAAAGGTCGGGCGCGGTGGCTCACGCCTGTAATCCCAGCACTTTGGGAGGCCGAGGCGGGCGGATTGCCTGAACTCAGGAGTTCGAGACCAGCCTGGCCAACATGGTGAAACACCGTCTCTACGAAAATACAAAAAAAAAAAAAAAAAAAAAAAAAAAAATTAGCCAGGCGTGTCGGCATGCGCCTGTAGTCCCAGCTACTCGGGAGGCTGAGGTGGGAGAATTGCTTGAACCTGGGAGGCAGAGGTTGTAGTGATCCAAGATCACGCCACTGCACTCCAGCCTAACCACAGAGTGCGACTCCATCTGAAAAAAAAAAAAAATCCCAGAAAGACAGCAATTCAAGAAGCCTATAGAGCAGGAGGTCAGATGGGAGCAGGATAGAGACACCAGAAAGGATAGGATGTTTCCATGGGAGAAAATAAAACTTAAAGAACATGTAGTGTGTCTGACAATATTGAGAAGAGTTTTACAGTTGTTAGAAATGTCTGAGGCTGAATTAGTGAAAAGTATATAGAAAAACTAAGCAGGCTGGGCCATGGTGGCTCATGCTTGTAATTCTAGCACTTTGGGATGCCAAGGCGGGAGGATCGCTTGAGGTCAGGAGTTCAGTACCAGCCTGGGCAACATAGCGTGAAACCTCATCTCTACAAAAAATAATTCAAAGGCTGGGTGCAGTGACTCACGCCTGCAAGTCCCAGCACTTTGGGAGACCAAGAGGGGCAGATCACTTGAGGTCAGGAGTTCCAGAACAGCATGGCCAACATGGCGAAACCTCATCTCTACTAATAATACAAAAATTAGCCGGGCGTGGTAGCACACGCCTGTAGTCCCAGCTACTCAGGAGGCTGAGGTGGGAGGATCACTTGAGCCTGGGAGGCAGAGGTTGCAGTGAACCAAGATGGTACCACTGCACTCCAGCCTGGGCGACAGAGCAAGACTCCATCTCAAAAAATAATAACTATTATTATTTTTTAAATTAGCCAGGTGTGCTGGCACATGCCTATGGTGCTAGCTACTCGGGCGGCTAAGCAGGGAGGATCACTTGGGCCTGGGAGGCAGATACTGCCGTAAGCCATGGTCACAGAGTAGCTGGGACTACAGGTGTGTGCCACCACACCCAGCTAATTTTTGTAGTTTTAGTAGAGATGAGGTTTCGCCATGTTGGCCAGGCTGGTCTAGAACTCCTGACCTCAGGTGATCTGCCTACCTCGGCCTCCCAAAGCGCTGGGATTACAGGCGTGAACCACTGCGCCCAACCTTTAAATTATTTTTTGTAGAGATGGGGCTTCCCTATGTTGGCCAGGCTGGTCTCAAACTCCTGCACTCCAGCCTGGGCGGCAGAGCAAAACCTTGTCTCAAAAAAAAAAAAAAAAAAGAAAAGAAAAGAAAAGAAAAACTAAGCAAATGGAAGGAAAAAAAAGAAAACAATTATTAGCTCTAGAAAAATAAGTTGTGAAGAAAGGAAAGCAGACACAGTATTCAATAGGGCTTATATAAAAGAGTTACAGAAATTGTGAAGACAGGAATAAATATGGGTAGTAAAGTATTTAAACTTTATCTTCCATAGTACAAAATTCTTTTTTTTTTTTTTTTTTTTTTAAGAGTTAGAATTGGCTGGGTGTGATGGCTAATGCCTGTAATCCCAGCACTTTGGGAAGCTGAAGCGGGTGGATCATGAGGTCAGGAGTGTGAGACCAGCCTGGCCAACACGGTGAAGCCCTGAATCTACTAAAAATACAAAAATTAGCTGGGCAGGGTGGCATGTGCCTGTAATCCCAGCTACTCAGGAGGCTGAGGCAGGAGAATCGCTTGAACCTGGGAGGCGGAGGTTGCAGTGAGCCAAGATCATGTCACTGCACTCCAGCCTGGGCAACAGAGCAAGACTCTGTCTCAGGAAAAAAAAAAAAAAAAGTTAGAATCTTACTCTGTCACCTAGGCTGGAGTGCAGTGGTGCAATCATAGCTCACTTGAACTACTGGGCTCAAGTGATCCTCCCACCTCAGCATCCCAAGTAGCTGGGACTACAAGTGTGAGCTACTACATCAGGCCTATAGTAGGAAATTATTATTAATGATAACAGCTAATGTATAGCACTTACTCTGGACTAAACAGTTATATATGTTAACTAATTTTATTTTCTCTCAATCTCTGAGGTACATAGTAATATTCCCATTTTACAGATGAGGAAATTAAAGTACAGAAAGGTTAACTGACTTGGCTAAAATCACAGTGCTAATAAGAGGCAGAGCCAGGATGTGAAGTATAACAGTTCGTATCCAGGAAATTAGTAGATGTTTCAGATCAGGAAAAATAAAGATGCAGTACAAGGAAAACTATTTAGAAATATAAAGGAAATACCATAAGACACTGAGATGAGTGGTATCCTTCTTGAGGGTGGGAGTGTGAAGCATTATTCTTTGTAATTATAAGCTTTATATTTCTGCAACTCTTCAAATATATTCAAGAATTTGACAAAAATAAAAGTTTAGGCCGGGGTGGTGACTCACATCTATAATCCCAACACTTTGGGAGGCTGAGACAGGAGGATCACTTGAGCCCAGGCAAGACCAGCCTAGTAAACATGGCAAAACCCCATCCTTACTAAAATACAAAAAATTAGAACCAGGTGTGGTGGCACACACCTGTATTTCCACCTACGCAGGAGACTGAGGTGGGAGGATCACCTGAGCCCAGGAGGTCAAAGCTGCAGTGAGCCATGATCATGCCACTGCACTCCAGTCTGGACAACAGAGTGAGACTCTGTCTGGGGAAAAAAAAAAAAGTTTAACATTGGGAGGGAAATTGGTAGGAGGGAAGAAGTCATCTTCCTCATGAGGTGATAATAAATTATGTAACTTAATTATAAATGATCTTTAGGTAACTGGAATGTAGCTCAGTAGTGAAATACCCAGAGATCTGCATGTATTAATATAACTCAGGAGAATGATGAGTTCCCCAAATACAGATTCATACAGGAAAAAATAAAAGTGACAAGAACTAATCCTTGAGGATCTCACAAAACTAGGAAAGGAAAGTTGGTATATAAAGCATAAGAAATAAATGGCCATAGAGCTAAAAGAGAGGACAGGGTAGTTGGGCAGCTACCCATAATACATGTTTTTATGACATTAGCTCGATCAATAAGACTGACATGGCAGTGAGTAATTTAGGACAACATGATTTGCATTTATGGCCTGTTTATGACAGGTTAGGACTGTGGTTAGGACTTAGCACCATACCACAAAGGAAAAACTGTTGTGCGCATAGCCTGTTTTATTTGAGTAACTGGCTGTTGGGAACCACTACATTCTTTTTTTTTTTTTTTTGAGATGGAGTTTCGCTCTTGTTTCCCAGGCTGGAGTGCAATGGCGGGATCTCAGCTCACCGCAACTTTCGCCTCCCAGGTTCAAGCAATTCTCCTGCCTCAGCCTCTCAAGTAGCTGGGATTACAGGCATGCGCCACTACGCCTGGCTAATTTTGTATTTTTTTTTTTTTTTTTTTTTTAGTAGAGATGGGGTTTCTCCATGTTGGTCAGGCTGGTCTTGAACTCCTGGCCCTCAGGTGATCCACCCGCCTTGGCCTCCCAAAGTGCTGGGATTACAGGTATGAGCCACCGCGCCCGGCCAGGAGCCTCTACGATTCTTTTATTAGTGTTTGTAAACTGTGCTGCACTTTAGTTAATTTTGTGCCTATAATACTTCAATTCATTTTAGGGTTTTAGTTATCATGAGTGGATGATAAAAGGTTACAAGAATGGCTGAGCGAGGTGGCTCACGCCTGTAATCTCAGCTTTGGGAGGCCAAGACTGGTGGATCACCTGAGGTCAGGAGTTCAAGACCAGCCTGACCAACATGGTGAAACCCCGTCTCTAATAAAAATACAAAAATTAGCCAGGATAGTAGCGGGTACCTGTAATCCCAGCTACTCGGGAGGGTGAGGCAGGAGAATCACTTGAACCCAGTGAGCCGAGATCATGCCATTGCATTCCAGCCTGGGCGACAGGGTGAGACTCCGTCTCCAAAAAAAAAAAAAAAATGATTACAAAAATACATAAAAATACTCTGCTAATGATAGTGCTGGTGATGGGAGAAAAGAAAAGCCAATATATGAACAAAAAGCTCAGTTCAATTAAGTCTTTTGAAAGAAACAAAAGGAAATGAATTATACTACTAAGCTTAAAAGAATCTATAGGGAAAATGTTCATAAAATAAAATTATGTTTCTCTGCCGGGCGTGGTGGCTCACGCCTGTAATCCCAGCACTTTGGGAGGCAGAGGAGGGCGGATCACGAGGTCAGGAGATCGAGACCATCCTGGCTAACACAGTGAAACCCCGCCTCTACTAAAAATACAAAAAATTAGCCGGGCTTGGTGGCGGGTGCCTGTAGTCCCAGCTACTCGGGAGGCTGAGGCAGGAGAATGGCGTGAACCCGGGAGGCGGAGCTTGCAGTGAGCCGAGATCGCGCCACTGCACTCCAGCCTGGGCGACAGAGCGAGACTCCGTCTCAAAATAAATAAATGAATAAATAAATAAATAAATAAATAAATAAAATTATGTTTCTGGAACAAATAAAGTTGAAGAATATAGTAATAGAAACTTATAGTTTCTTGTTAGCTCTCTGTAAATAAACAAATCCTAGCCAAAAATGTTGACTTTTATGCAGAATTACTGACTGCCTCCAAATCACGAGGGGTACTAGAATGAGGATAATGCAGCTAAACCAAATTATATGTATGGATGTGGGTGTGAGTATACAAACACACACATACACACACACCACAGTGGCTGGCACATAGTAATGTTCAATAAATATTTACTACTACTATAACCACCCTGCCGCCAGACAGAGGTATTAGAGGCTACTGCAACTAGTTGTTTACTTTCTTTCCTGTTCCTTTACATGTATATAAATCATTAAGACTGATGTTGGACAAATCTACAAAGATTAAAATCATGGCTTTATTCTCAACTATAACACACGAAAAAGGGAGAAAGCAGAGATTTTCTTGAAGTTATTGAATATTACAGGAGTTAAAAAGTCATATTTCCTCAAAAATTGAAACACAGAATTACCATGTGATCCAGCAATTGCACTTCTGGGTATAAACCCGAAAGTTGAAAGCAGGTACTCAAACAGATACTTGCATACCAGTGTTCATAGTAGCATTATTCACAGTAGCCAAAAGGTGAAAGCAAACCAAATGTCCATTAACAGATGAATCGATAAACAAAATGTGGTACATACATTCAATGGAATATTATTCCACCTTAAAAAGAAAGGAAACTGACACTGCTACACTATATATGAATCTTGAGAACATTATAAGTGACATACATGAGTCACAAAAAGACAAATATTATATGATTCTACTTATATGAGTCCCTAGAGTAGTCAAATTGATAGAGACAGAAAGTAGAATGGTGGCTGCTAGGAGTGGAAGAAAGGAACGTGGAGTTATTGTTTAATGGATATACAGTTACAATGTGGGGAGATGAAAACCTTCTGGAGATTGATGATGGTGATATTGTACAATAATGTGAATGTAGTTAATGCCAGTGAACTGTTCACTTAAAAAAGATTAAGATGGCTATCAGGTATAAGGACACGTGCCTGTAATCCCAGCTGCTAAGGATATTGAGGCCAGAGGATAAACCTAGGAATTGGAGTTCAGCCTGGACCATATTAAAATGGTAAATGTTGTTATTTACATTTTACTACAATTTCTTTTCTTTTCTTTTCTTTTGAGACAGTCTTGATCTGTCGCCCAGGCTGGAGTTCAATGGCGCAATCTGGACTCACTGCAACCTTCACCTCCTGGGTTCAAGCAATTCTCCTATCTCAGCCTCCCAAGTAGCTGGGGTTACAGGCTCGTGCCACCACGCCCGGCTAATTTTGTATTTTTAGTAGAGACGGGTTTCATCATGTTAGCCAGGCTGGTCTTAAACTCCTGACATCAGATGATCAGCCTGCCTCAGTTTCCCAAAGTGCTGGGATTACAGGCATGAGCCACCACACCCAGCCCACAATTTTTTTTTTTAAACTGAGAATGTAAAATGCTTTAGATGCCTTGGAAAACAGTTTGGTAGTTCCTTAAAATATTAAACCTGAGTTATCATATGGCCAGCAATTCTACTCCAAGGTATATACTCGAGAGAAATGAAAACACATGTCCACACAACAACTTGTAAATGTATGTTCATAGCAGCCAAAAGGTGGAAACAACACAAATGACCACCATCAACTGATGACTGGATAAGAAAATGGAGTATGGGCCGGGCACGGTGGCTCACACCTGTAATCCCAGCACTTTGGGAGGCCGAGGTGGGTGGATCATGAGGTCAGGAGTTTGAGACCAGCCTGGCCAACATGGTGAAACCCTGTCTCTACTGAAAATACAAAAATCAGCTGGTGTGGTGGCACGCACCTGTACTCCTAGCTACTCAGGAGGCTGAGGCAGGAGAATCGCTTGAACCCAGGAGGCGGAGGTTGCAGTGAGCTGAGATTGCACCACTGCACTCCAGCCTAGGGGACAGAGCAAGACTCCATCTCAGAAAAAAAAAAAGAGAGAGAAAAGAAGATGGAGTATAGCCATACAGTGGAGTATTACTCAGCAGTAAAAGCAAATGAAGTACTGATTGACGCTACAACATGGATGAAACTTAGAAACATCCTAAGTGGGCCAGGTGCAGTGGCTCATGCCTGCAATCCCAGCACTTTGGGAGGCCGAGGAGGGTGGATCACCTGACGTCAGGAGTTCAAGACCAGCCTGGCCAACATGGCAAAACCCTGTCTCTACTAAAAAATACAAAAATTAGCCAGATGTGGTGGCACACACCAGTAGTCCCAGCTACTCAGGAAGTTGAGGCAGGAGAGTTGCTTGAACTCGGAAGGCGGAGGTTGCAGGGAGCAGAGATAGTGCCACTTCACTCCAGCCTGGGTGACAGAGCGAGACTCGGTCTCAAAAAAAAAAAAAAAAGAAACATCCTAAGTGAAAAAGTTAGACATGAAAGGTCATATATTATATGATTCTATTTATCTGAAATGTTCAGACAACAAATCTGTGGAGACAGAAAGTAGATTCGTCTTTGGGAGCTTGCAGGATAGCAGGGAAGGGTGGTAGGGAGTAGCTACTCATGGGTATGGGGTTTCTTTCTGAGGTGATGAAAATGTTATTGTGGCAATGGCTACAAAACCATGAATACTAAAAGCCACTTAATTATATACTTTAAAGGGGTGAATTTAATGGTATATGAATTATAGCTCAATAAAGCTGCTTTTTTAAAAAGTTGCAGGAAAAAAAATACCCACAGGTGGAACAAAGATGAGAGATGGAAGTCAGAGGAAAAATGGGAGCACTACACGTCAATGTCTTTCAAAACAGTACTTGAAAGATACTGACTAGGTCAGGCGTGGTGGCGCACGCCTATAATCCCAGCACTTTGGGAGGCCAAGGCAGGTAGATCGCTTGAGTCCAGGAGTTCAAAACCAACCTAGGCAACATGTTAAAATCCCATCTCCACTAAAAATACAAAAATTAGCTGGGTGTGGTGGTGTGTGCCTATAGTTCCAGGCACTTGGCGGACTGAGGTGGGAGGATTGCTTGAGCCCAGGAAGTCAAGGCTGAAGTGAGCTGAGATTTTGTTACCGCACTCCAGCCTGGGTGACAGAGTGAGACCCTATCTTAAACACACATACACACACACACACACACACACACACACACACACACACGGTCTTTAAACTGATAAAAACAGATACTACACTTGATCTTAGCCAAAAGGCTGAGAAGAAATATCACAGGAATCTTTAAGACAAAAGAAAGAAAGGAAGGAAGGGAAGGCAGGGGAAGGAAAGAGAAGGAATGAAGGAATGGAAGGGAAGTGAGGAAAGAAAGGAAGAAAAGGAAGGAAAGGGCCAGGTGTGGTGGCTCACGACTAATCCCAGCACTTTAGGAGGCTGAGGCGGGTGGATCACTTGAGGTCAGGAGTTTGAGACCAGCCTAACATGGTGAAACCCCATCTCTACTAAAAAATACAAAAATTAGCCGAGCATGGTAGCCTGCGCCTGTAATCCCAGCTACTCGGGAGGCTGAGGCGGGAGAATCCCTTGAACCTGGGAGGTGGAGGCTGCAGTGACCCAAGATCACACCCCTGAACTCCAGCCTGGATAACAGAAGGAAGGGAAAGGAAGGGAAGGGAGGAAAGGGAGGGAGAAGAAGGATGGGAGGAAGGAAAAGAGGGAGGGAGGGAGGGAGGGAAGGAAGGAAGGAAGGAGAGAAAGAGGGAAGGAGGGAAGGAAGGAAGGGAGGAAGGGAGGGTAAGGGGAAGGGAAGGAAGAGAGAAAAAGAGAGGGAGGGAGGAAGAGAGAAAGAGGCGGGGGGGAGAGAGAGAAAGAAAAAAGGGAAGAAAAAAGAGAAAGGAAAGAAAGAAAAGAATAGGGAGCTAGAACAGTACAAACTACACTCCCATAGAATTCTAGCATTCCATGAAATAAACAGTAAAAACTGAACATTCGTGAAATTTTCCCAATTTTCTATAAAATGTTAGTTTAACTTATACTTCTACCCAATCCAAAAAAAAATTTTTTTAATTGTATGGAATTTTTTTTTAACTGTAAAATGCACTGTTTCTTGTCTGCTGGTAAGTGCTATCAAAGACAAATATTGGTCGCACGTGGTGGCTCATGCCTGTAATCCCAACACCTTGAGAGGCTGAGGTAGGCAGATCACTTGAGGTCAGGAGCTCAAGACCAGCCTGGCCAACATAGTGAAACTCCGTCTCTACTAAAAATACAAAAAAAAAAAAAAAAAAAAAAATTAGCTGGGCATTGTGGCGCACGCCTGTAATCCCAGCTACTTGGGAGACTGAGGCAAGAGAATCGCTTGAACCCAGGAAGTGGAGGTTATGGTGAGCTGAGATTGCACCACTGCACTCCAGCCTGGACGACAGAGTGATCCGTCTCAAAAAAAAAAAAAGATAAATATTAATTAAGCCTGATACCTGGGCTTTGGGGAAAAAAAGATAAACATTATTGAATTAGTGATTTTAGTGTTAATGTTAACAGACGATGCTTGGAGATTATTTACTTTCACCCCCATGAACATGTATGTATACTTACACTTAATGATTTTATGACATAAAGCAGAGTTAATGTTTCTAATCAACCTAAACTTAGAGTAATTAAATAGATAGCTTTATCTAGAAATCACTATTCATAAAATATAAGTAAAAAATCTAATAGTGTATCATTACCTTCCTCAGAGAATATGCTGACTGCCAGGACTTCTCCCCTCAAACTTACTGAAGAACAACTGCCCTAGAGGTAGCTATATTCTCTCTTGGAATTTCAGAGGCTGCCACAGTGGCTTGTACCTCTGAACTCAATGATTATTTTTTAAAGGTTAGGGGAAAAAAAGTAGCCACAAATTTCACGGACTATTGGTACTATTTCTCCAGTGTGCTATAACCAAACTTCCAACACAATGCAAGATTTTAAGATTCTATAAACTTAATAATATAATTCTTATGATCTATTACTATTAGGAATGCTATCAGAAAATTCTAAAGTATTCAGTTAAGGCTGATTTTTTTTAAGCTTATTTATTTCGGAGATTACCTCACTTGCTGAATCAGGATGATTAGTCTTGATTTCATATTCCAGCCTGTATTGAATGTAATCCAGATCAGACTCAGCTTTCTGGAACTAAAGATCAGCACAAATCATTATTGTGTAAACCAAAAGACTAATAGTAAACATGATACTTTATTCTTTTTTTCTCTTTACATTTGTTAGTATTTCAATAAGTGATACATACTCATTTGAAAATGTGGAAATAAAAAGTATATAAAATATCCATTATCCATAATAACTATGCTCTATGAAAAATTTAAAAAGTAGTTAACATTTTAAAGTCATTCATTTCTCTATGCCTCTCTCTTACATTTTGAGCCAAAATCAAGATACTGAGTAGCCATTGTCAGATATTAATACAAAAAACTAATAATGACGTCAATAATTTCCTAGGGTCACAGATACTCTCATCAGTTAGGCAGTGTTTTTCTACCTCTGGCAGAAAATACACTTTCAATTTAAAACACAGAACAAATTTATTTCAGGAATACTCATATTGTTACCTTTATTTGCAATCCCATTGATCAAAGAGCTACAACTATGTGCCACTAAAATTAAGAGGGCTTAAAGAGTCACAAATTTCACAAGAAAAGCTACATATGATATGGGAGTAACAGTCTGAATAACCCCAATTTACTGAACCTGGGTGCCAGCATGGGAACTTGATCTGTAGTAAACCTCAAAGGAAGAAAAAAGGGGAGAACTACCACCCTGAGGCCATTATGGATATAGGATGCCTGAATTAAAGTGAAAAGTTACATTTAAAAATATCAGTATTGGCCGGGCACAGTGGTTCACACCTGTAATCCCAGCACTTTGGGAGGCCAAGGCAGGTGGATCACCTGAGGTCAGGAGTTTGAGACCAGCCTGGCTAACATGGTGAAACCTCATCTCTACCAAAAATACAAAAATTAGCTGTGCATGGTGGCAGAAGCCTGTAATCCCACTTACTCGGGAGGCTGAGGCAGGAGAATCGCTTGAACCCCGGAGGTGGAGGCTGCAGTAAGCCAAGATTGCACCATTGCACTCCAGCCTGGGCGACAAGAATGAAACTCCGTCTCCACAAAAAAAAAAATAAGTATTTGGGGCCAGGCACAGTGGCTCATCCCTGTAATCCCAGCACTTTGGGAGGCTGAGGCGGGCGGGTCACTTCAGCCCGGGAATTCAAGGCTAGCCTGGCCAACATGGCAAAACCCCATCTCTACTAAAAATACTAAAATTAGCTGGGGATAGTGGCATGTGCCTGTGGTCCCAGCTATTTGGGTAGCTGAGGCACTAGAATCAGTTGAACCGAGGAAGCGGAAGTTGCAGTGAGCCAAGATTGGCCACTGCACTCCTGCCTGGGTAACAGAGCAAGACTCTATCTCATAAATAAGTAAATAAGTAAATATCAATATTTGGAATACCATGCCATTATTGAAAACGATGATATACAAAAAAATACTTAAGGGGGGGCTTTCACATTTTACTCTATTTCTGTAGTATTTGTAATGAGCAGCTATTTAACCTTTCAAAAGGTCATTTGTTTTTAAAATGATAATGTATAGACAGATTTGACATGACACTATATTTATGACTCATTAAATACAAAAACAGCCTTGAGTATGTTATGGCCTCTTTTTGTAAAAGAGATGTATACATATACAAAGTTGAGATGGATATATGACAGTGTTAAAAAGAATTTTCTTTTTCTTTTTTATGAGACAGGGTCTTGCTCTATAGCCCAGGCTGAAGTGTTGTGGCACCATCATAGCTCACTGCAGTGTCAAACTCCTGGGCTCGTGGGATCCTCCTACCTCCTTCCGAGTGCACCTGGGACTACAGGCACATGCCATGGCACCCAGCTAATTTTTGATTTTTTACAGAGACAGGATCTCATTATGTTGCCCATGCTGGGCTGAAGCAGTCCTCCCACCTCAGCCTCCCGAAGTGCTGGAATTACAGACGTGAGCCACCATGTCCAGCCTAAAAGTGGTTTATTTCTGCAAGCGGTATAATCAATGAATTATTCTTAACTTCATGAAATTCCGCATCTTTTACAGGACCTTAAAGCATATATTGCCTCGAGTTTATCAGGGATATAACTGTCCTTAGAGTTTACTACAGAAAGGAAAACATGATTTCCACAGGCATGGTCTCCTATTCCTATCCCAAAACATAGGAGGCTGTTTGCAGGGAGGGTGCTGCTCTTATTATGAACTTTATCACTGAACTAAAGATTGATTCTCAAAATCCTGAAGCCTTAGTGGAAGGGGAAAAACTGTTAAAAGCAGTTCTCAGGTCTAATAAGAAATGATGTACAGTTATTTTTAGTATATAAAAGGTTCTATTAGGACCCTACTTTCAAATGTAGAGTAAGACAAAATGGCTGTCAGAAATTCAAATGCTTCTAAGGTCAGAAGCTGTCATCAAACAGAATTTCAGAAATAAACTAGTTTCCATCACTAATAATTTCTCTTATCATTGACCTAAATTGGAATGGAAAACTCTGCAATGACCAAAATTCTATCTTTATAGCCAAAACTTGGGGGGAGGGTACAGATAAAAGAAAGAGAAGGTTTTTGTTTTTAAACATATTTTCCAGGTCAATATCTTATTTCCATCTCTAACATCAGGGAGTTGCTCTAAGCCAGAAAAATTAATGTTGGGTACATAATTACAAAGTGTGTTTAAAATGATTTCCAAAAAGTGGAAGCTTTTCATTTATCCTCTATACTTGTCAGATGAGATGCCACGATTAAATTAATCAATAATTACAACTCCTTAAAAATACTAATGTTTGTGTCTGTGTGTGTATTAAGAAATTCCTATTTGCATAATTTCTCATACTAAGATATACTTAGGGATTATCTTTTCCTATAAATAAGAAAAGTACACTAACCCATAAAACATGTGGATGGAGAGAATGAGGAGAGACCAGGAGCCAGAGCAAATCAAAGTTAACAAAGGCTGTGAGCACTCAAGACCTGATTTTGTTTGTCTTAATTACTGAACAGACCACAATTCCATAGCTTTTTTCAATGAGTTATATAACATTCTTAAGCACAACTTTAAATACAAGTCTTTAAAGCTTGTTTTAGTCATTTAATTTACCATAAATTATGGAATTTGTGGCTCCAGAGATTCCTAAGACAGAATCTCTATTCTAGAAACCCTTAACATGTTTATGAAACGAAGTATTAAACTTACATATTTTTTAACTTGATATTTAGTTCTGCTTGAAGTTTAGCATAATCTCATGTAGTTCCTTGAATGGTAACTTTCCTTTTTTTTTTTGGAGGAGTCTTGTTCTGTTGCCCAGGCTAGAGTGCAGTGGCACAGTCTTGGCTCACTGCAACCTCTGCCTCCGGGGTTCAAGCAATTCTCCTGCCTCAGCCTCCTGAGAGCTGGGACTACAGGCCTAAATTGTCCTAAATTTGGCAACTGAGACCTCCAAGGTTTGAAAGATTTTTACAATAATCTAACGTATATGTCACAAAACATGATGAGTTTGGGGGACACAAAACTCCCAAATGTAGACTATATTCATATATATATTTTTGTCATTTATTTTTTTTGAGACAGGGTCTCACTCTGTCATACAAGCAGGAGTGCAGTGGCAACAACTCGGCTCACTACAGCCCCAACCTCCCAGGCTCAACAGATCCTCCCACTTCAGCCTCCCAAGTAGCTGGGACTACAGGCACATGCCATTACGCCTGACTAATTTTTGTATTTTTAGTAGAGACGGGGTTTCACCATATTGGCCAGGCTGGTCTCGAACTCCTGACCTCAAGTGATCGGCCTGCCTCGGCCTCCCAAAGCGCTGGGATTACAGGTGTGAGCCACCAGCCTGGCATCTTTTTAAGAGAGAGGTTTCCACTATGGTTTCCTGCAATACCTAGGGGCCCAAAATGTGTTAACCATCAAATGGTACCAAAAAGAGGCGGTTTCTACTTTTAAATAACTTTTATTTTAGGAAGATACCAAAGAGTACCCTTCTAATCAATGGTATGATGAAATCAACTAAACTGTCTTTTTTTTTTTTTTTTTTTTTTTTTAGAAGGAGTCTCACTCTGTCATCCAGGCTATAGTATAGTGGTGCAATCTCAGCTCACTGCACCCTCCACCTCCCGGGTTCAGGCAATTCTCCTGCCTCAGCCTCCAAGTAGCTGGGATTACAGGCACCCGCCACCACACCCAGCTAATTTTTACTCATTTTAGTAAAATGGGATTTCACCATGTTGCCCAGGCTGGTCTCAAACTCTTGACCTCCAGTGATCTGCCATGCTTGGCCTCCCAAAGTGGTGGGATTACAGGCTTGGGCCACTGCCCCCAGCCTAAACTGTCAAGATTTTTTGCAAGACAATTATTAAACATAGGCATCATTACAAATTAAATTATATAAATTAGCCGGACACGGTGGCTGAAAAAAATATTTTCTACCACACCCATCCTGAAAAAATATATTTAAAAAATATATTTTTAAAATATATAAAATAATTTTTAAATATATATTTTAAAATTTTATATTGCATATTTAATTTTATATTTTAAAAAATATATTTTTAAAAAATATAAAATAATTTTTAAAATATTTTTTTAAAAAGACAAGAAAAACAGCTTCTGCTAGATTTGATGTGTACTTGTAGTCCCAGTTACTTAAAGAGCTGAGGCAGGAGGATTGCTTGAGCCCAGGAGTTCAAGGCTGCAGTGTATTATAATCTCTCCTGTGACTAGTCACTGCACTCCAGCCTGGGCAATATAGTGAGACCCCATCTCCAAAAGGAAGGGAGGAAGGAAGAAAAAAAAAACAGCTTGTGGGTAGAATGTTATCCTCTGTGGAAAATTGTATAGAACGTCTAATAACACACAGGGGCAGTACTGACTTATTATTATTATTTAGACCGAGTTTCGCTCTTGTCACCCAGGCTGGAGTGCAGTGGCGCGATCTCGGGGCTCACTGCAACCTCTACCTCCCAGGTTCAAGAGATTCTCCTGCCTCAGCCTCCCAAGTAGCTGGGATTACAGGCGCCTGCCACCATGCCTGGCTCATTTTTTGTATTTTTAGTAGAGACGGGGTATCACCATGTTGGGCAGGCTGGTCTCGAACTCCTGACCTCAGGTGATCCACCCACCTCGGCCTCCCAAAGTACTAGGATTACAGGTGTGAACCACTGTGCCTGGCCAGTACTGGCTTATTAGTGAAGTCAGTGGGCTAGGGAATAAGCAGGGGGCAAAAAGGATGCCAAAATGTTGAAAGATAGAAAAATAAGCTTTTTTTTTTTTGTTTGAGACGGAGTCTCACTCTGTTGCCAGGCTGGAGTGCAGTGGCACAATCTTGGCTGACTGCAACCTCCACTTCCCGGGTTCAAGCGATTCTCCTGCCTCATCCTCCCGAGCGGATGGGACTATAGGCGTGCACCACCATACCCAGCTAAGTTTTGTATTTTTAGTACAGACAGGGTTTCACCATGTTGGCCAGGCTCGTCTTGATCTCCTGACCTTGTGATCCGCCCTCCTCGGCCTCCAAAAATGCTGGGATTACAGGTGTGAGCTACCACGCCCAGCCGAAAAATCATCTTAAATGTCTGCTCTGAACCCTTCATTTTATAAATGAGAAAATAGCAAAGTAACTTGCCTCTAGTTCTATTTCCATTACTGTTTTCTTATGTAGTTAGACAAAGTTATAGATGATATTTAAGCCATTAAGAGTCACACATGTGGAAAAAATGTAAATTCTTTTTTTTCTTTTTGAGACAGGGTCTTGCTTTGTTGCCCAGGCGAGTGCAGTGGCACAAATCACAGCTCACTGCAGCCTCAACCTCCTGGACTCAAGAGATTTGATTCTCCTGCCTAAGCCTCCTGAGTAGCTGGGACTACAGACGTGCACTACCAAACCCAGCTAATTTTTGTATTTTTTTGTAGAGACAAGGTCTCGCTATGTTACCCAGGCTGGACTTGAACTCCTGAGCTCAAACAATCTTCCCGCCTTAGCCTCTCAAAGTGCTGGAACTACAGGTGTCAGCCACCACACCCATCCAAAAATGTACATTCTTCACCTAAAATTAAAGTTTTTTTATGTTTTAAATTAATATCACTAAAGTTACAAAGCTAGTCAACTAAAAATTCCCTCTGAACACAACATGGTAGTATGGTACAGAAAAATAAAAGAATTCGGATACATGGTAGAAATTCTAGTCCTAGTATCACTAACCAGCTATGTGTCCCTAGGTTAAGTCCCTCATTTCTTTGGGTCTCTCCTATCAAATGAGTTGGAATCTAAGATCCTTTTCAATACTAAAATTCCATTATTTCTTTATACTACAAATAAACCCATTTGTCAAAAAGAAAAGTTACCTTCTTCTAATAAATTAAAAATTTACATTTAAGCCTCAGATTTTAATGTTTATAGTGAAATCTAGTTCCTTGTTTTCTTCCTAAAGATGACTTTTGCTTGTTTCTGCTACATACTTTCTGCAGCCTGCCCATTGTTCTTTCCAAACACCAAAACCCTATAAGCAATATTGCACTACTCAGAACTATTTACACAGCAGAGACAATATTGATAGGGTTCTAGGATCTGGTGATAAACAGAATTTTTTTTAGTTAGATGGCAGAAATTCACTAAGCAATTATGATAATCTAAAACTCATTAGTGTCTGATAAATCGCGCAAATTTGATTCTGATAAACATCATTCACAGCCCTTTCAGTTACAAATCAGCCTCCTGGAAGCCTTGGAAATCAGTGAGGTTATTGTTTAACTTTTTAGGGGCAATGGAATATTTAAAATAAAACTAGTGATTTTTGTAAAGCCCAAGATATTCGTATTTCAGAAACCAGTTTTCTCTAAAATCAGTAATAAAAATAAAGGGGAAAAGTTTTATACTGATCTGAAAAGTGGTATATAAAATACAAAATTAGGTGAAAAAAGTCTATGGAAATCATCATGAAAGCACCCCAAGGGAAACCAGGTTACATTCTGCCAGTTAGATTTCTGATTTTTTCCTCCTATTTTGGAATATTTGCATAATAATTACTGGTTGAGCATCCCTAATCTGAAAATTCAAAATCTGAAATGGTCCAATGAATTTTGGATTTTGGAGCATTTCAGATTTTGGAATTTTGGATTAGGGATGCTCAACCAGTTGTTTTGTTTGTTTGTTATTTTTTGAGACAGCGTCTCACTCTGTTGCCTAGGCTGGAGGGCAGTGGCGCAATCTCAGCTCACTGCAACCTCTGCCTCCAGGCTCAAGCAATTCTCATGCCTCAGCCTCCCGACTAGCTGGGACTACAGGCACACGCCACAACGCCTAGTAAATTTTTTGTATTTTTGGTAGAGATGGGGTTTCACCATTTTGCCCAGACTAGTCTTGACCTCCCGAGCTCAAGTGATCTGCCCGCCTCGGCCTCCTGAAGTGCTGGGATTACAGGCATGAGCCACCGCGCCCAGCCTGTTCTAGTCTAGTTTTCAATATGACCAGTTTAAGGCTTTAAGTAAGTGGCACAAGGTATTCCATACTACTCAACTATTAGGCAGCAAGGAGAAAAGAATATATTGCGGTTGTCACAATATACTGTGTGGTCCTCAGTTTTAAAACACTTGCTTTTTACAAACAACCCCTAGATTCTCATTGCCACCGTATGCTCTCCTACAAAGGACCAGTGCCCTTAAAGCTCTAAACACATCCTCTTATGAGAGACCTTATCTCAACAGCATTAAATTACATAAAGTGAAAAAAAGTATTTCAGTCTCACCTATGGTGGGCTAGGCATAGAGAAGAGTTGGTAGACAGGTGTGTTCTGGACTTACTAAACAGGCTTAGAAATGCATTTTCCGGCTGGGCGCAGTGGCTCACGCCTGTAATCCCAGCACTTTGGGAGGCTGAGGCGGGCGGAGCACGAGGTCAGGAGATTGAGACCATCCTGGCTAACACGGTGAAACCCCGTCTCTACTAAAAATTCAAAAAATTAGCTGGGCATGGTGGTGGATGCCTATAGTTCCAGATACTCGGGAGGCTGGAGCAGGAGAATGGCATAAACCTGGGAGGCAGAGGTTGCAGAGAGCCGAGATGGCGCCACTGCACTCCAGCCTGGGCAACAGAGCAAGACTCCGTCTCAAAAAAAAAAAAAAAAAAAAAAGAAATGCATTTTCCATAGAAACATTTTAAGGGAGAATTAAGTATCTTAATGGAACTAGTTTGGCTATAATCAAAAAACCTACTTTTATTTTTATTTTTAAATTTTTTTTGTTTTTGAGATGAGTGCTCACTATGTTGCCCAGGCTAGTCTCGAAATCCTGAGCTCACGTAATCTGCCCGCCTTGGCCTCCCAAAGTGCTAGGATTACAGGTGTCAGCCACTGCACCCGGCCAGAATCTACTTTTTGTACATTTTCTTCTCTTCAATGTACATTTAGAAACACCTTTATCTACTCTCCTTTTACTTTGTTCATGGCTTTGGTTTACCATCTACTGTATTATATTTTAATCTATGTTTACATGGTAATGTCGCCACATGGTTTCAAACATCTTCCTGGCAAGAGATCGCTTTTTTGTATCCTTAGTTTTTAATATACAGCCTAATGTGCAGTGACAAAAGGGAATAGATGAAAGAACAAACATTCATTCATTTGAAAGAACAAACCACCTGGGAACCCAACTACCCTTTAAAACACGTTTTAAGGGAAATATTTCAAGTTCCCAGCAAGCTAAGGACCACTTATATCATGTCTCCACAATCAAAATTGGTTTTTGCCTTTTTCTGCTGGAGAAAGTATTGACTATTACCCATTCTCTCTTCCAAACAGAACAAATGCATGACTATGCTTGTCCAAAACAGATAAGCAGTAACATGCCCTAACACCAGGTCACAGACATGTTATTTCAGGCAATTGGCAACCAGAGGGGATAAAAGTGAGCAAGGGCTTCAGGTTCATCAGTTCCCAATCTGCAAGCTTTTTTTTTTTTTTGAGATGAAGTCTCGCTCTTGTCCCCCAGGCTGAAGTGCAATGGCACGATCTCAGCTCACTGGGTTCAAGCCTCCTGGGTTCAAGCGATTCTCCTGCCTCAGCCTCCCGAGTAGCTGGGATTACAGACACCTGCCACCATGCCTGGCTAATTTTTGTATTTTTAGTAGAGACGGGGTTTCACCATGTTGGCCAGGCTGGTCTCGAACTCCTGACCTCAGGTGATCCGCCTGCCTCAGCCTCCCAAAGTGCTGGGATTACAGGTGTGAGCCACTGCGCCCGGCCCAATCTGCAGGCTTTTATGGAACAATTGCTAGGATATATACATAAGCCCCTGCCTCTAAAAGGCTAGTTTTATTTGTACTATTTATTTTTTTATTTTTTTGAGATGGAGTCTTGCTCAGTTGCCCAGGCTGGTGTGTAGGGGTGCAATCTCGGCTCACTGCAAGCTCTGCCTCCCGGGTTCACGCCATTCTCCTGCCTCAGCCTCCCTAGTAGCTGGGACTACAGGTGCCCACCACCACACCCGCCTAATTTTTTTTTTTTTTTTTGGTATTCTTTAGTAGAGACAGGGTTTCACCGTATTAGCTAGGATGACCTCAATCTCCTGACCTTGTGATCCACCCGCCTCAGCATCCCAAAGTGCTGGGATTACAGGCATGAGCCACCGCGCCTGGCCTAAAAGGCTAGTTTTATCAGTCAAAGTAGACTACTTAACTTTTTTTTTTTCCTTTGTAGAGACAGAGTCTCGTTTTGTTGCCCAGGCTGGTCTCGAACTCCTGACTTTAAGCGATCCTCCCGCCTCTGCCTCCCAAACTGCTAGGATTACAGGTGTGAGCCACTGCTCCAAGCCTTAAATAATTTATGTAATTCGGCTGGGCACAGTGGCGCATGCCTATAACCCCAGCACTCTGGGATGCTGAGGTGGGTGAATCACGAGGTCAAGAGATTGAGACTATCCTGGCCAACATGGTGAAACCTTGTTTCTACTAAAAATACAAAAATTGGCTGGGTATAGTGGCGTGCGCCTGTAGTCCCAGCTACTAGGGAGGCTGAGGCAGGAGAATTGCTTGAACCTGGGAAGCGGAGGTTGCAATGAGCCGAGATCGCACCACTGCATTGCAGCCTGGCGACAGAGCAAGACTCTGTCTCTAAATAAATAAATAAATAGATAAATTGTGTAACTCAAATGACAGCCGCGGCTGTGCACAGTGGCTCAGGCCTGTAATCCTAGCACTTGGGGAGGCCGAGGCAGGTAGATCACTTGAGCCCAGGAGTTCAAGACCAGCCTAGCCAATATGGTGAAGGTGAAACCTCATCTCTACAAAAAATACAAAAACTAGCCAGTGTGGTGGCATGCACCTATAGTCCCAGCTACGCAGGAGGCTGAAATAGGCTTGAGCCCGGGAGGTCCAGGCTGGATTGAGTGGTGATCACATCACTGCACTCCAACCTGCATGACAGAACGAGACCTTGTCTCAAAAAAAAAAAAAAAAAAAAGAGAGCCTAGGCATACTTCAAAATTATGGCACGTGATACCAAGAAACTCAGTGGCTTAAAAACTGATCATTTATTTTCATGGACCTGCACATTGACCCGGTTCAGGTACTCTAGGCTAGGCTGAGTTTGGTGGCTTTGCTTCACACAGCAATTCTGGAGGATGCCTGGTAGGACCTTTGCTACTGGTGTCTCTCATCCTCTTTGAACCCATGAGATATTCTCATGGAGCTAGAGGAAACATAAGAGTAAGCAGAAAGATTCAAGGTCTCTTAAAGGCCCAAGTTCAAAGCTGCACACTGTCAATTCTACCCACATGCCATTGACCAAAGCACATCAAGAGGAGAAAAATGTACTCTGCCCATCATGAAGTCATGACAAACATGTGGATACAGGCAGAAGTGAAGAAATGGGGTGAATTATTCACTTTACCACAATTCTTCTATTTTCTTTGAGAACAATCAGAGTAGGTCATGGTAGTACATGTAAGTGACAGGGATGGTGTTATTGCACGAATATTCAGATAAATTCTTTAGTTTATATATGGTGGGTTTTTTTTTTTTTTTTGAGATGGCGTTTCGCTCTTGTTGCCCAGGCTGGAGTGCAATGATGTGATCTCGGCTCACCGCAACCTCTGCCTCCTGGGTTCAAGCGATTCTCCTGCCTCAGCCTCCCAAGTAGCTGGGATTACAGGCATGCACCACCACATCCAGCTAATTTTGTATATTTAGTAGAGATGGGGTTTCTCTATGTTGGTCAGGCTGCTCTCGAACTCTCGACCTCAGGTGATCCACCCATCTCAGCCTCCCAAAGTGCTAGGATTACAGGCGTGAGTCACCGTGCCCAGCCTATGTATGTATTTTTTTAATTTTTATATTTTAATATTAAAAAAAAAGAGAGACAGGGCTGGGTGCAGTGGCTCATGCCAGTAATCCCAGCACTCTGGGAAGCCGAGGTGGGTGGATCACCTGAGGTCAGAGGTTCAAGGCCAGCTTGACCAACATGGTGAAATCCCATCTCTACTAAAAATACAAAAATTAGTCAGGTGTGGTGGTGGGCACCTGTAATCCCAGCTACTCGGGAGGCTGAGGCTGGAGAATTGCTTGAACCTGGAAGGCAGAGGTTGCAGTGAGCCAAGATTGTGCCATTGCACTCCAGACTGGGCAACAAGAGCGTAACCCCATCTCAAAAAAAAAAAAAAAAAAAAAAGAGAGAGAGACAGTGTCTCACTGTGTGGCCCAAAGCTGGTCCTGAACTCCAGAAATCAAAACAATCCTCCTGCCTCAGCCTCCCAAAGTGCTAGGATTATAGGCGTGAGCCACCATGCCCAGCTAGGTTTATTTTTAAAAGATGTCTCTCTTATTTATGGTATCTTGTAGCAAATAGAGCAATAACAAGTATAGAATAATCAATATATAATGGTTTTAATCAGGAGCTGTTGAATTTCCCTATATTTTATCCAAAACTTTTTTCTTTTTTTTTTGAGAGAGTCTCACTCTGTCACCCAGGCTGGAGTGCAGTGGTGCAATCTCAGCTCACTGCAACCTCCACTTCCCAGGTTCAAGCAATTCTCCTGCCTCAGCCTCCCAAGTAGCTGAGATTACAGGCCCCTACCACCATACCTGGCTAATTTTCGTTATTTGTTTTTTGTTTTAATTTGAGTCAGAGTCTTACTCTGTTGTCCACACTGGAGTGCAAGGGCGCCATCTCAGTTCACTGCAACCTCCGCTTCTGGGGTTCAAGCGATTCTTCTGCCTCAGCCTCTCGAGTAGCTGGGATTACAAACGTGCCCAGCTAATTTTTTTGTATTTTAAATAGAGACAGGGTTTCACCATGTTGGCCAGGCTGGTCTCAAGCTCCTGACCTCAGGTGATCTGCCCACCTCAGCCTCCAAAAGTGCTGGGAATACAGGCGTGAGCCACTGCTCCTGGCATAATTTTTGTATTTTTCTCGAACTCCTGACCTCAGGTGATCCTCTCGCCACGGCCTCCCAAATGCTGCGATTATAGGCGTGAGCCACCACGCCTGGCCCCAAAACTTTAACTGGATGTTTACATGTAGATGTTTTAAATTAAGGAATATAGGTTCATGATTACTATAGAATATGAATTTAAAATGATTAAAAATGTTTAGGAGTGTGGGCGCAGTGGCTCATGCCTGTAATCCCAGCACTTTGGGAGGCCGAAGCGGGCGGATCATGATGTCAAGAGATTGAGACCATCCCGGCCAACATGGTGAAACCCTGTCTCTACTAAAAATACAAAAATTAGCGAGGCGTGGCGTCATGCGCCTGTAGTCCCAGCTACTCGGGAGGCTGAGTCAGGAGAATCGCTTGAACCCCAGAGGCCGAGGTTGCAATAAGCCGAGATCACGCCCCCAGAGGCCGAGGTTGCAGTAAGCCGAGATCGCGCCACTGCACTCCAGCCTGATGACAGAGCGAGGCTCCATCTCAAGGAAAAAAAGTGTTTAGGAACCTACTCATAGTCATTAGGATAGTCACCATAAAAAAAAAAAAAAAGACAAGTGTTGGAGAGGATGTGGAGAAACTGGAACCCTTGTCCACTGTTGGTGGAAATGTAAAATGGTATAGCAGTTGTGGAAAACAGTATGGTGGCTTCTCAAAAAACTAAAAATAGAATTACCATATTATCCACCAATTCCACTTCTGGGTATACACCTAAAACAACTAAAAACAGGGTCTTAAAGAGATATGTGTATACCCATTTTCATAGCAGCATTATTCACAATAGCTAAAACAAGGAAGCAACACGAGTGTCCATGGAGGGATGAATGGATAAGTAAAATGTAGTACATACGTACAATGGAATCTTATTCCGCCTTAAAAAATTGAAGGAAATCTGCAATATGCTGCCACAAAAAAATGGATGAATCTTGAGAACATTTTGCTGAATGAAATAAGCCAATAATAAAAAGACAAATACTGTATGATTTCATTTAAATGAGGTATTTAGAGTAGTCTAAATCATAGAGACAGATAGTAGAATGGTAGTTGCTAGACGCTGGGGGGAGGGGAAAAGAGGAGTAATTGTATAATGGGTATAGAGTTTCTTTTTTATGTTTTGAGATGGAGTCTCACTCTGTCGCCCAGGTTCCCAGGTTAGAGGGCGACGCTGCATCCTCCACCTCCCGGGTTCAAGCAATTCTCCTGCCTCAGTCTCCCGAGTAGTTGGGATTACAGGCACACACCACCACACCCAGCTAATTTTTTGTATTTTTAGTAGAGACGGGGTTTCACCATGTTGCCCAGGCTGGTCTGGAACTCCTGACCGCAGATGATCCACCCACCTTGGCCTCCCAAAGTGCTGGGATTACAGGTGTGAGCCACCATGCCCAGTTGAGAGTTTCAGTTTTACAAAATGAAAAGGTTATGGAGATGGATGATGGTGATGGTTGCACAACATTATGAATGTATTTAATACCACTTAAAATTGTTAAGATCATAAACATTATGTTACATGTATTTTAACACAATAAAAAAATAGGGAAAAAAGTTCACAAACGTAATAAACAGTATGGTAAGAAAACTTAATAGCTAGAATATTGATCTTACTTTCTCAATACTCCTAGCTCTCCCTCTCAACAGTATACTGCAACCCTTGCAGTTTCCCCCAGTTGTACAATAAACACTCATCTCTGGACGTTCACATGTACTATTTCCTCTGCCTGGAATATTTGCCCTCTCCTTCAGTTGGCTAATCCCTACTCATCTTTCAAGTCTCAGATTATATCTCACCTCTAAGAAGAAATCTTTCCCAGGTTAGTTTCCTCTTTCCAATGTGCCCCCATAATATCTAGTATCTATTTTTCCCATCATGTCATCTGTATTTAATTTATATGTGTACTTAATCACAGATACATTAGTCAACATATTTATCTGTGTCTCCCAGATAAGTTTCTTAATATCTTTAGCCTCTGTTACTAGCCCGATCTAGAAACACTTAATAAGGCCAGGCATGGTAGCTCAAGCCTGTAATCCCAACAATTTGGGAGGCTGAGGTAGGAGGATCATTTGAGTCCAGGAGTTGGAGACCAGTTTGGGCAACAAAGGGAAACCACGCCTCTAAAAAAGTTTTTTAAACTAGCCAGGCATCATGGTGCAACACCTGTGGTGTCAGCTACTCGTAAGGCTGAGGTGGGAGGATCACTTGGGCCCGAGAGGTCAAGGTTGCAGTAAGCTGTGATTGAGCCACTGCACACCAGCCTGGGTGACAGAGTGAGACCCTATCTCAAAAAAAAAAACAAAAGGAAACACATAATGAAACAAAGTAGGAAGCACTTTTATCTACAATTAGGCAAATTAAGTGGGGAGAGAAAGGATTTGTAAAACTACAGCTCTTACATTTACTAACAAAAATGTCTTAAAAAGTTATATTTATTTTGCAGTCACTAAATCACTAGATGAAACCTTAGCAAAAATTGGCTAAGATTATTTCCTTATTGATAAAATGAGACTACACCAGGCTCGGTGGCTCATGCCTGTAATCCCAGCACTTTTGAGAGGCCAAGGTGGGAGGATCACATGAGGCTAGGAGTTTGAGACCAGCCCGGCCAATGTGGTGAAACCCCGTCACTACTAAAAATACAAAAATTAGCTGGGCATGGCGATGCACGCCTGTAATCCCAGCTACTCGGGAGGGTGACGCAGGCAAATAGCTTGAACCCAGGAGGCGGAGGTTGCAGTGAGCCAAGATGGTGCCACTACACTCCAACCTGGGTGACAGAGTGAGACTCTGTCTCAAAATAAATAAATAAATAATAAAATGAGAATAAAAATATTGAACTCAAAGAATCAAGGACTGATTCTAACTTTTAAAATGTTATATATTGAGATAAATTAGAAGTACGAGCTTATAAAATCTAATTAAGAATAGCTATTTTATTTATCTGGGATATTCTTTCTTTCTTCATTTTTGTTTTTGAGACAGGGTCTTGTTCTGTAACCCAGGATGGAGTGCAGTGGCAGCACAATCATAGCTCATTGCAGTCTTGATCTTCTGGGCTCAAATGATCCTCCTGCCACAGCCTCCTACGTAGCTGGGACTACAGGCACCTGTCACCACACCGAGCTAATGTTTTTACTTTTATTTTTAGTAGAGACGAGGTCTTGCTATGTTGCCCAGGCTGGTCTCAAACTCCTGAGCTCAAGCAATCCTCTGTCTCGGCCTCCCAGAGCGCTGGGATTATAGGCGTGAGCCACTGCACCTAGCCAATCTGGGATGGTCTTTTTTTCTTTTCTTTTTTTTTGGGGGGGACGGGCGTGGTGGCACATGCCTGTAACCCCAGCTACTAGGGAGGCTGAGGCAGAAGAATCGCTTGAACCTGCGAGACAGAGATTGCAGTGAGCCGAGATCACAGCATTGCACTCCAGCCTGGACAACAAGAGCAAAACGCCATCTCAGAAAATAAAAAAAGAAACAATGTCCTCAAATGAACCCCTTGGCCCCTCCTCTAGGTTATTAAAAAAACAAAAACAAAAACAAAAACAAAATCAAAATCCTACCCACTATTCTAACAGCCCACTAGAGAACAGTAAGAAATTGTAATTAAAAGCCAAAGAGGAAAGCAGCTGCGCTTAAGGCCAGGGCTGGTAACTAAGAAAGAAATTTTATATATAAGACACACACACACACACACACACACACACACACACATTTGGAATAAAATGGCTTTATGATGAGGATTTATGTCCTTCATTCTCTACAAATGATGTCCTTGAGTTCATGCCTAACATTTTAGGTATCTTTCTTCCCTCTGGTATCTGTATTTTCCCAACTATTTTTAAAGGACTTTTGCTTAACAAATAGCTTACTTTCTTCTGAAATTCAATGCGTTTAGAACCCATGTTGTAACTGTTCTTGATCTACTTTTTTTTTTTTAATTTTATTAGAGATGGAGTCTGGCTATGTTGCCCAGGCTGGTCTCGAACTACTGGGCTCAAGTGATCCTCCTGCCTCAGCCTCCCAAAGTGTTGGGATTACAGGTGTGAGCCACCGTGCCTGGCCTTTGCTCTATTTTTAAGAGCACTAGTAGAAATCACACTAAACAGACTATTAAATATTGTTTTAAGCAAAAAAAAAAAAAAAAATTTTTTTTTTATTTGAGACAAAGTCTCACTCTGTTGCCCAGGCAGGAGTGCAGTGATGAGATCTTGGCTCACTGCAACTTCTGCCTCCCAGGTTCAAGCAATTCTCCTGCCTTAGCCTCCCAAGTAGCTGGGATTACAGGGGCACACCACTGCACTAGGCTAATTTTTTGTATTTTTAGTAGAGACAGGGTTTCACCATGTTGGCCAGGCTGGTCTTGAACTCCCTCAGGTAATCTGCCCGCTTCGGCCTCCCAAAGTGCTAGGATTACAGGCATAAGCCACCATGCCCAGCCAAAAAAAGAAAAAAAGTTTTTAATTTTAAAAAATTATAAGCAGACCTACACACTGAAAATTGCAAAACTGTCGAGAGAAAATTTTAGAGACCTAATAAATGAAAAGATATGTTTGTGCACCAGAGGGCTCGATATTGCTAACATAACAATTCTCTATCCGGCACAGTGGTTCACTCCTGTAGTTCCAGTACTTTGGAAGGCTGAGGCAGGAGGACGGCTTGAGCCCAGAAGTTTGAGACCAGCCTGGGCAACATAACAAGACCCCATCTCTAAAAAAATAAAAATAAAAAAATTTTTTTGAGATAGGATGTCACTGTCAATAGGCCGGAGTGCAGTGGCACAATCATGGCTCACTGCAGCCTCGACCTCCCCAGGCTCAGGTGATCCTCCCATCTCAGCCTCTCAAGTATGTGGGACTACAGTCTTGCGCCACCACACCCAGCCAATTTTTCAATTTTTCTGTAGAGATGAGGGGGTTTTGCCATGTTGCCCAGACTAGTACAAAAAAAATTTTTTTAATTAGCTAGGAGTGGTGGCACGTGCCTGTGGTCTCAGCTACTTGGGAGGCTGAGGTGGGGGAGTATCATCTGAATCTTGGGAGGTCAAGGCTGCAGTGAGCTGTGACCGCCACTGTACTGCAACCTGGGTAATAGAACAAGACCCTGTCTCAAAAAAAAAAAAAAAAAAAAAAGAAAAGAAAATAGGCAAAAGATTGTGAGACATTTCACTAAAGAAGATATACAAACTACAAATAAGCATATGAAAAAAGGTTTAACATCATTAGTTAAGGAAGTGCAAATTGAAACTACAATGGGGCACCACCACATAACTGTTAGAAGGGTTAAAATTAAAACTGATATTTTTGCATCAACCTAATACCAAGTGTTGATAAGGTTATGGAAAAACTAGAACCCTTATCAATAGCTTTGGGAATGCAAAATAGTACAGCCACTTTGAAAAATATTTTAGCAGTTGCTTATAAGATCAAGCATACTTTTTTTCCCCCAAGGATACATTTATCAGGCTACCAGAAATCCCATTTCAGTATTTACTCAAAAGAAATGAAAACATTACGTCCACACAAAGACATACTCATGGCGACTCACTCCCAGAACCCCAGCACTTTGGGAGACTGAAGTGGGAAGATCATTTGAGCCCAGGAGTTAGAGAACCAGCCTGGCAACATAGTGAGACTTCATCTCTACAAAAAAATTTTTCAACTAGCCAGGTATGGTGATGCACACCTGTAGTTCCAGCTACTCAGCAAGCTGAGGTGGGATTGCTTGAGCCTAGGAGTTTGATGGTACAGTAAGCTATGATCACACCACCGCACTCCAGCCTGGGTGACAGTATGAGACCCTGTCTCTAAAGAAAAAGAAAAAAATATTGCTAAAAAAAAAATTAAACAAAGACATTTGGGAGGGCAACACAGGAGGATCACTTGAGCTCAAGAATTCGAGACCAACCACAGCCATTTTATTCATAATATGCAAAACGTGGAAATGACCCGATGTCTATAAGTTGGTGGATAAAGAGTTTGTGATATTCTATACAATGAATACTACTCAGCAATAAAAACTGTCCAACTGCTAATATACAACATGGATGAATCTCAAAGCATTATGCTAAGTGCAAGAAGCCAGACACAAAAGACTGTATAATGTATGATTCCATTTATATGAAATTCTAGGAAAAGTTAAACTAGAGATCAGTGGTTGCCAGGGACTTGGGGAAGAAGAGGTTGACCACAAAGAGGCACAAAGGAATGTAGGGGTCTCACTCTGTTGCTCAGCCTGGTCTGGAACTACTGGGCTCGAGTGATCTTCCCACCTCAGCCACCCGAGTAGCTAGGTCTACAGGTGCACCACCATGCCTGGCCACAAAGGAGCTTTTTGTAAAGTAACAGAAATGTTCTATATCCTGGCTGTGGTGGTGGTTACATGACTGTATACATTTGTCAAAACTCGTCAGTTCACTGGGCATGCCACACCCCTGTAGTCCAAGCTACTCAGGAGGCTGAAGTGGGAGGATTGCTTGAAGCCAGGAGTTCTAGGCTGTGCTGCATTATGATTGCCTCTGTGAATAGTCGCTGCCCTCCAGCTGGGCAACACAGCAAGACTTCGGCTTTGCTTAACAAATAGCTTACTTACTTTTATTTTATATAATTGTATCTCAATAAAATTCATATTTTTTAAAAGTGATGAATCCACACTATTGTATCTCATAAGAATAAACTGTAAAACAAACACTCTTAGGTTTTAAATTCAACCATTTCCTAGACAATACACAAAATTAACACCAATTAAGATTTGGAGGACTAGGCACAGTGGCTCACACCTATAATCCCAGCACTCTGGGAGGCCAAGGCAAGAGGACTGTTTGAGCCCAGGAGTTCAAGACCAACCTCGGCAACACAGTGAGACCCTGTCTCCACAAAAAATTTCAAGAAAATATTAGCCAGGCATGGTAGGACACGCCTGTGGTCCCAGCTACTTAGGAGGCTGAGGAGGGAGGATTATCTAAGCCCGGGAGTACAAGGCTGCAGTGAGGTGTAACTGGGCCACTGCACTCCAGCCTGGGCAACAGAGAAAGACTCTGTCTCTGGAGAAAAAAAAATGACTTGGGGCAAGTAACTGCAGGAAAAATATACAGCAGAAATTGTTTCCATCACTACCAATTCATCATAAAACTCAAATAAAACCTAAAGTTTGACAGAACCTATCCAAATATGTAACAGAAAGCAACAAATTATAAAGTATTACTCATTTAGACAAACCATAACAACTTAGATATAAAAAATATTCTCCAGACGTGTTTCATAATGCAGTAAAATATTGTTTTTAATTAGTTAAAAGGTTTTTTTTTTTCAAATTATGACTTTCTAAAAGATATACTGTTAGTAACAACATTATAGTTCTCAGCAACAAAGGTTGTGGTAAATTATTTACTGATACCGAAGAAAGATGTAAGGTAAGAATCAAAATTCTGGCGTGCATCCTGCTTTCAGATGCTTTGACAATACTATTGCACTGCTAGCTGTAAAGTACAGTAGTGCAATAAAGTCAGAGCATTCGTTAGCAGTAATAAGTAGGAAAGGAACACAAAAGCATCTTGCATCGGTTGAAGCTTCAGTGAGAAACGAATTTAAAGTAGGGTTGCCATTTTGGACAGAAAAACATCCAAAACCAAAAAACATTTATATCAATGTTTTTTTAAAAAAGGATAAGACTTAAATATCAAAGTGATGTTGCTTATTGATGACTAATATACAAATTAACATTCGAACAGAAACATGCATAGATGTAGAAAGGAATTTTGTAAATATGCCCTAAGCCTTAATAGTAATTAGAATGGGTATTGTTAATACTTTAGGATTGGTATTAACAAAACCAGTTATAATTACTACTAAGGCAAAGTTGTGAAAAATATTTTTGTTCTCTGCAGAGATGTTGGTTAGCTCCTTCTTCAAGGCAATTTACTGATTAAACGCCATGTAAAACAAGCCCTTTGAATAAAAGTATCAAAGAAAACAAATGAAAAGTAAAATAATAAGTTTCTCAATCTCTACATACTCAATCTATCACTCTGGAATCTAAACCACTAAACAAAGAAAACACAAAAGCACTTACCATCTTACAGCTTTTTATCTTGAGTTTACTAAGGGCTGTCATAACAACAGAAGGGAATCAATGTGCTCTAAACAGAACATTAACCCTATCTAACTGAATACTATCCAAGGGGATTTTAAAATTTCAGTTAACTCCTGAAATCTTAAATAGAGGCAGAAAGCATCTCCATTTCCTTCAAACTTAGAAATGTCAAAGAGAAAATAATGATGGGGGGAGGTGGGACTGAGATTTAAGTAACAAGTTTCCTTAGTTCCAAGCTAATTGACATTTTAACTTTTTTAACGGATAAGAACCCAATCAGAAGTCAGATGTAAACCCAGAAACAGAAATAGTATCATAGTATCACACTGCATTACCTTTTGTGTACAGTCACTAGTAGTACCACGAAAGAACAAAGCTAAACAAATACCACCCCATCATTAAGTGAAGGGGAAAAAGTCAGAGAACAAAGATTGCCCTACAATAAGCTTATTCCCCCATTAGTAATGTTGATTGATGCAAAAATATATTTTCATTATTTTCACCAACCTCCCTTTAAACGGTCCAATTCAACTACTTAGTCGGATTGAGCCTACTAAGGAAATGGGCTCATACAAAGGACAGCTGAAATATAAGTGTCTTGGTGTCAAATCCTGGGCCACATAACTAAAATATTAGAATATTTAACGCTGGTAGCCAAGTTTCAGGTTTTAAAGACAACTGTTTAAAAGATAAGTGTTTAACTTTCTGAATTGGAAGTTATTACAAACAAGAAAAATATTTAAAAAATTTAAGGTATTAACAAAATTAGGATAAACACTTTCTTTTCAAATTAAATATTATGCATTTCCTTTTACCTTGACAAATCCTTTATTTAACTGATGTAAAACCAAAAATCAGAAGATAGCACAGGAATCATTTACTCTTAAAATCTTATAAAATAAACTGGTCCACAAGTATAACATTTTTTTCTAGAAGCACATGGTAAATCTGAAGATGAGATGCACTGTCTTTTATTATCTAGTCAACACAAAGCAGTAATAATTAGAGCCATGATAAAAATTCATTTCTAAACCCTAATAATTATGGAAACAAACTAATAACCTGAAAGGAAAAAAAAAAAAGCTACCACTAATTTACTTGCAAGGATGTAAGAAAGGAAAAAAACCTCATTTCTTTTTTTCCTGTCTTCAAAAAGAATTTAAATACTACCCCATCATTCAAACAATACCTAAAAGTTTAAATGTCTGGCTACCTTATAATTTTCTAAAACCTACTTTTTCAAAATGTTTACTTCATCATTGTTCACTTAAAAGAGAATTTGTTCAATCTAAAGAAGTCCTGTGAGAATACTGACTCTACTGTAAAAGCCAGACGAAGTTTAAAAATTAGAAACAGCCAATTTGAGAAGCAAACAACCTGTTAAAAGCAGAATTAGCATCATTTAGCAGAAATGAATTATGAATTTAAGCAGAAATATCTATATCAGTAGGGAGGAATTCAGAATGGGAGAAGGGCAAGATAGTCTTAACATTTAAGCCTGTTGACAGAATCAAATTACAATGCTTAACATTTTGTTTTTTTTAAATGATAATAAAACTTAAAACTAAAAGTTCATTATTACAGGTTTGAAAATCTGCAGGAAATTCTTCCTTCTTCCCTCCCATTTCTCCCTACACTTCTCCAACCCCACACACACTGCACAAAGAAAATTTAAACACAAAATGCTAAAAGTAATTGAAAGCCTTCAAATTAAATTTGTATATGAGAGGCACTCCAATTCATTAGCACAACAGAAGAAAATAAGATATATCAAGGCCTCACTTTTTCTGGGGTGGGAATGGGGGGTGGGTGAGGTTTCTTCCAGGATCACCACCCATCCTTTCCAAGGAAGAAGTTAGAGACCCAAGATTCAGCTTGAAGAAAGCAGGGCAGGCACAAAGGATACCTAAGCAGTAATGCCAGGGAATGGCGTGGGAAGGAGGGACGGATTACAAACGAAGAAAGAAGTCTTTTACTTTTTTAAAACTTAATCTTTTTTTTTTTTGAGACGTTGTCTCTGTCGCAAGGCCGGAGTACAGTGACGCGATCTCGGCTCACTGCAACCTCCGTCTCCCAGGTTGAAGCGATCCTCCTGCCTCAGCCTCCCGAGTAGCTGGGACTACAGGCGCGTGCCATCACACCCGGCTAATTTTTTTATTTTTAGTATAGACGGAGTTTCACCATGTTGGCCAGGGTAGTCTCAATGTCTTGACCTCTTGATCCGCCCGCCTCGGCCTCCCAAAGTGCCGGGATTACAGGCGTGAGCCACCGCGCCCGGCCAATCGTATTTAACAGACAAGCAAACAAACAAAAAAAGACAGGAGCTCAGTGGCAGGCGCTTCCTCCAAAGTCCAGGTTTTTAAGGAAAGCAGCCCAACCTGGGAAAAAAAAAAAAAAAGAAAAGAAAAGAAAAAAAAGATAATGCTGAACGAAAAGGGCTGAAGACAGAACAAGGACACTAAGAGGAAAAAAGCGCGGGCGATCAAGCTGGTAATCTAAGGATGGGAGGGAGGGAATAAAGAGAACAAGTGAGGGACGGATCCTTAAAGAAAACTAGGACAGCCCCCCAGCTGGGCGCCCCCCGAGCAGGCCAAACACGCCAGCAACAACGGGAGTGCTTTCCAATTCTTCGCCCCCGTTTTCTACTTTCACAGATGAATGAAAGTGCACAACTCCAGAGCAGGATGCCTTTCCTGTCTCAATCCCGCCCGCGCTCCGGGAGCGGAGCTCGTGGTTACGATCCCCTTCGCTCACACCTCTTCCCTCACCCACGGTTTGCCACCTCCGGATCAAACAGAAACGGGTTCCTTGGCCGTTAGGAAGTTGTGCATACAAGTCTAGCATCCTTTCTCAGACTTTCTCGGCCCGCCTTTTAGAACGTGAGCGGGTTGGCCCTACAGGGATTTCTCCTCGCCCCCGTCAGTTTATTCCCCACCCCACCCTCCGTTCCCCTTTCTTGGAGTGTGAACCACCTCTCCCTTCTTGGGACGCTTAGGGACCGTTCCATTCACATCTTTTTTGGTACAAACACAGAATGCGGTCTGCACCCGGCGCAGTTTCGTAAGGGGTGTAAAGGTGAGGGCAAGGAACAAGGAATTCCAAAGGCCCCGCACCCTCAGCATCTCCCGCCATTTCCCTGACGAGTTTCCCGGATGTAACCCCTTACCCGAGGCGGTTTAGACACCAGACGGTGGCGGCTCCCTTTGGTGCAGGAGGAGGGAACTCGACTCTGGTCCAGCCTCCGCCGCCCGGAGTTTCCGGCGACTCCAAATTGTGCCCCACCTCCGAGGCCATGGGGGAAAAATAAACTACCCAGTAGATCTCCTTCACTTTGCACTCACCATCAGTTCCAGCTTATCGACCTCCGCCTCCATGTTGAATAGTTGACATTCCGCAGACCGCGGCGGCGCTTAAGCCGCAAGCCGTACTAGCACGGAGGGCCTCCATTGGACAGCTGTCACTCAACATCTCGCACTCATTGGCTCCTCCGTTCCACCGGCTCCCGCCCATTGGAGACTGGGTAACGCCCCTCTGCATGAGACACATTTTCCTGTTGGGCAAAGGCACAAAACGCCGCAGGAGGATTGGCTGCTGTGCAAATTTTTTTTTCCATTGGCTGCCCCCTCCTCTCTACTTTCAATTTTGTAGTTAGGGCTCTGCAGAGAAGAGCTTGAGATTGGTGCAATTGGAAGAAGAGCCAACCAATCACACCAGAGCTTCCACCGACAGCAGAGGGGACGTAACACACCTTCTTTCCCCTCCGGCTTTCCTTCCCCTTCTCTCCCGCCTTCTCCTTATTCATACCAGAAGCGCCTCAGCTCTGATTGGCTGGAGCTCTGTGCTATC
The DNA here is from genome assembly GCF_000001405.40 of Homo sapiens. Taxonomy (NCBI): domain Eukaryota; kingdom Metazoa; phylum Chordata; class Mammalia; order Primates; family Hominidae; genus Homo; species Homo sapiens. The sequence continues at coordinate 59,155,636 of NC_000017.11, forward strand.
TCAGCCAATCACAAGCCGGGCTGTGCTCCTACACCATCCGAAGAGCGAATCGTGCAGAGACCGTGTCTACGATTGGCCTCTCCCTGACAAGGATTTAATTTTGAATTTTTCTTTATGGCGTGGGAGAGGCCACAGCCCGGACTCCATCGACTCCCCCGGCTCTTAGACTAGTAAGTGCAGGAACGATTATTTCTTTGTTATCTGAGCTCGCGTCTTGAGTAGCTGGGCCTGTTGCTGCTTGTGTTTTTATGGTTTAGGGAGGTGGGGACTTTGGCTGGACACGAAGGGGAAATGGAAAGGAGGAAGGGGAGGTTTGGGGCTGGGGAAGAAGTGCTCGGCCTGGCTTCATCTTAACCATACTTCTATTTAATTAACACTTCGCAAGATACGTTTTGGAGCAAAGCATCTGCCTTCCTTTTGAACATTTCTTTACATATTTGCTGCTCAATGCAAGTCCACAGATCAGCGGCATCCGCATCTCTTGTTTGCTTGTTACAAATGCAAATTATCGGACTCCACCCAAATTTACTAAATCAGAATATACATTTTAACAAGATTTCCCTGAGTGATTTCTATGCACATTAAAGTTTAAGTTGGTACATTTCTTGACTGGGAATATTACTATGTTACTCGATATTGTCTGGCATGCTGTTAGAGTGTCAATTTTAAATGCGTGTCCTGTTTACTGAGTGCCTAATACTGTGCGGGATGAGACTTTAGGGAGCTGCAGTCTCTTTGGAAAAACAAGACAGAACAAAAACAGCAATGCTTAAAAAAAAAAAAGCATAAAACATAAAATTTAAAAAAAGCAAGTACCCAGAAATAGTGCTATGGGTGTTCAAGAAGAATCAATTGGACTGCTAATGGAAATTAAGTAATTGAAGGCTATTTGTGGAGGAGCGCAAGAGACTTCCATAAAAATGTGTTTTAGGAAGATGGCAATGAAATGCAACAGTCATTTCCGTTGCTGCTACAGCTTTGAAAGTACCCCAGAACAAAGAACTTTTCTTCTCTTTCTTTCTTTTTTTTTTTTTTCTTTTTTTGTGACGGAGTCTCGCTCTGTCGCCTAGGCTGGAGTACAGTGGCACAATCTCGGCCCACTACAACCTCAGCCTCCTGAGTAGCTGGGAGTACAGGCGCACGCCAGCACGCCCGGCTAATTTTTGTATTTTTAGTAGAGACGGGGTTTCACCCTCTTGGCCAGGATGGTCTCGATTTCCTGACCTCGTGATCCACCAGCCTCAGCCTCCCAAAGTGCTGGGATTACAGGCGTGAGCCACCACGCTCGGCCGCAAAGAACTTTTCATATCATTGGGTGGAGTTTTCACAGAAGCAGCAGCGCCAACTCCTGCAAAAGACTGTAATTCTTACTGTATTATTTATTGCATCTTCCTATTGGAAAATAGCTTTAGACCCATCTTTTAGCCATATGAAGATGTGGTATGATATGAAGAAGTAAAAACCTCCCTAACCAAGAGAATTTGACAATATTAGAATATATTCCTTAACTAAAATAACACTTGCTAGCTAACACTTAGCAGGAATGCTTCTTTTCATTCTTTATTGAATGAAACATTATTTAGCTCCTGCTGTATTCTAGATGCTGGGAAAACAAAGATGAATGAAATTTGTCACACCCTTGAAAAGCTCACAGTCCAGCAGGATGACAAACATACAAGCAAAAATTACAATGAAATGTAATACATTTTATAATAAAGATGTGTATAAAGTGCTATAGAAGTGCAAAAGAGATGACATTTCAGCCAGTATAAATTCTGTAAGGAGGCTGGGCATGGTGCCTCACACCTGTAATCCCAGCACTCTGGGAGGATGAAGCGGGCGGATCACTTGAGGTAAGGAGTTCAAGACCAGCCTGGCCAACATGGCAAAATCCCATCTCTACTAAAAATACAAAAATTATCCGGGTGTGGTGGCACGCCCCTATAATCCCAGGTGCTCAAGAGGCTGAAGCAGGATAATCGCTTGAACCCAGGAGGTGGAGGTGGCATTGAGCTGAGATCACACCACTGCACTCCAGCCCGGGTGACAGAGCGAGACTCTGTCCACCCCCCCAAAAAAAAAAAAATTCTAGAAGGACAAAGACTATGTTGGTGTTGTTCAGGATTGTATGCCAGCACCTAGCATAGTACTTGGTGGATTATAAGCACTCAACTAATATCTATAAGATAAAATAACAGAATCTTGAAGGCTAGGTATAAGTTGACTTGGAAGAGGATACTCTAAACAGAAGGAAAGGCTGATAGAAAGAAACAGAAAGTATTTGGTGTTTAGTATACCTGGAAGTACAAACCGCTAGTCACTAGAAGAGACTATGGCAAAGGGCCATTAGAGCTAAGTTGTGAAAAGTTTTGAAAGGCATGCTAAGGAATTTAATTTTGTGAGTAAAGGAACCTTCAAATACTTTTAAGCAAGGGAATATCTAGATCTCATTTTGTTTTAAAGTATCAGTTCTGGTATGGAAAATGAACTGGCAAGGAGAAAGACTGAAGGCAGGAGAATCATTGAAGGAACACTCAGCAAACCCAAACTAAGAAACATTCTCCAAAACGACTGACTTGGACTCTTCAAAATTATAAATATGAAGAAGCAAATACATAAATAAAAAAGCTGGAGAATTGTTATGAATTAAAGGGTACTAAAGAGACACTACTGCTAAATGCATGTGGAACCAGGGTGGGAGAAGCTATAAGGGATATTGAGACAATTGGGGCAATCCGAATATGGGCTGTTTATTAGATCATTTCATAACAAGGTTAAATTTCCTGACTGATTGTGGTTTTGTTGGAAAATTTCCATGTTTATGTTAGAAAACAAAAGCTAAAGTATCTAAGAGTAAAGTATCATGATGTCTGCAACTAAATCTATTCAATCCAAAACTAAAAAAATTTATGTATGTATATATTTGTACATACGTACAGAAAGAGTGTGTGTACAAAGACGGCAATTGACAATTGGTAAATCTAGGTGAACTGTATATGAGTGCTTATTATACTATTGTAAATTTTTTATTTCCTGGAGCCTTGAAATTTTTCTAAGTAAAAACAGTAAAGGAAAATAGACAATAGTGAAAGACAAAAATGAAAAAAGTGAAGGCAACTGAAGTTAGAGGACAGAACGGAGGGGGATGGTAAGGAGAAGAGACAGGGTAAATTAATCAGAGAAATATTTCTGATTCATACTCACATTGGCCCACACCCAGGTGTGGTGTGCACCCAGTGCAGTGGCGTGATCTTGGCTCACTGCAACCTCCACCTCCTAGATTCAAGTGATTCTAATGCCTCAGCCTCCCGCGTAGCTGGGATTACAGCACACTCCACCACACCTGGCTAATTTTTCTATTTTCAGTAGAGACAGGGTTTCACCCTGTTGGTCAGGCTGGTCTCGAACTCCTGACCTCAGGTGATCCACCCACCTCAGTCTCCCAAAGTGCTGGGATTACAGGTGTGAGCCACCGCACCCAGCCTCCCACACCCTCTTTTTTTATAACCCTCTACTCCAATAGGAGCTCCATTGTCTCTGCATTCTTTTCACCTTCCTGGCCATGCCTTTTCTAGTTCTTTCTCTACCCACTCCTTATACATGGTGTTTCTCAAAGTTTGGTAATCAGCTCATAGATCTTTTCACTCCACATATTTCTCTGGGTAATTTCACTCATTTCTAGTGTTGTTATTTTCTCAAGCTACCTATACACTTATGAGTGCAGTATTTCTCTAGTGTCTTTCCCCTGAACTTCTGACTTTGAACATAGAACATAAGCAGTTAGATGTATTTAGATACCCTACTGTCGCTCCTATAATCAGGTCCTCATCCCCTAGACAGTTGCAGTAGGTTTGTAAGTGGTCTCTTTGTCTTCAGTCATGGTCCCATAAATCCAATTTCCACGATGCTGCCAAACCATTCTTTCTAAAGAAGAAATACGAGCATGACAATTATCTGCTTAAAATCCATTATTGTTTCTGATGTCTTGGTCCTTATCCACCCTCCAGCTTCATCACTCATTGCCCCCTGACAAAACTTTACGTTGCAGGATATGCTTTAGTCACACTGAGTCTTGTCTGAATCCCCTGACATACCTTTCTCTGAAATGTTTCCATGTTATTCCCTCTGATGGGATGAGTCCTCCCTAGGCCCACCTTAACCTAGCCCCTTCATCAAAGCTCAGCTTAGGCAAAACCTTTTCCAAAAACCTCAACCCTTATGGGAGAATTATGTACCCTTGCTTTATTTCTCCATTAATATCATATACATATCCCATCATAACCCATACACTATTGTATACCTGTTTACTTTCTGCTTACCCATCTCTCCCCACTGTAAACTCTTGGAGGGCAGGAATGTGTCTTATTCATTTTCATAGCAAGTTATCACTATATGTTGTTGAATTAAACTTGTATTTTAAAAAATCTGATATAGTAATCTCAAGCAGCAAAAAAAAAAGAATCAAAGAATAATAATGATAATAATGATAAAACTTATTGCCTGCCAGGCACTGTAAATACTTTACATGATTTACTCATGTACTCCTCAAAACTCTGAAGTAAGTTCCTATTAATATTATTATTTCACAGGGGAGGAAACTGACACAGAAAGGCTAAGAATCTCTTGAAGGTCATAAATAAGTTATGACAGTATAGTAGAGCCATGATTTGAACCTATGCAGTATAACTCCCTGGTCCTCATCCTTAACCCCTACAGTATACTTCCTCTTGTTGTTTGTTTGTTTGGTTGGTTGGTTTCGGTTTTGGTTTGGGGGTTTTTTCTTAGACTGAACCTCATTCCAATTTTTATATTTTTAGTAGAAATGGGGTTTCACTGTGTTTGCCAGTCTGGTCTCGAACTTGACCTCAAGTGATCCATCCACCCACCTTGGCCTCCCAAAGTGCTGGAATTACAGGCGTGAGCCACCATGCACGGCCTATAATATGACCTTTATTATTGTTTGATTTGTTATCAAGAGCTCCAGATGTACCAGTTTGCTGGTTCCTTAGCCTAGAAATCTTTTCTTAATGAAAAGAAGATGTAAGTAAAAATGAGAGTAATTTCTAGAGATCATAGAGTTATTTAGGATATTTATGTTGTTTTTTTCTTTTTTTTGGAAACAGTTTCTCGCTCTGTGTTCCAGGCTGGAGTACAGTGGCGCAGTCATGGGTCACTGCAGCCTCAAGCTCCTGTGCTCACGTGAGCCTCCCGCCTCACCCTTCAGAGTGGCTAGGACTATAGGTGAGCCACCACGCCAGGATTTTTTTTTTTTCTTTTTTTCATACAGTTGGGACTCTCACTGTGTTGCCCAGAGTGGTCTCAAACTCCTGGGCTAAAGGCATCCTCCCACCTCCACCTCAGCCTCCCAAAGTGCTGGGGATTACAGCACTTTGAACCACCGCCCTTTGCCTATATGTTTATGTTTCTAATGATTTTTCAGATTATTTGAGAAAGCAGTGTAAGAAAAAAACTAGTTTAAAAAATACATAGGCCAGGCATGGTGGCTCATGCCTATAATCCTAGTACTTTGGGAGGCCGAGGGAGGCGGATAACCTGAGGTCAGCAGTTCAAGACCAGCCAGGCCAACATGGCGAAACCCCATCTCTACTAAAAATACAAAAATTAGCTGGGCGTGGTAGTGTGTGCCTGTAGTCCCAGCTACTCGGGAGACTGAGGCAGGAGAATCGCTTGAACTCGGGAGGCAGAGGTTGCAGTGAACCGAGATCATGCCACTGCACTCCAGCCTGGCCAGGCAACAGAGCGAGACTCCGTCTCAAAAAAAAAAAAACAAAAACATAAAACAAAAAAAAAAACACACACACAAAACATAAGGGCCGAGTACAGTGGCTCACACCTGTAATTTCACCACTCTGGGAGGCCAAGGCCAGTAAATTGCTTGAGCTCAGGAGTTTGAGACCACCTAGGCAACATGGTGAAACCCTGTCTCAACTAAAAATAAAAAAACCAGCTGGGCATGGTGGTACGCCCTTGTAGTTCCAACTACTCAGGAGGCTGAGGCAGGAGGATTGCTTGAGTCCAGGAGGTCAAAGCTGCAGAGAGCTGAGATCACACCACTGCAATCCAGCGTGGGCAACAGAGCAAGAACCTGTCTCAAAACAAAAGGAAAAATGCTTTAAGGAATCACAAAAGAATGAGCTTCTATTCAGTGTTAACAATTAAAATCCCACCTAATCCAGCAAAAAGAATTTGTAGGTCTCATTATGCTTTTGGAAAGGGGATAAGTATACGTATTTTAAGCTAAAGGAAGACTGCTATATACTCTTTCAATTTGGGCAATTATCCTCTGGAAAGTACCTAATGCTTTTAATTAAGTAATGATACTAAAACAAACCTTAATTTTTTGTGTTCTTGTTTTGACTGAGGTAGAAATTTGCTATTCTCCACTTTCGCAAGAGCTGTGATTATTTTTGGATGGAACAACTAACTATCTAGGAATTATCTCAGACTGCATCTTTCTACCCTGACAGATTTTGCATGGTTCCTTAATCCTCTGCATGTGCCAATTACTGTATTTAATTAGAAGGAGATTAGATAGAAGCACTAATAACCCAAGTCAGACACACACACACACACACACACACACACACACACACAGAGAGAGAGAGAGAGAGAGAAAGAAATATGACTTAGTTCCTAGACATCTTTATCATTGAAAAATAATTCCCAAAATGACAGACATTGGCTTGTGTAGGACTCTAGAAATTTGTATGCATAGACACTGGAACAGCCAACAGGAAAGGACTAGAAAGAAATGGCCCTGTTTCAGAATGGTGGTACTCAAATTTTCCAGCTAATGGTACATACCAAAGTTTGAAAGTCAAATACAATACAAGCCTTATTAGAATTAGAAAGAAATAACAAAAAAAAATAGCAGTCCAGTTTAAACCACCCCTCTGTAATCCTGACTCCCAATTGTCAGAGGCAACACTATTAAGTCTTGTAATTATTTCTTCTGGTATTTACCTCCATATTTCTAAGTAACATTCATACTATTATTTCATGATTTTTTTTTCAAGTGTAGGCACTATATAAATTTAGACAAATACTGACTTCCATTCACTTTCTCTCCCTTTTTTTTTTTTTTTTTTTGAGACAGAGTTTCACTCTTGTTGCCCAGGCTGGAGTGCAATGGCACGATCTCGGCTCACCGCAACCTCCACCTCCTGGGTTCAAACGATTCTTCTGCCTCAGCCTCCAAGTAGCTGGGATTACTGGCATGCACCACCACGCCCGGCTAATTTTTGTATTTTTTTAGTAGAGATGGCATTTCTCCATGTTGGTCAGGCTGGTCTTGAACTCCCGACCTCAGGTGATCTGCCTGCCTCAGCCTCTCAAAGTGCTGGGTTACAGGCATGAGCCACCACACCTGGCCCACTTTCTCTCCTTCTTCCTAGTATACCTACATCATCATTTTTGGTTAAATAAATTGTCAATGCTTATACTTTTTTTTTTTAGATGGACTCTCGTTCTATTGCCCAGGCTGGAGTGCAGTGGCACAATCTCGGCTCACTGCAACCTCTGCCTCCCGGGTTCAAGAGATTCTCCTGCCTCAGCCTCCCAGATAGCTGGGACTACAGCCACATGCCTGGCTAAATTTTGTATTTTTGGTAGAGACAGGCTTTTGCCCTGTTGGCCAGGCTGGTCTCAAACTCGGGACCTCAGGTGATCCTCCTGCCTCCCGGCCTCCCAAAGTGCTGGGATTATAGGCATGAGCCACCATGCCCAGCCAATGCTTATACTTTAAATATTGTTTAACAGCTTAACATTTAGTGCTACTAAGATTACATTTCCTTTCTTATACAACTTTTTTCCTAGCTATTTTTTATATGCTTATTTTTTTAAGCACTTACCAGCAATTTGGCCACAAGTTTACAGAACAGTAAAACTCTGCTCAGAATGGTCAAACACACTAGGCAGTTTATCTATTTCCGTTTTTCCTTAGAGACATTGTTGCTGAAGCCCTCTGTCCTGTCCTTCTGCGGCAGTCTTCACTGGCTGTGAGCCTCAGGTCAGCAAACTACTGCTTTTATAGAGCTTGTGAGCTAAGAATGATTTATAACTTCTAACAGTTAAAAAAAAATCAAAAGAGGAACAATATTTTGTGACACATGAAAAGTATATCAAATTTGGCCGGGCGCAGTGGCTCATGCCTGTAATCCCAGCACTTTGGGAGGCCAAGGCTGATGGATCTCGACGTCAGGAGTTCAAGACCAGCCTGGCCAAGATGGGGAAACCCCGTCTCTACTAAAAATACAAAACTTAGCCTGGCGCCGTGGCAGGCGCCTGTAATCCCAACTACTCAGGAGGCTGAGGCAGGAGAATCACTTGAACTTGGGGGGTGGGCGGAGGTTGCAGTGAGCTGAGATCATGCCACTGCACTCCAGCCTGGGCGACAGAGTGAGACTCCATCTTAAAAAAAAGAAAAACATAAAAGTATATGAAATTCAAATTTCAGTCATAAATAAAATTTTATTAGACACAGCTCCTTTGCTTGAGTATTGTCTATGACTGCCTTGGTGCTACCCTGGCAGGGTTGAGCAGTTGCAGCAGAGACCATATGGCCTGCAAAACCTGAAATATTTACTTTCTGGTTCTTTACAAAAAAGGTTTGTTGACCCCTGTCCTAAGCTTGCTCAAAGCTGTTTCCCCTAGATTTTTTTATCACCATTATCCTGAAAATTCTTATCTTTTATCTTAATTCTTTCCTCACACCTGACTGAAAGTTTGGCCTAATATAGAATTCTATGATGGGGCCGGGCGTAGTGGCTCATTTCTGTAATCCCAGCACTTTGGGAGGCTGAGGTAGGAGGACTGCTTGAGCACAGGAGTTTAAGACCAGCCTGGGCAACAGAAAAAGAATGGGGGAGGACTGTGAAGGATCAGATGGAAGACAAAGAAAAGGAAGATGCTAGGAAATTTCGGATTCTAGGGCTCCCAATCAGTGGACTCAGCCTTAGATAGAAGTTTCCAGTGGCATTTGTCTATAGAAGGTCCTGGCCGTACAGGACTTCAAGACCAGCCTGGCCAACATGGTGAAACCCCATCTCTACTAAAAATAAATAAATTTTAAAAATTAGCCGGGCATGGTGGCGCGCGCCTGTAATCCCAGCTACTCCGGAAGCGGAGGCAGGAGAATCGCTTCAACCTGGGAGGAGGAGGCTGCAGTGAGCCAAGATCATGCCACTGCATTCCAGCCTGCACGACAGAGCAAGACCGTGTCTCAAAAAAAAAAAAAGGTCCTGACCATAGATTTGATGAAATGTAACCTTTTTTCTTCAGGCAGCCACAAGATCGCTCCTTCCTAGGAGGCTCTCCTAAATATCTTCATCAGAGTATTTTTATCTTGCGTTTTTGTTTTGTTTTTTTGTTTTGTTTTGTTTTTGAGACAGAGTCTCGCTCCGTCGCCCACGCTAGAGTGCAGTGGCTCAGTCTCGGCTCACTGCAAGCTCCGCCTCCCAGGTTCACACCATTCTCCTGCCTCAGCCTCCCGAGTAGCTGGGACTACAGGCGCCCACCACTGCGCCCGGCTAATTTTTTGTATTTTTAGTAGAGACGGGGTTTCACCATGTTAGCCAGGATGGTCTCGATCTCCTGACCTCATGATCTGCCCGCCTTGGCCTCCCAAAGTGCTGGGATTACAGGCGTGAGCCACCGCGCGTCCGGTCTGGTTTTGTTTGTTTATGTGTTTGTTTGTTTTGGAAACAAGGTCCCCCTCTGTTGCCCAGGCTGGAGTGCAGTGGCACAATAATAGTTCATTGCAGCCTCAAACTCCTAGGCTCATGTGATCCTCCCAGCTCAGCCTCCTGAATAGCTCGGACTACAGGCTTGTGTTGTTTTAAATTAAAAAAAATCAGGGCTGGGTGCAGTGGCTGACGCCTGTAATCCCAGCACTTTGGGAGGCCAAGGCAGGCAGATCACTTGAGGTCGGGAGTTCCAGACCAGCCTGACCAGCATGGAGAAACCCCGTCTCTACTAAAAATACAAAATTAGCCGGGCGTGGTGGTGCATGCCTGTAATCCCAGCTACTCAGGAGGCTGAGGCAGGAGAATCGCTTGAACCTGGGAGGCAGAGGTTGCGGTGAGCCGAGATCGTGCCATTGCACTCCAGCCTGGGCAACAAGAGCAAAACTCTGTCTCAAAAAAAAAACAAAAACAAACAAAACAAAAAAATCCTTTAGACATCCCTTGTGTTTAATAATCCCTGCTTCACCTTCCTTCATTATTTCAGCAGGAAGAAAAAGTGATATAATAAAGGTGAAGTCAGCCAACTATGTTTTGGTGTGTTTTCTAAGCCCGTAAGGACAATTAAGAAAAGCACCTTGTCAAATTGGGACCTGATAGTTAGTCCAATTAGATGTTATCAGGAATCTATTTCTAGAAGGGCTGTCAATATATGCACTGCCACTATTTGCCATTAGGGGTGCCCTCTGCAAATCATGGAACCAAGCCAGCGCTCAGTTTTTACAACCTGCAACAGGGTAGTGGGGGTTCATCAGCCAGTGGAATCTGAGAGCTGAGCAAGTATAGTGCTGCATACCAAGTGCTGAAAGGTTACTGAGTGAACAAAAGTGGAATGAATGTGTATTTTAAAGGCCAATTGTTCCCATTCAAATCTGAGTTTGAAGGGAAGGAGGCCCAGGCCTTGAGATCATTTTCAGTTCTGCTACTTGAATAACAACATCTTTGTTCCTCAAGTAGCAACAACTAAAAGCAGCAAAGCCCTTCTGGAACTTCAGCTCAAACTAGCTGTGACTTAATTTTCTTCAGAAAAGGATCCAGATTGAAATGTGAATATACTAGATAATGTTTTTGTTTTGTTTTTTCATTTTGTACCACAGCAAGAAGGACCCTTTTATTAAAAGTTTCCAAAATGTTCACTTGGTCACAACCAAGATAATGTTAACATATATTTAATGGTAATATATTTAATGTTAAATTGATCATTATGATATATACTTATATAGATATATGTTAGTGTATAGCATATTAGTGTGTATAGCATCTTAGAAAGAACAGATATATTTATATAAAAATATTTGTTACATTCTTAAGTACAAAGCAGCTTTTATTCTCTTGATAATTCTTGATTATATCCCGACATTTGTATAAAAAATTCACTTTATTTAGACAGATCCTAATTTGCTGTTAGTGTATCAAGTGGCATTGCCACTTTTTATTTTTTTATTTTTTAAATTTTATTTTGATTATTTTAAAATTGACCTATAGGACCGGGCGCGGTGGCTTATGCCTGTAATCCCAGCACTTTGGGAGGCCGAGGCAGGCAGATCACGAGGTCAGGAGATCGAGACGATCCTGGCTAACATGGTGAAACCCCGTCCCCACTAAAAATACAAAAAATTAGCCAGGCGTGGATGGCGGGCACCTGTAGTACCAGCTACTCGAGAGGCTGAGGCAGGAGAATGGCGTGAATCCAGGAGGCGGAGCTTGCAGTGAGCCAAGATCGCGCCACTGCACTCCAGCTTGGATGACGGAGCAAGACTCTGTCTCTAAATAAATAAATAAATTGACCAATAATAATTATACATATTTGTGGGGTACACAGTGATGTTTTGATACATATAATGTATAGTGAATAGGTCAGGGTAGTTAGTATATCCATCATCTTCAACATGTCATTTATTTGTGTTAGTAAAATTCAATGCACTCCTTCTAGCTATTTGAAACTAGATAATATATTATTGTTAACTATAGTCATCCTACAGTGCCATAGAACACTAGAACTTATTCCTGCTATCTAGCTGTAATTATATTACTGGAAAGGGGTCCCAATCCAGACCCCAAAAGAGGATTCTTGTACCTTGTGCAAGCAAAAATTCAGGACAAGTCCATAAAGGGCAAGCATGTCTATTAAGAAAGTAAAGGAATAAAAAAATGGCTATTCCATAGGCAGAGCAGTGGCATGGGCTGCTCAACTGAGTATACTTATATCTTGATTATATGCTAAACAAGGGGTGGATTATTCATGAGTTTTCTGGGGAAAGGGTGGGGATTTCCCAGAACTGAGGGTTCCTTCCCTTTTTAGACTATATAGGGTAACTTCCAGACATTACCATGGCATTTGTAAACTGTCTTGGTGCTGGTGGGAGTGTCTTTTAGCATGCAAATGCATTATAACTAGTGTATAATGAGCAGTAAGGACAATCAGAGGCCACTTTCATTGCTCTCTTGGTTTTGGCCACGTTCTTTACTGCATCCTGTTTTATCAGAAGGGTCTTTGAGGCCTGTATCTTGTGCCAACCTCCTATCTCATCCTGTGACTAAGAATGTCTAACGTCCTGGGAATGCAGCACAGTAGGTCTTAGCCTCATTTTACCCAGCTCCTATTCAAGATTGAGTTGCTGTGGTTCAAATGTCTCTATTTTGTATCCTTTAACCAATCTTTCCCTATTCCTCCTTCCTCCCCACCTTTCCCAGTATCCTGGGAAAGATACTATCCCTCTAGTATCCTCTGTTCTACTAGGTAATGTTTTTATTTTATTTTATTTTATTTTATTTTATATATTTATTTATCAGATGGAGTCTTGCTTTGTCACCCAGGCTGGAGTGCAGTGGCGTGATCTCGGCTCACTGCAACCTCTGCCTCCTGGGTTCAAGTGATTCTCCCACCTCAGCCTCCCCAGTAGCTGGGACCACAGGCACCGTGCCACCATGCCCAGCTAATTTTTGTATTTTTAATAGAGACAGGGTTTTGCCATGTTGGCCAGGCTGGTCTCAAACTCCTGGCCTCGAGTGATCTGCCCACCTCGGCCTCCCAAAGTGCTGGGATTACAGACGTGAGCCACCACACCCAGCCGGTGATGTTTTTAAATGCTTTAAAATAACTCTTTTAAGGCCCATGCCTGTAATCCCAGCACTTTGGGATTACGCCACCAGTGTGGTGGCGTGTGCCTGTGGTCCCAGCTACTTGGGAGGCTGAGGCAGGAGAATCATTTGAACCTGGGAGGTGGAGGTTGCAGTGAGCCAAGATCATGCCACTGCACTGCAGCCTGGGTGACGGAGCTAGACTGTGCCTCAAAAAATAAAATAACATAACTGTTTTAAAACACTCATGTCTTAGATTTGGGGTAATTGTTATTTCATTTTACAGTGTATTGCCTATTTAATCTAGTGTCACACCACAGCGTATTAGAAAGAACATGGAAGACTTACAGGTTTGGACTTACTGCATTGCATTGACAGATTGTCTAATCTTTTTTATCCTCAGTTTATTCTTCTGTAAAAACGGGAATAAAAATCCTCCTTGTCAGGGATAATACCTTGCAGGATAGTAAGGGTTAACTGAAAAGATGTATGTGAAGATACCTAACAGTAAAGGGGTATTGAATAAATGGTTAATGTTGTTTCCTTATCTTCTCACTACCAATTCCACCTGTCACAGTGGATGCTCAGTAGATGCTGCTGGTAAAGAAACATATTCTTTTTTTTTTTTTTTTTTTTTGAGGCGGAGTTTTCGCTCTTGTTGCCCAGGTGGGAGTGCAATGGTGCAATCTCAGCTCGCCACAACCTCCGCCTCCCGAGTTCAAGCGATTCTCCTACCTCAGCCTCCCCAATAGCTGGGATTACAGACATGCACCACCATGCCTGGCTGATTTTGTATTTTTAGTAGAGACGGGGTTTCTCCACGTTGGTCAGGCTGGTCTCGAACTCCTGACCTCAGGTGATTCACCCGCCTCGGCCTCCCAAAGTGCTGAGATTACAGGCATGAGCCACCACACCTGGCCAACATATTATTTTAATAACTGACTATAACCCACCTACAGCCATTTTCGCTACTATAAAGAAAGGAAAATTCATTTAACTTAATGAAGAAAAGCAACACAAGCAAAACAAACTGAGAGAGTAATATAATGCCAAGACCAAGATCTCTCCAGAGATAGTTTAAATCTGTGTTTACATTTTCCCCTACTTCAGGGCTCTTCTGGGATGCTGGTAGTGACCTATTTCTTAACCAAGATGGTGGTTTCAAGGGTGTGTTCATGGTATAATTCATTAACTATACACTTAAGATTTGTGTACTTTCTATATGTATATATTATTCTTCAATTAAAAATGTAAAAAAATTTCTCTGCAGAAATCATGCCCAAGTTCAAACAACGAAGACGAAAGCTAAAAGCCAAAGCCGAAAGATTATTCAAAAAAAAAGAAGCCTCTCACTTTCAGTCCAAGCTAATTACACCTCCTCCTCCACCACCCTCACCAGAAAGGTAAGGCTTAATGTGGAACAGAAAAAATATTAGAGAGATCTGATCAGTTTAAGATAGAGTTTCAGATTTAGCAAATAAAAATAGAAGGCAGGCCGGGTGCAGTCATTCATTCCTGTAATCCCAGCACTTTGGGAGGCCGAGGTGGGTGGATTACCTGAGGTCAGGAGTTCAAGACCAGCCTGGCCAATGTGGCAAAACCCTGTCTCTACTAAAACTACAAAAATTAGCCTGCGTGGTGGCGGGCAACTGTAATCCCAGCTTCTCGGGAGACTTAGGCAGGAGAATTGCTTGAACCAGAGAGGCAGAGGTTGCAGTGAGCCGAGATCACACCACTGCACTCAAGCCTGGGCAACAAGAGCGAGACTCCCTCTCAGAAAAAAAAAAGAAGGCCCAGTTAAATTTGAATTTCAGATAAACAATGAATAATTTTTTCATATAATTATGTCCTATGTGACATTTGGAATATATTTATACTAAAATTATGCATGCTTTATCTGAAATTAATTTTTTATTTTAATTTTTATTTATTTATTTACTTTTGAGACTGAGTCTTACTCTGTCACTTAAGCTGGAGTGCAGTAGCATGATCAAGGCTCACTGCAGCCTTGATTTCCTGGGCTCAAGAGATCTTCCCACTCTGTCTCCAAAACAAACAAACAAAACCTCTAGCTTGGGATTGGCCTTCTCTTCTATTATTTTTCTTTTTAAAAAAAATTTTAAAAAATAGATGTTGATGCTGTGTTGCCCAGGCTGGCCTCAAACTCCTGGCCTCAAGTGATCCTCCCACCATGACCTCCAAAAGTGCTGGGAATGTAGGTGTGAGCACTGTACCCACCCTCATGTTTTTTTCTACATAAAAAATAATGCAGGATTATCTTCTAGAGCTAATTAGTATGATCAAATAACCAAAACCCCATTAAGGAAAAATGTCACATGACAGCAAATAATCAATCCAGACCAATATGATCACACTCACTGTGAAGGTGAGAAAACTTCATCTTTATTACGTTTCCCCAACAGACGCACTGCATTGTTCTCTTGAAAACACACAGCTCATGTCCTCCTTTAAAACCCACATCCTCTTTAAAGTAACACACGGCCAGGCGCGGTGGCTCATGCCCGTAATCCTAGCACTTTGGGAGGCCGAGGCGGGCGGATCATGAGGTCAGGAGATCGAGACCATCCTGGCTAACACGGTGAAACCCCGTCTCTACTAAAAATACAAAAAAAAAATTAGCCGGGCGCGGTGGCAGGCGCCTGTAGTCCCAGCTACTCGGGAGGCTGAAGCAGGAGAATGGCGTGAGCCCGGGAGGCAGAGCTTGCAGTGAGCCGAGACAGTGCCACTGCGCTCCAGCCTGGGAGAAAGAGCGAGACTCCGTCTCAAAAAAAAAAAAAGTAACATACAAACATGACAATACAAAGTAAAAAATTACATCTGAATTCTCACATTTCAAAAACATACAGTAAACATCAAATAAAAATTTATTTTTATAAGAATTTAGGGGAACTATCATGTAGCTATAAGTGTAATACATATATTAAGTATCATAGATAAAAGGAGTGCTCCCTTCAGCAGCACATGTAACCATAGATACAAAGATTTAAATATAAAAGATTTAGGATAAAAAGAATCCTCTCTTAAAAAGGAAAACAAAATTATATGTATATAGCAGCTATGACACCCATCTCACAACTTTACAGGAACAGTATCCAAAAATACCAGTATTTTCAAAATATTTAAAATAAATGTAGTAATAATTCTATGCCCATCTTTTTCAAAATAAACCAATAAAATATATAGTATATATTAGACATGTTAGTATATCTAAGACATGTTAAAAATTACAACTGAATTCTCACAATTCAGTCACAAATCTAAACAGCAAATAAAAATTTCTATGACAGGAACTTAGGGTAACTACCAATAGCTATAAATAGAAGAGATTATTATGTAAGTATCATAGATAAAAAGTGTACTCGCTTCAGGGGCACATATAATAATACAGAAAACATTTAAAGATAAAAGATTTAGGATAAAAAGGATTCTCTGTTGAAATGAAAATTATCTTTATATATATATATACATAACAGCTATAACTCATGAAAAAATCTACAGGAACAGCATATTTTCAAAAGTACAACAATTTTGAAGCTATTTGAAATAAACCTATTAATAATTCGATGGCCAACATTTTCCAAACAAACCAATAAATGCATAGTGTGTATGAAGCTATCTGTTACAGTCTATGGCACTCATATTTTTACAAAGAATTCTGTGCTAATCTGAGTGTCTGCACTGTGCCTTCAAATGCTCTTGGACTGTGGCAACCAAGTCCATAGGAAAGAGGACCTCCAGGTTCCGCCCCAGGGAGGTTGGAATTCAGCGGTATAAAAATAGAGGTGGTGGTGCAGAAAGGGGTGGAACCAGAAACACCCCTGGTTTCTCACTGTTCTCTATGGATTCCTAGAAGTGAGAGGTGACAGCGTGCTGGCAGCCCTCGCTCGCTTTCCGTGCCTCCTCACCTGGGCGCCCACTCTGGCCAGCCTTGAGGAGCCCTTCAGCCCGCCGCTGCACTGTGGGAGCCCCTTTCTGGGCTGGCCAAGGCCGGAGCCAGCTCCCTCAGCTTGCGGGGAGGTGTCAAGGAAGAGGCACGGGCGGGAACCGGGGCTGCGCGCTGCGCTTGCATGCCAGCTTGAGTTCTGGGTGGGCGTGGTTTGGCGGCCCCCACACTCTGAGCTGTCGGCTGCCCCGGCCAGCCCGGGCAGTGAGGGGCTTAGCAACCGGACCAGCAGCTGCAGGGGGTGCGCGGGGTCACCCAGCAGTGCTGGCCCACTGGCGCTGTGCTCGATTTCTCGCCGGGCCTCAGCTGCCTCCCCGTGGGGCAGGGCTCGGGACCTGCAGCCCGCCATGCCTGAGTCTTCCCTGCCATGGTGGGCCCCTGCACCACCTGAGTCTCCCTGACGAGCGCCGCCCCCTGCTCCACAGCACCCATCGCATGCCCGCCCAAGGGCTGAGGAGTGTGGGCACATGGCGCAGGGCTGGCAGGCAGCTCCAACTGCCCTCCCGGTGCGAGATCCACTGGGTGAAGCCAGCTGGGCTCCTGAGTCTAGTGGGGACTTGGAGAATATTTATGTCTAGCTAAGGGATTGTGAATGCACCAATCGGCACTCTGTATCTAGCTCGAGGTTTGTAAACACACCAATCAACACTCTGTGTCTAGCTCAGGGTTTCTAAATACAGCAATTGACACTCTGTATCTAGCTAATCTAGTGGGGACATGGATAACTTTTGTGTCTAGCTCAGGGATTGTAAAGGCACCAATCAGCACCCTGTGAAAATGGACCAATCAGCTCTCTGTAAAACAGACCAATCGGCTCTCTGTAAAATGGACCAATCAGCAGGATGTGGGTGGGGCCAGATAAGAATAAAAGCAGGCTGCCCAAGCCAGTAGTGGCAACCAGTGGGGGCCACTTTCACGCTGTGGAAGGTTTGTTCTTTGGCACTTTGCAATGAATCTTGCTACTGGTCACTCTTTGGGTCCGCACTGCCTTTATGAGCTGTAACACTCACCATGAAGGTCTGCAGCTTCACTTCTGAAGCCAGTGAGACCACGAACCCACCGGGAGGAACGAATAACTCCAGACGCCCTGCCTTAAGAGCTGTAACACTCACCGCGAAGGTCTGCAGCTTCACTACTGAAGCCAGCAAGACCACGAACCCGCCAGAAGGCTGAACACATCTGAACATCAGAAGGAACAAACTCCGGACACGCCACCTTTAAGAACTGTAACATGGCGAGGGTTGGCAGCTTCATTTTTGAAGTCGGTGAAACCAAGAACCCACCAATTCCAGACACAGAAGTACCCCCCTGGTTCTGGGAGGACGACTTGATCACTCTATTCAGCTCCGTCTAGAACAGTCCAGGTTCTTCTAGATGATCTGCACAAATGGCTCCTCTCCTCCTTCCTGGTGTCTGTCATTAGCAATGGAATAAAGTTCCTGCTGAAAATTCACATCTCCCCTGGATCCGGTGTTCTGGAAGTGAGAGAGAGGATGTCATACTTAAAGGAGGCGGCTCTCTAGACAGGAAGGTTATTCACGTCCCACATCAAGTCTAACTAGAGTTCAGAGCAGTTGAGAAATCAAATTTTATCTCCTGTCCTTCATTCTATAGCCTGCTTCTGAACCATCGTGTTCAGCTGTGAAACTCACAGTTTGGTAACCCTGACTCCAAAACTCACTCAATATACCCAAGGTCAGCCCCAGTGATCTGCTTCATAGCAAGGACTTTGGGTGGGTCTGCCCAGGGAGTAGGGCACCCTCAAAGAATGTGGCTTTGGACTTCATCACAACTGGGGCCTTTTGCATTACTTAAGAGCTAAACTCGTAACCATGCTAGATCCGTTTCTAATGTGACAACATCACAAACCCTGAGTCCAGAAGCCTAATCCATAATCCTACCTCCTCATGATGAAGTCTCATGCTCTGTGCTGAACGTGGTTAGCTGCACAAGATGTGAACCAAAGCTTCACTGAACCCTCGACCCAAATCGGTAACTCAAGTGTGTCAATCATAATGAACCTCCCCGAACTCAGTATTTATGATTATTTTTGAGTCAGGGTCTCACTCTGTTGCTCGGGCTGGAGTGCAGTGGCAGGATCAGGGCTCCCTGCAGCCCCAACCTCCCAGGCTCCAGTGATCCTCCCACATCACCTGGCTAATTTTTGTATTTTTATGGAGAGGGGATCTCGCCATGTTGCCCAGGCTCGAAGCCGGATCAAGCAATTGGGTTCCTCGGATTTCCAAAATAGACCCCAATATTCTGCCTTTACCCCAGAGGACACAGATGTACCTTCCCTCAGGCTGATGACCTCAGGCCTCACAGTCCCTGGAGCTCTAGGAAACGCGGTGCGATCTCGTGCCCACACCCAGTGCTCTGGGTTATAAGCCTGGATCTGGAAAAACAAACGCCCCTTAAGAAGATGGGGACTCCCCAGGATACCCCTCCCTCCCCTTGTCCAGCCTCCAGCCCACCTGATTCCTCCCCACCTCCTCCACCTACCCCCACCCCGCCTACCTCCTCCAACTACTCCAGGGAAACCCAAGCCCTCCAGCGCATGGAACGGAAGAACTGGAACCGAAGTTTATGGAACAAGGGTATCTGGGAGTGGTTCTTCCCGTACAGGAAGTAGAAAATGTTTCATTTGGAGGCCTCGTTGTCCTCCTCCATGTCATTGGCCAGGTAGCTGGGGACAGAAATCAGGTTGCCGCTCAGGGACACCACCAGGAGAGACCTCTGGCTGAGGTCAGCTTCCCAGAGAGGAGGGCAGGGGACGATCCTCAGCTCAGGACTGGCACCCACCCTGCAGAACCATGCCTTCCTCAGGAGGGCCCTGATTGTCAGAGACCTGCTGAAGGGCGTCTCCCACTCCTTCAGGATGAAGACAAAAACCCAACTGGTGGCCGAGAGTGGTGGCTTACGCCTGGAATCCCAGCACATTGGGAGGCTGAGGCAGGAGGATCATTTGAGGCCAGGAGTTTGAGATGAGCCTGGGCAACATAGCAAGACCCTCGTCTCTATAAAAAATGTAAAAGACACGCCAGACGTGGTGGCTCATGCCTGTAATCCCAGCAATTTGGGAGGCTGAAGCAGGTGGGTCGCTTGAGGCCAGGAGTTCGAGACCAGCCCCATATCTACTAAAGATACAAAAATCAGCCTGGTGTGGTGGCACACCTCTTAGTCCTAGCTACGCAAGAGGCTGAGGCACAAGAATTACATGAACCCAGGAGGAGGAGGTTGCAGTGAGCCGAGATTGGGCCACTCCATTCCAGCCTCAGAGGCAGAACAAGACTCTGTCTCAATAAATAAATAAATAACTGTCCAGGTGTGGTGTCACAGCCCTGTAGTCAAAGCTAATCCGGAGGCTGAGGTGGGAGGATCACTGGAGTACAGGATATGGAGGCTGCAGTGAGCTATGATCTCACCACTGCACTCCAGCTTGGGGGACAGGGCAAGTCTGTCTCAAAAAAATAAAAGAAATTGAATACATTGATATTGTGCCAAGACCCTGCCTTCTACAGGCATCTAGTCTAATGGGACTGGGAGTAATCAGGGCAGATGACGTAATCCCAATATCACATTATAATAGGATGTAACTGGAGAGCTACAAGCATGTAAAAGTTGCAAGATGAGGGAAGGCATCACAGAGGCTATGGGGTGAACTGACTTTAAGGAATGGGTCCTTCCCTTCAGAACCACATGTGTGCGGGACACCCAGACAGAAAACACAAACGCAAAGTCGAGTGGAGGGCATTTGGAAAGAGCGGTGAAGCCACACCAGGAAACACCAAGATGGCGAGCCAGTTTGGTTGTAGAGATTATAGAGAGGGTGGAATTTGCACTGTGGACCCTGGCCTCAATTTAGAAAGACATCAGCTAAGGAAGTTGTTCAGGTGGGCAGTGAGGGTGTTGTGCTTTGGAAAGACGCTCAGGCTGCACTAGGAAGCCCCCAGGCTTGGGGAGAGACTCCAGGAGGCCCCAGCAGGGAGCATTTGACAGTGGATTCGAGTGATGCAAGGGGGACCTGAACTGTTGCCTCTGTCATGGGAACCCGGAGGAGGTCGATGGCGTTTGCAGTTGATATGGGAAGGAGAGAGACAGAAGAACCAGAAATGTCTGCTTGCTGGGGGAAGCATCGTGTCCGCTCCTTTGCTCCTTTTCTTCTCCCCTTAGGAGCGGTTTATGGTTCCTTTTGTTTTATTCTTTTATTTGTACACTGGCGTTGGAATTTGGTTTTTTTGGCTTTTTTTTTTTTTTTTTTTTTTTTTTTTTTGAGAAAAAGTCTCGCTCTGTTGCCCAGGCTGGAATGCAGTGGCTCAAACTTAGCTTACTGCAATGTCTGCCTCCTGGGTTCAACGGGTTCTCTTGCCTGAGCCTCCCGAGTAGTTTGGATTACAGGTGCACACCACCATGCCTGGCTAATTTTTCTATTTTTAGTAGAGATGGGGTTTTGCCATGTTAGTCAGGCTGGTCTCAAACTCCTGACCTCAAGTGATCTGCTTGCCTCGGCCTCCCGAAGTGCTGGGATTATAGGCGTGAGCCACCGCGCCCAGCCTGAGTTTCTTTTTAGAAACAGCAGTCTAAAAACAAGATAGTATAATCCTCTTTTTTGTACACAGAGTAAAGAGGACAAATAGGTGCAAGAATAAATGAAAGGCTGGAATCCCACTTCCCCCGCTGTCCCAGGGTATTGGATATTGACAGATAGGAGGAAGCAAACCACTCACAGAGCCAGGAATAAATGAATGCATTGGTATTGCCGGGAGAAGAGGCCGGCGCGGCTAAAATATGCTATGACCATAGCCAGGAGATACTGGTGGAGAGAAAGGAACACAGAAAGGGAGAGGTCACATCTTGGGAGAGGAAGATCGTGGAGACAGTGGAATGGGGGTCTAGGGAGGGTTTGCCCATCAGAGAAGGGACCTGAGTGTTGGGGTGACTGTGCTCATGTGGAAATTGCGGGGTGGTGGGGTATTTGAAGGTCGGATGCAAATCCGAGAAGCTGGAGGAAGGCATGTTGGTGATGCTCCCAGGATGGTGGGCTCTGATGAGATCTTTGAAGGAGTGTGTCTAGGTCGGCTGGTATCAGGAGGGTCTTTTGTGTGCCAGGCAGAGAACTGTCCCAAAGAACTGAGAGTAAAGGGGCTAGGAGCTTCAGGGCTGCGGCCTGACTGTGGCCCAGAGCTCAGATCCCAAATGACCCATAGGAGAGGCAGGGGCCACTCATTCACTCAGCAAGAGACCAGCAGAGTCCTGAGGGAGATGCTGACAAATAATAAAAAGACCAAGAATAGCCGGGAGTGGCAGCTCAAGCCTGTGATCCCAGAAGTTTGAGAGGCTGAGACAGGAGGATCAAGTGAGTCCAACAGTTCTAGAACAACCTGGGCAACATAGCAAGACTGTTTGTATAAAAATTATTCGAGCATGATGGCATGTGCCTGTACTCCCAACTGCTCAGGAGGCTGAGGCAGGATTGCAAGAGCCCAGGAATTAGAGGCTGTGGTGAGCTGTGATCATGCCACTGCACTCCATCCTGTGGAACACAGCTAGATACTGTCTCGAAAAAAAAAAAAAAACAGGTGGGCACCAAGACTCAAGACTGTGGGAGCCAGAGGGGCACAGTGGCTCACATCTGTAATCCCAGCATTTTGGGAGGCCAAGGCAAGCGGAACACCTGAGGTCAGGTGTTCAAGACCAGCCAGGTCAACATGGCAAAACCCCATCTCTACTAAAAACACAAAAATTAGCCAGCCATGGTGGTGCATGCCTGTAATCCCAGCTGCTTGGGAGGCTGAGGCAGGAGAATGCCTTGAACCCAGGAGGCTTCAGCTGCAGTGAGCCAAGGTTGAGACACTGCCCTCCAGCCTGGGCAACAGAGCGAGACTGTCTCACAAAAAGAAAAGAAGACTGTGGGAGCATCTGGTGGGAAGTGCTGGAGGGAGAGAAGAGAGGAACTGTGGGTTTAGAAGCTGCACCCTCCCCCTGGCAGTGCACTGAAGCAGGAACACGGTTCCGTGGAGAACAAACTTACCTTGTCTGACAACCTCAAATCTTTGTCCCAGGCGAGGAAGCTTTTAATGACAGGATCCTCTGTGATTAGAGAGTAGATGTCAGCTTGAAAAGCAGGACAGGGTTTCCGTGGGAGCAGCAGGGCAGCAAGGAGAAGTGTGTCTCCCAGGGGGAAGTCTCAGGATTGCTGCCACAGGTGAGGTGGATGGGAAAGAGGAGAATGACTTTCACTGGGCAAGGGAGAGAGGCTCCCGCTCTGAGACTCCCCTGAGAAGAGGCTGAAGGAGGCCCTGGGTGTGAGAATCTACAGGATGTAGAGCTGGCAAAAAGCCAGAATGCCCTCCCAGCAGACACAGAGGGACCACTGCAGAGTCATAAAGGAATTCCCATCATTTCCTCATGAGACAGTCACATCAGGGTGTGACTATGGCCTAGGTATCCCCCTCTATGGATGGAGACACTTAGGTTTAGAAAAGTCAGCAAGAGACATTAAGTTTCAGAGGGCACAGCTGAAGCCGCTTTCTTTGATTTTTTATTGTGATTTATTGATTTATTTATTTATTTATTGAGATGGAGTCTCGCTCTGTGGGCCGGGCTGGAATGCAGTGGCATGATCTCAGCTCACTGCAACCTCGGCCTCCCGAGTTCAAGCGATTCTCCTGTCTCAGTCCCCTGAGTAGCTGGGATTACAGGCGTGTGCTACCACGCCTGGCTAATTTTTGTATTTTTAGTAGAGATCAGATTTTACTATGTTGGTCAGGCTGGTCTCTAACTCCTGACCTGCCTCGGCCTCCCAAAGTGCTGGGATTACAGGTTTGAGCTACTGTGCTTTTTCTTTTGAGACAGAGTTTTGCTCTGTCACCCCGGCTGGAGTGCAGTGGTGCCATCATAGCTCACTGCAGCCTCAAAGTCCTGAGTTCAAGCAATCCTCTTAACTCAGCCTGCCAACATGCTGGGATCTCAGACGTGAGCCACCGCACTTGGCCCAAAACCAAGCTTTCTTATCCCAATTGCCAACCTAATCCTAATCTTCTATCATCTCCTAAGTGTCCCTCATGAGTGATCACTTCTGAGTCCTCCCGCATGGAGAGCTCACCCACTGGGGGCATATTTTTCCCATTGGAAAAGTGTGGTTATTGGAAGTTTCCTCTTTTTTAAAAGAACAGGATTGGAGGTGCTCTCTGGGGTGTCCTCCTACCAAGCAGCCTGTTGAAAGTCTCGTGGTGCTCAGGGAGCACGGGTGACACTCGCCATTGCTTCAGCTTCATCTTGAGCCCACACAGCGTCTCCGCCACCCAGGTCTCCTCAGGCTCAGGGGCGAGCTCCTTCTCTGGCTCCTCCTCCGATGACTCCTCAGATTCGTCCGACCACTCCCTCTTCCTTTTCCAGCAAAGGGACCCACACAGGGGGCTGGGATCTACCCCAGGGGCTGAGTAAAGAAACCAGGCCACTGTATAATGCTTCTGCAATTGAACTCCTTAGAGCCAGACCCAAAACGCCAAACCACTCTCCATCCTCCCCAGCCTCGCAGACTGCTGGCTTCTCCAAGCCATCTTTCCGTCTTTCTCCTTTGCTGAACCCCATGAGCCGCTCCTTCCCCTCCCCATTCTTCCATCTCTCTGTCCTCAGAACACTTCCTCATTTCCTTCCCTCATCCCTAGTTCTCTGAGTCTCTCCTTTTTTTTTTTTTTTTTTTTTGACACAGAGTCTTGCTTTGTCGCCCAGGCTGGAGTGTAGTAGTGCAATCTCGGCTCACTGCAATCTCCGTCTCCCAGGTTCCAGTGATTCTCCTGCCTCAGCCTCCCAAGTAGCTGGGATTACAGGTGCCCGTAATAACGCCCAGCTCATTTTTGTTCTTTTAGTAGGGATGGGGTTTCACCATGTTGGCCAGGCTGGTCTCAAACTCCTGGCCTCAAGTGATCCGCCTGCCTTGGCCTCCCGAAGTGCTGGGATTACAGGTGTGAGCCACTGCACCCTGCCTCAGTCCCTCCATTCTTCCCACACACCTCCTCAGGTGCTCCTTCCTGACTTCTGGGCCCGTCCTTGTTTTTTTTTTTTTGTTTTTTTTGTTTTTTTTGCCACAGGGTCTCAGTCTCTCAGACTGGAGTGCAGTGGTGCTATCTCGGCTCAAAGCAACCTCTGCCTCCCGGGTTCTAGAGATTCTCCTGTCTCAGCCTCCCAAGTAGCTGGGAATACAGGCGTGCGCCACCACACCCGGCTAAGTTTTGTATTTTTAGTATTGACTAGGTTTCACTATATTGGTCAGGCTGGTCTCGAACAACTGACCTCAGGTGATCCACCCGCCTCAGCCTCCCAAAGTGCTGGGATTACAGACATGAGCTACTGCGCCCGGCCTTTGGTTTTCTTTTGAAACAGGGTTTTGTTCTGTCATGCAGGCTGGAGTGCAGTCGTGCAGTCATAGCTCACTGCAGCCTCAAAGTCCTGAGTTCAAGCAATTCTCTTGCCTCAGCCTCCCAGTGTGCTGGGATCTCAGGCATCAGCCACAGCACCTGTCCCGAAACCAAACTTTCTTTTTTTGTTGTTTTTTTGTTTTTTTGAGACAGAGTCTCTCTCTGTCACCCAGGCTGGAGTGTAGTGGCGCGATCTCAGCTCACTGCAAGCAACACCTCCGGGGTTCACGCCATTCTGCTGCCTCAGCCTCCCAAGTAGCTAGGACTACAGGCGCCCACCACCACGCCCAGCTAATTTTTTATATTTTTAGAAAGACTGTGTTTCACCATGTTAGCCAGGATGGTCTCGATCTCCTGACCTCGTAATCCGCCCGCCTCGGCCTCCGAAAGTGCTGGGATTACAGACGTGAGCCACAGCGCCCAGCCCAAAACCAAGCTTTCTTATCCCGAGAGCCAAACTTTATCAACTCCAGCCTAATCCTCTATCATCTCCTAAGCGTCCCTCATGAGTGATCACTTCTGAGTCCTCCCGCATGGAGAGCTCACCCACTGGGGGCATATTTTTCCCATTGGAAAAGTGTGGTTATTGAAAGTTTTCCTCGTTTTTAAAAGAACAGGATTGGAGGTGCTCTCTGGGGTGTCCTCCTACCAAGCAGCCTGTTGAAGTCCTCATGGTGCTCAGGGAGCACGAATGACACTAGCCGTTGCTTCAGCTTCAGCTTCATTTTGAGCCCACACAGCATCTCCGCCACCCAGGTCTCCTCAGGCTCAGGGGCGAGCTCCTTCTCTGGCGCCTCCTCCGATGACTCCTCAGATTGGTCCGACCACTCCCTCTTCCTTTTCCAGCAAAGGGACCTACATGGGAGGCTGGGATCTACCCCAGGGGCTGAGTAAAGAAACCAGGCCACCATGTAATGCTTCTGCAACTGATCACCTTAGACCCCGACCCCGACCCCAACCCCAAACCACTCTCCATCCTCCCCAGCCTTGCAGACTGTTGGCTTCTCCAAGCCATCTTTCTGGCTTTCTCCTCTGCTCAACCCCATGAGCCGCTCCTTCCCCTCCCCATTCTTCCGTATCTCTGTCCTCAGAACACTTCTTCATGTCCTTCCCTGGTCCCTGGCTCTCTGAGTCCCTCCTTTTTTGCTTGTTTTTTTGTTATTGGTTTTTTTTTTTTTTGTTTCGAGACAGAATCTTGCTTTGTCGCCCGGGCTGGAGTGTAGTGGTGCAATCTCAGTTCACTGCAACATCTGTCTCCCGGATTCCAGTTATTCTCATGCCTCAGCCTCTCAGGTAGCTGGGATTACAGGTATCTGCCATAATGCCCAGCTCAATTTTGTACTTTTAGTAGAGATGGGGTTTCACCATGTTGACCAGGCTGGTCTCAAACTCCTGGCCTCAAGTGATCTGCCCGCCTTGGCCTCCCAAAGTGCTGGGATTACAGGTGTGAGCCACTGCACCTGGCCTGAATTTCTCCATTCTTCCCATACACCCTCCTCAGGTTCTCCTTCCTGACCTCTGACCCTTCTTTTTTTTTTTTTTTTTTTTGAGACAGTGTCTCACTCTCTCACCCAGACTGGAGTGCGGTAGCACAATCTTGGCTCACTGCAACCTCTTCCTCCCAGGCTCAAGTGATTCTCCTGTCTCAGCCTCCCAAATAGCTGGGATTACAGGCGCGCACCACTACCACCTGGCTAATTTTTGTACTTTTAGTAGAGATGGGGTTTCACCATGTTGGCCAGGCTCGTCTTGAACTCCTGACCTCAGGTGATCCATCCGCCTCGGCCTCCCAAAGTGTTAGGGTTACAGGTGTGAGCCACTGCACCTGGCCCCCTTCCTTCACCTTAGTCAATCCTATCCCACCTCTTCTTCCTCCAGTCCCCTCACCTGATGGTCCCGACACTTCATCATCCACCACCTCCTGGAGGGGGTACCCTGAGGTGCTCAGCTGGGGGCTCTGCTCCTCATCCTGGGGGTGCGGTTGATGGCTGGTCATGATCTTTCCCAAAATCTATCCCAACCCACGGAACCTAGTCTCTGTTCTATCCAAGGCCTTCTTCTGGACTCTGCTAGGACCCAGAAGGTGTGTTATCAATTCTCGAGGCTGAGAGAAGTCAGGAGTGGAGAACAGCTCTGAGAAGATGCAGTTGTCCACTTGAGCTCCCAGATGCCCATGGAGTCCAGTCCTTCCAATCAGGAAGGTTGGAATCTCTGATGTCATTGGTCATTCCAACCTGGCAACCAGTTTGAAGAAAAACACATGTAACTGCCAGGCTGGTCTCTTGTCCTGGAGATCCTGGGTGAATGGTATCTCCTGCCACTGTCCCAACCTCAGACCACCATCCAAAAGCATCTTCAGGGTCTCCGCATCCATCTGTTCCCTGTCCCAGCAGAGGCTGTGTCTTCTCCACTCAAAGCCTGAAGCATTTTGGGGTCTCCTCTTCTCTGTACATGCCCATTTCAGAGTCCAGTCTGGTGGGAGAGGGAGGGTGGGAAAGAAAACTAGGGTAAGCAGAAACTATGAAACCTTACAAGTGTGAGATTATCATATACAAGAGATCCCAGGAACATTGACTTGATGAAAAAGTCACATCAGAGCACTCAATTTGGCAGAGCTTTTCTGCCGAATGTTTACTGACATTCACTGTCCGAGATTCTATACTGGGGGTACACGTGTCCTCTGCCGTAAGGCATCTTTGAGTCCAAGAGACATTTTGAGGCCTGAAAATCATAGGAAACTGCCCATGAGCTCACTCATATTTCCAATGGTGTCCCCAGTTTCAGGGAGTCCATGGATTACCTAAGGCCAGCCCCTCCAGTTCGGCTAAGAAACTCTAGTCTATATATTAAGTTTTGTATCATATGTATTGCTCTGAACTCAGAAATTTCCCTACCATTTATGGATTCTATGAATAAAATATCGCATGTACAAAAAGACTAAGTCGAAAAATCTCAGCTGTGCACAGTGGCTCATGTTTGTAATCCCAGCACTTTGGGTGGCCAAGGGAGGAAGATTGCCTGAGGCCAGCAGTTCAAGACCAGTGTAGGCAACATAGCATGACCCCATCTCTAAAAAAACAAAACCAAACCAAATTAGCCAGGTGTGGTGGCTGGCACCTTGTTCCAACTACTTGGGAGACTCATGCGACAGGAAGATCGCTTGAGCCCAGGACTTAGAAGCTGCAGTGAGCTATGATCTTGCCACCGCACTCCAGTCTAGGCAACACAGCAAGACGTTGTGTCAAAAAAAATTTTTTTGATAAAAAATAAAAGAGTTGGATGACATTCAGAGACCATCCAAAAAACCTGTCAGTTCCTGGCCGGGCTCAGTGGCTCACGCCTGTAATCCCAGCACTTTGGGAGGCCAAAGGAAGTGGATCACTTGAGGTCAGGAGTGTGAGACCAGCCTGGCCAACATGGTGAAACCCCGTCTCTACTAAAAATACAAAAAATTAGCCAGGCATGGTGGCGGGTGCCTGTAATCCCAGCTACTCAGGAGCGGGGACTGGAGAATCACTTGAACTCGGGGTGCGGAGGTTGCCGTGAGCCAAGATCGCACCATTGCTCTCCAGCCTGGGCAACAAGAGCAAAACTCCGTCTCAAAAAAATAAACAAAGAACCTGTGAGTGAGTTCCCATATGGCTTCCTAATGGGCTGTGGCTCTCCTAGGAGTCTCTTGCTCATGGGAAAGGCCCAAACTGAATGAGGAAGCAGATCCCATTGCTATGGAAGTCCCATTGGTAGGAAGCTCTGCTTTTCTGGAGTTCAAATTTCCATTCATGACGCTTTAAACCGCCAGAGCTGGGTGGGTCCTGACAAAACAGTTTGCTATCTCTCTCCTAGTTAACAGGCTTTCATATATTAGAAGATCAATGTTCTGACCCCATTAAAAGTTCTCTTTTGTGGAATGAAAAGCTCTGATTTAACCCATCTTCAAACCTGGTTTGCATATTCTTCTCTCTTCTGGCACACCACCATGCCTGATTAAGTTTTTTTTTTTTTTTTTTTTTTTTTTGGCAGGGACAGGGTTTTGCCATGTTGCCGAGGCTAGTCTTGAACTCCTGGTCTCAAGCAATCTCCTCACCTCAGCCTCCCAAAGTGCTAGCAGTAGAGGCATGAGCCACCACACCAGGCCAAGGCTATTATTCTGACTTAGGGGTTTTTTATTTGTTTCATTTTGTTTTTCCTACAGAGTCGGTATTTCTTCAATAGATATATCTCAAAGCAGAAGCTGGCTAACATCATCCTGGAACTTCAATTTTCCTAACATCAGAGATGCAATAAAACTTTGGACAAATAGAGTATGGTCTATATACAGCTGGTGCCAGAACTGCATAACCCAGGTATGGATGTGACATCCCTGTTTTCAGTGCTATAGTTTTTCTACACACTTGGTGTTTATATACATATGTGCTCAAGTCAGTCCAACCCTCAAGCTAAACTTAGATAAGATGAAATTATTGAGTCAAGTCTGCCTTTGCTTCTATAAAAACATACATCAAGTCACTTTCTGGTTCCTGTTTTCTTGTCCTTATCATATTACTCATAGGACTCAGAATTGTTTATTATTAATTTCAGAGTTTAGAAGTATTGAAAGACACCATCTTTCCATCTCGTATCTGCCACCGAGAACTTTACAGTGTAAAACAACAGTTTTGCATTTTGGAAAGTAAATTATGCAAGCTCCAGGAAGCACTGAAGGTTGGTATTGTCAAATAAAAAGCAAATCTGGAATTAGGTAAGGAGACACTTTTTTTGAAAAGACTATTGCAATAGGGAAAATGCTCAAGTCATAAGATTTATATCTCAAACATTAAGCGAAAAAGTTTTCTTTGTTAGCAAGGAATACAAAGGGTAGAACAAACTGGGTTATGGGGAAGTAAGATGAAGAGCTGGGATAATCTGATCAGATAGCTGATTGGATCAGGGAACATCTTTTCCTGAAGGTTCTTCAGCATACCAATGCTTGCTTAAGCCCAAGAATAGGTCAAGGTTCTAGGGCCTATGGGGAGGGCTAAATCCTGACTAAAGTTTGGTCAAGTTAGTAGATATATTGTCCAGATTGGTCAGTGGCAGTGAACAGTTCAGCTAATCACTTATGAGACAAAGAATGGGAATTTGGAGGGTCTGTGTCTGGCTTTGTCAGATAAATGAGGGAGCCATCCATAAAACTTATCTAACTGATGTGGAAAAAGTTGGTTCCACATCACTTCCAAAATAAAAAATTATTTCCTGGACATAAAACTGTGGGAAGATTTTTGTTTGTTTGTTTGTTTCTAGAGATGGGATCTCACTATGTTGCCCAGCCTAGACTCCAACTCCTAACTCCTGGGCTCAAGTGATCCTCCTACCTCAGCCTCCCTTAGTAGCTGGGACTACAGGCTTGCACTATTGCACCCACCTAGGATGGGGAGATTTTTTGGCCATCCTTATTTTCCAGAATCACAGAGCTCAGGTGAAGTTCAATATTGTCAGTATTAAAGCAGAAGATCTGAAAAAAATTTTGCCAGCTGTTTGTAATTTTTTTTTTTTTTTTTTTTTTTTTTTTTTTTTAGACAGAATCTCACTCTGTTACACAGGCTAGAGTGCAGTGGCATGATCATGGCTCACTGCAACCTTGACCTACTGGCTCAAGGGATCCTCCTGCCTCAGCCTCCCTTGTAGCTGGGACCAGAGGTGTGTGCCACCTGCCCGGCAAATTTTTTAGTTTTTTATAGGGATGGGGGTCTCACTTTGTTGCCCAGGCTAGTCTCAAACTCCTGGCCTCAAGTGATCCTCCTACCTCAGCCTCCCAAAGTGTTGGGATTGCAGGCGTGAGCCATGGCACCTGGCTTGTTTGTACATTTTTAAATAGCAAGTCAGACATAAAAATAAATTTATGCACAGCAAAATAAGATGCAAAAATATTTGCTCAAATATCAGGAAAAGGATTAATTATTGAATATATAAAGAACCACTACAAATCAATACAAAAAAGACCAACAACTTAGCAGTAAAATGAGGAAATAATATGAACACAGCATTCACCTAAATACAGGAATACAAGCCAGGTACAGTGGTACACACTTATAATCCCAGCTACTCAAGAAACTGAAATGGTAGAATCACTTGAGCACAGAAGTTTGAGGCCATCCTGGGCAGAAAGAAAAGGAATACAAATGGTTCTTAAATACATGAGTAGGGCCAGGCACAGTGACTCATGCCTATAATCCCAGCAGTTTGGGA
This sequence comes from Homo sapiens, assembly GCF_000001405.40. Lineage (NCBI taxonomy): Eukaryota > Metazoa > Chordata > Mammalia > Primates > Hominidae > Homo > Homo sapiens. Next base: position 59,187,087 of record NC_000017.11, read on the forward strand.
GGCCAAAACAGGCAGATCATCTGAGATCAGGAGAATCACTTGAACCCGGAAAGTGGAGACTGCTGTGAGCCGAGATCGTGCTGCTGCACTCCAGCCTGGGTGACAGAGCTAGACTGTCTCAAAAATAAAATAAAATAAAAATAAAATAAAATAAAATAAATAAATACATGAGTAGGTGCTCAACTTCACTTAAGAGTGAATCAGGGGCTGGGCGCGGTGGCTTACCCCTGTAATCCCACCACTTTGGAAGACTGAGGAGGGTGGATCACTTGAGGTCAGGAGTTCAAGACTAGCCTAGCCAATGTGAAACCCCCTCTCTACTAAAATACAAAAATTAGCTGGGCTTGTTAGTGCATGCCTGTAATCCCAGCTACTCGGATGGCTGAGGCAGGTGAATTGCTTGAACCCGGGAGGCAGAGGTTGCAGTGAGCTGAGATCGCATCACTGCACTCCAGCTTGGGCAACAGAGCAAGACTCCATCTCAAGAGTGAATCAGGGCTGAGCGCAGTGGCTCACGCTTGTAATCCCAGCACTTTGGGAGGCCGAGGTGGGCAGATCACTTGAGGTCAGGAGTTTGAGACCAGCCTGGCCAACATGGTGAAACCCTGTCTCTACTAAAAATACAAAAGTTAGCCAGGTGTGATGGCGGGCACCAGTAATCCCAGCTACTCAGGAGGCTGAGGCAGGAGAATCACTTGAACCCGGGAGGCGGAGGTTGCAGTGAGCCGAGATCACGCCACTGCACTCCAGCCAGGGTGACAGAATGAGACTCCATTAAAAAAAAAAAAAAAAAGTGTGTCAAGACTAGGTGTGGTACCAGTGACAAAGCCTCAAAGAATATTTGCATAAACAAAATGTCTTTATTTTAGGCAGCAGGAAGAAAGAGAAAAGTTATCCTACTACCCCTATTAAGGCGACTTCCCAAACTCATTTACAGAACTTTTACTTACATCTCATTTCGCTAAAACATAGTCATGTAATTATACCTAGCAACTAGGGAACCTGAGGAATGTAATCTATCATCTGGATTACAGTGTGTCCGGCTAAAAGTCAGGTTTCCTATTACTAAAGAAGAAGGCAAAAATGTATATTGGGAGGCAATTAGTAGTCTCTGCCACACACAAAAAACAGAAATGCAAAATAAACTTCAATGAGTAATGCCTTTAGCCTATCAGATTGACAGAACAAACAAATCAAAGACCAAAAGTTTTGGAGAAACAGGTGCTCTCTTGTTATTGAGAATGGCCTAAATTGATAAAACCTCTGTGGGCTATAATTAATTAACATCTATCAAAATTTTTAAAATATATATCTTTTGATGCAACCAAATTTTGTACATATGTACAAAGTTATTTATTGCGGTGTGATTTGAAAAATAGCGAAAACTTACAAAGAAAACTGTCAAAGAATATGGGATTAATTTAATACATTATAATCCATTCATTCAATTTAATACTATGTAGCCGTTAAGAAGAATGAGGTAGTTCTGTATGTACTAATGAGGTATGATCTCAAGAACACACCATCAGTCCCCCTCCCCCAGGAAAACTTTTTTAAAGAATACACTAATGGCCAGGCGTGGTGGCTCACACCTGTAATCCCAGCACTTTGCAAGGCCAAAGTGGATGGATCACTTGAGGCCAGGGGTTTGAGACCAGCCTGGCCAACATGGCAAAACCCCATCTCTACTAAAAATACAAAAAATTAGCCTGGCATGGTGACATGCTTCTGTAATCCCAGCTACTCAAGAGGCTGAGGCAGGAGAATCACTGGAACCTGGGAGACACAGGTTGCAGTGAGCTGAGATCGCGCCACAGCACTCCAGCCTGGGCAACAGAGCATGACTGTGTCTCAAAAATAATAATAATAATAATAATAATAATAATAATACATTATTAAATTAAGTGTAAAGGTATATTCAGAACAGTGTTTATAGGATGTTCCCATGTATTATTAAAATGTATAACTTTGGGAGGCCAAGGTGGTTGGATCACTTGAGGTCAGGAGTTCGAGACCATCCTAGCCAACATGATGAAACCCCCTCTCTACTAAAAAACACAAAAATTAGCTGGGCGTGGTGGCGCATGTCCATAGTCCCAGCTACTCAGGAGGTTGAGGCAGGAGAATCATTTGAACCCAGGAGGCAGAGGTTGCAGTGAGTTGTGATCGTGCCACTGCACTCAAATCTGGGTGACAAAGCGAGACTGTCTCAAAAAATATTATTTGAGACAAAAAAAAAAATAGAATAATTTTTTTTGTTCGTTTGAGACAAAGTACCGCTCTGTCGCCCAGGCTAAAGTGTAGTGGCGTGATCTCAGCTCACTGCAACCTCCGCCTTCTGGGTTCAAGCAGTTCTTCTGCCTCAACCTCCCAAGTAGCTGGGACTACAGGTGCCCGCCACCATGCCTGGCTAATTTTTGTATTTTTAGTAGAGACAGGATCTCACCATGTTGCCCAGGCTGGTCTTGAACTCCTGACCTCAAGTGATCTGCCTGCCTCGGCCTCCCAAAGTGCTGGGATTCTAGACATGAGCCACCACACCAGGCCTAAATAAAATTATTGAGACTAGGTGGGACTCCAAAAATAAATAGCAAAAAAATTAAATTAAACATAAAATAAAACTAATTGACCAGTTGAGATTTTGGTTCTGGAAGTAAATTCATTGCTTTTTTGAATTCCTATAATTTTGTAACTTTGTCAGAGAAGTTTGCTGTGGGTGACAAGGCAGTATTCAAACAGACCTTAAAAATTAAATTTTTTAGCTGGTCATGGCATACACACCTATAGTCCCAATTTCTCAGGGGACTGAGGTGGGAAGATTCCTTGAGCCTCAGGACACTCCAGCCCACTGCATTCTAGCCTGGGCAACATAGTGAGACCCTGTCTCTAAAAAAAAAAAGTTTTCTTTTATTTTAAAAAGTCTAGAATGAATGTGTGTGTGTATGTGTGAAATAATTCTATAAACCTTCCCTTCTCTCCTTCACCTCTAGTGTACACACTCTACCTTTCATGACTTTTCTCCTATTTCAGCTCTCCTTATATTTTAACCCCAAATCACTAATCTCAATGTACCAGGGAGGAGGATGATATAGAATTAAGAATGGGCCAGGCACGGTGGCTCACGCCTGTAATCCCAGCACTTTGGGAGGCCAAGGCTGGCAGATCCCAAGGTCAGGAGATCGAGACCATCCTAGCCAACATGGTGAAACCCCGTCCCTACTAAAAATACAAAAAAATTAGCTGGGCGTGTTGTCACACACCTGTAATCCCAGCTATTCGGGAGGCTGAGGCAGGAGAATCACTTGAACCCAGGAGGTGGAGGTTGCAGTGAGCCAAGATCACGCCACTGCACTCCAGCCCTCTAGCCTGGGCGACACAGCAAGACTCCATCTCAAAAAAAAAAAAAGAAAAAAGAATTAAGAATGAAGCTTATGTTATTTCCTTCACTAAGAAAGCACCTAGAAGGCTGTATCAGTCAAAATTCTTTTTAGCCACAAGTGGCAGAAACACAGGGCAATCCGGCTTAAGCCCATAAAACCAGTAAGTCTAGGGTATGGCTGGATTCAGAGGCTCAAATGATATTGTCAACATTCTGGCTCTGTCTCATCTTTCAGTTCTGCCTTCTTTACAGTAAGTTTATTTCTCAGACAGACTCTCCCTTTGCACTAGCAACATGGCTGCTGGCAGCCTTAGATTCTTATTCTCATAACAGAACCATCTCAGCCAAGAGAACTTGGCCTGGGTTATGTGTCTAGTCCTTGAGTGAGTATCCTGACCAGATCACGTGGACTGAGGGAATGAAGGGAAACCCAGGTGCTTTTATACCAGAAGGAGGAATGGCTACAGGTGAGGGCTAGTCCCTGGGCCTGTTTGCCCCACTTCAGAAGCTCTGCTCTGTATTGCTGGGAGGGCTGGCTCCTACAGGATACATTCCTCAAGCTCCAGGTCACCTGGTTCCTGGTTATGATGGCCTATTGCGAGACACTGATGAGAGACTAGAGGGAGGGAGAAGGCAAGGAGTTTCCTCCCCTCCTCTTTACTGCATGATTTCTCCAGCAATGGTAGTTGTTGCCTTCCTGGCCCCATCTCCCACTGGATAAATACTCCATGTTTCTTTCTTTTTTTCTTTTTTTCTTTTTTTTTTTTTTTTGAGACAGAATTTCACTCTGTCACCCAGGCTGGAGTGCAGTGGCGCAATCTCAGCTCACTGCAGCCTCCACCTCCCGGGTTCAAGCGATTCTCCTGCCTCAGCCTCCCAAGTAGCTGGGATTACAGGTGCCCACCACCACGCCTCGCTAATTTTTGTGTTTTTAGTAGAGATGAGGTTTCACTGTGTTGTTTAGGCTGGTCTCAAACTCCTGACCTCAGGTAATCCACCTGCCTCAGCCTCCCAAGGTGCTGGGATTATAGACGTGAGCCACCGCACCCAGCTAATGTTTCTTGATTCTCTGGGTAAACCTACCTCCAGACCTCTGGATATACCACCTCCACCTTTTGTTTCTCCAGCCTCAGGAAGTTAATGCCTTCCTGCTGTTGCTAATCTCTAGATTGCCTCATGGTACCCAGTAGGCCTCTCAGCTCTTCCATTATAAATGTAACCAAGTGCCTGTATTACATTACCCCTCTTTTCAATATCCAGAGTGGTTTCTATTTTCCTGACTGATATATGCAGGAAAATATCCACTCCAAACTCCCCTAAGCAAGGCCCCTATGTCTCAACATTGTGCTCATTGGTCTGGAGAGAAGCTTCTGGAATTCCATCCCTGCTCCCAGAATTTGTGCCTCAGGATGAATTAGCCAAAGGAGAAAAAGGCAAGTCATTTAACTCCTCTGGGCCTCAGTTTCCTCCTCTATAAATTTGGGATGATACCATTTGTGGGAGACTGAATACATGGCAGCCTCCAAAAGGTATATTCAAGTCCTAATCCCCAGAACCTGTAAATACTGCCTTATTTGGACAAAGGGCTTTACAAATGTAATTAGGGTAAGGATTTTGAGATGAGGAGATCTTCCTGGATTATCTAGGTGGACCCTAAGTCCCAGGACAAGTGCCCTTATGAGAGAGACACACAGAGAATGCATACAGAGAAGAGAAGCAATGTGACCACAGAGATAGAGATTGGAGTGATGCAGCCACAAACCAAGGAGTGCTGACAGCTACTAGAAGCCAAAAGAGGCAAGGAACCGATTCTTCCCCAGAGGTATGGGAGGCAGTGAAGCTCCTACGACACCTTGATGACAGACTTTTCGCCTCAAGCACTGTGCGAAAATAAGCTTCAATTGTTTTCAACCACCAAGTTTGGGATAATTTGTTACAGCAGGCACAGGAAATTAATACACCGTTTTACTTCATAGGGTCGTTGTATTTGTTTGCTAGAGCTGCCATAACAAAATACCACAGGCTGGGTGGCTTATACAACAGAAATTTACTTTCTCACAGTCTGGAAGCAAGAAGTCTGTGGCTTCTTGGTTAGTTTCTTCTGAGGCTCCCTCCTGGGCTTGTAGATGGCTGTCTTCGCTCTATGTCTTCACACAGTCTTCCTCTGTGTGAGTACATTCCTGATATCTCTCTGCATGTCCAATTTCCTCTTACTGTAAGAACACCAGTTAGAATGGATTAGGACCCCCACCCTAACGGCCTCATTTTAACTTAATCACCTCTTTAAAGACCCTATCTCCAAATATAGTCACATTCTGATGTTCTGGATGTTAAGACTTCAACATATGAATTCTGGGACACAATTCAGTCCACAGTAGTCATGTTCCAGATCCTTTGCTTTATCAGTTTCTTGAAAGTACTATATTCTTGGCTGTATTAAGTATTTTTTTCCTCTGCAAGGAACTCTTCCCCTAGTCCTTATCTCCCTTCGTCTGCTAAGTCTCAATTTATTCTTGAGATCATGGCTAAATATCACTTCCCAAGCCTCCAGCTGTTCATGCTCATAGCACACTTCGTTGCTCTTATTGAAGTATTGTTTTGTTTCAAGTGTGTTTGTGCATGTTTGTTTGAGATGAGATCTCACTATGTTGTCCAGGCTGGTCTCGAACTCCTGGGCTCAAGCAATTCGCTGGATTCAGCCTTCCAAAGTGCTGGGATTACAGGTGTGCACCACCATTCCTGGCCTTCTGTGCATGTTTAATGTCTGTCTTCTGTCACCGAACTGTCAGCTCCATGAGGTGACACACAGGGCTCACATTGTACCTATAGTGCCTGGCATATAGCACATACAAAATAAACTAATGAATGAAATGAAGAAACTTATGATTATAAATGAGAAAATATCAGGAAGCACATGGTACGCTGAGAAAGCATTCAATACATGGTAGCTATTATTTTGATGACTCTCACCCTCAAGAATCAAATTAACTTGTTATTTATTTGCCAAATGTGATGTCTTCTTCCAGACCATCTCAGAAAGTTCTTCCTGTCCAAGCTGTGGTCAAACATGTCACATGAGTGGTAAACTTACAAATGTGCCTGCCTGCGTTCTGATCACCCCTGGAGACTCCAAAGCTGTGCTTCCTCCCACACTGCCACAGCCAGCCAGCCATTTTCCTCCTCCTCCTCCACCTCCACCTCTGCCACCTCCTCCACCACCACTAGCACCTGTGTTGCTCAGAAAACCCAGTCTCGCTAAAGCACTTCAGGTAGGTAACAATCTAGTAATGATATGTTTTGATATGTTTTGGTGAGTGTGTAATATAGGAGTAAAGCCAAGTGGCCTTTTAAGGCCAGGCTAATCAGGGCTTGGGCCAGAAGGCTATATTTTGTTCTGATTCCGTATCTTAATTATTGTGTTTTTAAAATCTCAGTTCCTGAGAAATTCCTAGAAGCTGGATTGAGAAATGAAAGTGATGTGTGTGAAACCCAGTAGAGTGGAAGATTTCTATTCGCTTCTCAGCATGGCTTTTTCCTAGGGAAGAAAACCTCCCTAGGAAACCAAATTTAGAATAGAAGATTGCTTAGAGAGTAAAGTCAGAACAAAGAGTTAGTGGATTCCAAAGTTTCATATCATTAGGCTGGAGAACCAATCTCTATTTCAGTTACTTATTTACCAAGGGGACCAGACAATTTGTGAATCACTAAGACAGGCATGACCCTGTTTTAAAATCTGCTGAATTTTCACTATGGATAATTTGGTTTAATGTAGCTGAATTAAATCCAGAGTCTTCCCAATCCTCACACACACACACACACACACACACACACACACACACAAAACAAAACCTGGAGCCTATTGTTATATTTGCCCTAATTATACCTCTCTGATTGTATACATTCTTGTTCTGTGGAAACTGAGTCATCTTTCTAGGTAATTCAAGCAAAACTTCACTTTAACCCGATTAACTCCTTCAACTCTTGTCTTATTATAATGACTCCCGGGGAAGATGCAATATTGCAGGAAACTAGTCCATCTCTTATTTGTTAGCAAAGTCTTAGCTTATAAAAACAAAATTGCGGGGTGGGGGAAGCCTTACATTTTGATGAATGCTTTTCAATGGGTGATAAAAATACGATTATTCTTGGTTGAGTAGAAAGAATATGACAGGTTCCTAGGGTAGATAAGAGTTACCTCTTAACTCTGAGTCTTTAAAAACTAGATTTGGATTTGCATTTCACCAGTTGTGCTGGTTCCAATTTGAATTCTAACCTTACCATGTATTTTAAGGCTGGACCATTAAAAAAAGATGGACCCATGCAGATAACAGTTAAAGATCTGCTGACTGTAAAATTAAAGAAGACACAGAGTTTAGATGAAAAGAGGAAGGTAAGATGTCATTGACCACATACATGCTCTTTTTGCTTTTAACAATATAGGCTCATGCCTATAATCCCAGCACTTTGGGAGACCAAGGTGGGAGGATCACCTGAGCCCAGGAGTTCAGGACCAGCATGGGGAATATGGCAAGACCTCATCTCAATTTGTATACAATTGGGGTCGGGGGTGCTGGAGGGAGAAGTCATTTCATTTCAAGTTAAGTTTTTGATGTTTTTATTTTAGTAGTTTTGGATTTCCCAACAAAATGTATATATTAGGAAATGATTTAATTAGGCAATTTTATCTCCCAACCCTTAGTCTGAAGAGGTAGAGACATCCTTTGAAGCTCTGGAATAAAAATTGGGTAGCATACTGGATATATCTTACACAAACTCAGCACTCAGATATTTGCCGTTTTTGCATGTTTACATTTTGAGTGATATTTTAAAATTTGTTTTAATAATGTCTCATTTTATAATTAAAGCTTATACCATCGCCGAAAGCACGGAATCCACTAGTTACCGTCTCTGACTTGCAGCATGTTACCCTGAAACCTAACTCCAAAGTGTTATCGACTCGAGTTACAAACGTCTTAATGTAAGGAACTGCACAGTACTATGCTCTACTACTACTTAAAAGAATGATATTGTTGTACAAAGGCCTAAAGAAAAGGAAAAAAAGATTTTTTGTGTGTATTTCTAATGTTAAAAGTTATATATGCTCATTATAGAAAAACTGAAATCTACAGAAAAGTTTAAAAAAGAAAACAAAAATTATCTAAATAATCCTATCACTGGAGATAGCCACTGTTAACATACTGCTGTTTATCATTCTAGTCTTTTTCTGGGCATATGGTTTATTGCCCCATTTAAAGATGCTGTTTATTATAAGATATGGCATTGATTTAATAACAGATTTTGGGAGAAAAAGATATACTATCAAGAATTTTAGGCTGGGAGTGGTGGGTTATGTCTGTAATCCCACCACTTTGGGAAGCTGAAGTAGGAGGATTGCTTGAGGCCGGGAGTTTAAGACCAGCCTGGGCAACATAGTGAGAGCCCCATCTCTAAAAAAAACTAATTAAATTAAAAATTAGCCGGATGCAGTGGTGTGTGCCTGTAGTCCCAGCTACTTGGGAGGCTGAAGAAAGAGGATCACTTGAGCCCAGGAGATCAAGGCTGCAGTAAGAAGTGATTGTGCCACTGTACTCCAGCCTGGACAACAGAGAGAGACTCCATCTCAAAAAAAAAAAAAAAAAAAAAATCATAACCTAAATGTCTTAAAACAGGATTTTATCTATGAAATTTACATACAATTAACTGCATATTTTGAAGATGTCAAAATGACACTTTAAGTTAATTTTCAAAAAGATAGGAAGAGTTCATGATATACTGAATGGGAAAAACTATATCTACAATATGATTATACACAGACAGATACACACATATACCATATTTGCTTGATTCCAAGACACACTAGTTTTCATATTATATAATTTCTGAAAGCAACCTGTTTTATTTATTTATTTTTTGTATTTTTTTATTTTTTGAGATGGAGTCTTGCTCTGTCGCCCAGACTGGAGTGCAGTGATGCAATATCGGCTCACAGCAACCTCCACCTCCCGGGTTCCAGCAATTCTCCTGCTTCAGCCTCCTGAGTAGCAGGGATTACAGGCGTGTGCCACAGTGCTGGCTAATTTTTGTATGTTTTAATAGAGACGGGGTTTCACTATGTTGGCCAGGGTGGTCTCAAACTCCTGACCTCAAATGACCCACCCCCCTCGGCCTCCTAAAGTGCTGGGATTTCAGGGGTGAGCCACTGCGCCTGACTTAGGTTATGACATTTAATTTCTGTAAGTCTTCAGTGGACATCCTTGCCTATCAACTCTGTACATGGCTGAGTTTTTCCCTAGGATGGATTCTTACACATGTAACTCCTGGGTCAAGAAGTATTACATATTGGAATGGCTATATCATCTTATGTTCCCATCGGCATCTACTGCTATTTTTTTTCTTTTTTTCTTTTTTTGAGAAGGAGCTCTGTCACCCAGGCTGGAGTAGTGGCACAAGCTCGGCTCACTACAACCTCCGCCTCCCAGGTTCAAGCAATTCTCTGCCTCAGCCTCCCGAGTAGCTGGGATTACAGGCACCCGCCACCACGCCCAGCTAATTTTCGTATTTTTAGTAGAGATGGGGTTTCACCATCTTGGCCAGGCTGGTCATGAACTCCTGACCTCGTGATCCATCTGCCTCGGCCTCCTAAAGTGCTGGGATCACAGGCGTGAGCCACCGCACCCTGCTTCTACTGCTATTTTTTAATGTAACACATAGAACTACTTTCTAGGATGTTGCCTATAGAAATGATTGCTTTCCTTTGGGAAAAAAATAATAAAATCTGGCAAGTTCTAATTTTTTTTTTTTTTGGAGACAGAGTCTTGCTCTATTGCCCAGGCTGGAGTGCAGTGGTGCAATCTTTGCTCACTGCAAGCTCTGCCTTCCGGGTTCACGCCATTCTTCTGCCTCAGCCTCCCGAGTAGCTGGGACTACAGGCGCCCACCACCACACCTGGCTAATTTTTTGTATTTTTAATAGAGACAAGGTTTCACCGTGTTAGCAAGGATGGTCTTGATCTCCTGACCTTGTGATCCACCTGCCTCAGCCTCCCAAAGTTCTAATTTTTATATCTTTGTTTTATCAGCACTCCTGGAAAAAGTCAGATGGATCTGCGGAAACTGCTTAGAAAAGTCGATGTAGAGAGGTAATACACTCTCATATCTTTATGCCTTCTACGTCCATTTTAAAAGTTGCCATAAAATACAGCTACTGTTATTTTCAATACCTTTGCAGGAGCCCAGGTGGAACCCCTCTTACCAATAAGGAAAATATGGAAACAGGAACAGGACTGACTCCAGTGATGACGCAGGCCTTAAGGAGAAAGTTTCAGGTAACCCTTTAGGAAAAGAATATTGGTTCCTTTGCTTGAAAATAATTTGGCCTGGTGTGGTGGCTCATGACTGTAATCCTAACACTTTGGGAGGCTGAGGTGGGGAGATTGCTTGAGCCTAGCAGTTCAAGATGGGCAACATGGTGAAACTCTGTCTCTACAAAAAATACAAAAAATTAGCCAGGCGTGGTGGTGCATGCCTGTAGTTCCAGCTACTTGGGAAGCTGTGTTGGAGGATCACTTGAGCCCAGGAGGTCAAGGCTGCAGTGAGCTGTGATTGCACCACTGCACTCCAGTCTGGGTGACAAAGCAAGACCCTGTCTCAAATAAATAATCATAATCATAATTTATGATCATAATTTAAAGCAGCTTTCTTAGTAACAATAATTTTTAAATGGTACCGTATTTTGCAAAGTATTTTCATATTTAGGCTTCATAAAATTCTATAAAATACAGGTAGGATTGGCCGGGCACAGTGAGTGGCTCATGCCTGTAATCTCAGCACTTTGGGAGGCCGAGGTGGGCAGATCACATGAGGCCAGGAGTTTGAGACCAGCGTGGCCAACATGACAAAACCCTGTCTCCACTAAAAAAATACAAAAATGGCCGGGCACGGTGGCTCACGCCTGTAATCCCAGCACTTTGGAAGGCCGAGGCAGGTGAATCATGAGCTCAGGAGTTTGAGACCAGCCTGACCAACATGGTGAAACCCCGTCTCTACCCCAAATACAAAAATTAGCAAGGTGTGGTGGCGGATGCCTGTAGTCCCAGCTACTCGGGAGGCTGAGGCAGGAGAATCACTTGAACCTGGGAGGCAGAGGTTGCAGTGAGCCAAGATTGTGCCACTGAACTCCAGCCTGGGTGACAGAGCGAGACTTAGTCTCAAAAAAAAAAAAAATTAGCCATGTATGGTGACTCGTGCCTGTAATCCCGGCTACTTGGGTGGCTAAGGCATGAGAATCGCTTGAACCCAGGAGACGGAGGTTGCAGTGAGCCAAGACTGCACCACTGCACTCCAGCCTGGGTGACGGAGTGAGACCCTGTCTCAAAAAAAGAAAAAAAAGAACTATAGGTAGGATTATCATGTCTATCTGTAAATGTCTGATTTTATTAATCCCTTTAGTACATATTTTTAGTAAATATTTACTAAGCACTTCCTATATGCCCAGCAGTGTGTTGAAGTACTGGGAATATAGTGGTAAGCAAAAACAGATACAGATTACTGTCTTGAAGCTTTCAGTCTAGTGGGGAAAATAGGCATTCATCAAATAATCCCATATTTGTATAATATCACATGGCAGTATGTGCTATGAAGGAAAGGAATGAGGTTCTGTGGGAACCCAGAGAGGAACTTGATCTAGCCTGGATGATCTAGGAGGGACTCCCTTAGGAAGTGATGATGCTTGAGGTGAGAGTCGAAGAAGGAAGAGGCATTTACTGGATAGGGTAACTGTGGGGTGGGTCCACCATGAGTGTCAGGAAGGAGAGAGTTCCAGGCAAAAAGAACAAAATTCGTAAGAGTTCCATGGGGTGAGGGATCATGGCCTATTCAAGGAACTAAGAAGTGACCAGTGTGGCTGTAACACAGAGAGGGAGCCCAATGGTGGTGAAAGACAGGGATGGAGATGTAGTTAGGAGTCAGACCCTGCAGAGTTGAAAGGAAAAGGTCTTGAGAGCTTTCTTTGTCACATTCATATACAACCACATACCCAACCCAGTAGATCAGCTGGCCCTGGTGTGACTTCTTCCAAACCCTGTTGATCTTAGTCATCTCCCTAATTGCCTCTATCATTAGATCTGTGAAGAACAGCCATCCGTCGGCTGCCCCTGCTGGAGTGCTGGAACACAGGGCTGCTGGCATCTTTGGCTTTGAAGTTTATAGTTCGTTCTCTCTCTGGATGCAGGGACATAGCAGACTCCACTGCTGACACTTTCCACCCCAATATTGTCTTCCTTTTGTTCCGTGTTTGAGAATCAGTGCTTTTTGTGGGACAATATAATTTCTCTCTTACCAATCAACTTGGTCCTACTGGGCACTATACAGCTTTCTGCGTAGTGGAGATGTGACCAGGTTCTTCTTTCCTCCTCTTAGAGCATGCTACCCCTAATCAAGTTCCTTGGTGATACCCAAAATTGTGAAGGGCAGGAGCAAAGGGACGAGGCCTCACGGGTCTTAGCCCCTTGCTTTTTCTGTTTAGCTCTAAGATCTTTGTTGTCACTGCCCCTACTTCATAGCAGGTACAGTGAGTTGAGAACTCTGGAAATGGATAAACGATAATAAATTGTAAAGCCACATATTGAACAACAACAAAAATCACAGATAAGACCTATGGCATATGTTGTGCTGCCAAAATCTACTCAGGAGGAGGATGTCTAGTTAAAATTGTTGTTAGATATAGATGACTTATCCCACCCAACCCTTAGGCTTCTTTTTTTCTTAAACTGTGAAGCAACTGTATCAGGTTTTGCATTGGCTTCAGGTATCAGAAATCTGACTATAGTGGTTTAATCAAATAGGGACATGGCAGAGTGTAGTGGCTCATACCTGTAATCCCAGTGCTTTGGGAGGCTAAGGCCGGAAAGTCGCTTGAGGCCAGGAGTTTGAAACCATCCTGGGCGATATAGCAAGACTCTGCCTTGACAAATAAATAAATAAATTAGGACTTTTTTTTTTAATATATACAACTAACTCATTTATTTTATTTTATTTTAATTTTTTTTGAGACGGAGTCTCGCTCTGTCGCCCAGGCTGGAGTACAATGGCGCAATCTTGGCTCGCTGCAAGCTCTGCCTCCTGGGTTCACACCATTCTCCTGCCTCAGCCTCCCGAATAGCTGGGACTACAGGCGCCCGCCACCACGCCCGGCTAATTTTTTGTATTTTTAGTAGAGACAGGGTTTCACCGTGTTAGCCAGGATGGTCTCGATCTCCTGACCTTGTGATCCACCTGCCTCGGCCTCCCAAAGTGCTGGGATTACAGGCGTGAGCCACCGGGCCCAGCCTGTTTTTTTAAAATTTATAGACGAAGTCTCACTATATCTCCCAGGCTGGTCTCAAACTCCTGGGCTCAAGTGATCCTCTTGTCTCGGCCTCCCAAAGTGCTGGGATTACAGGCGTGAGCCACCGTCCTCGGCCCACAACTATCTTTTTTTTTTTTAAATTTATTTTTTATTTCAATACGTTTTTGGGGAACAGAAAGTGTTTGGTTACACAAATTAGTTCTTTAGTGGTGATTTCTGAGATTTTGGCACACCCATCACCCAGCCAGTGTACACTGTTCCCAATGTATAGTCTTTTATCCCTCACCCCACCCCACCCTTTCCCCCAAGTCCCCAAAGTCCACTGTATCATTCTTATGCCTTTGCATCCTCATAGCTTAGCTCCCGGACTTATTTTTTTAATTTAAATATTTCTTTGGGCAGTAGGAAGTCCACAACTATAATACAGTGGCTTCACCATATAATCACTGTTCTTCCATCCTTAATGTGTGGCTTTTATCCTCTTAATACAAAATGCCTACATTTCCTGAAGCCTCATGTCCACATTCTAGGCAAGAGAAGGAGAAAGGCAAATGTTAATTAAGCTATGCCTCATTTCTTCAAAGAAGCCCTATCCAGGAACTTCTGATTGCATCAGGGAAACTGGGAAAAGTGGTTTTTACAATCTGAATGCAGTGTTGCCATGCAAAAATTCTGGGTTCTGTTGAGAAAGGAGAGTTGTACTTATCACAGGAATATAATTGATATTATAATTGGGACTTTTTTTTTTTATAGCTGGCTCACCCTAGAAGCCCAACTCCAACTCTGCCACTTTCTACAAGCAGCTTTGATGAACAAAACTGATGCCAACTCTGCCTCACTCCATGAGATGATCCATAACAAATACAGATAAAAACACCCAGCTGGGTGCAGTGGCTCACACCTGTAATCCCAGCACTTTGGGAGGCTGAGGCAGGTGGATCACCTGAGGTCAGGAGTTTGAGACCAGCCTGGCCAACATGGTGAAACTCCTTCCCCACTAAAAATACAGAAATTAGCTGGGCATAGTGGCGGGTGCCTGTAATCCCAGCTATGCGGGAGGCTAAGGCAGGAGAATTGCTTGAACCCAAGAGGCAGAGGTTGCAGTGAGCCAAGATCGCGTCATTGCACTCCAGCCTGAGCAACAAGAGCAAAACAAAAACAAACAAACAAACAAAAAAAACCCACCCAAATCCTTTTTTTTAATGTAGTAGGGTTTATATAGATATACTAATATAATTGCATTTGGAGAATTAGAGTATGTATGGAGCCCACACATACTGTGATATAAAGTGTATATACAGATATTTGGATATTTTCTAGTTTGCATGATGATTAAGAGAACCAGATGGGAAAATACAATCTCCAAAGTGATGTTTATCCTGGAATTACCCAATTTAGATTAGAGAGGTTGTTCAAATTTAACTAGATAACTCTAGTTTGTACTGTATAGGTGCAGTTATGACAGTAAAAAAATAGCCTCTTGGCTCATACCTGTAATCCCACCACTTTGGGAGGCCAAGGTGGGAGGATTGCTTGAGCCCAGGAATTCAAGACTAGCCTGGGCAACATAATACAGGGAGACCCCGTTTCTATTAAAAATACAAAAATCAGCCAGCTGTGGTGACACATGCCTATAGTCCCAGCTACTTAGGAAGCTGAGAAGGGAGGATCACTTGAGGCTGTAGTGCACTATAATTATGCCTGTGAATAGCCACTCTACTCCAGCCTGGGCAACATAGCAAGACCCCATCTCTAAAAATTAAAAAAAAAATTTAAATTAGAATATCATTTCTAGCATCTTAGGTAGGTACTTATATCTGGCTTACAGAAGTCTAAGGTATTCCTTATTTTTATATCTGCTGTCCACATTTATACAGCTACATAAAAATTTTATGACAACTTCAACATGAACCTTATATTTTCGACAATGCCTTGCCAAGGAATCTCTGAAGTCCATAGCAGGTCACTGTGAGACCTAGTTCCCTGTTGTCACTGACCTATGTAATCAAAGACAGTAATACAGCCTGGGAAACATAGCGAGACCCTGTCTCTATCAAAAATTTAAAATTACCCAGGCATGGTGACGCACACCTGTAGTCTAAGTGTCCAAGTTACTTGTGAAGCTGAGGTGGGAGGATCACTTGAGCCCAAGAGTTTGAAGCTATGGTGAGCTATGATTGTTCCACTATACTCCAGCATTGGCAACAGAGCAAGAACTCATCTCTAAAAAGTAAAAAGCAACTCCCCAGAAAGACTGTATTTCTACAGATAAATATTGCATTGAGATGCCAAATAGAGTGTTGTTGTAAAGTCATCAGACTAGAAAGCAGACCTGGGGACAGTGTTTACCACCTAAGAGGCAGTCCTGTTTTTGAGACCCACATCTATATATAGAGATTTTTGTTTGTTTGTTTGTTTGTTTTGTTTTGTTTTGAGATGAAGTCTCACTCTGTCACCCAGGCTGGAGTGCAGTGGCGCAATCTTGGCTCACTGCAACCTCCACCTCCCAGGTTCAAGCAATTCTCCTGCCTCAGCCTCCTGAGTAGCTGGGATTACAGGTGCGCACTGCCACGCCTGACTAATTTTTGTATTTCTAGTAAAGATGGGGTTTCACTATGTTGGCCAGGCTGGTCTTGAACTCCTCACCTCAGGTGATCCACCCATCTCAGCCTCCCAAAGTGCTGAGATTACAGGCGTGAGCCACCACGCCCGGCCAGAGATCCACATCTATATTTATAACACATTTATGGATGAAAATTAAACAGGTGTCCGGGTGCGGTTACTCATGCCTGTAATCCGAGCACTTGTGGAGGCCGAGGCAGGCGGATTACTTGAGGTCAGGACTTCGAAACCAGCCTGGCCAACATGGTGAAATCCCATCTCTACTAAAAATACAAAATTAGCCAGGTGTGGTGTCACGCACCTGTAGTCCCAGTTACTTGAACCTGGGAGGCAGAGGTTGCAGTGAGCCGAGATTGCAACACTGCCACTCCAGCCTGGGTGACAGAGCAAGAGACCCTGTCTCAAAAAAAAAAAAAAAAAATTAAATGGGTAGTGACGTTAAGAGATATATATCAGCTTCTAGTAAAAGTTTTTTTTTTTAAACCTGCTAGCTACATTTACATTATGTAAAAATAAAGGGAATAATCACTGAGAATAAAGCAGTTGAGTATTTATAACAATAATATTTTATGGGGCGCTTATAATGTTTATAATATTGTAAACCACTGTGTACTCTATTCATTTAATGCTAAATGACTTGACCATTCTTGTGGGATAAGAGATCATTAAAAAAATGCTAGGGCCGGGCACCATGGCTCACGCCTGTAATCCCAGGACTTTAGGAGGCCAAGGCAGGTGGATGACTTGAGCTCAGGAGTTTGAGACCAGCCTGGGCAACATGATGAAAACTCCGTCTCTACCAAAAATCAAAAAAATTAGCCAGGTGTGATGTTGTGTGCCTGTAGTCCCAGCTACTTGTGAGGCTGAGGTGGGAGGATGGTTTGGGCCCCGGAGGTAGAGGTTGCAGTGAGCTGAGATTGTGCCACTGTATTCCATCCTGGGCAACAGAGCCAGACCCTGCCTCAAAAAAAAAAAAAAAAAAAAAAAAGGCCTGGCACAGTGGCTCACGCCTGTAATCCCAGCACTTTGGGAGGCTGAGGCGGGCAAAACACTTGAGGTCAGACGTTTGAGACCAGCCTGGCCAACATGGTGAAACCCCGTCTCTACCAAAAATAAAAATAAAAATTATCCAGGCGTGGTGGCATGTGCCTATAGCCCCAGCTACTCAGGAAGCTAAAGCACGAGAATTATGTGCATCCTGGAGGTGAAGGTTGCAGTGAGCCAAGATCACACCACTCCACTCCAGTCTGGACAACAGAGTGAGACCCTGTGTCAAAAAAAAAAAAAAGAAAGAAAGAAAGAAAAAATGCTTTATGGCCCAGTGCAGTGGCTCACACCTATAATCCTAGCACTTTGGGAGGCTAAGGCAGGAGGATTGCTTGAGGCCAAGAGTTCAAAACAAGCCTGGGCAACATTGCAAGACCCCAACTCTACAAAAAACGAAAAATTAGCCGGGAGCGGTGATGTGTGCCTGTAGTCCCAGCTACTCAGGAGACTGAGGTGGGAGAATCACTTGAGCCTGGGAGGTTGAGGCTGCAGTGAGCTGTGTTTATACCACTGCACTCCAGCCTGCTGGGTAACAGAGCAAGACTCCATCTCAAAAAGAAAAGAAAAAATGCTTTGCTACATAATGAGGCCAGGCAAAAAAAAAAAAGTCCTGTGGAAATCATATAGACAAACATTTGCAAAGCTGCTACTGCCATTGTACCAGTGTTAAACTGTGTTCTACCTTGCATCTTTTACTGATTTTTATGACAGATTTTATATTGTAACCATTCGAGAACTCTGTAAGTGCTATGGCTTCCTTAAACTACGATTTATCATATGCTCCCGGTGTTTACTTTGAGACTGAATGGCAACCAGAGAATGTAAACAACCAAGGTGCATCTGGTTATGTTTTAAAATAAAGATTAATAAAAGTTTTGGTTTTTCTCTTTCTAACCTTCTTTTTAAACTAGAAATATAATACCTATAGAAAAGTAAATGTTGGCCGGGTGCGGTGGCTCATGCCTATAATCCCAGCACTTTGGGAGGCCGAGGCAGGCAGATCACCTGAGGTCAAGAGTTCGAGACCAGTCTGGCCAACATGGTGAAACCCTGTCTCTACTAAAAATACAAAAATTAGCCGGGCATAGTGGCAGACACCTGTAATCCCAGCTACTGGGAAGGCTGAGCCAGAATGGCTTGAACCTGGGAGGCAGAGGTTGCAGTGAGCCGAGATCGCCCCATTGCACTCCAGCTTGAGCAACAAGAGCGAAACTGTCTCAAAAAAAAAAAAAAAGTATATGTTAAGTATAGAAAAATATATAAATTAAAAAATTATAGGCTTGGGGGCCAGGCACAGTGGCTCACACCTGTAATCCCAGCACTTTGGGAGGCCGAGGTGGGTGTATCACTTGAGGTCAGGAGTTTGAGACCAGCCTGGCCAACATGGTGAAACCCCGTCTCTACCAAAAAAAATATATAAAAATTATCTGGGTGTGGTGGCATGTGCCTATAGTCTCAGCTTCTCAGAAGACTGAGGCGTGAGAATCACTTGAACGATGGAAGTGGAGGTTGCAGTGAGCTGAGATCACACTACTGCACTACAGTCTGGGCAACAGAGTGAGACCTTGTCTCAAAAAAAAAAGAAAGAAAAAGAAAAATGCTTTATGGCCCAGTGCAGTGGCTCACACCTATAATCCTAGCACTTTGGGAGGCTAAGGCAGGAGGTTCGCTTGAGGCCAAGAGTTCAAAACAAGCCTGGGCAACACTGCAAGACCCCAACTCTACAAAAAACGAAAAATTAGCCGGGAGCGGTGATGTGTGCCTGTAGTCCCAGCTACTCAGGAGACTGAGGTGGAAGAATCACTTGAGCCCGGGAGGTTGAGGCTGCAGTGAGCTGTGTTTATACCACTGCACTCCAGCCTGCTGGGTAACAGAGCAAGACTCCATCTCAAAAAGAAAAGAAAAAATGCTTTGCTACATAATGAGGCCAGGCAAAAAAAAAAAGTCCTGTGGAAATCATATAGACAAACATTTGCAAAGCTGCTACTGCCATTGTACCAGTGTTAAAATGTGTTCTACCTTGCATCTTTTACTGATTTTTATGACAGATTTTATATTGTAACCATTTGAGAACTCTGTAAGTGCTATGGCTTCCTTAAACTACGATTTATCATATGCTCCCAGTGTTTACTTTGAGACTGAATGGCAACCAGAGAATGTAAACAACCAAGGTGCATCTGGTTATGTTTTAAAATAAAGATTAATAAAAGTTTTGGTTTTTCTCTTTCTAACCTTCTTTTTAAACTAGAAATATAATACCTATAGAAAAGTAAATGTTGGCCGGGTGCGGTGGCTCATGCCTATAATCCCAGCACTTTGGGAGGCCGAGGCAGGCAGATCACCTGAGGTCAAGAGTTCGAGACCAGTCTGGCCAACATGGTGAAACCCTGTCTCTACTAAAAATACAAAAATTAGCCGGGCATAGTGGCAGACACCTGTAATCCCAGCTACTGGGAAGGCTGAGCCAGAATGGCTTGAACCTGGGAGGCAAAGGTTGCAGTGAGCCGAGATCGCCCCATTGTACTCCAGCTTGAGCAACAAGAGCGAAACTGTCTCAAAAAAAAAAAAAGTATATGTTAAGTATAGAAAAATATATAAATTAAAAAATTATAGGCTTGGGGGCCAGGCACAGTGGCTCACACCTGTAATCCCAGCACTTTGGGAGGCTGAGGTGGGAGGATCACTTGAGGCCAAGAGTTTGAAACCAGTATGGGCAACATTGCAAGACCCTGTCTCTACAAAAAACAAAAAATTAGCCGGGCATGGTGGCATGTGCCTGTAGTCCCAGCTACTCGGGAGACTGAGGTGGGAGAATCACTTGAGTCCAGGAGGTTGAGGCTCCAGCGAGCAGTGTTCATACCACCTGCACTCCAGCCTGCTGGGTGACAGAGCAAGATGCTGTCTCAAAAAAAAAAAAAAAAAAAAAAGAAAGAAAAAAGAAAAATGCTTTGCTATATAACGAAGCCAGGCAGGAAAAAAAAGTCCATATAGATAAACATTTGCAAAGCTGCTACTGCCATTGTACAGTGTTAAAATGTGTTCTACCTTGCATCTTTAAATAAAGATTAATAAAAGTTTTGGTTTTTCCCTTTTTAACCTTTTTTTTTAACTAGAAATAATAATACCTATAGAAAAGTATATATTGGCCGGGCGCAGTGGCTCACGCCTGTAATCCCAGCACTTTGGGAGCCCAAGGCAGGTGGATCATGAGGTCAGAAGATCAAGACCATCCTGGCTAACACGGTGAAACCTGGTCTCTACTAAAAATACAAAAAATTAGCCGGGCGTGGTGGCAGGCGCCTGTAGTCCCAGCTACTTGGGAGGCTGAGGCAGGAGAATGGCATGAACCCGGGAGGCAGAGCTTGCAGGGAGCTGAGATCACGCCACTGCACTCCAGCCTGGGCAACAGAGTGAGACTCTGTCTCAAAAAAACAAAAAAGTATATAGTAAGTATAGAAAATATATGAATTAAAAAATCAATGCCGAGCGTGATGGCTCAAACCTATAATCCCAGCACTTTGGGAGGCCGGGGTGGGCAGATCACCTGGGGTTGGAAGTTCGAGACCAGCCTGGCTAACGTGGGGAAACCCCATCTCTACTAAAAATACAAGTTTAGGTGGGCGTGGTGGTACGTGCTTGTAATCCCAGCTACTTGGGAGGCTGAGGCAGAAGAATTGCTTGAGGAGACGGAGACAGGGAATAGGAGATGGAGGTTGCCGTGATCCCAGATAGCACCACTGCACTTCAGCCTGGGTGACAGAGTGAGACTCTGTCTCACAAAAAAAAAAAAAAAAAATTTTAGGCCGGAGGCGAGGTGTGGTGGCTGACACCTGTAATCCCAGCACTTTGGGAGGCCGAGGTGGGTGGATGATGTGAGGTCGGGAGTTCGAGACCAGCCTGGCCAACATGGTGAAACACCATCTCTACTAAAAATACAAAAATTAGCCGCCCATGGTGGTGCACCTGTAATCCCAGCTCCTTGGGAGGCTGAGGCAGTAGAATCACTTGAACCTGGGAGGTGGAGTTTGCAGTGAGCTTAGATTGCACCACTGTACTCCACTCTGGGCAACAGAGCAAGACTCTGTCTCAAAATATATATAATATATATTATTATGTATATATATAATATATATTATTATGTATATGTGTAATATATATTATTATGTATATATATAATATATATATTATATCATAATCCCTTCCCTCACTAAGTAATCACTGACCTACTTGGTACAATAAATATTTCCTTGCTTTTAGTAAGAACACACCCCTAAATGCAATGGTTTATTTTGCTTGCTTTTGAACTCTATAGAAATAAAATCAGGCCTGGCGCAGTGGCTCTCGCCTGTAATCCCACCACTTTGGGAGGCCGAGGCGGGCAGATCATGAGATCAGGAGATTGAGACTATCCTGGCCAACATGGTGAAATCCTGTCTCTATTAAAAATACAAAAGTTAGCTGGGTGTGGTCTCACGCACCTGTAATCCCAGCTACTTGGGAGGCTGAGGCAAGAGAATCACTTGCACCGGGGAGCCGGAGGTTGCAGTGAGTCGAGATCGCGCCACTGAACTCTAGCCTGGCCACAGAGCAAGACTGCATCTCCAAAAAAAAAAAAAAAAAAAAAAAAAAATAGAATTATAGGGTATATACACTTTTGTTTCTGATTTCTTTCAATCAACATTTATTTTAAAGATTCAGTCATGTTATTGTATAGTGCTATAGATAATTTTTTTAGATTCAAAGATTTTTATTTTTTACAAAACCCCAGAATAATAAACGTTATAATTATACATTTAAATCTGGTTGTAAGTTTTATCCTGGCAGCTATTTGTCAATATGCCTTCTAGTTAGAGAGGTTCTGCAAGTTATAATTTACATACAAAGATATTTCGCAATTTTTTTTTTTTTTGAGACGGAGTCTCACTCTGTCGCCCAGGCTGGAGTGCAGCGGGGTGATCTCGGCTCACTGCAACCTCCACCTCCTGGTTCGAGCAATTCTCCTGCCTCAGCCTCCTGAGCAGCTGGAACTACAGGTATGCGCCACCACGCCTAATTTTTGCTTTTTTTTTTTTTTTTTTTTTTTTTTTTAGACGGTTTTCGCTCTTGTTGCCCAGGCTGGAGTGCAATGGTGTGATCTCGGTTCACTGCAACTTCCGCCTCCCGGGTTCAAGCGATTGTCCTGCCTCAGCCTCCCGAGTAGCTGGGATTACAGGCGCCCGCCACCACGCCCGGCTAATTTTCGTATTTTTAGTAGAGATGGGGTTTCACCATGTTGGCCAGCCTGGTCTCGAACTCCTGACTTCAGGTGATCCGCCCGCCTTGGCCTCCCAAAGTGCTAGGATTACAGGCGTGAGCCACCGCAGTAGTCCCAGTTTTGTTTTGTTTTTTTGTTTTTTGTTTTTGATATCTCAATTCCTACAGTTGAGGAAACAAACTAGGAGAGGAGAAGAGGAGGCGGAACTCAAGTGACGGGAAAGCAGGAACTGAAGAAGCGGAGGAAGGATTTCAAAATTGGACGAAAGCCGGTCGGTTTTACTAACGGACCGGAAGGACTCTAGAGAACGCTCTGCACTATGGCTGGTCCCGTGAGCTTGCGAGACCTTCTAATGGGAGCATCAGCCTGGATGGGCTCTGAAAGTCCCGGAGGGTCCCCTACTGAGGGCGGAGGGAGCGCGGCTGGCGGACCGGAGCCTCCATGGCGGGAGGATGAGATCTGCGTTGTGGGAATCTTCGGCAAGACGGCTCTACGCCTGAATTCCGAGAAGTTCTCTCTTGTGAATACGGTGTGCGACCGACAGGTCTTTCCTCTCTTTCGCCACCAAGATCCTGGGGATCCAGGACCTGGAATCAGAACTGAGGCTGGCGCCGTGGGTGAGGCCGGTGGAGCCGAGGACCCTGGGGCTGCAGCCGGGGGTTCAGTTCGGGGAAGTGGAGCTGTCGCGGAAGGTAACCGAACTGAGGCAGGCTCCCAGGACTACAGCCTTCTGCAGGCCTACTACAGTCAGGAAAGCAAAGTTCTGTATCTTCTCCTCACCTCCATCTGTGACAATTCACAGCTTCTCCGGGCTTGTCGGGCTCTTCAGAGCGGGGAAGCTGGAGGTGGACTCTCTTTACCTCATGCAGAAGCACACGAGTTCTGGAAGCATCAAGAGAAGCTGCAGTGCCTCAGTCTCCTTTACCTATTCTCTGTCTGTCATATCTTGCTTCTGGTCCATCCCACTTGTTCCTTTGATATCACTTATGATCGAGTATTCAGAGCCCTGGATGGGCTGAGACAGAAGGTCCTGCCGCTCCTTAAAACAGCCATTAAGGATTGTCCAGTTGGCAAAGACTGGAAGCTAAACTGCCGACCTTGCCCACCTAGACTCCTTTTCCTCTTTCAACTCAATGGAGCCCTCAAGGTAGAACCTCCTCGGAACCAAGACCCAGCTCATCCAGACAAGCCCAAGAAACATTCTCCCAAAAGGAGGCTGCAGCATGCCCTGGAGGACCAGATCTATAGAATCTTCCGGAAGAGTCGTGTCTTGACTAATCAGAGCATCAACTGCCTCTTTACTGTGCCTGCCAACCAAGCTTTCGTGTACATAGTACCGGGAAGCCAGGAGGAGGACCCAGTAGGTATGTTGCTGGACCAACTTAGGAGTCATTGTACTGTGAAGGACCCGGAATCTTTGCTGGTGCCTGCACCCCTTTCTGGGCCTAGGCGATACCAGGTGATGAGGCAGCACAGCCGACAACAACTTTCCTTTCACATTGACAGCAGCAGTTCCAGTTCTTCAGGCCAGCTAGTGGATTTCACTCTTCGGGAATTCCTATGGCAGCATGTGGAGCTAGTTCTAAGCAAGAAAGGTTTCGATGACAGTGTGGGCAGGAACCCACAGCCTTCCCATTTTGAACTTCCTACTTATCAGAAGTGGATCTCAGCAGCTTCAAAACTGTATGAGGTGGCTATTGATGGGAAAGAAGAGGACTTGGGGTCACCCACTGGAGAGCTAACATCTAAGATTTTAAGCAGTATTAAAGTCTTGGAAGGATTTTTGGATATTGACACAAAATTCTCAGAAAACCGATGCCAAAAAGCTTTACCCATGGCCCACAGTGCCTACCAGTCAAATTTGCCTCATAATTACACAATGACTGTCCATAAGAATCAGCTTGCCCAGGCTCTTCGAGTGTACAGTCAACATGCTAGAGGTCCAGCATTTCACAAATACGCCATGCAGTTACATGAGGACTGCTACAAATTTTGGAGCAATGGCCATCAGCTCTGTGAGGAGAGGAGTTTAACTGATCAACACTGTGTGCACAAATTTCACTCATTACCTAAATCAGGTAGCTAAAATTTGTTCAGCATTTTGAAATAAAAACTTTGAGCTGTGTTTTCATTCTTGTTTTAAGATAGTCTGTTCACTATGTATTGATATTTTAGAAAGAGCCCTACAGAAATTTAGGTGCATCAGCTATACGTTTTCTCTCCTGCTGTAAAAGGAAAATATCAGCTATGACTACTTTCTTATTTTTTTTCATTTAAAGGATACGTCCTAGTGAATTGGTAAGTGAGAATTATTAAGTAGTATAAAATTTCAGACATCTCATATTAACACTTTGCCTTGGAGGATTTGTAGAACTAAAATGAATGTTATGTTAGATGATGGTACATGATAATGGTAGCAGGAGGAAAAATTCACTTAAAAACTCTAAACTTTACATTTATAATATAAAGTATTTTATATACTTTCACTTGCTTCTTCTGTTATGTGTATTTAGGTAAGGTTTTTGTTTGTGGGGTTAGATGTTGTAGAATGCAAAGTAAATTCGCACATTGTGTTTATGAAATTAATAGTGGCTGTTATATTTTCCAGGAGAAAAACCAGAGGCTGATAGAAATCCGCCTGTGCTATATCACAATAGCCGAGCTCGATCTACTGGTGCTTGCAACTGTGGAAGGAAACAAGCACCTCGAGATGATCCCTTTGATATCAAAGCAGCCAATTATGACTTCTATCAGGTAGACTCTGAATTTTTTCTTCTTCCTCTTCTGTCTTTTTTTGTTAAATATCATCTGAGTAAAAACATATTTTCAATAGCAGAGTAAGTAGAAAAGCAAATGCAACTGCAGTATAATATATAAACAGGAGCAAATTCTTTATGTGTACATATTTACTTACACATCAATTATTGATCTTGTTAGAATGAAGAATATTATTTAAAATGAAAAACTTACTGGATTTTTTTTCTTACCCTCTATAGCTTCTGGAAGAAAAGTGTTGTGGAAAATTGGATCATATCAATTTCCCAGTATTTGAACCAAGTACTCCAGATCCTGCTCCTGCTAAAAATGAATCCTCTCCTGCTCCTCCAGATTCGGATGCTGATAAACTTAAAGAAAAAGAACCTCAAACCCAAGGAGAGAGCACGAGCCTGAGTTTAGCTTTGAGTTTGGGCCAATCCACAGATAGCTTAGGTACCTATCCAGCTGATCCACAAGCAGGAGGAGATAATCCAGAAGTTCATGGTCAAGTAGAAGTGAAAACTGAGAAGAGGCCAAACTTCGTTGATCGACAGGCATCCACAGTTGAGTATCTCCCAGGCATGCTACATTCAAATTGCCCTAAAGGTCTCCTACCCAAATTCTCCAGCTGGTCTTTGGTTAAACTAGGCCCTGCTAAGTCTTATAACTTTCATACAGGTTTGGACCAACAGGGCTTTATTCCAGGAACAAATTATCTTATGCCTTGGGACATTGTCATCAGGACTAGAGCTGAAGATGAAGGAGACTTAGACACAAACTCTTGGCCTGCTCCAAATAAAGCTATTCCTGGAAAGAGAAGTGCGGTTGTAATGGGAAGAGGAAGACGGCGAGATGACATAGCTCGAGCTTTTGTGGGCTTTGAATATGAAGACTCTCGAGGTCGGAGATTCATGTGCTCTGGGCCTGACAAAGTAATGAAAGTAATGGGAAGTGGGCCAAAGGAATCAGCTTTAAAAGCCCTAAATAGTGACATGCCCTTATATATTCTGTCATCCTCTCAAGGTAGAGGGCTGAAACCTCATTATGCTCAACTTATGAGGCTTTTTGTTGTGGTTCCTGATGCTCCTTTGCAGATAATACTAATGCCTCAGGTAAGAAATATAACCCTCTGCAGCCCCAAACAAGTAAAAAATGCTGATGTTTGTTTTGATTGATTTTAAAAAGTACAAGTTAGCCTCAAAACTAATTATTTCAGGCTGAGGGCAGTGGCTCATGCTTGTAATCCCAGAACTTTGGGAGGCCAAGGTGGGAGGATTGCTTGAGCCCAGGAGTTTAAGACCAGCCTGAGCAACATAGTGAGACTTGTATCTCTACAAAAAATTAAATTAAAAAACGAATTATTTAATTAAACAGGTCTTAAATTTAAATACCTTCCATACCTAATATTCTGTTTTTTAAAAAATACATTGTGGGTATTTTAATCCGTTCATGCTATCAATTCACATCATTTCATTCAAAGGCAGAACTTGAAGTTAAAATTCTGGAGAAAAGGCCGGGTACAGTGAGTCACGCCTGTATTTCCAGCACTTTGGGAGGCCAAGGCAGGCGGATCACCTGAAGTCAGGAGTTCGAGACAAGCCTGGGCAACATGGCGAAACCCCGTCTCTACTAAAAATACAAAAAATTAGCCAGGCGTGGTGGAAGGCGCCTGTAATCCCAGCTACTTGGGAGGCTGAGGCAGGAGAATCACTTGAATCAACCTGTAAGCGGAGGTTGCAGTGAGCCGAGATCGCGCCATTGCACTCCAGCCTGGGTGACTAAGAAAGACTCCATTCCCCCTGCAAAAAAAAAAGTTCTGGGGAAAAGCAGAATAATATTTGAGACTAAATAATATACTATTGGATACAATTAGAGTTAGGAGTGTACCCATATCTGCTTAATCTTATATATTCTTTTATTTATTTATTTGTTTGTTTTTTTGAGACAGTCTCGCTCTGTTGCACAGGCTGGAGGGCAGTGGTGCAATCTCAGCTCACTGCACCTCCGCCTCCTGGGTTCAAGCTGTTCTCCTGCCCCAGCCTCCCCAGTAACAGATTACAGGCACACGCCACCACACCTGACTAATTTTTTGTATTTTTAGTAGACATGGGGTTTCTCCATGTTGGCCAGGCTGGTCTCGAACTCCTGACCTCGTGATTCACCTGCCTCAGCCTCCCAAAGTGCTGGAATTACAGGCGTGAGCCACCAGGTCTGGCCTTGTATGTTCTTTGAACCTATCGTCTGTTTAGGCATTTATCTTTCAGTTGTTTCATATTGAGAAATGTGAAAATAATTATACTACCTGTGTTTTTCAGGTTCAGCCAGGCCCACCACCATGTCCGGTATTCTACCCAGAAAAACAAGAAATCACCCTTCCACCTGATGGCCTTTGGGTTTTGAGATTTCCTTATGCATATGTGACTGAGAGAGGACCTTGTTTCCCCCCTAAGGAAAATGTGCAGTTAATGAGCTACAAGGTGCTCCGTGGGGTTCTTAAGGCAGTAACACAATAAGTGTTTTCCAGCCAGTTCAATCCTATACTTGAGCTGGTTTTTGTTTTTGGTATTTGTGGCTGTGTTTTTGGTATGTGTTTACTGTGTTTTCCCAAATCCAAAATGTGTTTTGGTTACAGGAGTTCAGTATTTGGAAACTAATTTGTTCTACTTTTTCATTATATTGTTGATATTTATTGTAAACGTGACTACAACTTTCTAATAAAGATTGGTTGTTCTAGAAAAGAATATAAAATACATGGATGATACCTGTTTTTTCTCGTTTCTGTTTTACTCTCCATAATTAAACATGTTTCTATTATAACTGAATGTTGCATAACCATGTTGAGCCAAAATTTTGTTTTTGTTAAAATAATGTTTTAGCTGGTTTTTTTTTTTTTTTTTTTTTTTTTTTTTTTTTTTTTGAGACAGAGTTTCACTCTTGTTGCCCAGGCTGCAGTGGAATGGTGCAATCACGGCTCACCGTGGACTTCGCCTCCCAGGTTCAAGCCATTCTCCTGCCTCAGCCTCCCAAATAGCTGGGATTATAGGCATGCGCCTCCACGCCTGGCTAATTTTGTACTTTTAGTAGAGACGGTTTCTCCACCTTGGCCAGGCTGGTCTCGAACTCCTGACCTCAGGAGGTGATCCGCCCACCTTGTCCTCCCAAAGTGCTGGGATTACAGGCATGAACTACCAAGCCCAGCCTAGCTGGGATTTTTTTTAAGATACTAGTCTTGAAATTATCTTCTAAACAAGTTGATACATTAGGTTATCTGGTAATAATATGAAGATACTTGATTTAATTCCAAAAAAAGCACAATTGGTTGACTCACAATTCTGGTACTTTAGTTAAACGGTTTTGTTCTTATCTTGGCCTGATGAGATACCATAATTTAAACGAATATTATCTAAACTAAACTTTTTAATCCAGTATATTAATGCGAACTATTCTTTTTTTTTTTTTTTTGAGACGGAGTCTCACTCTGTCACCCAGGCTGGAGTGCAGTGGCGGGATCTTGGCTCATTGCAGCCTCCGCCTCCTGGGTTCAAGTGATTCTCCTGCCTCAGCCTCCTGAGTAGCCGGGATTATGGGCACGTGCCATGACGCCTAGCTAATTTTTGTATTTTTAGTAGAGGTGGGATTTTGCCAAGTTGCCCAGGCTGGTCTTGAACTCCTGACCTCAGGTGATCCACCTGCCTTGGCCTCCCAAAGTCTTGGGATTACAGGCGTGAGCCACCTTGCCTGGTCAATGCAGACTATTCTTTAAAAATTCCTGTACTGTGAAACAATTTGCTAAGTGATCCAAATCTTATCAATCAGGCTGGGCACAATGGCTCATGCCTTTAATTGCAGCACTTTAGGAGGTTTAGGTGGCAGGAGGATCCCTTAAGACCAGCCTGGAAGACATAGTGAGACCTTGTCTCTACAAAGAAAAAAAAAAAAGATAAAGATGTGGTGGTGCATGCCTGTAGTCCCAGCTACTCAGGAGGCTGAGGTGGGAGGATGGCTTGACCCCAGTGGGTCTAGGCTGCAGTGAGCTGTGATCATACCACCCCAACAGAGCAAGACCCTGTCTAAAAAAAAAAAGATCTTGGGCCAGGTGCAGTGGCCCATGCCTGTAATCCCAGCACTTTGGGAGGCCGAGGCAGGTGGATCATGAGGTCAAGGGATCGAGACCATCCTGGCCAACATGGTGAAACCGCATCTCTACTAAAAATACAAAACCTAGCTGGGTGTAGTGGCACACCCCTGTAGTCCCAGCTACTCGGGAGGCTGAGGCAGGAGAATCACTTGAATCCGGGAGGCGGAAGTTGCAGTGAGCCAAGATTGCGCCACTGCATTCCAGCCTGGTGACAGAGTGAGGCTTCGTCTCAAAAAAAAAAAAAAAAAAAAAAAAAAATTCTTACCAATCTATGGTAACTTTCACCAGCATCCACATGACAATATGCCACTATATCACCATCTAATTTTTATCACCATCTAGTTGTTATCACCAATCAGATGGCAATATAGTGGTATATTGTGATATATCACCAATTAGGTAAGTACAAATTAAGTTAACATACCTAAACTCTTGTGTAATTGATTACATTTCCATAGACACACTAATTTTGAAACGTTGGACAAATAGAATTGTAGATTTTAGTCTCAATATATAGGAAATATGTATTTAACACATCTTGCTACATTTAAAGCCATTGTTTTTTAATTTAAAAATATACATAGGCTGGGTGCGGTGGCTTACACCTGTAATCCTAGCACTTTGGGAGGCCGAGGCAGGAGATCGAGACCAGCCTGACCAACATAGTGAAACCCCGTCTCTACTAAAAATACAAAAATTAGCCAGGCCTGGTGGCGTGCTCCTGTGATCCCAGCTACTTGGGAGGCTGAGGCAGGAGAATCACTTGGACCCAGGAGGCAGAGGTTGCAGTGAGCCAAGATTGCGCCACTGCACTCCAGCCTGGGTAACAGAGTGAGACTCCATCTCAAAAAAAAAAAAAAAAAGTAAATGCTCCTCTTTCTTCTCTCGCCTTCATTAAAAGAAAATTATATAAAATAATAAAAGAATTCAGAACTCTGACTTTGAATTCATACTTTTCCTGTTGTTCTGTCTTCTTAGAAAATATAAGAATGAACCTGTAATCCCAGGACTTTGGGAGGCCAAGGTGGGCAGATCACTTGAGGTCAGGAGTTCAAGACCAGTCTGGCCAACATGGTGAAACCCCATCTCTACTAAAAGTACAAAATTAGCCGGGCCCAGTGACTCATGCCTGTAATCCCAGCACTTTGGGAGGCCGAGGCAGGTGGATCATCTGAGGTCGGGAGTTCGAGACCAGCCTGACCAACATGGCGAAACCCTGTCTCTACTATTAGCCGGGCCAGGTGATGCATGCCTGTAATCCCAGCTACTCGGGAGGCTGAGGCAGAAGAATCGCTGGAACCCGGGAGGCAGAGGTTGTGGTGAGCTGAAATCGTGCCATTGCACTCCAGCCTAGACAACAAGAGCGAAACTCCTTTTCAAAAAGAAAAGAAAAGAAAAGAAAAATATACACACACACAATATTAGCCAGGCGCGGTGGTGCGCATCTGTAGCCCCAGCTACTCAGGAGGCTGAGGCAGGAGAATCACTTGAACCCCCGGGGAGGCAGAGGATGCAGTGAGCCGAGATGGCACTGCTGAACTCCAGCCTGGACCACAGAGTGAGACTCTGTCTAAAAAAAAAAAAAAAGCGGTTAGAATTTGAGGTTTATATATAATCTAAAATTTACGGGTGGGAAGGGGTAGGGGGTACTTCCAGAAGAACAAATGACTTCTTAGAAGCTGGGGAGAAAGCACTTTTTGGAAAAAGAAATGATTTTTTGGAAACATAAATGTGTCCTTAGGAGAATACCCATGAGATGTCATACTTTTGTGACAATGTCTCTCATCTCTGACAGGATTAGAATTGTTCCCAGGGAGGAGATTTATGACAGTTAAGTTCTTCTGGGAGCCTTTGATTTTAGGTTGATAAGGGATTCCAGGAACTTAAATGCCTTCAGCTCAATATATATATATTTTTTAAGAGACAGAGTCTTGCTCTGTCGCCCAGGCTGGGGTGCCGTGGCATGATCTTGGCTCACTGCAAGCTCCGCCTCCCAGGTTCAAGCCATTCTCCTGCCTCAGCCTCCCTAGTAGCTGGGACTACAGGCATGCACCACTATGCCTGGCTTATTTTTGTATTTTTAGTAGATACGGGGTTTCACCATGATGGCCAGGCTAGTCTCGAACTCCCGACCTCAGGTGATCTGCCTGTCTCAGCCTCCCAAAGTGCTGGGATTACAGGCGTGAGCCACCATGCCCAGCCTCAAAATAATTTTTATGCCACAGTGGTTTATTCTAGACGCTTCCATAGTCATCAGGTGATATTTTGAAAAATAGAACTATGTGCGTCAGTTGATCTACAGGAAATAGTTTAACAGCCCTAAACAGAACACATGATTTTTTAACCTGTAAGTTTCCTCAGAATGTTGCTCTGTTGCCCAGGCTGGAGTGCAGTGGCACCATCAAGGCTCACTTCAACCTCGACTAAAGGAATTTTTTTTTTTTTTTTTTTTTTTTTTTTTTTTTTTTTTTTTGAGACGGAGTCTCGCTCTGTCACCCAGGCTGGAGTGCAGTGGCGCCTTCTCGGCTCATTGCAACCTCTGCCTCCCGGGTCCAAGAGATTCTCCTGCCTCGGCCTCCTGAGTAGCTGGGATCACAGGCACACGCCACCACCCCTGGCAAATTTTTGTATTTTTAGTAGAGATGGAATTTCGCCATGTTGGCCAGGCTCCTGACTTCAAATGATCTGCCCGCCTCAGCCTCCCAAAGTGCTGGGATTACAGGCTTGAGCCACCGTGCCCAGCCACCCCCTATTTTCTTCTAATTTTCTTTTTATAGTTGAGATAGGGTCTTGCTCTGTCGCCCAGGCTGGGGTGCAGTGGTGCAGTCATAGCTCACTGCAGCCTCGATTTTCCAGGCTCAAGCAATACTCCCACTTCAGCCTCCCAAGTAGCGTGACTACAGGTGCACGCCACCACGCCGGGCTTATTTTGTTTTATTTTTTGTAGAGATGGGGTTTCGCCATGTTGCCCAGGCTGGTCTCGAACTCCCGGGCTCAAGCGATCCACCCTTCCTTCCCGGCCTCCCTAAGTGCTGGGATTACAGGCGTGGGCCACCGCGCCCGGCTGAATCAGGATTTTAAATATTCACTCTGCTTTTCTAGTCCTGTGGGAGATATGGTCTTCTCCGTAAAATTTCTCCCTCAGTCCTGGGTGATTTATTTCTTTTGCATTGAAGTGTGTGGCTTTTCGTGTGTTAGCAGTTTGTAATTTGTCGGGTAAAAGGAAAACTAGTAGGGCCTTCTGGAACTTAGTTATCTGTCTTTCTAGGACTTTTAGGTAATACCTTATAACCTTAACAAAGTTTCCTTATTTTATACGGACTTGTAAGTCAACAAATACTTCTACAGTGCCTATTGTGTACAAAGAATGAGGATTGCACTTTCACAATGAAATGAGGGAGGACAGGGGCCGATCTCTCAGATATTTGACTGATAAACCAGTACCTTTTCTAGTATATGCGACCATAGGGGAAATTCTCTCTAGGCTAGATAAACGGAGGAGTTTATTTAGTGTTTTAGCAAGCTTTATCGCCTCCATAGGTACAAATTATTTGCATTTTCTAGAGCAAGGGATAAGACGCGCCCTGGAATCTTTCCTTTTTGATGTGGATTTTCCAATTAGGAAAGGCTGCCCGTGAATAGTCTTTTCTGCTTGAGTGATGGCCAACACACTGGCAGGTTTGCAAGCTTTCTCTTCATGAGGGTCCGTCCACAGAGCTAGGTGACAAACGCTCAGTCCAGGATCTCTGCAGGTTCCTACACGGGAGCCGGAGAGCGCCTGCGCGTCGGAGCCTCTTTGTTGCTGGGGCGCTGGGGTCCAGCTGCGCGTGCGCAGTAGGCCGGCACCGACAAGTGCGCTGCACCAGTGGCACCGGCTGGGGGCGAGCCGACCTCGAGCAGCCGCCGCCGCCGCCGTCGTTGCTACTGCCGCAGCGGAGTTCAGAGGGCCCGGAGGTGGGAGACTTCCCACACGGTGACTGAGATGTCGTCCACTGCGGCTTTTTACCTTCTCTCTACGCTAGGAGGATACTTGGTGACCTCATTCTTGTTGCTTAAATACCCGACCTTGCTGCACCAGAGAAAGAAGCAGCGATTCCTCAGTAAACACATCTCTCACCGCGGAGGTGAGAGGGGTCCCCAGAACCCGATGACGGAGGTGGGGGAGGCTGAGGGTCCTTTGCGGCTCCGCAAAAGGCAGCCGGGTGCCAATCCCTGAGAGTTTGAGGAAGAATGGGGTTGTGTGAATTGAGGGCTCTTCCGGAGGTGAAGGCTGTGTGAAGGGAAGGTCTCCTGAGGGGAGGGAAGGAGAGGGATTCCCGGTCAGAGCCACGGCGGGGGTCTCTCGAGGGCAGCAGTGTGAGGGGTTCTCTGAAACGGGAAAGACACGGTCGAGAATGAAGGGTAGGTGGAGCGTTTCTCGGCGGATGGAAGGATGATCGCAAGGTCCCTTCCTAGCAGCAAGACACAAAGGGGGAGCGCCGTGCAGAACCGAGGGTACCCCGCGGGGGGCACCGGGAGCACACTGCTCCGAGCGAGCTAGTGGCTGAGTGGATGGGAAGAGCCGAGGCGACGAGGAGGGCTGGGGATTTGCATGAAGCTGGACGAGCTGTAACCCCTTGTCTGCGGTGCTGGGGGCCCGTCCCACCCCCACGTTCCGAGCACTCATAATTGAGAAGAGAGGGAAACCGAGTCCCCCGAGCCAGGGACATTTCCCAAGGTCACAATTAGAGCTAGGGCTGAACTGAGACAGGAGCTACAGCGTCCTGGTCCTCAGGGCTGGAAACCTTGCATCTTTTTTTTTTTTTTTTTGAACACTGCAATAAATAAATAAATAAATAAATAAATAAATAAACACGCAAAGACACGTGGATTTTCAACAGACTAAAAATGATTTCGTTTAGGACAGGACAGTATTGTTTAAAGAAAACAAAAATAAGTTTCTTTTGGAAAAGTGTTTTGCTAAAAGGAGCCCAGGTAGTCCACCCTCTAATTTCCCAGATAACAGGCCAAATCTTTGCTTCTTCATTATTGTGTAATAATGTGTCTTCATTGCATTTCAACTATGATGTATAAAGTGCGGTGAAATTGGATTATTTTCAATCAATTTTAACTGTTCTTTAAGGCTGAATCTTAAACCGGTTTAAAATTTGCTTGAAATTTAATACACACTTGAAATGATAATTTCTAGGAGTTTACAGTCTAAAACTTGGTGTAGTACCATAATCACTTTACTAACAAGTATTGGCCAAGGAAAAAGGTTTTGAAATATAAATACGGAAGTACATTATCATTCTTCTATATAATTTTATTAGTTAAGCATAGTTCTAATGAGTGACTTCAATAGTATTCTAGCCTTCCCACTCATGAAAAGCCTCAGAGGTTTTAAAGGGTGGTCAGCCAAATGCCTTGTTATTGTTTATTTGGGTTATCTGTTTTAATAGCTACCTGGTTAAACTGTAGGATGACATTTAACTACTAAGGTGCCTTCAACCATTGGAACCAGGGACCGACTTTTAGTATTCAAGTTGCTGTCACAGAAGCAATTTTCTTTTTTCTTTTTGTGTTTTTGTTTGTTTGTTTTTTTGTTTGTTTGTTTTGAGATGGAGTCTCGGTCTGTCACCCAGGCTGAAGTGCAGTGGCGCGATCTCGGCTCACTGCAAGCTCCTCCTCCCGGGTTCACGCCATTCTCCTGCCTCAGCCTCCCGAGTAGCTGGGACTACAGGCGCCCGCCACCACACCCAGTTAATTTTTTTTATTTTTAGTAGAGACGGGGTTTCACTGTCTGAGCCAGGATGGTCTCGATTTCCTGACCTCGTGATCCGCCCATCTCGGCCTCCCAAAGTGCTGGAATTACAGGCGTGAGCCACAGTGCCCAGCCTTTTTTTTTTTTTTTTTTTTTTTTTTGAGACAGAGTTTCCCTCTTGTCGCCCGGGCTACAGTGTAGTGGTGCCATCTTGGCTCACTGCAGCCTCTGCCTCCTGTGTTCAAGCGATTCTCCTGCCTCAGCCTCCCGAGTAGCTGGGATTACAGGCTCCCGCCACCACGCACAGCTAATTTTTGTATTTTTAGTGGAGACGAGGTTTCACCATGTTGGCCAGGCTGATCTCAAACTCCTGACCTCAGGTGATCCACCCGCCTTAGCCTCCCAAAGTGTTGGGATTACAGGCGTGAGACACTGCACCCTGCCAGAGGCAATTTTCAATGATAGTAGTCCTATTCTGGGGATAGGCAGTACACATTACTTTTTTGTTTGTTGTTTACCGATTTACAAAAAGTATGCTTACTAAAAACTCCAAAACAAAACAAAACCAGATCCTCTAAAAAGCTATCTAAACTGTCATTGTGAATGATCAAAATTTTATTTTAGAAGAAATACTTGTCGATCTTTGAAATTTTGCAACACTCTGCAGGTGAAAAAACCCAGCACTCCATAGGCGTTAAAGACTGTGTGCTAGATTATCACAACAAGTATCAAAGCCAGGATAAGCTAGACCTCAAATTTTCGTTTACTGTTGAAAATACTTTAAAACTATTTTCTTCCTAGATATTAGGTCATTTCAATATTACCTCTTATATAAAAATTTCCATTCATTATTTGTAAATGCGGCATCAGTATTTATATATTTAAAGATGTAATGGAACTTTTTGTGATAATCTTATTAAATATCTGCAGACTCAAAATCTGTTTTACCTATATAATGGTCCTATAAACACTGTGGTAAGTTCCCATGTCAGTGCTTCATATGCTTTTGTTGAATATGTACACTCAATACTCCAGTTGAATCCAGAGTGATAGAGGAGATAAAACACTTTGTAATTCAAGATACTACGTCTCTGGAAAATAAGAGACAATGTAACTAGGAAGGAATCACTCCATTGATTGCCTTTAATTTTTGTCTTCGACACGGATAATAGCAATCACTGGTCTCTCTGTGCAATTTGGGCTTATTCTCTACTGCCATAACTGCAAATACCTGATATTTACTTATTTTTCCCTATAAGTAAGGAAACAGTGATATTTCTTGTAAATTAGATATGTGACCATTGAAACATTAATCATGTTATGTGTATAAAGTATATGCAACTGAATTGACATAACCTAAAACTTGAATATCTACTCTATTTCTAGAATATTATGTCTACTGCAAAAACACATGTCTGTAATCCCAGCTATTCAAGAGGCCGAGGCAGGAGAATCACTTGAACCTGGGAGGCGGAGGTTGCAGTGAGCCGAGATGGTGCCACTGCACTCCAGCTCAGGCGACAGTGCGAGACTCCGTCAGGGCACTCCGAGGGGTTGAATCACAGATGGACAGATGGCTCTTTCTCTCTCCACCTTTTTTTTGAGACAAGTTCTCACTCTGTCACCCAGGCTGGAGGGCAGTGATGCAATCACTGCCATCATGATGAGCTTGACATCATTTAATTCTTAAAGACTTTCCTAATGAACTCAGATGTTAACAAATGTGATTTTTAAAATATTGCATACCGTGTCAACATATAGAAGACCAGCATGATTCAATGAATCAATAGTTTCCAAATGATTTATGCATGCTATTATAAAATCATGCATGGGTGAAAGATCATTCAAAGTTCAAGATGGGCCAATGGATTTTCACATAATAGAGTATGAAGTGATTACTCATATGGTTCAAATTCCATATTGCAATGACCTTTTAAGAAACTACCACTTGTAAGAAACTACCACTTGTGGGCCGAGCAAGGTGGCTCATGCCTATAATCCCAGCACTTTGGGAGGCCGAAGCGGGCGGATCACGGAGTCAGGAAATCGAGACCATCCTGGCTAACGATGGTGAAACACCGTCGCTACTAAAAATACAAAAAAAGTTAGCTGAGCGTGGTGGCGGGCGCCTGTAGTCCCAGCTACTCAGGAGGCTGAGGCAGGAGAATGGCGTGAACCCGGGAGGCGGAGCTGGCAGTGAGCCGAGATCGCGCCACTGCACTCCAGCCTGGGCGACAGGGCGAGACTCCATCTCAAAAAAAAAAAAAAACAAAAAACAAAAACAAAAAAAACTACGACTTGTTGAGCCGGGTGTGATGGTGCCTACCTGTAGTCTCGGCTATTTGAGAGGCTGAGGCAGGAGGATCACTTGAGCCCAGGAATTTGAGGTTGTTGCTATGATCGTGCCTGTGAATAGCCGCTGAACTTCAGCTTGGGCGACATAGCAAGACCCTGTCTGTAAAGTAAACAAATTACCACTTATTGAAATTTGATGCCATATCAAAGAAGACTCATTTCCAACTACATATCTGTGTGACAATGGGTATATATGAAGCAGATATGAGAATCTTGCTGCTTTCTGTTAAGTCAGATATTAAAGAGATTTGCAAAAATATAAAACAATACCACTCTTTTCATACATTATTTTATTTAGAAAAACAGTTACTTTTCATAAAAATGTTATTTTAACATATAATGTGTTTATTATTTTCTTTCTTTTCTTTTTTTTTTTTTTTTTTTGAGATGGAATCTTGCTCTGTTGCCCAGGCTGGAGTCCAGTGGTATGATCTCGGCTCACTGCAACCTCCACCTCCCAGGTTCAAGTAATCCTGGTGCCTCAGCCTCCTGAATAGCTGGGGTTACAGGTGGTGCCACCACGCCCAGCTAATTTTTATTTTTTATTTTTTGTATTTTTAGTAGAGATGGGTTTTTGCCATGTTGCCCAGGCTAGTCTCGATCTCCTGAGCTCAGGCAATTAGCCTGCCTCACCTCCCATAGTGCTAGGATTACAGGCATGAGCCACCACACCTGGCCTATTTTCAAAGCAAGGTAGTTAAAAGGATGCAGAAATCAGCTTGAAGGAACTAATGAAGTTGACTTTGATCACTTGATGAGGTGGTGTCTGCCAAGCTTTTCCACTGTGAGGTTACTTTTTCTCCTTATAATTAATAAGAGAAAAGGCTCATAATTAATAAGAGGCCACCCACCGCGGCCTCCCAAAGTGCTGGGATTACAGGCATGAGCCACTGTGCTCGGCCAATTTTTGGAGGGAGATACTTTAAAACTACACAAATACCCAATTCCTTAACAAATTATCAATCCATTTATTAAAATTGATTCAAAATTTATTTTATTTTATTATTATTTTTTGAGACGAAGTCTTGCTTAGTCTCCCAGGCTGGAGTGCAGTGGTGGGATCTTAGCTCACAGCAACTTCCACCTCTAGGGTTCAAGTGATTCTCCTGCCTCTGCCTCCCAAGTAGCTGAGACTACAGGTACCTACCACCATGCCCGGCTAATTTTTGTACTTTTAGTAGAGATGGGGTTCACCATGTTGGCCAGGCTGGTCTCAAACTCCTGACCTCAGATGATCCACCAGCTTCTGCCTCTCAAAGTGCTGGGATTACAGGCATGAGCCACCGTGCCCAGCCTGGATTCAGAATTTCTTATTCACTGATTTAAAAATCTGTTTACTATCATTATTTTGATGCTAGCACTGTCCCAGATTTGTCCAGTGAGAGGTCCTTCAAGCTGGCTTTTGTGTTCTTTTAATTTCTTTGCTCTTTGGTACAAGTGGTCAGTAGTTTAACTTAACTTACTGGTAACCCCTTTAGCACTCTTGTCTTTTTAGAAATATTTTGTGGTGCTTTGTTTTTGAATATTATCTGAATATAATGTATTTCCATAGTTTTAGATCAAAACAAGGGCCAACTAGCCTCATCCAGTAAAGGGTTATCTAACCTTGAAAGGAGACTTAAAAAAAAAAACCTATACCCTTCATATTTACTGCATCTGTTTTCTATCATGCATCAACTCTAGTAACCAAGTGAACCTAAAATCAAACTAGTAGTTTTTTGTTTTTACGTGGGTATCTTCCCTCTGCTAAAGTTATAAAATTTTAGCATATTAAAGCTAATGTATTTGTTTCTGCATATCTTGTATTTCTGTTGATTATTAATTAGGTCATCATAAAAATACAACCTAACAATATAAAAGAAGAAAAATTTAATACAAATATGTTCAGATGGTATTGTATATAAAACATTTTAATGCTAATACTTAAGTCCTTTAGGTACTTTGAGCAGTACCTTTTGTGTGTGTGTGTGATGGAGTTTTGATGTTGTTGCCCAGGCTGGAATGCAGTGGCGCGATCTCAGCTCACTGCAACTTCCGCCCCCTGGGTTCAATCAATTCTCTGTCTCAGCCTCCCGAGTAGTTGGAATTACAGGCATCTGCCACCATACCCAGCTAATTTTTTTTTTTGTATTTTTAGTAGAGACGGGGTTTCACCATGTTGGCCAGGCTGGTCTTGAACTCCTGACCTCAGGTGATCCACCTACCTCGGCCTCCCAATGTGTGGGGATTACAGGCATGAACCACCGCGCCCACCCTGAGCAGTACCTTTTTATTGAGAGTTTATTGAATTGTCTCTTTCTATTAAGAAGAAATTGACTGTTTTTCCAAAGTGTATGGAAAATTATTTCCAAAGTATTTTTCTGTATATTTCATCAATTATTTGGTAACACTGAAATGTTTTAGTTTTAAAACATTTTAAGCTGGTGATGGTGGCACACACCTGTAATCCCAGCACTTTGGGAGGCCGAGGATCACCTGAGGTCAGGAGTTTGAGACCAGCCTGGCCAACATGTTGAAACCCCGTCTCTACTAAAAATACAAAAATTATCTGGGTATAGTGGCATGTGCTTACAGTCCTAGCTACTCGGGAGGCTGAGGCAGGAGAATCACTTGAACCCAGGAGGTGGAGGTTGCAGTGAGCTGAGATTGCACCACTGCACTCCAGCCTGAGCGACGGAGCAAGATTCCAACTAAAAAAAAAAAAAATTTAAAACTTTTGGGTAGCATGCATAAAGTTAGTTAACTCTTTTTACATAGTATATAATATTAGACAATATTTTATAATTCAATATGTTCACATCAAAATCTGTGTCCTTTTTTAAAAATTACAATATTATTTATTATTGCAGTTAATGGACATTTACCAAGTACCTATTCTTTACCAGTTACTATGATAATGGCAATAGTAATAATAATTCTAATAATAGCAATAATCCTTTACTTTCATGGAATGTTTACTCTAGTATTTCATTGAATCTAATGCCATTGGTTATAAATACACAATTTTTACATACTGTTAAGAAAGAGACCTCTATAAAAGTTGATTTAAAATAAGAGAGAAAATCTTGCCAATTAAACTGTTCATTATACAGCATTAATTGTAAAATACATCTTAACTTCAGAGATGTTAAGAAATGAAAAGTTATCATTTTAGAATTGAATGGCTGGGCACAGTGGCTTACGCCTGTAATCACAGCACTTTGGGAGGCCGAGGTGGGAGGATTGCTTGAGCTCAGGAGTTTGAGACCAGCCTGGCCTACACAGTGAAACCCCGTCTCTACTAAAAATACAAAAGA
The DNA here is from genome assembly GCF_000001405.40 of Homo sapiens. Classification (NCBI taxonomy): domain Eukaryota; kingdom Metazoa; phylum Chordata; class Mammalia; order Primates; family Hominidae; genus Homo; species Homo sapiens. Next base: position 59,228,022 of record NC_000017.11, read on the forward strand.
ATTAGCCTGGTGTGGTGGCGCACGCCTGTAGTTTCAGCTACTCAGGAGGCTGAGGCAGGAGAATTGCTTGAACCCAGGAGGTGGAGGTTGCAGTGAGCCGAGATTGTGCCACTGCACTTCAGCCTGGGTGACAAAGAAAGACTCCATCTAAAAAAAAAAAAAAAAAAAAAAATTGATAAAATACAGCAGTTTAAATATTAACTCATTTGATTATACCAATTCTATGAAAGTTTCTTAGGTAGCTTTTCTAAGGTCACACAATTATTAAACAGATTGGAGACCAAGCATCCTAAAACTCCAGAGTCTCACCCTTAACCACTAGACTATACTGCCTTCAGTCAAGGTGATTAAAACACAGTCACTTCTTTTAAGCAATTCATGGGAATGGGAGGAGAGAAACAGGTAAATAATTTATGCCATAATATGATAAATGCCTTAGTAGAGCTATGCATAAGAGACTATGGGGATACAGAGGAGAGACTGTTTAACTCTGTCTGAGGAGACTTATGTGTACCAAATCCTCTTCTGTCTTTCCTTTGACAAATAAGTGGATATTATAGCTTAAAAATCATGGTTAGGCCAGCCAGGCACAGTGGCTCATGCCTGTAATCCCAGCACTGTGAAGCTGAGGCAGGAGGATTGCTTGAGTCTAGGAGTTTGAGACCAGCCTGGGCAACATAGTAAGACCCTGTCTCTAAAAAAAAAAAAAATTAGCTGAGCATGGTGGCATGTGCCTGTAGTCCTAGCTACTTGGGAGGCTGAGACTGGAAGATTGCTTGAGCTAGGAGTTTGAGGCTGCAGTGAGCTCCGACCATGCCACTGCACTCCAGCCTGGGCAACAGAGTGAGACCCTGTCTCAGAAAAAAAAAAAAAATCAGTTTAGGTTCTGTTTTAACCCTCCTGTGTTACTGTGGCTGTGTTTTGATTTTTGATTTCTACTGTTGCAGCTAAAAAAAAATTCAAAATACAGGTTAAGCTTCCCTAATCTGAAAACCTGAAATGCTCCAAAATCTGAAACTTTTTGAGCACAGACATAACTCCACAAGTAGAAAATTCCTAGTAAAAAATAACATGAGGAAAAAAATTTTTTTCCTCAAATTGTTATTATTATTATTATTATTATTATTATTATTATTATTATTATTATTTTGAGACAGAGTCTCGCTCTGTCGCCCAGGCTGGAGTGCAGTGGTGCAATCTCAGCTCACTGCAAACTCTACCTCCTGGGTTCAAGTGATTCTCCTGCCTCAGCCTCCGAGTAGCTGGGATTACAGATGCCCGTCACCATGCCTGGCTAAATTTTTTTTTTTTTTTGACACAGAAGTGCCTGTAAACTGGGATTACAGGCACCTGCCACCATACCCAGCTAATTTTTGTATTTTTAGTAGAGATGGGGTTTCGCCATGTTGGCCAGGCTGGTCTCGAACTCCTGACCTCAGGTGATCTGCCCGCCTCGGCCTCCCAAAGTGCTGGAATTACAGGCGTGAGCCACTGCGCCTGGCCTAATTTTTGTATTTTTAGTAGAGATGGGGGTTTCACCATGTTGGCTAGGTGGGTCTCGAACTCCTGGACCTCAGGTTATCCGCCCGCCTCGGCCTCCCAAAGTGCTGGGATTACAGGCATGAGCCACCACGCCCAGCCATAAATTTTTTAAAAAGAAAAATATATATATAACGAATTCCACACCTGACCTCATGTGACAGGTTGCAGTCAAAACAAAAGCAAACAACACACGGCTTATTCAGCGTCCCCAAGGGAAAAAAGACTCTTCCAGCTCCCTTCAGTTACAATATATCTTTTCTGAGTATGTCCAGGTTTCCTTATGCAAGCGTGCCCACAAAGGGTAATAAAATGGCACATGTTCAGACTGATCACACCAACAGCAGATTCCCCATGATGCCCTACATGGTGCCAAGACCTATATGCATTATTTATTGTGTGTTTTTGTTTGCTTGCTTGCTTGCTTATTCTCTGCTCTTTGGTATAAAGATGTGAAAATATCAAAAAGGACCACAGATACCCCTATGGGTTATAGTGATGAGAAAAATAGGTAACATTTATGTTTATCTATAGCACAGAAAGTCAAGGTGTTATAGAAACTGAACACTGGTGTAAGTGTGAAATACCTTACAGAGGATATGGTATTAGAATGACCACTATATATGACCTGAAGAAAAAGAAGGATAAACTGTTGAAGTTTTATATATATCAGAAGTAGTATATATAAAGTGGAAGTGATGAACAGAAGTTAATTAAAAATAGAAAAACTGCATAAAGCTAAAATGAAGATCTCAAGCGATGAAGTTAAAATGAAAGGAACTGTGAATATTGAACAGGCCAGTTGTAGAATTTTTTTTTTTTTTTTTTTTTTTTTTTTTTAGATGGAGTTTTGCTCTTGTTGCCCAGGCTGGAGTGCAATGGCGCGATCTTGGCTCACTGCAACCTCCGCCTCCCGGGTTCAAGCGATTCTCCTGCCTCAGCCTCTCGAGTAGCTGGGATTACAGGCATGCGCCACCATGCCCGGCTAATTTTGTATTTTTATTAGAGCTGGGGTTCCTCCATGTTCGTCAGGCTGGTCTTGAACTCCCGACCTCAGGTGATCCGCCTGCCTCAGCCTCCCAAAGTGCTGGCATTACAGGTGTGAGCCACCATGCCCGGCCCAGTTGCAGAAATTTAAGAGAAGACATGGCATTACATTTTTAAAGATTAAAGGTGATTAGCATCTGCTGGTCACGAAGCAGCAAAGAAATACATTGACAAGTTTGCCAGGGTCATTGCTGTTGAAAATCTGACACAAGAACAAGTCTATAATCCTGATGAAACAACACTCTTTTGGCATTATTGCCCCAGAAAGACACTGACTGCAGCTGATGAGATGGAAATTAAGGATGCCAATGACAGAATAACTGTGTTAGGATATGCTGATGTAGCAGGCATGCATAAGTGTAAACTTGCTGTGGTAGGCAAAAGCTTCCTTCCTCACTGTCTTCAAGGAGTGAATTTCTTACCAGTCCGTTATGCTACCAAAAAGGCATGCATGGGTCACCAGGGACATCTTTTCTGATTGGTTTCACAAACATTTTGTACCAGCGGCTCGTGCTCACTGCTGGCAAGTTGGACTGGATGACAACTGCAAGATTTTGTTACTCCTTGATAACTGTTCTGCTTATCCACCAGCTGACATTCTCATCAAAAATAATGTTTATGCCATGTACTTTCCCCTAAACGTGACTTTAGTAATTCCATGTGACCAGGCTATGCTTGGATCAATGAGAGTAAATATGAAAACATTTTCTTTCTTTCTTTTTTTTTTTTTTTTTTTTGAGACGGAGTCTTGCTCTGTCGCCCAGGCTGGAGTGCAGTGGCACGATCTCAGCTCACTGCAAGCTCTGCCTCCCGGGTTCACGCCATTCTCCTGCCTCAGCCTCCCGAGTAGCTGGGACTACAGGCACCCACCACCATGCCCAGCTAATTTTTTGTATTTTTAGTAGAGACGGGGTTTCACCATGTTAGCCAGGATGGTCTCAATCTCTAGACCTCATGATCCACCCGCCTTGGCCTCCCAAAGTCCTGGTATTACAGGCGTGAGCCACCGCGCCCAGCCAAAAACATTTTATTGTGCAAGCAGTGATAAACAGAGGTGTGGGTGTGACCTTTTGTTCTTTTTTAAGTTTTTTTTATTTAAAATTAAGACAACTGCAGATTGTCCCCATGGATGACTAACATCGTTGACTCCTTTGCTTTCTGATGGTTCAGGGTACACAAACATTGTTTCATGCATAAAATTATTTAAAATTATTTTTGCTGTGTTGCCCAGGCTGGTCTCAAACTCCTGGGCTCAAGCGATCTTTCTACCTCAGCCTCCCAAAATGCTAGGATTATAGGCATGAGCCACCATGCCCTGCCAGAAAGTTTTCAAAAGGAGTTTAGCATGAAGGATGTCTTGTATACTGTTGCCAATGCTTGGAAATCAGTGAATAAAGATAAATTTGTGCATGTCTGGCACAACTCTGGCCTTTGACTATGTTTAGCGATGATAATGAACAAGTTGGTGACTTTTAAGGATGCCATATGTCGACAAAGTGAGAAAAAAATGATGTCTGACCTCCTTACATATACAAAAAATTGCCTTCAGAATTTGTCAGTACAAGCTGGGCGCGGTGGCTCAAGCCTGTAATCCCAGCACTTTGGGAGGCCAAGGCGGGCGGATCACAAGGTCAGGAGTTCGAGATCAGCATGGCCAATATGGTGAAACCCCATCTCTACTAAAAATAAAAAATTAGCCGGGTGTGGTGGTATATGCCTGTAGTCCCAGCTGCTTGGGAGGCTGAGGCAGGAGAATCGCTTGAACCTGGGAGGCGGAGGTTACGTTGAGCCGAGATCACGCCACTGCACTCCAGACTGGGTGACAGAGCGAGACTCCGTCTCAAAAAAAAAAAAAAAATTTGTCAGTACACTGAAAGAAATGGATATCGAAGAAGTTTTTAACGTTGATCATGAGGTTCTAGTTGTTCATTAATTGACCAATGGTGAAATAGCCAAAATGGTTCTGAATCAAGGTGATCATGATAATAGACATTATAACAATATAGATGATGTTAACATGGCATAAAAAGTGCCCATAGACAACATGATGAAAATATGTGATGAGCTTATTGAAGGACTAGAGCAGGGTGCATTTATAACAGGACAAGAAATCATGTTCTTTTATAAAATCAAAGAGAGACTTCTAAGACAAAAACTTGTCAGTAAGGCACATGACTCTGGAGGAAACATTTTAAAAAGCCATCTAGCAGAATTCCCCCTCACTCCTAGAGAACCCACTTCCTGGTCCTTCAACTACTTCTGATGTTTCTTCTCACTTAAAAAAAAAATAACAGTGTATGGTAATTTTTTAATCAAAACACAGTGAGGCTGGATGCAGTGGCTCACACCCGTAATCCCAGCACTTTGGGAGGCTGAGGTGGGCAGATCACTTGAGGCCAGGAGTTCAAGACCAGCCTGGCCATCATGGCAAAACCCCATCTCTACTAAAAGTATAAAAATTAGCCAGGCATGGTGGCACACACCTGTAATCCCAGCTACTTAGGAGGCTGGGGCACAAGAATCACTTGAACCTTTCAGGTGGAGGTTGCAGTGAGCCGAGATCATGCCACTGCACTTCAGCCTGAGCAACAGAGTGATGATCTGTCTCAAGAAAAAACAAAACAGGCCGGGCGCGGTGGCTCACGCCTGTAATCCCAGCACTTTGGGAGGCTGAAGCGGGTGGATCACGAGGTCAGGAAATGGAGACCATCCTGGCTAACACGGTGAAACCCCGTCTCTACTAAAAAACAAAAAATTAGCCGGGCGTGGTGGTGGGCGCCTGTAGTCCCAGCTACTCGGGAGGCTGAGACAGGAGAATGGCGTAAGCCCGGGAGGCGGAGCTTGCAGTGAGCCGAGATAGTGCCACTGCACTCCAGCCTGGGCGACAGAGCGAGACTCCGTCTCAAAAAAAAAAAAAAAAAAGAAAGAAAAAACAAAAACAAAACAATGAGACAGGTGGAGACTAAACACCTGCCTTTTTTGTTGCTGTTTTTAACAACTGATATAGGTATTCTGGTGATGCTACTATGTTACTTAGTTACCCTGAACATTATTTTTTCATTGCATTAGTGGTATTTCGTATTTTTTACTGTTAAGTACTTATGTATGAATAAGTGTAAGAAAATGCTTATCGGTAGCCTATAAATTCAGTCAAGAATGATGGTGATGCCAAACAACTACAGATTGTTCTCATGAATGATGAAGAGAGTGGCTCCTTTGTTTTCTGATGGTTCAGTGTACACAAACTTTGTTTCGTGCATAAAATTATTTAAAATATTGTGTAAAATTATCTTCAAGCTATGTGTATGAGGAGTATATGAAAACTAAATAAATTTTATGTTTAGGCTTGGGTTCTATCCCCAAGATCTCTCATTATATATATGCAGATATTCCAAAATCTAAAGAAGTCAGAAATCCAAAACACTTCCAGGCCCAAGCATTTTGGATAAGGGATACTGAACCTGTACCATTACACTCTTTAAAACACTTGTACACTTTGGGAGGCCGAGATGGACAGATCACGCGGTCAGGAGATCGAGATCATCCTGGCTAACACGGTGAAACCCCGTCTCTACTAAAAATACAAAAAAAAAATTAGCCGGGCGTGGAGGCGGGCGCCTGTAGTCCCAGCTGCTCAGGAGGCTGAGGCAGGAGAATGGTGTGAACTCGGGAGGCGGAGCTTGCAGTCAGCCGAAATCACGCCACTGCACTCCAGCCTGGGTGACAGAGCAAGACTCCGTCTCAAAAAAACCCAAAAAAACACTTGTAATGTCTACCCCCAAAAAAAAAAAAAAGGTCAAGATTCATTAGGTGTATTTTATTAAAATTAACTTCAGGAAAATTAAAATGTTCAAAATAAGTAAATATAGTTTAAATTTTCACAGGTGCTGGAGAAAATTTGGAGAATACAATGGCAGCCTTTCAGCAGTAAGTATGTAAAAAAGGTAAAAGGTACTCTTTTCTTTTACAGTTTGCAGGCTTTCTTTAAAGTGATGATGATCCACAAAGTGAGGATAGTGTAAGTGTAGCATCAGTTTGTGATAGTTGTTTCTATTTTGTTAAAATTTCTTTTTTTAATTAGTTGGTCAGAAGTGTTACAAAGAGTTTGGCTTCTGTATTACTGAAAAAGCAGATGGGAGTTTAGGGTAATCAAAAGATACTATAGTTACAAAGCTGAAAGAAGACATTTGTAACAAGGAATGTACTGTGTATAATGCTAATTAGTCTTGGAGAGAAAGAGAAAATGAAACAACTGTTACAGTGGCTGCTATTTATGAACAGGATTATGTGTCTTTGTACCCAGTAATTTTTGTACAGAACTGAACCTGCAATCTGGTTTCTTCTTGGAAGCCTCAGGAGTGTTGATCTTTTTTTTTTTTTCAAATAAAATACATTTTTAAATTCCTATATATAATTTCATATAAGTGTCTTTTAGAGCACCTCACAGAGAAGCAGCAGGAGAGACAGGAATGAAAACTAATTAATACCTCGTTCTTTGTCTTAGAGTCAATGATTATCATCAGTCTATGGTAATCATGAGAACACTGTTTTTCCTGAAAAATAAAGCAAAGGATGTGAAAAGTTAAACCCAATGAAAGACATTACCTATCCATAATTAGTAAGGTCCATATTTAGTAAGATAAATATTTTCTTATATAATTTTTGAGCCAATTAATGTATATAATTGGGACTAAGAAATTTGGAGAATTTGACTTCACTTTTTGTTCTGCTTCTCACCATTCAAAGACACCTTAGAGATTATTTTTCCTATTATTATTAGGTACAAAGCTATTGTTTTTTCATATTCTAGTTTCACCTAAATCCTATCTTCCTTGTATTTGTCATCTCTTACTCTTCTTGTTCTATACTATGATGCCTTTTGTTTATGATCTCAAAAGCCTCTTACAAAAATGTAAAATTTTGGCCAGGCATGGTGGCTCACACCTGTAATCTCAACACTTTGGGAGGCCAAGGCGAGGCAGGTTAATCACCTGAGGTCCGGAGTTCAAGACCAGCCTGGCCAACGTGGTGAAACCCCATCTCTACTAAAAATACAAAAATTAGCTGGGCGTGGTGGCATGCGCCTGTAAGCCCAGCTACTCGGGAGTCTGGGGCATGAGAATTGCTTGAACCCGAGAGGCAGAGGTTGCATTGAGCCGAGATTGCACTGCTGCACTCCAGCCTGGGCAATAGAGTGAGACTCTATCTCAAAAAAAAAAAAAAAAAGTAAAATTTTTCCTCCTATCACAGACCATGAAATGGACTATTTTAATTTAAATACTTTATTTATTTTCTCTACTTGGATTACATATCTGGCTAGCTAGCCATAACTAAATATAGATGTATAATTTTATGTGTACAAATTATACAACATATACACACACTATCATATATCATCTGTTGCCCCTGAGGTAGGTCATACATATAACTTGAGAAAAAAACTACTCATAACTTTGAGTGATTTTAGCATTCTTCATGCTTAAGGTACATTATTTTATGTTTTTCTCCATATTTTTTTGTTAAATTTTTACCAACCACCATTATTTATGAAATTAAAACACTGGGTTATACAATAAGTTATTTTAAAGGATGATACATTTGAAAATATCACAATTTTTTCTAACCTTTGAAGATTTTAATCCTCTTAACATTTTTCTGATATTTAAAGGATATCTAATTTAAATGGTTTTTACTTGCTAAATACAACATATTTTTCATCTTGAACAGTTTTTATATAGTTTTGTTCAAATAGTAACTACTGAAAAGTACCACAGCCTTCTGTATCATGTGGAAGCTTTCTATTACTTAAAAAAAATTTTTTGGAGATTTTTCTAGTACTTCAGAAGAAGGGAACACCTCTTTCACATGCTATTTTTGTTGTTGTTGTTGTTGTTGTTTGTTTGTTTGAGACAGAGTCTTGCTCTGTCACCCAGGCTGGAGTGCAATGGCGGGATCTCAGCTCACGGCAATCTCCACCTCCCAGGTTCAAATGATTTCTCTGCCTCAGCTTCCCGAATACCTGGGATTAGAGGTGCCCGCCACCTCTCTCGGCTAGTTTTTAGTTTTATCTATTTATTTTTTTAATAGAGACAAGGTTTTGCTATGCTGGCGAGGCTGATCTCGAACTACGGACCTCAAGTGATCTGCTCACTTTGGCCTCCCAAAGTGCTGGGATTACAGGCGTGAGCCACCGCACCCAACCTTTCATATGCTATTGTTAATGTTTGTTAGATGTATTTATTTGTAAGGCTGCTTATCAACTGACCTAGAAATTTATATAAAACCCCTCTTTTTTTGAGTTTTTCGTTGTTAGTGGTGGTGGTTTGTGTATGTGTGTTACACATTAGTGCCCTTGCTATGAATACATACTTTTTAAAATTGTAGTTCAAAAAATTACAAATATTCTACTGTTAACTGCTAGGAAACTTAGAAGGTTTTTTTTTGTTTTGTTTTGTTTTCATACTTGTTTCATTGAATAACAAGAAAAGACTGTTTAAACATACTATTTTGGCCAGTCGCAGTAGCTCACACCTGTAATCCCAGCACTTTGGGAGGCCAAGGCTGGTAGGTCACTGGAGCTCACAAGTTCAAGACCAGCCTGGGCAGCAGGGTGAAACCCCATCTCTAGAAAATGCACAAAAAAAATTAACCGGGCGTGGTGGTGCAAGCTGTAGTCACAGCTACTCTGGAGGCTGAGGTTGGAGGATGGCTTGAGCCTGGAAGGTAAAGGTTACAGTGAGCCGAGATGGCACCACTGTACTCCAGCCTGAGTGACAGAGCCAGACCTTGTCTCAAAATAAATAAATAAATAAAAATAAATAAACATACTGTTTTAAAGGTACTGTATATTAAAATACTAAAGAGTTGTAATGTACAATCAGGAGAAGATACATACTATGCTTAAGTATGGTATATTCTTGATAGCATGGGTAGTTGAGGGAGAGATAGTAAAAATAAAATGACCAGCTAAAACTTAGATCTTATTTATGTACATATTTAAATACACATTTCACAAAGCATATAAATTTCAAAATGGAGGTGAAGATGAGGAGATATTAATGACAATATAAATAGTTGGTGTGGGAAGCCTGATTAAAATTAACCAGAAAATCAAAAGGTATTAAGACTAGAAGGGCTGTCATTTGAAGACAAGAAGGAGCTATTTTGAAAATGTAGGGTCAGCTGGGTGCAGTGGCTCACACCTGTAATCCCAGCACTTTGTGGGGCCAAGGCAGGCGGATCACTTGAGATGAGGAGTTCGAGACCAGCTTGGCGAACATGGCAAAGCCCCATCTCTACTAAAAATTTAAAAATTAGCTGGGCACAGCCTGGGCAACAGAGCAAGACTCCGTCTTAAAAAAAAAAAAAAAAAAAAAAAAGGCCGGGCATGGTGGCTCATGCCTGTAATCCCAGCACTTTGGGAGGCCGAGGCGGGTGGATCACCTGAGGTCGGGAGTTTGAGACCAGACTGACCAACACGGAGAAACCCCATCTCTACTAAAAAGACAAAATTAGCTGGGCATGGTAGCGCATGCCTGTAATCCCAGCTACTTGGGAGGCTGAGGCAGGAGAATCACTTGAACCCAGGAGGCGGAGGTTGCAGTGAGCCAAGATTGTGCCATTGCACTCCAGCCTGGGCAACAAGAGTGAAACTCCATCTCAAAAAAAAAAAAAAAAAAGAAGTAATTAAAACTGACAGAAGTAATTATGTCTCACAATGTATGAAATATCCTTTAATGTGGTTTATAACATGCTTTCACAAACACCATCTCCCTTAGGTTATGAATATGGCTCTTCTATTATTTTTTATTTTTTTTTTTTTCCGAGACGGAGTCTCACTCTGTTGCCCAGGCTGGAGTGCAGTGGCAAGATCTCGGCTCACTGCAACCTCTGCCTCCCAGGTTCAAGCGATTCTCCTGCCTCAGCCTCCCGAGTAGCTGGGACTACAGGCGCATGCCAGCATGCCCAGCTAATTTTTTGTACTTGTAGTAGAGACAGGGTTTCACCATGTTAGCCAGGATGGCCCCGATCTCCTGACCTTGTGATCCACCTGCCTTAGCCTCCCAAAGTGCTAGGATTACAGGTGTGAGCCACCGCACCCAGCCTTGTGTTATTTCATTAGGAGCAGGAATCTTTTCTTACTGATTTCAAAATTCTTAATGCCTAACTCAGGCTCTGACATAAATAGACACTCACTAGTTGCTTACTGAATGAAATATGGAATGGGACATTCAGGAATAAAGCAGAACATTAGCAAAAGACTGATGAAGGAGACAGAGCCTCCTTCATAGTAAAGCACAGAAGCAAAAACTAAGGAATTGTACTATACACATATACACAGAGCCACTAAACCCTTGAGTATGTAAGATGTGGTTCTCAAGGGCTAATAAAACTAGGTTATTAAACCAGGCTGCCTTAGGAAATACCCGTAGGACAATGTGATACCTATAGTATTAGCCGGAATGGTAAGGAGAAAGAAGCAAATTGTATTAGCAATAGCTAGAAGTGTAAGTTGGCAGACAGCCAGAGTAATTAATCAGTGACCTGGTTCTCATGATAAATATTTTAGAATATCTAATTAATATGACTATCTATGAAATGGGAATAGTGATACAACCTCAGTGTTGTGAAGAGTAAATGAGATTCAAATAAATTCTTTAACATGGTGCCTATTTTAAGTTGTTATGCATTGTTTCTGTGGAGTTTCTTTCACATTTTCTTTTAGAGCTAGAGTTTTTATTTCTTTTTCTGGAAATGTTGAAACCTTGGCATCTCCAACTTCTTTTTTGTATTTTTTTTTGTATTTGTCAACAGCTTGTCAGAAATTCAGCTATAAAATATCTGATATTTCAATGGAAGTAGGTGCATGTTGTTATTCATGGAAATTTTTGAAGGCAAAAGTGATAAAAAAATTTTTCTCACTGTGTTCTAGCTATTTACATATCAAATTTGGGATAATTTTACTAGAATAATTTACAAGTTGTCCTAGATACACTTATTATTGTTCTAATTTTTTTATCTATTAGTTTGTCAATAACAATAAGCATACATAGAAAATATTTTTCAAATAATTCCTAAACATTTCTAAAAATAGCCAGCATTTCAGCTAGAGACAAACTTCAAACTTAGAAAGATTTCTGAGGTAATATGTATAGTTTTTTTTTTTTTTAATTGCCAGCATAGGACACACTGTTTTTTTTTTTTTAACCTCCCCCTCTCCAGCTCAAGCGATCCTCACACTTCAGCCTCCCTAGTAGCTGGGACTACAGGGCATGCCTCCATGCCCGGCTAATTTTTCATATTTTTTTTAGAGACGGGGTTTTGTAGAATGATTCACCCACCTCGGCCTCCCAAAATGCTGAGATTATAGGCCGGAGCAACTGCACCTTTAATTTTACACTTTGGCTGGGTGCAGTGCCTCATGCCTGTAATCCCAGCACTTTGGGAGGCCGAGGCGGGCAGATCAGGAGGGCAGGAGTTCGAGACCAGCCTGTCCAATGTGGTGAAACCCTGTCTCTACTAAAAAATACAAAAATTAGTTGGCGTGGTGATGCGCGCTTGTAGTTCCAGCTACTCAGAAGGCTGAGGCAGGAGTATCGCTTGAACCTGGAGAGCGGAAGTTGCAGTGAGCCGAGATCATGCCACTGCACTCCAGCCTGGGTGACAGAGTGAGACTCTGTCTCAAAAAAAAAAATAAGAAGTTTAAAAATGTTAAATAGAAAAAAACTTACATAATAAGGATATAAAGAAAGAAAATATATTTGTACAGCTGTAAAATGTTTGTGTTTTAAGGTATTATTACGAAAGAGTCAAGTTTTTTAAAATTTAAAAGTTTATAAAGAAGTTACAGTAAGCTAAATAGGTATTTTTTAAATTTTATTATATTTTTAAGAGACAGGGTCTCACTTTGTCTCTTAGGCTGGAGTACAGTGGCATGATCATAGATGAACTCCTGGGCTCAAGCGATCCTCCTGCCTCAGCATCCCAAGTCACTAGAACTACAGGGATGTGCCACTATACCTCCCTAATTTTTAAATTTTTTTCGTAAAGATGAGATCTCTCCATGTTGCCCAGGCTTGTCTCCAACTCCTGACCTCAAGCAATCCTCCTGGCTCGGCCTCCCAAAGTGTTGGGATTACAGGCATGAGCCACCGTGCCAGGTCTATTTTTAAAATAAATTTCATGTTGCCTAAGTATACAGTGTTTATAAGGTCTACAGTACTGTATAGTAATGTCCTATGCCTTCCATTCACTCACCACTCACTCAGTGACACCAAAAGCAACTTCCAGTCCTGCAAGCTCCATTCATGATAAGTGCCCTAATGCAGGTGTCCCATTTTTATCTTTTATATCATATTTTAATTGTACCCTTTCTGTGTTTAGACAGATTCACAAGTACTTAACACTGTGTTACATTTGCCTGTAGTATTTAGTACAGTAATGTGCTGTACAGATTTGTAACCACGGAACAATAGGCTATACTCTATAACATAGATGTTTAAATACCATCTAGATTTGTGTAAGTGCACTCTGTGATGTCCGCACAATGACAAAATTGACCATACATTTCTCAGAACATACGCCCATTGTTAAGTGGTGCATGACTTTATAATATTTTTATATTATGTGTTGTAAGAATACAGGAGTATACATTTACCCCACATAGGTGATTCACAGATAAAATAAGAATCATGTGAGCTAGTGTATTTATTTATTTATTTATTTTTGAGACGGAGTTTCGCTTTTGTCGCCCAAGCTGGAGTGCAATGGTGCGATCTTGGCTCACTGCAATCTCTGCCTCCCGGGTTCAAGCAATTCTCCTGCCTCAGCCTCCCGAGTAGCTGAGATTACAGGCATGCGACACTATGCCTGGCTAATTATTTGTATTTTTAGTAGAAACGGGGTTTCATCATGTTAGCCAGGGTGGTCTTGAACTCCTGACCTCAGGTGATCTGCCGCCTTGGCCTCCCAAAGTGCTGGGATTACAGGCATGAGCCATCGTGCCCAGCCTCTGAGCATCCTTTTAAATACACTAGCTGAGCTGGGTGCCGTGGCTCATGGCTGTAATCCCAGCACTTTGGGAGGCCGAGGCGGGTGGATCACTTGAGTTCAGGAGTTCGAGACCACTCTGGCCACATGGTGAAACCTCATCTCTACTAAAAATGCAAAAATTAGCTGGGCGTGGTGGCAGGTGCTTGTAATCCCAGCTACGCAGGAGGCTGAGACAGAAGAATCGCTTGAACCTGGGAGGCAGAGGTTGCAGTGAGCCGAGATTGTGCCACTCCTCTTTAGCCTGGGCAACAAGAGCAAAACTCCGTCTGAAAAAATAAAAATAAAAGGATGCTCAGTGTTTATTAGATTAAATTCCTGCTGTAATTTACTATGATGAGGTTGAATAAATTGATGTCAATAATATTGTCTTGTAGATAAGAGATAATATATTCTGGGTTTTTTTGTTTGTTTGTTTGTTTTTGAGACAGAGTCTTGCTCTGTCACCCAGGCTGGAGTGCAGTGGCATAATCTTGGCTCACTGCAACCTCCACTTCCTGGGTTCACGAGATTCTTCTGCCTCAGCCTTCCGAGTAGCTGGGATTACAGGCTTGTGCCACCACATTCAGCTAATTTTTGTATTTTTAGTAGAGACAGGGTTTTCCCATGTTGGCCAGGCTGGCCTTGAACTACTGACCTCAGTTGATTCGCCTGCCTTGGCCTCCCAAAGTGCTGGAATTACAGGTGTGAGCCACCATTCCTGGCTAAGAGATATATTCTTAATGGCAGTATATTTGTTTTTCCATTATAAAAGTTTATATTCTAAAAATTCAAACAACTCAAATAATCTATGTGAAGTAAAAAATTGGCCTGCTCACTTTCCTACTCCCATTCCTACTCATCTCACTTATAAGAGGTAACTCCTGTTATGATTTGGCCTTATATCTTTCTATTATTTTAAAAATTTACACACAAACTTTTTTTACATAAACTTTATTTTACATCAATAAAATCATATGATTGATGCAGATAGTTTTTGCTCCTAGTTCAGCTAAAACCAGGTTCTTGTCACATGACCAGGAAAGATTAGGCACACAGACACATTCAAAGGTGACGAGAGCAGGAATTTATTAAAAGAAAGCTCTCAGCAAAAAAAGAAGTCCTGCTAACAGGCTCCCACCTCATAGACTGATCACCAGGCCACCACACATGAGCTGAAGAGGCCAGGCCCCTCACCCCTGCACAAGGGATGAATTCCCATGGCTCCACCCCCTCCTTGCAGTGCACATGTGGGCATTATTCAGAAAGAATCTGTCCAGAGGCTGGGCATGGTGGTTCACACCTGTGATCCCAGCACTTTGGGAAGCAGATCACCTGAGGTCAGGAGTTTGAGACCAGCTTGGGCAACATGGTGAAACCCCATCTCTACTCAAAATACAAACATTAGCCAGGTGTGGTGGCGGGTACCTGTAATCTCAGCTACTCGGGAAGCTGAGGTGTGGGAATTGCTTGAACCTGGAAGGCAGAGGTTGCATTGACCCAAGATCACGCCACTGCACTTCAGCCTGGGTGACAGAGTGAGACTCTGTCTAAAAGAAAAAAAAAATTATTCAGGAAAAGGTGGGCAGGCTGGGTGCAGTGGCTCACGCCTGTAATCCCAGCATTTTGGGAGGCCGAAGAGGGTGGATCACCTGAGGTCAGGAGTTTGAGACCAGCCTGGCCAATATGGTAAAACTCTGTCTTTACCAAAAATACAAAAATTAGGTGGGCATGGTGGGGCACCTGTAATCCCAGCTACTTGAGAGGTTGAGGCAGGAGAATTGCTTGAACCTGGGAGGTGGAGGTTGCGGTGAGCTGAGACTGTGCCGTTGCATTCCAGCCTGGGCAACAAGAACGAAACTCAGTACCCCCCAACCAAAAAAAAAAAAAAAGTGAGCGAACTGGGGCAGTTCTCCCTCTGGGTTGCAGTTTTATCCTGGACCAACAGTTCAGTCTTTCAGCCATCAGGCTGTTTTAGGCTTGAAGGTGGGGTTCCACCAGGGATCCTTGGCTGTCTCCTATCTCCATCATCGTACCTATTTTAAAATTCAGATATACCCCAACAATGCTATTCCATGTGAATTCTATATTCTTTGAATGACTACACATTACATACTATGGATTTGGATCATGATTGATAAACACTTAGGTGCCAACTGAGTTGGAATTAATTAAAATTTAAAATATTAATAGATGTTGATAATGAAAACATGGCTCCATTCCCCTCATTTAGAAATATATTTAGTACCTACAATGTGCCCAACACCATAAACATTAGAAAATATGGAACAGACATAGGCCCTTCTGTTAGTGGCGGTGAATCCATAGAGGTCTGCAGCAACCTCAATTCTTGCCTCCTCAGAAGAAAAAAATTGACCGAGGGCTTAAGGCAGAAGGAGAGACCAAGGCAAGTTTTACCACAAGAGTGAAAGGTTATTAAAAAGCTTTAGAGCAGGAATGAAAAGAAGTAAAGTACATTTGGAAGAGGGCCAAGTGGTGACTTGAGAGATCAAGTGCCCAGTTTGACCTTTGACTTAGGGTTTTATATGTTGGGATACTCCGGGGTCTTGCGTCCCTTCTCCCTTGATTCTTCCCTTGGGATGGGCTGTCTGCATGCACAGTAGCCTGCCGCTACTTGGGAGGGGCCACATGTGCAGTGTGTTTACTGGAGTTGTACTCATGCTCTCTTGAGGCATTCTTCCCTTACCAGTCGAATGCTCCTAGAAGAGCATTTTGTATTTTAGTAGAGACAAGGTTTCACCATGTTGGCCAGGATAGTTTCAATCTCCTGACCTTGTGATCTACCCGCCTTGGCCTCCCAAAGTGCTGGGATTAGACGCCTGAGCCACCACACCTGGCCAATTTTTTTGTATTTTTAGTAGAGATGGGGTTTCACCTTGTCGGCCAGGCTAGTCTCAAACTCCTGACCTCAGGTGATCTGCCTGCTTTTGCCTCCCATAGTGCTGGGATTACAGGTGTGAGCTACCGTGCCTGTCTAATTTGGATGCTTTTGTTAATTTTTTTCTTGCCTAATTGCTAGAGCTTTCAATACTATGTTAAATCAAAGTAATAAAAGTGGCCAGGTGCAGTGGCTCATGCTTTTAAAACCTTGCACTTTGGGAGGCTGAGGCAGGAGGATCACATGAGCCCAGGAGTTCAAGACCAGCCTGAACAACATAACAAGACCCTATCTCTACTAAAAATAAAAAAATTAGCTGGGCACAGTGGCATCCATCTGTAGTTCCAGCTACTCAGTAGGCTGAGGCAGGAGGATCACTTGAGCCCAGGAGTTTGAGGATGCAATGAGCCATGATCATGCCATTGCACTCCAGCCTGGGCAACAGAGCAAGACTCTGTCTCAAAAAAATAAAATAAATAAAAATAAAAACAAGCATCCTTGTCTTGTTATTTAATCCTTTCATTTTATAGAAGTGAAAATGTAGTCCCTGAGAGAAGAATTTACTTGCCCAAAGTTATGCAAATTCACAGCAAAGCAGGAATTAATATCAAATCTCTTAACTTCAGATTCAGTATTCTGTCTATTATATTCAGTTGAAGAATTAAGGATAACTGGATATGGAAAGGAGGCAACATGATTCTTTTATTCTCAGTTCATTTAGAATATTTTCATATTAATAAGTCATACTAAGTGATGGTATTAAGGAGATATTTTAGTATTATGGGATTTTGGATTTGTAACTCTGAATTGTTAGATCTCATGCATGTAACCCAAATGTATACTTAAGTGTCAGATGTCATTCTTCTTTTATTTCTTCAGTGCGGTTAAAATCGGAACTGATATGCTAGAATTGGACTGCCATATCACAAAAGATGAACAAGTTGTAGTGTCACATGATGAGAATCTAAAGAGAGCAACTGGGGTCAATGTAAACATCTCTGATCTCAAATACTGTGTAAGTAAAAATGCATGATAAACTAATATCTAATAGATGTCGCGGCCTATAAGATTTTTTTTAAAATAGCGAATATCAGCAAAAAATTTCTAATATTATTTAAATACTGATTAAATACTAAACATCAAAGGAAATTTTAAAAAACTACTTTGAGGCCAACTGTACTGGCTCATGCCTATAACTGCAGCACTTTGGGAGGCTGAGATGGGAGGATTGTTTGAGGCCAGGAGTTTGAGATCAGGCTAGGCGACATAGCAAGACTCCATCTTCATTAAAATATAGGAAAATTGGCTGGGCACAGTGGCTCACACCTGTAAGCCCAGCACTTTGGGAGGCCGAGGCGGGTGGATCACCTGAGGTCAGGAGTTCGAGACCAGCCTGGCCAACATGGTGAAACCCCATCTCTACTAAAAAATACAAAAATTAGCCAGACATGGTGGTGCCCCTGTAATCCCAGCTACTTGGGAGGCTGAGGCAGGAGAATCACTTGAATCTGGGAGGTGGAGGTTGCAGTGAGCCAAGATTGCGCCACTGCACTGCAGCCTGGGCAAGAGTGAGACTCTGTCTCAAAAAAAAAAAAGATTATTATAACGTATATATTCATTATAGTAAATACTCATGAACGGAAGGAAAAATCATGCATAATGTTACTGCCAAAAAAACACTTATGTTAACAGGATTCTACCTTATGTAGAAGGATTCTACCTTTTATGTTTTTTAGATTTGTATTCTCACTGTGCATCATGTATATTGAATTTTAGACACTTTAAAATTATAACATGATAATGGCCGGCCTCGGTGGCTCACACCTGTAATCTCAGTACTTTGGGAGGCTGAGGCAGGCAGATCACCAGAGGTCAGGAGTTCGAGACTAGCCTGGCCAACATGGCAAAACTCCGTCTCTACTAAAAATACAAAAATTAGCCGGGCAGACAGATCACCTGAGGTCAGGAGTTCGGGACCGCCCTGGCCAACATGGTGAAACCCCATCTCTACTAAAAATAGAAAAATTAGCCGGGCATGTTGGCATGCGCCTGTAATCCCAGCTATTCAGGAGGCTGAGGCAGGAGAATCGCTTGAACCCAGGAGGCGTAGGTTGCAGTGACCCGAGATCGTGCCATTGCATTCCAGGCTGGTTGAAAAGAGCGAGACTCCATCTCAAAAAAAAAAAAAAAAAAAAAAAGAAACATTATAAGAAAAAAAGAAAAAAAAGAGCAAGGAAACATAAGAGATAAACATTTTTCCACACTTTCCATCGCCCAGGCTGGAGTGCAGTGGCATGATCTCGGCTCACTGCAACCTCTGCCTCCCAGGTTCAAGCTAGTCTCCTGCTTCAGCCTCCTGAGTAGCTGGGATTACAGACATGCACCACCATGCCTGGCTAATTTTTGTATTTTTAGTAGAGACGGGGTTTCACCATGTTGGCCAGGCTGGTCTTGAACTCCTGACCTCAGTTGATCCTCCTGCCTTGGCCTCCCAAAGTGCTGGGATTACAGGTGTGAGCCACCACGCCCAGCCTTTTCCATGCTTTAAAGAAAATAGACTTTATTTTTTAGAGACGTCTGGGTTTACAGCAAAATTGAGTGGAAAATACAGAGTTCCCACATACCAGCACAGTTACCGCACAGACACAGAGTCCCCCACTTTTAACATCTGCACCAGATTGGTACATATATTGACACAATATTAATGCTCATAGTCCATAGTTTACATTAGGGTTCACTCTTGTACATTCTGTGGTTTTGGACAAATTTATAATGACATGTATCCACAATTATACTATTACACAAAATGGTTCCACTGCTCTAAACATTCTGTGTTCTGCCTATTCAGTCCCCCCTTCCCTCATCCCCTGCCAACCGCTGATGTTTTTGCTGTTTCCATAGTTTTGTCTTTTCCAGAATGTCATATAGTTGGAATCATACTGTATTTGGCCTTTCAGATTCCATACTCATCTTTCATAAACATTTCAAATGACTATAGTTATTCTCCTGTGTGGATATATAGTTATTTTTAACCATTCTTCGATTGATGGACATTGGATTAGTTCTAAGTTTTCACCATTGTAGATAACACTGCACTGAATTTTTTTTTTTTGAGACAGAGTTTCACTCTCGTCACCCAGGCTGGAGTGCAATGGCGCAATCTTGGCTCACTGCAACCTCCGCCTCCCGGGTTCAAGAAATTCTCCTGCCTCAGCCCCCCCAAATAGCTGGGATTACAGGCATGCGCCACCACACCTGGCTAATTTTTCGTATTTAGTAGAGACAGGGTTTCACCATGTTGGTCAGGCTGGTCTCGAACTCCTGGCCTCAGGTGATATGCCTGCCTCAGCCTCCCAAAGTGCTGGGATTATAGGGGTGAGCCACTGCACCCAGCCTGCACTGAACAGCTTTATGCATAAAGATAAAGCTTTCTCTATCTTTAGCTTTTTATATAGTTATTTATAAAGATATATAAATATTTGTATTTATAAAAGTTATTTATATAACGTTTTCTCTATTCTAAGATTATTTCTCTAAATATACTCCCAGAAGGGAAATTATTGGGTAAAAGAACATTTGCCAGCTGGGTGCGGTAGCTCATGCCTATAGTCCCAGTGCTTTTGGAGGCTGAGGCTTGCCAAAAGAAGGCCTCCCAAAAGGATGGATCCTTCTGAGGATCCACTGAGCTCAGACGATCAAGGCTACAGTGAGGTGTAATTGTGCTACTGCACTCCGGCCCAGGCAATAGAGTGATACCCTGTCTCAAATATAAAATAAAATAAAATAAAATAAAATAATATTTACTAGTATTGAGCATTATAATTATACCAAAATTTGCTAATTAAATTTTAATTAACATTTCATTAATTATTAATTAGTTTAAAGATCTATTAATTGTTAGTTATTTTTCTTTGGTTTTCATTGAATTGTGTCAATGAAAAATGTATTCCTGACATTTTTCTACTGAAATCTTTGTATATTATTGTGAAAAGGTCTATATTAAATAGTACAGATATATTTTTTGTAGATGGCATAAGTAAGTAATATGGTTAATTTGCTGTTGGGGATGTTCTGCTAAGGGTGCCTAGTAAAGTGTTTTAGTCTTCTGTATGTTAAAGAAGCATATCTTTGTGTCTTAATGTAACACATAAAAATCTTATTATTTTTTGAGAGTTAACTTTTTTTTCAATCATATCTTTTTAAAGGAGCTCCCACCTTACCTTGGCAAACTGGATGTCTCATTTCAAAGAGGTAATATTTTTTGTTTGTGGCTTAAACATTTGTGTTGAGAAGCATATGTGTGTTTTCTTGTCATAGTAAGTTCTTACTAAAAGTAACTGACCTCTAAGTTTGTTCCCTCAGGCCTACAAATCTGAATACTTGAAAATTATCTGACGTGAAATTATCAGGTCCAAAGAGTTAAGTGATTCATTCTGCTTAAATTCATGTACAGTTAACTTAAACCTGAACACTGATTGCAAGAAACATTTCACTTCTAAAGCTTCAAATTCTAGAATATTGCCGCAACTTATATTAGTCATCCATCAAAAAATATAATAAAAAATAAATGAAAAGGGCTGGGCACAGTGGCTCACGACTGTAATCCCAGCACTTTGGGAGGCTGAGGCGGGCAGATCACTTTAGGTCAGGAGTTCGAGACCAGCCTAGCCAACATGGCAAAACCCCGTCTCTACTAAAAATACAAAAAATATTAGCTAGGCATGGTAATGCGCACCTGTAATCCCAGCTCCATGGGAGGCTGAGGCAGGAGAATGGCTTGAACCTGGGAGGCGGAGGTTGCAGTGAGCTGAGATTGCGCCATTGCACTCCAGCCTGGGCAACAAGAGCGAAACTCTGTCTCAAAAAAATATATATAATGAAAATAAAGTAAATAAATAAATAAATAAATGAAAAGAAATGGAAAGGACCCCTTTCAAATCCTTTCTGGTTCCATAATATTTAGTTCTGTCTTTTAGCTGCTCCATATTTTAAATGATTAAACAGACTTCTGTCATTCAAATAAAACATTTCCTAGTCATCTTCAGTTAGCTGTTTTCTTCTGAGGGAACATTTCTCACAAAGAAACATGTCCCTTGACCCAACTTGTTAGTTACTTCAGATGTTAGAATGGAAAATATACCACCTTAAGGTATGTGCTGAACATATATAGGCTCCCTCATTGTCACAAGTCAGCCTCACATTTTTGAATGATTCAAATGTATAACTCAATAAAACCAAAAGATGTTACATATCATGAATCTTGGTATGATTTGTATATAGTTGAAACCTTGGTTAAATGTCAGCTCCATTTATATTAATTTTTTAAAAGAACTATAACTGCTCCGTGAACTAGATTTTAAATTGGCCAAGCCAGGTGTGGTGACGTACACCTCTAGTCCCAGCTACTTGGGAGACTGAGTTGGGAGGCTCATTTGAGCCCAAGAGTTGGAGTCTAGCTTGGGCTACATAGCAAGACCCTGTCTCTTAAAAAAAAAAAAATTGACCACTGATAGGGGAATTTTTGAAAATGAAATAAAAATCAGAAAAAATTTAACATTAGCTATTTCTAAGGGATATTTAAACCTCAGATGTGTTTGATTTCAATTTCCAGGTAAGTTGAAGTTGTTGGTTTGAGGAAACTTTTCTTCATTCTTGTAACTTATACGATTATACTTGCCAAACTATTGTAATATTTGTGTCAATTTTGGACTTGTGAAAGTTAAGAAAATTTCAGAAATGAAGTTTTTCCTATTTTTCACTTTGTAGAGCAAAGCCAAAGAAAGCCCCATAAAAATTTAAAAATCCAGCAGATGTGGTGGCTCACACCTATAATCTCAGCACTTTGAGAGGCCAAGGCGGGAGGGTTGCTTGAGACCAACAGGTTGAAACCAGCCTGGGCAACATAGCAAGACCCCGTCTCTAAAAAAAATATTAGCCAGTCATGGTGGAATATGCCTATAGTCTCAGCTATTTAAGAGACTTGAGGTGGGAGAATCCCTTGAGCCCAGGAGTTCAAGGCTACAGTGAGCTATGCTCACACCACTATGCTCCAGCCTGGGTGACAGTGAGACCTTGTCTCAAAAAAAAAAAAAAAAAAATCCTTTGAGGAAAAAAAAAGTTTTATTTGTTTTCCTGGGTTTGTATGTCCCTCAGAAAGTCATGAAACTGTTTTTTCTTTCTTTTGAGGCAGAATCTTGCTCTGTTGCCCAGGCTGGAGTGAAGTAGCTCAATCTCAGCTCACTGCAACCTCCACCTCCTGGGTTCAAGGGATTCTCATGCCTCAGCCACCTGAATAGCTGGGATTACAGGTACCCGCCACCATACCCGACTAATTTTTGTATTTTTAGTAGAGACGAGGTTTCACCACATTGGCCAGGCTGGTCTTGAATTGCTGGCCTCAACTGATTTACCTGACCCCCCCTTGCCCTCCCAAAATGCTAGGATTATAAGCATGAGCCACCACACCTGGCCAATTTTTGAATGTGAAGAGACCTTTGAGACTGTCTAATCTTGTCTTCTGTTATAGACAAGGAAATTGAAGTCTAAAGATGCAAATTAACTTAATCAATTTCATATAACAAGGAAATAACAATGCTAGAACTTGAACTAGGTCTCTATCTTAGCAGACCAGTGTTCAGCTGTACCATACTCCCTCTCCATTGGAACACTATTCCCAAATGTTGTATTAAGAACAATGCTGTGGGTCCAGTGCAGTGGCTCACGCCTGTAATCCCAACACTTTGGGAGGCCGAGACAGGTGGATCACCTGAGGTTAGGAGTTCGAGACCAGCCTGGCCAACACGGTGAAACCCTGTTTCTACTAAAAATACAAAAATTAGCCGGGCATGGTGACATGCACCTATAATCCCAGCTACTTGGGAGGCTGAGGCAGGGGAATCACTTCAACCTGGGAGGCAGAGGTTGCAGTGAGCTGAGATCACGCCATTGTACTCCAGCCTGGACAACAAGAGCAAGACTGTGTCTCAAAAAAAAAAAGAACAATGCTGTGGAAAAAAAAAAGAACAACACTGTGTACTGTCAAGTTTCAGACATCTGAAAGAAATAATAATAAGCTTTCATTTTATATTGCATTCATCTCATGTCATAATTGACTTTAGGACTGATCCTCAAATGTGAAGTTGACTGCATTTGGAACAGACTAATAAACCGTGTGTAAAAACTTGACTCAGAACAATGGCAGTGGCTCACATCTGTAATCCCAGCACTTTGGGAGGCTAAGGCAGGAGGATCACTTGATCCCAGGGGTTCGAGACCAGCCTGGGCCACATACAGAGACTCCATCTTTACAAAAATAATAAAAATAATATTAGCCAGGCATGGTGGTATGCACCTGTGGGCCTACCTAGGGAGGCTGAGGTGGGGGGATTGCTGAGCCCAGGAGGTTGAGGCTGCAGTGAGCCATGATTGTGTCACTGCACAAAGTGAGACTCAGTCTCAAAAAAAAAAAAAAAAAAAAGAGAAAAGAAAAGAAAACAAGAAACTTGACTCAGATTAGTCAAAAAGTGGTTCCGTTTTTTCTATCCTATTCCCTTGCATAGAATTCTTGCTTACCAGGCTGGGCACGGTGGCTCACACCTGTAATCCCAGCACTTTGGGAGGCCGAGGCAGGTGGATCACTTGAGGTTAGGAGTTTGAGACCAGCTTGGCCAACATGGCGAAACCCTGTCTGTACTAAAAATACAAAAATTTTTAAATTTTTATTATTGTTTTTTGAGATGAGCTTTTGCTTCTGTTGTCCAGTGGCACAATCTCAGCTCACTGCAACCTCTGCCTCCCAGGTTCAAGCAATCCTCCTGCCTCGGCCTCCTGTGTAGCTGGGATTACAGGTGCCCGCCACCACTCCCAGCTAATTTTTGTATTTTTAGTAGAGACGAGGTTTCACCTTGTTGGCCAGGCTAGTCTTGAATTCCTGACCTCAGGTGATCCACCCACATCAGCGTCCCAAAGGGCTGGGATTAGTCATGAGCCACCATGCCTGGCCAAAATACAAAAATTAGCCAATTGTGGTGGTGCACACCTGTAGCCCCAGCTACTCGGGAGGCTGAGGCTGGAGAATCACTTGAACCCGGGAGGCAGATGTTGCAGTGAGCAGAGATCGTGCCACTGCACTCCAGCCTGGGCAACAGAGCGAGACTGTCTCAAAAAAAAAAATACGCTGAATTGGCCTGGTGCGGTGGCTCACGCCTGTAATCCTTACACTTTGGGAGGTTGAGGCAGGAAGATCACCTGAGGTCAGGAGCTCGAGACCAGCCTGGCCAACATGGTGAAACCCCGTCTCTACTAAAAATACAAGAACTAGCTGGACATGGTGGCGTGCGCCTGTTATACCAGCTACTTCTGAGGCAGGAGAATCGCTGAAACCCAGGAGGTGGAGATTGCAGTGAGCCGAGATCATGCCACTGCACTTCAGCCTGGGCAACAGATCGAGACTGTCTCAACAACAAAAAAAAGTGTTAACCAAATGGTTTGTTATTATCTATCCTGATTATTTGAAGGTAACCTTTTTTTTTCATGGAAAACACAAAATTTGGATAATCTACAGTTGACTATAATTATTGTTTTAAAGTTCCCCAAATAGTGAAAACTATTTAAATAGTGGCCCCTAACTTGCATAGGGGCCACTATTCCATCAACCAACACATCCTATGGCATACTCCTTGTCTATCTTTCCTATTTCCTGTTATTTTCCTCTTTTCTTTTTGTAGTCCACCACTTCCTAGCTGGTTATCTTCTGCCTAGAAAAATACTGGGGCAAACTTCTCTTTTTCCAAATGTTTTTCTACATTCTAAGCTGGCTGAGGCATCTAATTTATGTATTATTATTTTTAAGTAGAGATCAGGTCTCGCTATGTTGGTCAGATTGGTCTTGAATTCCTGGCCTCAAGCAATCTTCCCACCTCAGCCTTCCAAAGTGCTGAGATTACAGGAGTGAGCCACTGCACCTGGCCTAATATTTGTATCTTTACATCACTATAGCACTTTTTTTGCCTCAGCACACATTTTAGTTTTCTCATTCTCTCGCTGTTAGATAGAATATTCTTATGTATTTTTTTGCTGTTCCAAAGTTAGTTTCATCTGTTTGACCTTTTTGTAAACTGATTCTTACATGCATCTTACTTGACTGCTAAATTAATTTTTTAATTTGCCCACACCGTGACAAAAAGGCAGTCTTCCTTATGAGCTTCAAGCGTGAAGTCCCGGAGAAAGACACTGATTGGCCCAGCTTGGGTCATGTGGCCATCCTGAAGAAAAGAAATGGGCTATTATGATCATATGCCCATCCCCGAGGGTGAATGGACAGTGGGTACTGTGGTGACAGCTCTATCACAACAATGTGAGATGTGAAATACAGGTTTCCAAAGGAAGGAAGAATGTTGGGTAGGTAAAAAACATGCTGGATAATGCCTATAATCCCAGCATTCAAGGAGGCCAAGGTGAGAGGATCCCTTGAGGCCAAGAATTCAAGGCCAACCTGGCCAACAAAGCAAGACTTCATCTCTACTTAAAAAAAAAAAAAAAAAAAGGGCCGGGTGCGGTGGCTCACGCCTGTAATCCCAGCACTTTGGGAGGCTGAGACAGGCGGATCACCTGAGATTGGGAGTTCAAGACCAGCCTGAACAACATGGAGAAACCCCGTCTCTACTAAAAATACAAAATTAGCCAGGCGTGGTGGCAGATGCCTGTAATCCCAGCTACTCTGGAGACTGAGGCAGGAAAATCACTTGAACCCGGGAGGCAGAGGTTGCGATGAGCCGAGATGGCACCGCTGCACTGCAGCCTGGGTGACAGAGTGAGACTCCGTCTCAAAAAAAAAAAAAAAAAAAGAAAAGCCAAGCGTGGTGGCACATGCCTCTAATCTCAGCTATTTGGAGGCTGAGGCAGGAGGATCACTGGAGCTGAGGAGTTCAAGGCTGCTGTGAGCTGTGGTCATGCTACTGCACTCCAGCCTGGGTGACAGATTGAGACCCTGTCTCAAAATATATATACATATATATATAAGCTATCTACTATAAACATAATTTTTAGAGTTTAATTATGTAGCCTATGATAAGTTTAAACTCTTTCAGTTATAAGTGTTAGATGCACATCTCAAGATAGCTTAAGAAAAAAATTAAAAATGAATATATTGGTTTTCATAATTAGAAAGTCCAGGGGTTATATGCCCTCAGACATGACTGATTCCAGTTGCTCAAGCAGTAATTGGTCTCTCTCTATCTCCGTTTCTTGCTTTTGCTTTCATTTGTGTTAGCTTTGCTTTTAGGGACACCCTTTCCACAGAGATGAACTCTTGGCAGCTTGTACATGATCCGTTCAGCAAAGGATTTCAAGAGGCTTCTCTCCCAGTGTCCATATTGTTATGCTTAACAGGTTAGACTGGTCATATATTTAGTCTGTGGTCAGAGAGGCAGAGCCAATGATTGACAGTCCCATCAGAGTAACCCAGAGCCCCATCAGAATTACAAGAAGTATAGTAACAGACTTTTCCTTTTTTTCCCCTTTAATGTACATGCTGCTTTTCACACAGGGTATAATTATAAATAATTTAATTTTCTGACATGGATTTCATTTACTTTTTGATAATGCATCTTTATTTTGATTTGCCATATAATAAGACGGAATAAAGGATTTTCACCATTTTGTTATTTGCAGATTAGTGGAATTGAAGGTTCAGACGGAAGCAGAACAATTTTTACAATAGTTATATAGTATGTATAGTAAATTATATAAATGATTAGAGTAATTAGAGTCAAAAGGGACTAGAGAGCCAGGTGTGGTGGCTCACACCTGTAATCCCAGCACTTAGGGAGGCTGAGGCAGGAGGTTTGCTTGAGATCAGAAGTTCAAGACCAGCCTGGGCAAAATACAGTGAGACCCTGTCTCTACAAAAAATAAAATAAACAATAGGCCGGGCACAGTGGCTCACGCTTGTAATCCCAGCACTTTGGGAGGCCAAGGCTGGTGGATCACCGAACGCCAGGAGTTTGAGACCATCCTGGCCAACATGGTGAAACCCTGCCTCTACTAAAAATACAAAAAATTAGCCAGGTGTGGTGCCGGGCGCCTGTAATCCCAGCTACTTAGGAGGCTGAGGCAGGAGAATCACTTGAACCTGGGAGGCGGAGGTTGCTGTGAGCCGAGATCGCACTATCGCACTCCAGCCTGGGCAACAAGAACGAAACTCCGTCTCAAAAAAAAAAAAAAAAAAAATATATATATATATATATATATACGCGTATATATGTATATATATATATACGCGTATATATATATACGCGTATATATATATATATATATACACACGTATATATATATATATATACACACACACACACACACATATATATATATGGGCGTGGTGGTGCATGCCTGTAGTGCCAGAGGATTGCTGGAGTGTGGGAGGCCGCAGTGAGCCATCATCATGCTACTGCACTCCAGCCTTGGCTATGAGCAAGATCCTGTCTCAAAAAAACAACAAAAAAGGGACCGGGTACATGGTTCATGCCTGTAATCCCAGCACTTCGGGAGGCCGAGGCGGGCAGATCACTTGAGCTCAGGATTTTGAGACCAGCCTGGCCAAATGCAAAACCCCATCTCTACAAAAACTACAAAAAAATTAGCCGAGCGTGATGGTGCTCCTGTAGTTCCAGCTACTCAGGAGGTCAAGGTGGGAGGATCACTTGGGCCCAGGAGGCAGAGGTTGCAGTGAGCTGAGATCGTGTCACTGCACTCCAGTCTGGGCGACAGAGTGAGACCCTGTCTCAAACAAACAAACAAACAAAAAAGAGACTAGAGAAAGACTAAAGAAAATAATCCTCAGGAAATATAAAGAACAATTAAAGTCCCCTTCTAATTTTTTCATTACTTGAATTTTCTTTGAATAACTGCATTCATATAATTCTTCAACACATTACTGATTTAGTGTATACTTCCCTTGCCTGAATGTTATTTTTAATCTCTGAAAAAGTCAATGATGATATAGCAAAACTTTAGAAACAATCTCAGTATCTACTAGTAGGGAAATGGTTAAATTAAAATAAATTATTGTATAGCTACTCAATGGAGTATTTTGACATCTTTTAAAAAATTATGATAGAATCAGATCGGTGGATTGTATCAATGTCAGTATCATGGTTGTGATATTGTACTATAGATTTGCAAGAAGGTTACCACTGGGAAATCTGGGTAAAGGGTACATGGACCCTATTATTTCTTACAATTGATTGTGAATCTGTAGTTATCTCAAAATAAAAAATTAATAAATCATAATCATAAGCACAGTAAATCAACAGGAAAATATTTATTTTTATGTGAAAATATCAAGTTAAAATCTGTAGCACATCATATTATTAGTATATTAAATCATGCATAGGAAAAAAGAGTAGAGAAAGTACACCAGATGGTCATAGCATTTATATCTAAGTTGTTGGATTTACATGATTTTTTTCTTCTCTATACTTTTCCTTATTTTATAAATGTCCTTTAATGAATATATACAATACCTTCTCTAGTCATCAAAAAGTAAAACTTATATTTAAAAAATACATTTAAAAATCTTGCTTTCTCAGCATGCCAGTGTGAAGGAAAAGATAACCGAATTCCATTACTGAAGGAAGTTTTTGAGGCCTTTCCTAACACTCCCATTAACATCGATATCAAAGTCAACAACAATGTGCTGATTAAGAAGGTACTCAAGGCATTGCCTCCTCTGGGTGTGTTGCATCCTATTTCACAAACTAAATAAGGTTAGAGTCAGTGACTGCATAGATTGATAATGCTCAAGGAAATGTGATACCCTAGGGATCAGCATTGTTTTAAATAATGCCTTAGTAGAAGAGATCATTTTACTGTAGGAGAGAGCCTATTTTCAGAGAGAGTTGGCATGTCATGGATAAAATAAGGTTGTATGAACCAATCATTCTGGCATTTATGTAATTATCTTCTAGTTTAACTTGTTTCATTCATGGTTAGTTTATGTCAAATTACTAAATAACTCTATTCTGTTAAATAAATTATATAATGATATAATGTGAATAAATTTTGCATTTTATAAAATATTCTAAATTTACATATTGATTCTTCCAAAAGTTATGCTATTCATTCACAGATAGTCAATTCTAATTCATTTTTTAAGTGAAATGTTGTTAGTGGATTTGCAAATAGGCACATGCATAAAATTTTGAATTTTCACACGTAGGTTTCAGAGTTGGTGAAGCGGTATAATCGAGAACACTTAACAGTGTGGGGTAATGCCAATTATGAAATTGTAGAAAAGTGCTACAAAGAGGTAAGCTTCAAAAATGATACAGAATTATCTATCTTTGTTGTTGTTTTGTATCTACAAATGATAAGTTATTATAGTAATAATTTTTTTTCTTTTTCTTATTTTTAGAGATAGGGTCTCACCCTGTCACCCAGGCTGGAGTGCAGTGGTGCAATCATAGCTCACTGCAGCCTCAAACTCCTGGGCTCAAGTGATCCTCCTGCCTCAGCCTCTCAAGTAGCTGGGACTACAGGCACACACCACTGCACCCAGCTAATTTTTAAATCTTTAGTAGAGATGAGGTCTCACTATATTGCCCACTCTGGTATCAAACTCTTGGACTCAAGCAATCCTCCTGCCTTGGCCTCCCAAAGTGGTGGGATTACAGGTGTGAGCCATTGTGCCTGGCCCTTATTACAGTAATAATTTTTAAAGCATCTTATTTCAGGCCGGGCGCAGTGGCTCACGCCTGTAATCCCAGCACTTTGGGAGGCCAAGGCAGGTGGATCATAAGGTCAGGAGTTCGAGACCAACCTGGCCAATATGGTGAAACCCTGTCTCTATGAAAATATAAAAATTAGTTGGGCATGGTGGCACGTGCCTGTAGTCCCAGCTACTCAGGAGGCTGAGGCAGAAGAATCACTTGAACCCGGGAAGCAGAGGTTGCAGTGAGCTGAGATCATGCCACTGCACTCCAGTCTGGGCAACAGAGCAAGACTCTGTCTCAAAAAAAACAAACAAACACTTATCTTATTTCATAGCCTTCATACACAGGTAGATGGTACTGGGTGGAAGCAACTAGCCAGAAGTTTAATATAGTAGAGATAATGGATTTGAACCTAGCAATATAAGGTCAATGCAGTTGAACTGGTTCAAGGAATTATTATTTTCACATGCTAATGTTAGTTGCTTACCAATATTTCATTATGTGTATTAAAGGAAAAAATACAGTTTCTATCTTTTAATCACTGTCTTGTGTTAGGTAATTAAATTTTTTGTGTGTAATTTTGAGTTAAATTATTTAGCTGGGCATGATGACTCATGCCTGTAATCCTAGCACTTTGGGAGGCCAAAGTGGGAGGATTGCTTGAGCCCAGGTGTTTGAGACCAGCCTGGACAACATAGTGAGACCCCCTTTCTATTATTATTATTATTAATTATTTTTAATTTTCTTTTGCCTGTAACACAGCCCTCAGGAGATCCTGAGAACATGTGCCTATTTTTTTTTTAAGAAAGAAATTATTTAAGGGGTGAAGATTGCTTGAGGCCAGGAATTTGAGACCAGCCTGGGCAACATAGTAAGACTTCTAACTCTATTAAAAAAAAAAAAATCCTGGGCACAGTGGCTCGCCCCTGTAATCCCAGCACTTTGGGAGGCCGAGGCAGGCGGATCACCTGAGGTCAGGAGTTCAAGACCAGCCTGGCGAACATGGCAAAACCCCATCTCTATTAAAAATACAAAAAATAGAGGCCGGGCGCGGTGGCTCACGCCTGTAATCCCAGCACTTTGGGAGGCCGAGGAGGGCGGATCACGAGGTTGGGAGATTGAGACCATCCTGGCTAACGCGGTGAAACCCCGTCTGTACTAAAAATACAAAAAATTAGCCAGGCGTAGTGGTGGGCGCCTGTAGTCCCAGCTACTCAGGAGGCTGAGGCAGGAGAATGGCGTGAACCCGGGAGGCAGAGCTTGCAGTGAGCCGAGATCGCACCACTGCACTCCAGCCTGGGTGACAGAGCAAGACTCTGTCTCAAAAAAAAAAAAAAAAAAAAAAAAATACAAAAAATAGCCAGGCGTGGTGGCGTGCTCCTGTAATTCCAACTTCTAGGGAGGCTGAGGCAGGAGAATTGCTTGAACCTGGAAAGCAGAGGTTGCAGTGAGCCGAGATGTCACCAGCCTGGGTGACAGAACAAGACTCCATCTCAAAAAAAAAAAAAAAGAAAGGAAAAGAAATTATTTAGGGTCAGGCTAAGTGGCTCACACCCCTGTAATCCCAGCACTTTGGGAGGCCAAGGCGGACAGATCACTTTGAGCCCAGGAGTTTGAGACCAGCCTAGGGAACATGAGGAAACCCCATCTCTACTAAAAATACAAAAACTGGCTAGGCATGGTGGCACATGCCTGTAGTCTCAGCTACTTGGGAAGCTGAGGTGGAAGGATGGCTTGAGCCTAGTAGACAGAGGTTGCAGTGAGCCAAGATCCTGCCACTGCACTCCAGCCTGGGTGACGGAGCCAGACCCTGTCTCAAAAAAAAAAAAAAAAAAAAAAAAAAAAAAAAAAAAAAAATCCTATTATCTATAGCTTTAGCTTCTTTTTACCCTAAACTTCCAAATAGATTTAAGCAAGTTAAGCCAAGATCATGCAAGATCATGATTATTAAGCAAGATATAAAAGCAGGACCATCTATCTACCCACTGAAAATTTTCTGGTTAAAGAAAATATGTCGGCCAGGCACAGTGGCTCACGCTTGTAATCCCAGCACTTTGGGAGGCTGAGGCGGGTGGATCACCTGAGGTCAGGAGTCTGAAGCCAGTCTGGCCAACATGGTGAAACCCCATCTCTACTAAAAATACAAAAATTAGCCGGGCATGGTGGTGCGCACCTGTAATCCCAGCAACTCAGGAGGCTGAGGCAGGAGAATGGCTTGAACCCAGGAGGCAGAGGTTGCAATGAGCTGGGATCGCACCACTGCACTCCAGCCTGGGCAAGAGACCGAGACTCTTCTAAAAAAAAAAGTGTATAAAAATTAATTTTATATGCTTTAAAATGATAGTTAAACCTTCATAATCAAGTTTACATACATCATCAGGTAAGAGAATTTGAAATTTAAGATGTTAAAAAATCTTGAGCATTGAAGATGCTGAAATAATCTGTAATATAGAAGAAATATCATGATGTAAGTAGCAATTTTCAAATACAAAGAACTCTTTGGTGGCTGATCTGAGTGTAATGGTGTTTACAATTAATTGATTACAACCAGTTACAGATTTCTTTATTTCTCCACTCCCACTGCTTCATTTGACTAGTCTTAAAAAACAAAGAAACAAAACAAACAACCTCTTTGGGCAAGCCTTCCTTCCTAACAGAGAAGGCAAAAACATGCACAGTCAGCATCATCACAATTCAGAGTATAATTGAGATTCCCACTAAAGCAAGTAAGTTTGTTGTGGTTGTTGTTTTGGAGACTCCAACTCAGGCTGGAGTGCAGTTGCATGATTTAGGCTCACTGCAACCTCTGTCTCCTGGGTTCAAGAGGTTCTCCTGCCTCAGACTCCCGACTAGCTGGGATTGCAGGTGCGTGCTGCCATGCCCAGCTAATTTTTGTATCTTTAGTAGAGATGGGGTTTCGCCATGTTGGCCAGGCTGGTCTCGAACTCCTGACCTCAAGTGATCTGCCTGCCTCGGCCTCCCAAAGTGCTGGTATTACAAGTGTAAGCCACCACACCTGGCCTAAAGCAAGTATGTTTTATGTGCAGCAGGGGCTGAGAGATCCCAAGGTAGCTGTGTACAAAAGGGAAGAACAGAGCAATCACTGGACTGAGTGGCTTTAGATTCCTAAGAACTTAGAACTTAGACTCTTCCATAACTCCCAGCAATCTTAGGCATTTATCCCAGAAAAATGAAATACATGCTTACAAAAACCTATAAATGATTTTTTTTAATTTAATGATTTATTTTATTATTATTATTATTATTATTTAAAACAAGGACTTGCTCTGTCACTGAGGCTGGAGTGCAGTGGTGTGATCTTGGTTCACTGCAGCCTTGACTTCCTGGGTTCAGATGGTCTCCTGCCTCAGCCTCCTGTGTAGCTTGGACTACAGGTGCATGCCATCATGCCTGGCAAATTTTTTGATTTTTTTTTGCAGAGACAGGGTCTCACTTTGTTGCCCAGGTTGATCCTGAATTCCTGGCCTCAAGTGATCCTCCCACCTCAGCCTTTTGAGTAGCTGGGACTACAGGTATGTACCACCATGCCTGGCTAATTTTTAAATTTTTTGTAGAGATGGAGTCTCACTGTATTGGCCAAGCTGGTCTCAAACTCCTAGGCTCAAGCAATCCTCTTGTCTCGTTTTCCCAAAGTGCTGAGATTACAGGCTTTTTTTTTTTTTTTTTTTTTTGAGACGGAGTCTCGCTCTGTCGCCCAGGCTGGAGTGCAGTGGCGGGATCTCGGCTCACTGCAAGCTCCGCCTCCCGGGTTCACGCCATTCTCCTGCCTCAGCCTCCCAAGTAGCTGGGACTACAGGCGCCCGCCACTACGCCCGGCTAATTTTTTTTTGTATTTTTAGTAGAGACGGGGTTTCACCGTTTTAGCCGGGATGGTCTCGATCTCCTGACCTCGTGATCCGCCCGCCTCGGCCTCCCAAAGTGCTGGGATTACAGGCGTACAGGCATTTTTTTAAAAATAAAAATACGTTACCAGGGAGATGCAGCCTTCCATGTAAAATGAAGGCACATTCCCTAAAACCTATACATGAATGTTTATAGCAACTTTATTCATCAAAGCAAAATCCTGAAAATAACCTAAATGTCCTTCAGTGGGTAAATGACTGAACAAACTCTGACATTTCCATACAATGGAATATTATTCAGCACTAAAAGGGAATGAACTATTGATACATGCAACGAACTGGATGGTCCTCAAAGACATTATGCTTAGTGAAAAAAATCAACCTCAAACTGTATTGTAGATTCCATTAACTGTAGCCTGGAAGAGCAGATTTAGGGGACAGGGACTTAGGGTAGGGTAGAGAGTGGGTACCACTACAAGAGATTTCTTGTGTAGTGATGAAACGGCTTTGTATCTTGGTTTTGTTTTTTTTTGTTTTTTTTTTTTGAGACTCACTCTGTCACCCAGGCTGGAGTGCAATGGTGCGATCTTGGCTCACTGCAACCTCCGCCTTCCGGGTTCAAGCGATTTTCCCGCTTCAGCCTCCCGAGTAGCTGGGATTACAGGCGCCCGCCACTAAGCCTGCCTAATTTTTGTATTTTTAGTAGAGATAGGGTTTCACCATGTTGGTCAGGCTGGTCACAAACTCCCGACCTCAGGTGATCCGCCCACCTCGGCCTCCCACAGTGCTGGGATTACAGGCATGAGCCACCGTGCCCGGCCACAGCTTTGTATCTTGATTGCGGTAGTGGTTACATGAATCTATACATGGGTTAAAACTGCATAGAACTACACACACACAAATGAATGCGGTGTTTAAAAAATGATGAAAATTGAATAAATTATGTAGTCTAATGAACAGTAAGGTACCAATGTCAATTCCAGGTCTTGATACTATAGTATAGTTACATCAAGTGTCACCTTTTGAGGAAGCTGGGTGAAGGCCACATGGGACTATACTATACTACAGGTATGTACCACCATGCCTGGCTAATTTTGAAATTTTTTGTAGAGATGGAGTCTCTCTGTATTGCCCAGGCTGGTCTCAAACTCCTAGGCTCAAGCAATCCTCTTGTCTCATTCTCCCAAAGTGCTGAGATTAAGTCTATAATTCTTTCAAAATAAAAGGCTCACTTTTGGCCTGTAATCATAGAACTTTTCCCTTGATTTCCATACTTTTCCAAACATCACAGTAAAAATGTCTCAATAAAATTTGTCTTTCATATTGCCAACATACTATATAATTGATACAACTTTTGCAATTCTTTTTTTCCTTTCCTTTTTTTTTTTTGAGACGGAGTTTCACTCTGGTTGCCCAGGCTGGAGTGCAATGGCGCAATCTCGGCTCACCACAACCTCCACCTCCCGGGTTCAAGCGATTCTCCTCCCTCAGCCTCCCGAGTAGCTGGGATTACAGGCATGCACCACCACGCCCAGCTAATTTTTTGTATTTTTAGTAGAGACGGGGTTTCTCTATGTTGGTCAGGCCGGTCTTGAACTCCCAACCTCAGGTGATCCACCTGCCTCGGCCTCCCAAAGTGCTGGGATTACAGGTGTGAGCCACCACGCCCAGCCTACTTTTGCAATTCTTACAGTATGATTTATAAGAATTTTACATCAGCCTTTTAATTTCCAGATGTAAACCCAAAATATAAACATTAAAGGAATTGGGGCACACAGTGGTAGTGGGAAAATGTGGCGCTTAATGACTTTTCATTCATTCACACTTAACGCAGTGGTTCTTTCTTTTAGTGCTGTGGTTCCAAAGTTGCATAAGTATTTTTAATTTAATTTTATTTTATTTTATGTTTTGAGACAGAATGTCGCTCTGTCACCCAGGCTGGAGTGCAGTGGTGCAATCTTGGCTCACCGCAACCTCCGCCTGCTGGGTTCAAGCAATTCTCCTGTCTCAGCCTCCTGAGTAGCTGGGATTACAGGCACACGTCACCATGCCTGGCTAATTTTTGTATTTTTTAGTAGAGACCGGGTTTCTCCATGTTGGTCAGGCTGGTCTTGAATTCCTGACCTCAGATGATCCACCCGCCTCAGCCTCCCAAAGTGTCGGGATTACAGGCATGAGCCACTGTGCCCAGCCAAGTTTTTTTTTTTGAGACAGAGTCTCACTCTTGCCCACACTGGGGTGCAGTGGCACGATCTCAGCTCACTGCAACCTCCACCTCCCAGGTTCAAGCAATTCTCCTGCCTCAGCCTCCAGACTAGCTGGGATTACAGGTGCCTGCCATCACGCCTGGCTAATTTTTGTATTCTTAGTAGAGAGAGTTTCATCATGTTGGCCAGACTGGTCTCGAACTCCTGACCTCAAGTGATCCACCCGTCTTGGCCTCCCAAAGTGCTGGGATTACAAGTGTGAGTCACCGCACCTGGCTGTAAGTTTTGAGGGTCAGCCCCTAACCCTGTTTTCCCATAAGCTCTGTTATCCTTAGTGTATGATTTTGCAAAACTCAAGATTTTGCAGTGACTTGTATATTTTGTTACAGCTGAAACACCTGTATGTAAGTAAGCCAAGAACATTACAAAGCACCATGTAAACAAAGGGGCAAAATAAATTCTCAAACTTATTTACTCTATTTTTTAAAAAAATAAAGGAGTAGATAATTTAGAACTATTTATTTATTTATATAATTTTTTAATTTGAGACAGAGTCTCACTCTGTCACCTAGGCTGTAGTGCAGTGGCTCAATCTTGGCTCACTGCAAGCTCCACCTCCTGGGTTCAAGAGATTCTCCTGCCTCAGCCTCCCGAGTAGCTGGGGTTACAGTTGTACGCCACCACGCCCGGCTAATTTTTGTATTTTTAGTAGAGGCAGGATTTCACCATGTTGGCCAGGCTGGTCTCGAAGTCATGACTTCAAGTGATCCACCCGCCTTGGCCTCCCAAAGTGCTGGGATTACAGGCGTGAGCAACCGCGCCCAGCCTAGAACTAACTATTTAAAATAAATTATTTTTATGTGATTTTTAAAAATATATATTATGTTTTTATTAAAAGTTCACTGTAAGCATAATTTTTTTTTCCAGTAAATATAGCAGGGCCTGGCATGGTAGCTCACGCTTGTCATTCCAGCACTTTGGGAGGCTGAGGTAGGAGAAATGCTTGTGCCCAGGAGTTCAAGACCAGCCTAGGCAATATAATGAGATTCTGTCTCTACAAAAAATTTTTAAAAAATTAGCTCGGCATGGTGGTGCATGTCTGTAGTCCCAGCTGTTTGGGAGTCTGAGGTGTGGGATCACTTGAGCCTGGGAGATCTAGGCTTCAATGAGCCATGATCCAGCCACTGTACTCTAGCCTGGGTGACAGCGAGACCCTGTCTAATATATATATATCTATATATAGTACACATAGGAGGGCAAGGAGAGAGGGAATGGAGATTTGTTATTTAATGGTATAAAGTTGGCCAGGCAAGGTGGCTCACACCTGTATTCCCAGCACTTTGAGAGGCTGAGGCAGGTGGATTGCTTGAGCCCAGGAGTTCGAGACCAGCCTGGGTGACATGGTGAAACCTCATATCTACAAAAAATACCAAAAAAAGTAGCTGGGCATGGTGGCACACACCTGTAGTCCCATCTATTACAACTCAGGAGGCTGAGGTGGGAGTATTGCCTGAGCCAGGGTCGAGGATGCAGTGAGCTTTGGTTGTGCCACTGCACTCCAGCCTGGGTGACAGTGAGACCTTATCTCAAAAAAAAAAAAAAAAAAAGGCATAGAGTTGTTTTCACTTTTGCAAAATGAAAAGACTTCTGGACTTTGGTTGCACAACAGTGTGAATATACTTAAAACCACCAAACTGTACATTTAAAAATGATTGACATTCAATTTTGCTGGGTGGCGGGGGGTGGGGGTGGTGAGAAAATAGATTTAAAAAATGATTAAGATCTTAAATTTGGCTGGTGCGGTGGCTCACACTTGTAATCCCAACACTTTGGGAGGCCAAGGTGGGCAGATCATCTGAGGTCAGGAGTTTGAGACCAGCCTGGCCAACATGGTGAAACCACATCTCTACTAAAACTACAAAAAATTAGCTGGGCATGGTGGTGTGCGCCTGTAATCTTAGCTACTTGGGGGGCTGAGGCAGGAGAATTGCTTGAACTCAGGAGGCAGAGGTTTCAGTGAGCCGATATTGTGCCACTGCACTCCAACCTGGGTGACAGAGTGAGACTCCGTCTCAAAAAAAAAAAAAAAAAAATCTTAAATTTTGTGTTATGTGTATTTTAGCACAATTAAAATTATATATATATGTATGTCTATCTTGTATTTTTAAAGTTTTGGGATATTGAGCATATTTTCCAATAGAAACTTAAAATGGTGGTTAGATTCTTGGATTAGTTTACAAATCCTATTTATATTTTATATTTGATTCATAACATAGCTAAAAGATGACACATTTGCAACAGTATTGATATGTATCTATATATACTCATATATAGAGATATATAGCTACATATTTTTTAAACAGGAGTAAAGTTACTGAATATTCCATATATTCATCTTTTCATTTTGTTCCATTGGATTCTGACATGTTTAGTCTTTAGCTGTAAGTACTGTAACCAACGCAGAAGTGGTATTGCAAAAGCAGAGACGGTAATAGAGAAATTTTAGTAACATCATTATACTATGAGGCTCCAAGATCAATCCTGACCCATTTATCAAGGACTAGCCACTATTAAGTGTGGTGTTATTTGCAAATGAATATTCATAATCCCAGGAATGCTTGTAATAGATTTCAACACATTGTCTTGGGAAATACTGAGAGTTGTGAAGTAATCCTCTTTATTTGAGCAGTTGTAAAAATAACATGTAATATTGCTTGTGTCTTTTAGAATTCAGATATTCCTATACTCTTCAGTCTACAACGTGTCCTGCTCATTCTTGGCCTTTTCTTCACTGGCCTCTTGCCCTTTGTGCCCATTCGAGAACAGTTTTTTGAAATCCCAATGCCTTCTATTATACTGAAGTAAGTGGTTACCCTTTTATTTTAAAATCAATTATCAATTACAGAAAGACTAAGATAAAAGCTCACTAATATCAATATCAATGATGAAGAAGAGATTTCTGTAGTGATTTCCATGTTCTATTACCTGACCTATATTATGCATTTTTATATAATTAAGACACATTCTCTAAAACAAATAATCAGGACCCATCTCAGATTATGATTTTCTGTGCCTGTATAGTCAGAAATCAGATAAAAGGAATTTAATTTAATTACAGAAGGTAAATAATTATTTTATTCTCACATCAAATAGCAGTTGCCCTCCACTTTCCCTTATTGCTTTCTACTTCATTGACAGCTTTACCCAGCTCAAATTCCATTAAACTCCAAATTAAACAATGGTATTACTGTAATACATTTAGGAAGAAAAAACCACCACCACCATAAAAACCTCTGGAGATAGGAAAATAAAAGGGTATAGTTAGTTTATATAGGATACTGTTTTTATAGTGGTTTTTTGTTTTTTTTTTTTTGAGATGGAGTTTTGCTGTTGTGGCCTAGGCTGGGGTGCAAAGGTGTGATCTCGACTCACTGCAACCTCTGCCTCCCGGGTTCAAGTGATTCTCCTGCCTCAGCCTCCCGAGTAGCTGGGATTATAGGCGCCCACCACCTTGCCTGGCTAATTTTTGTAGTTTTAGTAGAGATGGGGCTTCACCATGTTGGTCAGGCTGGTCTCCAACTCCTTACCTCAGATGATCCACCCACCTCCTCCCAAAGTGCTGGGATTATAGGCGTGACCCGCCTTGCCCAGCCAGGATCCTTTTATATTTACGTAATTCCACTACTAGAAAAGCCTTGCATTTCACTTGCTAATTTACTAGCAAGATAAAAATACATAGATTGTAAAAATACATAGGTACATAAAAACACTTAGATTGCCTGACAAATACTAAGCACTCAAGAGTGATAGCTTTTATTGTTATCTTTGTTATTATAAAGAATGATAGCTTCATCTCAAAATTCTACACACGTAGAATGTGATTTCTAGCTGTAGATTCATAACTGAATTATGGCAAAGGAATTTGGAATCGTTGGGGAGATGATTTAAATGTGATTTTATTTGCATGAAAACACTTTTCATGGCCGGGCGCGGTGGCTCACGCCTGTAATCCCAGCACTTTGGGAGGCCAAGGAGGGTGGATCACGAGGTCAGGAGATCGAGACCATCCTGGCTAACACGGTGAAACCCCGTCTCCACTAAAAATACAAAAAAAAATTCTCCGGGCGTGGTGGCGGGCGCCTGTAGTCCCAGCTACTCCGGAGGCTGAGGCAGGAGAATGGCGTGAGCCTGGGAGGCAGAGCTTGCAGTGAGCGGAGATTGCGCCACTGCACTCCAGCCTGGGCGACAGAGCGAGACTCTGTCTCAAAAAAAAAAAAAAAAAAAAAAAAGAAAAGAAAACACTTTTCATATCCAACAGAACTTTAAAAAATCAAGCTGAAGAGCTTTCCTCTTTTATAGCATGTCTCAATAAAGGTAATGACTTGGGGGAAAAAAATAAAGCTGAACGTTAGTGTAGCAGTCATCAGACAATATTGCTAAGAAAAGCAGGCCAGGTGCAGTGGCTCACGCCTGTAATCCCAACATTTTGGGAGGCCGAGGCAGGAGGATCACGAGGTCAGGAGTTTGAGACCAGCCTGGCCAACATGGTGAAACCCCATCTCTACTGAAAATACAAAAATTAGCCAGGCTCGCCTGAACACGGGGGGCAGAAGTTGCGGTGAGCCAAGATCGCGCCACTGCACTCCAGCCTGAGCGACAGAGCGAGACTCCTTCTCAAAAAAAAATAAGAAAGAAAAACAATTGGCCGGGCGTGGTGGCTCATGCCTGTAATCCCAGCACTGTGGGAGGCTGAGGCGGGTGGATCACAAAGTCAGGAGTTCAACACCAGCCTAGCCAACATGGTGAAACCCCGTCTCTACTAAAAATACAAAAATTAGCCGGGCACAGTGGCAGACACCTGTAATCTCAGTTACTCGGGAGGCTGAGGCAAGAGAGTCGCTTGAACCCCAGAGGTGGAGGTTGCAGTGAGTCGAGATGGCTGCACTCTAGCCTGGGCGACAGAGCAAGACTCTGTCTCAAAAAAGAAAAGAAAAGAAAAACAATTTAGTCAGTACTCTTGTGCTCAACTTCTATTTCATGCCTGTTTTCCAATTTCAGTATCTTAGTGATAAACATGTTTATTTTATTTATTCCTAAATTATATTTATGAACATCTTTGTAGCTGTTTCTCAGACAAAACAATAGAAAACGCTTCTTGTCTACCCCCCCCCCCAAAAAACACCCTATTTTATTTGCTAGATTAAAATGATCCCTAAACATTTATTCCTGGCTGGGCCAGGGGCTCCTGCCTGTAATCTCAGCACTTTGGGAGGCAGAGGCAGGCGGATCACCTGAGGTCGGGAGTTCCATACCAGCCTGGCCAACATGGTGAAACTCCCATCTCTACTAAAAATACAAAATTAGCTGGGCATGGTGGCGCACATCTGTAATCCCAGCTACTCAGGAGGCTGAGGCAGGAGAATCGCTTGAACCCAGAAGGTGGGGGTTGCAGTGAGCCGAGATAGCGCCATTGCACTCCAGCCTGGGTGACAGAGCAAGACTCTGCCAATAAATAAATAAATAAAACATTTATTCCTAAAGTACTTAGCTTTCCTCTGGCCTGGAGTGGACTGTTTGCTCTATATTTATCTTCATATGTTCCTTTTAGAAGCAAATATTGTTGAAATACAGACATAAGAACAAACTCCACAGAATTAATATTTTCTCTAAAAAGTGATTATGGATTAAGACACAAGCAGGATATATTTTGTGTGTTTTAATACTTCTATAGAAGACAATGGATATTTTCTAAGACAATATAGTGATTGTTTAATGAGGTAATCAGTATTTGAGCTACTAAATCCCTAATATTCCTGAAATTGCAACCAGGACTTTCCACTGGGGCCAGAGTTAGGGAAAAAAGGACTTGTACTTTATTTTGTACTTTTTTTTTTTTTTGAGACAGAGTTTTACTTTGTCACCCAGGCTGGAGTGCAGTGGCGCAGTCTTGGCTCACTGCAACCTCTGCCTCCTGGGTTCAAGCAGTTCTCCTGTCTCCGGCTCCTGAGTAGCTGTGATTACAGGTGTGCGCCACCATGCCCGGCTAATTTTTATGTTTTTAGTAGAGACGGGGGGGGGTTTCACTATGTTGGCCAGGCTGGTCTGGAACTTCTGAACTCAGGTGATGCACCAGCCTCAGCCTCCCAAAGTGCTGGGATTACAGACATGAGCCACCATGCCTGGCCTACAGATATTTTAAAGGAAAGGAAAACACGTGGTAAACTGCTCACTTTGATCTATAATACAGTTCCGTTGTATGTTTAAATTTGCCACATACTAAATTGTAGGAGACAAAGCAGGAGAAAGATTTCACCAAAAAAGAAACGAGATATGAGCCTAGGGCACCAGGGTCTCTGGAAAGACAATATTTATTTATTTATGTATGCATTTATTTATTTATTTATTTATTTATTACTTTTGAATAGGGATGGCAAAAAGTTAGCTTGAGACCAGTGCAAACAGAACCCAACTGGCCTTTATTTTATTTTTGTCCTTTTTACAAATATTTTTTGAGAATATACAAAGTACAAGGCACTGTTTTCATTTTTGAATTTGTTTCATTTTATCACACTGATATATTTCTGTGTTTCTAATTTGTAATTCAAACTTTATTTTACCCTAGGCTAAAAGAACCACACACCATGTCCAGAAGTCAAAAGTTTCTCATCTGGCTTTCTGATCTGTAAGAATTTTAATTTCTTAATATGCAAGTTATTGCTTCAGCTATATTTATTAAATACTACCCTTAAAATGTTGTGCAAGCTTTCCACATGTAATTTGTAACAAGGACAAATTGAGCACCTGCTATGTAAAATGTGTATGAATCATTTAGAAATATCTTAATTACTAATCACAAAATCTTAGGAAGAATCTTGAGAGATAATGTCCTCCAACTTCATGAGAAAACTGAGCCCCCATATACCCAGTTAAATTATTTACTTGGGGTTATCTAGCTAGTTAGTAGCAGAACTAGGTTAAATAACCATTCCCTTTAGCTTACTTGCTGGTGAAAAGAAGTGTAGCAACACAGTATATATAAAAGTGTATGTTGCCTACAGCACATTTCTCAGAAAAATTTGCTCTGCACCAAGACTTAACAGCAGAAAGGAAATCCCACCTATAGAGTGGATATCAACTTTAAAGTAAATGCCTTAATTTAGACATGATGAGTTTAATTTTAGTAAAAATCACTAAATAATTGTACTATATTTTGCTTTAAGATGGAACCTTGAATGCTTAAATATTTTAATAGTCCCAAATCACAACTTTTTATTATTTAACGCCTTTTCTTCTTATTTTATTTTATTTTATTTTATTTTATTTTATTTATTTATTTATTCATTTTTTGAGATGGAGTCTTTCTCTGTCGCCCAGGCTGGAGTGCAGTGGTGTGATCTCGGCTCACCGCTTCCTGGGTTCAAGTGATTCTTCTGCCTCAGCCTCCCGAGTAGCTGGAACTATAGGTGCCTCCCACCATGCCTGGTTAGTTTTTGTATTTTTTAGTAGAGATGAGGTTTCATCATGTTGGCCAGGCTGATCTCGAACTCCTGGCCTCATGTGATCTGCCCACCTCAGCCTCCCAAAGTGCTGGGATTACAGGTGTGAGCCACCGCGCCCAGCCTTAACGCCTTTTTCAAAGAGTCTTAAACAATTAGTTTTATCTTTTCTCTCTGTCAGTGTTTATTCTTTTTTGCTTTATTCTTGATTTAAGCTCTAGTTTTCAAGGATGCCTTTTTTTTGTACTCAAGTAAAACCAGGATGCATTTTTTTTCTTTTTTCAACCCTATTAACTGACAAGATGCATTGTTAATTGGTGTTAAAAGCACATGATTTCTAGTTTCTGTTATTTAATCATTCTAATAGACATAACAGAATAGAAATAATGTCTTTCCAGTGCAATG
Organism: Homo sapiens; assembly: GCF_000001405.40. Taxonomy (NCBI): domain Eukaryota; kingdom Metazoa; phylum Chordata; class Mammalia; order Primates; family Hominidae; genus Homo; species Homo sapiens. The sequence goes on from NC_000017.11 coordinate 59,272,215, forward strand.
AATTCCTATCTTGCTCAAGAGGTTTGTATTTTGAAAGTTCACTTATCAGTGAGTTACTTGGAACAAAAAAATATTTTTTCCCTAGACATAGGATAGTGTAATTAATGGACATAATGCTTCTAACATCGCTTACAAAAGACTAATCCATTGTGTAATGAACTATGATGTTATAGAAATTGACCTGCATTTGTTGACTTATTTTAACTTGGAAAGTTAGGAACACACATTAATAGTAAGAAAGGAAAGCCAGCTCTTTCTCCTTCTTCAGCAGTGAAAATGAGGCAGCCTCTTTTCCATTGAGCTGTGCCAACAAGAATGGGTCTCCTATGAATCTGGTAGCAGCAAGAAGTAGAAAGGAGGTTCTGGTTGTCCACCAACCAGCAGCCTGCAGTGAAAGGAGATCCAGCAATTAAGACATAAATTAATTCACAACAGCTATTATTACTTGAGACCATTTCTTTTATTGCTGAAGCATTGGGATTAAATTAAACTGGAATTACTAAACTCTAAATTGACTAAATTAGGACTAAGGACTAAATTCCTAAATCAGTTTTGCTTTTTCTTTTCTAGCTTACTAATGAGGAAAGCTTTGTTTGACCACCTAACTGCTCGAGGCATTCAAGTAAGTTTCTGGAATGATGCATTTTGGAAGCAGCATAGCTCACCAGTTTAACACAAATATAAAGGGCAAGAACTTTTAACTGACTTAGTTTGGCCCTTGACTCTGATGCTGCTGCTTTACTGATCCACAAATGAGGACCTTAAGCTCTTCCTTACACTTAGCAATAAAGCATTGGCATTTCTGGATCTAGATTCCTCTTATGTACAGAATAGCTGATGCCAGAGGGGTGGGACAGTGTTTGTGTGTGTGTATATATATATAAATATATGTATGTATATTTCTTTTTTTACTTTTTTCTTTTTTTTTTTTGAGATGGAGTCTCACTCTGTCACCCAGGCTGGAGTGCAGTGGTGCAGTCTTGACTCACTGCAACCTCCACCTCCCAGGTTCAAGCAATTCTCATGCCTCAGCCTCCTAAGTAGCTGGGATTATAGGCATGCACCACCATACCTGGCTAATTTTTGTATTTTTAGTAGAGACTGGGTTTTGCCATGTTGGCCAGGCTGATCTCGAACTCCGGACCTCAGGTGATCTGCCTGCCTTGGCCTCCCAAAGTGCTGGAATTACAGGCGTGAGCCACCGCGCTCAGCCAGGAGTCTGTATATTTAACAAGCACCATGAATTTTTTTTTAACACTCCTCATTCCTGTAAGGAACAAAGTGGAATTTTAAAAAAGGATCTAATGATTTATTTAAATGATAGCTTTAAAAGGTTATTTCTAAATGTACCAAGACTGTAGTGGATAAATACTGTTATAAAAATAATTTTCTATTTTAACATTTCTTCTCATACTTCTCACACTTCTAATTTTCAGGTGTATATTTGGGTATTAAATGAAGAACAAGAATACAAAAGAGCTTTTGATTTGGGAGCAACTGGGGTGATGACAGACTATCCAACAAAGCTTAGGGATTTTTTACATAACTTTTCAGCATAGAAAAAGAGGTACTTAGAAGTATTGAAGGAAAAAATGAAGACCTAAGAAAAAAATATTTCATGATCATTTCCCTAAGCCATTTCCAGAATGGTAAAAGGTTTAATCAGTTTTTATTACCTCATTTTTAAGCCTGTATGAGAATGTAGAAACTATATATTATATGTATATTTATTTTAAATAATATTGTATATTTTATGTTTGTAAATTGTTTAGAAAGATAATTGGTTATGAGATGTAAGTTTTAATTTCTTAATGTGCATTTTTGTTTCTAGATCTTATACAGAAATCTTGATTAATAACATACACAGAAATGTACATACTACATCATCTACAGAAATCTTGATCAATAACCTAGAAACTAGGTTATCTAGGTTATTGATCAAGATTTCTGTAGATGATGCAGTGTTCTATCATAAGTAATTCTGGAATCAAAGACTATTGGATACATTTGGCATTGGGCTGAGTGTGGTGGCTCATGCCTGTAATCCCAGCACTTTGGGAGGCTGAGACAGGCGGATCATCTGAAGTCAGGAGTTAAAGACCAGCCTGGCCAACATGGCAAAACCCCATCTCTACCAAAAATACAAAAATTAACCATGCGTGGTGGTACACGTCTGTCATCCCAGCAGCTCTTAAGGCTGAGGCACAAGAATTGCTTGAACCCGGGAGGCAGAGGCTGTAGTGAGCCAAGATAGCACCACTGCACTCCAGCCTGGGAGACAGAGTGAGACTCCGTCTCAAAAAAAAAAAAAAAAAAAAAAAATGGGAGGCCGAGGCGGGCGGATCACGAGGTCAGGAGATCGAGACCATCCTGGCTAACATGGTGAAACCCCGTCTCTACTAAAAATACAAAAAATTAGCTGGGCGTGGTGGTGGGCACCTTAGTCCCAGCTACTCGGGAGGCTGAGTCAGGAGAATGGCGTGAACCCGGGAGGCGGAGCTTGCAGTGAGCCGAGATCGCGCCACTGCACTCCAGCCTGGGCTACAGAGCAAGACTCCGTCTCAAAAAAAGAAAAAAAGAAAAAAAATTGGCAATAGTCTTCACTGGAATACAATCAATTAGTAAAAGATTTTTTTTTTTTTTTTGACATGTAGTCTTGCTCTGTCGCCGAGGCCGGAGTGCAGTGGTGCGATCTTGGCTCACTGCAACCTCTGCCTCCCAGGTTCCAGCAATTCTCCTGCCTCTGCCTCCCGAGTACCTGGGATTACAGGTGCCTGCTACCATGCCCAGCTAATTTTTGTATTTTTAGTAGAGACAGGGTTTTGCCACGTTGGCCAGACTGGTCTCGAACTCCTGACCTCAGGTGATCCACCCACCTCGGCCTCTCAAAGTGCTGGGATTACAGGTTTGAACCACTGCACCCGGCCAGTAAAAGAAATTTTGAAGGCCATTGCAGCTATTTGGTAGTGTCTTGTTATTTCTAGGTGTACCTTAGTTAAAGAGGAAAAATAAAACGGAAAAAAGCTTGGAAATCAGTGATGTGTAGTTATTTGGCAAGTTATACATAATCAGCAGCAGCCAGGCTCAAGAAAATAAAAGTTGATTAGTTGATCAGAAATAAAATCTGTAGAGTGAATTAGATTTCTGAGTTGTTGTTGTTAATGGAACATTCTATTTGAGACCTTTTTCAGGTGTGTAGCAATTCTACCATGTCCATTTTTTTAAGCATTAAAAAGGAACTTACCAGTTGTAAATTAAGACAAGATCCAAATAGTCATATTTTTGTGTTTCCTCTAAAAAAATGTAAGATTTCCATTTTTGGCACTGACTAACTGAGCCTACATCTAGATTTTAAATACCATCTTGAATCCTAATAATTAAACTGATGAAAGTGCATATCATTGTTCCTAACATTTATGAACCCCCATAAAGATGTTCCTGATCTTTAAAACTCATTAATCTGAGTATTAAGTAGAAACAGAATTTTCCAAAGCATTAGACATCACTTTCTCAGTTTATCTGAGGTGACTTCGTGTACATCTGTTTCTAATATATTTGACTAATTTTCATGATCTCAGATTGTGAGGTAAATGTAATCTGGAATAATAAGTGTCTTTTACCTAGATTACATCTCTCATTTGGAGTTTGGCAATGAAACTGCTATGAAGAATGACTGTACTCTCCTATCTGTCCCTGGATGACATAAATATCATTTGCTTTGTTGTTTAAACTGAAATAAAGTTTTCCAAGAACAAAGTAAGCATTCTTCATTCTTTTTCAGTTTTAATTCCAAATATACTTTATAGATTTTTTTGCAGAATTTAATGAGGTGATGCTTTAATCATATGAATAATAAATGCACCTGAGATTTCTCTCTAGTAAAGAAAAGAAAATATGGAAACACTTTTATGGTAAGAAAGTTACTTCTTGGCATTTGAACAAATAACTTGGGAGGGTAATCCACTGAATCAGTCATTTTCAATTTCACTTATTGTAACTTATGGTTATAGTTGCTAGGGATCATTTTGATCATCTTTGATAGAATTCTTTTTGTTATTTCTCCTTTCTAAATTTTGCTTTGTTATGATTCAGAACAGATCATATTAAAGGGCCAGCTTATATTTTATGTAAACCAGTAGAAGAAAAAGTACCCAACAAGGTAAAGATGTTTAGAAAATAATGTTTCAAAAGTTTGGTGATTTTATAGTCAAGGTGACTTTAATTTTCTTAATAAAAACATAGTATTTTCTAACAAGGAAGTTGGTCATCATTCAGTTAACATCTGAATTCTGCTTTTTGATAGGGGCATCAAGTTTTTTGTTTGTTTGTTTGTTTGTTTTTTGAGACAGGGTCTTGCTCTGCCACCCAGGCTGGAGTGCAGTGGCTCAGTCTCCACTCACTGTAGCCCCAACCTCCCTGGCTCCAGTGATACTCCTACCTCAGCCTCCTGAGTAGCTGCCAGTACAGGAGTACACCACCACACCCTGCTAATTTTTGTATTTTTTTGTAGAGACAGGGTTGCTCCATGTTGCCCATGGCTCAAGCAATCTGCCCGACTTGGCCTCCCAAAGTGCTGGGATTACAGGCACGAGCCACTGCGCCCGGCCTCAGAATTTCTTAAAGCTCTCATTTCAGTTCTAGAAATTGAGGAGTGGGGAGGGACTACAGGGAGTCATCTCATAGCCACACTGTGAAGAAAGGATGGCTGTGATGGGTTGAGAAAACAGAACATAAATAATAAATCATAGTATGCTCCAGTATGGGAAACCATTAATATATAACACAGCCTGAATGATTTTGCCTAGAGTTATGCAAAATGGTGACCCCAGAAAGAATCCATTGGAAAAAAAAAAATCAAAAGAGATTCTGCAATAGATAAGAATGACAAGTTAAGGGTGGCCATGAATGCCAGGCTGAAGAGTTTGTTCTAAACTGAAAGTCATACAGCTCAAGTAGATGGCTAAACTTGAGACAATGGAAACAAGAACCAAAACTGCTAGGCAATAATATGACATAATGATTTCAGACACAAAAGAAAAATGTGAAAAACAGTCTGCAACCAGGCCTCAAAACAAAAGCAGAACTAAAGAAGTCAGATGCAAGCGTCAGAGAGGAAATCAAAATGCTCGGAGCATACGAAGACATTTTCTGTGCCTCATTTAGGTAGCGCTGAAAAATTAATGTTTGGAAAGTTGATCATCCTATAATCTGAAAGAAAGATACAAGCCTAGAGCAGAGAACTGTCCAGAAACCAGGTCAGAAGTCTAAACAGATTAATACAAATCTAAATTGCCATTAGATGGCATAAAAATTTGGTGGCCAGGTGCAGTGGCTCACGTCTGTAATCCCAGCACTTTGGGAGGCTGAGGCAGGGAGATCACTTGAGGCCAGGAGTTCGAGACCAGCCTGGCCAACATGGCAAAACCCCATCTCTACTAAAAAAAAAAAAAAAAAAAAAAATTAGCCAGGTGTGGTGGTGCACACCTGTAATCCCAACTACTTGGGATTACACGAGAATTGAGGCAGGAGAATTGCCTGAATCCAGGAGGCGGAAGCTGCAGTGAGCTGAGATGGCACTGCTGCACTCCACCCTGGCCAACAGAGTGAGACTCCATCTCAAAATAAAAAAGAAGAGGCCGGGTGCAGTGGCTCATGCCTGTAATCCCAGCACTTTGGGAGGCTGAGGCGGGCAGATCACGAAGTCAGAAGATTCAAGACCATCCTGGCTAACACGGTGAAACCCCTTCTCTACTAAAAATACAAAAAATTAGCTGGGCGTGGTAGCACGTGCCTGTAGTCCCAGCTACTTGGGAGGCTGAGGCAGGAGAATCACTTGAACCCGGGAGGCAGAGGTTGCAGTGAGCCAAGATTGTGCCACTGTACTGCAGCCTGGGCGACAGAGCAAGACTCCATCTCAAATAAAAAAAAAAAAAAAAGGAAGTAATGGTACTATAAGTAGGGAAACAATGAATCTATGTGTCTCTGTAAAGGAAAAATTAGGCCAGGTGCGGTGGCTCACGCCTGTAATCCCAGCACTTTGGGAGGCTGAGGAGGGTGGATCACCTGAGGTCAGGAGTTTGAGACCAGGTTGAGCAACATGGTGAAACCCTGTCTGTACTAAAAATACAAAAATTATCAGGATGTGGTGGTGGGTGTCTGTAATCCCAGCTACTCTGGAGGCTGAGGCAGGAGAATCACTTGAACCCGGGAAGTGGAGGTTGCAGTGAGCTGAGACCATGCCATTGCACTCCAGCTGGGCAAAAAGAGTGAAATTCTGTCTCAATAAATAAAAGTTAAAAGAGGGAAGAAATAATAAGAGCTGGCGACTGGATAAGCTTAAAAGAAGAAGGGAAAGTTACAAAGCTGCAAAAAAATGGGGAACCTGGAGAGGAGAAACAATGTGGTGGTAAAGATGATGAATGTGGGCGCACTTGAGTTTGAAAGGGCAAAAAGAAGTTTGAGTGGCTATGCTTTAGATATATTCGCCCTTGGATGAAAGGCTAAATCTGGAGGAATAGATTTAGGCATTTCCTGTACTTCACAGGTATGAATTTGCAAAGTTAGCTCTTTAGAGGTGATATTAGTTGCTTCTCAGTATACTACTTGCAGTTTGAATAGTACCATGCCACCAGATGCCTAGTTCGTGAATGCCTAGTGAGACTGAATAATAACATACAACATAACAAATGATCTCATTCATTTATGCCTTTTTCTTTCAAAAGTAGAGAGCTCTATTAAAACAGACATAATTTTTTTTTTTTTTGAGATGGAGTCTTACTCTGTCTCCCAGGCTGGAGTGCAATGGTGCAATCTTGGCTCACTGCAACCTCTGCTCTCGGGTTCAAGCGATTCTCTTGCTTCAGCCTCCCAAGTAGCTGGGACTACAGGCACATGCCACCACACCCAGCTAATTTTTGTACTTTTAGTGGAGATGCACTTTCACCATGTGGCCACGGTGGTCTTGAACTCTTGACCTCAAGTGATGCACCCACCTCGGCCTCCCAAAGTGCTGGGATTACAGGCGTGAATCACCGTGCCCAGCCAAAACAGGCATAATTTTAACTCATCGCATTATTTATGAAAAGAATACATTATTCTGGTTTGTTGAGTAGTTTTTAAATTTAGTTTTTTAAAGTCCTAAGATAACAAGGCAGGTCCTGGACAGCCTCTCCTGGGCAAGAGGAGGCTGAGCAGGTGTAGCAGGTTACCCATTCCCACTTTGATGAGAGCTGCTCCACTTTTTTCTGTTTCATATATGAGTTCAACATAAAATTGATTTGAAATAGGAATTATCTGCAAAAACCTTTTTTGCATTCTTTGTTCTAAGATTTTTCCCTCCGGACTTTAATAGAACCTCCCTCTCTCCCCTCCTCTTCCTCTCTTTCTTCTTCCCTCCCTTCCTTCCCTGATAACTCACTCAAAGCCTTTTAAAAATTCAGTCAGTTCCCTTAATGGTTTATGATTATTTTTTTCTGGTCAGAAACTTCTCAAGAACAACCAATAGGTGGGGAAGGAGGGGTGAGAGACAGGCATAGGATATGAACAGCTAATTCACAAGTGTAAATGGCCAAGAGACATGAAAAATGTTTAACTTCCCTCATAATAAAAGACTTACAAAATGAAATGATATTGAATATGATACTAATTCCCGACTCTCAGGTAAGCAAGAATGAAAGTGTTGATGAGAGGCATAGGAGAACAAGCACTCATAAACTGTTGGTAGGAATATAAATTGACAAAGCCCACGCCTCCTCCCCCACTTTTTTTTTTTTAAGACAAAGTCTTGCTCTGTTGCAGACTGAAGTGCAGTGGCATGATCACAGCTCACTGCAACCTGTGCCTCCTGGAATCAAACAATCCTTCCACCGCAGACCCCTGAGTAGCTGGGACTACAGGTATGTACCACCACGCCAGCTAATTTTTGTATTTTTTTGTAGAGACAGGGTTTTGCTATGTTGCCCAGGCTGGTCTTAAACTCCTGGGCTCAAGCCATCTGCTCACCTCAGCCTCACAAAGTGTTGGGAATATAGGTGTGAGCTACAACACTTGGCCTTGGCAGAACACTTCTAGGATAAATTTGACAGTACCTTCAAATACATCCTTTCATCAGAAATTCCAGTGCTAGGAATAATATTCCAAGAAAAAAATAGGATGAGTGTCCAAAGATACATATGCAGAGTGAAAAATTGGAAACAACCTAAATATACAACATTAAAGGACTGGTTAGGCCAGGCATGGTGGGTCACACTTGTAATCCCAGCACTTGGGGAGGCCAAGGCGGGCGGATCACTTGAGGCCAGGAGTTCCAGACCAGCTAACATGGCAAAACCCCGTCTCTACTAAAAATACAAAAAAAAGTAGATGGGTGTGGTGGTGCGGGCCTGTAGTCGCAGCTCCTTGGGAGGCTGAGTCACCAGAATCACTTGAACCTCCCGGGAGACGGAGGTTGCAGTGAGCCAAGATCACACCAGTGCACTCCAGCCTGGCTGACAGAATTAGACTTCATCTCAAACAAAACAAAACAAAAAACAGTGAGGGAGGCCGGGCGTGGTGGCTCATGCCTGTAATCCCAGCACTTTGGGAGGCCAAGGTGGGCGGATCATGAGGTCAGGAGTTAAAGACCAGCCTGGCCAACATAGTGAAACCCCGTCTCTACTAAAAATACAAAAAAAAAAAAAATCAGCTGGGCGTGGTGGCAGGCTCCTGTAGTCCCAGCTACTTGGGAGGCTGAGACAGGAGAATCGCTTGAACCTGGGAGGTAGAAGTTGCAGTGAACCGAGATTGCACCACTGCACTCCAGCCTGGGTGACACAGCGAGGCTCTGTCTCAAAAAAATAAAAAAACAGCAACGAAACAGTGAGGGAGGCCGTGCATTCCATTCCAAGGCATCTGTGAGCCCACAGAGCAGACACCATGAGCAAACCTCATTCTCCCCAGTTGAAAAAATTTATGAACAAGAAATTATCATTGAAATTAAATGATGGCAGACATATTGTGAAGATTTGATCCCTTTATGAATCTTGTGATAGATGAATGTGTGGAGATGGCGACTAGTAGGCAACAGAACAATATTGGAATGGACGTAATATGAGGAAATAGTATCGTCATGTTAGAAGCCTTGGAATGAGTAAAAATAATGGCTGTTCAGCAGAGAAACCTATGCCCTCTCTCTATAGGTCCTGTTTTACTATGATGTAAAAATTAGGTCATGTACATTTTCACATTAGACTTTTTTTTTTTTTTTTTTTTTTTTTTTTTTTTTTTTTTTTTTGCGAAGGAGTCTTGCTCTGTTGCCCAGGCTGGATCTCAGCTCACTGCAAGCTCTGCCTCAGCCTCCCGAGTAGCTGGGACTACAGGCACCCGCCACCATGCCCCGCCTTTTTTTTTTTTTTTTTTTTAAGTTTATTTAACAAAATGTATGGCCGGGCGTGGTAGCTCACGCCTGTAATCCCAGCACTTTGGGAGGCCGAGACGGGCGGATCACCAGGTCAGGAGATCAAGACCATCCTGGCTAACACGGTGAAACCCCGTCTCTACTAAAAATACAAAAAAATTAGCCGGGCGTGGTGGCGGGCACCTGTAGTCCCAGCTACTCGGGAGGCTGAGGCAGGAGAATGGCGTGAACCCGGGAGGCGGAGCTTGCAGTGAGCCGAGATCCAGTCTGGGCTACAGAGCAAGACTCCGTCTCAAAAAAATAAAAATAAAAATAAAAAAACAAAATCGCAAAACAAGGGACTGGTTAAATAAATTATGATAGATCCTTGTAAAATATGAATGTTCTATATCTAGTGATATGAGAATATTAAGTGAAAACACTAAGCCACAAAATTGTGTATTGTGTAAATAAAAAATATTCATCTTAAAGGTCTGAAATGCTATCTGCCAATGTTAATAGTGTTTTTTTTTAATTGTGGTAAGAAGGCTGGGCGCGGTGGCTCACGCCATTATTCCCAGCAATTTGGGAGGCCGAGGCAGGTGGATTACCTGAGGTCAGGAGTTTGAGACCAGCCTGGCCAACGTGGTGAAATGCCGTCTTTACAAAAATACAAGAATTAGCCGGGCATGATGGTAGGTGCCTGTAATCCCAGCTACTCAGGAGGCGGAGGTGGGAGAATCGCTTGAACCCGGGAGGCGGAGTTTGCAGTGAGCCAAGATTGTGCCACTGCACTCCAGCCTGGGCAACAGAGCGAGACTCTGTCTCAAAAAAATAAATATATAAATACAGAAAAAAATAAGATGAAATCATTCAACTCAGTTGTGATTTCACAAGTCATCAACAAAAGAGTTAATCATTGAAATTAAGAGAAAAAGCTGAAGGAAGAGTTCAGTAGGAAAAAGAATGACCCAGAAAGTCAAGTTTGGAATATGCTCAAGGGAGAGAAGGTGTGGTCTGAGAAATAGAAGCAAGGGAGAGTATGTTTTCAACCCCATGAAAACAGAATTTAAGAGAAAAGGTAGGCTGGGCGCGGTGGCTCAAGCCTGTAATCCCAGCACTTTGAGAGGCTGAAGTGGGTGGATCATTTGAGGTCAGGAGTTCGAGACCAGCCTGACCAACATGGTGAAACCTGGTCTCTACTGAAAATACAAAAAATTAGCCGGTGTGGTGGTGCACATCTGTAATTCCAGCTTCTTGGGAGGCTGTGGCATGAGAATTGCTTGAACTCAGGAGGTTGCAGTGAGCTGAGATCGTGCGACTGCACTCCATCCTGGGCGACAGAGCAAGACTCCATCTCAAAAAAAGAAAGAAAGAAGGTGATTATCATCAATGCCCAAAAGAGAATACTGAGATTAAGGGCCAGAAAAGGGATAACTGCGTTTTTTTTGTTTTTTTTTTTTTGAGATAGAGTTTCTCTCTGTCACCCAGGCTGGAGTGCCGTGCCATCCTCATGGCTTACTACAGCCTTGACCTCCTAGGCTTAAGCGACCCTCCCACTTCAACCTTTAGAGTAGCTGAGACTACAGGCTTGCGCCATGACGCCTGGCTGATTTTTGTATTGTTTGTAGAGATGAGGTTTCGCCATGCTGCCCAGGCTGGTCTCAAACTCCTGAGCAATCCACACTCCTTGGCCTCCCAAAGTGCTGGGTTTACAGGCATGAGCCACCGCACCTGGCCTGCATTTGTTTCAAAAGGAGGCCTCTGTAACTATGATTCAATTATCTCTATAGTTGATGGAACTGATATGAGACTGCAAAGGAATCAAGAGGACTGAATTATACTAAATGAGGCTAGTAAAAATCAGCCACTTATTCACAGGAATTAGAAAATCAAGACATCTGAAAGGGCAGCAGTATCAAGTGAGTTGTGTTCTATGTGGGAGGCTTATAAATGTGTGAAAACAAGAAGGAGCTAGTGGAGAGATTGGAGATATTGGAGAGAGAGGACATGTGAGCAATGATCGCTTCAAGACTGTGTGGCTTGTAATTTATTCAACGAATCCTTAGATTCGCTGAATGCCTGCCTTGCCAAGCACCTGTGAATCATACTGAACATTTCCTGCCCTTGGTACTTATGGTCTAGTTAAGTTATCCAGAGCTGAGAGAAGGAAGAGGTATCTTTTTTATACATACTTCAGGGAAGGATGGGAAGAAAAGTATAAAAGACTGGGATGGGCCAGGCACCGTGGCTCACGCCTGTAATCCCAGCACTTTGGGAGGCCGAGGCGGGCAGATCACCTGAGGTCAGGAGTTCGAGACCAGCCTGGCCAAAATGGTGAAACCCCATCTCTACTAAAAATACAAAATTAGTCAGGCGTGGTGGTGCAGGCCTGTAATCCCAGCTACTCGGGAGCCTGAAGCAGGAGAATTGCTTGAACCTGGAGGTGGAGGTTGCAGTGAGCCAAGATTGTGCCATCTGCACTCCAGCCTGGCCAAAAAGAGCAAAACTCCATCTCAAAAAAAAAAAAAAAAAAAAAGAAAGACTGGGATGATTTGCACTTGAAAGAGGATAAAGTAGTAAAGCCAACTAGTGTGGTCTGTTACTCTTCTTATAGGACATCAGTCCTATAGGATTAGGGCCCGCCCTTATGACTTCACTTAACCTTAATACCTGCTGAAGACTCAGTCTTCAAATACAGTCACACTGGGGGTCAGGGCTTACACATATGAATTTGGTGGGGGAGGGGGGCGTGGGGGGCACAATTTAGTTCATAACAGGTGGGGATGGGGGTCAAAGCAGAGAGCTGGAGATTGGTTATGTGCGAGAGGAGGCAGAGATGGGAAGGGGAAAAGGCAGCACTTGCAGCTGACCACAGAAGGGCTAGGAGAGAGAAGAAATCTAGTGTAGCCAGGGATTGTCAGAAAGAGGTTGTGTATTTCTTTGTTTCCTTGGATACCTACTTGGAGATTTAGAGTATTGATAACAAACAATCTAGATCACTAGGGGGAGGAAATAAACTTTTCAAAGGTTTAAATTCTTTATTTTGAGACAGAGTCTCACTCTGTCACCGAGGCTGAAGTGCAGTGGCATGATCTCGGCTCACTGCAACCTCCACCTCCCAGGTTCAAGTGATTGTCCTGCCTCAGCCTCCCGAGTAGGTGGAATTACAGGCATGCACCACCATGCCCTGCTAATTTTTGTATTTTTAGTAGAGACAGGGTTTCACCATGTTGGCCAGGCTGGTCTTGAACTCCCGACCTCAAGTGATCCACCCACCTCGGCCTCCCAAAGTGCTGGGATTACAGACTTGAGCCACCACACCCAGCCTCAAATGTTTAAATTCTGATTAATTTGAGGAATAGTGAATTTGAAAGTTTGGGCATTGTTAAAAAACGGTAAATGTTACATTTATGTGAAGTTTAAATTTTTCTTCACATTTACATGTATTCCTGTGTTTCTTACTACAACCTGGTAGAGCAGTTGAGATTATCACCTTCCTGTTTTTTATATGAAACTGTGAGTTAGATGATACCTTCAAAGGGAATTTACAGGGTCACCTGGCTAGAAGTGATGTGGTTGGGTCTCCTTAACCTTCCAACTCACTCTCACTTTTCTAATTTTTCTTCCATTCACCATTCAATGCTGAGAGAAACGTAAAAAGCCGGGAGAAAGGGCAGTTGCAATGTTATGCTATAGAAAGTAAACTTTCCAAATAAAAGCTACAAAACAGAAAATTCCCATATGCCAAATGTACTTACTGTTCCCTTACTTAAACACTATTAATAGCATTTGTGGAGATAGGAATCAAGCTACTATTCCCATGAATAACTGAAACCATTGCCTGTGGGAACAGATGGAAAACTATACCACTACCTTTTTGAGAAATTAAGAAATCCCAGGTAAGAACAAAGTAATATTAAACATTTGTCATTCAACACTCAGAATTGGTTTGGCTTATACAACTAGATAGATGAATAGTGGGGTCACTTACTGAGATGGAGAAAACTGAGAAGGAAACAGATTTCCAATGGGAATGTGAAACATTCTGATTCAATTCACATTTTGAGAAACATTATCCATCACTTCTCAGCCTTTTGGCTAAGATCAAGTGAGAAACATCCCAAGCCCAAGTATGCATACCTTAGGCTCAACAAAATGACTAGACAACTTCAACCCTACTTTGAAGGAAGGAATTCAGTTAACCTTTATTTAGTACCTTTTGTATGCCAGGTTGCTATCACACTCATCATCTTATTTAATCTTCACCATAGTGTTACGAGATAAGTAGTATTATTTCTGATTTATAGATGGGGAAATAGAAGCTCAGATGGGTTGAGAGACTCACGAAAAATTGCACAGATAGTAAGATGACAAACCTGGCATTCAAACCCATCTATTTTTTTTTTTTTTCGAGACGGAGTTTTTGCTCTTGTCGCCCAGGCTGGGATGCTGTGGCACAATCTCGGCTCACTGCAACCTCCGCCTCCCAGGTTCAAGTGATTCTCCTGCCTCAGCCTCCTGAGTTGCTAGGGTTACAGGTGCTTGCCACCATGCCTGGATAATTTTTGTATTTTTAGTAGAGACGGGGTTTCACCATGTTGGCCAGGCTTGTCTCAAATCCCTGACCTGAAGTGATCTGCCCACCTCCGCCTCCCAAAGTCCTGGGATTACAGGCGTGCGCCACCGTCCCCAGCCTTTAATCCTAAATCTTGAGAGAGCAAGTTCAAAGCTGTTTTTAACACAAGCGCTGCTATTCTTTCTCCGTAACCTTTGTCACTGAACTTCTTAAATAATACTTTGGAAAGAGTGTCGTAAAAGAAATAAAATTTGGCTGAATGCAGTGGCTTATGCCTATAATCCCAGTACTTTGGGAGGCCGAGGCAGGAGGGCTGCTTAAGGCCAGGAGTTCGAGGCCAGCTTGGGCAACATAGCAAAACTCCAACTCTACAAAACTTTTTTTTTTTTTTTTTTTTTTTTTTTGAGACAGAGTCTCGCTGTGTCACCCAGGCTGGAGTGCAGTGGCTCAATCTCGGCTCACTGCAACCTCTGCCTCCCGGGTTCAAGTGATTCTCCTGCCTCAGCCTCCCAAGTAGCTGGGACTACAGGCACATGCCATCATGCCTGGCTAATTTTGTATTTTTAGTAGAGAAGGGGTTTCACCGTGTTGGTCAGGCTGGTCTCGAACTCCTGACCTTGTGATCCACCCGCCTCAGCCTCCCAAAGTGCTGGGATTGAAGGCATAAGCCACCGTGCCCAGCCTCTCTACAAAAAAATTTTTAATTAGCAGGGCATGGTGGTGCACACCTGTAGTCGTAGCTACTCGGGAGGCTGAGGAAGGAGGATCACTTGAGTCAAGGAGTTTGAGGCTGCGGTCAGCTATGATCATGTCACTACACTCCGGCCTGGGCAACTCTCTTAAAAAAAAGGAAAAAAGAAAATTAACTCTCATGTGATTGTTTTCCTTTCTCTTCCAAGTAAGATTTTGGATTAAATACACTAACGTTTGATGCTTAATGTTTAATATTAACGTTGATGTCTAATACAACTGCTGTATGGTGTTATGGAGAGAATTTTTTTCACTTCTTCATTCTAACCATTTTCATCATATTTATGAAAGAAAGAAATTTGAATTTTTAAAAATACAGGCATTTCACCTTTTCTGTCTTCTGTTCTCTTGGAGGCCAAATAGTAAAATTTACTGATGATGAGTCTATAGTTGTGTCTACTTATGCGGAAAGTACAGATGAACTATATAATCCTTCACAAGTTCTTTCCTAACCCTTCTCTTTCTCTTTTTTTATTTTTAATGTTTTTAAACAAGATCTCACTCTGTCACCCAGGTTGGAGTGCAGTGGCACCATCATAACTCACTGCAACCTTGACCTCCCAGGCCCAAGTGATCCTCCTGCCTTGGCTAATTTTTTGTTGCATTTTTTTGTAGAGACAGGGTCTCCCTATGTTGTCCAGGCTGGTCTCAAACTCCTGGGTTCAAGCAATCCTCCTGCCTCGGCCTCCTAAAGTGCTGGGATTAGAGGCATGAGTCACCATGCCCAACCAACACCCTTCTCCTCTGTGGCTGATTCATTTCCCTTTTTGATGGATATGCCTGCAGTCATCATTTTTTAGGTCATGTGATTCTGAAATAAGAAACATTTAGGCACTTTTGCAAAATATAACAGGATGCACCTGGTCCTACTGATCACTAAGAACAATCCAAATTTAACCTATCAGAAACTTAAGATAAATGATATCCTCTTAGAAGAAAGAAACCTCTTGACTCAGATGAGGAAAGCTGAGAAGTATGACATTTCCCTAGGGAAAATATTATAGTTTTCTAAATTCATTCATTTTTGGAATAACTTCTCCCAAATAACTTGTTTTTTAAAGTTATTACAACCACTCACACCTATAAGAATGGCTACTATTTTAAAAATACAAAAACAGGCCAGGCTCTATGGCTCATGCCTGTAATCCCAGTGCTTTAGGAGGCTAAGGCTCGAGGCCAAGAGTTCCATAACAGCCTGGGCAACACAGCGAGACTCCAGGTCTTAACAAATTTTTTTTTTTTGATTAGCCAGGCATCTACAGTGAGTCATGATTGTGCCACTGAACTCCGGCCTGGGCAACAGAGATCCTGTCCCCAAAAGAAAAAAAAAGGTCAAAATAAATTTGATAAACTTATGTGTAAACTGGCCAACTGATATTTACACACACACACACACACACACACACACACATATATATATATATATATATTTTTTTTTTTTTTTGAGACAGACTCTGTTTCCCAGGCTGGAGTGCAGTGGTGCAATCTTGGCTCACTGAAACCTCTGCTTTCTGGATTCAAGCACTCCTCATGCCTCAGCCTCCCAAGTAGCTGGAATTACAGGTGTGTGTCACCACACTGGGCTAATTTTTGTATTTTTAGTAGAGACAAGGGTTTCACAATGTTGGCCAGGCTGGAAATCCTGGCCTCAAGCAATCCTCCTTCCTCAGCCTCCCAAAGTGCTGGGATTACAGGCGTGAGCCACCCTGCCCGGCCAACATTGATATTAAAACTACACCTAGTTGGGCGAAGTGGCTAAGGCATGTAATCCCAGAACTTTGAGATGCCAAGGCAGGAGGATGGCTTGAGCCTAGCAGTTTGAGACTAGCCTTAGCGACATAGGGAGACCCCATCTCTACAAACAAAACAAAACAAATCTCAAATGGAACAAAGATTTAAATATCAAGAAAATGAAACAATAAAAATTCTTTTAAAAAATAGGCTGATAGGCCGGGCAAGGTGGCTCACGCCTGTAATCCAGCACTTTGTGAGGCCAAGGTGGGTGGATCACTTGAGGTTAGAGAGTTGGAGACCAGCCTGGCCAACATGGTGAAAACCCGTCTCTACTAAAAATACAAAAATTAGCCCGGCGTAGTGGCACACACCTGTAATCCAAGCTACTCGGGAGGCTGAGGCAGGAGAATTGCTTGAGACCGGAAAACGGAGGTTGCAGTTAACCAAGATGGTGCCACTGCACTCTAGCCTGGCCGACAGAGCGAGACTCTGACTCAAAAAAAAATTAGGCTGATGGCCGTGTGTGGTGGCCCATGCCTGTAATCCCAGAACTTTGGGAGGTTGAGGCAGGAGGATCACCTGAGGTTGGGAGTTCAAGAGCAGCCTGGCCAACGTAGTGAAATCCCGTCTCTACTAAAAATACAAATATTAGTCGTATGTGGTGGTGCACACCTGTAATCCCAGCTACTCGGGAGGCTGAGGCAGGAGAATTGCTTGAACCTGGGAGGTGGAGGTTGCAGTGAGCCGAGATCATGCCACTGCACTCCAACCTGGGCGACAGAGCTAGACTCTGTCTCAAAAAAAAAAAAAAAATACGCTCAATTGGCCAGGCACGGTGGCTCCCACCTGTAATTCTCACACTTTGGGAGGCCAAGGCAGGAGGATCACCTGAGGTCAAGAGTTTGAGACCAGCCTGGCCAACATGGTGAAACCCTGTCTCTACTAAAAATACAAAAATTAGCCGGGTGTGGTGGTGTGTACCGGTAGTCCCAGCTACTCGGGACACTGAGGCAGCAGAATCGCTTGAACCCAGGAGGCGGAGGTTGCAGTGAGTCGAGATCGTGCCACTGCCCTCCAGCCTGGGCGACAGAGCGAAACTCCATCTCAAAATCAGTCAATCAATCAATCAATCAATAAAATAACCAGCAGTCTTTGAAAAACACTTTGAGGAGAAAGAACTTTGACTCCAGGGGAGGAGAGCAAGGTTGTAAACACGGCTCTGCTCATACTGGCCCAGTCCTATCTGATGTTGTCCAACCCAATAATCTGGAGTCAAAAATAAATCTTCCAGATCTTCTAGTTGAGACTTAACTAAATAAGAGCTGTATTTGCCCTTGGATACAAGTACAAAGAGGGGGCCTAGGGCCACTAGATTTTTCAGGTCTCTAATCCTGAGGTTGAGCAAAGCTATCAAGGGTTGCTGCTTCAGTTTCCTTAAGGTAATCAGAGGCCAAGACCTCTGAGTTCCCTTAGTATTTGTTGATCATTATCGGGCGTGGCAGGATAATAGGATAATAATGGAGAGAAAGTCAGAAGGTAAACACGTGAACAAATGTCTCTGCATCATAAACAAGGTAAAGAAAAAAGTGCTGTGCTTTGGATGTGCATATACATAAACATCTCAATGCCTTAAGGAGCAGTATTACTGCCAGCATGTCCCACCTCCAGCCCTAAGGCGGTTTTCCCCTATCTCGGTAAATGGAATATACAATCGGCTTTTCACCGAGATATTCCATTGCCCAGGGACAAGCAGGAGACAGAAGCCTTCCTCTTATCTCAACTGCAAAGAGGCGTTCCTTCCTCTTTTACTAATCTTCCTCAGCACAGACCCTTTACGGGTGTTGGGCTGGGGGATGGTCAGGTCTTTCCCTTCCCACGAGGCCATATTTCAGACTATCACATGGAGAGAAACCTTGAACAATACCTGGTCTCTTTCCTAGGCAGAGGTCCCTGCGGCCTTCCGCAGTGTTTTGTGTATCTGGGTACTTGAGATTAGGGAGTGGTTTGAGATTAGGGAGTGGTGATGACTCTTAACGAGCATGCTGCCTTCAAGCATTTGTTTAACAAAGCACACCCTGCACAGCCATTTAACCCTGAGTTAACACAGCACGTGTTTCAGGAAGCACAGGGTTGGGGGTAGGTTTACAGATTAACAGCATCTCAAGGCAGAAAAATGTTTCATAGTACAGAACAAAATGGAGTCTCCTATGTCTACTTCTTTCTACACAGACACAGTAACAATCTGATCTCTCTTTCTTTTCCCCACAATCTTCTGGAATCATATGTTGTATGAATTATATCTTTTTTTTTTTTTCCTTTCTGAGACGGAGTTTCACTCTTGTTGCCCAGGCTGGAGTGTGCAATGGCTCAATCTTGGCTCACTGCAACCTCTGCCTCCCAGGTTCAAGCGATTCTCCTGCCTCAGCCTCCAGAGTAGCTGGGACTCCTACAGGCATGCCCCACCACACCCAGTTAATTTTGTATTTTTAGTAGAGACGGGGTTTCACCATGTTGGTCAGGCTAGTCTCAAACTGCTGACGTCAGGTGATCCACCCGCCTCGGCCTTCCAAAGTGCTGGGATTACAGGTGTGAGCCACCATGCCCGGCCTGTATGAATTACATCTTAATCTATAAATATTTGAATCTCCTGTATGTCCAAAAATATCATAAGTCAAAAGACAGGGAAAAATATTGCAGCACATTTGATAGTTCATAAAAGTGAAGAAGGAACTGATGAACAATCCAAAAATAATACAGGAGGCCAGGAGTGGTGGCTCATGCCTGTAATCCTAGCACTTTGGGAGGCCGAGGTGGGCAGGGAGTTCAAGACCAGCCTGTCCAACATGGTGAAACCCCGTCTCTACTAAAAATACAAAAATTAACCAGGCATGGTGGTGTAATCCCAGCTCTGGAGGCTGAGGTAGGAAAATTACTTGAACCCAGGAGGCAGAGGCTGCAGCGAGCCGAGATTGCGCCACTGCTCTCCAGCCTGGGCAACAGAGTGAGACTCTGTGTCAAAAAAAAAAAAAAAAAAAAAAGTAATAGGGGAAAATAATATAAATAGGCAAGTTAGTGAGAAAAACTTCTAAAATAAATCTCTTGTTATAAACCAAAACTTTTTCAGTTCTAGGAAATCAAATATGAAAAAGAAAAAAATATATATATACCAAAAGTTTTGAGGGCAGTTAATCTTCAGAATGTGTACTTACTGCTTCTCTTCCTCAGAGCTTCCAGGCTTACTTAGTCCTGTAATTGCCCCATATCTTTGCCATTTTACAGCCTGGTTTGTTTATTTGTTTTGAGACCAGATCTCACTCTATTGCCTAGGCTGGAGTTCAGTGGCATGAGCATAGTTCACTGTAGCCTCAAACTCCTGATCTTAAGTGATCCTCCCACCTCAGCCTCCTGAATAGCTGGGACTACAGGCACACGCCATCATGCCCAGCTAGTTTTTCTTCTTTTTTGTAGAGATGGGGGGTCTTGCTATGTTGCCCAAGCTGGTCTTGATCTCCTGGCCTCAAATGATCCTCCTGCCTTGGCCTCCCAAAGTGCTGCAATTATAGGTATGTGCCACTACACCTGGCCAGTCTGGTCAGTTTAATTAATTGGAACCTTGAGTTAATGAGATGTTGGTATGACTTTGATCCACATTACAATTTGTCACCTCTTGCTGAGAAGAACTGTTCCATATCACTGAACTCTGGCAATCTGCCTTCACAAACGTGTGCCATTATTCACAGGAAACCAGAGAGAAATGGTGCAGCTGGCTCATTGTAAACTGTTGAGAAAATCTGAAGCACAATATCCAACTGATATTGTCAGTAAAATCATCTTCAAAATAAAAGGTATCATATTGGAGTGACTTTTTCCCTCAATGTGCACATCCAATTTTCATTAGTTTAGTAAACACATATGGAATGTCTAATGTGTACAAAACTTTGAAATTGGGCCCTACCCTCAAGAAAATCTTTTTTGTTTTTTTTTTTGAGACAGAGTCTCGCTCTGTTGCCGAGGCTGGAGTGCAGTGGCGTGATCTCGGCTCACTGCAAACTTCACCTTCCAGGTTCAAGTGATTCTCCTCCCTCAGCCTCCCAAATAGCTGGGATTACAGGCATACACCACCATGCCTGGCTAATTTTTGTATTTTTAGTAGAGATGGGGTTTCACCATGTTGGCCAGGCTGGTCTCGAACTCCTGACCTCAGGTGATCCTCCTGCCTTGGCCTCCCAAAGTGCTGGGATTACAGGCATGAGCCACCATGCCCGGCCAGAAAGCCATATTTTAGAAGAAAAGACTTAGAATAAGAGCTTAATGGCCTAAGGACAGTTTCTAACTTGTCATCTTATATTTAGTTACTAACCTACTATTAATCCATAAGTTATACTGAAAGTAGCTGTGTAAGAACTAATATTTATATAGTGAATTATTCCTTCAAGCAACATTAAGTGTCTTCTGTGTACCAGGCACTGTCCTAGAGGTTGAAGATTTTATAAAGTATAAGATGCAGTCCCTACTTGCAAGGGATTGATGGGCAATTACACTTTGCAAGGCATTATATATATTACCTTACTTTATTCTTCATTCTAGGCATTAAGAGATAGAGCAGGCTGGACACTGTGGCTCACGCCTGTAATCCCAGCACTTTGGGAGGCCGAGGTGGGCAGATTACCTGAGATCAGGAGTTCGAGACCAGCCTGACCAACATGGGGAAACTCCATCTCTATTAAAAATACAAAAATTAGCCGGGAATGGTGGCACATGTCTATAATCCCAACTACTCAGGAGGCTGAGGCAGGAGAATCGCTTGAACCCGGGAGGCAGAGGTTGCAGTGAGTCAAGATGGCACCATTGTACTCCGGCTGGGCAACAAGAGCAAAACTCCGTCTCAAATAAATAAATAAATACATAAACAGAGAAATACAGCCTCAGAGTTCCAAGAATTGCTCAAGGTTGATCATCAAATAAATCACAGAGTGGAGTTTTCTGATGACATAGCTCATGATATATACAACAAGGATTAATATTTTGTACCTAAATTTAGAGAGAGCCTGGAGCTCTGATTTCTTTCTCTATATCTCCTTCCCTTTTTATGCTAGACATAAGGAAAATTTTATTCTGATAGTTAAGTACATTTGTACTTGATATTTTTGAGAACTGGTGGTGTTCTGGCTATTTCTCTCTTGAGACTACTTAGGCAACAATCTTAAAAAGATTTTAAATGATATCATAAAACTCCAAAGTATTTTTGTTGAAATTTCTGTGTCACAAAACTGAAGTACGCATTATTCAGTAGAGCAGAGATTTCTTACATTTTTCTGTTTGTCTAAAATATGTAGAGCAGGTATATAAATTCCACTTTCCTTTGGGTACTGCAGTGACGTACAGAAAGACCTTTTATTACACCGAGCTTCTGGAGCGCCAGAAACTCATCTTATCCACCTCTATTTCCATCTTTCCCAACCTGGCAAAATGCATATGAGGCACATGGCAGATGCTCATTAAAACTTGAAGTGGAAAAGAGCAAGAAAAGAGAAACTGAGTTATGGAAAGTCTCTTTTTGGGTGGACAACAACAACAGAATTCTTCAGGGTTAATATTTCAGATAATTTAATTAGTCCCATATTTGCAATTAGAAGAAATAGCTAAGAAATCTATGAACTTCCTTCAGTGTTTAGTGGGTGAAAAGAAAATAGCCTCCTTTGATCGAGACCATCCTGGCTAACACGGTGAAACCCCGTCTCTACTAAAAATACAAAAAATTAGCCGGGCGAGCTGGTGGGCGCCTGTAGTCCCAGCTACGCGGGAGGCTGAGGCAGGAGAATGGCGTGAACCCCGGGGGGCGGAGCTTGCAGTGAGCCGAGATCGCGCCACTACACTCCAGCCTGGGTGAAAGAGTGAGACTCCGTCTCAAAAAAAAAAAAAAAAAGAAAAAGAAAAAGAAAATAGCTTCCTTTGAGTAAGAGCACTCTGGTTTTTATTGTGGTTTGGTTTGGTTTGGTTTGGTTTGGTTTATTTTCTTCTCATATAATCAGCAGTCTTTGGGCCAGGCACGGTGGGTCACGCCTGTAATCCCAGCACTTTGGGAGGCCAAGGCGGGAGAATCATCTAAAGTCAGGAGTTTGAGACCAGCCTGACCAAATTAATGAAACCCCTGTCTCTACTAAAAATACAAAAAATAGCCAGGTGTGGTGGTGGGCACCTGTAGTTCCAGCTAGTCCGGAGGTTGAGGCATGAGGATTGCTTGAACCCAGGAGGCGGAGGTTGCAGTAAGCCAGGATCAAGCCACTGCACTCCAGCCTGGGCGACAGGGTGAGACTCTCTCCCAATTAAAAAAAAAAATTATCTGAGGTCGGGCATGGTGGCTTACACCTGTAATCCCAGCACTTTGGGAAGTTGATGTGGGAGGACTGCTTGAGCCCAGGAGTTTCAGACTTGCTTGGGCAACATAGCGGAACCCCGTCTCCTAAAATATCTATATATTTTAGTGTTTACAATGTGCTAGGTTCTATGGATAAAGTAGTGAAAAAGGCAGACAAGGTTCCTGTTCTGAAAGTCCATTCTGAAATTTTAATCCAACTTGTGTGCAGGTTGACTAAACCACCATTGTATTTTATCTGACTCAGCACGCTTTTTTTTTTTCGAGACGGAGACTCACTTTATTGCACAGGCTGGAGTGCAGTGGCATGATCTCGGCTCACTGCAACCTCTGCTTCCCAGCTTCAAGCGATTCTCATGCTCAGCCTCCTAAGTTACAGGCATGTGCCACCACGCCTGGCTAATTTTTGTATTTTTAGTAGAGATGGGGTTTCACCATGTTGGCCAGGCTGGTCTCAAACTCGTGACCTCAAGTGATCCGCCCGCCTTGGCTTCCCAAAGTGCTGGGATTACAGGCATGAGCCACCACGCCTGGCCTCAGCACTCTTTTTTATTAACTCCCCACAGAAAAGAACAATCTAAGAGCAGAAAACTTGAATGGCATCTGATTTTAATTGATTAAACGGATTAGTACTCCTTTCTTTTTTGGAAAAGCAATCATTCTCCTTTCTCTTGCCTGGAAAGAATAAATGCCAAGTGCTGAAGGTAAAAGCTATACACAGGCAACATTAACCATTTAGTCTCTGTGCTTTTCCATTTCCAGGATGTGTACTTAACTGCATTTTGGAAATATAAGTTCTTTCAACTGTTATTTCTGCCTTTTATACATCAGTGTAGTATTTATAATATTGAGATGGAAATATTAGAGAGGAGGTCCCATTATGTTGCCTAGGCTTGCCTCGAACTCCAGAGCTCAAGCTATCCTCCCACCTCGGCCTCCCAAAGTGTTGGGATTATAGGCGTGAGCCACTGAGCCGAGCCTTGAGCTGGGAATTGGCTTTTTCTGTAAAGGGCTAGACAGCAAATGTATCAGGTCTTGCAGGCTATAGGGTCTTTGTCACAACTACTGAACTCTGCTGTTACAGTACAAGAGCAACCATAGATCTTGCCTAAATAGATAAGTGGGGCTGTGTTCCAATATATATTTGCATTTCATGTACTTTTCATGTGTCACAAAATATTATTCTTCTTTTGATTTTTTCTAACCATCTAAAAAATATAACATCCATTCTTACAAACAGGTTGGATTTGGCCTGTGAACCATAGTTTGACAGTCCCTGCTACAAAGGACTGGTTAGTTCAGTTAATCAGGATCTGGTGATGAGGCCAAGGCTGTGGATTTAATCCTCATGTGAATGATCAAATTACCTTTGCACTGGTGAACATGTTGCAATCTCAAATTCCGCCCTCATTTCTTGCCGGTAACTTGAAGATGTGGGCCATTATTGTCACCAGAAGAAGCCAATAAAAGATGCCATTTCCTCATGCTTCCATTTCTAATATAGCTTACTGATGATTATCCACATTCAGTCACTGGAAAGTTTTTTTGTTTGTTATGTTTTTGTTTTTGTTTTTTTTTAGACAGCCTTGCTCTGTTGCTCGGGCTGGAGTGCAGTGGTGCAATCTTGGCTCACTGCAACCTCCACCTCTGGAGTTCAAGCGATTTCTGGATAATTTTTTTGGCATTTTTGGTAGAGACGGGGTTTCACCATGTTGGCCAGGCTGGTTTCGAACTCCTGACCTCAAGTGATTCGCTCGCCTCAGCCTCCCAAAGTGCTAGGATTACAGGCGTGAGCCACCACACCCCGCCACTGGAAAGTTTTTGAATTCTACTTTTTCAGAGTAGAGTAACACAAATTGTAACATGCTCCTCATCCCCATAATTAGAGCAGCTATAGGAAAACTGACTCATAAGCCTTTCAGATAATTATCCAAGAAAGTAAAACAGTAAATTTGTTGTGCAAATTTAATATTCATCTTGAACGTTTTATTGACCAAGATCATATCATTCTGTGAATGCCCTAAGCAATTCCGGTAGCCTTGCTCTGGGAGCAAGAGGAGTACTTTTGTTTCCTGTCTGGATTATTTCTGAGCGCTTTTGAAAGACCCGGAGCTCTATTTACCTTAACTAAGAATTGCAAGATAGCTTTGTGCTGTTTTCATGTGAGAAGGTTTTAGCTTTTCTGCCCTAGATTCTCTTGCTTCTTTCACACCTCTTAATTACCTGCTTTTGAAATGGCTTTGTTTTTGAGGTAAGTAACTGGCCATAGGAGATTTGTGAAATGTGTAGAGCCCTTGGGGGAGATTTGTAAACACAGCCACTCTTTGTCACTTATCATTGTAAACTGGCATTCCTCCAGTAGAAATGACTTTTTGGTTACAGGTAGAAGTAGGTTAAAGGTTGGCAAAGCCTTGTCACATGGAATAGTTGCTAAACTGGATGTTACAGAATTGAGGTTTGGAGGAGTGATTCCTGCTTGTTTCTCTGTGTTATCAATAGTAACAAAAAGTTTGTACGGAAGACCTGGGTTCAAAAAAAGAAATAAAAATTTAAAAAGGCCAAGCATGTTGGCTCACATCTGTAATCCCAGCACTTTGGGAGGCCAAGGCAGGAGAATTGCTTGAGGCCAGGAGTTCAAGGCCACCCTGACCGATATAGTGAGACCCCATCTCTAAAAATAAATAAGTAAATAAATAAATAAAATATCAAAATAAGGCCAGGCACTGTCGCTCACGCCTGTAATCCCAGCACTTTAGGAAGCTGAGTGGGGTGTGGGGGGCGGGGGGTGGATCATTTGAGGTCAGGAGTTCGAGACCAGCCTGGTCAACATGGTGAAACCCTGTCTCTACAAAAAAAAATACAAAAATTAGCCAGGCATGGTGGTGGGTGCCTGTAATCCCAGCTAGTCAGGAGGCTGAGGCATGAGAATCGCTTGAACCTGGGAGGTGGAGGTTGCAGTGAACTGAGATCGTGCCACTGCACTTCCAGCCTGGGTGACAGGGTGAGAGTCTGTCTCAAATAAATAATAAAATAAAATAACAAAATAAAACAAGAGAATTCCTGGGTTCAATCACATTCTGCTGAAGTCTGAAAACTTAGAATCATACTTGATACTCCCTCCAACCCCCGACCTTTTTTTTTTTGAGATGGAATCTCGCTCTGTCACCCAGGCTGAAGTGCAGTGGCAAGATCTCGGCTCACTGCAACCTCCGCCTCCAGGGTTCAAACGATTCTCATGCCTCAGCCTCCTGAGTAGCTGGGATTACAGGCACATGCCACCACACCAGGCTAATTTTTGTACTTTTAATAGAGACGGGGTTTCACCATGTTGGCCAGGCTGGTCTCGAACTCCTGACCTCGTGATCCGCCCACCTTGGCCTCCCAGAGTGCTGGGATTACAGGCGTGAGCCACCGCGCCCGGCCGATACTCCCTTTTTCTTATACCTCAATCCCATCAAAGAACCTTGTCAGCTCTACCTTCAAAATGTATCCAGAATCCAATCCCTTCTGAGGAGAGCAAAGATCACCTGATGATCAAGCAGGCACTGGGGACAAAAATTCCTTACCTGGAGAATTTAGAAGTAATTAAACTTCCTTTGTATCTAAAGTCTGCATCTGGTTCCAGGTCTCTTTCAAAACAATTTCTAAGTAGCTAGAATTTCTATACATCTCAGGAATGTCATATGGAAAATCATTATGCAATCCTTGCTGACATTAAGGCACCAAAATAGCTACAAACGTAATCATTTATCATGGCCTACTAATATGGTCCAAATTACCCTCAAGCTTCTGCCTTAAGGTCCATAAATATTTCTAAGGAAAATCCAAGTCCTTTCTTGCTGAGGCACCTCGTTGGCTTCTTCTGCAATGTTCTTTGTTTCTAATACAACTTTCCTTTATCAAACCTGTACTGTTGTCAGTCAATTCTTCTTACCAGACAGCGGGTTGACCACTTTTCGATGCCGGGGCTCTAACACCTCGCCCAGCACCTTCTTACTTCCTACAATGCCACAACCCTTGATAATTAAGAAATGAAAAATGAAAGAAAGAAGTCCGGGTGCAGTGGCTCACGCCTGTAATCCCAGCACTTTGGGAGGTGGAGGCAGGCGGATCACCTGAGGTCAGGAGTTGGAGACCAGCCTGGCTAACATGGTGAAACCCCGTCTCTACTAAAAATATTTTAAAAATTAGCAGGCATGGTGACGGATTCCTGTAATCCCAGCTGCTCAGGAGGCTGAGGCAGGAGAATCACTTGAACCCGGGAGGCGGAGGCTGCAGTGAACCAAGATCGGGCCATCGTACTATAGCCTGGGCAACAAGAACGAAACTCTGTCTCAAAAAAAAAAAAAAGAAAGAAAGAAAACAAAGGTACTCATCTGAAATAGCCCTTTATACCTTCTCATTATCTCTCACCCTTATCCAGTTTCATTTTTATCCATAGCACATATCACTAGCTGACATTTTTTTTATATATTGATATATTTGCTAGTTTTTTATCTGTCTCTTCCCACCAGGATATAAGTCCATAACCATAAGGAATTTGTTTTGGCTACTGCCTTATCTCAGAGCTTAGAACAATGCTTGGCACATAGAAGGTCTCAATAAATATTTGTTAAATAAATGAATTGTTATATTGCAGCTTCAGCTGTGGATCCACTTACAAATTAGTTTTTGTCTGGACATGAAATACTCCCCTTTCCTGATAATAAGCACTATGACTAATTTAAAAGTTGATCACAGATTGCAAAATGGGTTTGGGGACAATGATATCAATCCATGTGTTGCAGGCACTGAGATTTTATTGGTTGACTTCTAAGCCCAAAGCTAAGAAGGCAGTAGAGTGGAGGAAGAGGAAAATGAATAAGCCATGGTCTTCCTAAGCTAAACTGCTTGTGCTATAGTCAAGGACTTTGACCCTGGAATCAGACAGAATTAGGAAAGCAAATCTTAAGAAATGTGATAGTGCTGGGCACAGTGGCTCATACCTGTAATCCCAGCACTTTGGGAGGCCAAGGCGGACAGGTCACCTGAGGTCAGGGGTTCGAGACCAGCCTGACCAACATGGAGAAACTCCGTCTCTACTAAAAATACAAAATTAGACAGGTGTGGTGGTGCATGCCTGTAATCCCAGCTACTCGGGAGGCTGAGGCAGGAGGATCTCTTGAACCTGGGAGGCAGAGGTTGTGGTGAGCCGAGATTGCACCAACGCACTCCAGCCCGGGTAACAAGAGCGAGACTCCGTCTCAAAACAAAGTGAAACAAATCAAAACAAAAAAAAAATGTGATATTTACAGGGTGACATATGCAGGTAGAGGAAATGGTCCCTCCGGATCTAAAATGCTCTTTTTGATTTGAAAGATAAAATACAAGGAGAGGATAAGGAATATACAACAAAAATAAATTTGTCTTAAGGTGGAATTTATTTTATTTATGTGTTTAATTGACAATAATTGTACATATTCATGCAGCACATAGTAATGTTACCTTTTTTTCCTTTTTAAAACATTGTTTTCTATCACTTGTGTTTCACACAGGACATAATGATGTTTCAATACATATAATGTATAGCGATCAGGTGAGGATATTAGCATATCCATCATCTCAAACAGTTATCCTTTCTTTGTGTTGAGAATGCTCAATATCCTTTTTTGTGAGACATGGTCTTGCTTTGTCACCCAGGCTGCAGTGCAGTAGCATAATTATAGCTAACTGCAGTCTTGACCTCCCAGGCTCAAGCGATCCTCCCGCCTCAGCCTCTCGGACCACAGGTGTGTGCCACCGTGCCTGGCTAATTTTTTTTTATCTTTTTCTTTTTCTTTTCTTCCCTCCCCTACCTTCCTCTCCCTTCCCCCTCCCTGTCTCCCTCCCTCCCTCCTTCGTTTCCTTCTCTTCTCTTCCCTTCTCTTCTCTTCTATTCTTCTCTTTACTTTTCTTCTCACTATGTTGCCCAGGCCGGTCAATATCCTTCTCCTAACTACTTGAAACTACATGTTACTGTTAACTATAGTCATCCTATAGTGGTACACTAGAAGTTGTTCCTCCTATCTAGCTTTCTATCGCTTCCTTCCTCCTACCTTTCCTGGCCTATAGCATCCTCTGTTCTACTTTTTACGTCTATGAGATCACCTTTTTTTTTTTTTTAGCTTCCACATATGAGTGAGATCACGCGTTGTTTAACTTTCTGTTCCTGTTTATTCCTTAACATAATGTTTGAGGGGGAATTTAAATGCAAGAATGTAGATGTGAAAAATGAAATGGGTAGGTACAGCCAACAGTACAGAAAATAGTATGGAGGTTCCTAAAAAAATTAAAAATAGAATACCTTATGATCCAGCAATCCCACTTCTGGGTATATATATCCAAAGGACATGAAATCAGCATGTCAAAGAGATAGCTACACTCCCATGTTCATTGCAGCACTATCACAATAGCCAAGATATGGAAACAACCTAGATGTCCATCAACAGACAAATTGATAAAGAAAATGTGGTATACATATACAGTGGAATATTATGGAGCCTTTAAAAAGAAGGAAACCGCCTGGGCACGGTGGCTCACGCCTGTAATCCCAGCACTTTGGGAGGCCGAGATGGGCGGATCGCGAGGTCAGGAGATCGAGACCGTCCTGGCTAACACAGTGAAACCCCGTCTCCACTAAAACTACAAAAAGAAATTAGCCAGGTGTGGTGGCAGGCGCCTGTAGTTCCAGCTACTCGGGAGGCTGAGGCAAAAGAATGGCGTGAACCCAGGAGGCGGAGCTTGCAGTGAGTGAGCCGAGATCGCGCCACTGCACCCCAGCCTGGGCAACAGAGCAAGTCTCCGTCTCAAAAAAAAAAAAAAAAAAAAAAAAAAAAGAAGGAAACCCTGCCATTTGTGACAACATGGTTGAATCTGGAGAACATCATACTAAGTGAAATAAGCCAGACATAGAAGGACAAATACTGTATGATCTTACTTATATGTGGATCTAAAGCAGTCTAAATCACCTAAGACAAACTAACTTGCCTCTGTAACCCTTTGAAAGCAGGGTATCGCACATGAATACTTCCAAACGCAAAATCAATTCTGTGAGTTTCCGTAGTTCACCATTCATCAGGTACTGCTTTTTGCGAGTACAAACATATTTTTCTGCCGGGCACAGTGGCTCATGCCTGTAATCCCAGCACTTTGGGAGCTGAGGCGGGTGGATCATGAGGTCAGGAGATCGAGACCATCCTGCCTAACACGGTGAAACCCGTCTCTATTAAAAATACAAAAAATTAGCCGGACGTGGTGGCGCGGGTCTGTAGTCCCAGCTACTCTGGAGGCTGAGGCAAGAGAATAACTTGAACCCAGGAGGTTGCAGTGAGCCGAGATAGGTCCACTGCACTCCAGCCTGGGCGACAGAACGAGACTGTCTCAAAAAAAATTTTTTTTACCTACTATAAAATAAAATAAAATAAAATAGCCAGGTGTGGTGGGATGCACCTATAGTCCCAGCTACTCCAGTGGCTGAGGCAAGAGAATCCCTTGTTTCCAAGAGTACGAGTCCAACCTGGGCAACATAGTGAGACTTTGTGTCTAAAACAATTAAAAATAAAATTAAATAGTCAAAATAATAGTAGAAGAGAGTGGAATGGTGGTTGCCAGGGGCTGCAAGGAGGGGAAATTGAGGAGACGTTGGTCAAAGGATACAAAATTTCAGTTATGCAAGATGAATAAGTTCTGGAAGTCTAATATATAGCCACATGACTCTAGTTAACAATACTGCACTGTATACTTGCAATTTGCTAAAAGGATAGATCTTAAGTATTCTCACCACAAAAGAAAAAAGAAATGGTAACTATGAGAGGTGATAGATCCATTAATTAGCTTAATTATGGTGATTATTTGGATATCCATATATCAAAACATCAAGTTGTACACCTTAAACATATGTAATTTTTGTCAGTTATGCCTCAGTAAAGATGGGGAAAGTGAAATGGGTGGAGGATTTTGAGAAGTACAGGAGCATGAAACAGTGATAAATAAAAATGCAAACTTCTCCACTATAAACCTAATCAGGATAGGAGTTTGGTGTGGTTGAAAACAATGTTTATGCAAATTTACAAGAAAAAAACAACTCCATTAAAAAGTGGGCAAAGGTCATGAACACTTTTTGAAAGAAGACATACATGTGGCCAATAATCGTGTGAAAAAAAGCTTAACATCACTGATCATTAGAGAAATGCAAATCAAAACCACAATGAGATACCATCTTACACCACTCAGAACAGTTATTATTAAAAAGTCAAAAAATAACAGATGCTGGTGAGGTTGCAAAGAAAAAGGAATGCTTATACACTGTTGGTGGGAGTGTAAATTACCTCAACTATTGTGGAAGACAGTGTGGTGATTCCTCAAAGAACTAAAAACAGAAATACCATTTGACCCAGCAATCCCAATACTGGGTATATACCCAGAGGAATATAAATTATTCTATTACAAAGATACATGCATGTGTATGTTCTGCTTTATTTTATTTTATTTTATTTGTTTTGTTTTGTTTTGAGATGGAGTTTTGCCTCTTGTTGCCAAGGCTGGAGTGCAATGGCACAATCTTGGCTCACTGCAGCCTCCACCTCCCAGGTTCAAGCAGTTCTCCTGCCACAGCCTCCTAAGTAGCTGGGATTACTGGCACCTGCCACCATGCCCAGAAAATTTTTATATTTTTAGTACAGACGAGGTTTCACCATGTTGGTCAGGCTGGTCTCTAACTTCTCACCTCAAGTGATCCACTTGCCTCGGCCTCCCAAAGTGCTGGGATTACAGGCGTGAGCCACTGCACCCGATCTGCATATGTATGTTTATAGCAGCACTATTCACAATAGCCAAGACATGGAATCAACCTAAATGCCCATCAGTGATAGACTGGATAAAGAAAATGTGGCTCCAGTGGCTGAGGCGGGAGGATCCCTTGAGCCACATATACACAATGGAATACTATGCAGCCATAAAAAAGAATGAGATCTTGTCTTTTACAGGAACATGGATGGAGTGGGAGGCCATTATCCTTAGCAAACTAACGCAGAAACAAAAAACCGAATACCACATGTTCTCACTTATAAGTGGGAGCTAAATGATGATAACACATGGACACATAGAGGAGAACAACAAACACTGGAGCCTTTCAGAGGGTGGGGGGGTGGGAGGAGGGAGATGATCAGGAAAAATAACTAATGGGTACTGGGCTTAATACCTGGGTGACAAAATAATCTATACAACAAACTCCCATGACACAAGTTTACCTATATAACAAACCTGCACATGTACCCCTGAACTTAAAATAAAACTTAAATAGAAAAAGAAATAATGTCTATTGAATACCTACTATGTATTTGGCATTTAACAGGTTTTTCTTATTTAATCCTCATAACAGGTAGTTAGATAGGTATTATTGGCCTCATTATTTTATTATAGGTCAATAAAGTGAGGCTCAAAGGGCTATAAAATGTATTCACAGATGACAGATGAGTGGAAGACCTGGAATTCCTACCCAGATCTGACTTCAAGGACAAGATTATCTTCCTGTGATAATAATTGCCTCCTCTGAACATTTGCAGTTATTACTGTCTGTGCTGTTCATCATTGCGATGTGGGGTTTTGTTTTTGTTTTCGAGACGGAGTCTTGCTCTGTCACCCAGGCTGGAGTGCAGTGGCACAATCTCAGCTCATTGCAACCTCTACTCCCTGGGTTCAAGCGATTCTCCTGCCTCAGCCTCCCAAGTAGCTGGGATTACAGGCACCTGCCACAACACCTGGCTAATTTTGTATTTTTAGTAGAGTTGGGGTTTCACTCTGTTGGCCAGGCTGGTCTCAAACTCCTGACATCAAGTGATCCACCTGCCTCAACCTCCCAAATTCTGGGATTACAGGTGTGAACCATCGTGCCTGGCCCATCCCAATGTATTTTATTACTTTATGACTTATTTGAACCTTCCTTCAGGCTAAGGTTCAAATGGCAGATTAAGCTCTCAGGCATGCAGTGCCTTTCACAATCTGACTCCCATCACCTTTCCAGCCTCTTCTCTTCCCACTCCAAGCCATCCTTGGTGTCACAGCAATGAAACAAATTCCGATTAGAACTCCTGCTTCAAAACCTTTGCTCATTCTGTTATTTTTGTGATAAAGTTCAAACTCCTTAACATGTTACCTACCTTTCCTAACGACCTACCTTTCCAGAATCCACCCCCATTCCAAATACCCTGAACTTCAGCTGCATCAAACAAACGCACCATTCTCTGTGCTATTCAACACCTCCCAATCAATCCCCATGTGTTCTACCTCAGCCCTCAGAAAGAAATGTCCCAACTTCCCCTATCTCTACACAAGTTCTTTCTGCTCCATAGAATGCACTTTCCCCTTTGCTTGGTGAAAATTTTTTTTTAAACTTTGTATTGTGTACCAAATATCACATTATTGGTGGAGCCTTACCAACCTTCCTTATGGCATTTTATTGTCCTGATTTGTAACTTTTTTGTTTGTTTGTTTGAGACACAGTCTGGCTCTGTCACCCAGGCTGGAGTGCAGTGGTGCTATCTTGGCTCACTGCAACCTCCACCCGCTGGGTTCAAGGGATTCTCCTGCCTTAGCCTCCCTAGTAGCTGGGATTACAGGCATGCGCCACCACGCCCAGCTAATTTTTGTATTTTTAGGAGAGACAAGGTTTCACCATGTTGGCCAGGCTGGTCTTGAATTCCCGATCTCAAGTGATCCGCCCTCCTCGACCTCCCAAAGTGCTGAGATTACAGGTGTGAGAAACCGCACCTGGCCAGATTTGTAATATTTTTGACCATCTACTTTTTCCTTTTTTTTTTTTTTTTGAGATGGAGTTTCACTCTTGTTGCCCAGGCTGGAGTGCAATGGCGCACTCTCGGCTCACCACAACCTCCGCTTCCCGGGTTCAAGCAATTCTCCTGCCTAAGCCTCCCGAGTAGCTGGGATTACAGGCATGCACCACTACGCCCGGCTAATTTATTGTATTTTTAGTAGAGACAGGGTTTCTCCATGTTGGTTGGGCTGGTCTCGAACTTCCGACCTCAGGTGATCTGCCCGCCTTGGCCTCCCAAAGTGCTGGGATTATAAGCGTGAGCCACTGCGCCCAGCCTTATTTTTCCAAGAGTCCATCAGCTCCCCAAGGATAAAGAAATGGACACATTCATTCAGGTGTCATTAGAACCTGGCATACAACATATGCGCAATAGATGTCATGATGAGTGAATTAATTAACAATTCTTCTTTGAGTCTAGTATACCCCTCATTTTTAACATTAATTTGTAACCCAAAGGCCTCATAATAACCAGTGAAAATTTCATAAGAAAACTTTTCTCTGCACTCTTTCTACCAAGGCAACAAAAAGAAAAATATCACACACAAAGAAATACTTGAGGCTGGGCACCATGGCTTATGTCTGTAATCATAGCACTTTGAGAGGCCAAGGCAGGAGGATTGCAAGAGCCTGGCAGTTGCAGACCAGCCTGATCAACGTAGGGAAACTTTGTCTCTACAAATAATTAAAAAATTAGCCGGGAGTGGTGGTGTGCCCCTGTAGTCCCAGATACTTAGGAGGCAGAGACAGGAGGGTTGCCTGAGCACGGGAGGCTGCCATGAGACATCATCATGCCATTATATTCCAGCCCCAGCAACAGAGCAAGATCCCGTCTCAAATAAAGAAAGAAAGAAAAATACTTGAGTAAGTGGAAAAATAAACCATATTTTTGAAGGAGAATCTGGTTAGAATAAAGATATTATCAAAGTAATTGCTCATGTAGATTCCATCAAATTCTCAAAGAGAATTTTTTTAGGGGTTCATTTTTGTTTTCATTTGGGCCTTGCAAGATGATTTTAAAGTTTATCTGGGTGTTCATTGTACAATTCTTTCAACTTTTCTATATTTGACTTTGTTTTTTTTTGGAGGTGGAGTCTTGCTCTGTCACCCAGGCTGGAGTGCAGCAGCTCGATCTCGGGTCACTGCAACCTCCACCTCCTGGGTTCAAGCGATTCTCCTGCCTCAGCCTCCCAAGCAGCTGGGATTATAGGCGCTTGCCACCACTCCCAGCTAATTTTTGTATTTTTTGTTTGTTTGTTTGTTTTTTTGAGATGGAGTCTCGCTCTGTCACCCAGGCTAGAGTGCAGTAGCATGATCTCGGCTGACTGCAACCTCCACCTCCCAGGTTCAAGCGATTCTCCTGCCTCAGCCTCCTGAGTAGCTGGGACTAACAGGCGCCTACCACCGCGCCCGGCTAATTTTTGTATTTTTTTTTTTAGTAGAGATGGGGTTTCACTATCTTGGCCAGGCTGGTCTCGAACTCCTGACCTTGTGATCCATGTGCCTCAGCCTCCCAAAGTGCTGGGATTACAGGCTTGAGCCACTGCACCCGGCCAATTTTTGTATTTTTGATAGAGATGGGGTTTCACCATGTTGGTCAGGCTGGTCTTGAACTCCTGACTTCAGGTGATCCGCCCACCTCGGCCTCCCAAAATGCTGGGATTACAGGCGTGAGCCACTACGTCCCACCCAAATTCCAGATTTTAAATAATTATATGTAAAAAATGAAATTAAAAAAAATTAGAAGGAAACGTGTAGGTATTTAATTCTAAAAAGGGATAACTTTCTAAGTACAAATGGAAAAAGAAATAATAAATTTCAGGATTTTTGCAAAAAAAATTTAACTTCAATTTATCAGTAAGAATTGAAAGTTAAGGCTGGGAGCGGTGGCTCACGCCTGTTATCCCAGCACTTTGGGAGGCCGAGGCAGGCGGATCACGAGGTCAGGAGTCTGAGATCAGCCTGACCAACATGGTGAAACCCCGTCTCTACTAAAAATACAAAAATTAGCTGGGCGTGGTCGTGGGCGCCTATAATCCCAGCTATTCCGGAGGCTGAGGCAGGAGAATCGCTTGTACCCGGGAGGCGGAGGTTGCAGTGAGCAAAGATGGCGCCACTGTACTCCAGCCTGGGCGACAGAGCAAGACTCTTGTCTCAAAAAAAAAAAAAAGAAAAAAAGAAAAAACAAAGTTAAAAAGAAAAAGAAAAAAAACTTGGAAATAGGACACATGACACATGAATATACTATTCCTTTATATCAACCTTTACAAATCAGAATAACACCGTAGGCAGGCCACGGTGGCTCACACTTGTATGCCAGCACTTTGGGAGGCCGAGTGGGTGGATCACTTGACGTCAGGAATTCGAGACCAGCCGGGCCAACATGGCAAAACCCCATCTCTACTAAAAATACAAAAATTAGCCAGGCATGGTGGCGGGCACCTGTAATCCCAGCTACTTTGGGAGGCTGAGGCAGGAGAATCGCTGGAACCTGGGAGGCAGATGTTGCAGTGAGCCAAGATCACACCACTGCACTCAAACCTGGGCAACGTAAGCAAAACCTCGTCAAAAAAAAAAAAAAAAAAAGAGAGAAGAAATACATATATACATATATATATGTATATATATATGTATATATATGGAGACACTAGGAACACGAAAAATATTTCAAATATTCAATTCAGTGAAAAAAAGCAGAATATAAGTGGTTATATTTATTAATTGCAACAACATAGAAATATGCGTATATAGGAAGTCAGGTGCAACTGAAAATAGTTGTGGATTGTAGTTGTAATAGGACTGGAGGTGGTTTTTTTCTCCCTCTCAAAATTGTTTGTAGTTTTTAAAAATTATCATTAAGAAAATTATGGGCTAAAAAAATGGGCTGAGTGGGGTGGCTCACTACTGTAATTCCAGCATTTTGGGAGGCTGGGTAGGAGGATCACTTGAGGCTAAGAGTTTGAAACCAGCCTTGGCAACA
The DNA here is from genome assembly GCF_000001405.40 of Homo sapiens. Taxonomy (NCBI): domain Eukaryota; kingdom Metazoa; phylum Chordata; class Mammalia; order Primates; family Hominidae; genus Homo; species Homo sapiens. The sequence continues at coordinate 59,308,853 of NC_000017.11, forward strand.
TAGAGAGATCCCCATCTCTACAGAAAAACCAACTTTTAAAAATTAGCATGGCCTGGCCGGGCGCGGTGGCTTACGCCTGTAATCCCAGCACTTTGGGAGTCCGAGGCGGGCGGATCACAAGGTCAGTAGATCGAGACCACGGTGAAACCCCGTCTCTACTAAAAATACAAAAAGTTAGCCGGGCTTAGTGGCGGGCGCCTGTAGTCCCAGCTACTCGGGAGGCTGAGGGAGGAGAATGGCATGAACCCGGGAGGCGGAGCTTGCAGTGAGCCGAGATTGCGCCACTGCATTCCAGCCTGGGCGACAGAGCGAGACTCTGTCTCAAAAAAAAAAAAAGAAAAAGAAAAAAATTAGCGGGGCCGGGCACGGTGGCTCACACGTGTGATCCCAGCACTTTGGGAGTCTGAAGCGGGCGGATCACAAGGTCAGGAGATCGAGACCATCCTGGCTAACACGGTGAAACCCTGTCTCTAATAAAAATACAAAAAAATTAGGGGGGCGTGGTGGCGGGCACGTGTAGTCCCAGCTACTTGGGAGGCTGAGGCAGGAGAATGGCGTGAAACCGGGAGGAGGAGACTGCAGTGAGCCCAGATCACGCCACTGTACTCCAGCCTGGGCGACAGAGTGAGACCCTGTCTCAAAAAAAAATAAAAATAAAAATAAATTAGCAGCCGGTGCAGTGCCTCACACTTGTAATCCCAGCACTTTGGGAGGCTGAGGTGGGCGGATCGTTTGAGGCCAGGAGTTCAAGACTAGCCTAGCCAACATGGTAGAGCCCCGTCTCTACTCAAAATACGAAAAAATTAGCTGGGTGTGGTGGCAGGCGCCTGTAATCCTAGTTACTCAGGAGGCTGAGGCAGGAGAATTGCTTGAACCTGGGAGGCGGAGGTTGCAGTGAGCAGACATTGCACCATTGCACTCCAGCCTAGGCAACAAGAGTGAAACTCCAGGCCTGGCATGATGGCTCACGCCTGTAATCCCAGCACTTTGGGAGGCCGAGGTGGGCAGATCACCTGAGGTCAGGAGTTCGAGACCAGCTTGGCCAATATGGAGAAATCCCGTCTCTACTAGAAGTACAAAATTAGCCGGGTGTGGTGGCGCATGCCTGTAATCCCAGCTACTCGGGAAGCTGAGGCAGGAGAATCGCTTGAACCCGGAAAGTGGAGGTTGCAGTGAGCCGAGATTGCGCCATTGCACTCCAGTCTGAGCAACGAGAGCGAAACTCCGTCTCAAACAAAAAAACAAACAAACAAACAAAAACAGCCAAACTCTACCTCAAAAATAAAATAAAATTAAAAAAAAAATTAGCCATGTGTGATGGCAAGTGCCCGTAGCCCCTAGCAACTTGGTAGGCTGAGGAGAGAGGATTCCTTGAGCCTGGAAGTTCAAGGCTGCTATGAACTATGATCATACTACTGCACTCCAGCCCTGTCGACAAAGTGAGGCCCTGACTCAAAAATAAATTGGCCAGCAGTTGCTCATGCCTGTAATCACAGCACTTTGGGAGGCCGAGGCAGGCAGATCACTTGGGTCCAGGAGTTCAAGACCAGCCTGGGCAACATAAGGAGACCCAGTCTCTACAAGAAATAGAAAAATTAGCCCAGCTTGGTGGTGCACACCTGTAGGCCCAGTTACTCAGGAGGCTGAGGTGGGAGGATCGCTTGAGCCTGGGAGATGAAGGCTGCAGTGAGCTATGATGGTGCCACTGCGCTCCAGCCTGGGCAACAGAGGAAGACTCTGTCTCAGGAGAGGCGCCACCTTTACAAATTTATGACCTGCTTTTAGACAAATACGGGGATGGCAGAGAGTTTTCCTTGTATTTGCTTCTTCTCAATTGTCTTCAGCTCAACATAGTTAATATGCTGAAATGGCATATTTTGGTGTGACATATTCTGCTACCCTTCCAGCTGTATTTTTTTTTTTAAGAATTCATCCTTCACAAAATAAGGTCTTTTCCTCCTTCACATTATAATGTATCCCTTTGAACATTATCTGTAACTTTTATAAAGCTGTTAATCACAGAGTTTCTAAACCTCAGCACTATTGACATTTTGGCTCAGATAATTTTTTGTTGTTTGTGTCTTAATCACTGTATGTTTAGCAGGATCTCCGTCTCCACTTGCTAGGTGCCAATAACATCGCTTTCCAAAAGTTGTGGCAACCAAAAATTTCTCCCCATATTGTCAAATGCTCCCTGGGGCTGGCGGGCAAAATTGCCCTTGATTGAGAACCACTGCGTTAAAGGAAAGTCAATGGCATAAAATGAGAGCGTGTAGCTGGCTAGTTATGCCCTTATTTTACCACGAGAGGTCTCCCTAGACCCCATTATAGTTCTAATCTGGACAATACAGGGCTAAGGGCGCCACCAAATAGATTGTTATGACTTGGTGGATGGTGACAGTAGGTTTACACACTAAAGCAGTTGATCAATCTCCCATGCAGAAGAATTCCAAATAAATTATGTAACTACTCTACTGCAAAGGAGGGGACTATAACTCCTCACTCCTTAAGTGTAAGCTCTGCATGGTGACTTCTGTCCAAAGAGTATGACAAGGACTGGGAGGAGTCACTACAGTGGGGGAACCTGACAATCAGCCAGGTGATCCAGGAGAACATCAACACTGATAAATCATATTGATAGTATGTACCCTTGATATGATGTCATGAAAATGGCACTTTACCTCTGTGTCATCCCCCCAAAACACACATGACCCCAGTCTAGTCATGAGAAAAGCATCAGACAAATCTTAATAGAGGGGTGGCCTGCAATATACCTGATGAGAACTTCTCAACACTGTCAAGACCATCAAAACTGGCTGGGCGCAGTGGCTCACGCCTGTAATCCCAGCACTGTGGGAGGCCGAGGCAGATGGATCACCTGAGGTCAGGCATTCAAGACCAGCCTGGCCAACACAGTGAAACCCAATCTTTACTAAAAATACAAAAATTAGCTGGGTGTGGCAGCGAGTGCCTGTGGTCCCAGCTACTCAAGAGGTTGAGGCAGGAGAATCGCTTGAACCCAGGAAGCGGAGGTTGCCTTGAGCTGAGATCATGCGACTGCACTCCAGCCTGGGCGACAGAGCGAGCCTCTGTCTCGGAAAAAAAAAAAAAAAAGAAAAAAGAAAACAGCATCAAAACCAAGGAATGTCTGAGAAACTATGACAACCAAGAGAAGCCCAAGGAGACATGGCAACTAAATGTAAAGTCGTCTCCTGGCTGGGATACTGGAGCAGAAAAAAGGACATCAGGTAAAAACTAAAGAAATCTGCATAATTATAGCAAATGTGCTACACTAATATGCAATATTAATAATACAGGAAACTATGTCAAGGGCAGGGTTATATGAGGACTCTATATGCTGTTCAGCTTTTCAGTAAATCTAAAACCACTCTAAAATTTGTCTATTAATTTTAATTTAATTTTATTTTATTTTGAGACAGATTCTCACTCTGTCACCCAGGCTGGCATGATCTCGGCTCACTGCAACCTCTGCCTCCTGGGTTCAAGCAATTCTCCTGCCTCGGCCTCCTGAGCAGCTAGGATTACAAGTGCCCGCCACCACGCCCGGCTAATTTTTGTATTTTTAGTAGAGATGGGGTTTCACCATGTTGGCCAGGCTGGTTTTGAACTCATGACCTCAGGTGATCTGCCCGCCTCGGCCTCCCAAATTGCTGGGATTACATGCATGAGCCACTGCGCCTGGCCTAAAATGGTCTATTAATTTTAAAAAGCATCTGATCAAGTACTGCCTTGGCAAAATAAGCAAAGAAGCCTTTAAAATGATGAATTTCCTAGAATTCTGTTTTTTTTTTTTTTTGACTTAGTTCTCATTACATCACCCAGGCTCGAGTGCAGTGGCATGATCATAGCTCACTGTAGCCTTGCATTCCTGGGCTCAAGTGATTCTCCCACCTCAGCCTCCCAAATAGCTGGGACTATAGATGTGTGCCACCACGCTTAGCTAATTTTCTTATTTTTATTTTTTGTAGAGATAGGATCTTGCTGTTGCCCAGTCTGGCTTCAAGGGATCCTCCCATCTTGGCGGCCCAAAGTGTTGGGATTACAAGTGTGAACCACCACGCCCGGCCTTAGAATCTTATTGCTGATCTCAAGGGAATAATTTGGTGACTGTCATGTGAAATGCCACCTTCACAAACAAATCCATCTTCTCACTTTATGCAGCAGTATCAGTTAAGAAAAACGAAGATTGACACCAAAGAAAAAAAACTTTGAATAGAATAAAGAAGTCCAACTATTTTTTTTTTTTTTTGAGATGGAATTTCACTCTTCTTGCCCAGGCTGGAGTGCAATGGTGCGATCTCAGCTCACTGAAACCTCTGCCTCCAGGTTCAAGCAATTCTCCTGCCTCAGCCTCCTGAGTAGCTGGGATTACAGGCATGTGCCACCATGCCTGGCTAATTTTGTATTTTTAGTAGAGATGGGGTTTCTCCATGTTGGTCAAGCTAGTCTCGAACTCCCAACCTTGGGCGATCCACCCACGTCAGCCTCCCAAAGTGCTGGGATTACAGGCGTGAGCCACCACACCTGGCTTTTTTTTTTTTTTTTTAGATGAAGTCTTGCTCTGTTGCCCAGGCTGGCGTGCAATGGCTCCATCTTGGCTCACTGCAACCTCCACCTCCTGTGTTCAAGCGATTCTTCTGCCTCAGCCTCCCGAGTAACTGGGATTACAGACACACACCACCACACCTAGCTAAGTTTTGTATTTTTAGTAGGGATGGGGTTTCACCATGTTGGCTAGGCTGGTTTTGAACTCCTGACCTTAAGTGATCTGCCCACCTCGGCCTCCCAAAGTGCTGGGATTACAGGCGTGAGCCACCATGCCTGGCCCAACTACTTTAAATAATTCTTTCTATTCTAACAGGTGTGTAAAAGTGGCATGATCATGTGAGGTGAATAAGAACTATTGTATCTCATTGCTATCCCTTCGAAGTTGATACTATATCCCAGTACCATATTCAGATGAGGAAAATTGAGTCTTGAAGAGATTATGAATCTGCCCAAGATCACAGAGCTAGCAAGTGACGAAACTAAAATTCAAACCCAGGTTTTTTTTGTTTTTTTTTTTTTTTTGAGACAGAGTCTTGCTCTGTTGCTCAGGCTAGAGTGCAGTGGTGCGATCTTGACTGAAACCTCTGCCTCCTGGGTTCGAGCGATTCTCCTGTCTCAGCCTCTTGAGCAGCTGGGATTACAGGCGCCGGCCACCACACCCACCTAATTTTTGTATTTTCAGTAGAGACAGGGTTTCACCATGTTGGCCAGGCTGGTCTCAAACTCCTGGCCTCAGGTGATCTGCCTGCCTCAGCCTCCTAAAGTGCTGGGATTACAGGCATGAGCCACTGCACCTGGCAAGAGTAAATATTTTTAAATGAGACATTAAGACCTGGGTTTTGGCTGCGTACAGTGGCTCACGCCTGTCATCTCAGCTCTTTGGGAAGTCAAGTCAGGAGGATCATCAGCAGTCAGGTGTTTGAGACCAGCCTGGCCAACATGGCAAAACCCTGTCTCTACTAAAAATACAAAAATTAGCCAAGCATATTGGTGGGTACCTGTAATCCCAGCTACTCGGGAGGGTGAGGCAGGAGAATTGCTTGAACCTGGGAGGCAGAGTTTGCAGTGAGCTGAGACCATGCCGTTACACTCCCGCCTGGGCAACAAGAGCGAAATTCTGTCTTAAAATAAAATAAAATAAAAATATTCACTCTTAACTCTTTGGCAATATTTCCTCCCACCGTGTGACAGTCGAGGTTATTCACTGCACTGTAGAGTAGGTATGATATAATTAAATGGCACTGAACAAAAACCAGAAGTCTGGATCCTCCTTTGGCTCAGGATACCAATTTCCTTACCAGAAAATTGTGGATAATAATACCTTGCCCTGTTGACCTCACTGAGTTATTTTAAGGGTTAAATGAGAGAATCTATGAGAAAATGTCTTGCACCCCGTGAAGCAGGGCATTGTATCACGAACACATTTTTACTTTCCAGCTTTCTGCAAATATGTGTGTGAGTTAATTGTAAAATGGAATGTGTGCAGATGATTGAAGCGCACTTCCGACCAGAAGGCTTAGAAGAAAATTTTGTCAGCTTTAAATTTGCCCTTTGAATAGAAGATCCCAAGCCCATGGTCCTCATCACTGATTACTTGTGGAGTTTTGTTTTTTTTGTTTTTTTGTTTTTTTTTTGAGACAGAGTCTGGCTCAGTCACCCAGGCTGGAGTGCAATGACACAATCTTGGCTCACTGCAATCTTTGCCTCACAGGTTCAAATGATTCTCCTGCCTCAGCCTCCTGAGCAGCTGGGGTTACAAGCATGCATCATCACACCCAGCTAATTTTTTTTTTTTTTTGTATTTTGGGTAGAGATGGGGTTTTACCATGTTGGCCAGGCTAGTATCAAACTCCTGACCTCAAGTGATCCTCCTGCCTCAGCCTCCCAAAGTGCTGGGATTACAGGCATGAGCCACCATGCCTGGCCACTTGTGGAGTTTTTAAAGGGATCCATGGCCGGGCGTGGTGGCTCACGTAATCCCAGCACTTTGGGAGGCTAAAGCCGGGAGATAACAAGATCAGGAGTTTGAGACCAGCCTGGCCAATATGGTAAAACCCCATCTCTACTAAAAATACAAAAATTAGCCAGGCGTGGTGGTGGGTGCCCGTAATCCCAGCTACTCAGGAGGCTGAGGCAGGAGAATCCCTTGAACCCGGGAGGCAGAGGTTGCAGTGAGACGAGATCACACCACTGCACTCCAGCCTGGGTGACAGAGCAAGACTCTGTCTCAAAAAATAAAACAAAATAATAATAAAGGCATCCATGACCAGGATCTATCCTGGACCAATTAAGGCAATTAGAATTGCCTAGGAGTAGGGCATGCGTGGCACTGGTATTTTTCAAAAGCTTTCCAGGTGATTCGCATATACAACCAAAGCTGAGAACTGCTGTCCTAATTGATCTAAAGTCTGCCCAATTCCATGGGGGCCCAATGTTACCCTGTCTGCACAGACTGCTCATCACCCTGCAAAACTGATGGAGTTGGAATATTCCCAACAGGAAGTGAAGGTAAAATAAAAGTCTGGTCAGTCAAGCTGCTAGGACAGCAGATGATATTGTCATTTGACTAAATGAAATGGACCTATTTGTTTCACTCAAAGAAGGAAGAGCCCAGTCAAGGGAAGGAGAATGCAGCAGAAAGGAGAAGTAGCTGGCCATGCAATGAGTTCGTACTCTGCCATGGTAGAACGCTGGTCTGAGCTGCTGTTTAAACTCTCGCCTCTGCATCTCAGTTGATCTTGTGTATCATGTTGTCTGATGAACCTCTGTTGGGAGCCTGGGCCTCCGTGCTGGGCAGATCAAAGCAACAATTAAGCTTACAAATTAGTAAATTAACCCTGTTCAAAAACAGGCCACAGAGGCCGGGCATGGTGGCTCATGGCTGTAACCCCAGCACTTTGGGAGGCTGAGGCAGTCGGATCATCTGAGGTTAGGAGTTCAAGAACAGCCTGGCCAACATGATGAAACCCCATCTCTACTAAAAATACAAAAATTAGCTAGGCGTGGTGGCACATGTCTGTAATCCCAGCTACTTGGGAGGCTGAGGCACAAGAATTGCTGGAACCTGGGAGGCGGAGGTTGCAGTGAACTGGGATGGTGCCACTACACTCTAGCCTGGGCAACAGAGCGAGGTTCCGTCTCAAAAAAAAAAAAAAAAAAAAAAAAAACAGGCCACAGAAGAAAGAGCTGTTAAGCAAGGATAACATTAGGTGGCCAGGCTCATGCCTGTAATCCCAACGCTTTGGGAGGCCAAGGCAGGCGGATCACTTGAGCCCAGGAGTTCCAGACCAGCCTCAGCAACATGGCGAAACTTTGTCTCTACAAAAAATACAAATACTAGCTGGGAGTGTTGGCTTGCGCCTGTAATCCCAGTTACTCAGGAGGCTGAAGTGGGAGGATCGCTTGAGCCCAGGAGGCAGAGATTGCAGTGAACTGAGATCCCACCACTGTGCTCCAGCCTAGGAGACAGAGCAATACCCTGGCTCAAAACAAAAATGAAAAAAAGTTAGGTGTCCTACAGAATTAATATAATTCAGAGCTAGAAACTTCCTTCTTTTGGAAACAAAGCCTAGGTTACCTTAACAAATCTAGGACCTCGTTATTGAGAGGTGAGCAGTGTCTTGGAGATGAATCCACGTTAACCAAGTTCACAAGAGACCACTGCTGCATTATGCAATGACTAGACGTTACCACTGGATGGTGCATTCTTTACCTGTAAGAAATACACATTGGGGCCAGCACGGTGGCTCACGCCTGTCATCCCAGCACTTTGGGAGGCCAAGGTGGGCAGACCAGCTGAGGTCAGGAGTTTGAGACCACCCTGACCAACATGGTGAAATTCTGTCTCTACTAAAAATACAAAAATTAGCTGGCCATGGTGGCGGGCATCTGAAATCCCAGCTACTCAGGAGGCTGAGGCAGGAGAATCGCTTGAACCCGGGAGGCGGAGGTTGCAGTGAGCCCAGATTGCACCACTGCACTCCAGCCTCGGTGAACGAGAGAGACTCTGTCTCAAAAAAATAAAAAAGAAATATATGTTGGTGAGCCCAGTTAGAACCTTAAGTTACACTTGAAAATCAAGGGTATAATAAAGAAATGAGTTGGATGACCTTAAAAGATAGTACCTAGCTGGATTTGTTCAATTCCTCTGTAGGGGTAACCAGTTAAGCTGAATGAAATACCTGAGACTGTGGCAGGATATTTTCTGCCATGTTGGAGAAATTATTGCTCTGTTTTTTTGTTTGTTTGTTTGTTTTTCAGACGGGGTCTCACTCTGTCAGCCCAGGCTGGTGGGAGTGTAGTGGCACAATCTTGGCTCGCTGCAACTTCTGCCTCCCAGGCTCAAGTGATAGATCTCCCACTTCAGCCTCCGGAGTAGCTGGGACCACAGGCTCATGCTACCATGCCCAGCTAATTTCTTTCTTTTTTTTTTTTTGAGATGAAGTCTTGCTCTGTCGCCCAGGCTGGAGTGCAGTGGCACAATCTCGGCTCACTACAACCTCTGCCTCCTGGTTTCAAGCAATTCTCCTGCCTCAGCCCCCAAGTAGCTGGGACTACAGGCGCAAGCCACCACACCCAGATAATTTTTGTATTTTTTAGTAGAGATGGGGTTTTGCCATTTTGGCCAGGCTGGTTTTGAACTCCTGACCTCAGGTGATTCACCCGCCTTGACCTCCCAAAGTGCTGGGATTAGAGGTGTGAGCCACCGCACCTGGCCGAAATTCTTGCTCTGCAGAAATCACTTTTTTCAGCTCGGTGTGGCGGCTCACGCTTGTAATCCCAGCACTTTGGGAGGCCGAGGTGGGTGGATCACTTGAGGTCAGGAGTTCGAGACCAGCCTGGCCAATATAGTGAAACTCTGTCTCTACTAAAAATACAAAAATTAGCGGGGGCTTGCTGATGCGCGCCTGTAATCCCAGCTAGTTGGAGGCTGAGGCAGGAGAATCTTTGAACCTGGGAGGCAGAGGTCGCAGTGAGCTGAGATTGCGCTACTGCATTCCAGCCTGGGTAACAGAGTGAGACCATGTCTGAAAACAAAAACAAAACAAGCCATCACTTTTTTCAGACCAAGGGTCTCCAAATTTTTTTGATTGTGTGTTCCTAATGGTAAAAAATTATAAATCTACCTTTCAAATTATGATGGTTAATAGTGAGTGCCAACTTGATTGGACTGAAGGATGCAAAGTATTGTTCCTGGGTGTGTCTGTGAGGGTGTTGCCAAAAGAAATTAACATCTGAGTCAGTGGACTGGGAAAGGCAGACCCACCCTCAGTCTGGGTGGGTACCATCTAATCACCTGCCAGTGTGGCCAGAATAAAAGCAGGCAGAAGAATGCGAAAAGGCTAGACTGGCTTAGCCTCCCAGCCTCCATCTTTCTCCCGTGCTGGATGCTTCCTGCCCTTGAAATCAGACTCCAAGTTCTTCAGCTTTGGGACTCTTGGACCTTCAACCACAGACTGAAGGCTGCACTGTTGGCTTTCTGCTTTTGAGGTTTTGGGACTCGGACTGGCTTCCTTGCTCCTCAGCTTGCAGACAGCCTATTGTGGAACGTCATCTTGTGATCGTGTGAGTGAATACTCCTTAATAAATTCCCCTTCATATATACATCTATCCTATTCGTTCTGTCCCTTTAGAGAACCCTAACACATTAGTCATCTGTGGATAATTTAGCGCTCTCTCTCTTTTTTTTTTTTTTGGTATTATCATCTTGTCGAATCTGAATTGCTTTTATAATGTAATGTGTCTGACAGACAGGCTGACAGATGTATTAAGGGTAAGTAAAGTGTCAACCTAGCTGAGTGTGGTGGCTCAAGCCTTTAATCCAGACTTTGGGAGGCCAAGGGCAGAGGATCGTTCGAGGCCAGGAGTTGGAGACCAGCCTGGGAAACAAAGCAAGACCCAACTTGTAAAAAAAAAAAAACTTGAAAATTAGCTGGGTGTGGTGGTGTGCACCTGTAGTCCCAGCTACTTGGGAGGCTGAAGTGGGAAAATTGCTTAGAGCCAGGAGTTCAAGGCTGTACCCTTGCATTCCAGCCCGGGTGACAGAGCAAGACCCTGTGTTTGGATGGAAAGAAAATAAAAGAAAGGAAGTGGGGCCGGACTCCTGTGGCTCACTCCTGTAATCCCAGCACTTTGGGAGGCCGAGGAGGGTGGATCACTTGAGGTCATGAGTTGGAGACCAGCCTGGCCAACATGGTAAGATTAACACTTTTCTTTTTCTTTCTTTCTTTCTTTTTTTTTTTTTTTTTGAGACGGAGTCTCACTCTGTTGCACAGGCTGGAGTGCAGTGGCGCGGTCTTGGCTCACTGCAAGCTCCGCCTCCCGGGTTCAAGTGGTTCTCCAGCCTCAGCCTCCTGAGTAGCTGGGACTACAGGCGCCTGCTACCACGCCTGGCTAATTTTTTGTTTTTTAGTAGAGATGGGGTTTCACCGTGTTAGCCAGGATGGTCCCAATCTCCTGACCTTGTAATCTGCCTGCCTCCGCCTCCCAAAATGCTGGGATTACAGGCTTGAGCCATCGTGCTCGGCCTTCTTTTTCTTTTTTTGAGACACGGTCTAGCTCTGTCTCCTAGGCTGGAGTGCAGTGGTGCTCGGCTCACTGCAACCCCCGCCACCCGGGTTCAAGCGATTCTCCTGCCTCAGCCTCCTGAGTAGCTGGGATTACAGGAATGCATCACCACGCCTGGCTCATTTTTGTATTTTTGGTAGAGACAGGGTTTCACCATATTGGCCAGGCTGGTGTTGAACTCCTGACCTCAGGTGATCCACCCGCCTTGGCCTCCCACAGTGCTGGGATTACAGGCGTGAGCCACAGTACCCTGCCTGCTTATGCTTTAATTATTATTATCTTCAATTTGTGGTTTCTTTGCAAGAATCTTGTTAAACCGTTATCCATTTTGTGATGGTTAGCTTAGTGGAAGAGGAATGATGTAATACAATCTGTAAATCCATTAAACAGGATACAGTAACTGCAGGGTCCCACATGGTATGCTGAGGTAAGACTAGTAACTGAGGTGTCACTGTCAACTCCTTCAGCTGTGATTTTATTTATTTTTTATTTTTTTTAGACGGAGTCTTGCTCTGTCACCCAGGCTGGAGTTGCAGTGGCGCTATCTCGGCTCACTGCAAGCTCCACCTCCTGGGTTCACGCCTTTCTCCTGCCTCAGCCTCCCAAGTAGCTGGGACTACAGGCGCCCGCCACCACGCCCGGCTAATTTTTTTGTATTTTTAGTAGAGACGGGGTCTCACTGTGTTAGCCAGGATGGTCTGGATCTCCTGACCTCGTGATCCACCCGCCTCGGCCTCTCAAAGTGCTTGAATTACAGGCGTGAGCCACCGTGCCCGGACAGCTGTGATGTTTTTATTCTTCCCTGGGATACCTCAGTAATTCATCAGGCTATTCTTCAGACAACATACAATACAATGGATTCACTCAGAGACTAGAATATTTTACAGCTTTGGATACAATAGCAATATACAATTGTTCTTAAATTAGGGCCTAAAAATTATGCCCTAATCCCTGTGATTGGATATGGATGGCCCCAAATCTCTAGCCACCTACTTGCTGACAAGGTGTCTTTTGTGTAGATGTTTAATCTCTTCCATCATATTTTGATTTTCCTTATTGTTACTCTCTGAGAGGTACTATATCTGAAGTTCTGGGAGTGCATATGGACTACACGTGACTATACAGACCCACAAAGTATGAGGAGGCCACAGTCATCGCCATGTTTTACTATTAAAAGAATGGGGTTTTGTTTTGTTTTGTTTTTTTGTTTTTGAGAGGGAGTCTCACTCTGTCTCCCAGGCTGGAGTGCAGTAGCATGATCTCAGCTCCACTGCAACCTCTGCTTCCTGGGTTCAAGCGATTCTCCTGCCTCAGCCTCCTGAATAGCTGGGATTACAAGTGTGTGCCACCACGCTCAGCTAATTTTTGTATTTTTAGTAGAGACGGGGTTTCTCTATCTTGGCCAGGCTTGTGTCGAACTCCCGACCTCAGGTGATCTGGTCACCTCGGCCTCCCAAAGTGCTGGGATTACAGGCGTGAGCCACTGAGCCTGGCCTAAAGGAATGGTTTTATTTACTCAGAAGCAACGTAGCTAAAAGAGCTAATTTGGTTGAAGGAATCATGGTAAACAAATTTACTCTTATTTCCTTAGCGACTTCACCTACGAGGCTTCCCAGGTATGGGGAGGCTTCTACTGAGTTTGAAAATACTGCTGTAGAAGGCTAAGCATGGTGGCTCAAGTCTGTAATCCCAGCACTTGGGAGGACGAGGCAGGTAGATCGCTTGAGTTCAGGAGTTTGAGACCAACCTGGGCAACATGGCGAAACCCTATCCCTATTTTAAAAAAAAATTAGCCTATGTGGTGGCATACGCCTGTAATCCCAGCTACTCTGGAGGCTAAGATGGGAGGGATTGCTTGAAGCCAGGAGGCTGAGGTTGCAATGAGCTGAGATCATGCCACTGCACTCCAGTTTGGGTGACAGAGTGAGACTCTGTATCAAAAAAAACCAAAAACCAAAAACCAAAAAACTGCTGTAGGGCTGGGCACAGTGGCTTGCACACGTAATCCCAGCACTTTGGGAGGGTTTGGTTGGATTTTTGTTATAACTAGTTCTGTGCAATAAGTAAGTCTGGAGGAACTAGAGACAGAAGAGATCCTATGCCCAGTGTGTCTGCAAAGAATTAATAACAAAAAGAAGAAGAAATCCATACTTAATCAAAACACAGTGTATAGAAGAGGGTTTTAGGGTGTGGACCCTATAAGCAGTCTTTGGTTGTTCCTTCTATTCTCTCCTTAGAGAATTTAATTTTATTGTTTAAGAGCAACGCATACACATGATACTAAATGGAAAGGCCCCCTTTCATCCTCAACCTCCAGTGTCCCAGTTTTCTTCTCCAGCAGCAACCACAGTTAGGCATGCTTTGTACATTCTTCTGGTGATAGTAAAGTCATATTCAAGCATACTTGTGTACATATATATATATATGTATATACACACACACATATATTTTTTGAGACGGAGTCTCGCTCTGTTGCCTAGGCTGGAGTGCAATGGCACCATCTAGGCTCACTGCAACCTCTGCCTCCCGCGTTCAAGTGATTCTTCTACCTCAGCTTCGCGAGTAGCTGGGATTACAGGTGCCCACCACCACGCCTGGCTAATTTTTGTATTTTTAGTGGAGACGGGGTTTTACCCTGCTGGCCAGGCTAGTCTCAAACTCCTGACCTCAGGCGATCCGCCTGCCTCAGCCTCCCAAAATGCTGGGATTACAGGTGTGAGCCACACCGCGCCTGGCCATAAGTATATATTTTAAAACAAATGATGGCATACTTTGTACAATTGTTGTGTAGCATGCTTTTCTTTCATGTAAATCCTGGAGTTTGTTTACTCTTCATTCATTCATTCAACACATATTTACCAAGCACTATAACAGACTGGATTGTTGTTTGCTACTCTTTACAGTAGGTTATATATCATGCTCTCTACTCTGTAACTTTGGATACTCTATCAGTAAAGAAGATAGAGTATGACTTCCTTTCACTCTTGACTTTGTGGTTGGCCATATGATTTCCTTTGACCAATGGACTGTGGGTAGAATTGACAGTGGGTCAGTTCTAAGTAGAGGCTTAAGAACCATCATAGGTATCCATATATTTCTTGCACATTAAGGGTTTCTAAATGACAGTAGAAACCAACCAACCTAAATTCAGTCTGTGACCCTCAGCCTGAAGCAGTATGCCATAGCTTCTCTACATATTCATGAGGGAAAAATAAATTTTGTATCTGAATGTGTGTGTGCATGTGTATTAGCCACTGATATACTGGGGTTATTATCATAGCCAGAAATAAACTAAGACCTACTATGTGCCCAGAAACAACTGTAGGCACTTAGGTTCATTAGGGAACCAAAGATCTTTGCTCTTAAGGAGCATCTATGCGTAGAGTTGCCTCTTTTTAATGGCTGCATAGTATTGCTTTGTATAGAAGCATTGTAATTTCTTCAACCAGTCCTTTATAGACAGATTTGGGTTATTTCAAAGCATCAGTCTCAAAAGATGAAAAGCATATTTCTAATAAAAATGCATAGAAAGCATTATTAGAGTTTTATTTAACTCATTAATGAAGAAACCAGCAGAACGACAAAGTCTGTTCAAAAGAGAATACGACAATTGAGATGAGGCTGGGCGAAGTGGCTCATGCCTGTAATCCCAGCACTTTGGGAGGCCAAGGCGGGCAGATCACTTAAGACCAGGAGTTCAAGACCAGCGTGGCCAACATGGTAAAACCCCGTTTCTACTAAAAGACAAAAAACAAAACAAAAAAACCACACACACACACACACACACACACACACAAGAATTAGCCGGGCGTGGTGGCGCACGTCTGTAGTCCCAGCTACTCGGGAGGCTGAGGCAAGAGAATTGTTGAACCTGGGAGGTGAAGGTTGCAGTGAGCCAAGATCACACCATGGCACTCCAGCCTGGGTGACAGAGCAAGACTGTCTCAAAAAAAAAAAAAAAAAAAAATTTGAGATGAGTAAAGTCAATGGATAAAAAGAAATTTTGTTGAAGCTTGTAATCTGATATCTGATTTTTTAACAAAGAAATTCTGAATTTCTAAGCTTGATACAAAACTAGTTAACGTCGTGCATGGTAAAAATAATAACCTTTCAGGTTCTCTTCTCCTGGACAAAAAAATAATCATCCACCATTATCAATGTTAGAGAGTTGTAAAATGGGCTTTAACCAATTGCAAAGTTACATCCCTAGAGAGTCAGTCATTTGATAATACTAACAATTTTACAATATCTATTTACATACATCTTTGTGCACATGTGTGTTATCTTTTCTTTTTTTTTTTTGAGAGTCTCCGTCTGTCACCCAGGCTAGAGTGCAGTGACACGATCTCAGCTCACTGCAGCCCTCTGCAGTTCAAGTGATTCGAGTGCCTCAGACTCCCTAGCAGCTGGGATTAGAGGTCCACACTACCACGCCTGGCTAATTTTTGTATTTTTAGAAGAGGCCGGGTTTGGCCAGGCTGGTCTTGAACTCCTGGTGTCATGGAATCCACCCGCCTCAGCCTCCCAAAGTGCTGGGATTACAGGTGTGAGCCACCACACCCAGCCAGAATTTATTTTTAAAATAACTTGCACACAGCGCTGGGCAATCCCAGCACTTTGGGAGGCTGAGGCAGGTGGAGGTTGCAGTGAGCAGAGATCGTTCCATTGCACTCCAGCCTGGGTGACAAGAGTGAAACTCCGTCTCAAAAAATAAAAATAATAAATAAATAAATAAATAAACTCCTAGCCAGGCATGGTGGTGCCTGCCTATAATTCCAGTGACTGGAAAGACAGGTAGAAGGCTTGCTTGAGTCCAGGAGTTGGAGGCCAGCCTGGGCAACATAGCAAGAGCCTATTTCCAAAAAATGCTTTAAAAAAATTCCTAGCCAGTGTGGTGGCTCATGCCTGTATTCCCAGAACTTTGGGAGGCTGAGGTGGGAGGATTGCTTGAGGCTAGGAGCTTGAAACCAGCCTGGGCAACACAGAGAGCTCCCGTCTCTAAACAATATATAAAATAAAAATAAATTAAAATAAATAAATCCCTAGAAGTGAAATTTCTGAGTATATTAATCTTGAGATTTTTGAGAGATTTTAATCTCTAATTTTGAGAGAGATTACCAAATTGTCCTCTATAGAAATAAATTATGCCAATTTACCTTACTGCTAACAATATATGAGTGGCTGTTTTTTCACATCTTCTCCAAAGCAGTGTTATTGAACAGTTTACTACTTGCCAATTTTTTTGTTTGTTTGTTTTTTTGAGACAGAGTCTCGCTATGCACCCCAGGCTGGAGTGCAGTGGCCCGATCTTGTCTCACTGCAACCTCCACCTCATGGGTTTAAGCGATTCTCCTGCCTCAGCCTCCCAAGTAGCTGGGACTACAGGCGCCTGCCACCACGCCCCACCATTACTTGCCAATTTTGATAGATAAAAATAGCACCTCATTGTAATTTTAATTTTTCTTGTTATAAGATTTAACACTTTTTTTCATATCTTTACAAGTTATTTGTTTTTCTTCTACCATGAACTGTCACTTCATATCTTTGCCTTCAGAAAAATTAGTCCTTAGTCTGTCATACGTGCTCCAAATATTTTTTTTCAGTTTCAAATATATTTCTTTTTTTCTTTCTTTTTTTGAGATGGAGTTTTTTCTCTTGTCAACCAGCCTGGAGTGCAATGGTGCAATCTCCGCTCACTGCAACCTCCACCTCCCAGGTTCAAGCGATTCTCCTGCCTCAGCCTCCCAAGCAGCTGGGATTACAGGCATGCACCACCATGCCCATCTAATTTTTTTTTTTTTTTTTTTTTTTGGATTTTTAGTAGAGACAGGGTTTCACCATGTTGGCCAGACTGGTTTTGAACTCCTGACCTCAGGTGATCTGCCCGCCTGGGCCTCCCAAAGTGGTGGGATTACAGGCGTGAGCCACCGTGCCCAGCATCACATATATTTCTAATTCTAGCAATACCATTTACTAGCTGCCCAGCCTCACATCTATTTCTAATTCTAGCATTACCATTACTAGCTGACCTTGGGAAAATTACTGAACCTCTCTGAGCCTACATTTACTTGCCAGTTCTCAATCTCTTATTTGAAACCCTGAGATAGATGTGTTTTAGATTCCGACATCTTTCAGCTCATATACTGCATATTACAGAGAAGCCAGGGAGTTTGTACTTATTTATTTATTTATTTATTTAGAGACAGAGCCTAGCTCTGTCGCCCAGGCTGGAGTGTAGTGGTGCCATCTTGGCTCACTGTAGCCTCTGCCTCCCAGGTTCATGCGATTCTCCTGCTTCAGCCTCCCGAGTAGCTGGGATTACAGGCATGTGCCACCATGCTGGCTAATTTTTATATTTTTAGTAGTAGAGACAGGGTTTCATCATGTTGGCCAGGCTGGTTTCAAACTCCTGGCCTCAAGTGATCAGCCTGCCTCCGCCTCCCTAAGTGCTGGGATTAGAGGCGTGAGCCACCTTGCCAGGCTGAGTTTGTACTCTTTCAATCATTAATATTTCTACAAGAAACATATGGATATTCTAGGTGGAATTAACAAAGACTAGAAATGTCGTCACGTCAGATAAATTTTGCCATCGAGTGAGCCACATCAAACTAACTTTGGATTTTCAGAGCTTTTTGGACTTTGGAATTATGCTTTAAAAATGTAGACCTGTGGTTCTTGTGAATATTCGATTAAATTAAACAATGCATGTAACATGTCTATACCAGTTTCTAAAACATAGGAAGCACCAAATAAATGATTTTTACTGTAGTTAAGAGGGAGGTGCTAAGCCCTCACCACTCTTGCTTCCAGATCTTTTAGATTGGCGTAGGGTTTTGCTTTGTGGAGTAGTTTGATCTTTGGGTATTTTCTTGTAAAGGCAATTGGGATATTTCAGGATAACAGAAGGTAAGCAGTTTTAGTCTTTGACGGTGTAGAAGAAAAAGAATGATTAGGTTTTGAAGCCAGTTGGATCAGGGTTCAAATTTCATAGCATCAGTTCCTTTTTAAAATGAGGGAAATATCTATCTTGCTGGTTGCTTTGAGGATTAAATATAACTAGATAGAAGATAAACTGCTCTGCACACAATATGTGCTCAATAAATGGTAGCAAATGTTTTGTTAAAGCATTCAGGAAGCCCAAGGTACAACCCTCTCTTGTTAACAGTCTGAAAGGCACAGAATCAGCCACTTTCATGACTGAAAATAAGAGACTTGGACAGGGTTCAGAGAAAGCATTTATTGTACATAAAGAAACAAAGCACTGTTACCATAATCTGCGGAAAAATGGCATCAGGCCCTCTTCTGTGATGTAATGTTGTGGGACTTTACTGGAGTGAGGTTTGGAGGGGGTATGGTGAGACCTGTGAGGAGCAGCTCTCCCTCCTACATAGGCAGAGCTGGCCATTTTCCCAGGTGGTATGGTAGCGTGAGAGCCTGTGGCCTCTAGCCTTCAGGAAGTTTCCATTGTATTGTGATTTTTAAAATGTAGGTTGTCCCTTTTATATAGAATAGCCTGAAGTTTCAAGTTTAATGTTATCATACTACAAAGTAAGACTTCTATCTGTTGATCAGTATACTCTGAGAACAGATCCTATCAATTTCTGCTTGGATTCCCACTGGATTCAACTCAGATATAAACCCTTAGGGAGGGCCTACCATGTGCCAGGTGCTGAAAATACAAGGACGATCTGATAAGGTTCCAGCCCAAGAAGGACTGGCAGAGAGGACAGATAACTGATAACTCTTAATTGGGAGTGTAGAGTGTGGGGTGATGTAATGGAGCTCTGAGTAAAGTGCTATGTAGGGTACTAAGAAAAGGAAAATTAATTTTTCTGGGGAGGCTACGGGAAATTCCTCCACAGAAGTGATACTTGATCCAATCTTTGGACTGAATCATCAGGCAAATGGATTTGAGATGGGATGAGAGGAAAGGGCTGAGGGGTGGGGAAGGGGGTAAAGGAGAGAACAATATTCCAAGTGAAAGAAGCCGCAGGGACAAAGATATGAGGCAGTAGGCACATTCATGCATTTGTTCAGATAGTCACTCAAAAATTTGTTGAGTGCTAGTCACTGTTCTTGGCACTGGGGACACAACAGGAAGCAAGACAGACAGGTCCCTCTGATGTTTACACAGAGTTTACACTTCAGAGCTGGATGGGACCAAAAAAAAAAAAAAAGCACAAAGAAATGAAAAAGATTATTTGAGAGAGTGATATGTATTATGAAGAAAATAAATTGGGGTTATGATAGAAAGGGGGCATGGCATGTATGAATGGGTAGTCCTCCTCTCTGGAGGAGGCTTTTTTTTTTTTTTTAAACAGAGTCTTGCTCTGTCTCCCAGGCTGGAGTGCAGTGGTGTGATCTTGGCTCACTGCAACCTCCGCCTCCTGTTGAAACGATTCTCTTGCCTCAGCCTCCCTAGAAGCTGGGATTTCAGATGCCCGCCACCATGCCCAGCTAATTTTTGTATTTTTAGTAGAGACGGTGTTTCACCATGTTGGCTGGTCTCGAACACCTGACCTCAGGTGATCTGCCTGCTCTGGCCTTCCAAAGTGCTGGGATTACAGGCATGAGCCACTGCACCTGGCATTTGACCTCAGAACCAAATGGTGAAGAGGCAGCCTTCTGGGGGCAAGGTATTCCAGGTGGAGGGGATGGCAAATACAAACACCCTACAACAGGACGAGGAACAGAAAAAAGGCCAGCTTGACTGCAGCAGTTTGAGCAAAGGACAGATGGTGGAAGACCAGAGAGGTTGGCAGGCCTGGTTACTAGGGCCTGTGGGCCACCAGAAGGAGTTTGTTTAGAAGTACCATCTGGCTGCTGCACAGAGAATGGGCTGGAAGCAGGGAGATCAGTTGGGAAGCTGCTGCTTATTCTAGGCAAGAGATGTTGGTGGCTCCAACCAGGGTGCAGCAGCAAAGGCAGATGTGTTCACAGCAAATACATATTTGTGAAGTGAAACTGACAGGACCTGTTGATGAACTGGGGGATGGCGGGTGAGGGGAAGGAAGATGTAATTAATTATTTCAAATTAATAATGTGAAGGTTGAGAGGTTAAGTAAGGTGAACACATAAAAGTGACTCTGTTCACAGCAGCAGTAGCACCAATATGGCAACAGCGGGAAGATGGGATTAGTGAGAGGTTGCTGGAAAATAATTCCGTGAAGGCTCTGGGAATGAATGAATTTGGCTTCACACAGAGGAGACAGAGGTACTGTTCCATTGACAAAGGCAGGCTGATAATCTGTGAGGCCAGGAATCTCTCAAACTTTTACCAGCAAGGGTTTTTGTTTGTTTGTTTGTTTAAGCCTTGGCTGACTCTGAACAGATCTGTTTATTTCTCTCTCTCTCTCCATCTCTTTTTGCTTTCCAGGATAAACATCTGTCTCATTTCACCAACTCTCCATTGGCCTCAGCGTCTCTCCTCTCAGTAGATTCTTCAGAATACTATCATCCAAGTCAAGCAGGGAATTCTGCTCATAGTAGGCACTGAGAAAATGTATTGAGGGACAATTCAAGTGCCCCCTCTGGGTTCAGAGAAGTTGCATCTATTACTTTGTTTCACTTACTTCATTGTTTCACCTCTCCCTTCTCCTTTACCAGCTCAAAATGCTTGGCTCTTTTTGACTGGGAGGAGGCATGATCAGGCTTAACACTTTTTTTGTTATTGGCCGGCTGGCTGGTTTTATTGTCTCCTGACCCTAAGGTCTGGGGCCTCTTCCAGTCCCCTGCATACACACAGCAGGCCTGAAGGGGTCCTCAGAGCTCCCTCTGAAACCACTGTATCAGGCTAGTCTTCTTTAGCTAACGTTATCTTTTATTTAAACAGAAACAGTAGCCACCAGTCTTGTTACATAACATACCAATATCCTAGGGTGTTAAACTAATTCAGCATCTACTGTTAGGAAGTGGTGATGTGGCAACACAAATATTCGCTCACACAATATTGCGGAAACGTTGTAACAAACATGACTTTCTGGCCCTACTTAGAATTTCAGAGCTGGAAGGGACTTGAGATCATCCTATTTCAACCCTCCTTGTTTTAAACTGTGGAAACCTAGGCCTGGAGAGACAAAGAAACTTGCTCAAGAAGCAGATCAGGGCGAGACGGCAAGCTCTTACTAATCTAAAGAATCCATCACATCTTAGATTAAGGATTAAATGCTAAACAGTTCTTGTTTGTGATTCCTCTCATCTGAAAGCATTCCCCCCCCCCCCCCGTTTTAGACTCTCCAAACTAGTCAGTTGTGAACCAGGACATAGCCTTTGTTTACACTGAAACTGCAAATCTGAGGCTGATATGTCAGCCCCACAATACTGAGGTATTTGGGGTGTTTTGTTGTTTTTACTAACCTTGGTGACTGGATTCACATGCAATAGATATTAACTGAATACAATTTGGTTGACCAAGCATATTTTAAAAACAGCTGGGTGGAGATGCAGGTGAGCCAGCATTCTGGGTGTACGTGCAAACCAGTGTGTGGAAGGCGGAGAGTCAGCTGCACCTCCTGCAGCACCTCACATCCTGATGGCTGCACAGTAAAACACTAGTTTCCTTGGAGGAAGAGTTCCCAGAGGAACTGCGGAACCCCAGTGTCTTGAGCGAAAGGCAGGACCTGCTTTGTTCACCTTGTCCGTGCCAACATTCTTTATCAAACTGTCCTGTTTTCCTGCTGGGAAACTGCCCCACTCCACCCACCTGGTGCCTCCCTGGTTTCCTGACTGCCACGAGGTTATTTTTTAACCTGCTCTTCCTTGAAAAGCACCACCCCGGTGACCCAGAACGTGGACTCCTCCCCTCTGGTCACTCGGACCATCCCACTCTAATTACCGTCATCTGCCTCTGAAAGTCATGGAAAATTAGCAGCAATGGGGCGGTCTTCAATTCCACTAAGCCCCTTTCGTACTTTTAATTCGCCGAAATTACTAGCAGGGCAGAGAGAAGAGGGGAAATGCCTGGCTTCTGAGCAAGGCATGGGTGGGCTGGGTGCAACTAGCACTATCATTTTCTTTTAATTTTATTATTATTATACTTTAAGTTTTAGGGTACATGTGCACAATGTGCAGGTTTGTTACATATGTATACATGTGCCATGTTGGTGTGCTGCACCCATTAACTCGTCATTTAGCATTAGGTGTATCTCCTAATGCTATCCCTCCCCCCTCCCCCCTATCATTTTAAATTCAATTACCCGGGGCCTGAGGGCCACTTCTGGTAACTTAGGCTATGGCTTAGGGCGAGGTTTAAAACGTAAGAAAGGAATGACTATCTTGAGCCTCCAGGGAGATGCACTGCAAATCCCCCCGCCCCAAAATACAACCCAGGTTCTGGGAATCCCAGCCCTGCCCTGGGGACAAACCCCAAACTCAAATAAACGGCCTCCTCCTAGGCGCTGAGAGCCCACCCAGCTTTGGCACTCTGGGTCCCTGCCCTCCGGCAAGTTGCCGGGACGGGCGGGACCCTAACCAGCCGCTCTCCCCTAGCCCAGGCTGGGCCGGGCCGAGGGGTGGGGGAGTGGGCGGTCGGGGAAGCGGGGGGCGGAGTTCCGTCCTCTGATGATTGGCTCTGCGCGGATGGGCTGCGGCTGCGCCCGGCCAACCCGCGGCGTGTTGCTATGTGCTGAGCCGAGGGGATAGGTGCGGGGGCGCGTCCATCACGGGGTAGCCCCCGGCCCGGACCCGGAGGGATGCGGAGTGGCGGCCGCGGCGGTGGCGGAGACTGTGGCTTTAAGAGCGTGCCGGGAGCCCGAGCCCCAGCCGGGCCGCGCTTCGCCGCTGCGCACCCCAGCGGAGCCAAGCCCCACGCTGGCCGGACAGGGCCGCCTGTCGCCGGGTAAGTGCACCGGAGTGCGGCGCGGGCCGGGCGCGCGTGGGCGTGGGGCGCGCTGTCAGCTCGGGCTCTGGGTCCCCGGCCCCGGCCTCCGGACTCCCCCGGCCGGGCCTGCGCGGGGTTGGGGGTGCGGCGCCCTCGGTTCCGCGTGGGGTCCCCGTGGGCGCCGGGGACGGGGAGCGGCCGCCGGGCCACGTGACCGGTTTGTTTACAAACACTGCCGGGCCCGCGGCCGCTCGCGGAGGGAGCCCAAGGGCGCGGGACCCCCGGCCGGGGCGGGAGACGCGCGCCAGGGGCTGGGCGAGTCTGCGGGGCCAGGTTTGGGGCGGGGGTGCGGAGCTGGAATCGCCGCTTCCTCCTCCGCGTCGTCCCCATGGGTTCGGACTCCATGGGGTCCGGGTGGGGCTGGGGACGCCCTCCGTCCTCTCGTGACGCCGCGTTTCCCTCGGAGAGTCCTGGGGACACTTAGGTCCAGGGGCGCCGCCCTGGGGGCCTTCCACTGTGGGACTGGGCGCCCTCGAAATTTCTCGGAGCGCGTCGTCTGCCCCGACCCGGGTCGAGGTAACCGCAGCCGAGTTCCTCCCTGGCCGCGTCTCGGCGCCTCCCCGGTGTCCTTGCCAAGGGGGTGGGCGCGAGGTCCTGCCCGACGGAACGCGGGAGCCTCTGCCGCGAGCGCCTCCCCGGAGCTGGCGCTTAGGGGCGGCCCCGACCTTTCGCCACTTCCAGTTCACCCTGCTTGGCCGCCGACCTCCTCTGGTGTCTTTCCCGGAGTGGTGGGCTTTTCTCCGGTCTTGGGGGCGTGCGGGGGTGGGGGACACCTGTTCTTCTGGACTTCTTGTCCGGAAGATTGCTACCTCTGCCTTCAGTCTTAGCTGCGAGAGTTTAAAAAGCCAGGTGAGCGAGTGTCTTGTTTTCCTCCGCTTGGAGCGGAGCTGCACCCTCGCCCGCCCCCCAGTCCCGCCGCTGTGAAAGGCCCCAGAGAACTGCTCCGAAGCTTTGCTGGGGTTTTTGCTTTCTGGCCTCCTTGCTGATTTGCTGTCCTTGCAACTTGGGAGGCTCTTGAGTGAGTCCTTGCCTTTGGTGAATCTGAAGGCTAACGAGACAGCTGTCTTTTCCTCCCTGCCCTTCCTTCCTTGTTCTTCCTTGTTCCAAAGCATTGGGCAAGAAGGGTAGCGGTCAGCTTCCCTGTGCCTCACAGAGCATTAAAGATGCAAGAAGTTCAGTAAACCGCCTCACTGGCTCTGGGGTGGGACTTGATTTCACATGGTTATTGCTCCCCCGTGCTTTCCTGCCTCTGGGGGCCACAGGGCCTATGAATGGCTGAGTCTTGCCTCCGGTGAGGAACATTTTCATTCTTCTAAACTGTGTTTTGAGTGGCTGCAAGTTCTTTTCCCCAGAAACAGGCCCAGCCTGGGGAGAGCTGTGCAGACTTCCCCCTTGGCACCATCCCCTGTCCCCAGCTCCATGATAGGATCTCAGGCAGGAGTGCAGTGGGAGCCTCATCCGCTTCCTCAGTTGGGCTTTGCCGCCGCAGGTTAGCATTCAATGACAGCATTTCTTGGATCTGTCTTGATATTTCTGTGCTTGAACCAAAATCAAGAAGCTTAGAGTTAGGGGTGGAAAATGGAAAATAAACACCATGCGCGAGAAAACTGTTTTCCTTCTTCCCTCTAGGAGCATGGTTTTCAGACTTTGAGTGGGACCTGCACTGCATACAGGTCTGTAACTGAAATAAGTTTCAGAGAACAATAATTACCCTTACTCCCTGCAGTGTGCTCTGTTTTAAAGGTTTTTTTTTCTACTTCATTTAAAAAAATCAACTGCTGGTTATGACCCATTAATTTGATTTCCTGACCAAGCAGGTCCTGACCCATAGTTTGAGAAGCATCGCTTTAAGGCAGAGGTCCTCAAACTTAAATGTGTATAAAGATGACCTGGGTAGTGTTTAAAAATAGTTTGTCAGGCTACTCCGCAGATGTTTATTTTCAGTGGGCCACAGGAATCTGCATTTTTACCAGGGGACCTATGAGATTGTGATGCAGGTGCTTGATAAGAGCCCCTGATCTAGTGGGAACTGGAGGCAGTGAACAATGAAAGGTATTAACTTGGCTCTGAAGTGCAGTCAGGTATGTGACCCCATACTCTGCAATCCCAAAATCACTCAGCTGCCAATCACACTAGCTTAGGCTTTGAAAAGTCTAAGGGCACAGTATTGTTTGTTCTCAACTGCCATGAAGCAGTTGGCTTTAAGAGACTGGTATCCCTCCCTCTCCACTCCAGCCTGTTTGAGGGCTGCTGCACAGTGTTGTGTACCAGGAGATGTTTCTAGGTGTGTGGGGGTTGGAGATGTGAGTAGTGCCGATGAGTTGCGTGAGTTGCTGTGCTGTTCATAGATTATGTGAATTCTTCATTGTCGTAATGATTTTCACGGTTTTGAGGCAGCCACACAGTCATTGTGCCTGGGAGATTCACAATTGGCCAGCTGAAGAAGAGGTTGATTTTGTTTAGTATCCGTGTATTCCAGACTGCATAGCCTCGGGGGAAGGCAGGCAGGTGACTCTTTTTATTTGGGGGGGGGTGAGGAGTCAGGAGTTTGTCTACCATCAGGTCTTAATAAGAGGCACAAGTTCCCATACCTCCTGGGCTACCCCAGTCCTGGTTACTTCCCATTGTGATGGCCCAGTCCCTGTGTGCAGGCGAATCTTGTTAGGCATCCAGTTTCTGATGCTGTTATCTGCCTTCAGGCACAAACACACACACACAC
Organism: Homo sapiens; assembly: GCF_000001405.40. Lineage (NCBI taxonomy): Eukaryota > Metazoa > Chordata > Mammalia > Primates > Hominidae > Homo > Homo sapiens. Next base: position 59,334,586 of record NC_000017.11, read on the forward strand.
ACACACACACACACACACACACGCCTGATGCAGCCACAGGTTAGATTTTTCCCTCTTAGTTATTGTGTCCAGACATATTGGTAGGATACATTTATTTGAATTAATGAAAGCTGCGATTTAGCTTCAAAAAGGACTCTATCCAAATTCAACTTCCACTGTAGCCCTTCTTGCTAAAGGTGTGCCTTATGGGAGCATCAAGCGTGGGATTTTAAAAATTAACTTTAATAATGTTCAGTTTGGCCAAGCAACTCACATTCAGAATGTTTAGTTTTGAGCATATGGAGAAAAGAAAGCAACAAAAGGATGGCAAGGGATAAGATGTCCCAGGATTGGAAAAGCCAGAAGGAAGAGATGTTGAAGTGAGATTCAGATGGAGGATGTGATCAATTCCCATTGTAAATTACCTTGGCATTTCCTTAGGGTTTGTCAGGCAAACCACTAGGTGCTCTGACAACTGCATTCCCCTGAGCATAAAAAGGTATAAAGTTTTGGAAAAGGAAGAAGCATCATTTTCAACTTGAGCCTGTAATGATGGAAAGCCAGCCAGGGCCTGCAGGCTAAAGATATTTTTTAGAGTTGTTAGTTTTCAGTGACATTGTCCTTAACAAAAGGTGATACACTTGAGTCTGTGAAGTATTGTACTGCCTGAGTTTGTTTACCTGGGAGCTGTGGATATAGCACTGGAGAGCTTAAAAGTAAATCAGAATTTGCTATTCTCTTGTCGCCAATTTGCCAATGGCTTCCCATTGCCCTTCAGATATAATCTAATTCCTTTCCTTGTAGGCACCACACGGCTTGTCCTACTCCCCCATCTTCTGCCTCATCTCTTACCAATCCCCAACCTGTCCACTCTGCTTCTTCCTGCTTGAGAAAAGCTCGCCTTTCTGAGGTTTCTGAAACATGCCATACTTAGGTTTGTCATAGGGCTTTTCTACTGGTAGTAACTCTTTCCAGGATTCTTTCTCCAGATTTTTCTTTTCTGTTTGAGACAGGGTCTTGCTCTTGCCCAGGCTGGAGTGCAGTGGTGTGATCTGCTCACTGCAACCTCTGCCTCCCTGATTCAAGTGATTCTCCTGCCTCAGCCTCCCAAGTAGCTGGGATTACAGGCGCACCCCACCACGCCCGGCTAATTTTTGCATTTTTAGTGGAGACGGGGTTTCACCATATTGTCCAGGCTGGTCTTGAACTCCTGACCTCAGGTGATCTGCCTGCCTCAGCCTCTGACAAGTCTTGGGATTACAGGCATAAGCCACCGTGCCTGGCTCTTTCTCCAAATTTTTGCGTGGCTGACTCTCACTTGGTTCTCAGAGCTACTTCCTGACGGACCAGTTATCTAGAACAGCTCCTCCCTTCTCTGCCCCTCAGCCTCTCTTAATCCCCTTAACTTTATTTTCTTCAAAGCACTTTAATACCGTCTGGAAATATATTATCTACCTGTTTGCCGACACGGAAGCTTGAGAGCTTCTCTGTCTTGCTTGCTGCTGAAAATGCTTGGTGTGGAGTAGACACTGGATAAGTATTTGTTGGTTGAATGCGTGAATGACCAAGAGAACCAAGGTTTAGAATCTCTAGAGGAGGAAATATACTTTAAGAGGAAAAGATAATTCTCTTTTTCTGGGATAATATAGTATGCTCTCAGAATTACTTTCACTTGCACTATTTCTGCTTTTCACAATAGTTTTCATTCCTTTATTCCATTTATAGGTTGGCAAAGCCTCCAAAAGCTCCATTGTTATTTTGTTGTCATTAATAATAAACAACTCTTACCTACCCCAGTAACCTTATTCTAGGCCTCGCTGTTTGTTTTCTTCTAACAAATGTTAGCATTTCTATCAGTAATCACATTTCATTAATACCAGGAGGCACTATATGTGGGGCTAAGAGCCTGGACTTTGGAATCAGAAAGACCTGGATAATTAGCTCTGTGACCTTGGCAATCTACTAAAATTCTCTAAATCTTTGTTCCTTATTTTTAAAATGGTACTAATAATAGTTTGCATCACACGGGACTGATGGGAGGATTAAATGAGACTGCAGGGGAAACCAGGTACAGAGCCTGGCACCTAAGCACTCAGTGCTAGCTATTAATAACAGCACTAACATTAATAGGTGGATTCCCCTCTCTCTGGCTCAGAGGAATCCATTCTCAATCCATTGATTTGGGAGTGGACAGTGTGTGGTGGGGTCAGAGGAGGACTTCTTAATATAAGTAAGTAAAGACTGAAAATGCCACTTACATCTATTTGAACTGGAATGGAATTTAGAAACCATGTATTCGCAAGCTGACTGCTGCCCAACACCCACCTGGAAGAAGTAACAGTTACAGAAGTTTTTGGAAGGACGAGTTTTCTATCTGCTCCTGTGGCGATTCTTGGTTTTAGACTTGATTAGGCTGGGCCATCTGCATGTGCCATTATGTCAGCCCCTCCGTTGTTATTTTTACCGAGTTGGGCTTCAGTGTCTGCCCTTTGCTTTATGGAAGGACACTGTCAGAAATAGCTTTATATAACTTGTTACTGTAATTCTTATAAGGGTTTATATTGTTGAAGACTAGCTACAGATTCAATGCCCCCTTTAAGAAGTTCATGGGAGAAATTCTTTTTTTTTGTTTTTTTTGTTTGAGACGGAGTCTCGCTCTGTGGCCCAGGCGGGAGTGCAGTGGTGCAATCTCGGCTCACTGCAAGCTCCGCCTCCCGGGTTCACGCCATTCTCCTGCCTCAGCCTCCCGAGTAGCTGGGACTACAGGCGCCCACCATCACGCCCGGCTAATTTTTTTTGTATTTTTAGTAGAGATGGGGTTTCACCGTGTTAGCCAGGATGGTCTCGATCTCCTGACCTCGTGATCCGCCCGCCTCGGCCTCCCAAAGTGCTGGGATTACAAGCGTGAGCCACCGCGCCCGGCCGGGAGAAATTCTTTTAGAACCTAATGTCTCTGAAAAGCTTTGCCTCTCCTGAAAACCTGGTATGCTTTTTCTTTTGTGGAAATTGGAAATTTATAGCATGATAAATGCTATAAATGCTATAAATGATAAATGCTTTTTGCTTTGGCTACCAGGAAGTACAGAGTGAAATTTGTGGCTTGATTTTAGTGACTATGTAGGGCCCTGCATCCTAATTTTTTCTAGTGTTAACCTTGTAATTTTTGTTTTCTATTAATTAGGTATATACTGGGTTGGGCATTAAAGTCTGTTTAGGTGTTAACATTTTGGAGATATACACACTGAGGTTCAAACAGACAAAAAGGACTTGCTTTAAGACATAGTGCTAATTAGGGCAAAGCGGAAGCTATAAACCATACCTTCTGTTTCCCAGACCCAGGCCTCTTCCTACTGCTGCGCATTCTGGAATAATACCAGCTCCTCATCTAAACCCTAAATAGCCCATGTCTCCATTCTAGGCAGAGTCTACCTTCTCTCTGAAACGAGACAGAGCAGCATTCTGCTTGCGAGGTGCAGCAGTGCCACCTGCATTCCTGTTACCTGGATGGCTCAGCAATACCTGGGTCTCCTGAGCTACAGAGGAGTCAGCCCTCCCCTGTGGTCTTAAAAGCAGTGTGTCTAGACTGAGTGGCTTTGATTCGAAACTGGATTGCTGGCTCCATGTGAGCTTACCCTCCAGTGTCTGGAGTTCCTTTGTCTGTTTCTCACTGGGAAAGGAAGGCTTGACATCCAGTTGGCAGATGGGTGCCACTGAGGCTCAAACATGATCTTCTGGGTGTGAATGGTGACCAAGTTCAGTTGCACCAGAGAAAGTGGCTTTGTTTTACCTGATACGAAATTTTTAGTTCTAGGAAATACTGACCTTTCTAGTGATTGGTATTTTGTTTTCTCAAGACATTCTGTTCAGGAGTACCTGAGGCAAATAAGTGTAGGCACGGAACAGATCCTGCCCATCAGGAATATTTTGATCCCTATTTTTGAGATGGATTGGTGAAGAATGAAGAGGATTTACACATACAGAAACATTCCATGGGGAACAGTTGTGCAGAGGCACTGAGGTGTGAATATAAGAGGGAGTGTATGGGGAATGTTCAGGAAGCACGTGAGATGGGGAAAGAGGGCACTGGGATGTAGTTCTCAGCTACCATGGCTGCAGATAGAGCACTCCGTGGGAGTGGACTGTGACTTCCTTCACAGTAAGGGTGAAGAGCACTGCACAATGGCTAATTGCCTCAGATCATAGGCGTCTCCAGGAGGGAGGCTATCTCTAGGGATTCTCGAAGCTGGCTGCCTTAAGAATTCATCGTCCTGCTAAAGGCCTACAAAATCAGAATTTTCAGGATGGGGAATTTGTAACAAAAACAAGAAAATAGTAACAACCCCTGAAAAACTGTTTCCCAGGTTCTTCTAAAGCAGCCAACCCCACACATGACTGAGGTCTGGAAACCACTGAGGTCGTGCTTGATCCCTCTGGCAGGAGCTACCAAGCAGCCTTGGCTTTTGGCCCCCTTGCCCTTGCTCTTTCTGTTTTTGCTTTTTCCTTTGTGTTGCCCCTACACGTCATCCAGGATATCTGCGCCCCCCACCCCCACCCCCACCCCAACGCCTTGTTTCTTCTTTTACCACTTCGGTCTTTGTCTGTTGGGGGTCCCTCCCTACATTGACCCATTGCCAAATGAACCATAAGAGAGAAATGAATTAACTTTCAGGACAGGTTACGTTAATGGTATGAACGTGCACATTACATAAACCTAAATTAAATAGGGCTTGCAGTTTGTTTTGCTCGCGGGGCTCTTTTTTTCTGTTAGGATTTGAGGAAAAGTTATCCCCACACTTAACTGCAGCCTTAAAGCTAAGTGCTTCATTAGCAGAGAGGTACAACAAGAGCTGAAAACTCCCTTTTTCTTGTGCCTAATCTGTTGTCCCACCTTCTGGCTCAGGTTATTCCCATCCCTCATTTGTTTTCTCCCATTTCGGCAATTTAATGTTGAAGCATTGAGCTGAGAGTCTGAGGGTGTTTAGAGAGAACTTGACGTCTTCATTTTGCATTATGTTGAGTTGACTTAGACTCTCCCATTCTGCTTGAAGCTCTGGAAGGAATTCAGGGACTGAGAATACACTTCCTCAGACTCTTCTCTGGCTGGTTTGGGGAGGAAGGATCTACTTGCAAGGGACGGGGGATTTGAATCCTGGTTTTGGTCCTCTCTAATTGTGTGATCTTGGGCAAATTGTTCCTTTTTCTGTGTCTGGAAAGCAGGGGTCATCATCATAATGCCTGTCTCCCTGGGTTGTTGTGAGGATTAATTGAGATATGACCCCTCATAGACGCATAACAGGGAATTAATAAATTGTAGAATCCTGGAGGTTTATCTGCAGTTGTTCCAGGGTCTCTCTCCCAAACTGCCCCCACTTCCTACCTTCCTCCAACCAAGGCTTACTGAGCTTTCTGAGCTCCTCTTGCCAAGCTTTGGGCTGCGTATGAGGGCTGATTAACCAGACATGGTCTCATGTCTGATTAACCATGGCCAGGAATGGTTTGCAATCTAGTGGGAAGTCTGACTGAGAAACAACTAATTTTGTGGAACTTTTTTTTTTTTTTTGAGATGGAGTTTCACTCTTGTTGCCCAAGCTGGAGTACAATGGTGTGATCTCAGCTCACTGCAATCTCCACCCCCCCAGGTTCAAGCGATCGTCCTGCCCCAGCCTCCAGAGTAGCTGGGATTACAGGCACCTGCCACTACGCCCGGCTAATTTTTGTATTTTTAGTAGAGACAGGGTTTCACTACGTTGGCCAGGCTGGTCTCGAACTCCTGACCTCAGGTGATCCACCCGCCTTGGCCTCCCAAAGTGCTGGGATTACAGGCGTGAGCCACCGTGCCCAGCTGGAACTTTATTTATTTTTTTTTTTTGAGACAGAGTCTTGCTCTGTCGCCCAGGCTGGAGTGCAGTGGTGCGATCTCAGCTCACTGCAGGCTCCGCCCTCCAGGTTCACGCCATTCTCCTGCCTCAGCCTCCCAAGTAGCTGGGACTACAGGCACCCGCCACCTCGCTCGGCTAATTTTTTATACTTTCAGTAGAGACGGGGTTTCACCGTGTTAGCCAGGATGATCTCGAACTCCTGACCTTGTGATCCGCCCACCTCGGCCTTTCAAAGTGCTGGGATTACAGGCGTGAGCCACCGCACCCAGCCGAACTTTTTTTTTTTTGAAATGGCGATGTCTTGCTCTGTTGCCCAGGCTGGAGTGCAGTGACGCCATCTCGGTCACTGCAACCTCAGCCTCCTGGGTTTAAGTGATTCCCCTGCCTCACCCTCCCAAGTAGCTGGGATTACAGGCGTGTGCCACCACGCCTGGCTAATTTTTGTATTTTTAGTAGAGACGGGGTTTCGCCATGTTGGCCAGGCTGGTCTGGAACACCTGACCTCAGGCTATCTGCCCGCCTCAGCATCTCAAAGTGCTGGGATTACAGGCTTGAGCCACCGCACCCGGCTGTTTTGCGGAACTTTAAAAAATTAAGGTGGCCGGGCGCGGTGGCTCATGCCTGTAATCCCAGTACTTTGAGATGCTGAGGCGGGCAGATAGCCTGAGGTCAGGTGTTCCAGACCAGCCTGGCCAACATGGCGAAACCCCTGTAATCCCAGCACTTTGGGAGGCCGAGGTGGGCGGAGACCATCCTGACTAACAAGGTGAAATCCCATCTCTACTAAAAATACAAAAAATTAGCCAGGCGTGGTGGCTGGTGCCTGTAGTCCCAGCTACTCGGGAGGCTGAGGCAGGAGAATCGCTTGAACCCGGGAGGCGGAGCTTGCAATGAGCGGAGATCGCACCACTGCACTCCAGCCTGGGCTACAGAGCGAGACTCCGTCTCAAAAAAAAAAGGCCAGGCGCGGTGACTCATGCCTGTAATCCCAGCATCTCCTGAGGTCAGGAGTTCCAGACCAGTCTGGACAACATGGCAAAACCCGTCCCTACTAAAAATACAAAAATTAGCCGGGTGTGGTGGCGGGTGCCTATAATCCCAGCTACTTGGGAGGCGGAGGCAGGAGAATTGCTTGAACCTGGGAGGCGCAGGTTGCAGTGAGCCAGATTGTGCCATTGCACTCCAGCGTGGGCAACAAGTGCGAAACAACGTCTCAGGAAAAAAAAAAGTTATATTAAAAAGGTAAACAGGCTGCGTGCATTTGCTGGACCTCAAAGGATCAGAGGCACGTGGTGGAAGCACTTTTAAGAAGGAGGATTGAAGGAGAACAGGGACTTCGATTCTTGTTAAAATCTATCTGCTATTCCCATTCAGAGAAGAAACCCAGAAATGTGCTGTAGAGTGAGTCTCCTCCCTTTCCCACCCCACCGCCTTTCCTCTCCCTCAGTAAATGGCACCACTGGATGACAGTTTAATAATTCCCAGAACAAAATAACTTCCAACTTTGGGCTGGCGATGGCTGGGTCTTTAGACATATAAGCAACCTTTTGAAAGTGCCTCTTCCCTTTTTTGCTCTTCAGTTTTTAAAAAGTTCAATTTCCAAATTCCAATTGCGGAAAGGCGGGGAGCCCAGCCACAGATGTCAGAGTCTAGAGTTTTGGATTTATTTGAATTGGGAGATTAAAGTCAGAAAGCCAAAGGCATGCTGACAGCTGAACAACAGAATTGTATTGGCAGATTTAGGATGGGTGGTTTGTAGCTAATTGGGGCCCCAGCTGTGCCCTGGGGGACCAGCAGTTTAAAGAGAAATCAAGGTCACACAGTGCCCAAAGTCTACAACACATTCATGTATTCAGCAGATATTTGAATGTGGGAAACACAGATGACAATCAAATAATCACCTCAGTAAAAGTACAGCTGTGGATAGTGCTATATGTGTGGCATAGGGGAGCCTGACTTAGTTGGGGCTGGACGAGGCCAGGGGGAGGGTTCCCTGGTGCAGTAACTTCTGAAGATAGGCCGTATCTCTTACCCTATTTTCCAAGACCTTCTTTTCTTCCTAGATCTTGTAAATGGCTGTTTTTCATTATACTTTAAGTATAGCCCTGTCTGGGGACAGAAAGATGGACCAGATTTTTCTCTGGGTCACAGATCATGGGAAAAATCTATTTGTTTTGTTTTAACCAGGATTATCATCTCTGAGCATGATCAAATACAAAAGGAAGGACTGGTGTTGAAGGGCGGCAGTCTCTTGGGGCTGGAGGAAAAGGGCACATTTGGCTCTCTCGTCTGCATAGTCAAGGCAGGGTTGAGGGATCCCTTGCCTTCTTGGTTTGAATCAAGTCTGACACTTCATTTTTTTGTGACTCATTCTTGCCTGGGGTAGCAGTTCAGACTGTCCTGGGGGTTTTGTGGGGACCACCTTGGAAGAAGACTCCTAGGTTGGAACTCTAAGCTTTTCACTAGGGGTCTGGAAGTCCCTGCCCGCCTGGGAGGGTCACTTGGGAAGCTAACCCAAGGGAGCATACACAGACTGTGTGAAGGGCAGAGCAGGAAACGTTTCTGCTGTCAGACAGCAGCCAGGTAAAAGCATCAGAGGCTTGTGTGGTGTGGCTCATCTGGGTAATTTCATGGCCCTACTGAGTTTCATACTCTATCTGCTGGCCCAAATGAGTTGGCATCACAAGAGTTTACTGGCTTTTTAACTTTGTAGAGCATTAATGGTGTGTAAGTCCCATGTAATGCCCAGATTGGATATTTTAAATGTACTGGAGAGTGGCAAACTGAGTAAGGTGATTTAAAAAATACCAGCTTTACATGGCAGTGTGGTTTCACTGATGGCCATTCATTTTACTCAGTTAACATTTATCAAGGATTTCCAGTATGCTGGAGCTGTGAGTCCTGTAGACACTACTGGGGGTGGGGTTGGGGGGATCTGGAAGGCCGGACCTTTGACTGCAAGAAGTTCCCAGTCTTATGGGGATAGAGACTCATGAACAGTGTGATAAAATGCCATTCCAGAGAAAAATTAAGTTTTTTGTGTGCTGGGAGAAGGGACCACCAGCTCTGTTAGGGTCCTACTGGAGCTGAGTATTAAGGGATGAGCAGGCATTTACTCATCCCTTAACGAATAAGGTAGGCAGAGAAGGGTAGGGTAAGGCATTATAGGAGCTGGAATAATGTAAGGAGCACAGGATAATGACTGAGTTTGATCTGTAGGAAACAGGTTTGGAGTAGGGTGGGGAGGTGATGACAATATAAGGAGAGTTGGACCCAGGCTCTTGGTGCCACCTGAAGGGTTGGACCACATCTTGTAAGCTACTAGGAAACCACTGGAGGTTTTGAAATGTGAAAGTGTGTGATCAGGTTGTGTTTTATAAACAGAATTCTAGAATGGGCTGGAGAGGTAAGAGCTGAGTCAGGGAGACCTATGGGAAGCTGTCGCAGTAGTCCAGGATGAGAGAAGATGGGGTTCACAGTGCTGCTGCTGGTGACTGAGGGTGGCAATGGGAGGGTGCATCTAGGAAGCAGAACCAACTGTCTAGGGGACAAATGAAGTATGACATAGAAGGGAGAGCATAAAGGGGGTTTCCTGCTTGGGCAACTGGAAGCAGGAACAGAATTGGAATGAAGGTGACAGGAGTCTCACTACATTGCCCAGGCTGGTCTGGAACTCCTGGGCTCAAATGATCCTTCCACCTCAGCCTCCCAAAGTGCTGGGATTACAGGCATGAGCCACTGTGCCCAGCATGGAGACATCCTTTATAAAGGGGTCAAGGGTTCAGGAGTAGAAGGCACAGGTTTAGAGGGCTTGAGAGGGTGTGGGTAAGAAGGCCCAGGGGAACAAGAAGTCAGAGGCACATGGCAGAAGCACTGCCAAGAACGATGGAAGGAGAACAGCCGGGGAGATTGAGGCTCAAACAGAGAGGTAGGAGAAGAATCCAGAGAAACACAGTAAAGCCCATTAAGGAGCATTTCAGATGAAGGCAACTGAAGGCAGCACCAAGTCCAAATAGTGTTAGCATTCAAAAGTATTAGTGTTTGTGGCTCACATCTGTAATCCCAGCACTTTGAGAGGCTGAGGCAGGTGGACCACCTGAGGTCAGGAGTTCGAGACCAGCCTGGCCAACTTGGCGAAACCCCGTCTCTACTAAAAATACAAAAATTAGCCAGCAATGGTGGTACACGCCTGTAATCCCAGCTACCCGGGAGGGTGAGGCAGGAGAACTGCTTGAACCTGGAAGGCAGCGGTTGCAGTGAGCCAAAATCACGCCACTGCACTCCAGCCTGGGTGACAGGGCAAGACTCCGTCTCAAAAAAAAAAGTATTAGTGTTTGGACTTGGCATGTTGGAGACTGCCCGTATTTTTGTTACCGAAAATCCTGGTTATGATAAATGATATTCATGAAGCATTGCCAGAAGGCTCTGTAGCTCTTCCATCCCTCTAGAGCAGTGGTCCCCAACCTTTTGGCACCAGGGACCGGTTTTGTGGAAGACAATTTTTCCACGGATGTGGGGGATGGTTTTGGGATGAAACTGTTCCACCTCAGCTCATCAGGCATTAGTTAGATTCTCATAAGGAGTGCACAACCTAGATCTCTGGCATGCACAGTTCACAATAGGGTTCGCACTCCTATGAGAATCTAATGCCGCCACTGACCTGATGGGGCGTTTTGAAGGCTGACAGAGGAATACTTTCTCCTGAGGCAGGATTCGGCAGGCAGAGCATCACTACTACATGGAACCAGGACTTTAAAGGCTGAGAGAATTCTAGAGATCATGTAGGATTATCATCTGACGTATAAGCCCCCGAAACCAAGACTAGACCCTGCATCCAGGGTTGAGATGAATGGTTGTTTTTGTTTATGAAGGAGCGTGGTTTCTTGAGTATCCAAGCTGGTTTTTATTACCAGCTGGATGGATGTGAAGTCCCACCTGGTTCCAGTGCTGTAAAAGAGGTGTCTAGAAAATGATGATTTTCCTGTGGGCCTTGCACATCAGCTCCTTGGCAGCTTTAATAGACGATTTTCAGAGAAGTTTTAGCAGTGGCCCCGTCCTGAGATTAGTAGAGTCAGTGTAGACCACAGAGATAACTTTTTCAATACAGTAAGTGATGGAGTGGTCTGTGTTAGGAATGACAGCAATAATATCAGGTCCCCAGCTAAGCCACAGAAGCCTACTTAAACCACAATGTACCTTTAAGTCGATTAGTTTAGGCCCTAACCTCCTAACCACCGTGAGTCAACCTGGGGGACGGGAACGCCATTCCTTTTGGTCTTGTGAATAGGAACAATTCCTGTGCTTTTTCTCCCTCACTGGTAAGGGTGACTGTAGCTAATCGGGATTATTGAGTATTAGCCATGTGCTGGGTGCTGTGCTGAATACTCCAATTGCGTTATCTCATTTCATCCTTCTGTCTCCTGCAGGAGGTAGGCTCTATTGTTATCTCCTTTCAGGCAATTTGCCCAGTGGTAATGTAGCTGGTGAGAAGAACCAAGACGGAATCCAGGTCCACCCACCTCTAGATCCTGCACTCTTAACCGCTGGGCAACACTGCTGCCCACCTCTCTCATTGGGCGGGCACAGGTCTCTCTGTGCTCTCTGCTCTAGGCTCAGGATTCTGGGGAGAGTAGGATGGGGAAGGAGGACAACTTTCCCAGTATAAAGGCCTTCTCACAATTCCACCTCTCTCTTTTTTCTGTCTCCCACTCCCAGAAGTAGCTTGCCTCCTCCTTTCTGCCGCCACCACCATTTAGTGCCTCCAGCCAGGGCTGCTTTCATTCTTCACAGATGTTGGGACAGGCTATGGCTACTTAGTCACGTTCCTACCCTCCCGTCCTTAAAGTTAGCACAAGGTCCCTTTCAGTCTTTCTAAGAGTTTTTAATTTGTTTGTTTTTTAAACCTAGACCAGCAGTGTAAAGAATAGGCATGGATGCCAATGACAGGCCTTTGAGTGGCACCCAGGAATTGTGGTTTTCCTGGGCATCACAGCACGGGATGAGAGTGGAGGTGGTGAGGAGAGAATTGGGTTAGATGGAGTCTCGGGACGCAGAGTAAGTTCGCCTCCTTCCTCCTTGCTTGGAGAGGGAGGGAGGGGCCTTATCACATGTGCTACCTGTGCAGGTAGGTGGACCTGTCCAGTGAGCAGCCAATGGGAAGCAGAGGAGGTTCAGTTCAGTGATGGTGTTTAGCTTCTACTGTGTGTCCTGTGCTGCTGAGTTCATGGGGTACAAAGATGACTCTTGGAGCCTACCTCTAGTAGAGGATACAGAGGCAGAAAGGGTAATTTCAATTTCAGTAGGGTTAAGATGGAGGTGAGCACAGGAGAGGCCACTAAGCCCGGTGTTGAGGTGACATTTGAGCTGAGTTTCAATGGACAAGTAAGGGCCTTGTGAGGAGAGATGGAAAGGTTGTATCAGCCTGAAGGAATGGCATCAGCAAAACCATGGAAGCGTAAAGTGCAAGCGTGGTGTACTGAGGGGACCTACAAGGAGTGGTACAAGTTGCCAAATGCCTCCTAAGAGAGTTCCTGACACATGGTAGACTCTTAAATGTCATTTCAATAAATGGAGATGGAGGATAAGGTATAGAGGATGAGATGAGTCCGAAGCTATGCATGGGCGTTAGTGGTAATACACACCTGGAATGTATTATGTGGTTACTACATGCCAGGCACATATGCTGAATACTTTTCTACTAACTTAGTTCATCCTCATATGAGCCCTATGAAGTAGATATTATTGTCTCTATTTTTTGTGAGGAAAGTGAGGTCCAGAGAGGTTAGGTAATTTGTCCAAGGTCACACAGCTAGTAAATGACAGAGCTGAGATTTGAAACTAGTTCCAGGTCCTTTTTTTTCTTTTTTCTTTTTAGGGTTTCACTGTGTTGCCCAGGCTAGTCTCATACTCCTGGCCTCAAGCAGTCCTTCTGCCTCAGCCTCCCGAAGTGTTGGGATTACCGACATGAACCACTGTGTCCAGCCGGTCCTGTCTTTTTAACCACTGCTCTGTGTTGCCTTTCTGAAAACTTTAAGAGTGATGACGTGGTCAGATCTCCTTTTTAAATAGACAACACTGGCTGGCATGCAGTGGGTGGATTTGAGGGGGAAAGAGGCCCAAAGGCCTGCCAGGGCTGTATAAGTCAGAGATGCTTACCTTCAGGCTGTTGAGAGCATGGCCACTGAGGAAGCACCTCTTAGAAGGACCTCAATACTAACGCATGCCTGTGGTTCCTCCAATATTATTGCCGCCTTGTCTCATCTTGAAAAGAGAATTCTAGATTTGGGGAGATGTCCCAGTGGTATCATCTCAAAGAGATGCTTGAAGACAAGTTAAAGGATCCTAATGGAAGGGGCAGGCTGGAATTTGGCTACACACAGGCATCAGGTTCAACATAAATAGGAAAGAGGAAAAATAGGATGTTCCCAAAGGACCCCAAACTCCATGTCTGTCTGAACTCTCAGGCCTTCTCCTTTTTCTTTTTCTTTCTTTTTTTTTAAGCAGCAGCATCTGTTTTTCTCCCCCATTGGCCATTAAAAATAATAGATGAAATTTTGGTGTGTATTGTGCGCCAGCTCTGTGTAAGCACTGAGATCATCTCACTTAACACCTAGAACCCCTGTGGAGGTTGGTCTTATTAGAGATAGGGAAGCTGAGGGTCAGAGTGGTTTCGTAACTTGCCAGAAGTCACGCAGCTAGAAAGGAGCAGAACTGGTTTGTGTGAGTCCAGAGCCCACTTCTTTTCCAGTCTTCACCTCCTCTCAGACACCCCATGGAAACAACAACACAGAGGCATGCCTTGGGGCCAGCCTTGTCTCATGTCTGGAGGAATTCCTTCCTGTAGAGAGTCCCACTTCTCAGGTCAGTTTCCGTGGCTCGGCATGTGGTGGTCCAGCCTTGCTTCCACATCATTCCTCACGTTCCTTTGTGGCTTAACAAGAGCGTCCCATCTCCCGCCCCTCCATCCTGGTGGCACTCAGAAGGTTCTGTTTTGAGTTCCAGCGGCAGTTACTCCCTTTTGGGGAAGGCCTGTTGGCCGGGGAGGCGGCATGGGGTGGGGGCTGGCCAGGTTGGCATGTGCTCCCTGTGCATTTGTCTCTCGAGGTGGTGTATCGAAGATCTTTGTTTTTAATCATAATATCTCACATATTTTCTTTCTGTGCTGCTCAGTGAAAGCTAGCTAGGGGTGGCGGCAAATCTTCCTTTAATTTCCACTGTGATGGATTATTAGTTCACTTAAAATGGTGTTTAATTTGCACATGTGCCCTGAGGCTTTTAAATATTAAGCTCATTTGATGACTGTTGGAAATCAATTTGGAACTCCACAGTTATGTTCTATGAGTTGGACTCATGAAGCCCCATGGACCCTGTTGCCCCATTAACAGGGGCTAAAGTTCAAAAATTAGAATGATGAGTTAAGCTCCATACTCTTAATTTCTTCCTTTAAAAAAAAATCAATTTTGGCTGGGCGCAGTGGCTCACGCCTGTAATCCCAGCACTTTGGGAGGCCGAGGTGGGCGGATCATGAGGTCAGGAGATCGAGACCACGGTGAAACCCCGTCTCTACTAAAAATACAAAAAGTTAGCCGGGCGTAGTGGCGGGCGCCTGTAGTCCCAGCTACTCGGGAGGCTGAGGCAGGAGAATGGCGTGAACCCGGGAGGCAGAGCTTGCAGTGAGCCGAGATGGCGCCACTGCACTCCAGCCTGGGTGACAGAGCGAGACTCCGTCTCAAAAAAAAAAAAAAAAAAAAAAAAATCAATTTTCTTTCCTAAGAATTGACTCAAAGAAGCTTTTAAAATTTTTGCTTAAAAGGGAAGAAGACAGTGCAGATGTTGATTTTTTGGTCCCCATCTCTCAGCTTGTTCCTCTCATGCAGCCTGCCCTCCCCTTTCTCAGCCCACAGGCCTTTTTTTTCTTTTTTTTTTTTTTTTTTTTGTTGAGACGGAGTCTCGCTCTGTCGTCCAGGCTGCAACCTCCGCCTCCCAGGCTCAAGTGATTCACCTGCCTCAGCCTCTCGAGTAGCTGGGACTACAGCTGGGACTACGGGCGTGCGCTACCATGCCTGGCTAATTTTTGTATTTTTAGTGGAAACAGGGTTTCACCATGTTGGCCAGGCTGGTCTCAAACTCCTGACCTCAAGTGATCTGCCTTGGCCTCCCAAAGTGTCTGGATTACAGGCGTGACCACCTTCCCCGGCCCCCACAGGCTGGCCTTTTGTTTTGTTTTGTTTTGTTTTGAGACAGAATCTCGCACTGTCACCAGACTGGAGTGCAGTGGCACGATCTCGGCTCACTGCAACCTCCACCTCGCAGGTTCAGGCGATTCTCCTGCCTCAGTCTCCTGAGTAGCTGGGACTACAGGCACACGCCACCATGCCCGGCTAATTTTTGTATTTTTGGTAGAGACGGGGTTTCACCATATTGGCCAGGATGGTCTCAATCTCTTGACCTCGTGATCCGCCCGCCTCAGCCTCCCAAAGTGCTGGGATTACGGGCATGAGCCACTGTGCCTGGCCCTACAGGCCTTTCTTGATCCTGCTTCTCCTTGCTTTCTACTTACCTCCTCTCATTTCTTCTAGTTTGTCCTGTACCAGTTGAACAAGATTCATATTTCAGCAAGCCGCTTTTTCTTCCCTTTTTCTTTTCTTTTTTTTTAATGCTCTGTCACCCAGGCTGGAATGCAGTTGGAGTGAACACTGTGCACTGCAGTCTCAACCTCCTGGGCTCAAGTAATCCTCTGGCCTCAGCCTCTCAAGTAGCTGGGATCACAGGCGCGTGCCACCATGCCTGGCTAAGTTTGAATTTTTTGTAGAGTTGAGGTCTTGCCGTGTTGTCCAAGCTGGTCTCGAACTCTTGGGCTCAAGCAATCCTCCTGTTTCAAAGTGCTAGGATTATAGGTGTGAGCCACCGCATCTGGCTTTTCCTTTTTTCTTCTTAGGAAAGGAGTCCCTCTCTAGGATGCCTGTTTATTCATATTTAAGAGCAATGGGGAGCAGAGTGACCCTGCCACAGCAAAATGTAAGGCTTCTTGTCTAGGCCTTCCAGAGCCTTTCTAGCACCAGACAGCCTGGGCCATTGCTTATATGGTAGATTTTTCTCTTGTCTTTTTAGGTTCAGAGCTGTGGTGAGGATGGAATGTGCATGTGTGTGTTTGTATGTGACACACTCACATTTAATACAAACAAGAAATGCTTATTTCACAGAAGGTAGCTTTGAATAAGTTTCGGGATTCAGATTTGAAGCTGAACATAACCAGAAACTTCTACCTGTAAACTTTTTTTGGGGGTTTCCTTCAGAGGAGAAGTGAGAGAAGAAATAATTCTACTCTGGGGAAATGTATAATTTAGAAGCTGTCTGCATGTATAAGAAAACAGACTCTGTATCTGCTCTCTAAACTCAGCCTGGCAGCCAGGGTCATTGTTTCTTTTTCTCCCCTCTGTGTTTGTGTAAGACGGATGGGTCTGGTGCTCTTTGTGCTCCCCAGCGGGCAGCTAAGGCTGTGGACTCTAGCAGCATTTGGCCTGGGGGAAGCCTACTGCTTGTTTTCCCCTGCCTGTCTTTCCTATTTCCTTACTCTAACTCACCACCCCTTCCTTTCCTGGATGTGCTGTCTATCCTGAAATGGAACAGGAGTATTAGAAAGGTGGAAGGGCCAGGTGCGGTGGTTCACACCTGTAATGCCAGCACTTTGGGAGGCTGAGGTGGGTTGATCACCTGATGTCAGGAGTTCAAGACCAGTCTGGCCAACATGGTGAAACCCTGTCTCTACTAAAAATACAAAAATTAGCCAGGCGTGGTGGCGGGCGCCTGTAATTCTAGGTACATGGGAGGCTAAGGCAGGAGGATTGCTTGAACCCGGGAGGCGGAGGTTGCCGTGAGCCGAGATCATGCCACTGTACTCCAGCCTGGAAGACAGAGTGTGAGACTCTGTCTTAAAAAAGAAAGAAAAAGAAAGGTTGAGGGTATTTCAGGAAACTCCAAGCAGGGTACTTGGCTCTACCACCCTTTCTATCTGTAACACTCTGGCACCCAACAGCATTGGTCTTCTGTGGGCTGTTTTGTCATTCACCTTACCTGCTACCCAGAGTGTGCCCAGGGTGTGATGAAGGGGTTCTGGATCCAAAAGTTTATGTATCTTTCGTCCTATCTCCTGTGATGGCCAGACCTAACTGAGGCAAAGCCGAGAGAATTATTTCCCACTTCCATTTCCTTCAAGTGTTGCTATAATGTTCACTGTAAACTGATTTTACATCTTTAAAACTAGAGGTGGGAGACTGAGCAGGGGCGACATCATACATTGGCCCCCAAAGGTCTGAATCCCTTCAACAGTCAGATAGCTCACATATAATTGGTCGCTTTGCATGAGGAGCTTCCTTGGCTCAGGGCTGCAGAAGAGAAGTGCTCTCACTGTGGGTTAAGGGGTGGTGGCTGATATTGTCCTTCAGCCTAGTGCTAGTTAGTTAGTTGGCCACTCAGGAAGGTATAAAGTGTCCCAGAAGTATGGCGGCCTCAGTGACTGTTTTGGTGGGAAGGATTCCAGGGAAGATGGCAGTTTCGCCTTAGAAGATTTGGTTCCAGGGAGGTTTAGAGGAAAAAGAGGACGATGATTTGCAGGCTTTCTCTAAAGATCCAGATGGATCCCAGACGTAGTCCAGCCAGGAAGATCTGATTTTGTTTGTCTTCCTTCCCCATCTCCCTAAATAATTTTTAATTTTATCTTCAAAGCATGACGCAGGTGTTAATTAACACTGCCTGCTCTCCTGGGAGGTAGGCAAGTGGAAACACCACCCCTATTAGTGAAGCCCAGGGGATAGCAGGTGCGGAAGCCTTAGGCAGGTGAGCCACAGAGAAGCAGAGGGAGTCTTAGACCTCGTGGCCCTGCCCTCAGACCTTTACTGGGACTTGCTGCTCACTTAGTTACCTTGGGAGCCACCTCACTTTCTCATTGTCCTTAGTTCCCAGTAAAAGAGCTGAGGCTGTGGTAGGAAAGATGTATGGTCCTATGGGATGAGTAATGGAAAGTCTAAGGGCTGGGAGAAATTCTGGTAAAATTCACTGTTACTGTGAATTTTAGATGCAGGATTCTGATTATGCCATTGATTTCATTCATTTGGTTTAAAAAAATGTACTGAGTATTTACTTCTGAGTGAGGTGTGTTATAAAGAGAATCACTTCTTCTGAAAGAGCTGGCTTAGCACTAGGGATCCTGCTGATTGGGAACTTGTTCCTTTATATCCCATGCTCAATCTCTAAAGCAAAGGCTGGGGTGTGGGGTTTGCTGCCTCTGCAGGTGATGGCTTCAAGCGTTGGACTCTTGACATCTGGAAATAGATGAGAAACCCAGGTGTGACTGTTGGATGTGGTGAACCTCTAGAGGCTGAACTTTCCCTTCTCCTTTAACCACTCACCTTGGTTGGCTCAGGAGAGGGGGTCCCTGAGGAGTCCTCTCCCTGGGGCTGTAGGTGGTAGCACATCTTCAAGCCTGATGTTATCTAGGGCTGCCTGGGAATGATGATAATGTGTGTGCTGGGTGTCTAATGAAACTGCTGGGATGATACTGAACTTCCCACTCCAGAAAAGCAGCGAGACTGGAGTCTCCAGTGGTTTCTTTCTCATTCATTGGGTATCTTGGGCATGATACCAGGAACAGAGAAGTGGGTCATTTGATCCTGTCAGTGTTGCCTTCTTCATGGGTGGCAGTTGGATTCTGCTTGCTTTGTAGGGAGCCCTGCTCCATCAGCCAATGTTAGTCCTCTTCCCTTGATGTTACAGGCTGCTGAGAACTAGCCCTAGACCTCTGCGTGAGGGTTCTTCTGCCGAAGACATCACCAGTGTGTGGAGCCTGCCACACCCACCCGCTGCCAAACCACGGCCTTTACCTGTGTCTTCCGGTGTTTCCCGTGCGACCCATCCTGTGGGAGTGCCTCGTGGGCTGCCCCAGAGTTCACCCCACACTCAGCAGCACCAATGGTGAAGATGACAAGATCGAAGACTTTCCAGGCATATCTGCCCTCCTGCCACCGGACCTACAGCTGCATTCACTGCAGAGCTCACTTGGCCAATCATGATGAACTAATTTCCAAGGTACACATTTCCAGCAGGCCTTCCTTGCCTACCCCGGGGAGGGCGCTTAGTGCTCCTGAAGTTGCAGAGGTTTACAAGCTCTCAAGAATATTTGTACTCCATCTTTGTACAGGGAGGGCTGACCCACGTGACCGTCTCACTCAACTGAGAAAAACTCTGAGTTGGAGGGACAGAGTAGTCATTTAATTTGTTATTTTGGAAATGAGGTGTCATCCTTGTTGGAGGCTTTGGGAGCTGGCAGCTTGCAAGCCAGAGAAGGGAGGGGCTGGGGATTGATGGGAGCCTTGTTCTCAGCTTGCTTGGTTTAGGTTGGCGGACGAAGAGTGAAGAGTGCTCCCTGCTCAGAAGGTGAATTCTGATAAAGCAGGGGAATGTCTTGTAAGAGGGGTTCCTTAGCAAGATGAGAGAGCCACCAGGAAGTTGTGAGACTGTGGAATTACTAAAATGGGTGGCTTTTGGCAGGGACCAAAAGTGGCTTGTTGAAGAGCTGACCTTCTGGCCTGTGGGGGCCGTTAGGGCTCATACATGAGGTAATATGGCATGACATTTGATCATGATCAGAAGAATGGAACCCTGTTTTTCCTGAGGTGCTTAGGCAGCTGCTTTCTAAAGTTGGGGCTGGGGGATTATTAATAAGTAAATAAACCAACATGCCAGTTGTGCAGTTCAGGAAATGGATCCTTCAGGGAGCGTTCTCAGGGGAACTGCTTCCCTCCTGGCCCTAGATTCCCAGGGGAAGAGAAACAGGTTTTACTAGGCTGCATGACAAAGAGAAAGAGATAATGGGAGACTTTTCCCTTACAAAAGCATCTTTACCCAGAACCTGGACTTCACGCCATTAAAGTAAAAAAAAAAACCAACCCATCTTTACGCAGACCGAGACGAAGTTTTTTGTTTTGTTTTTAAATGTGTTCCTCATCTGTTTACAAGACCTGCTGGAAAAGGTGGCTGTTGCTTTCTTTGCCTCTGGTTTGGTAGCCCCAGCCAGAGAGGAATGAAGGATCTAGTCAGCTCTTGTAGAACAGTCCTCTCCAGCTGGCTGATTTGACCTAGGAGGTGAAGAAAGCTGCCCAAACAAACACATCTGTAGTAGTGAGGCTTTTCAAATCGGGCCTGAGGACCGAACCTCTTGTTCTAGCCTTACTCCAGGGTCTAAGGTGACCACAGAGCTTGAAGCGTACAGCCCCTTAGAGTCCTATCCTCTGGCCAGACTTGTGAATCTGCCCCACTTTCCTTTCTTTATGGTTCTGCTAATTCCTCTCCTTTATGCTGCTTATGTTTCAGCCAGCCTTTAGCTTCCTTCTCAGCTTCCCTTCGAATTTTGGGGAACCCCTTGAGTCTGGAAGTTTGAATGTGTGGAGGTGTCAGTGAGAGAAGAGAGGAGTTGGTCTCTTGGACGTTGGAATTGGGTTTGCAAAGTTGTAGGGGAATTGTGAGTTGTCCTTTTTTTTTTTTCCCCCCCTTTGGAAATCTCCAGAGAAATTATTTGCCTGTATCTACTGGGGAAGCCAAGGCATCATTTTTTTAATGCAAGGAAGCAGTGCCATGTATCATAAGAAATTGAGGTACCAATAAGGTATTTTAGCACCCTTTATGTACTAAAAACTGCAACTTGACACTTTATCAATGTTAACTTAACCTTCATATGAAGTCTTTAAGGTAGTTGACATGAGTCATACTTTATGCGGATGAAGAAGCTGAAACTCATAAAACTTGTCCAAGATGTCAAATCAGAGGTTCAGAGAAGAGTGATTACTTTGAGTGGGTGTTCAGGAGGGATTGCTGGAGGAGATGGTTCTTTGATCTGGGCCTTGTAAGATGGGCAGAAGTTGAGTATGTGGAGATGGTAATGGCCTTCAGAATTTATGTCTTATCTGTTTGGCCTGGCATACAAGGCCTTTGACAATTTGGCAGAGTCTGGCTTTTTTGGTAGGTCTCCAGCCAGCTCTTCACTTTGTTTCAGCCACTTGGAACCAAGCCACATCGCCTGAATATGCAGGTATGGGTGTTTCAGGGCTCTGTGCCTTAGCCAAGAGTGTCCGTTCTCCTTCACCTCCCTCCTCCTACACCTCCCTCCTCTTTCTCCTGAGCTCTTTCTTATACATCCTTGGGCATGGCCTATATCTGCTTTACATCTCGGGGTCAGAACCTGACCCATGGCAAGAGCTCAGTAAATGATAAATGAATAGATGGAGGTTGAGCCTTGGAGAAGACAAGTAATGAGAAAAAAAAATACTTTGTTGGCCTCATGTCCTTCCTGTCCCTTTTGGGGCAGAAAGGCTCATTCACAAGTCCAGGCCAAAGTCAGCACAGGCTTCAATTTCATTGGCTCAGGCCGGTACACAGATGGGGTGCATTAGAGCTTGATGATTTAAAGGGTTGGGTGAAATGCCTGACTGTGGGGAGAGCTGAGGGAGCTGTGGCTGGCATTGCACAAAGCTTCCTTTATTTCACTCCACAGCCACCCCCGGCGTTAAATAATCTATAGATTCTTATGCAGGTCTGCCTAATGGAAAGATCATTGCCCCAGCCTCCTCCTTGGAAAATAGGCCTTTCTTTTCATTTTTCCCTCCCTCTTCCATTTAAGAAAGTTCAAGGAGAGAATGTCTCTCCTGTTCTCCTCTCTTGACTTAATCTCCTATGCAGTTTCAGAATCTGCCCAGTGGGAGTTAGGAGCTGGGAAGCAGATAACTGGAGCTGGATCAGCAGTGTAATTAAATGATACTTTGTACTGGTAATAGGGCCTTTCATCTGAAAGCTTGACATTCGTTTGGTGCAAAAAAAAAAAAAAAAGTGAGTGCTTTCATTATGAAGAAGGGGATACAAAGGTCTGAGTGTGACCAGCAGTGAACTGGGACTAGGACTAGAACTTCAGGCTCCCTTCTATCAGTGTGCCTAAGCCTACATGGAAATGTATAGTTAGAAAGTTTTTAAAAACAAATGGAGTCTGTATTGCCATGGTGGTGGAAAGAATCCAGTACCAGGCTTTCTACCTTCACAGCTTGCTTTAGATCCCTAGAGGCCTAGTTGCTTGCAATCAATTGTCCAACTTCCAAGCCTCAGTTTCTCACTCATACAATGGGTAAAATAATGTTTACTATGTTTAATGCTGTCTTAGTCCATTAGGGCTGCTAAAACAAAATGCCATAGACTAGTTAGCTTATAAACCACAGAAGTTTATTTCTCACAGTTCTGGAGGCTGGGAAGTCCAAGTTCAAGGCACCACCAGATTCAGTCTGGTGAGGGCCTGCTTTCTGGTTCACAGACAGCTTTTTCTTACTTAATCTGACATGGTAGAAGGGAAGGGTCTCTCTCTGTCCTCTTTATAAGGACACTAATCCCATTCACAAGAGCTTTGCCCTGATGACCTAATCACCTCCCAAAGGCCTGATCTCCTACTGCCATTATCTTTGGGGTGAACGTTTCAATCTATGAATTTGGGGAGGCATTCAGACCATAGCAGATGTCTCTAGCAGCCAGCACCTAGTGTATGCTCGTGATGTGCTATCCCAGCAACAGTCCTGTGGAGTGGGCATGCCTCACTGGGGAGAGCAGGTTTATTTCATTGGATTGTTATGAGGCTCAGCTGAGATCATGGATGTGTGGGTGGTTTGCAAATTACAAACCTTTATGTAAATATAAAGTAGTCTGTTTGCTTCTCTTGGCCTTACTGTCCAAAAGAAAAGAACAAAAAGACAAGGGGGTGGGTTGGAGGGGATTATTCCTGCCTGACACCAACTAGTTTTAGTTTGGCTAAGATGGCTTCACTTTGGAACCTGAGGCACAAGATTGGATATGAGAAGGGGTAATAGAAAGCCAAGTGTGTCTGTAGAAAGGTAACATGGCATTTTCTCTGTAAAATGGTAAAGAGGGTAGGGGGAAAAACTCTTGAATTGATGACAGAACTATCTAGGGAATGTGCTGAGGCATCCTACAATTTTTTTCTTAGGGGGTGTTGTGGTCTAAATGCTGGAGTGTTTGCACACAGAGGTATTTTGAGTTGGCATGAGGAATTGCTCACATTGTTGTTTCTTCCCTAATGGTACAAGCCCTAGTATAAAAATATACTTTGCTTATAAAATAATAATAGCTTCAATTGGAACAGTTAGTAGCCAGCCCTAGTGAGAATAATCTAAACACTCATTTTAGTGGACATAATCTATTATGGAAACCTGGGTCTTCACAAAGCTTTTGTATGAAAATTTTCTGTCTGTCATCCTCCCTTTGCCTCCCTCCTGCCAACCCCTTGATGGCATTGTGGAGTAGGCCATTTAGGAAGGATAAATTGGATTAATCTATCACAGACCCACTTCGGGGCCCTGTGACTTCATGCCAACACACGGTTGCTTTAGTGCTCTGGGTCCTGGAGGAAAGGAGTGGTAGGGTGCTGTAGAGGGGTAGTCCAGTGGAGGTGGGATGAGGAAACCTTTTGCTCAGTCTCCAAAACTATTTACGCTATTGTTATGTCAGATCTATAGGTCAGATTATCTTCTGGTGACAAATAAGGAATTTCTAGAATTATGGGTCATCTCATTCAAGCCTCTCTTCATGAGGAGACAGGCCATGGGTGACTCAGTGATCAGAATGAGATCACACAGCCTCAGAGCCAGGGCCATCCACCTCATACCCCTCCACAGTGTTCTGTGTGAGGAGCCCTGGCCTGACTTGTTTTCAAGCTCTGGGCAGTCCTTCTGAGGTTGGGAGCATTTAGAAGGCAGGTGGTTTTTATTCCCTATGGGGTTCCATTGGGCTTACAGTGGTGACATTTTGGTTTTCCCTTCCTGTCTAGAGATTAGATGCAGCATTTCTTTGAGAAGAGTCAGGGAGTGAGATGTTCTGAATCCTTGTATTGATCTAGTGGCTGCCAAGAGGTAGACTCTGCCCTTGGTTTCCCACCTCTGGCTCTGAGCCCTGGTGTTGTACACCAGTGTAGTGTAGTGTAGTACCCCCATGCAGTGGCGTAGGGGCAGTGCTAAGGAAGTACCGAGATCTGACCCATCCTGTCCACTCTACCTGTCAGGGCAGGTAGAGTTTCTCAGTTCCCACGGCTCATCAGTTTGTGGTTTTTTTTTTGGTTGTTGTTTGTTTTTCTATTTTTTTGAGACGGGGTTTCATTCTTGTTGTCCAGGCTGGAGTACAGTGGCACAATCTTGACTTACCGCAACCTCTGCCTCCCAGGTTCAAGCGATTCTCCTGCCTCAGCCTCCTGCGTAGCTGGGATTATAGGCGCCCGCCTCCACGCCCAGCTAATTTTGTATTTTTACTGAAGATGGGGTTTCTCATTTTGGCCAGGCTGATCTCGAACTCCTGACCTCAGGTGATCCGCCCACCTCGGCCTCTTAAAGTGCTGGGATTACAGGCGTGAGCCACTGCACCTGGCCTTTTTTTTTTTCCTTTTTCTTTTTTTTTTTTTTTGAGATGAAGTCTTGCTCTGTGGCCCAGGCTGGAATGCAGTGGTATGATCTCAGCTCACTGCAACCTCTGCTTCCCGGGTTGAAGTGATTCTCCTGCCTCAGCCTCCCAAGTAGCTGGCATTACAGGTGCACATAACCACACCTGGCTAATTTTTGTATTTTTAGTAGAGACGGGATTTTGCCATGTTGGCCAGGCTGGTCTCAAACTCCTGACCTCCAGCGATCCACGCGCCTTAGCCTCCCAAAGTGTTGGGATTACAGGCGTGACCCACTGCACCCAGCCAGTTTGTGTTTTTAATGTACAATAAAACTACTCTCTGAAATCTTGATGGAATTATCTGTGTCCTGAAAACCTCATGTAAATAATAAATATAGGAACATAATTTCTAAAAATCCCTTCATTTCTTTTTTTTCTCTAGATGTCTGGAAAACGGTATAGTGAGCATTGAGTTATATCACTAGTAGTGTTGTTAGTGGCTACTGTGTCACATCAGACAGCATAATTCATAAAGGATATGTACAATATTATCAGACCAGAATGCCAGTTAGCAAAAATTAAAAATAAAGATGAAAAGAAATAATAAAGAATATATACAATATGAGATGTAGCCCTTGAAGATAATTATTCTATGAACTTATCTAATTTGCAAAATAGGTATTTTTAGCCCTAATTTTGTTAATTGAACTCTAATTTTTGATATTCAGTGGATATATGACATAATGATTTTTACAAAAACCATACTCGAATAAAATTCGAGTATGTTTTAAGAGGAGGGAAAAATCAGATTGCAGGCATAAATGTCTATCTCAAAAAGTAAACCTTTTGTTTCTAGAATAGTGGGACCTGGCTCTTTGCCAGAGCAGTGGTACTAAGAAACAGAAGGGTGGGAACAACTGCTCTGTATGGCCTGAGCTCTAGTGGGTGCCTCTGCCACTTTGCTGTTGAATGTCAGTGTTTCTTTTTTATTTATTTTTTTGAGACGGAGTCTCACTCTGTTGCCCAGGCTGGAGTGCAGTGGTGCGATCTCGGCTCACTGCAACCTCCGCCTCCTGAGTTCAAGAGACTCTCCTGCCTCAGCCTTCTGAGTAGCTGGGATTACAGGCATGCGCCACCACACCCAGGTAATTTTTAAATTTTATTTATTTATTTTTTTGAGACGGAATCTTGCACTGTTGCCCAGGCTGGAGTGCAGTGGCACGATCTTGGCTCACTGCAAGCTCCGCTTCCCGGGTTCACGCCATTCTCCTGCCTCAGCCTCCCGAGTAGCTGGGACTACAGGCACCCGCCACCACGCCCGGCTAATTTTTTGTACTTTTTTAGTAGAGACGGGTTTCACCGTGTTGGCCAGGATGGTCTTGAACCCCTGACTTCAAGTTATCTGCCTGCCTCGGCCTCCCAGAGTGCTGGGATTACAGACGTGAGCCACTGCGCCCGGCCGTGTTAGTGATTCTTAGACATCACTTCTAAGCTACAGCCAAGGCAGAAGTGACAAATTAGGGAAGAGTTCCAGCACAACCCAATAAGTCCAGTTGCAAGACATGCTCTACCAAGTTGGCTTTTATAAAGAGAATCACATTTCCCAACCCCAAATTACTTAATTATTTTCTTCAACTATGTGACCTTTGAAAGCTCTGTCTCCTACTAATGAAGCATTGGCTCTTTTGTACTCCTCTAGAAGTATCTGTTGACCACCCAGGAAGGGGTGGCAGGTGAATCAAATCTGTACAGAAAGTCTCCAAACAAAGGGATGTGGTTACTTTACAGTGTTTCTTGGTGAAAAGAAACTATTTGGGGCTCGTGTAAAGTATATAGTATCTTATGGTACCTTTCCTCCATAGGGGCAGAGATTGAACCCGTTCAGGATGAAAAGAGCCATGAATTAGGCTGGGATTTTTTTTCTCTTTTTTTGATATAAAGTCTCACTCTGTCACCCAGGCTGGAGTGCAGTGGTGCAATCTTGGCTCACTGCAATCTCTGCCTCCCGGGTTCAAGCAATTCTCGTGCCTCAGCCACCTGAGTAACTGGGATTACAGGTGTGCATCACCATGCCCAGATAATTTTTGTATTTTTAGTAGAGATGAGGTTTCACTGTGTTGGCCAGCCTGGTCTCGACCTCCTGACCTCAAGCAATCCACCTGCCTCTGCCTGCCAAAGTGCTGGGATTACAGATGTGAGCCACCGCACGCAGCTTGGGATAATTTGTATAGCACGGTTGGTCCACAGTGGGACCATTTTAACTATATCTGAAGAGTTTCTGGTGTATGTGGGTGACGGCAGTGGGGACTGTGCCTATACTTGCTCTTATCATCTTATTGATTCCATTCTGTCTTTGCACAAATACTAATTACGTACTCTGTGTGTGTGTGCGCGTGCATGCACATAGCACTATTCTAGATATTATAATACTACTCAAAAATTTTGTCAGGGAACTTTTATCCTAGTTTGGGAGATAATAGATTCATGTTATGCCTTCTTGAAGTTTCTACTTCATCTTATGTTTCTCTTAAAGCAGTTATCACAGTGTGATGACGCATGTTTCCCATTAGCCTGTGAATTACTTGAGGAGATGATTGTGACATCGTTTTTGTGTCTCTAGCAGCAGCACAGCTCCTAAGACTGGTAGATTCTCAGTGAATATTTGAGTGAATGACTTATTACTCAGATAGAGATCTTTATCAGTGAGTTTCAATCTGGGTCCGTGGACTGGCTTCAAGGACTCCATGAAATTGCATGTGTCATTCTGTGGGCATGTATATTTTTCTAGAGAGGGTTTCATGGCTTTCATCAGGCTCTCCACCAAAGATACTGTTGGTTAAAAAAGGAAAAAAACACACACACAACCAAACTTTAAGATCCATCTTTCTAGAAAATGCAGTTCTGGGAAGACTTGGTGGAAGAAGTGGCATTGAAGTGTGCCTGGAAGCAGAAGCCTCAAATGATGGGGAGGAGCTGGTAAAAGGAGCATCAGGAACAAAGAGCCAGAGGCAGGGAGCACACAGGGAGCAGCCGTTCTTTGGGGTAGAGGTTGAAAAACTGTGAAAACATTAAAGGTGTAGGTAGAAGCCAGATTATTAGAAGAATAGAAGCTAGGATGTTGTCCCATTGACAGTTGGTTGCTACTGAAGACTTTTAAGCAAGTAATGACATGACCAGCAAATGGTTAGTGCTGCTGTGGTGTGGTAGATGAACTAGTGAGGAAGAGACTAGAATGGGGCAAGTGGTGTCTGTCCATTGCAGTGGTCCGAATGTGTTCCAGGTACATGGTGGTCATTCAGCAAATACTCATTGACCACTGCTTGGCAAAGAAATAGAAGCATTCTATGGTTTTTTTTTTTTTTTAATTGTGTTTATCATGTGTAGGCATGGACAAGGGGAATTGGGTTCAGGAAGTCACATGCTTTAAATGGGAGGCAGACCTGTCGCACAGTCACGCCTGCTCCCTGTGAAAATTAATGATCTGGGCACACATAGAGTTGCTCACCAATTTAGTATCAAGGGAGCTGCTGGGACCAAATCTGGTGAATCATCTTTATGTTTTGTTTTTCTTTTGCTGCAGACTGCAGGCAGCTGGAGCACAAAATCTGCTCAAATGTGATTCTTTCTGTGTGGTTACTTTAAATACCAAAAGGAAATGTTGACTTGAGCGATGAGGCGTACCCTGAAAATTAACTCTGTGGTTTGCAGATGCCTTTAAGGTTCCAATCATAAGACTGGTTTGTATATTAGCGTCTAGGCTCTCAGCAGGGACACTGGTAATCAAGCTTGTGTTCCCAGTCAGAAATCCAAAGAAACTCTTTTTCATCAGGGTGTTCAACCTGGGAAGCAAGGAGTGGGTGCAGGATCCCTCTGTTTCTGTTTGAGCAGTGGCACTCCCTCTGGCCTCTGGAATGGTAAATCTGCACCATTGCTAGCTTGGCTGTTTGCGTTTGGGGGCTGACTAGAATCCACTGTCATACACTACTTGTTCAGTTCAATATTTCTTGTGCTTTAAACAACATTTAAACCTAGATGGTAGGGATAAGATGATTCCTGCACTTAAAGAGCCTGTGATGTTTAGGAAACAAGGGAATGCAAGGCTCACCATGGAGGGTAGAAGAATGTTACAGATAAGGTTGTTTGGTGTTGTAACAAACACACAAGATGGAAAATCTATGTTGCTGCTATTAGCTACTATTGATTGAACACCTTCTTAGTTTCTATGTATATATAGATATATATATAGAGAGAGAGAGAGACAGGGTCTCGCTATGTTGCCTAGACTGGTCTCAAACTCCTGACCTCAAGCAGACTTCCCACCTCAGCATCCCAAAGTGTTGGGATTACAGGTGAGCCACCACACTGGTCCTAAAGACTTACCCTTTTTTTTTTTCTTTTTTTTTTTTTTGAGATGGAGTCCCACTCCGTTGCCCAAGCTGCAGTGCAGTGGCGTGATCTCTGCTCACTGCAGCCTCCGCCTTTTGGGTTCGAGCAATTCTCCTGCCTCAGCCTCCCAAGTAGCTGGGATTACAGGCATCCGCCACCAGGCCCGGCTAATTTTTGTATTTTTAGTAAAGGTGTGGTTTCACCATGTTGGCCAGGCTGCTCTCGAACTCCTGACCTGACCTCAAGTGATCCACCTGCCTCAGCCTCCCAAAATGCTGGGATTACAGGCATGAGCCGCCGCACCCAGCTGAACACTTTCCTCTTTATTGAGCACCTACTGTGTGCCAGGAACTCCTTTAGGTATTTTACTTACTCCATCACTTATTTTACAACATCCTTTCAATGTGGGGATTAAGGCCATAGGTTACCAGGTTACCAAGAAGCCAGATGGGTTCAGATTCAGATCTGCTCATGTACTTTTTGCTACCGCTTCGCAGTGTGGCCTAGGTTCTTTTGGCCTTGCCTATTTTATGGTCTTACTCAGTAATCCTTGTGGCAAATCCCACCCTTTCTTCCCTCCTGTCATTTCCTTTGCCTTGGTGAATCCTTCTCCTTTCCTCTCTCTCTATTCAGTTCCTACCCATTCTTGAAGACCAGTTCACATCTTTTTTTCTTCTAGTGAGTCTTCCTGGCTTATAGGATGCTCTGAATGTCTGTAGAACTCACTCTCTGGTTGTTCATTTGGAAATTAATGACTGTCTTGTGGTATGGTCTGTGTTGTTATGGTTGCGTGCACTTTTTATGTATAATTGTCTTGCTTCCTAACAAGATTCTCAATGTCCTGGAGTCATAGATGCTCAGAACTTTGTGGCTGGAGGTACCTTTGAACCTGGAGTTTCTAGTTCAACTCCTCATTTTACAGATTAGGAAACCAAGGCCCAGAGAGAAACTGAGGGCCTCTTGATTTTGCACTTTGCCACCTCCCCCGACACACCACTTTGCACATAGCTGGTGCACATAGCCCTGGGAGAGGGCTGGCATCTGGAAGATTGACAGTGTCAAGCGCTGTGATCTTGGGCAAGACTGTTCATCTCTCTGGCTCTCCCTTTTCTTCATTTATCCAAATGAGTGCAATAGGTTAGACTGTCTTTAAAGTTCCTTCTACTTCCCCCCTGCGTCTTCTGAGTCTAATGTAGTAGCATAAGATGATATGAGGCCATATAACATAGCAGCTCGTGGTATAACTCCGAGCCCAACCACCTGGCTTATTCATTTAGTAGCTGTGTACATTAAGTAATCCCTCTGTGTCTTTTTTTTTTTTTTTTTTTTTTTGAGACAGAGTCTCGCTCTATCACCCAGGCTGGAGTGCAATGGCACGATCTTAGCTCACTGCAACCTCCACCTCCCGAGTTGAAGCAATTCTCCTATTCAGCCTCCCAAGTAGCTGGATTACAGGTGCCTGCCACCACATCGGCTATTTATTTATTTATTTGTTTATTTCATTTTTTGTAGAAGATGGGGTTTCGCCATGTTGGCCAGGCTGATCTCGAACTCCTGACCTCAGGTGATCCACTGGCCTCGGCCTCCCAAAGTGCTGGGATTACGGGTATGAGCCACTGCGCCCATCCGCCTTTGCGTCTTAATGGCCTCACTGGCAAATGGGAATAATAGTAATATTAGATACCTGATAGGATTTTTGTGGAAATTAAATGAGGTTATTGATGTGAAGTTCTTACCACAGGGCCTGGCACGTGATAAGTGCTCAATAAATGTTGGAAGCTAGTGTTATTCTATGAATAGTCACTAAAGAAAACCAAATGGAAAGTGACAGAACTAGGGCCTGGCACCCCAACAAGCCTGGCACTCTTGCTTGTTGCCCTTGTTTTTGGAGAGTCTCAGCAGTTGCCCTTGAGCCCTACAGTTGTCATCTGTCGTCTTTTGAGGCCTCTCCTCATGGAATCGCTTGTTCCTTATCCCAGGGGGACCAGCAGGTCTCAGGAGGTGATGAAATAGCAGCAGCACCTTCCACCACAGCTTTCTGGGGCCTTACCTGCAGGCAGCAGCGAAGCCTCTCTAGAATGTAAATGGAAAAGCCTGTCCCTGCCTCCTTCCCTTTTAGTCTGTCAGGTGGTTACTGTGCCTCTGACCCACCCGAGGACCTCAGTTGGCTGTGACACAGCAGCCCAGGCGGCTGGAAGAGAAGTCCCTGGCCTGGAGAGTGAAGCTGGAGCTGAGAGTTGCTTGTCAGTTTGATTCCTTCTGTGACACTTCGGGTGGGGGGGAATCTTTTGAAAGAAACCACTTTCTTTATCTTGAAAGAACAAAACCAAAAGAGAATCTCTGATAACCTTTGTTTCCAAAGCACTCAGCAAAGCTGCTGAGAGGAGGGTTTGACCTGGTGACCCAGAGTATTATCTCTGGGGTAAGGGCTGCCCAGCCAAGGGGAGCTTTAGCTGTTTCCCTCCTCTCCCTGGCTTATTGCTGGTGGCTGGACAGTGAGTTGGAGGAGGAGGGGGAGAGGAAGAGAGGAGGAGATGGCTCTGCCAGCTGCCGCTAGAAACAACAACATCTAATCAGTCCATAAACTCCCTCCCCTCCAGACTACAGTGATGTCAAGAGGTGGAGCAGGTGGCACTAGTTCTCCCCTCCCCTTTAGCCCCTGACACCTTTGGGTCTTTGAAGGGGTAAATTATGATCATCAAAAGGAAAATTCTCTATCTTTGGGGGCCCAGGAGCTCCTTTTCCTTCTTGTTAGGGTTGGCTCCACCAAGAGCAATTTTCTGTTTCCTCATTTATCTGTTGGGAAGCTAACTGTGACCTTAGCGTCCCAGCAGATAAATGAGGAAACAGAAAAGTGTTTCCTCACCAAAACAAAAAATCCCTGAGCAAACCCTCCTGCAGAGGGCCCTGTCATTTATTCCACATTGTGTGAGCTCCTCTTACGTGTTAGACCCTGGGAATTACAGTGGCAAACAGATGCAAGCTTTGCCTTCACTGAGCCTGTCACACGGTACCCTTTGGTTCCTGGAAGACCCAGCACCTGAAAAAGCGGTTGGTGGCAGCAGCAACAAGGATCTCCTTCCTGAGCCTGGCCCCTAAGGTTATCCGGGGCAGCTGAAAAACCAGCATTTCCATAGTGCTTTCCATTCAGTTTGCCTAATTTTCATGAGAGGCTGAAGTGCCTTTTGTTTCCCTGATGGTCCCTGTCCTCCCCTGCAGAGTCGGCCTGAGCTAGCCCAGCCGAGTCGGGCAGCCCCTTGTTCTCTGATGCATCTTTGGAGGAATGTCTGTATTCTCAGGACCAGGCCTCTCCCCACTGGGTGGGGGCTGCTTTGTTTACATTCCTGACCTTCTGAAAGCTGCCAGCTTTATCCACAGCTGGCCTTTCCCCTTCAGATGCCAAATGTTCCAAACGACAGGTACAACTCTGAGAGGGCCGTTAAGGTTCATGCCAGAAACATTCACCTAGGAAGCCTGAGGAGAGAGGAAGCCAGTGAAACTAGACTTCATGGAGCTTTTTGAAGCTCGAAGCCCCCATATTTCTTGATTCTTCCCGCAGCGGGAGAAAAAAAGAAAAAACACAAAGTGTGTCTGTGTGGGAGGAGAGTTCCTCCCTGTCCATCTCTTTCTCTATAAAAACAAGAGGCCAACCTGCTCTGAGCATCGTGGGGGCAGGTGCTGGGTAAATACACGAGAAAGGAAAGCCAATAAGATAAGGTCTGACAAATCTAGGTCACCCGGCTGCTGCCAGGTACCTGTGTGACTGGCCACCTTGAAACTGACAGGAGGAGTATGGACTTTTGTTCGAGGCTCAGCCTGGCTGATTTCTCATGTCTTTGTTTATTTATTCAGTAAACATTAATTGAGTGCCATTATGTGCCAGGCCATGTGCTAGGTGTTGCAGGTCCCTGTGTGCCTCTGACAGGCAAAATCTCCTCCTGGATCCCAGGCCTGTAACCAGGGCTAAAAAAAGAAATGACTTCATTCAAAAGCCAGTTGGTTCACTAACTTCCAGAGTAGGGGCAGCCAGTCCCTTGGTAGAAGGGAGGGGCTGTTTGCAGTCTTGATTCCCTGTTTTTTGGGCTAGATCCAAAGGTCTGCAAAACTTTTTCTATAAAGGCCAGATAGTATTTTACGCTTTGCTGGACATAGGGTCTCCACTCAAATCTGCAGCCACAGAGAATATATAAACAAATGAGCATGGATGTTTTCCAGAAAAACTTTATTTGCAAAACAGGTGAAAGGCCCAATTAGGCCCTTGGACTGGTTTACTTAACCCTAGGTAAGATGATTAGAATGACTGTTGTGAAATGGGTGTTGGAGAAATAGGTTTCTGTGATTTCAAGAGGAATCTCAAACCAGCATGGTGGCTTGTATGAAGAGTGTAGGGGTTGAGGCACTGTGCTAATTGACAAGGTCTTAATTGACACCCTGGTGAGAATTCTATTCCATAGGCCAGACTTCAGCCCCAGCCGTCTAGCACCCACAGGTTCCCACCATAGGTTACAAGGTGATCAAGCCAGATAGGGCACATAGTTTCCTACAGTGTCATCACTGTAATGGGAAGACAGTGTGGGGCCCTGCTGAGGAGAGTCTGTGGCACCATTTGAAAAGCCTTGAATGAGGGTCAAGCCACCTCTGCTCCAGACCTGGCTTTGTGCTAAATTTTCAGTGTGGCATTGAGCAAGTCACTTAACCTCCCTCATCACCCTGCATATATTAAATCCTACTGTATGAAGCACTGGGGATACAGAAATGGATACAAATACAGAAATGGATGAAATTCTCTTTTTTTTTTGAGACAGAGTCTCACTCTGTTGCCCAGGCTAGAGTACAGAGGCATGATCACAACTCACTGCAGCCACAACTTCCCAGGCTCAGATGATCTTTTCACCTTAGTCTCCTGAGTAGCTGGGACTACAGACATGCGCCACCATGTCCGGCTAATTTTTCTATTTTTTGTAGAGATGAGGTTTCTCCATATTGCCCAGGGTGGTCTAAAATTCCTGGGCTCAAGTGATCAGCCCGCCTTGGCCTGCCAAAGTGCTGGGATTGCAGGCGTGAACCGTGCACTTGCCTGGAATTCTTGCCCTTAAGTAGCTTATGATCTAATGGGGAAGGCAAATAGATAAACAGTGATAAAATGTAGTGAAACACAGTCATTGTTTCACTGTAAGTGATTGTTCCAGATGTTATGAGGGTAAAGAGCAGGATGAATGTTTACTAAGATGAGTGTTTAGAAGCATTTACTAAGTGGACAAGAAGACGAAGACAAGAGGAGTCCATTCTGAGCAGAGACAGAGAAACATGACACGAGGCCAAGTCCAGGGACCACAGGGAAGACAGATGGGGAGTCTGTGCTTTAGGGAAGCAGGTCAGGGTGGATCATGCAAGGCCTAGAAGGCCAAACTAAGGAGTTTAGACAGAGTTCTGGATGCTGTGAGGAGCTGCTAAAAGGTTTTAAGCAAAGGAGTGATAGGATTTTATTGAGATTGGATGAGAATAAAACATAGCCTATTTTGGAAAATCAACTTCTTTAGCTTCTGTAAACCATGTATCCTTGAGCTTTGTGTGATTATACAATGTTGATGTTGTGGAGTAGTGGGCATTGATAACATGCCATAGCTGTTTAAAAATAGTCAGGCTGGGTCCCTCCTTGGTGGTGCCTTCAGCTAAATAGCAAGCAGGTAGATCACTGGCAAACAGCAGGCAGTCATAACTCTAAGAAGAGGGCCTTTGTTAGTTCATGGAGGTCTGGGGGTTTGCAGGTCCTGGGCCCTCTGTCTCATCTGACACTCCTGGCTTCTTGAGTAAGGCTCCCCAAATCATTGAAAGCGGGCAATTGCAACTCCCTGTTGATGAGTTTTTCTCTAAATTTAAAGAGAGAATTCAGTTGCAGAATTCCAGTGGCTTTGGTGTAGCCATGAGGTTTGGAATACGGCCAAGTGAAGGTGGAAATAAGTAGCTTCTGCAGTCTTTATGTATTTAGAGAATCATTGAAACAGGCATTGGAAAATGGGGATTCTTGGACAGTGATTCCCAAATCTGACAGTACATCAGAATCACCTGAGATACAAAGGCAGATTGCCAGACCCCACCTCACAGATTCCTTTTCTGAGGGTCTGAGAGTGTTGTGGAATCAGGGCCCTGATGGCCGAGGGAAGCAGGTCACCTAGGACACAAGATTTAAGGAGACACTCACTCTCAGAGTTGTACAGTACAGGGTCAGCACCCCACAAACAGTGCCTCCTTAAATTTCATGTTCCAGCCTTCTGGCTCGCCTGACCCTAGTCCCAGACCCACTGGGGATCTGTATTTTAACGAGTATCCCTGTCCCGGTCTGATGTAACCAGTACTAATATTTGGGAGCCACAGCTCTAGGACAAGCGTTCTCAGTACTTGGAAGATACACGTGCTGTCCCTAATGTCCGCTGCCTGCCATCCAGCACTTTACACTTGTAGTAGTTCCCTGGAGGTCCAAAGAGTGGTTTTGACTGACCTTTATTTGAAAAAGGAAACAGCTCTTTGGAGGCCTTCTTTTAATTATCCTAACAATAGCCATCATTTTACTGGGTGTCTACTAAGGGGCAGGCATTGTGCTAGGCATGTTATATGTGAATCATGTCTTTTGCCTCAGACTAATCCAAAGAGAGATGTACTACTGTTGTCTCCATTTTTAGATGAGGAATGTGAGGCTCAGACAGATTGAGTTGACCAAGGAGACCCAGCTAGGAAATGGCAGAACCAGAATTTTTTTCTTTTTTTCTTTTTGAGACGGAGTCTCGCTCTGTCGCCTGGGCTGGAGTGCAGTGGCGCGATCTGGGCTCACTGCAAGCTCTGCCTCCTGGGTTCACGCCATTCTCCAGCCTCAGCCTCAGCCTCCTGAATAGCTGGGACTACAGGCGCCTGCCACCATGCCCGGCTAATTTTTTGTATTTTTTAGTAGAGACGGGGTTTCACTGTGTTAGCCAGGATGGTCTTGATCTCCTGACCTCGTGATCCGCCCGCCTCGGCCTCCCAAAGTGCTGGGATTACAGGTGGGAGCCACTGCGCCCAGCCAGAATTTTTATTTTTATTTTTTAATGATTCTGATTTTTATTATCAGGTCAGAACAAATGAAATAGCAGCAAAACGGTCTGTCATATATTCTGGTTTTCACTGGTCCTCAGGCCAGGCAGGCTAGAATGTAAATTCAGGCCTGATCTCAGGGTCTACCATTAAGTGCTGTATCACACAACCTATTTCTTGCTTTGACTAAACAGAGGAACCCAACACAAGCCCTTCCATTGGTCCTTCTCAGACTGTCTGCCTCGCTTTGAAATCTCCAGGTAACCCCCTGTTCCTGGCGTCTTACACTGGGACCAAACATGGCACCCCAGATTGCTTCGGCTTGTTTCTTTGCTGTTTGTTTCAATAGGGTTTGCTGGCCCATCGAGCCATGGCACACAGAGGAGGGGCACAGGTGGCCCTCAGCAGGGGCAGAGAGTTATCCTTCCTTAAGCTGTTTGCTGATTAACTCCCTTCTCTGCTGAAACCAGACAAGAGGAACTCAAGAGTCAGCAGGGCTCAGAAGCCCCAATTAATGTGTAGTCCAACTGGGTCAGGGGGAGTGACCCTGTGCAGTGGCCCTTTTTTGTTTTTTTGTTTTTGTTTTATTTTCCCCAGGAGCATGTGTGCCCCCACCTTACTAGAGTAGAGTTCCGCACACTGGGAGGAGGGATTCCAGCCCCCAGCCGAGGGAGTTAGAGCTCCTGTGAAGCACAGGCCTGTCTAGTCGGTCCCTTCCTCCCTGGCCTGCTGGCTGGGCTCTGGCTGGTGTTAAGTTGCCCCAAATACCCAGTCTCCTGTTTCACATCCTTAGGCAAAGATCCCATGGCCAAGGTGCCCTTTCGGCTTAGCTTTCCCACCGGCTGCTTGCAGACAGATAAGCTTCTAACAGTAGGGAAGGGGGAAGGTCGGAGGTGGGCAGAATGCTGAGCAGACCCCTTTGTCTGCAGGCATAGTGGGCTCTGCAGCTCCCCAGTATCGTGTTGGATGGGGCAGGCCCTGGGTGGTGACCAGCTGCCTGTCCCCAATCCTCCACTTCTTTAGTGGCAGGTGGAACATGGCTTGGCTGGGGCACAATCGTACATATGCTCCGGCTTTACCTTGGGGTGGAAA
Source organism: Homo sapiens (assembly GCF_000001405.40). Classification (NCBI taxonomy): domain Eukaryota; kingdom Metazoa; phylum Chordata; class Mammalia; order Primates; family Hominidae; genus Homo; species Homo sapiens. The sequence continues at coordinate 59,371,464 of NC_000017.11, forward strand.
TTGGAGGCTGAAAGTTTGTAAGTGTTGAGAGGCAAGCAAACTCTGTGTTTGTGTGAGCTGGAGAATGCAGGGGCTGCCTGAGCCAGGCTCTGTCTCTGCAGAGTCTGCCCTGGCTGTGCCAGACTCCCTGTCCAGACCTCTCAGAGATGTTTCATTCCTTGGGCTGGGTTGAACTGAGACATAGCCCTGCCGCGAGACAGGAGGGAGAAGGAGCCAGTGGACAGAATGTTCTCATGCCTGGATGCACCAGCCACAGCACAGACTGGGGCCTTGGGAATTAAGATGAAACCTCTCCTGTTTCTTTAGCCAGTCAATATCTTTAGTAACAAATGAGATTACTGCCTGGATGAACTGGTTTTAATTTACCTTTCTAAAGTGATAAATGTGCTTAAAATGAATATGGGAGTGACGAGGAAGTTTGCACAGTTCACTTCACTGGTCTCACTTCTTTGGGGAATGAACATGAACTCTTGGACCTGAATTCCCACCTCCTCCTCTCTTCCTGTCACTTGTAACCAAGTATCTGAAACCTGCTGGCTATAGGAATTATTACATTATGTGGAGTACTTGATATCCCAGACAGTCCCCAAGGAGAGGTCCCCCATCATGGCTTCCAAAGATAACCTTGGATGTAGGTACCAGAGTGACAGAACCCAGAAACTGGGCCTCTGTGTATAAGTTGGTCTTGAGTGTCCAGAGGCTGTTTTAAAATGTGTACAGAAAGGTAGCAATTAAATGTTTGTCTTGGAATAACCCTGGCCTCTGAATTTTCCCAGAAGCCCTAGCCTGGGGAAGATGATTAAAAATAGATCTGAGTAGCACTTCCTGCTTGGCAGATGGCTGATAGCAAATGCTAGGCTTGTGGCTGACCTTTCCTTTCTGAAATCTCCTCTGTTTCCATGATGCTAATTGAGTCCCTCTCTAGGCCCAATCAAAGACTCCTTAGCTGGTTGCAAAAAAGTAAAATACAAAAAGCATGGCTTGCTGTCCTGGCTGGGCTCAGTTCATGGAGCAACATGAAAGTGCTGGAATTTGCATGGAAACACCCACTCTGTGGTCTAACCGGCTGGTCCTTGTTTAGAAACTAACAAGTTCTGCTTTCAGATTTACTGCCCAGTGCTGCTAAGGATCCCACACCCTCTCCGCTCCCTTCAGTAAGGAAATATTTGTGCATTGAAGAGTGATAAGAATGCCCTGTGTTTAGATGTGGGCACAATAGACAATGCTCACCACACAAAGCAGATGCCTAAGAGAGGCAGGAGCCTTGTAAGATGTGTGTCCTAGGACTGACTCTGTCCCCATCCACTGTTGCCTTTCCTCATACCCAAGGTGGTTGTGAGAAGTTAAAGTAAATAGTGCTTATGACAATGCCCCGAGGCAGTATCAGAACATGGGACATACAGTGTAGTGTTGTTATTATTATTTTAATTTTTTGACATGGGCTCTGTTGCCCAGTCTGGAGTGCAATGGCATGGTCTCGGCTCACTGCAACCTCTGCCTCCCAGGCTCAAGTGATTCTCCTGCCTCAGCCTCCTGAGTAGCTGGGATTACAGGCGTGTGCCACCACACACAGGTAATTTGTATTTTTAGTAGAGACAGGGTTTCACCGTGTTGGCCAGGCTGGTCTTGAACTGACCTCGTGATCCACCTGCCTCAGCCTCCCAAAGTGCTGGGATTACAGGCGTGAGCTGCTGTGCCCAGCCTATTTTTATTATTATATGTTGCAAACATCTCAGGGCCACCATTGATTTCTCCTCGAGTTGTTATTCTCCGTAGGAAAGAGATGGGGATGTAGCTGGACTGTACTGAGGAGTCCTTAGCAGCAAAACAGATGCACTTCCAGCTGCTTAATCATGATAGGTGGAGTAGGTTGCCGGGGGCTTCTGCTGGCTTTCAAGGCCTCACAGCCTCTTTGACCTTACTTCCTCTTCATGAAAGCCCTCTGCTGTGATCAGCCCTCCTACAGCGCTCTCATCTCCTCCTGTCCCATCCATCTTCTCTGAACTCCTTTAACAGCCATAATTTATTGCCGCGATTTATACTGCTTTAGACTTAATGTATTTTAGTCCCGTTTTCTAGGTGGCTAGATGGACTAGCTATATACTCTCTGCGGTGCCCAGCAAGGCTCCGGACATGGCTGCTCATTAGATATTTGTTGATTGATCATCATGGAGACACAATATTTCTTCATGTGGCCCTATCACAACATTCTGAGTCACTCCCTTCTTGTTGGACACTTGGGTTTCCCTGTAATTTTTTTTACCATCAGAGATCGCTTTAGTGGGACTCAAAGCTGTTTTGCTCAGGAGATGATTTTCCAATGCTTGATATTTCACAGTAAGTCAGGCACTTGCGTTGGCCAAGAAAGATTGAGCACCCAAATAAGTGGAAGGGATTTATGTTTCTATGTCTAAGGATGGGAGTCTTAAGGAATTATCAGATAAGGTCGGTCATCTGATGAGCAGAAAAGACTTGCTTTTTACGCAGATAAACAGGAAGTTTGAAAACACAAGAGAAGTCTGAGTCAGAAATGTTCATTTAATATGCGAGGCATCTATTCTCTTGAGAATATGGACTCACAGAATGTTCACCCTTGTAAGAGACCTTGCTCAATCCCTTCATTTCACAGATGATGCAATCCCAGTTCAGAGTATCGGGGTTCTAGCTAAGGACACCATCCTAGTTGAAGGCAGATGATCTAGCCTTGCCTGGCAGGGTTGGAGTGGGTAGTCTGGTTATTCTGACCCAGTTATGTTCCATTTCTAGAGGGAATACCAAGAAGCATCAGTGTGTGCTCTTGCATTTTGGCAAGCACCCTATGCTCAAATCCTTCTAATAATTATATGCCCATGTCTCTTTCATAAGGCTCTTTGGCTAGGAGTTCTTCAGTCCCCACCATAATTCTTACCACCATGACCCTTTCAAGTAACACTGTCTCTTCCTTGATACTGTTTCACATAACTCTACTCTTGAATCCAGTCCCAGAGGGTTGGAATAGAGAGGCTGAAGGTGGATATATGCTAATGGCGCTCACCAGAGGAAAGTCTGATGTTGGACAACTGCCACAGCAGGGACAGTCACAATGTACTTCGGTTTGTGCATGTAACCTGAAGCCCAATTAATTGTTTCAGTAAGGCCTGGTGCTTTGATTAACATTAGAAGGAAAGTGTAGGAAGTGTCTAGGGAACACCTTTTAGTATGAAATGAAAAAGGTGTAGAAAACAATAGTGAACATGGTCAGACCAGGCCACATAGGGAAAATTTGAAGGGACCGGTAGGAAGAAGGTGGATATTGTTATCCCATTTCACAGATGAGGAACTTTTGACCCGAAAGCCGAACAAACCAAGAGTACGTGGCAGAGGAAGTGCTAGAACTGGGAACTGAACCTAGTCAGTTTATCCAACTACATAATTCTTCATTCTACCAAGCTACTAAACTGGGAGAAGTTTAGCCCATAGAAGGAAAACCTGATGTGGGAGAGATAAGAGCTTTAAATCTATGACCTGAAGTGTTACAGTGCCAAGGATCTAAAGATGGAGGAATCAGGAAGCTCTAAGGAGAAAGAGCTCAGCTCACATAAGGAATTTTGGCATTGTCAGAGTGATTGGCAGTAGAATGGGCTTCCTCTGGAGGTAGTGAGTTCTCTGCCCCTGAAAGTATTCAAGGAGAGGTTTGGTAGAAATGTGGGGGAGAGCCATGCTTCAGGTGCATGGTTGACCTTTGCGCATAGGGAGGGGTCTTTCAAATCCCAGTGTCTGTGAGTGTATTTAAAACTGGATAAAGTCATGTATGTATGTTTTCCTTTGAGATCCTTCACTGTACCCAAACTACAGCCCACTGCATGAGATTCCAGTGGCCTGTAATTACTTAAATATTTCTCTTTGCAACTCCTGAAGCATTCTTCAGTATTCTTTGCTAGTTCTTTGCTATGTGGTCCAGGTGCCAAAGCAAGAAGGGATTTAGAGTTTCTTAGCTTTTACTTATTTGTTTCCAAGAGATTTTAAATTAGAATCATTCATTCAGTCTTGAGATGAAAAAGCTGTTTTTAGGCTGGGACTCAGAGGGTGTTCCCTCGGTGGTCCTCAGACAGCCTTAAGCATTGCAGGTCTACAAATTTAATATTATCCGTTCACTCGAGTGATCAAGCTCTGGTGAAGTGATTCACAGTAACACAACTCACAGGAAATTAATTTGGAAACTGCAATTCTAATTCATTAATTTACAGTGGAGCAGATAATCCTGAAAGCTTGGACTGTATGTTGTCTTTGTTGAAGGTAAACCCACTTGAGCGAGAGAATTAAATTTAGGCGATTGCTAAGTCAATATGGAATCAGAGCAGAGAAATTTGAATAGCCTAAGAGATTTTCATAAGTTCTAACAGAGTGAGCCATCCTCCTTCATCAGAGAGACAGACTTTTCCAGTGAATACCCTCTAGAAAAATTTTGGGACTTAGAGTCAAAAGCTGTGGGTTTAAAGTTCTGACCTTGACTTACAAGCTGTGTGAAACTGGGGAAGTTTAACAGCTCTAGGCTTCAGTTTCCTCCTCTGTCTTGGAGGTTTTATCAGTTCACATGTGAAAGTGTTTTGCATATTCTGACATCCTATATACCTGTCAGTTTTAGTCTCATTCTGTTTAGGCTCCCTTCTTTTTAGGAAGTCATTGGGATGACACCTTCATGACCCCATCTTCATTCTTCCCTAGACTTTAGAGCCAGACTGCCTGGACCTCTGTCATCATTTATTGATTGTGGGTTTGTTGTTGTTGTTGTTTTGAGATGGAGTCTCTCTCTGTCGCCCAGGCTGGCATGCAATAGCGTGATCTGGGCTCACTGCAATCTCTGCCTCCCAGGTTCAAGTGATTCTCCTGCCTCAACCTCCCTAGTAGCTGGATTACAGGCACCCGCCACCACATCCGGCTAATTTTTGTATTTTTGATAGAGACGGGGTTTCACCATTTTGGCAGACTGGTCTGGAACTCCTGACCTCAGGTGATCCACCTGCCTTGGCCTCCCAAAGTGCTGGGATTACAGGTGTGAGCCACCATGTCCGGCCAGATAGTTTGACCTTAGGCATATTTCCTAGCCTCTCTTCTCCGTACTTTTCTCATCTGTAAGGTGGGAAGAATGATTATACCCACCTGGTTTTCGTTGTTTTTTGTTGAGAGGATTAAGTTACTTCACTTTGAGTTACTGTTTGAATCCTGCCCTAGTACATGGTAGTCATCATATGAGTGTGAGCCATGACTGTTATTTCATAATTTCTAACTCATTTTTATGAGCCACCTCAGTCTCATTTACAAACTCTAATTTCACTGTAGTGATTGCTTATTAGAAAATAGTCAGGCGTGGTGGTGGGCGCCTGTACTCCCAGCTGCTTGGGAGGCTGAGGCAGGAAAATCACTTGAACCTGGGAGGCAGAAGTTGCAGTGAGCAGAGATGGCACCACTGCACTCCAACCTGAGTGACAAGAGCAACACACTGTCTCAAAAAAAAAAAAAAAAAAAAAAAAAACAAAGAAAAAGGAAAGAAAGAAAATATTTTGAAAGCAATCCCTTCTGTAGCATGTGGCTTCCATTGTGGAGGGTGGCTTTCTCAGGCCTTTTTGCCTAGATTGGTTACAAAGGAAGTCTTACTTTGGGAGTCGGTAGGTTTTGCCCACTGACTTCATAGACAACCTTTGAAGTATAAGAACATTTTCATTGGCCAGTGCCCATTTGGCTTTGGGATCAGGAATGCAAATTGAAACATAAATCAGGAAATTGATATTTGTTCTTCCTAGGCATATTAATTTATATTATCCTTTTTAACTCTAACAGTTGTTTTCAAGGGCCCGATGGCTTTGAGAGACATTTGAGCTCCAATATTTCAGCCCTCCTAAAGGTTCTGGCTTATATTTGAACTGCAGAGGGCCCAGCTCTTAATGGCTGACTGCCCTTGCATCCTGGCACCACCGTCAGTGTCTAACTCAGAAGCTAGACTCCCTGAACAGACCTGGTGAGGATGGCATGTTGGCCTCTCTTCTGTAGAGGATGGGGATATCTGATCATGGGCATCCCCCACTCCATCCTTCTGGACGAGGCATACTTCCCATGCCTCACTCCCTCTCTGCAGGATGCTGAGAGCTGGCAGCATCTGCTTTCCCACTGGCTGCATGTTTACCTTGGCATCTGCTGTTCTAACCCCATGCCACAGACTGGAGAGGTTTATCCTGCTCCTGGTTCAGCAGAGAACAGCACACTGCCAAAGCCCCATTTGAAGCTCTTAGGACAGTTGGAAGAGGTGTGGGAGAGGAGCTTATGGGGTCTAAGCCGTAGGGGGATTTGGAAGAATCTGGGGTGCTCAGGCTGAACAGCCTGGCCCTTCCAGACTAGTTTTGCAGCTCCCATTTTAAATCCTGAAAGCCTGTGCTGGTGTGAAGGGAAGCACACGTTTATTAAATGCTTTTTATGAGCCACATTTGGTACTTACTATACACACAATCATTTCATCTTCACCACGTCCCTCTGGAATAGGGCGTTATTGAATCGGCAATATGTTCCTCCTTTCTGTAGAGAACCCTGAGGCTCGGAAGGATGAAGTGACTGGCCCAAGGTTTATACAGCTAGTGAGGGCTGGCTCCAGGCCCTCTCAGGCTCCAAAGCCGGCATCCTTTCCCTTGAACATCAGGCAACACGACACCATGAGGCAACAGATCTTATAGGATCTCTCTCTGTCCCATTCCCTAGGCCCATCCCTGAAAGTGGCTTAGTTCCCCCAAAACACTTCTGATACCTTGTGACTGAGACTCCTAAAAGGACTCTAAAAGGGCCCAGTTTGTGTAGGTCAACAGGAAGGGAATTTGAAAGTCTGATCATTAAATGGCTTAAGTCCCAGAGTCTCCTCCTTTTTTTTTTTTTTTGAGACAAGTTCTCACTCTGTCACCCAGGTTGGAGTGCAGTGGCGTGATCTCAGCTCACTGCAACCTCCACCTCCCAGGTTCAAGCAGTTCTCATGCCTCAGCCTCCCAAGTAGCTGGGATTACAAGTGCACACCACCACGCCCAGCTAATTTTGGTAGAGACGGAGTTTCACCATGTTGGCCAGGCTCGTCTTGAACTCCCTGACCTCAGGTGATCCACCCACCTTAGCCTCCCACAGTGCTGGGACTACAGGTGTGAGCCACCGTGCCTGGCTGGATCTCTCCCTTTCATCAATAAAACACCAGCACCCAGGCCCCCTCACCACCTTTTGTTTTTGTAGTTCCAAGCATCGTGAATGTTCCCATGCTCTTGGAATTTTATGACTCCACACAGCAGATATTTCCTCCTTTAGAGCCAGTGGCTTCCCTGCCCCTCCCTCCATCTGTTGTGGGAATGTGTGAGTGCTTGGAGACTACCATAGCTCAAATCCACGGGAGGAGGGGCCTTAAGAAAGCCATCCTTCTGCCCCTCGGCTTTTTACCCCCATCTCAAAGGTTCCTAGACAGGTGTGTGACAGTCTTTTTAAAATCATAAGCATATACAGTGGCTTTGTTCTATCCTAGTCTTTACTGGTGACCTATGTCCCCATGTGGAAGACGAATAGAGTCAGGAAGTTCTTCCTTTATAATTAACCCAAGTCTCTCTCATTTCCGTCTGTGTCCTCTTGTTCTTACTGCAGAGAAGATGGAATAAATCCCCTTCAGTCTTTCCTCTTAGCTAAATGTTCACAGCTTCTTTAAGTTGCACTCGGGTTCTAATTCTGGAAGTTTTTAACTTTGTTCTTTATCATCACCCCTCTCACTTTCTCCGTATGCATCCCCAAGGCTGAAATCTTAAACAGGATCTAGGGCTGTTTTGTTTGGGTTCCAACTCTTTGGAATGGAACCTATAGCTTACTTTGACCCAATATAGGAAAGCTCACCAGGCCTAACCATGGTTGGAGAAAAGAATGGAAAAAGGACTGATCTGACCCTTCCCTGCAGAATGTGAGATCTGTTGAGTTGGAGGGGTTTAGACGACACTCCAAGGGCAAAGGTTTTACTAATCCTCCTTTGTATCTCTACCTACACACTTCTGATGCCTTCTCACTGAGACGCCTAAAAGGAGTTAAAATGTATAGTGCCTGGAGCAAATCCATAGAGACCGACAGTAGATTTATGGTTGCCAGAGGCTGGGGGCACGGGAGACAGGCTGGCTGCTAATGGTGTGTGATTTCTTTTTGGAGTGTGAAAATGTTCTGGAAATAGTGGTGATAGTTGCGTGACCTTGTGAATATAAGAACCACTGAATTGTCTACTTTAAAAGAGTGTGAATATATCTCACACTCTTTTGTAATGTGAATTATATCTCAATTTTTAAAAGCTCAAGTTTACGTTTGTACCAGTAAGTTTTTTTTGTTTCTGAGTGAACTCAGCACATCAATAAGTTTGGGGTTTTTGTTTTGTTTTGTTTTGTTTTGACAGGGTCTCACTCTGTCACCCAATCTAGAGTGCAGTGGTGTGACCTCGGCTTACTGTAACCTCTACCTCCCGGGTTCACGTGATTTTCCTGCCTCAGCCTCCCGAGTAGCTGGGATTACAGGCATGCATCACCACGCCCAGCTAATTTTTGTATTTTCAGTAGAGACTGGGTTTCGTCATGTTGGCCAGGCTGGTCTCGAACTCCCGACCTCAAGTGATCACCTGCCTCAGGCTCCCAAAGTGCTGGGAAAAGTGCTGGGATTACAGGCTTCAGCCACCACGCTCAGCCTAATGAGTTTTGTTTAAAGCTGCATAATAGAAACATTCTAACAGTAACAAAGTATATAGTCTTGAAGTTTATGAAGCACTTGATAAACAGTATCTAACTTCTTTTTTTTTTTTTTTTTTTTTTGAGATGGAGTCTCGCTGTGTCTCCCAGGCCGGAGTGCAGTGGTGCTGTCTCGACAACCTGTGCCTCCTAGGTTCAAGTGATTTTCCTGCCTCAGCCTCCCAAGTAGCTGGGATTACAGGCATGCATCACCACGCCCAGCTAATTTTTGTATTTTTAGTAGAGACGGGGTTTCGCCATGTTGGCCAGGCTGGTCTCGAACTCCTGACCTCAAGTGATCTGCCCTCCTTGGCCTCCCAAAGTGCTAGGATTACAAGCATGAGCCACCACGGCCAGCCCTAACTTATCTTTTACACAAATCAGGTGTGAGTGAGAGCTATTTTATTATGCCTGTTTTACAGACTAGAAAATTGTGGCTCAGAGAGGTTAATGAGCTTGTTCAAGGTAGTAACATAGCTAGTATACAGTACAACAAGGACTCATACCCTGGCAATATGACTCTTTGAAGCTTGTGCAGTTAACACTGTGTATGAGTGGTAAATTGGGGAAGCAAGTGCCAGGTGCTTTAAAAGCGGTGGATTCACAGAAAATTGTAACTGGAAAGTATCATTGGGAGCTTCAGTCCCATCCCTCCATTTTAATGGAGACATTGAATTGCAAAGTGGGGAAGCCTTGCCTTTTGGCGTAATAGAGAAAGAGGGAGACCAAAGTCACCAAAGAAAGAGGTTTGAAGAACCAAGTAGGTTAGAGTCAACCTCTTCATCTCTCTCCTCCAGGCTCCTGTAAAGGCCAAGGAGGAGAGGTAGGGACTTTTTACTTTGTGCTTCATTGACCTCACTTATTCTTCTCAGCAACCCTAGGAAATGGACATGGTTTCTACTTACAGATGAAAAAGATGTGGCAGCTCAGAGGTTAACTGACTCTTCCAGGGTCAAGTAGCTAATAAGTTGAAGTTGTAAAGCCAGGACTTGAACCTGAATCTTCTGATGCCAAGACTAGATCCTCTTACACCGTGCAGATATGCAAGGGATCACCTAGTTCCCAGATGTTAGATGGTGTGGCAGGTGGGCGTCTGCTTTCCCCATCTCTCTCTGCACCTCCTGAGGCACATGCTTGGTAGCTGATGGTTGATCTTCCTAGACAGAGAAGGGGGCTGAAGTTTGAGAGGCTCTGCTCCTCTGCTAGACCCTTCATTTAGGGAGAAGTCTGTTCAAGTGAATAGGACTCCAAGGTGAGGACCTGTATCTATCACCAGGGGGAAGAAACTCACACATTTGCTCTGTTGCTGCCTCCTGCTTCAATCCAGAGTATTCATTTTTCAGTGGTTCTCCTACTTTTAAAAGGAGTTTCTGCCTTCCAGACTTGCAAAGGGGCCCAAAATCCGTGGTTTTGGCTACTAAACAGGAAACTCAAAGCCCTTTCTGTTCCTTTGAGCTGGCTGGAAGGGCTGGGCCTGGAACTATTACTTTACTTTAAAGGACAGAAGAAAAGTTTTGTGTGGCTTAAAAAACAAAACAAAAACCCTTTCCTGGAGGCCTGCACACCAGCCTTGGTTGATACACAACATGGAAAAGAGCCGCCTTGTTGCCTGGCAGTAATGACAGCAAACAAATGTGTCTGACAGTCTGTTTGGCATCTCCTGGTCTGAAATTCTGTTTGCTTTATTCTAATTGCTTCCTTAACTTCCTTTCAGTCTCCCCACCTTCGGTACCACCCTCTCTCCAGGCCGTGCCAGGTTGTGCCAGGCTGGGCTGGGCCCCACAGGATCCAGCAGCCCAGCTGGGGCTATTCTTGTCTATCTGCAAGATGCCTGTTGTTCTCCATGGCTGTTTTTCTCATCATAAATGTTGACTTGGCAGGGGCCCCAGAATGGAACCCATGATGGAAAAGTCTTCCAGAACTCTGCCTCAAAAAACACAGCTGATCCCGAGTGCCAGGCCGAGGAAACAGAGGTTCATAGATACTGCTCCTCAAGGGAACCTGAGTGGCTATGGCCACCAGGACAGCCCTGAGGGGGTTCAGTACCCTTTGTACATGTGGGCCTCTCCCCGCAGACTCTCTCAAAACAGGCCTGGAAGAAGCCATGGGCCCTTGGAGGTGCCTTAGGGCCTGGCTGGCATTTCTCTGCTCTGCCACGTGCCATCCTCCACCCCGCCTCTCTCTAGGAATTCTAATCTGTGTCAGGCCAGAGAAAGTGACTCTTAGGCCCAGCCTGGAAGCAGACAGAAACCCCCAGAACATTGGCCTTCACACTTTTAAAATGACATACCCCTATCAGTAAAATGTTTGAGCATAAACTCCTAATATATATGTACTTATTTATGAATTACATATGTGTGCTGCCATGTAATATGTACATTGTAAGCATACAATTTTTAATGAACATTTGTATAATTTAAATGGATGAAAGAAAAATTAGAAAATGGTTTTAAATTTTATTGAAGGTATATGCAATTGGATATACTCCTTTAAAAAAAATCTTGGTTCATCACTTTCTGATGCAGTAATTCAAAAGACGTATTCTAATGAGAGGGTTGTTCTTGAAAACTCTTAGGAAAAGTGGTTTTTTGGTTTTGGTTTTGGGTTTTTTCTGTAGAGATGAGGTCTCACTGTGTTGACCAGGCTGGTCTCAAACTCCTGACCTCAAGTGGTCCTCCTGCCTCGGCCTCCCAAAGTGCTGGGATTATAGGCATGAGCCATCACGCCTAGCACTGAAAAGTGTTCTTACAATATTTCGGAAAAATCCTTCACAAATATAATTTTAAAAAGAGAATTTAAAAATATGAAAATGAACAAGGGTTCAAACCCCTCTGAAACTCTTTGTTTGGAATAGTTTTAAATAGATTAGGGAATTGCTTACAATTCCTAATTGTATAGATATAGGAATTGAGTGTGCAGGCATAGATTTTAGAAATGGATTATTATTTTACAAATTTATTGAATTTTAAAAATTTTATTTTTATATTTACATACAGTAAAATTCACTCTTTGGTGAATAGTCATACGAGTTTTAACATAGATAAGTCTTAGGACCTTGGAGTCTTATAGTCTATTTAGTCTTACAGTCTTATAAATACATAGTCTAGGCCGGGCGTGGTGGCTCACGCCTGTAATCGCAGCACTTTGGGAGGCCAAGGCGGGTGGATCATGAGGTCAGGAGATTGAGACCATCCTGGCTAACACGGTGAAACCCCGTGTCCACTAAAAATACAAAAAATTAGCTGGGCGTGGTGGTGGGTGCCTGTAGTCCCAGCTACTCGGGAGGCTGAGGCAGGAGAATGGTATGAGCCTGGGAGGTGGAGCTTGCACTCCAGCCTGGGTGACAGAGCAAGACTCTGTCTCAAAAAAAAAAAAAAAAAAAAAAAAAAAAAAAAAAAAATATATATATATATATATATATATATATATATATATATATATGGTCTAATAGTGATTATAAGACTTTCTTTTGTTATAGGGCCTAAGAGTACCATTCTTCTGTTACCAAGATAACAGAACAATTCCATATCTCTTACTAACTCTTATAGTTAAACATTCTTTTTACCCATAACCTCTAGCAGCCACCGATCTTCTTAGCATAATGTATTTCAGATTCATCCGTGTTGTTCTGTATATCAATAGTTTGTTCCTCTTTATTACAGAGTAGTAGTATATGGATATACCAATCTATTTATCCGGTCACCATTTGAGACATTTAGGTTGTTTCCAGTTTGGGGCGATAATGAATTAAGCTGTGAAAAACACTCTCATATAGGTTTTTGTATAAACATAGGCTTTCGTTTCACTTGGGTAAATGAAATTGCCAGACTCGTTTCCAAAGTTGCTGTACCATTTTGCAATGTTTGAGACTTCCAGTTGCTACACATTCATGCCAACACTTGGTTTTGTCAGTTAAAGAACAAAAATTTAACCATTCTAATGTGGACTGATTCTGATGAAGTTCAGTTTATCAGTTTTTTTCTCTTTTATGGATTGTGTTTCTGGTGTATCTAAGAACCTCTTCTAACACAAGGTCACAAAGACTTTCTTCTGAATATCCTCCATTTCAAATTAATTTTGTACAAGCATATCATTTTTTAGCCACAAAATATTGACAAAAACAAGTTGTCTCTGTAGCATAGGTTTCAGGTACTTTACCATAAGTGAACCCCTTTGTAGTACTTCATCTCATATGCAAAACATTGCAAAGACCCTGCTATTTAAAATCGTGTTTTTTAAAAAAATAAGATTGGCCTTATTCACAGAAACAACAGTATTCACAATACGCTGAAAGCAGAGACAGAAAAAGAACACCTTTGTCACCTCTAACCCCCACAGTGGAGCCCCTTTCTTCCAGATACCTATACATACAGGACACATACCAGTCCAGGGAAGGTCCTAGTGGCAATCCATGTATTGTAACTGTTTAGCAAAACTTATTTTTTAAAGATAAAATGTATAAAATGAGCTAGTATTTTCTCCCTGCCCTGGAGAAAAGGGTTGTCTGGGGGTTTGTCTTGCACACCTTGCTGGGATACCACTGCCCTGGTAAGTCTCACAATGTTGCCTGTCTCCCTGTATTTCTAATTGTGTCTGGCAGAGAGTCAGTGATCTAGGAGTGAGAAAGAAGTGAATGCATTCTTCAAAGTCTTTCTCTGTCATTAATGGTGAAGCTCTGTTGCTTCCTGTTACTTTCCTGTCTGCTTTCTTCTGGGATTTGTTTCCCAGTAGCCACCTTCTTCTAAGCTCCGAACTTGAAGGTCTTAGCAAATGTTTCTTAGAGGATGACATTCCAAATTACCTGTAACTTAGGACCATGGAATAATAAGAGAATATAATTTTGAAGCTAGAAGGGGATTTGAAGGTCAGCTAGTTCAAATCTCTTATTAAAACCAAACCAAAAAGAAATGAACTATAATATCCATAGAATAGAGTACTACTCAGCAACAAAAAGGGAATAAATTGTTGATATGTTCAACATGAATGAATCCTAAAAGAATTGTGCTGAGTGAAAAAAGTCAGACAAACACATATACACTGTAAAAGAAAATACATTTCATTTATTTAAAAAATTCTAGACTGGACGCAGTGACTCACATCTGTAATCCCAGCACTTTGGGAGGCCAAGGCAGGCCGATTGGGTGGATTGCTTGAGCTCAGGAGTTTGAGACCAGCCTGGGCAACATGGCAAGATTCCGTCTCTACAAAAAATCCAAAATTAGCCAGGCATGGTGGTGCGCCCCTGTAGTCCCAGCTACTCAGGAGGTTGAGGCAGAAGGATCACTTGAGCCCAGGAGATCAAGGCTGCAGTGAGCCATGATCGTGCCTTTACACTCCAGCCTGGGTGACAGAGCGAGACCTTGTCTCAAAAAAAGATTCCAGAAAATACAAATTATAGTGACAGAAAGCTGTAATCGCCTATGGATCTATAAGTGGTAAGAGGATGAGGAGGGGAGGATTCAGAGGGATATGAGGAGATGTTTGGGTGTCATGGGTAGTTTAATCTTTATTGTGGTGATGTTTTCACAGGTATATACAGATATCAAAACTCATCCAATAGTACACTTCAAATATACACCGTTTATTATGTCACTTATAGTTCAAAAAAGTTGTTTATAGAAAACAAAAAAAACTAGAGACAATTTAGTTGACTCAGAATATTTAATAAATGACTACTGTGTGCCAGATGCACATTCTTATGTGTTTGGCATTCAGAGAGAGATTGAAGACATGGCGCACACCTTCAGGGAGCTCACAGTCTACTGAGGGAGTGAGATAAATAAACAGATGATTTCAATCCAGGATGCTAGTGCTAAGGCAAAGGAAAACAGGCCGGGTGCGGTGGCTCATGCCTGTAATCCCAGCACTTTGGAAAGCTGAGGCAGGCGGATTGTTTAAGCCTAGGAGTTCAAGACCAGCCTGGGCAACATGGCAAGACCCTGTCTCTATAAATTTTTTTTTTTTTAAATAGCTGGTTATGGTGGTATGCACCTGTGGTCCCAGTTACTCTGGAGGCTCAGGCAGGAGGATCGCTTGAGCCCAGAAGGTGGAGGCTACAGTGAGTCATGGTCACACCACTGCACTCCAGCCTGGGTGACAGAGTGGGACTCTCTTGGGGGAAAAAAAAAAGGAAAGAAAGAAAAAGGAAATGCAGGGAACATGAAGAGTCTAGAACATGAGTATCATTGGGTGCCTTTTTCTGGGGAGTTTAGGGAAAGCTTAATGAAAGAGGGGAGCTGAGCTGAGGCTTATTGGGTCAGGTGGAAGAGCCTCCCCATCAGAGGGAACTTCATGGGCAAAGTTAGTGCAATGCAACTTCCAGGAATTGCCTGTGGTTTGGCCTGACTGGAGTGAAGGACATAATGGGGAGGTAGCAAGAGAAGAGGCAGGAGAGGTGGCATGGCCAGGTCATGAAGCCCTGGAGTGGTGTTTGTGCTCCAGGATTGAACAGTGTGGCCAGGTCTAGACCTGTGTCGCTGGGACATTGTCTTATCCAAACACTCAGCATGGACTTCCAGGTTCCAGGTTTTGAGGCTTTGACACTCATAGCTGCTCAGTTGTAGCCTGGAAGCTGCTATATTCCCCAGGGATGTTTCAAGACCCCAAAAAGGAGAGAATTGGTTTGGGTCTGGGCACCAGCTGGGGAATATCTGCCTGCCCCTTGCAGATGCACCTGGGAGTGAAGGTGTCTGGTGTATTTGAATGTTGGAGGCAACCAACAATCCAGCTGCCCCAGAGGCAGTTTTTCCACAAGTAAAGAAGTTTGTTGGCTGGGTGTGGTGGCTCACACCTGTAATCCCAGTACTTTGGGAGGCCGAGGCGGGTGGATCACCAAGGTCAGGAGTTGAAGACCAGTCTGGCCAACATGGTGAAACCCTGTCTCTACTAAAAATACAAAAATTAGCCGGGTGTTGTGGTGCACACCTGTGGTCCCAGCTACTCAGGAGGCGGAGGCAGGACACTCGCTTGAACTCAGGAGATGGAGGTGCAGTGAGCCAAGATCGCGCAACTGCACTCTGGTCTGGATGACAGAGCAAGACTCCATCTAAAAAAAAAAAAAAAAAAAAAAAGAATTTTGTCTTTCACACTGGCTGGCAGCACTGATCCCTGACGTCCTGCACATCTGACAAAAATGATTGTCTCGCGTGCTGATCTGAGTCCTATCTGGTGCTCACCTACCCTCTGGTCATCTGTTAGCCACTCATCTCCTTGTTTGTTGGTTGGTTTTCAGAGCAGACTAAGATACTAAATTCAGGACACTGTTGTTAGACCACATTAAAAATGCAGGCGGCAGTGCAGAACATGGCTGGCTCATGTCAGGCCGACTTCTCAGTGTAACCAGAGAAGGAAAACATGGACAGGGCCCGTGTTAATGGAAGCAGACGCCAGATTGCATGGCAGGCTCTGGCTCCTGTTTCTCCTGTTCCCTGCCGCCCTCCAGCCAAAAGAAAGAAACTAATATGTAAGCTAGAGGTTAAAGTGGAATTGCTGCTTCATGAGCATTTCTGTGATGCAGAGATCAAGTTGCTTACATCTCAAAAGAGCTCCTGTGCTCCCATTTAGGATTGTAAACTGTCATGGCACTTAGGATCTTCTAGAAGGCATGACAAGCGATAAGTGTGGGTTGGATAGTTTTTTCTTGGGTCAGGGATTTTTTTGCTGCCTTTGGTAGAGCTGGACCAAGAGGCCAAGCGAAGGAGCTTGTGGTGGTTTCCATGCCTGGGCCAGCCTGGGAAAGCTGTGGCCAGCACAGATGGCTGAAATCAGGTGGGACCAGGAAACGCCAATGCGGATTAATGATCTCAGGTGAATTAATTACATCAGGCAATGTCAGGAGGGAAGAAGTTTTTAATGACATAGTGGTTTTGGGTTTTTTTCATTTTCTCACCTGGGCTAGTGAAAACAGTCCGGTGGGCCAGATCGAGCTTTGTGGCTCTGTTAATTCCGCCCTCTTCTCCGCCCCCACACCATCTGCCAGCGGGACCGTTAACTGGCTCAGTACTCCCTTTTGCTGTGTCAGTCCTGGAAGGTCATGCTTAACTGTGATTGGGGTTGGTTTCCCAAACAGATAGGTGAAATGGATGTCTAACTATCGATTTGTTTTCTTGCATTTCAGTCATTCCAAGGAAGTCAAGGACGAGCATACCTCTTTAACTCAGTGTGAGTGCCTCTGAATGGTACATTCCTTGTGGGGTACAGATTCGAGGGATGGGAAAAAGCAATCCTTGGTGATAATTAAACAATGAACCCTGCCCTGTCTGCCACAGTAAAACTCTGTGGAGCATTACTGTCCACAATTGGTAGTCAGTTACCTTTGGGGAACATTTCTTGCCAACATCTCTGGCTAAAAATAATATATTCACTACATTCCCCTCAGAGGGCACACCAGAGGACTGTAGTCCCACAGGGAAGAAGCTGAGGAGATTCTGAGAGCCTCAACCTGAAGGGCTCATAATGAGATCTGAGATTTGTCACTGGGGAAGAGAATATGGGTGAAAAAGACACCAAGATCTGCTGCGGGACCTAAGGAGGAAGGAAGGCCCACTTCGGGCAGATGCACAGTTTCCAGGGCACTCAGCCATCCCCAGGCACCAGGTTTATCACCTCTTCCCTGGGAAGGGAAGGTGAAGCCTACATAAGCCTGATAAACTGTAAAAATGAAAATCTGGCCTGTGGCTTGAGCTGGGCACCCTGTGAAGGAGTAGAGCCTATTCAGCACCCAGGGATCACTCATTCCTGTATCAGGACCACACTGTGCTATCATGTGTGGCATCTTCAGCTTCATTCAGTCCTCAGTAAGCTGTGAGGACCTGTGCCCATGGCTGTGGACTTCACAGTGTGGCTGTCAGCTTGTCCCCCTAAGTCACAGATTTAAAGTATTTGTTAGAAAAATTAAAATTTTAAGCAAACTCTCAACCATAAAGATTATTTCGGTAGACCCACTCCACTAGAACTTGCAGATCTGAATTTCCTTCCAGCTGAGATATTTCCCTGTGGCCACCTTTTGGGGATTGGTTTAGATCTGCTCAGCTCAGGGTTGGCTCCCCTTGGGACAGCCTTTCCCAGTTAATTTTTGCTGGAAGCTCAGCTTGAATGCCTGATGTGCGTGTCACTAACTACCCACTCTCTCTTCTTGTGCCTCGACATAGAGTTAATGTGGGCTGTGGGCCTGCAGAAGAGCGAGTGTTGCTAACAGGACTGCATGCAGTCGCAGACATTTACTGTGAAAACTGCAAAACCACTCTGGGCTGGAAATACGTAAGTATAAAGGAGTTTGGTTGGTAGAGGGCTGGAAGGGAATTGCCAAGAGCCTTATGCCAGAACACTTTCTTCTACTCGCTTTCCATGGCCTTGTGGGATTGTCTTAGACCAGAATAGTCACCTGTCTACCACACTCATTCTTTCCTTTCTGCTGATATATTTCCCTCCTCCTATTCATTCCTTCACACCTACCCCCTGAGACACACACCCCTTTAGATTTAATAAATAATAATAGTAATGGCATATAACCTTACTCGACAGCTCACTAGATGCCAGGCATGCATCAGCAGCCTTAGAGGTTAGATGCTATCTTCACCTCTATTTTATGGATAGGGATACTGAGACTTAAGGAGGTTAATAGTATGTCCAAGGCAATCTAGCCATTAAATAGCCACACCAGGATAGGAATCCATGTAATATTCTGTTATTTATTTTTTATTTCTAAATTTTTCATTCTCAAAGGACGTGACCATGTAGTAGTATTCTGACACAGAGCCCATGCTGTTTTTTAAATATTAGGCAAATTTATTTTATTTTATTTTATTTTGAGACAGAGTTTTGGTCTGTCGCCCAGGCTGGAGTACAGTGGCGCAATCTCAGCTCACCACAACCTCTGTCTCCCAGATTCAAGCGATTCTCATGCCTCAGCCTCCCAAGTAGCTGGGATTACAGGCACGCGTCACCATGCCTGGCTTATTTTTTGTATTTTTAGTAGAGACAGGATTTCACCATGTTGGCCGGGCTGGTCTCGAACTCCTGACCTCAGGTGATCCACCCCCGTCAGGCTCCCAAAGTGCTGGGATTACAGGTGTGAGCCACCATGCCTGGCCAACAAATTTATTTCTTAATAAATAGAGACAGGGTCTCACTGTGTTGCTCAGGCTGGCCTCAAACTCCTGAGCTCAAGCAGTCTTCCCAACTTGGCCTCCCAAAGTGCTGGGATTATAGGCGTGAGCCACACTGTTGCCTGGTCCAGAACCCATGTTCTGAAGCCACTGTACTTTGATACTCCAATAAATGTTCCTAAAACACCTAGGTCCCAGGCCCTGAGCAAGGCATTATCAAAAACTGCCTTAATTAACATCCACTGTCAGATGTGATCATGGCTGGACCTCTCCCAAATGGACAATTATTCTTTCATTGTTTAACTCAGCAAAAAATGTTAAGGTCCCTTTGGGGCCTGGGGAAAGTGAGCAGTCCTTTGCCAGAGTGAGAGGAGGGAAGGGCTGGGATCTGCTGCTTGAACGCTGGGGACTAATTGTCCTAACATGCGCTGGGGTCACCACATAACCATAGACACTGCCCCTACAGTCCCTCTAGCTAGTGGTTAAGAACCATCTAGGCAGCTAGAGTCAGGTTCAAATTTGGGATCCATGACTTATTTGTCTGTGTGTCCTTGGACAAGCTACTTAGCTTCTATGCTAAGTTTCCTCATACTTACAGAGTTGGTTTGAGTGTTAAATAGGATCATGCCTATAAAACACTTAGGTCATCACCTTGCATAGAGCATATGTCAGTGAAAATTAACTTAAATTGTTATTTTTATTATTAGCAGATTTTTTTCAGCCTGCACGTGTACATCCATGCATTGCACATTCCTTTCTGTTCTTGCCCTCCCTGTCATTGTGAGGATACTGAAAAGTTGGTCTTCCTGTCTCTGGGAAGGCAATTTAGTCCATGTAAAATGTCTCAAATTCCCTGTCCTGTCATATGGCTCATGAACTGCCTCTGGCTTCTGAAGGAGCCTGAAGGAGTTGTCAAACCTGCCGCAGAGTGCTGACGATATGTCAGTGTAGGTTCATCCATTGTAACAAATGTTCTAATCTGGTGTGGGATTTTGATAGTGGGGGAGTCTGGAGGTGGGTAGCGGGTATGTGGAAAATCTCTGTACTTTCTGCTCAATTTTGCTGTGACCCTAATGCTGCTCTAAAAATAACATCTTTTGGGAAAAAAATATATTTACACACATATAAAATAATGTGAGCAGTACATGCCAGGCACTGAATTATGATTCCATTGAAATAGTTTGAAAATGTGGAAATCATTAAAAAAAAAAATTGTCCCAGGTGGAGCCTGGTAGCACTGCCTTTAGATTCCATTTTCCCCATCTCCCTGGAAACATTCAGGATTACAAACAAAAATGGGGCCAGGCGTAATAGCTCAGGCCTATAACCCCAGCAGTTTGGGAGGCCGAGGTGGGTGGATCACCTGAGGTCAAGAGTTCGAGACCCGCCTGGCCAACATATAGTGAAACTCCGTCTCTACCAAAAATAAAAATATTAGCTGGGCATGGTGGCAGATGCCTGTAATCCCAGCTACTCAGGAGGCTTAGGCAGGAGAATCGCTTGAACCCAGGAGGCGGAGGTTGCAGTGAGCCGAGATCATGCCATTGCACTCCAGCCTGGGCGACAGAGTGAGACTCTATCTCAAAAAACAAGCAAAAAAAAAAAACCTAGATAGTGTGTTGTGTGGTGCCAAGATGGGTTAGCCACAGCTTCCTATGGTTGGCTTGGTTGTTCCTGTGGGAGAAGCTGGATTTGGCCATTCTATTCCCTCTGTACAGTCACGGGCCCCCTCTGGGTGATGATGGGTGGGGGACACAGTTCTAATTGTGGTTATCCAGAAATGTTCTTCATTGCTTCTTGGCCTTTTGGCTAAGATCAAGTGCAGAAAAGTTCTGCCCCTGCCCCTGTTTCCCAGCCTCTTGGCTGTCTTACTGCCCTGAAGATGTGTTGGATTGAAGATACATGATAAGCCTGAGTTGGTTGGTTTTGCTCCCCACTTGAGGTTCAGGTAAAACAATTCATTCTTTTGACAAAGGTTTATCAAAAGCCTTTGACTAAATACCAAAAAAATGGATAAGATCCAGTGTCTGTCCTCAAAGTGTTGACAGTCATGATGCCAGCTGAGGAGGAAAACCAACATGAAAACAGATCAAACAGCCTGACAAGTACTGTGATGTGCACAGCACAGCAGGGAAACACCCAACACCCCAAATATGCATCCGTCACCTCCTATGTGCCAGCTCAGGGCACGTTTTTTTTTTTTTTTTTTTTTGAGATGGAGTCTCACTCTGTCACCCAGGCTGGAGTGCAATGGTGTGATCTCGGCTTACTGCAACCTCCACCTCCTGGGTTCAAGCAATTCTCCTGCCTCAGCCTCCAGAGTAGCTGGGATTACAGGTGTGCGCCACCACGCCCAGCTAATTTTTTTTCTATTTTTAGTAGAGACGGGGTTTCACCATGTTGGTCAGGCTGGTCTCGAACTCCTCACCTCGTGATCTGCCCGCCTCAGCCTTTCAAAGTGCTGGGATTACAGGTGTGAGCCACCGTGCCCGGCCCTAAATTTTTTGTATTTTCAGTAGAGACACAGGTTCACCATTTGGTCAGGCTGGTCTCCATCTCCTGACCTCAGGTGATCCCCCCACCTTGGTCTCCCAAAGTGCTGGGATTACAGGTGTGAGCCACCGCACCTGGCCCTCCTTTCATTCCATTGTTATCTCTGTGAAGTAAGTGTGAATCTCCCAGTTCTGTAAGTGATGGTTCAATGCTGGGAAGCAGTAGAGGCAGGATTAGTTGGTGTGTTTCTGTTGACACCAGGTCTAGTGCACTTTCCATTGGAATCCAATTCTGACATTTTCCAAATGCCTCTGTGTCTCGGGGCTATTGATTTATTTTATTTATTTTTTGAGACAGGCCCCTGGCTGGACTGCAGTGGTGCAGTCTGGCTCACAGCAGCCTCAACCTCCTGGACCCAGATGATCTTCCTGCCTCAGCCTCATGAGTAGTTAGGACCACAGGTGCATGACATCACACCCAGCTGATTTTTGTATTTTTTTTTTTTTTTGTAGAGATGAGGTTTTTGTCATGTTTCCCAGGCTGGTCTCAAACCGGCCTCAAGCAGTCTTCCTGCCTCAGCCTCTCAAAGGGTTAGGATTATGGGTGTGAGCCACCACGCCTGGCCGAATTTTTTTTTTCATAATAGGAAACTCATTTTCTTTTTTTTTATTTTTATTTTATTTTATTTTTTATTTTTTTATTTTATTTATTTATTTATTTTTTATTGATCATTCTTGGGTGTTTCTCGCAGAGGGGGATTTGGCAGGGTCATAGGACAATAGTGGAGGGAAGGTCAGCAGATAAACAAGTGAACAAAGGTCTCTGGTTTTCCTAGGCAGAGGACCCTGCGGCCTTCCGCAGTGTTTGTGTCCCTGGGTACTTGAGATTAGGGAGTGGTGATGACTCTTAACGAGCATGCTGCCTTCAAGCATCTGTTTAACAAAGCACATCTTGCACCGCCCTTAATCCATTTAACCCTGAGTGGACACAGCACATGTTTCAGAGAGCACAGGGTTGGGGGTAAGGTCATAGATCAACAGGATCCCAAGGCAGAAGAATTTTTCTTAGTACAGAACAAAATGAAAAGTCTCCCATGTCTACTTCTTTCTACACAGACACAGCAGTCATCCGATTTCGCAATCTTTTCCCCACCTTTCCCCCTTTTCTATTCCACAAAACCGCCATTGTCATCATGGCCCGTTCTCAATGAGCTGTTGGGTACACCTTCCAGACGGGGTGGTGGCCGGGCAGAGGGGCTTCTCACTTCCCAGTAGGGGCGGCCGGGCAGAGGAGCCCCTCACCTCCCGGACGCGGCAGCTGGCCAGGCGGGGGGCTGACCCCCCGACCTCCCTCCCGGACGGGGCGGCTGGCCGGGCGGGGGGCTGACCCCCACCTCCCTCCCAGACAGGGTGGCTGCCGGGCGGAGACACTCCTCACTTCCCACACGGGGTGGCTGCTGGGCGGAGGGTCTCCTCACTTCTCAGATGGGGCGGCCGGGCAGAGACGGCTCCTCACTTCCCAGACGGGGTCGCGGCCGGGCAGAGGCGCTCCTCACATCCCAGACGGGGCGGCGGGGCAGAGGCGCTCCCCACATCTCAGACGATGGGCGGCCGGGCAGAGACGCTCCTCACTTCCTAGATGGGATGGCGGCCGGGAAGAGGCACTCCTCACTTTCCAGACTGGGCAGCCAGGCAGAGGGGCTCCTCACATCCCAGACGATGGGCGGCCGGGCAGAGACGCTCCTCACTTCCTAGATGGGATGGTGGCTGGGCAGAGACGCTCCTCACTTTCCAGACTGGGCAGCCAGGCAGAGGGGCTCCTCACATCCCAGACGATGGGCGGCCAGGCAGAGAGGCTCCTCACTTCCCAGACGGGGTGGCGGCCGGGCAGAGGCTGCAATCTCGGCACTTTGGGAGGCCAAGGCAGGCGGCTGGGAGGTGGAGGTTGTAGCGAGCCGAGATCACGCCACTGCACTTCAGCCTGGGCACCATTGAGCACTGAGTGAACCAGACTCCGTCTGCAATCCCGGCACCTCGGGAGGCTGAGGCTGGCGGATCACTCGCGGTTAGGAGCTGGAGACCAGCCCGGCCAACACAGCGAAACCCCGTCTCCACCAAATAAATACGAAAACCAGTCAGGCGTGGCGGCACGCGCCTGCAATCGCAGGCACTCAGCAGGCTGAGGCAGGAGAATCAGGCAGGGAGGTTGCAGTGAGTCGAGATGGCATCAGTACAGTCCAGCTTCGGCTCGGCATCAGAGGGAGACCGTGGGGAGAGGGAGAGGGAGAGGGACAGGAAACTCATTTTCTTAGTTTTGCTTTTTCCTCCTTCCCCCCCAAACACATTACCGTGGAACAATGGACCTTATTCCCAAAACACATTGCTCTGTCATGTGTATACACGCATGTGTGCATGTGTGTGCACAGAGACGGAATAATGAAGTGTCAGGGACATTGCTGCTCTGGTGTGCCTGAGCTCTTGTTCTGAAACACAAAGCCCCTGAGCTCTAGAACAGAAGACACAGTTGATACAACGGTGACCCAGAACCCCGCAAGGGTACGCCTCAATTCCTTACTAATTCTGGGGGCTCAGGGAAGGGCTGATGTCCACTGCTTGTGCATATGGAGCTGAGACACAGATGACCAGTGTTTTTCAGAGAATACACCAAGATGTTCTTATGTGTGTATCTCTGCAAACAAAAGAGCCCTGTTTATTCGCTGGGAGAGCCCACAGTGCTGTGGGTTTAGAAAAGTCACCTGCCAGGTGGTTAGTATGACGTTCTCCCTCTGGGGGCCTGGCAGTTAGGTGGGGCTTAAGGACTGCCAGGTTCTCTGGCCTGGAGTTTATACAGCTCCTGTCTCCACACATCTGACATAGAAGCAGCAAGAAAAACCGATTGAGAAGGAGACCTGTCTGGCCTCACGGTATTTTGTTCCTCTCCCTGTCTTCTCTAAGCCTAACAATTACAGTTTAAAATTAGAACCAGGCGTCCGGGCGCGGTGGCTCACACCTGTAATCCCAGCACTTTGGGAGGCCTAGGCGGGTGGATCACGAGGTCAGGAGATTGAGACCATCCTGGCTAACATGGTGAAACCCCGTCTCTACTGAAAATACAAAAAAAATTTAGCTGGGCATGGTGGCAGGCTCCTGTAGTCCCAGCTACTCGGGAGGCTGAGGAGGGAGAATGGCTTGAACCCGGGAGACGGAGCTTGTAGTGAGCCGAGATTGCACCACTGCACTCCAGCCTGGGCGACTGAGCAAGACTCCGTCTCAAAATAATAATAAATAAAATTAGAACCAGGTTTTCTTATGTTCTTAGAAACTAGCAGGAATGACACAGAAACTTTATGGATCTAACCCAGGGCAAACTTCCGTTAGCACCAGTAAACCAAGATTTATATATATGTAAATTTATATATGTAAATGTACTAATTCATTCAGCAATTATGTATTGAAATTCTGTTATGTGCCAGGCAGTCTTCTAAGGCTACAGCCATGAGCTAAACATGAAAGTCTCTGCACTCCATGAAGTTTATATTGTAGTCATGGGAGACAGAGCATAAACAAAATAGAAATGCAAATTATAATGTATATTCAGAAGTGAGAAGTACAGTGAAGAAAACTAAAGCAGGGGTTGGGGCAGAAGGGAGAAAGGGAGTACTGGAGTGGAAGTTGGATTTTAAGTAGGGTAGCTGGGGAAGACCTTACTGAGGGGGTGACATTGCAAAGACTTAAATGAGCGAAGCTCCTGGAAAATTGTGTTGTAATATTGTGAAAGTCCTGGTGTTGCCTCAGTTCTGCAGCTAAGCGAGGGGGACATAAAGCGCTTGAGGGGTAGGAATCATCTCGCTGAGTCAAGGTGAAGCTGGGACCAGACCGTGGTGACGCTGATACCTGTCATCTGCCCCTGCTTCTCTGCTACAAAAGGCATTTCCTTGGCCGGGTATGGTGGCTCACACCTGTAATCCCAGCAGGCATGAGGGAGGCCAAGGTGAGTGGATCACCTGAGCTCCGGAGTTAGAGACCAGCCTGTCCAACATGGTGAAACCCCATCTTTACTAAAAATACAAAAATTAGCCAGGTGTGGTGGTGGGTGCCTGTAATCCCAGCTACTTGGGAGGCTGAGGCAGGAGAATCGCTCGAACCTGGGAGGCGGAGATTGCAGTGAGTGGAGATTGCGTCATTGCACTCCAGCCTGGGTGACAGAGTGAGACTGCCTCAAAAAAGAAAAAAAAAATCATTTTCTTGTCTTTGGTCGTTCAGTATCTCTTCTCTGCTTCTGTATTTCCTAGGAACATGCTTTTGAAAGCAGCCAGAAATATAAAGAAGGCAAATACATCATTGAACTAGCACACATGATCAAGGACAATGGCTGGGACTGATTGGACAGCATCTACCCAACCCAGTGTCCACGTGAACGCCATTCAACCGAACATTCTTCCCAAGCGTGAGAGAGTGACTGACACTTGGTTCCATCCATTTAGGGGCCTTGCCATCCGGGGCATCCTCCCACCCTGACGCCATCTTTCTGGTGACCGGCCTCTAAATCGCTGTCTCTCTGTCTCTTTGCTTTGTATCTGTTTGTGAGTTGATCCTGGCTTCTCTCTCTGTTCTAGTTTTGGCTGAAAACAAAACAACAAAAGGAACAGATCCTTGACCGCATGGCGGCAGCCCACCTTGGTAAGGGCCCCAGGGCCCATGCGAGAGCTGCCTGATGGCCTCTTGTCAGGAGAGCAGTGGCACGGGGGCGTGAGGAAGAGGGAAAGGGGAAACTCTAAGGGTCCTGGCGCGGGGAAGGGGTGGAAGGGTGGAGGTAGGAACAAAATTGCGCCGCTCCTGGAGACCTGATAACTTAGGCTTGAAATAATTGACTTGTCTAAAAGGACAAAGAGAAAAAAAAAATACCTCATGACTGCATTCTCTCTGACTAGAAGCTTCTGTTCCTGACACCAAATGTGCCAGGTTAGCAAATGAGCACAAGATGTGGCCCTGATTCTAGTTGGTGGGGCAAGGGCCTGGTTCTCCTGGGCTGAGTGGGGGAGTGTCCTGGCAGCAGCGAGTGACCTGGGCAGTGGCCAGGTGGGTGCGATGACTCTGATGCCTCACTCAGTCTCTGGGCAATCATCATCTTTGCCTCTAGCCACCGTAGATAAGGTGTGAAGGGACTGCTGTTTGCAATGGGCTTACCATCCAAATATCCCAAAGGCTTTGACCAGCAACCAAGTAAAATCAGTAATTGAGGAGAGCAGGGCACAAAGGGGCTGCAGTTTGGGAGCTCCTGAAGAAATGGCTCAGATATTGAGTCAGAGAAATAAAAAGTAGGATCAGTTAGCAATTCTAACTGCCCTTCCTTCTGACCCCTCATAAGAGGAGTGTGGTGAGGGAGGGGACTGGGTAGGGGTCATCCCAGGAGGAGGGGTTTACATTGGAACCAGTTCAGGTTCGGTGCATCTTTCCTCTTCGGTTTTACAGTGGCTTCCGTGGGATCGTC
Organism: Homo sapiens; assembly: GCF_000001405.40. Taxonomy (NCBI): domain Eukaryota; kingdom Metazoa; phylum Chordata; class Mammalia; order Primates; family Hominidae; genus Homo; species Homo sapiens. Next base: position 59,398,300 of record NC_000017.11, read on the forward strand.
AATTTCTTGTTCTTAGAGTTTCGGGTGTTTTTCTCCAGTCTTGTTACTGTAGACTGTAGAAAGCACGGGCCCCAGGCTCTGAGCTTAGTAATAACCTGGCTGGTAGATTCCTCATGCCCCTAATTGTCCCACTTAGGCCTGAATGTCTTGCATGGAGAGAAATCTCCTGTCAGTGTGGTCCAGCAGCAGGGAGGAGTTCTGCCCAAATTCCGATATCACCCCTTCCCCCATCCAAGCATCCTTCGATTAGGGAAGTGGAGAGCACATCCCTGTAAGGCCCATAAGAGAAAGAGGAGTTTGTTACATTTAATCAACACTGTGAAGTCTGTTCTACAGCAATTCAGCCATTACACAGTATATGACTGAAACTCATTTAACTGGGTTAATTTCATTTCTTAGACTGAATATATTATTGTTAAGATACGTGTGCGTGTTAGGTAATTCTCAGCATCTCCTCCAAGTAGGCCGACCTTCTCGGAAAATTCACCCTAAAAGTCTCACAAAAGAATGAGTTCATGGGGAGATTCTGTAAAGTGATGAACTGAGATGAAAGCAGCCAACAGCCCAGGAGCTTTTCAGAATAGCGTCTGCAGCAGAACCAGTTTCCATTCAGAGCGCGTCCTTGGTGGAAATGCTTTTTTGTGTGTCTCCACGCGCTGATGGTGGAATGGGAGCCCCAAGACGTGTGGGCTTAGAAATCAACTTTTGTTCCCCAAGGCTTCTTGTCCAGATCTTTCCAGTGCTTTCATAGCCCTGGGAGATCAAGTTGTTCTCCCCACTTTACTGCAAGGTAGACTGAAGTTCAGAAGAAATACTGAATTTCTGCTCCCAGAAGAATAGTTTCTCTGGCTCACAGGCCCAAGTTCTCAATGAAATCGTTTTTTAACTTTCACATTCCTAAGCTGGCTTCCCGGCACAGAAGCCATGGATTTCCCCTCTCTCCCTTCCCCCTCCTCAAGGAAATAGTCTTCCTTTATGGATTTTCATTGGACTCTTTCCTCAGCGATTGTCCTGGCTGTTTATTGATAGTCCTTCCCATAAGAAAATGGGGTTAAACATGGGGTAGGTATTTTGTCTTTCAAACTACAAATGGAATGTGGTGACATAAACTAGACATGGGGTGCCCTCAAGTTTCCAAGGGGACCAATGTGCCACTGTTCTTCCTTGGGGATGAGGCCTTTGACTGTTGGATGGATCAGAGCAGGCTCCAGTCAGACCCTGGTTCTGAATGTTTTTTTTTTCGGTGACTATCCAGTGAGCCTTCAGTGGGTGCAAGGCGCCATACTTGCTGTGAGAGAGCTGAGTAGAGTGTTGGTTTTTCCATAACTACAGGGGGAAAAAAAGTCATTAGGCTTTCCCTTTGTGTCAGTGAAACCAAAAGTGCTTCTTACAACGTTCGCTCTGTTCATGGGTTGTCTATCTAACATTGAGCAGCATTGGAGAGGCCACAGCTGAGCTATGGAGATGCTAAATTAACTCATGGCCTCAGTCAGTTCATTCTTTAATTTCCTCACCAAATTATTGACTTAGAGCATAACCAAAGACCTCATTCATTCACCCCAGGTGGGTTGGGGTAATTGGAGTTTGTTGGTGAAGTTTGGGGGCGGGGTGTTGGGAGTAGAGACAGGGTAAGGGGACGTGAGAAAGGAAAAGGCATGAAGTTCTATACCTCAGCCAGCAGCTGCCTTCGTTTGGAACTGAAGTCCAGCCAGCAGACTCTCTAGCTCCATCTCCCCTGTGCCACCCTAGGTCATATGACCTTGGCCACCTTGGAGTAGACCCAGACCCCTCGGGACCCGGGACATTAGTCTCAGGCTGCTGATGGATTGATTTGACATGAACCAAACACAGCCAAACTCGATACCCACAAGCTGTCAGCTGAACCTGACTGAGTGTTCTTCCTGAGTTCACGAGGATAGGCTAGAGTGCATTTTTACTGGTGGATCAGTGTGTGCGAAAGAGATGACCCTTTATAAAGAGATTTTCAAGTGGATATATATAAAAGAAACAGTTGCTTGTAAAATATACTTTTGTAAATAATATTTAATTTTTTAAATAATATATTTGGTGCTGTTTTCTCAGATCCCCTGAGAGCACTTTTTATTTTCCTTTTAAATTCTATGGTTTCCTTTGCATTTCTTGAAGTATATTTTAAGGGAAACAGTGATCACCAATACATGTTTTCAGTTTTTTTTTTTTTTAAGGTCTCTATCACTTTAATCTGGATCAAGGCTTTGAAGCAATGCCTCTCTGCATTTTTTCCCCAGTGGAACAGACTCTGCAGTACATTAATCAGGTTGAGAATTGAAATATTTTCTTGCATCAGTATTGGCTAGAAAAGAAAATAAATAAAACCAAGTTAATTTAGTAGTAACAACTTACAGTGATTCTTCCTGTTGGAAGAATTTCCAACAAATCAGAATCACGTTTTTAGTTGTGCGTGTGCGCGCACACGTGTGTAAAAAGCACTTTCGATTGTGCCTCCTGTTTTCTCGAGTGGGGACACTTTAACTACAGTTTACACCTCGGGCGCATAAAGTTTTTCTTCTCTTTCTCTCTGGTTGTTTCTGTTTCTGAGTGGACCAACAGCAGAACCCACGAGGATTTGTTTTGAGTATGGAGCTGTTGCGGGTTTGCTCCTTTTTCTTGCTTTGCGTGCTCAGTTTTTACAGACTGTAAAGGAGATGTGTTGTTTGTGAAGATGGAGCAGAGTCAAATCTGTGCTTCTAACTGAGATGAGAGTGTATTAATCACGTATCGCAGGGCTCCAGCTGTTTTAGAAGCCACATCATGTTAAACATTAACTGGTTTGGATTAAAAGAACATTAATATTATAATACACATATCTTAGTGGTAAACAGCTTTTTTTTTTTAAGGTCAGATTGCCTCAGGTTTAGAAAGAGGCTGAGAAATCAAATCTTGAACACAATCAACTTACATATTTTAAAGGAATCTGCCTCAAATGAGAAAATATGCTAGTTATCTAGATAGAGGAAAGAGATATTTACTTTTTTAAAAATTAAAATAGTTATGAAATCTGGCAGAAAAGGTAAAGCCTAGAAGAAACTATGAAAGCTATTCTCATGTTACCAAATTCTATCTGCGCATATGTTTTTGTATAACATTTCGGTGACAGTGGGAGTCGGTTCCCTTTCCCAACCTGCAGAGACTATCTTCCAATACAGAATCTGTCTATTTATGCTTGTGTTTACAAACTGTATTTGTTGGGTTTGGGTTTTTGTTTTCTTTGGTGGCATTTTTCAGGTCACTTTGCTTCTATAACAAAGGTAATTGTTTTCAAATAATTTGTCTTCACCTTTTCCTGTATTTGTACATAGTGATTCAGTATTAGAGAAAAGTGCATTGTTTCTGTCATATTTCCAATCTGTGTTGGTGCTCATTTGAGAAAATAAAAGTTTTCAAATATTAACTCTTTGAAGAGCTCATCTGTCTTCGTTGACCCAGTGTGTTTGATCTTGACATTTCATATTAAAGTATTTAAAGGCCTATCTAAATCCAGTCACAGATCTGTTGACTGAGACCCTAAGGGCTTGTTTTTCCCAAGGACAGTCAGCTAACTAATGAATAACAGCAGGTCTCCTGCTTATCTGCAAATGCTTCTCCTGGCTTTAGATATCAGAAATGCATGAGTGACCTTTATCCAGTTCTGTGTACAAAGCCCCATATTCATAGACTCTGCAGACTTTTCTGATGACACCAATTTCTTTGGAAATAGTATTGCATGAAGTAAAGGGAAAAAAAGAAGTAAAACAACAAAATTATGTCAAAAAGGGGTGGTATCATCTCTGAATGATTGGCTAATAGAGACCAGCATTCACAGTTATAACATGGCATATCAGATGTTCTCATTTTTATTTTATTTTTATTATCAACACATTTATTAAACATGTGTTTGATTCCAGGCACTGGGCAAGGCAGTTCTATCATCCTAATAAATAAGCTGTTTTTGTTTGCCAAGTACTTTTCATCTGGTCTGATCCATATGCACACACTGTCTTGTATATCCAGTCATTGTAAGTAAATTTTGTGAGCTGGTGCCTTCATTTAACATAAGCTAAACAGTTTTGTCTCGGCATCATCATTATTTTATTTTTTATTTTTATTTTATTTTATTTTATTTTATTTTTGAGACAGAGTCTCACTCTGTTGCCCAGACTGGAGTGCAGTGGCACCATCTCGGCTCACTGCAACCTCTGCCTCTTGGGTTCAAGTGATTCTCCTGACTCAGCCTCCTGAGTAGCTAGGATTATAGGCACGTGCCACCACGCCCGGCTAACTTTTGTATTTTTAGTAGAGACGGGGTTTCACCATGTTGGCCAGGCTGGTCTCGAACTCCTGATCTCAAGTGATCTGCCCACATCGTCCTCCCAAAGTGCTGGGATTACAGGTGTGAGCCACCGTGCCCAGTTTATCATTTTATACTATATCTTAAAGTACCTTTTCAAAAGCTTGCTTCCATATCTTATGGAGTACCCATCTTGTACAGGCAGCCAAAATGGCAAAGAAGATACTAAAACCACACAAGTGTGCATGTTTCACATTGCTAATATTTTTAAAGCCTTTCTATGGCCAGGCACTGTGGCTTATGCTCATAATCCCAGCACTTTGGGAGGCTAAGGCAGAAGGGTGGCTTGAGTCCAGGAGTTTACAACCAGCCGGGGCAACATAGTGAGACCCTATCTGTATAAAAAAATTAGCCAGGCATGGTGGTGCATGCCTGCAGTCCAGCTTCTTGGGAGGCTGCGCTGGGAGGATTGCTTGAGCCCAGAAAGTTGAGGCTGCAGTGGGTCGCGATTGTGCCACCAGACTCCAGCCTGGGTGACAGAATGAGACCCTGTCTTAAAAAAAACAAAAAAAATCTGTTTTATGAAAAAGGACATGCCTTCTCTCCTTCCCACACATTTTCACCTACCCATTCTGGGCCCAGCTACACTTGACTTTTATTTGTCCTTCAGTATATTATCTTCTTCCAGTGACCTGTTTTGCTTCAGTGGATGTGCCTGTTATCATTTCATTCTTGTTTGCCTTTTGCAGAGAAGGACGAGAGAAAAAGAATATGCATGAGACAACCAATGTCAAGCCATCCTTGGGTCCTCATTCTTTCAAGCTCTTGTTTCCCTGCTGGGAGAAAGGGAGGGGAGAGGACACTATCCCCATTTTGTAGATAATGAAATTGAGGTTTTGCAAGGTCTCATTACTAAACCATATTCCAATTTTAGCCTTGTTAAGTCTTTTTTTTTCCTTCGAGGTAGGGTCCGGCTCTGTCACCCAGGGCGGAGTGCAGTGGTGCAATCTCTGTTAACCGCAGCCTCCACCTCCTGGGCTCAAGTGATCTTCCTGCCTCAGCCTCCAAAGTAGCTGGGACCACAGGTGCACACCACCACACCCAGCTAATTTTTGTATTTTTTTGTAGAGCTGGGGTTTCGGCATGTTGCCATGTTAATTCTGGTGCTGCTTCACATGACACTTTCCCAGTCTGCCCACCCTGACTGCTTAATAAGAGCTCAGGGAATGCAAATTAGAAAATTAAGATAAAACAGCTACAGAAGTCAATGCTACCTGGAAAGTATTATGTATTTCATAGCTCAATATTTTTACACTGGGCTTTGTTGTTGTTTTTCAGTACTCTCTAATGGATTACATATGTAATCCTTGGCCATCTACATTAATAATAGGTGCTGAATAAATGCTTGATGGGCCTTGAATTGGATGGTGGAGAATTAACAGCTTTTAAAAAAATCTGTTCAATCATGTCAGTATGTTTAAGAGGAGAATGGAGAAGTTAAGCATAAAATGCTTCCCACATAGGGAAATGGTTCGGTTTATTTGCATTTATTTATCCTACAAGCATTTTTTTTGGACATCTATTATATGCCTAGTCTAGTAGGGAAACCAATCCAAGGGAGCAGAAAGCTGTGGTACTAATTTTGCAGTGTGAGAGGATGAGGGATTATTATGCAAGGTCCTCCCCACTTTGGGCCAAATGGCTCGCCACATCAGCCAGGACCCTCACACAGGACCACTGGACCCTCACAGGCACCTACTTTCTGCTGAAGCAATTGCTCATAAAGCCTTTCATCTGAAACCAGTAAGTGGCTCGTGTCCTAGAGCGGGGCATGGGGTAGGCTCTGGAGCTAGAGCAACTGAGCTCAAATACTGATTTCCCTTAGATAATCTGTAGAAAAGGCTCAGCCCAGTGCCTGGCACAAAGTTAAGGAGTCAAGAAGATGATTGTTATCACGCATGGCACAAGTCTATTTTGAATTGAGAGTGGGATGAAGAATATTATATTTGCTCTTTATGCACATTATTTGTTTAGTTCACACAATAATCCCCCCATTTCACAGAAGAAGAAACTGAGGTTCAAGAAGTATAAATAGCCTGCCTGTGGAAAAGCGAGGATTTTCACTCTTGTTCTGATTCTGTGAAGCCCACACCCTATCTGTGGCCCCAGCCTGCCATGAAAATCAACCAGAAAGAAACTTCCTGGCAGATCTGAGCGTACACCAAAATGTCATGGCTATTTTGTTCACTCATGTTTTATTCTTTTTACATATAAAATGGAAATCCTGGCCTTTCAAGCATTGGAGAAACAGAGCTTAGAACTGTGGGATGGTTGGGTTGTATTATACTTTTATTTTACAGGAGTTCAGCCTTTTTGATTGTGGCACTATGCTTTTATATTTCTTTTCTTTTTTTTTTTTTGGAGGCAGGGTCTCTCACTCTGGTTGCCCAGGCAGGAGTGCAGTGGCACGATCAAGGCTCACTGCAGCTTCCACCTCCCGGTCTCTCGAACTCCTGGCCTCAAGTGAGCCACCCTCCTCAGCCTCCCAAAGTGCTGGGATTACAGGCATGCACCGCCATGCCCAGCCTTATATTTCTTTTGAGGGGAAAAAATGTTGTTTTCATTTGCTCAAAATGATTTTAAAAGATAAAAAAAATCCAGACCCTTGCCCACATGAAAATGACTAAGGTATTCTAACACATGACAACATCTTTATGGAGCCATTCAGAGGTAATTCTCCAGGGTAGCTTGGAACAAGCCAAGGATTGAAAAAGTTCATGTTGCATATAAGGTACCTGTAATTCCCAATGATAAAGAATTTTATATATATATATATATATATATATATATATTTTTTTTTTTTTTTTTTTTTTTTTTTTTTGAGACTGAGTTTTGCTCTTGTTGCCCAGGCTGGATGCAATGGTGCGATCTCGGGTCACCGCAACCTCCACCTCCTGGGTTCATGCAGTTCTCGTGCCTTAGCCTCCCAAGTAGCTGGCATGTGCCACCACACCTGGCTAATTTTGTATTTTTAGTAGCGATAGGGTTTCTCCATGTTGGTCAGACTGGTCTTGAACTCCCAACCTCAGGTGATCCGCCCGCTTCGGCCTCCCAAAGTGCTGGGATTACAGGCGTGAGCCACCGTGCCTGGCGAGTTATATTTATTTTCAATTAAAATAATGTTAATGATGTATCCCGAGCTCATGAGCTCAGAAATCAACAGAGTCAAGTGGAAAGAACCTTGGCTTTGGGGTTGGACAGATGGATTTGAAGCCTGGCTGCATGTTTACACATTTATCACTTTGAGAAAGTCACTGCAATTATGAGGTCTCGTTTCCATCATCTGTAAATAGGGAACACCAGCAACCATGTAAGTTATCGTGAGGTCAAATATAATGACAGCCATAAAGTGCCCAGCACAAATGGGTCTCCGCAAGTGTCACTTGTCTTTTTACTGATTGATTGGAACTCACTGTGGTGAACACTGTGAGCACATAGGATATGTAGGATTCAGCACTCATCCCTCTGAGCCCACCTCTACACAGGGGACTGACACCCAGAGAAGTGAAGTAATCGTGGTTACTGGGCCTAATAAGCAGCAGCCCTGTTAGGCAATGAAGCTAGTGGTCCTTGCACCATACTGCTTGCTTTTACTTCTAGAGGAGAGTGTACGTTTATGGAAAGAAGAAAGGTAGGGGGACATCAGCTAGAAAAATCATCCTTGAATTTTACGCTAATCCTCTCTGGTGGTCTTCAGTACAGCAAAATGCACTCATCATCCCTGCACTCTGGTCTGGCATGCAGGTAACGTGCTGGAGAGGAGGAGGCCCAATGCTGTCAAATTCACTCACCTCCCCAGCTTCCCCTGGACGTGTCTGCCTCAAATTCTGAGCCACTTCGCCAGAGCAAGGCCACGCAAGCAAAGCAACCAAGCAGTCGAATCGGGGATGTTTTATTTATGGCTTTAATAATGAAGCCTCTTGGGGAAATTTTAGTTTCCCATTCCCAGAAGCGAAAATGCGTCTACAGAATGTTCTTAAAATTTATTACTGTTTATGTTTTTTCCTACCACAGTCTTTGCACCACCTTAATAGAGTTTAAAACATCCCTTCCCAAAGTAGACAGGATGATCTGTGCTGTCATTCATTTGGCTGGTTCTTGACCAAGCCAGCACACTTAAAAATTGAAAATACAGGTTGATAATGCTGCTGCTGATGACCTAATCCTATGTTGAACCTGTTGTGGTTATTATTAAAACTGCTGCTAATTCAACAGGACCTTGTTTTGGCACTGCCCAGTTCTCAGTCATTTATTTCCAGGGCAGCTGGAAGAACTGCACCCATATCTCTTGGAGGCACTCAGGCTTGAAGCTGTTTCCATGGAGACGAGACATACCCAAGGTTCAGATTTCATTTCGTTTTAGATCTCAATGATATTAGAAAAGAAATAGTTTACTGGCGAGAATTCTCAGCCATCTGAGAGAGGAGGCTGGAGGGAAAAGAGAGCCGCTGACCTCCTGGAGCCCTTGCTGTAGGAGGGACCGCTTTGGGAGTTTTTGTTTAACAAGGGAGAGTGGGTAGTCATCCTGCAAAGAAAAGGTCAGCGTTCTCTCAGAAGTAACTGGCATGGACTTTCTGAGTCCAGTGCATCAGACATTTCCTCTTGCCTTGGGTAAACCCAGGTTTAGCCTGAGGGAGGCTTGCTTGAAAAAGCAAGCAGTGGGACGAGGCAGACAGAACTCAACATAAGAATGCCTGTTGTTGTTTTTTTTTTTTTTTGGAGACAGTCTCACTGTGTCATCCAGGCTGGGGTGCAGTGGCACGATCTCAGCTCACTGCAACCTCTGCCTCCTGGGTTCAAGCGATTCTCCTGCCTCAGCCTCCTAAGTAGCTGGGATTACAGATGTGTGCCACCATGCCCAGCTAATTTTTGCATTTTTAGTAGAGATGGGGTTTCACCATGTTGGCCAGGCTGGTCTCGAACTCCCGACATCACCCACCTGCCTCAGCCTCCTATGGTGCTGGGATTACAGGCTTGAGCCACCACGCCTGGTGGAGAATGCCTGCAAAAGACTTTTCTACCAGTGGGCATGAGACGCACAGGCATGTGGTTTAAAACTCGGGCACCAGAGTCAGACCTGGTTCTGTTGCTAGTTAGATGTGTGACCATGGATAGATCAGTTACCTTCCTTTTTTTTTTTTAAGAGATAGGGTTTTGGTCTGTCACCCAGGCCACTGGAGTGCAGTGGCATTGTCATAACTCATTGCAGCCTCAATCTCCTGGGCTCAAGCTATTCATCTCGGCCTCCCAAGTAGCTGGGACTACAGGCCTGCACCACCACACCCGGCTAATTTTTGTATTTTTATTTTTGTAGAGATAGAGTCTCACTATGTTGCCCAGGCCTCAAATGATCCTCCCACATTGGTCTCCCAAAGTACTGGGGTTAAAGGCGTGAGCCACCACACCTGGCCAGATCAGTTACCTTCTGAGACTCAGTTGACCCATCTATAAAAAGGGGTTACAGGCCGGGCACAGTGGCTCATGCCTGTAATCCCAGCACTTTGGGAGGCCAAGGTGAGTGGATTGTTTGAGCCCAGGAGTTTGAGACCGGCCTGGGCAACATAGTGAGACCCTGTCTCTACAAAAAAATTAAAAAATTAGCCAGGCATGGTGGTGTACACCTGTAGTTCCAGCTACTTGGGGGGCTGAGGTGGGAGGACTGCTTGAGCCTGGGAGGTTAAGGCTGCAGTGAGCTATGATTGTGCCACTGCACTCCAGCCTGGGCAAGAGAGCAAGACCTTATTTCAAAAAAAAAAAGAGTTACTGTGAGGACTAAGTGAGATCATGCACATAGAGAAAGCCTGGCACTGTATAGCTGAAGAAATGGTCATGATTTTTGCTTCAGTAGTGTGAGGGCAAGGCATGGATTTATGTTACTCAAAGTAGAAAATGCATGTGAAAGCCGGGCATAGTGGCTCATGCCTGTAATCCTAGTACTTTGGGAGGCTGAGACGGGTGGATCACCTGAGGTCAATTTTTTTGTAGAGACAGGGTCTCACTATGTTGCCCAGGCTGGTCTCAAACTCCTGGGCTCAAACAGTCCACTCACCTTGGCCTCCCAAAGTGCTGGGATTACAGGCATGAGCCACTGTGCCCGGCCTGTAACCCCTTTTTATAGATGGGTCAACTGAGTCTCACAAGGTACGAGACCATCCTGGCCAACATGATGAAACCGTGTCTCTACTAAAAATACAAAAAAATTAGCTGGGCATGGTGGCGTATGCCTGTAATCCCAGCTACTTGGGAGGCTGAGGCAGGAGAATCGCTGGAACCTGGGAGGCAGAGGTTGCAGTGAGCCAAGATTGCACCACTACACTCCAGCCTCGGCGACAGAGCAAGACTCCATCTCAAAAAAAAAAAAAAAAAAAAAAGAAAAAAAGAAAATGTATGTGAAACACTGCACAGAGGAGAGGGATTCTTAATATCATGGATGATAATGATCCCTTTTTTCTCATGTACTTTTTTTTTTTAACTTTTAGGTTCAGGAGTACATGTGAAGGTTTGTTACATAGGCAAACTCATGTTACAAGGGTTTGTTATATAGATTATTTCACCACCCAGGAATTAAGCCCAGTACCCAATAGTTGTCTTTTCTGCTCCGCTCCCCGCTCCCATCCTCCACCCTCAAGTATACCCCAGTGTCTGTTTCCTTCTTTGTGTTCTAAGTTCTCATCATTTAGCTCCCAGCATGTTCTTTCTAAACATGTTTTATTTTATATTTCTTTCCAGGGAATTTGGCAAATGCTAAATATCCCCAAAGACAATCACTCACACATTCTTTCAACAAATATTTATGAGCTAGGCTTTATGCTAGGGATAAACAGACAAGGTCTCTGCCCTTAGGGAGTTTTCTCAGTCCCCCTGGGAATGCTTATGCAAAAAGGGGAGTGGGTAGTTGCCCAGTGAAGGAAAGATCTGTGTTGCCACAGCAGTTACTGGTTGGACTAGAAAGTAAAGTTCTAGAAAGGCTTCCCATGGGCCTTGCCACCATGGCCCCTCTTCCACTGGGTCCCTGCAGCACTTGGCCCAGGCCTCTGGTATGGTCCTTATCGAGTTGTATTATCTGTGTCCCTCCCTAGCCCTTCTTTGAGGGCAGGGACCCAGACTCTTTTCTTTTTAGAGACAGCGTCTTGTTCTGTTGCCCAGCCTGGAATGCAGTGGCATGTTCACAGCTCACTGTGGCCTTGACCTCCTGGGCTCAAGTGATCCTCCCACCTCAGCCTCCCAGTGGGATTACAGGCGTGAGCCACTGTGCCCAGCCCAGACTCTTTCTTTACAGCTACCCAGACTAAAGGTTCAATGAAGGGTTGCTGAAGGAATAATCAAGTGGATATACAGATGCTCAAAGAATTCTTCCTTTCAACTCTAACCCAAAAGGAAACTCATGATATTTATTGAACATATGCGGGAGAAAGGAAAGATTACTTTAGCTTTTACCTTATTCCACTGGAAACTCTAAGGTAAATGAGAGAGAAGCTTAGAGGACGGGAAACCTAAGTAAAGCATGTAGACAGATGTTTTCTACAACCAGTGTTGGGGGGGCAAGGAAGGTCCTCAAATGGTTCCATTCAGTCCAACTTAAGTACAAGTGGTGGGAAGAATGGGGTGATTAGCAGTTACTCATGGAGTAGCAAAGCGGCAGATTTCTCCACATGGGCTATGTTGGAGAGGATGCTGAGCAAAGTCTTGGGAGCACAAACAGGAATCCCTTCAGGGGGCTGGTCAGAGGGCGGTGTGCTCTCTGTTGCCCAAAGGAAGTTCTCACAAGTAGAGCCTGGATGCAAGCAATGTATGAGCCCACGAAGTCAGAGGCTGCACAGTCAGTGAGCATGGACTGCAAAACTTTCAGCGGGGTCCCTTTAGGACCAGCCTCTTCATCTCCAGGCCCCACTAATCTCTCTTATTCCTTGTTCTTTGCTCTAGGGAATCTCTTTCCTTTCCTTTCAAGTGAGAGATGGAGGTGGGAAAATATGGCTTTCTTTTATGGTGTTTTCTCCCAAATACTTTGCCCTTACTGAGAATCTTCTTTTTTTTTCTTTTTTTTTTTCTTACCCTTGATGGCCTAGGATTATGAAACTCAAGAGCCAGAGAGATAGATACACATATTTTTTTCAAATCAGATATAATTTACAAACAGTAAAATTCACCTTTGAAAAAAAGGTGGGTGCCGTGGGTCACACCTGTAATTCCAGCACTTTGGGAGGCCAAGGTGAAAGGATTGCTGGGGCCGGGAGTTTGAGACCAGCTTGGGCAACGTAACAAGACCCTGTCTCTACAAAAATAATTTTAAAAATCAGCTGGGTGTGGTAGCTCACACGTGTAGTCCTAGCTACTGGGGAGGCTGAGGCTGGAGGATCACTTGAGTCCAGGAGTTCCAGGCTGTGTACCACTGCACTCCAGCCTGGGTGATGGAGTGAGACCCAGTCTCTAAATAAATACATAATTATAAAGGTGTACAGTTTTACAAGTTCTGACAAATGTACACAGTCATGTATACCTGTCATGCACCACAGTCAAGATACAGAATATTTTCATCACCTCAAAAAATTCCACATGTCCCCTTTGTAATCACCTCTCTCCTCCAGCCCCAGCCCCTGACAATCCTGTTTTCTGTTCCTATAGTTTGCCTTTTTCAGAATGCCATACAAAGCGTTTTGAGTCTGGCTTCTTTCACTTAGCATAATGCTTTAGAGATTCAACCATAATGTCGTGGTTCATTATGGTCGTGGATCAATAGGTTGTTCCTTTCATTGCTGAATAGTATTCCATTGTACGGATATGCCATCATATGTTCACCAGTTGAGGGACATTTGTTTTGTTTCCAGTTTCTGGCTATTCTGAAAAACCTGCTATAAACATTTGTGTACAGATTTTTATGGATATTGTGCCTCCATTTTCATTTCTCTTGGGTAAATTTCTAGGAGTGGAGTTGCTGGGTCATATGGTAAGGCGGAGGTTTAAATTTATAAGAAACTAGGCCAGGTGTGGTGGCTCACGCCTGTAATCCCAGCACTTTGAGAGGCCAGGTAGGTGGATCACATGAGGCCAGGGGTTCCAGACCAGCCTGGCCAACATGGTGAAACCTCGTCTCTACTAAAAATACAAAAATTAGCCAGGCATGATGATGTATGCCTGTATTCCCAGCTATGAAGGAAGCTGAGGCATGAGAATTGCCTGAACCTGGGAGGCTGAGGTTGCAGTGAGCCGAGATTGCACCACTGCACTCCAGCCTGGGCAACAGAGTAAGCCTTTGCCTCAAAAAAAAAACAAAACAAAACACAAAACGATTGCATATTTAAAAGAAGACCTCACCCCTGACCCAAAATTATGTTATTTCTTAATGGCTCTAAAACGTCCTTTGATGGCTGGGCACGGTGGCTCACGCCTGTAATCCCAGCACTTTGGGAGGCTGAGGCAGGTGGATCATGAAGTTGGGAGATCAAGACCATCTTGGCCAACATGGTGAAACCCCATCTCTACTAAAAATACAAAAATTAGCTGGGCATGGCGGTGTGCACCTGTAATCCCAGCTACATGGGAGGCTGAGGCAGGAGAATTGCTTGAACCTGGGGGACAGAGGCTGCAGTGAGCCGAGATCATGCCACTGCACTCCAACCTGGGCAACAGAGTGAGACTCCATCTCAAAAAAAAAAAAAAAAGGCTGGGTGCGGTGGCTCACGCCTGTAATCCCAGCACTTTTGGAGACCAAGGTGGGTGGATCACCTCAGGTTGGGAGTCAAAATTAGCCGGGCGTGGTGGCACATGCCTGTAATCCCAGCTACTCTGGAGGCTGAGGCAGGAGAATTGCGTGAACCTGGGAGGTGGAGGTTTCGGTGAGCCGAGATCTTGCCATTGCACTCCAGCCTGAGCAACAAGAGCAAAACTCCATCTCAAAAAAAAAAAAAGTCATTTGACATGAAGAGTCATTTAATCCTTTTGAGGAGTCATTTTGTTACTTTAAATCATGTCACTCCTCACTTCATTAGCATACAAATTTGCTGTTTATTTATCTGTCTGTTTTGAGATGGGGTCTCACTCTGTCACCCAGACTGGAATGCAGTGGCACGATTTTGGCTCATTGCAGCCTCCGCCTCCCTGGCTTAAGCAATTCTTCCACCTCAGCCTCCTGAGTAGCTGAAACCACAGATGTGCACCACCACACCTGGCTAATTTTCTGTATTTTTGGTAGAGACGCGGTTTCGCCATGTTACCCAGGCTGGACTTGAACTTTTGAGCTCAAGCCATCCACCTATCTTGGCCTCCCAAAGTGCTGGGATTACAGATGTGAGCCACCATGTCTGGCCAATCTCCCAATTTATAATCTGGGCTATTTAGTTCAAGGCTCCAGTGAGACTATTATGACCTCTCAAAGAGGCTGCTGAACCAGCATCTAGAAAACTCAAGCCTGAATGGAGACTACAACCTCCTCCTTCTGCCTGAGTATTGAAAGAAAGGCATTTCTTCCAGCTGTGTATGGGACTGTCACAATGGGGTCTCCGTCTACCCAGAGTTGCTTTCTTACACACCCTGTGTAGCCAACGGAAGGAGCAAAACATCCGGCAGCTTACTCTGAGGGTCTGTGCGTCCCACTTCCTTTCCTCCAAGGGGAAATTGCTGCAACAATCACCAGTCACCTCTGTTTGACCAAATTTGAGAAAGAGCGAGGGGCAGCAGGGAATAGACTGGTGGGACTTTTGAAGAATTCAGGTAATCTGCTGACTGGTGGGTAATGCTTACTTTTCGTTTCTAGGCAATAAATAATGACTTACAAGCAAAAGGCTACTCCCTAGTTTCAGACACCATCTGGATCCATTTCCCCCAAGGCCTAGTATACAGTGTGACCCAGTACGATGGCAAATGTAAAGCCTGCTGAAATCGAGTGCCCATGTTTGAGAACCAGACTCCAGACATTTGGTTCAAAAAGTGATGGTGACACAATGGGGTCAAGTGAAGCTGTCAGGAAAATAGCTGCTAATAATAGCTCATTTGTATTGAGCACTCACTCTGTGCCAGACACCAAATGTTCCATATGTACTTTTTGGTTTTTTTGGAGACAGAGTTTTGCTCTGTCACCTAGGCTGGAGTGCAGTGGTGTGATTCTGGCTCACTGCAACCTCTGCCTCCCAGATTCAAGCAATTCTTATGCCTCAGCCTCCCAAGTAGCTGGGACTACAGGCACACGCCACCATGCCTGGCTAGTTTTTGTATTTTTGTAGAGACTGGTTTTCACCACGTTGCCCAGACTGGTCTCCAACTCCTGAGCTCAGGCAATCTGCCCGCCTCAGCCTCCCAAAGTGCTAAGATTACAGGCACTCTTAGAGAATGAGCCACTGCACCCAGCCTACATGTACTTTTTCATTAGCCTTCACATTAACCCTCTAAGGTAGGTCCTATTATTAACTCAGTTTTACAATAAATAAAACAGAGGCTGAGATGGTGACTTCTTTTTTTTCTTTTTTTTTTTTCAAGAGATAGGGTCTTGCTCTGTTGCCCAGGCTGGATTGCAGTGGTGCAATCATAGCTCACTGCAGCCTTGAACTCCTGGGCTCAAGAAATCCTCCTGCTTCAGCTTCTTAAAGCACTGGGATTACAGATGTGAACCACCATGGCCAGCCTGGAGTCTATATTTTAACCACCAGATATTCAGCCTCCAACCCAAGCCCCACTATAGCAAAAATCCCCAGGGAAATAAGTCCAACAAAGGGAAAATGTGAGGACAAAGTGTTTCCAAGATTTCAGAATCTACTTCGAAGATCAATTCATTTTAAGAAGCCATTTATTTATTCATTTAACAAATATTAGGCTGGGCACAGTGGCTCACGTTTGTAATCCCAGCACTTTGGGAGGCTGAGGCGGGTGGATCATCTGAGATCAGGAGTTCGAGACCAGCCTGCACAACATGACAAAACCCTGTCTTTACTAAAAATACAAAAATTAGCCGGGCGTGGTGGCGGGCACCTGTAATCCCACCTACTTGGGAGGCTGAGGCAGGAGAATCGTTTGAACCCGGGAGGCGGAGGTTGCGGTGAGCTGAGATCACGCCACTGCACTCCAGCCTGGGCACCAAGGGCAAAACCCTGTGTCAAAAAAAGAAAAAAATAAATAACAAAAAGCCAAATATTTATGAACATGTACAGATGCTGAGGATACAACAGTCACAACATAACTATGGTTCCTGCCCTCACAGACCTTATATTCTCTAAGACGGACAGTTTGTAAAGAGAAAATTACAATAAAAAATAATTTGCTTCATCAGAGGGCTGAAGGGGTGGTGTCAGAGGAATAGGTGCCTATATCTGATTATGAGTGTGAGGAAGAGCTTCCCAGGGGGCATCTTCAGAGCTGAGTCTCAAAGAATTTGTGGGAATCACCAAATGGATATGCTGTGTGTGTGTGTATGTGTGTGTAACACGTGTGTGTGCATATGCACAGGGGTTGCACAGAAGAGAAAAGGAAGAGGCATTGTGGGCAGAGGGGACATCTGGCCCAGTCCTCAGACCTGAGACTTCAAGTGCATCTGGTATGCCTGGAACACAGAGTTCAAGGGAAACAGCAGAAGAGAGGATCAGGCCACACAGGGAGGTTGGCGCCAGGTCTTGAAGGGCCTTGTAAGGTGTTTAGGTTTTAACTCATAGGCATCAAGAAGTCATTAAAGAATTTCAAGCTTGTTTCCTTACTTACGGGGTGGGGGGAAAGGATTTTCGAGCGGAAGCATGACGTTGTCAGATACACATCACATTTCCACTTGGACAGTTATGGAAGGAAGGACTACAGAGAGGCACAGAGGCTGGATGGAGGCGAGAGGTGATTGAGGAGGATGTAGCAATAATGCAGGTGAGAAAAAGTGAAATGCCTAACCAAGGGCAGTGCCCCTGGGGACAGAGAGGAAGAAACAGATAAGGAAGGCAGAGCCATGGGAGTCAAGGGCTGTTTCACCACGAGGTAGTAGCTTGGTTACCTCACAGGCTATGGCTCCACCCAACACTTCCTAGCAGCGAACTTGATCATGTTGCTTAACTTTAAGTCTCTCCATTAGTAAAATGGTGATAATAATGGCACCTACAGCACAGGGTTGTGGCAAAAATCAAATGAGATCCGTGTGCTTAGCACAGTGTCTGACACCGGAAGTGCTCAGCTACTTTTCTGTTTTTATCCTTTAGTGAGAGGAAGGGAGGGCTGTAGCCTGGGTCCCAAGTTCCTGGCCTGGGTCATCGCGTGGATGTGCACTAGGTTGAGGGCAGACTCCTGGAGAAGGCTGCAGTACTAAGAACATTGTGAGCTGATCCTCATGGGCCACGACTAAGATTTGTTGTACTTTTTAGCTATGGAAGTAACGAATGATGCTTCTGAATAGCTCCAGCTTCTCTAGAGGAGGAGGAAGACATGGAATAAGTAATCTCTCCCAACAATCCCATCTAATTTAAGCATCACCATCCTCCCAGTTTACTAGGTTCAAAATCCAGGAGTCAGCTTTGATTCCTCTCTGTCAATACGCCTCACCCATATCTAACCCCTAGGCAAGTCCTGTTAGCTCTGCCCCCAAAAGAGGTCTCAAATCTGACGGGTTTTCATCATCTCCAATGCTACAATCTGATTCAAGCCACCATGTCTTGCCTGAACTCCGGCAATAACCTCCTTATCTGGTCTCTTCACTTCCACTTATGCCCCTTATAGTACATTTCCAAGAATAGCCACAGTGAGCTTTTCAAGGTATAAAGCAGACCTTGCTGCTCCTCTGCAATCAGAATGAAACTCAGAATCTTCAAGGTCCTACATATTCTGTCTGTCACTCGCAGCCTCGTGACCACAAGCACCTGGACATTCTTTCTGTGCCTTGAACACATCAAGCTTGTTTCTGCTCAGGGACTTTGTACTGAGGTCTCCTTGTTGGGAACAAGCCCCCCAAAATCTGGCCATAAACTGGCCCCCAAATTGCCCATAAACAGAATCTCTGCAGCACTGTGACATGTTCATGATGGCCACAATGCCCACGCTGGAAGGTTGTGGGTTTACCGGAATGAGGGCAAGGAACATCGGGCCTGCCCAGGGCGGAAAACCGCTTAAAGGCATTCTTAAGCCACAAGCAATAGCATGAGCGATCTGTGCCTTAAGGACATGCTCCTGCTGCAGGTAACTAGCCCAACCTATTCCTTTATTCTGGCCCATCCCTTCGTTTCCCATAAGGGATACTTTTAGTTAATCGAATATCTATAGAAACAATGCTAATGACTGGCTTGCTGTTAATGAATACGTGGGTAAATCTCTGTTGGGGCTCTCAGCTCTGAAGGCTGTGAGACCGCTGATTTCCCACTTCACACCTCTATATTTCTGTGTGTGTGTCTTTAATTCCTCTAGCGCAGCTGGGTTAGGGTCTCCCTGACCGAGCTGATCTCGGCACTCCTCGCTTAGGATGGTTTTTCCTTGGGTTCTCTCATACCTGGCTCTTTCTTACCCACCAGGTCTCTGCTCAAATGTTGGCCCTTTCTAGCCCCACCTCACCCCTTCCTCCTCCAGTCACTCTTTATCTATTACCTTGTTTTATTTTCTTCATATCACTTATCACCATTTCCTTCCTTTCTTCCTTTTTTTTTTTTTTTTTCAGACAGGGTCTCACTCTTTTACCCAGGCTAGAGTGCCGTGGTACAATCCTGGCTCACTGCAGCCTCAACCTCCTGGGCTCAGGTGATCCTCCCATCTCAGCCTCCCTAGTACCTGGGACTACAGGTGTGCACCACCTCACTCGGCTAATTTTTGTATTTCTTATAGAGACAGGTTCTCATCTATGTTGCCCAGCCTGGTCTCGAGTGTCTACACTTAAGTGATCTGCCCACCTCGGCCTTCGAAAGTTCTGGGATTACAGGAATGAGCCACTGCACCCAGCCCTTTCCTTTTTCTTTCTCTTCGTCTCTTTTTTTTCTTACTTTATCTCTACGTGTAAGTGGTTTCCACAAGGAATAAGACCTTGTCTCGTTGCCTGTATATCCCACATGCCTTGAATAGTACGTGGTACATAGTAGGTGCTCCATAAATACGTTTTTTTGTTTTTCGTTTTGTTTGTTCGTTTGTTTTGAGATGGAGTTTTGCTCTTGTTGCCCAGGCAGGAGTGCAATGGCAAGATCTCGGCTCACTGCAACCTCCACCTCCCAGGTTCAAGTGATTCTCCTGCCTCAGCCTCCCGAGTAGCTGGGATTACAGGCATGTGCCAGCACGCCCAGCTAATTTTGTATTTTTAGTAGAGATGGGGTTTCTCCAGGTTGGTCAGGCTGGTCTTGAATTCCCGACCTCAGGTGATCTGCCCACCTCGGCCTCCCAAAGTGCTAGGATTACAGGAGTGAGCCACCGCGCCTGGCCATAAATATGTTTTTGAATTGATAATTAAATGACTGAGTGAAGTAATTACAATAAAGCATATTATCACGCAGTACAGCCATGGCAGCATTTGAGATGGCTGTTCAACTGTGTATTGGAAATATTTCCATCTGTCTGAGATTTACTTTTTATTTCATTTTAAGTTCTGGAAATATGCTTACCCATATCTGAGATTTAAATTCAATCCTGCCTGATAGTAAAAACTTGGACTAGACTTTTCTCAGAATTCTTAGCAATCTGGGATTCTGGGAGCCATGCCTTTTCCCAGGTCCCAAAGTGTTCTCCTTTCACCTGGTTCGTAGCAATCCCCAGATTAAAGTGCTCCTGTCAGCTGGGCACGGTGGCTCACGCCTGTAATCCCAGCACTTTGGGAGGCCAAAGTGAGCGGATCCCTTGAGGTCAGGAGTTCGTGACCAGCCTGGCCAACTTGGTGAAACCCCCATCTCTACTAAAAATACAAAATTAGCCAGGCGTGGTGGCGTACGCCTATAGTCCCAGCTACTCGGGAGGCTGAGGCAGCAGAATTGCTTGAACCCAGGAGGCGGAGGCTGCAGTGAGCCGAGATCGCACCACTGCACTCCAGCCTGGGCGACAGAGTGAGACTCCGTCTCAAAAAAATTAAAAAATAAAAAATAAAAAGCTCCTGTGGCCAAATGGTTGCTGAAATGGAAACCTGGCCACCATTCTTAATGGAGCAATCAGTCACCTTCATAAAAGGCACTGCCAAAATTCTACTCAGATTGTTTTATAGTTGATGTCATAACAAAGACTCCCATTCGTGGAGTACATATGACTTCCATCCATCTTGCATGCCTCCTAGCTAATTGCTGTGCCAACTCTGCGGGAGTAGATGTTATCCTCCTCCTAATCTTGCATGTAAGGAACCTGAGGCCCAGAGAAGCCCTGTGACTTGCCTAAGGTCACAAAGCTGATAAAGAAGGAGCTAGGATTCATCCCAGGTCTGTTTGGCTGCAATGTCTGGGCTGCTTTCACAACAATCTCGGGGCCAACTCCTTAACTCGGGGCAGATGGCCTGATAGCCACCTAGCTAATGCTAATTTGGGAAAACAGTCCTGAGATAAAGAGTTATAGAAAGCAGATTCTGTAATCAGCCTGCTGGCCCAGGAGGAATGGCAAGTTTTATCTCCTACAGATCAGAACTATTTGACTTGCAGAGATTCAAGGCCAGGATTGTAGGGTCTCTAGAGAAAAGTGTTTTCAGGCTGGGCACAGTGGCTCACACCTGTAATCCCAGCACTTTGGGAGGCCAAGGCGGGTGGATCACAAGGTCAGGAGATTGAGACCATACTGGCCAACATGGTGAAACCCCGTCTCTACTAAAAATACAAAAATTAGCCAGGCATGGTGGCGGACACCTATAATCCCAGCTACTTGGGAGGCTGAGGCAGGAGAATTGCTTGAACCCAAGAGGCAGAGGTTGCAGTGAGCAGAGTTTACCCTACTGCACTCCTGCCTGGTGACAAAGTGAGACTCTGTCTTAAAAAAAAAGTGTTTTCAAAGACAGTATGTCCATGTCAGATGTCATGCAAGGAAGAGCAATGTCCTCACAGAGAAGAGAACATGCTAGGGGACAGGACAAGGTGCTAGAAAGGCCCTGGGAAGGAGGAAAGATGGATGCTGAGCATGGGGCAGAAAGGGTAAATGCATCCACAGCAGGAAACTTGGAACGAGGGTTCTGTAGCCCTTGCTCTCCTTCCAGAATGCTGTTTTTTTTGGGAACAGGGTCTCACTCTGTCACTCAGGCCGGAGTGCAGAGATGTGATATCGGCTCACTGCAGCCTCAACCTCCTGCGCTCAGGTGATCCTCCCTCCTCAGCCTCCGAATAGCTGGGACCACAGGTGCGTGCCACCACTCCAGGCTAATTTTTGTATTTTTTGTAGAGATGGGGTTTCACCATGTTGCCCAAGCTGGCCTCGACCTCCTGAGCTCAAGCAATGCTCCTGCCTCAGCCTCCCAAAATGTTAGGATTACAGAGGTGAGCCACCATGCCCAGTCTCCAGAATGCTTTTTACTGCACCTCTGGCTGAAGTACCTTTTCATTCTTCTCAGAGCCTTTCACTGAGAGAACTTTTAGCTGAGGAGAAAGAGGAAATCCCAAGTCCTTAAATGTCACCTTCTCAGAGAGGTCCTCCCTCACCTTCTCATCTAAATCAGACACCTTCCCCTCACCACCGTTATTCTCTATCACTGTCCCCAAGTACTTCTCTCAATAGCATTGCTCACAATTTGCAATTATTTATGTATTAATTTTCAAGTTCTTTGTCTGGCTCTTCCCCTAGGGCAGAGACAATCTTGTTTTATTCACCAATGTGCATTCAGAACCTAGAACAGTGCTGGCACAAGGTAAATGTTCAAAAACTATTTGCTGAGTGGCAGCAGGAGTGAATGGTGTTAGGGTAGCTGATCCTTAAATTGGGCGGTCTTTGTGGCATGTAAATAAGTGATGGTGTAGGCTGGGTGTGGTGGCTCATGCCTGTGATCCCAGCACTTTGGAAGGCTGACAGGGGAGGATCACTTGAGGCCAGGAGTTTGAGACCAATCTGGGTAATGTGGCGAAAACCTGTCTCTACAAAAAATTTTAAAAAATTATCCAGGCATGATGATATGCTCCTGTAGACTCAGCTACTCAGGAGGCTGAGGTGGGAGGACCACCTGAGCCCAGGGAGGTCAAGGCTGCAGTGAGCTGTGTTTGCACCACTGCACTCCAGCCTGGGTGACAGAATGAGACCCTATCTCAAAAAAAAAAAAAAAAAAAGACAGCGTTCTCATCCCCCTCAACATCTGCCTGTAGGTAGAACCCAGGTTAGAGTTAACACAAAGGACACAAGGACCACTCTTTTGCCTACTGAGGTGAGGGGAATTCTGGGCTGCCTCTATGGCAATGAGCCCAAGTCAATTCAGTGCCCGCTCTCTCCTCTGCCACAGAAGCCCCTAGTCAGCTGGGGGCAATGTTGGGTGAGGGTAGGTCATGGGGGGGCTGGCCCCACTTTGTGCTGCCAGCAGTGCTGGCTGGCTCCCATCAGATATATGTGAGCTCTTGGCAAGCAAGAGGGAAGAGAGCTGTGGCAAGAACAAAGTCCGACCCCACCCCCACCCACCCCAGACTTGCAGGCTGCTGAGGGACGCCAACTGGGACTGGGCTAAAGAGACCATTATTTGTCATCTAATAATCAGGTGTCTGGGGGCAGGTTATTTCTCAGCAGGTTGAAAAACAGGGCACCCATGATATTTTGTTTCTCCTTTGGCCTTCCTGATAGCAGGGTTCACCCAAAGGCCTGGCTGACCTGTTTCTTTTAAGGGGGACCTTGAAATATAGATAAACACCCAGCCTCATGGAAGCCCTTCTGTACCCTCGGCTTGCCTGTGTTTTTCATGGTGCCATCCTTTGTTTATGAACTGTGGGACTTTTTTGTTTTTTGTTTTTTGTTTTTTTGAGATAGAGTCCCCTTTTGTCACCCAGGCTGGAGTGCAGTGGTGCGATCTTGGCTCACGGCAACCTCCACCTCCCGGGTTCAAGTGATTCTCCTGCCTCAGCCTCCCCAGTAGCTGGGACTACAGGTGCCTGCTACCATACCCGGCTAATTTTTGTATTTTTAGTAGAGACGATGTTTTGCCACGTTGGCCAAGCTGGTCTTGAACTCCTGACCTCAGGTGATCTGCCCACCTCGGCCTCCCAAAGTGCTGAGATTACAGGCATGACCCACCACGCCCAGCCTATGAACTATGAGACTTCTGAGAACTGTTAACAGGGAGGATAAATGGAGCCAGGAGACGCCTCACTTTGGCTTCAGTGGAACCTGTCACGGTCCAGATTGTGCCACTCTTTGGAATTTCTGAATGGTATGAATCCAGAGGAGAGAAACAACGTTCTGTTTGTTCTCATGGGCCCTCATACCACAGACGTTTACATCATGGGCCTGCACACTGAGAGGTGCTGGTCATGTTTTCCCACCAGTGTGAGGGGTTTGGATGATCTTGGCTTGTCCTCACATTTCCCCATTTTTTATTTTTTGAAAAGAGAAATTAAGACAGTTTATTGATCACTTACTATACTCCAGGCACAGTACTTGGCATACTTTTTAAAGTTGTCTCATTTCATTTGCATTAAAATCATTTCAGGATATATTATTATCCCTTTTATATACATAAGAAGATGGAGGTTCAGAAAAGTGGAGTAAATTTACTAAGCCCTCTCAGCTCAGAGGCTAAGTGAGAATTTGAACCCAGGATGTCTGGCTCCTAAACCTGTATGTTTTGCCCATTCAGGGCCCACAAGGGATGGGAAGTCTGGAACAAATTACCGGGTGGCCTGACTTCATTGCTTCTCAGTATGATCTAATGCTAAAGCACGTTTAGCTTGTTTGCCTTTCCTGGGGAGAAACAGAGAAAGGGAAGAGGGGTGAAGTGAAAAAAAATTATTTATTTTTTGCTGGGGTTCAATCTGGTCTCAGCATCCCATCCCATCTGGACAATCTGATCCTTTTTTTTTTTTTTGAGACAGAGTCTCACTGTATTGCCCAGGCTGGAGTGCAGTGGCTCGATCTTGGCTCATTGCAACCTCTGCCTCCTGGGTTCAAGTGATTCTCCCACCTCAGCCTCCCGAGTAGCTGGGATTACAGGCACCCGCCATCATGCCCAGCTAATTTTTGTATTTTTGTAATGATGGGGTTTCACCATGTTGGCCAGGCTGGTCCTGAACTCCTGACCTCAGGTGATCCGTGATCCGCCCACCTTGGCCTCCCAAAGTGCTGGGATTACAGGTGTGAGCCACTGCACCTGGCCCTGAGCCTCTTTAAGTAGGCCACAGTGTTACTGTCGTGACAGGGAAAAGGTGACACTGGAAGGGGCTAACCCCAGGTTGGCCTAGAACTGGCCGTTCCAGTGAGCTGAGGGGTCTGCATAATTGGATAAGATAGCCACACTTTTTCAGTCCTGCCCAAGAATATCTGTGAGAATAAAATGAAAGTTAGCCTGTGTCCATGTCTCCTGCCCTAAACAAAAGGAAGCTCAGTGAGACAGAACCCCCAAAGCAGTGACTTGTCTTGCAGGCCAATTACGTTGTCTCCCCAGCCTCTCTGCAGCTGTTCTGGCCTCTGCTTTCTGGGATGGAGCCTCTGCTCTGGGGGCCCTCCACAGCCCAGCTCCAGGAAGGTGACTGCTTCCTGGTTTGAGACGTATTATTAAACTGTAATCATACTGTGCATGGAGTCAGCCAAAGCAGTGGCTATTAATAGGGAGGTGAAGAATGCTGACTCAGAAGGAAGCTGACTTAGGCTGGAAGGGAGAGCCCGGCCACCTTGGCCTACAATTCTCAGCAGGAGGTCAGTGAGAGAGACCTGAGCTCACTTCGTTCCTGGGCAGGAGTCAGCATTATCTGGATTTCTCAACTTTGGAAATAGAAACCCGAAGCAGTCCTGATCAAAGGGATATTGAGCTGTCTTTCCCAGGTCCTTGGGGAGTCTCCGAGCCCGGAGTACTGATAGCTTAAATAGCTATGACTCAGCAGAGCAGCAACTCTTCCCTCCCGATGTCATGAGTAGATGAGACTTGGAAAGGGGCACTGGGACTCCATTTCCGTGACCTCCCTCAGCTGAGAAGCCTGTGCTGAGCCAGCCCTTAGCTGGCCGGACAACCCCCATTGGCAGAGACACCCAATTAGGGAGATTCTGTTTCTGGCTCCTTGGAGGTGACCATTTTCATTTCAGGTGAAGGGCCACGGTAAATGAAGGGCAGGGTGCAGGAGGGCCTCACACTGTGGAGAAAGGACATTTTTAGCAATTTCTGTCAATGCCATGCATTTCTCAGAGAGTTCAGACTTTAGCCGTCTGGTAGACTCCCCATCGTCAGGTAGCTGGAAGTAAGACAGATCCCCGAATCTGGCCCAGGATATGCCCCGGAGAAACAGGACTGCCCCTGGATGCACAATAGCCCTCACTCTGCAGCAGCCACCAAACAGCCTTCACACGTGCTGCTTCAGCTCGTTCTCACCAACCCCAGCAGGTGGGTGGTATCAGCCCTCTTAGCGAGGAAAACAGATTTCAAAAAGGTGAAGTGAGTTGGTCATACAGCTAGCAGGTGACAATGACGAGACTAAAACCTCAGTCTGTCTGCCGCCGGAGGAGAAGCCAGGCATGAGCTGCCCTTGTGCCCCTGGCACATGCCCATCTGTGCCACTTCTACCTAGACCCAGGTGTCCCCGACTTTGTTGCTACCCCAAAGCTCACACTGAGGCCAGGGTAGTGAAGATCTGGTGTGTTGGGTAGGGGGTGCTGAGAGGTTGGGGGAGCGCTATGTCATTCTCTCGCCTTTCTATCAGGTGGGTGGGGATGCCGAGGTATGTCTTCTCAAACTGGAAGATTCATTTTGGTTCCTGGATCTCCGTAGAAGGAGGTTTGGATGGAGGTAGGATGTGGGAGGTGTTTTCTCTTCCTCCCTAAAAATACTTATTAAGCACCTCTTGGTTTCAGCTCTGGGCAGCCTGGGTGCTTTCAGATTATAGAACAATTTCATGACACCATGGATCTGGTATTTTTCTCTGCTGTTTTTCACATAGTCTTAATATAGTTTTACCTGATAAGAACTATCCACATGTGTATATCTTTTTAGAGTTCTAAGATAGCATAATCCACATACTTAGATGTACCTATAAAATATCTTTTTACAGAATAAAGGGCATGCTATTAAGGAATGACTTTTCTTCCACTGATTGTCATGTGGATCACTTCCTGAACCTGAAGGAGGTTCTGGAACTCCAGACACCGGGTCCTGAGCTCTAGCAAGTAGCTGAGGGAAGAATTTTCAGCCCCCAGCTGCCAGGGGTTCTCAACACAGAAGCAGGACCAGACCAAGCTTTTGGGAATTTGTTCATCATTGTACAGCCGTATCACGGCCTATCCGGAGTGGGAGGGCTGGAGAGTAATTTCCTGACCCTCAGGCTCTGAGCTATTGTTTTGGGGTCTTGCGTACTCTTTTGATCAATTATTTTTTCTGCCTTTAGCCATAACAAGCAACAGGATGGTGCAGCATCCAGGTTCAGAAAGCTGCCTCCTCTCACTTAGTCAAAGTTAATTAATTCTCACTGTACCTTGAACTAGGTCAGCTGCAGGGCTGTGCTGGGCCTGACCTGCTGTCAGGGGAGGGCATTTCTTGTCTGTCTCTTGATGTGCTGTCCTGGGCAGGGAAAGTGGGAAGGGGGTAGGTTTCACCTTTGCGTGGGATCATCTCTCCCCCTTTCTTCCGGGGAGGTGACCATTTTCAGATCTGTGGGTGGGGAGGAAAATCTTCTCTTCCAAAAATAATCTCTCTGCAGTGGGGTTTGAAGCTGGACCAAGCTGCTAGCGCTATTTTTACCCAGCTTGCAGTTCAGGGTGTAAATAGCAACTCTGGCTGTTTTTTCCCACAGCTGACAACAGAGTCAACCTCTTCGAGGCAGGAGCATTCTGGCATTTCGCACAGAGAAAACAGAACACAATTTGCCCTCGGGCCCAGTTGATGATTCCTGGACCGTGGGGTCGATATCCAGGGCTGGCATCTCCACGGTTCTTTTATCTCAGTCTCCACTATAAACACCAGGCCCCATGAGAGCTGCTGGGCTGAGGCTCATTTAAAGAAGCTTCCTGCGGAATGATGAGGGAAAAGGCAGGTCCGTAAATCCCCGCCTGCGCCCGCCGAGGATTCCAAGCGCATGAGCAGCTCCAGGCTCCAGCTTGCTGTCCCCCTTGCCCTCCTTCTTGCATTAGCAGGCACTTCCTCTAAGGCTGCTGCCCTGGGAGGGTTTCTTGCAAACCCACTAGATCTGAGGAAAGACAGAGAAAACATCTACTTAAGGCTGCCCAGATGACAGCATGTGTCTAAAAATATATGTCTCCTAGTTTTCGAGTGATCGAAGGCCCCACAGCCTTCAGCACTGGAGTCATTTAGAGGTCATGGTGAAAGGACTGGCTCCCTCCTTGCCTCCATTTAAGCAGAAGCTGCGAGAAAGCCCCCAAAGCCTTGGGTCATGTCTCCAACAGGCTCGGGTGAGTGGGAAGTTCGGCCTCATAGAAGGCCCCTTGCTGGTGCGGTTCATGAGGACGATAAATTAGCAAAGCTGAGGTGCGCCCATCACGGTGAGCAGTTCTCTATTGCTTCTCTTCTGGGGAATGAACAGGCTTCATTTGCTTTTCCCTGAGGCCAGGTTTCTAACCCAAATCTGTCCCTGGAGTCTTTGGCCTGAAATAAGAAAGGAGTCTTGAGTCAGCAGGAGAGCCACTCCTCACTATGAATTACACAGCAACTCCTTGTGGATCTGCCCGTACCCTTCCCCCGGGCACACATCAATCAATCGAAGTATTTCTCAAATATCTACCCCATACCCAGAACTGGGCATTTAGGTACGTGGTTCAAGTTTCAGATTCTTCCAGCAAATGGTTTGTATGGGGTAAGAAAAAGGATTGGAGGTCAGGTAGGCAGCTGAGTAATCCCCAACTCTGCCTTTTTAAAAGTGGTTTCAGTTGCGCATCCTTGGAATTGATTCTGGGCAGCTGTTAATTGCAAAACTCACTGCCAATTATCGATAGCTAAAGTGGCATTGGAGAGCTTCTCATGGTAAAAATAGGGGCAGGTAATAGATGAGAAAATAGCTTTACATTTGAGAAGAGAGGATGGGAACATATTGTCTCAATCTTGCTGTGTTCGAGGTTTCCTTTGTCAGCCTGGGTTCTCTCCCAAGACTGGCCAGCAAAGTCTACTTAGTGACCTCCAGCAAATAGTCCACCAGCAAGCTACTTAAGATTAGAGCAGGCTGGGCGTGGTGGCTCACGCCTGTAATCCCAGGACTTTGGGAGGCTGAGGCGGGTGGATCACGAGGTCAGGAGATCGAGACCATCCTGGCTAACATGGAGAAACCCCGTCTCTACTAAAAATACAAAAAATTAGCTGGGCGTGGTGGTGGGCGCCTGTAGTCCCAGCTGCTCGGGAGGCTGAGGCAGGAGAATGGCATGAACCCGGGAGGCGGATGTTGCAGTGAGCTGAGATCGTGCCACTGCACTCCAGCCTGGGCAACAGAGCAAGACTCCGTATCAAAAAAAAAAAAAAAAAGATTAGAGCAAAACTTTATCTTGGCAGCAAGAACAGAGGGGATCTCTGCTGAGTTCAGGGCATCCTGTTTCTCACCGGGCTCAGTCACATTAAACAGCCAATACCAGTTTTAGGAAAATCCATGTTGAATTTTAAATGTATTTTGGCTCATTTGGGGGGTTATGATTGTCCAATTCAGCTGGTAGTTTGTGTATCAAACTTCAAATCGACAAACGATGTTTATTCAAGGAAGTTTCTTGAAGCCTAGATGGTACATGTTTACCTTAAAAAGCAAAACCAAAAAATTCCAAAAAACAGAAACAGGAAAAAGTGCCCTGGTGAGTAAAACCAAAAGCATGTGGCAGACAGACACAATGCAGGCCTGAGTATTTTGAACAATGCTCATGGCCCCAGCCTTGACACTGGGGAAACTGGGAATGTGGTCGCAGACTTCCTATGTCAAGTGTTTCCCTGGATTTCCTGGAATC
Organism: Homo sapiens; assembly: GCF_000001405.40. NCBI lineage: Eukaryota > Metazoa > Chordata > Mammalia > Primates > Hominidae > Homo > Homo sapiens. The sequence goes on from NC_000017.11 coordinate 59,427,602, forward strand.
CAACTTGAAGTGCCATTTCCCCTGGTGCCACCAAGGAGTTAAGCTTTGGTTCTGTTCTCCCAGTGACTAAGAATGCTCTGTGTGGCTCTGAGATCATCCAGAAAGAAACTGACAGTCGGCGTGGGAAGAGTGTGAGCTTTCAGTGCTCTTGAAATGCCTTTGATGGGCATGGTGAGAGAGCAAAAGGCTTATTGCCACCTAGTGCCCCTGATTGTGTAATTTCGTCGTGAATTCTTGTTTCTTCTTTTGAATTTTGCATAATTTTAAATGAAGATCTCTAACTCCTTGGGGAGCTTGATATTGTGATGTGTGAGTTATTCTATGGAGCTATTCTATGTGAGCTATTCTATATTTTAGACAGCAAACGTATCCCACCACTTGGAAATATCACCCATTTTGATTGAAAACAAAGTAGAATCAATGACCTGACCAAATCACACGTGTGTGTGTGAGGGAGACTGGGTCTTTCCACTCCTGATGTTTTCTTTCTTCTGAAAGGAGTCCAAACACTCCTTGCTTCTCTCCACCCGCCCCCTCTTCCCTGAGAAGGAGGAGTGGTTTAATATGACTGGTGAGTTTGGAAGGAGGAACTGTGCCTTATATCATCCTCTCTTTTCTTCTTGGGAGCAAGCTTCGCTCCCGTGGGGTGGGAAGAGTAGGCCCATTCCAGCTCAGCTGCCTGTCATCGAGCCGCCAAGTCTGCCTAACTCTGAAGTTGAGTATCGGGAAGCTCGATTGTCTGATGATATAAGCCACGTTCTCTAATATCAGCTTTATCAGTAGAAAAGGTTATTTTTGGTCCTCATCTAGCTTGCTGCTATCTTCTGATTCAATTCAAAATTCACAGAGAAGGGAGCAGACTGCTATTTTGGGGCCTCCTCAAAGACCCCAACATATTTACTGGAAGATTTCCTGTGATTAGAAAAATCCCAGTGTTGGGGTAAGGTCCAACTTATAGATCCACATCATCACTTTCTTATATAACACCAGATTCCTTAGCTGTCAGCTGAGTAAAAGAGAGTTTATGGGTGTTCCTTGCAGCTAAAATGCATCCATTCAAAAGTTATTTATTGAATCCTTACCACGTGCCAGGGGACACATAAGTGATCAAGAGAAACAGTCTTGGGCCGGGCGCAATGGCTCACGCCTGTAATCCCAGCATGTTGGGAGGCCAAGTTGGTTGGTCATTTGAGGTCAGGAGTTTGAGACCAGCCTAGCCAACATGGTGAAACCCCATCTCTACCAAAAATACAAAAAATTAGCCAGGCATGGTGGCAGACACCTGTGGTCCCAGCTACTTGGGAGGCCGAGGCACAAGAATCACTTGAACCCAGGAGGCGGAGGTTGCAGTAAGCCAAGATCACACCACTGCACTCCAGCCTGGGTGACGGTAGTGAAACTCTGTTTCAAAACAAAAAAAAAAGAAAGAAAAAAAAGAGAGAGACACAGTCCCTGCTGTCACACAGTTTATAATTTAACTAGGGTGTATCAATTTAAAAGTTTAATGTTTCAAGTGAAAGAAAACAATCTCAAATAGGCTTGAGTAATACAGGAATTTATTGTCTCACTGGAGATCCAGGCACAATTTGATCCAAGATTCAAACAGCATGGATCCATTTCTTGGCTCTGCTTCCTTTGAGTTGGATTCATTCTTTAGCCACCACATGTTGGAACCCCTCTCTCCTGGCAGCTTCAAGTTTTCCACGACGGCTGCAGCAGATCTAAGACATACCATTTACCAGGCTGACAAGAGTCCAAGTTCCAGCAATCCCTGGAGGTCCATCCTGAGAAGGCCATCTCAGGTTATAGACCAGCATAAATCGGGAGCTCACAGGACAGAAGACACTGATTGGCTCACGCCCAGTGGGGCCCACCCCCTGATATGGGAAAGTTGGGCCCTTTCCACTTCCAGAAATTTGGGCACCTATTTGGAAGGGAGAAAGGGCCACAACTAATAACTGTTTATGATAGAAGGAAAAACAATAAATATGCTTATACTTCTGCTCTGAGGGAATCATTCAGCCTGCAGAAAATGGAGACATCTCATTACTACCTGGCGAGTCAAACACAGGCCTGGGGATCCAGAGATGTATTTGGATTCCAAATTCTGTGTGGGCCCCTATACACAGCTGACCCTTGGGGACACTGTAAAGGTTGATACATGATAGACTTTGCTCCTTGATCTGGCCCTTCAGTAGTTACCCTTGGACTGTATTCTGCTGTGTGATAGCTTTTCCCTTATTGATTGATTGATTGATTGATTGATTGATTGATTTGAGATGGGGTCTCACCCAGGCTGAAGTGCAATGGTGCAGTCTAGGCTCACTGCAACCTCTGCCTCCTGGGTTCAAATGATTCTCCTGCCTCAGCCTCTCGAGCAGCTGGGATTACAGGCGCATGCCACCATAGCCGGCTAATTTTTGTATTTTTAGTAGAGATGGGGTTTCACCGTGTTGGCCAGGCTGGTCTCGAACTCCTTGCCTCAAGTGATCTGCCCGCCTCGGCCTCCCAAAGGGCTGGGATTACCGGCATGAGCCACCACAGAGGAGAGTATGTGCCTGAGAGAGATGCTAAAAGGATGACTGAGATGATATTCGCAAAGTATGTGGCGCAAGTCACCAAATAAACCTAAGCTATCTGTTGGCGTGTGTTCATTATTCTTTCAGATTTAAGGACATTCAGCTGGTGGTTTAGGGGCTAAACATTAACCACAGTGGGGCAGGTCAACACAACATGAGCTGTGAGCCATGAAAATACACAGGCCTTCGGTGTTCTAAGTTCAACAGACCTGTGTGAAAAAACGTATAACCAAAACGGATTGAAAATGGACAGAAATGCAGTCAAACATGCAGGGTAGAGAGAGTGCTCCAGCTAAGACCTCGGCCAGTTCTTTTTTTTTTTTTTTTTTTTTTTCTTTCAGGACAGAGTCTTGCCCTGTTGCCCAGGCTGGAGTGCAATGGCGCGATCTCGGCTTACTGCAAGCTCCTCCTCGTGGGTTCAAGCAATTCTTGTGCCTCAGCCTCCCGAGTAGCTGGGACTACAGGCGCAGGCCACCACACCCGGCTAAGTTTTTGTATTTTTAGTAGAGATGGGGTTTCACCACGTTGGCCACGCTGGTCTCGAACTCCTGACTTCGTGATCTGCCCGCCTCGGCGTCCCAAAATGCTGGGATTACAGGCATGAACCACCACGCCCGGCCCTTGGCCAGTTCTTAAGAGGCACGAGTACTTGCTGAACAACTTAAAGTGCCAGTGGTGCCTGAGCAATCCTTTATTTCTTCATTCAGCAAACACTTTTTAGGTATCTTCTATACAAGAAGCTATAATAAAAACACACAATCAGTTTATGAGGCAGGCACTTAAATCCTTTTTAGAATAAAGAAGGGACCTCCCTTTATAAATAGGTAAATGATTATAAAAATTATATGCAAAGCTAAAATGAACTAAAGATCTACTATTACACAGGAGACAGAAAAGAGAAAACTAGTTTCAGTATTTGGGTGGAGGCTGGAGAAGAAGTGGGCTATATCTGGGATGGAATGAACCGACTTTGTGTTAAGTCATAAACAAATATATAGGGCTAAGTGGAGAGATGGCAATCAATTATACAAAGTCTTTTTTGGTTGCTCAAAGAAATGTGACCCAGTCCTCTGAACGCCCTACAGCAGCAGTTTATTTGCACCTTGCCTACTGCTCTTATTCTAACTTGTATCACAGTCGGTTATTTATTCATTCAATTATTTGGTTACTCCTTGAACACTGATGCAAGGCTTGATATGTGCTAAATATTGTGTCAAGGGCCAGGATACAAAATAGAGTGAGACATGGTTTCTGTAGCTCAGTCTAGGAGGGGAGGAGGCATAAAAAACATAATTATAGCCTGAGCACAGTGCCTTCCACATGTAATTCCAGCACTTTGGGAGGTCAAGGAGGGAGGATTACTTGAGGACAGGAGTTGGAAGTCATGGTACGCTATGATTGTGCCACTGCATTCTAGCCTGACAGAGCAAGACCTGGTCTCTAAAAGAAAAAAAAAAATTATTATCTAACATGAGAGGTGCTATAATAGAAATATGCCCTGAGTGCTTGGAGGTGAAGTCTTCACAAAAGAAGTGATATTTGAGTGGATCTTGACAATAACAGGAGTTTCCTAGGCTGGATTTCCAAAGTAGCTGGAAAGCCCCTGAAAGAGGAGCCAGAATGGTGTGTGAGGAAATGCTGAGTGGTTTGGTATGTGGGGATCTTTGGGTATGTGGGGAGAGTGTCAGCAGAGGAGGCTGAAAACATAAGTGGGCTAAAAGGTAAGTCACACAGAGCTTCATAGATCTTGCTATGGGCTTTGAACTGTGTAGACAGAAGGATTTGTTGAAGAATTTTAAGTAAATGATTGAGAAGATCAAGTTTGGGCTTTAGAAAGACGTTCTGGAAGCAGTCTGAAGGAAGAGTAGTAGTGGGGAAGGACTGGAGGCCAAGAAATCAACAGGAACGCTATTTCACTAATCTAGGTGAGAAGTGATAACATCTTGATGACTGAAAAAGAGGGAACAGAATGGGTTCAAGAAAGAACTGAGAGATTAAATCAACAAAGCTTGGTTATTGTTTGGAAGGAAGATTATGTAGGGAAAGAAGGCATTAAGAATGACTTGGAGCTGGGTGTGGTGGCTCACACCTATAATCCTAACACTTTGGGAGGCTGTGGTGGGTGGGTCCTTTGAGCCCAGGAGTTCAAGACCAACCTGGGAAACATGGCTTAAACCTCATTTCTACAAAAAAAAAAAAAAAAAGCAAAAAAGTAGCCAGGCTTAGTGGCACGTGCCTGGAGTCCCAGCTACACAGGAGGCTGAGGTGGGAGGATTACCTGAGCCCAGGACATTGATGCTGCGGTGCACAATGACCAAGCCACTGCACTCTAGCCTGGGTGGCAGAGTGAGACCCTGTCTCAAATAAATAAATATAAATAAATAAATAAAAGAATGATTTAGAAGTCACTAGTCCATGCAGCTGAGGAAACAAAGGTGCCATTAACCACAGTAGGGAATAGAAGAACAGGAGGAAAGATAAAGACAGGATAATGACATGCTGTGTTTAAGATGCCTGCACGACATTCAAGTGGACAAGCCCCACTGGCAGTTGGAAATCTCTGCCTAGAGTTAATGAGAGAGCTGGAGGCTAGTGATTGAGCTGGGAATAAATAGGTGCCAAGGCTATGGACATAAAGGGCACACACCCACCAAGTACAGCTGGAAAGTGAGAAGATAAGAGACACCAGCACAGACCCTATAGAGCACTAACATAAATGAATTGATCAAAGAGGAGCCAGAAAAGGAAAGTAAAAAGAGGTGTCCAGAGAACAGCTAGGAGAACTGGCAGAGACCAACATCTTAGAAGGCATAGGAGACAAGAAGAGGAGGCAGTCAAGTAGGTCAGAGCTGCTGAGAATTCTAGTGTAGCATTTGTGACATTTCCCCATTAAAGAGCAAAGCCTGTGACAGTAGGAACTCCTGGCACAGTACTTTGTATAAAGCAGGCAGTATCTGTGCCAGGATCTATAGATAGACATATAGATGTACCAATTTGGAAACTGCTAGTAACTGCTAGATGCCCAGAGACCTCAAATCTGGAAACACTGCAATTTTAAAGTGTTATTTAAAGGTCAAATTAGCAATAAAAACAGTACTATATATATATATATATTTTTAATTTTTAAAAATTTTTTTTTCAAGATGGAGTCTCGCTCTGTCACCCAGGCTGGAGTGCAGTGGCACAATCTTGGCTCACTGCAACCTCTGCCCCGCAGGTTCAAGTGATTCTCCTGCCTCAGCCTCCCAAGTAGCTGGGATTACAGGCGTGCTGTAATTTTTGTACTTTTAGTAGAGATGGGGTTTCACCATCTTGGCCACGCTGGTCTTGAACTCTGACCTTGTGAGCCACCCGCCTCGGCCTCCCGAAGTGCTGGGATTACAGGCTTGAGCCACGGCATCCAGCCAAAAACAGTACAATATTAAAAGAGATTCTAGCTTTCCTCAAATTCCATTAAAAATTATTACTACCACCTTGTGTATTTCTTCGTATTTGGTCTTCAGGAGAAGATACATGGTCAGCAATATAAAATGAGGAAGCTGGGGCAATATAATTTATCAGAACAGAGGAGTTCAGTTGCAGTTGCTGGAACACAGAAATTGGTGTCAATGTGTTTGGCCTTTACAAAAGTCATTCTGAGGGCAACATCATGGTGTTTTAGGAACTAAGCAATTTCTTCCTCCCCTTTCTCCCCTCCGCCTCCCCCCTCCCTCCTCCTTTCCCCTCTCCTCCTTCTTCTTCTTCTCCTTCCTCCTCCTCCTCCTCCTCCTCTTTCTTACTCCTTCCATTCTGTTGCCCAGACTGGAGTGCAGTGACCTTGGCTCACTGCAACCTCTGCCTCCCAGGTTCAAGCAATAATTTTCTGTATTTTTAGTAGACACGGGTTTTTGCTATGTTGGCCAGGCTAGTCTCAAACTCCTGACCTCAAGTGATCCACCTGCCTCAGCCTCCCAAAGTGCTGGGATTACAGGCGTGAGCCACTGCGCCGGGCCAGCAATGTCTTCTTCAAATGTCACACAATGTTACAGTTCTTTTTCATTTGCCCATTCTTTCAACGTTGAGCACCTCATATGTTCGAGACACTGAGTTTGTCAGCCTTTTGACATCTTTCCATCCCTCAAGGAGCTCACAGTTCAGGGGGGACATAGACAGGGGAATACAATGGAAATATACTGAGAAGTGCTGTGCCAGAGGTAAGCACAGTGTGCAAATGAAGACAGAGAAAGACAACCCAACTCAAAGGGCAGCAAAAGAGGGCAGTGGCGTAAAGTCTTTCCAGAAGAGACAATGCCTGCCAGGTGTTACAAGGAGGGACAAGCTTCCAGATCAAGGAGACAGCAACTGTAAAAAAAAAAAAAAAAAAAAAAGAAAAGAAAAGAATTCAATATGGCTGAACACAGAGTACAAGCAGGGGAAGAGTGAGAGATGAGCTGGGTGGGCAGGGACCTCATCAGACCCCAGAAGCCCTTCTAAGGATTCGGAGCTTGAGCCTAAAAGCAATGAGGAGATGCTGAATGATTATGTTAGAGCACTTCAAAGGAAGTCGTTTGCTTCTCATATTTTTCTTATTTCCCATTCTCTCTCTCTCTTTTCCTTCCTTCCTTTCTTTTTCTTTTTTTCTCTCTCTCCCCCTTTCTTTTTCTTTCTTCCTTTCTTTCTGAAATTGCAGCTGATCCTTCCTCCCCTCCCTCCCTCCCTCTCTCTCTCTCCCTCTCTCTCTCTCTCTTTCTTTCTGAAATTGCAGCTGATCTGGTCTATACCCAAAGAGAATAAGTGCAAGGGATTTATTTACAGTATGTCCATGGTTGGGTGGAGAAAAAGATGGAGTTGATCCCTGAAACCTGACTTTTGATGGCAGTAAGTAGCAAAATGAGAGGATCCCAGGAATAATTCCTATCTCCCACAGACTTTTCTTCCATCTAAATCTGGAGATGCCTGTGTTCGATTTTCATGAGGAGGCTGTTACCTCCAAGGTGTGGACAGGAACCTTTTTTTTCTTGCCAAATGAGCAAAGAAAGGAATCTTAATTACAGAGAGGTCTACACTCTTGCTACTTGAAACTGGGTCCCTGGACCAATAGAATCAGCATCCCCTGGGAACTGGTTGTACAGACAGAAATCTGAAGCTCCACCCCAAACATACTGAATCCAAATCTGCATTTTAAACAAGATGCCTGGGTGATTCCCATGCACATTCAAGTCTGAAAAGTCCTGATCTACAAGATAGGAAAACTGCCTAGTTGGTAAAACTTAGGGTACTGTGTTGCAATCTGTGTTTTGTTTTGCGTGACTGATTTATGAGTAATCAGTTTGTCAGCCTCTATGATTACTAATTTATGTCCAAAAGCAAACTCAATCAGGGGCTAAACCCTTTCTACTCTACTGAACATTTCTAAGAAATCTCCACAGAGCCCACGATGTTGTGATCCATTTAAATACAGGACTTGCTCTCTGGCTGATGAGTAAAAGATTCGTTCTTTTTTTTTTTTCCTATTGTGGCAAAATGTGCATAACATACATTTACCATTTTAACCATTTTTAAGCGTGCAGTTCAGTGGCATTAAAGACATTCACACTGTTGTGCATTCATCACTACATCACCTCTAGTGTTTTCATCTTCCCAAACGGAAACTCTGTACCCGTTAAACAATAACTCCCCATCACCCCCTACCTCCAGACCCTGGCAACAACCATTCGACTTTTTTTTTTTTTTTTTTTTTGAGACGGAGTCTCACTCTGTCACCCAAGCTGGAGTGCAGTGGCGCGATCTTGGCTTGCTGCAAGCTCCTCCTCCCGGGTTC